>NC_000006.12:142570790-143820790 GCF_000001405.40 Homo sapiens
ATTTTTAGAGGGGAAGCTCTGCTCTGCAGGTTAGATAAAATGGGTAAACTGTCAACTCTAAGGTGGGCTGTAAGTAGGACTAAAGACATCTGCTTCTTGTCTGTGGCAAAATCCTAGATTTGGATAGATCAAATTTGGATAGATCACATGCAAGAATATATAAACAAACAAACCTTTAGAGAAACAACACTGAACTAGAAGGGAATGTAAACCTATTTCCAAAGATTCTGAGAAAAATCTTGTATTTGAAAAATAACTTTAAATCAGAAAGAAAAAATTTATGATGACATTTTCTTAATGTCATTAAAGGAAGCAGGACTACATGGCAACTATGAAAAAAGAGCATAAAATTACAGGGAGAAAATTCATTAAGATGAAGACAGAGATAAAGAAAGAAGCATTCTTAAATTTAAAATGTAAAAAGTTCTGTAATCATACAGAATTGAAATGAATATGTGAATTGGAGGCATTAATGAATAGAATTGACAATGCATAAAATGAATTGGTCCTGTGGAATAGTAACTTAAATATCTCCCAGAGCGTCAAGTAAAACATAAAAGAGTTCAAATTGCCAAGAGTGAAGATGATTGATGATCAACATGGGTAGCCAAGGAAAGAAAATCATAAAATAATAGATGTTCCAGAAAAAAGATATGTGACTGATGAGAATAAAACAGAAACTAAAGATTCAATAAAACGAGATAAATATTAAGAAAGATCAAAAAGGAGTAGCATAAAACAAAATAGCAGAAGAAAAAGCAGGTAAATTAGTTAAGACAATAATGAAAGTAAACAGGAAAAAATTTGTTTCCAAAGGGCAAATACCCAGAGTAAACATAAAACTACCTGGGCTATCAGACTCCTAATATATAAATCAAAAGGACAAAGAAACATCAAATCTAAAAGAATAAAGAGTATTAGACAAATGGTAAAGATAAAAGAAACTATGCTTATGGCATTTCTAGCCAGAGAAAGTAAAGTTATAATTACAATGAGAAACAGAATATTTTCATAAATTGATGAAAATTATGATTATCAGAGACATTTGAACCAGAGCAACTCCATCTTGAATAGGGGCTAGATAAAATAAGGCTGAGACCTACTGGGCTGAATTCCCAGAAGGCTAAGGCATTCTTAGTCATAGGATGAGATAGGAGGTCAGCATGAGATACAGGTAATAAAGACCTTGCTGATAAAACAGGTTGCAGTAAAGAAGCTAGATAAAACTCTGCCAAACCAAGACGGCAATGAGAGTGACTTCTGTTCGTCCTCACTGCTACACTCCCACCAGCACCATGACAGCTTACAAATACCATGGCAACATCAGGAAGTTACCCTATACGGTTTAAAAAGGGGAGACATGAACAATTCACTCCTTGTTTAGCATATAACCAAGAAATAACCACAAAAATGGATAACTCCAGAGGCTGTTCTGCCTATAGAGTAGGCATTCTTTTATTCCTTTACTTTCCTAATAAACTTGCCTTCACTTTACTCTATGGACTCGCCTCAAATTCTTTCTTGGGCGAGATCCAAGAACCCTCTCTTGGGATCTGGATTTGGACCCTGTTCCGGTAACATCTTTCTGGTGACCATGAAGGGACTATACTGAGGAGACCCCTAACCCAAAGGAAATAGACTGCAGTACTGATTGGCTGACTTTGGATAAATGGTCCGGTACCCAGATAAGGGATGAGATTGAGTTAGGGGCCCAACTTAGGGGAGTTAGAGCCTCTCCTAAGATGGAGAGGGTTAAAGGTCCCTCTTTATAAAAGGCAAGAACACTTGAATGAACTTGGATTAGAGTCAAAACTTAGGAAGTTTAGAGCCCTTCCTAAGATTTGGGGGGTTAGAGGCCCCTCTCAGTAAAGTCCCTGTAAGCTAAAAGTGAGTCTGGCACTATGGGATGTTAACCACAATTCTCTTTGGTTGAATCTGTCTTGCACTCTTTGCTTATGGCTATGAGTGACAGAATTAGGCATATATAGGATCATGGGACATGGGGAGCTTTTTCCTCCTCAGAAGGGGAAACTTGAGAGCTCATGGGACTGCTGGGAAAGATCCCTTCATGATTGACAAATGGCCACTTGAACTTTTGATTCAGCGTTGCTGGGATGGGTGGATGTTCCTCTGGCCTCCCTGCACATTTCACCTTCCCCACCCTGCTGCAGACAATGCTTTTCTTTCTCTCTTTCTTTCTGATATGGTTTGGCTCTGTGTTCCCACCCAAATCTCACCTTGAATTGTGATAATCCCTATGTGTCAAGGGTGGGAACAGGTGATCATTGAATCATGGGGGCGGTTCCCCCATACTGTTGTCATGATAGTGAGTGAGTTCTCATGAAAGCTGATGGTTTTATAAGGGGCTTCTCTTTTGCTCGGCACTCATTTTCTCTCTTGCAGCCCTGTGATGAGGTGCCTAACACCATGATTGTAAGTTTCCTGAGGCCTCCCCAGCCATGCAGAACTGTGAGTCAATTAAATGTCTTTTTTAAATAAATTACCCAGTTTTGGATATTTCTTCATAGCAGTGCAAGAAGGGACTAATATAGTAAATTGGTACCAGGAGTAGGGTAATAGTATAATGATACTTAAAAATGTGGAAGCAACTTTGGAACTGGGTAACAGGCAGAGGTTGGAACAGTTTGGAGGGCTCAGAATAAAACTGGGAAATGTGGGAAAGTTTGAAACTTCCTAGAAACTTGTTGAATGGCTTTGACCAAAATGCTGATAGTGATAGGGACAATGAAGTCCAGACTGAGGTGGTTTCAGATGGAGGTGAGGAACTTGTTGGAAACTGGAGTAAAGGTCACTCGTGCTATGCTTTAGCAAAGACACTGGTAAGATTTTGCTCCTGCCCTAGAGATGAACTTGAGAGAGATGATTTAGGGTATCTGGCAGAAGAAATTTCTAAGCAGCAAAGCATTCAAGAGAGAGCAGAGCATAAAAGTTTGGAAATTTTGCAGGATGATGATGTAATAGAAAAGAAAAACCCATTTTCTGAGGAGACATTCAAGCTGGCCACAGAAATTTGCATAAGTAACGAGGAGATGAATGTTAATAACCAAGACAATAGGGAAAATGTCTCCACGGCATGTCAGAGACCTTCATGGCAGACCTCTCATCACAGACACAGAGGCCTAGGAGGGAAAAATAGTTTCCTGGGCTGGGCCCCAAAACCCCCTGCTTTATGCAGCCTCGGGACATGGTGCCCTGTATTCCAGCTGCTTCAGCTCCAGCTGTGGCTAAAACGGGCCAGGTAAAGCTCAGGTCATTGCTTCAGAGTGTGCAAGCTTCAAGCCTTGGTGATTTCCATATAGTGTTGAGCCTGTGGCTGCACAGAAGTCAAGAACTGAGGTTTAGGAACCTCTGCCTAGATTTCAGAGGATGTATGGAAATACCTGGATGTCCAGGCAGAAGTGTGCTACAGGGGCAGAGCCCTCATGGAGAACCTCTGCTAGGGCAGTGCAGACGAGAAATGTGGGGTTGGAACCCTCCCACAGAGTCCCTACTGGGGCACTGCCTAGTGGAGCTATGAGAAGAGGGTCACCGTTCTCTAGACCCCAGAATGGTAGATCCACTGACAGCTTGCCCCGTGTGCTTGGAAAAGCTACAGGCACTCATTGCCAGCACATGAAAGCAGCCAGAAGAGGGGCTGTACCCTGCAAAGCCACAGGGATAGAGCAGCCCAGTTCTGTGGGAGCCCCATTCTTGCATCAGTATGACCTGAATATGAAACATGGAGTCAAAGGAGATCATTTTGGAACTTTAAGGTTTAATGACTGTCCTATTGGATTCAGACTTGCATGGAGTCTGTAGCCCCTTGGTTTTGGCCCATGTCTCCCATTTGGAATGGGTGTATTTACCAAATGCCTGTACCCACATTGTATCTAGGAAGTAACTAGCTTGCTTTTGATTTTACAGGCTCATAGGTGGAAGGGAATTGCTTTGTCTCAGATGAGATTTTGGACTTAAATTTTTAGGTTAATGCCAGAATGAGTTAAGACTTTGGGGGACTGTTGGAAGGGCATAAATGTATTTTGAAATATGAGGACATGAGATTTAGGAGGGGCCAGGGACAGAATAATATGTTTTGCCTCTGTGTTCTCACCTAAATCTCACCTTGAATTGTAATAATCCCCATGTGTCAAGGGTGAGACCAGGTGGAGATAATTGAATAATGGGGGCGGTTCCCCCATGCTGTTCTCATGATAGTAAGTGAGTTCTCATGAGATCTGATGGTTTTATAAGGGGCTGCCACCTTCACTTGGCACTCATTCTCTCTCCTGCCATGGTGTGAATAGGTGCCTTCTGCCATGATTGTAAGTTTCCTGAGGCCTCCCCAGCCATGCAGAACTGTGAGTCAATTAAACCTCTTTTCTTTACAAATTACCCAGTCTCAGGTATTTCTTCATAGCAGGGTAACAATGGAATAATGCACCCTCCTTTCCCTTTTTTATATTTTCTGTCACTCAGGGCAACCATCTTGCCCAGAGGCCACATGTTGAAAAATGTCCTTGGGAGCTTGACCTTGTAATCACATGGTGGTACTTTCTCTTGGTCTCTGCCATGCAGGGAATAGGAATTTGGGGGTTCAAGAGCTAGCCCTAAAAATTATCTTGAGCAGTTAAAAGCCTTTGAAAGTTCAAAACTGGCTTCTCTAGACTCCTTCTGGGAAGTACAGTGGAAATTGCCCAATGCTGTAGCTCAGCAGATAAGGCTTCACCGTTTTACTATAGTGGCCTGGGTTCAATATCCAGATTTTGGAATGAGTCTTTTCTGATTTGATATCTATGTGACCTTTGCCATTTTAAAATTCTTTTCCCCTCCATGAACCATCTTGAATTTTCCTTTCTCTGAGCACAGGGGATGTTTCTTTTAGTAAAGTTGAAAAGCCAGAAATATTGGACATTTGGCCTGGCTAAATTTGGGTAATAAGAAATTTAATTTAAAAAAAAAAAAGAGTGCTGTAGTTAAAAGTCAGTTTGATTAAAAGTAGATATTCAAGCTCTAACAGCCTGGGACTCCTTGGGGATAACAAGAGGTGCCACAGACCCCATTTTGGGAAAAACCTTTGTTTTCCTCATGAAACCTCAGGAATTGAAAATGTATAGATCCCTCTCAAAATCTAAGGCTTTGCATTGTGTTATCTGACATTTTTGACTTTGGAGGGTATCAGAAATTACTTTGCTAATATTATAAGAGAGTTTTAGTGTGTACCAACTAGATTGAAAATATACTTTTGGGGATGGCTAATAGCAGTTATGGGGGGATTCTTGGATTTGCACATTTGCATAAGAGAAGCATGCTCTTGGACACCTAGGAAGTATGCAGAAGTCCCTAGACTCCACCAAGAGATAAGACTCCCATGAGAGATGGGCTGATTCTCTCTTTTTGGGATCCAGGATGGTGGTATAAAAATGGGACTCTTAATTTTAGGGGTCTGTTTTTGCCTTCTAGCTGTGCCTGCTTATTAGGCTATACAAACTGCATGCTTTCCTGGCCCTGTTCTTCCAAGGGCTTCACCTTGAAGCCAGTAATTCAATTAGAAAACTGGCAAATGAAAAATCTTACGACTACTGGATCTTCTTCTGTCTGTATATTTATATGTGTTGTGTGTGATGATATAAAAGAGCTTTGATTAATGGCTTAAAAATAGTAAATGCTTAAATCAAATATTTTGTCAGAAAAGTAAAAAGTGGAATGCCTCTTAGATCACATGATTTAAGTAATCTTTGGAAAATAAAAACAGTTTTACAAGCAAGGTATGTAAGGAAAGTAAAATGTGTTTCTGGTAAAAGATTATAAGAAGGCAAGAGGATATAGTTTTTTTTCTTTTGTTTTGTTTTGTTTTGCCTAGATTTAAAAGTTGAAGGATTGTTTTAAATTGGATAAGATAAAGCTAAAAGTTTAAGCAAGTTGTGGAAGGCTTGCAAAAAGTTAATCTTGTAAAAGAAATTCTGAATATGAACATATTACCTAAAGTTAAAGGTATTATTCAATTTTTCCATAAATTGAACAATGGAATATAAGCACATCAGGTGTTTCTTAGAGCACTGATCTGCTCTTTCACAAAAATTATAAAGGCTTATAAGAGGTTTATAATCCACTTTGCTAGGGAGGTGAGAAAAAAAGTTTATAGGTATCTTATCTTATGGTCAAACTGATTAAGATTGAATAAATTTGTCTATAAAGTTTTATTAAGAATTAGGGAGTTTGTTAGAAGATGGCCAAATAGGAACAGCTCTGGTCTACAGCTCCCCGTGTGAGCGACGCAGAAGATGGGTGATTTCTGCATTTCCATCTGAGGTACTGGGTTCATCTCACTAGGGAGTGCCAGACAGTGGACGCAGGACAGTGGGTGCAGGGCGCCGTGCGCAAGCCCAAGCAGGGCTAGGCATTGCCTCACTCGGGAAGTGCAAGGGGTCAGGGAGTTCCTTTTCCTGGTCAAGGAAAGGGGTGACAGACAGAACCTGGAAAATCGGGTCACTCCCACCCCAATACTGCACTTTTCCGATGGGCTTAGGAAACGGCGCACCACAAGATTATATCCCGCACCTGGCTCGGAGGGTCCTATGCCCATGGAGTCTCCCTGATGGCAAGCACAGCAGTCTGAGATCAAACTGCAAGGCGGCAGCGAGGCTGGGGGAGGGGCGCCCACCATTGCCCAGGCTCGCTTAGGTAAACAAAGCAGCTGGGAAGCTCGAACTGGGTGGAGACCACCACAGCTCAAGGAGGTCTGCCTGCCTCTGTAGGCTCCACCCCAGGGCACAAACGAACAAAAAGACAGCAGTAACCTCTGCAGACTTAAAAGTCCCTGTCTGACAGTTTTGAAGAGAGCAGTGGTTCTCCCAGCACGCAGCTGGAGATCTGAGAACAGGCAGACTGCCTCCTCAAGTGGGTCCCTGACCCCTGACCCCCGAGCAGCCTAACTGGGAGGCACCCCCAAGTAGGGGCAGACTGACACCTCACACGGCTGGGTACTCTTCTGAGACAAAACTTCCAGAGGAACGATCAGACAGCAGCATTCGCGGTTCACAAAAATCCACGGTTCTGCAGCCACTGCTGCTGGTACCCAGGCAAAGAGGGTCTGGAGTGGACCTCTAGCAAACTCCAACAGACCTGCAGCTGAGGGTCCTGTCTGTTAAAAGGAAAACTAACAAACAGAAAGGACATCCACACCAAAAACCCATCTGTACATCACCATCATCAAAGACCAAAAGTAGATAATACCACAAAGATGGGGAAAAAACAGAGCAGAAAAACTGGAAACTCTAAAAAGCAGAGCACCTCTCCTCCTCCAAAGGAACGCAGTTCCTCACCAGCAACGGAACAAAGCTGGACGGAGAATGACTTTGACGAGTTGAGAGAAGAAGGCTTCAGATGATCAAACTACTCCGAGTTACAGGAGGAAATTCAAACCAAAGGCAAAGAAGTTGAAAATTTTGAAAAAAATTTAGACAAATTTATAACTAGAATAACCAATACAGAGAAGTGCTTAAAGGAGCTGATGGAGCTGAAAGCCAAGGGTCAAGAACTACGTGAAGAATGCAGAAGCCTCAGGAGCCGATGTGATCAACTGGAAGAAAGGGTATCAATGATGGAAAATGAAATGAATGAAATGAAGTGAGAAGGGAAGTTTAGAGAAAAAAGAATAAAAAGAAATGAACAAAGCCTCCAAGAAATATGGGGCTATGTGAAAAGACCAAATCTACATCTGATTGGTGTACCTGAAAGTGACAGGGAGAATGGAACCAAGTTGGAAAACACTCTGCAGGATATTATCCAGGAGAACTTCCCCAATCTAGCAAGGCAGGCCAACATTCAGATTCAGGAAATAAAGAGAACGCCACAAAGATACTCCTCGAGAAGAGCAACTCCAAGACACATAATTGTCAGATTCACCAAAGTTGAAATGAAGGAAAAAATGTTAAGGGCAGCCAGAGAGAAAGGTCGGGTCACCCACAAAGGGAAGCCCATCAGACTAACAGCGGATCTCTCGGCAGAAACTCTGCAAAGCCAGAAGAGAGTGGTGGCCAATATTCAACATTCTTAAAGAAAAGAATTTTCAACCCAGAATTTCATATCCAGCCAAACTAAGCTTCATAAGTGAAGAAGAAATAAAATACTTCACAGACAAGCAAATGCTGAGAGATTTTGTCACCACCAGGCCTGCTCTAAAAGAGCTCCTGAAGGAAGCACTAAACATGGAAAGGAACAACCGGTACCAGCCACTGCAAAATCCTGCCAAAATGTAAAGACCATCAAGACTAGGAAGAAACTGCATCAACTAATGAGCAAAATAACCAGCTAGCATCATAATGACAGGATCAAATTCACACATAACAATATTAACCTTAAATGTAAATGGACTAAATGCTCCAATTAAAAGACACAGACTGGCAAATTGGATAAAGAGTCAAGACCCATCAGTGTGCTGTATTCAGGAAACCCATCTCACGTGCAGAGACACACATAGGCTCAAAATAAAAGGATGGAGGAAGATCTACCAAGCAAATGGAAAACAAAAAAAGGCAGGGGTTGTAATCCTAGTCTCTGAGAAAATAAACTTTAAACCAACAAAGATCAAAAGAGACAAAGAAGGCCATTACATAATGGTAAAGGGATCAATTCAACAAGAAGAGCTAATTATCCTAAATATATATGTACCCAATACAGGAGCACCCAGATTCATAAAGCAAGTCCTGAGTGACCTACAAAGAGACTTAGACTCCCACACAATAATAATGGGAGAGTTTAACACCCCACTGTCAACATTAGACAGATCAATGAGACAGAAAGTTAACAAGGATACCCAGGAATTGAACTCAGCTCTGCACCAAGCAGACCTGATAGACATCTACAGAACTCTCCACCCCAAATCAACAGAATATACATTTTTTTCAGCACCACACCACACCTATTCCAAAATTGACCACATAGTTAGAAGTAAAGCTCTCCTCAGCAAATGTAAAAGAACAGAAATTATAACAAACTGTCTCTCACACCACAGTGCAATGAAACTAGAACTCAGGATTAAGAAACTCACTAAAAACTGCTCAACTACATGGAAACTGAACAACCTGCTCCTGAATGACTACTGGGTACATAACGAAATGAAGGCAGAAATAAAGATGTTCTTTGAAATCAATGCGAACAAGACACAACATACCAGCATCTCTGGGACACATTCAAAGCAGTGTGTAGAGGGAAATTTATAGCACTAAATGACCACAAAAGAAAGCAGGAAAGATCCAAAATTGACACCCTAACATCACAATTAAAAGAACTAGAAAAGCAAGAGCAAACACATTCAAAAGATAGCAGAAGGCAAGAAATAACTAAAATCAGAGCAGAACTGAAGGAAATAGAGACCAAAAAAACCCTTCAAAAAATTAATGAATCCAGGAGCTGGTTTTTTGAAAGGATCAACAAAATTGATAGACTGCTAGTGAGACTAATAAAGAAAAAAAGAGAGAATAATCAAATAGATGCAATAAAAAATGATAAAGGGGATATCACCACCGATCCCACAGAAATACAAACTATCATCAGAGAATACTACAAACACCTCTACGCAAATAAACTAGAAAATCTACAAGAAATGGATAAATTCCTCGACACATACACATTCCCAAGACTAAACCAGGAAGAAATTGAATCTCTGAATATACCAATAACAGGATCTGAAATTGTGGCAATAATCAATAGCTTACCAACCAAAAAGAGTCCAGGACCAGATGGATTCACAGCCGAATTCTACCAGAGGTACAAGGAGGAACTGGTACCATTCCTTCTGAAACTATTCCGATCAATAGAAAAAGAGGGAATCCTCCCTAACTCATTTTATGAGGCCGGCATCATCGTGATACCAAAGCCGGGCAGAAACACAACCAAAAAAGAGAATTTTTAGACCAATATCCTTGATGAACATTGATGCAAAAATCCTCAGTAAAATACTGGCAAACTGAATCCAGCAGCACATCAAAAAGCTTATCCACCATGATCAAGTGGGCTTCATCCCTGGGATGCAAGGCTGGTTCAATATACGCAAATCAATAAATGTAATCCAGCATATAAACAGAACCAAAGACAAAAACCACATGATTATCTCAATAGATGCAGAAAAGTCCTTTGACAAAATTCAACAACGCTTCATGCTAAAAACTCTCAATAAATTAAGTATTGATGGGAGGTATCTCAAAATAATAAGAGCTATCTGTGACAAACCCACAGCCAATATCATACTGAATGGGCAAAAACTGGAAGCATTCCCTTTGAAAACTGGCACAAGACAGGGATGCCCTCTCTCACCACTCCTATTCAACATAGTGTTGGAAGTTCTGGCCAGGGCAATTAGGCAGAAGAAGGAAATAAAGGGTATTCAATTAGGAAAAGAGGAAGTCAAATTGTCCCTGTTTGCAGATGACATGATTATATATCTAGAAAACCCCATTGTCTCAGCCCAAAATCTTCTTAAGCTGATAAGCAACTTCAGCAAAGTCTCAGGATACAAAATCAATGTACAAAAATCACAAGCATTCTTATACACCAACAACAGACGAACAGAGAGCCAAATCATGAGTGAATTCCCATTCACAATTGCTTCAAAGAGAATAAAATACTTAGGAATCCAACTTACAAGGGACGTGAAGGACCTCTTCAAGGAGAACTACAAACCACTGCTCAATGAAATAGAAGAGGATACAAACAAATGGAAGAACATTCCATGTTCATGGGTAGGAAGAATCAATATCATGAAAATGGCCATACTGCCCAAGGTAATTTATAGATTCAATGCCATTCCCATCAAGCTACTAATGACTTTCTTCACAGAATTGGAAAAAACTACTTTAAAGTTCATATGGAACCAAAAAAGAGCCCACATCACCAAGTCAATCCTAAGCCAAAAGAACGAAGCTGGAGGCATCACACTACCTGACTTCAAACTATACTACAAGGCTACAGTAACCAAAACAGCATGGTACTGGTACCAAAACAGAGATCTAGATCAATGGAACAGAACAGAGCCCTCAGAAATAACGCCGCATATCTACAACTATCTGATCTTTGACAAACCTGAGAAAAACAAGCAATGGGGAAAGGATTCCCTATTTAATAAATGGTGCTGGGAAAACTGGCTAGCCATATGTAGAAAGCTGAAACTGGATCCCTTCCTTACACCTTATACAAAATTAATTCAAGATGGATTAAAGACTTAAATGTTAGACCTAAAACCATAAAAACCCTAGAAGAAAATCTAGGCATTACCATTCAGGACATAGGCATGCGCAAGGACTTCATGTCTAAAACACCAAAAGCAATGGCAACAAAAGACAAAATTGACAAATGGGATCTAATTATACTATAGAGCTTCTGCACAGCAAAAGAAACTACCATTAGAGTGAACAGGCAACCTACAAAATGGTAGAAAATTTTCGCAAGCTACTCATCTGACAAAGGGCTAATATGCAGAATCTACAATGAACTCAAACAAATTTACAAGAAAAAAACAAACAACCCCATCAAAAAGTGGGCAAAGGATATGAACAGACACTTCTCAAAAGAAGACATTTATGCAGCCAAAAGACACATGAAAAAATGCTCATCATCACTGGCCATCAGAGAAATGCAAATCAAAACCACAAGGGGATACCATCTCACACCAATTAGAATGGCAATCATTAAAAAGTCAGGAAACAACAGGTGCTGGAGAGGATGTGGAGGAATAGGAACACTTTTACACTGTTGGTGGGAGTGTAAACTAGTTCAACAATTGTGGAAGTCAGTGTGGTGATTCCTCAGGGATCTAGAACTAGAAATACCATTTGACCCAGCCATCCCATTACTGAGTATATACCCAAAGGACTATAAATCACGCTGCTATAAAGACACATGCACACGTATGTTTTTTGCGGCACTATTCACAATAGCAAAGATTCGGAACCAACCCAAATGTCCAACAATGATAGACTGGATTAAGAAAATGTGGCACATATACACCATGGAATACTATGCAGCCATAAAAAATGATGAGTTCATGTCCTTTGTAGGGACATGGATGAAATTGGAAATCATCATTCTCAGTAAACTATCGCAAGGACAAAAAACCAAACACCGCATGTTCTCACTCATAGATGGGAATTGAACAATGAGAACACATGGACACAGGAAGGGGAACATCACACTTTGGGGACTGTTGTGGGGTGGGGGGAGGGGGGAGGGATAGCATTAGGAGATATACCTAATGCTAAATGACGAGTTAATGGGTGCAGCACACCAGCACCCATGTATACATATGTATACAGGCACATGTATACATATGTAACTAACCTGCACATTGTGCACATGTACCCTAAAACTTAAAGTATAATAATAATAATATAAAAAAGAGTTGTTAAACATATCTTGCCAATAAGACATTTCTCTTATAGAACCAAAGACCTAGGGTATTTACACAGCAGATATTTATTAAGAGCTTATTATGTGCAGATTCCAGTGAGGGTTATGACAATATAGGAGGACTATCTGAGAGCTATTAACTGTCTTGCAAACTATTTATACCTGTCCCCTTTCTTTGTGTATCTCCATTAAACAGTAGTTTGTGATGGCAAAAAAAAAAAAAAAATTAGTTTAACATTAATAGTACACTAATGCAACAGTAAAATTTGGCTTATTTGGTATAAAAGTCCTAAAGGAAGCATTGTAAAATACAAAGTTGGCTTTCTTTGGGCTGTATTTGTATAAATATGTTATTGGTATGTGTTCCAAAATTATGGGAAACTCTTACAATTCTCATAGGACTTAATGTTTGTTATTAATACTGATAATTGTTACATAAAATCATTGTATGCCACAGAGGTAACCAAAATTTCCTTGTCAATTGTGGCTTTAATAGTGGCTGTCCTAACTAAGACTTTTTGTCAGCCATTCCCTGGACAATTGTTGTCTTGTTTTGGTCCTCTTTAGAAAGTGGGTTATACTCAGCTATAGGACTTTCTGCTGTTAAATGCAGGTTCCCAGTGACTTTGGAAATTGTAACATTAAAATAGAGGGAAAAACTTTCAGGACTCTCAGGGAGAGCCGAAATGTTCATGAATATCAAGCAGAACAGGAGTTAACTGCATGGACTGAACTAATAAAAGACTAAAGTAATCTTTTTGACTTTTTGCTTAAAATGTTGCTGATCCTTTGTTCTGTTTTTCAAAGTCGAGGAAACTTTTCTCTTGAGCTACTGACAGCATTTAACAATTGAGTATAGTCTTGTGAACAAAAGTTGGAGCATATTTGTTTCTCTCTACCTGATTTCTCCAGAATTTGAAACTATTAATATTTGTGAGTATCTTAACTTAGGGCAATATAGTTATTTGCATAAGTGCAATAGGAATCTGTTTTCTTTTGCAACAAGACACAATTGGAGAAACTGGTTATTTTACCAAGGCTTTGGCTGAAATGGCTTGCTTTCCTTTAAGGAATCAAACTTGACTTGCAGAGCCAATAAATCTCCTTGGGAAAAACTGGCCTCATACTTTGTCTACACAGTCCCTGTACAGGGTTTATGACCTGTGGTAAGTAAAGAATGTCAATTTCTAACAGGCCCTGGAGGCCCAAGTTTTCCTGGGACCTCAATAGGAGGGGAATTTGCTCAGCTTATAGGTATTTGAAGGTATAAACCCATGCGTGGCCTCAGCTTTAAAAAAGCCTTATCTGAGATTCCTTCTCTGGAACAAAGTACCATCAGAACCAATTTAAAAAGAGCTTAGGTGACAAATATTCTTGCTGCACTTTATACAAATAATCAGACCAAGTATAATAAAGCAAATCAGTCTTACCATGATTTGTCTTTAGTAAAAATGGGAGATGGGAAACCAAAAAAAATTATGCTTTAAGAACTATGGCACACCTGTTATTACATTCTAGTCTCATCAGTTGTTCTTGAGCTTTCTCTCCTGACATTTAGAATGACATTGATTGTTACTGTGAACCGATCAGTGATCTCTGACAGCAGCTCAGAAGAAACAAGAGGAATGGGTAATGCAAAAATCTGGATTGATATTCTAATTCTGGACGGGTATTAGAATCAGTTAGCAACCCCATATCAGCTTGATTCCAACTGTTCAGTTAATGGAAAGTCTTCTAATTTAGTTTACTTGGGATAATATTGCTTATTTTCCTTTATTGTTGTGAAATATACTGGTGTTGCACTCTATGTGTAAGAATGCAGTATAAGCTTACCGAATGTTCTCTTAAATTGAACACATATTAATCTTCCAGATATCACTTTTCATTGGCACTCAAGAATTATGAATAGCCCTTGCCATATAAATGATTTCTGACTGAGCTTCTCTCTACCCTGAATGCAAGAGACCCAATAGTTAGGCAGGAATATCATTGCCCCTATTCAACCTGAAGATGTTACAGAAGAAGGATTATCCCTCTACAAGCCTTAGGATGAAGGGTTCTCTTATAAAAGGGAGGGGGAAATGTCAGAGGTGTTTGAACCAGAGCAACTCCATCTTGAATAAGGGCTAGATAAAATAAGGCTGAGACCTACTAGGCTGCATTCCCAGAAGGTTAAGGCATTCTTTGTCACAGGATAAGCTAGGAGGTCAACACGATATACAGGTCATATAGGCCTTACTGGTAAAATAGGTTGCAGTAAAGAAGCTGGCTAAAACTCACCAAAACTAAGAGGGCAACAAGAGTGACCTTTGATCGTCCTCACTGCTATACTCCCACCAGCACCATGACAGTTTACAAATGCCATGGCAATGTCAGGAAGTTACCCTATACGGCCTAAAAAGGGAAGGCATGAATCATCCACCCCTTGTTTAGCATATGATAAAGAAATAACCATAAAATGGGCAACCAGCAGCCCTAGGGGCTGCTCTGCCTTTGGAGTAGCCATTCTTTATTCCTTTACTTTCCTAATAAACTTGCTTTCACTTTACTCTACGGACTTGCCTTACATTCTTTCTTGTGCGAGATCCAAGAACCCTCTCTTGGGGCCTGGATCAGGACCTCTTTCTGGCAACAGAGTCAATATCAAAACTAAAGCATTCAGAACATTTATGTGCCAAAAAATACAGTGTCAAAATACAGAAGGCAAAAATTTTAGGCAATTAGAAAATAATTAACAAAACCATAACACAAGTTTCTGCCACTGACGTACCAAAGAAATAATAATCATCTATTGACTTCTGTACTTCAGAATAGTTTCCCAACCTACCAGCACTCTTGTGTCCTTAGATTTCTTAAGCCTTGCATCATTCATGGAGCTTGAGTTGCTGGAATATTTGGGTTGGCCACCTCCAGCCTTGAGCAGCTTTTTCTGGGACTCTTCAGCAAACAGCCAGAAGAGAGGGGCCTGAGAGCTTGACCCACAGTCCATGAAACCAATGAATACAATAGCAGTGTCTCTGGTGTAACACAGTGTGCATGATCAAAGAATGTCCTGCTGCTTGGGCGTCTGATCCAACAGCCACCTGAAGAGTGATCTGCTGCTGCCTGTCATAGACAAAGGCCCATGCAGCTACTAAGGAGTTCATGTAGTGATGCCCAAGCACTAAGTTGTGCAGCTCAAATAGTGGTGGAATGATAGGGTAGATGAGCAAGAATCTGCCCAGGCAGCAGCCCTAAATTTCTGCTATCACGTATTTTGGATACATCCATGCCTTTGTGGTTGATGTGCCTTCCAAGCCAGCAGCCAGCACCCTGTCTGTTCTAATGATGTACATGTAACCCACAAATTAGAGCTTTATAGTTATTTAAAAATATTGATATAAAAACTTTAATTACATGTAAACCCATTTTCTTTATCACAATTTATATCAGAATGTATTTGGGAAATAAAAGAAAGAACTGTTAATATCATTGAATATAATTTTAACTGTTGTAAAATTTTGAGTGTTTATTTTCAAATTTTTAAATTTATCTGCTTGCATAAACAAAGGTTAGTACAGCATGGGGGAAACCACCCCCATGATCCAGTTACCTCCACCTGGTTTCTCCCTTGACATGTGGGGTTTATGGGGATTCTAATTCAAGATGAGATTTGGGTGGGGACAAAAAGCCTAACCATATCACCACCATTAGGCTTTCTTCTCTAAGGTCTAAACAAAAACCAGCCTTTTCAAAGACTCCACACTGATAATGTTGACTACTAGCTTATGTTCCCAGGTAGAGAACAAAGACACGATGGGATTAATTATTTCCTCACCCCTCCCTGAGATGTCTGCTTCCTCTATTCCCATTTTCTTCATGTGTTTGCCTTATCTTATGTATAATGTAGATTTACTGGGCACTAGCTAAAGTCTCACGAGTATATAACCATTCTTCTCACTGTGTCCCACCACCCACTCCCACCTTTCTAAGGAAAATATATAAATACTGATATGGTTTGGCTATGTCTCCACCCAAATCTCAACTTGAATTGTATCTCCCAGAATTCCCATGTGTTTTGGGAAGGAACCAGGTTGAGGTAATTGAATCATGGGGTCAGTGTTTCCCATGCTATTCTTACAATAGTCAGTAAGTCTCATGAGATCTGATGGGTTTATCAGGGGTTTCCACTTTTGCTTCTTCCTTATTTTCTCTTGCCACCACCATGTAAGAAGTGCCTTTCACTTCCCACCATGATTCTGACGCCTCCCCAGACGTGTGGAACTCTAAGTCCAATTAAACCTCTTTTACTCCACAGTCTCGGGTATGTCTTTATTAGCAGCATGAAAACAGACTAATACAAATACTAAACCTCCTGAGAACTCCTTTGGAACAAATGGCCACAGATCCATCTGTGACTAGTGTTTTTCTGGGTGCATCCTCAAGCAGGCTCAATAAACCTTGATTGATTGGGCCACCTGCTGCAATCACTCATTTTGGTTGTCAAGGGCTATAAAAAATGAATTTACAGGAAATGATAGGAATGAATTGAAAAATATAAAGAATAGAAGGGAAGTTCTAGAACTAGAAAATATAATATCTCAAATAAAACATCCATTAGACAGACTTAACAGCACATTAGAGATGGTAGAAGAAAGACTAAGTGAACTTGAAGACAGAGCAATACAAATTATCCAACCTCAAGAAGAGAGTACAGGATTAACAACAGTAAAAAATGCAGAGTGCCTCTGAAACCTGTAGGGAAATATAAAAACTCTAATATATGTTTAATTAGAGTTCTAGAACAGGTAAGAAAAGGAGAGAGTGAGGAAACAGTTGAAGGAAGATTTACTGAAAAATTTCAAAATTTGGTCAAAAACATTGACATAGAGATCAAAGAAGCCCAGTGAACCTCACACAATATAACTTACAGATAAAGACACACACACACACACACACACACACACACACACACAGCCCTACCTTTGCGCATCATAGTCAAACTGGATATGATAAAGGATTAAAAAAAATCTTGAAGGAAGTCAGAAAAAAAAATGACAGTGCACAACAGGAAGTGACAGAAGAATGATGGTTGTATTAGTCTGTTCTCACACTGCTAATAAAGACATACTCAAGACTGGGTAATTTATAAAGAAAAAGAGGTTAATGGACTCACAGTTCCACATGGTTGGGGAGTCCTCACAATCAGGGCTGAAGGCAAAGGAGAAGCAGTCACGTCTTACGTGGTGGCAGGCAAGAGAGCTTGTGCAGGGAAACTACCATTTGTACAACCATCAGATCTTGTGAGACTTATTCATTACCATGAGAACAGTATGGGGGAAACTGCCCCCCCAGCCCTGCTCTTGACACATGGGGATTATTACAATTCAAGGTGAGATTTGGGTGGGGACACAGCCAACTATATCAATTGTTTATGTCTATCTCATTAGCCACATAGAGGTCAGAAAACAATTTAATGGTTTCTTCAAAATGATTAAAGAAAAAAAAATCTGTCAACACAGAACTCTGTATTCAAAGAAAATATTCATCAAAAATGAATGCAAAGTAAAGACTTTTACATATAATGCAAAAGTAGATTTCATTGCCATCAGGCTTTAATTTTAAGAAATGCAAAAAGGAAGTTATTTATCTGAAGGGAAATGACATCAGATGGAAACCTGTCTCTAAATAAAGGAATGAAAAGTATTGGAAATGGTAAAACTGTGGGTAAACTTGGGAGGCTGAAGCAGGCAGATTATGAGGTCAAGAGATCAAGACAATCCTGGCCAACATGGTGAAACCCCATCTCTACTAAAAATACAAAAATTAGCTGGGCGTGGTGTCACACGCCTGTAGTCCCAGCTACTGCAGAGACTGAGGCAGGAGAATTGCTTGAACCTGGGAGGTGGAGGTTGCAGCCGGCTGAGATTGCTTGCCACTGCACTCCAGCCTGGTGACAGAGCAAGGCTCTGTCTAAAAAAAAAAAAAAAAAAGTGGGTAAACATAAAAGGCTATAATTTTTTTCTTCTATTATTTTCCTGAAAATGTATATGACTATTTACATAATAAATTATAGTACCATATTGTGGGGCATACAATGTATATAGATATAATATATATGAAAACTTGTATATATAATGAGGGTAAAATAGATTACACTTTTGCAAGGCTTTTACATCTCATATCTCATGTGGAATAGTACAATAGTAATGCTAAGTATATGTAATAAATTAAGAATGTATTTCACAATCCTTACAATACCCTATATTGTAACTAAATAAATAGTGCAAAGAAATACACTAAAAACCAGTAGAGAAACTAAAAATGAATCTCACAAAATACAGCTATTCAAAAAAGGCAAGAAAAAGGGTAAGATTTTAAAAACAATGGCATAACTAGAAAAAATACAGAAAAAAATAGTAGACATAAATCCAACTATGTAAGTAATTATATTAAATGAAATTGAAACACTCCGATTAAAAGACAGATATTGTAAGTGGATTTAAATTGGAAAAAGACCCAACTCCTTGGCATATATGAGGAGCAATTTAAATGTAGGGCACAGAGAAGTTGAAAATAAAAGAATGGAAAAATATATACCATAAAAACAGTCAGATAAGAAAGCTAGAGTGGCTATAATAAGATCAGACAAAATAAGCTTTAAGATAAGAAATATTATCAGCAATAAGGAAAGATTTTAAAATGATAAAACAGTCGATTAGGAAAATGACAACAATCATGGATGAGTAGGTGTCCAATAGCAAACCTTCAAAATACATGAAGAAAAAACGGACAAAATTAGAGGGTAATAGCCAAATCCACTATCACAGATTTTAGCAACTGTTTCAGCAACTGCTAGAACTTAAAAAGAAATAAGCAAGGATAGAGAAGATTTAAACATGATTAATTATCATGACCTAATTGACATTTATATAACAAATAATCCAATAACTATAGAACATATCTTTCTTCTAACTATGTATAGCATATTTACCAAGGACCACATGCTGTGAAGTAAAGCAATCATTAATTCACTCAAAGTTTAAAATCTTGCCAAGTATGTTTTCTGACCACATAGAATTAAATTAAAAATCAATAACAATAAAGTATTTATTAAAGCCCCACTTGGTTAACACACTGCTAAATATCCTATGGGTCAAGGCAGAAATCAGAGGAAACATTATAAAATACTTCAACTGAATGATAATGAAAGTACAACATTATAATATGTGGGATTTAGGTTAAAGCAGTACATAGAGGGAAATTCATAGCTTTAAGTGCTTATATATATAAATATATACATATATTTTATATATAAATTATATATAATATATATTTATATTTTAATTGATATTTAAATTCAATATTCCTAGCTATCAACCTCAAAAGATGGAAAAAGACGATCAAATTAAATACAAGATGAGTAAAAGATTATATAAAAAAGAGCAGAAATCAATGAAGTAGAAAACCTAAAACAATTTTTGAAAATTTAAGAAAGTCAAAAGTGGGTTCTCACTATTTCTATTAAATATTTTACTGGAAGTATTAGGCAGTTGAACACTGCAAGAAAAAAATAAATGCATAAAGATTAGAATGGAAGAGATAAGTCACTCTTTAATAAAAAATTCAACTTTTATTTTAGATGTACACATGCAGGTTTGTTATATGGATATGTTGCATCCAGGTAATCAGCACAGTACCCAATAGTTTTTTTAACCCATGCTTCTCTCTCTACCTCTCCCATCTAGTAGTCCACAGTGTCTGTTGTTCCCATGTTTATGTCCACGTGTGCTCAATGTTTAGCTTCCACTTATAAGTGAGAAGGTGAGATATTTGGTTTTCTGATTTTGCATTAATTCGCTTAGGATAATGGCCTCCAGCTGCATCCATGTTGCTGCAAAGGACATGACTTCATTCTTTTTTATAGGTGCATAGTATTTCATGGTATATATACACCACATTTTCTTTATCCAATCTGCAATTGATGGGAATCTAGGTTCGTTCCATGTCTTTACTATTATGAATAGTATGACTATAGACATATGAGTGCATGCATGTTTTTGGTATAATTATATACCCAGATATGGCATTGCTGGGTTGAATGGTAGCACCTTTTTAAGTTTTTTGTGAAATCTCCAAGCTGCTTTCCACAGTTACTAAACTAATTTATATTCCTACCAACAGTGTATAAGCATTCCCTTTCCTCCACAGCCTCATTAGCATCTGTTATTTTTTGACTTTTTAACAATGGCCATGTTGACTGCTGTGAGACCGTATCTCACTGTGGTTTTAATTTGCATTTCTCTGATGATTAGTGATGATGAGCATTTTTTCATGTTTGTTGGCCATTTATATGTCCTCTTTTGAGAAGTGTCTGTATATATCCTTTGCCCATTTTTTTATAGGGGCTATTGGCTTTTTGCCTCTTGGTTTGTTTATATTCATTATATATTCTGAATATTAGACCTTTGTCAGATGCATAGTTTCTGAATATATTCTCCCATTCTGTAGGTTGTCTGTTTACTCTATTGATAGTTTCTTTTGCTGTGCAGAAGCTCTTTAGTTAAATTAGGTCCTGCTTGTCGATTGTTTTTATTGTTGCAGTTGCTTTTGGGGACTTAGCCAAAAATTATTTGCCAAGACCAGGGTCAAGAAGGGCATTTCTTAGGTTTTCTTCTAGGATTTTTACAGTTTGAGGCCTACATTTAAATATTTAATCCATCATGAGCTAATTTTTCTATATGGTAATAAGTCAGGATCCAGTTTCATTCTTCTGAATATGGCTGGCTAGTTATCCCAACCCATTTATTGAGTAGGAAGTCCTTTCTCTATTGCTTGTTTTCATTGGCTTTGTCAAAGATTAGATGGTTGTAAGAGTGCAGCTTTATTTCTGAGTTTTCTATTCTCTTCCATTGATGTCTTTTTTGCCAGTACCATGCTGATTACTATATTCTTATAGTTTAAAATCGAGTACTGCATTGCCTCCAGCTTTGTTCTTTTTGCTTAGGATTGCTTTAGCTGTTGTGGCTCCTTTTTTGTTCCATGTGATTTATAAAATAGATTTTTCTTTTTCTAATTCTGTGAAGAACAACATTGGTAGTTTATAGAAATAATATTGAGTCTGTAAATTGCTTTGGCCAGTATGGCCATTCTAACATTACTGATTCTTGAAATCCATATTGCATGGAGTGTTGTGTAGTTCTCCTTGTAGAGATCTTTCACCTGTTCAGTTAGCTGTATTCCTATGTAGTAGATCACTTTTTACTTACAGAAAACTTGATTATGTACATAGAAAATAGTAAGAAATTCACAATGTAAATATGAAAGTAAATAAGAGATGTTATCAAGGTCACAGAATGTAAAGTCAATAGAGAAAAATATTTGTCCTTTTATACACTAGGAGTAAACAATAGAAAAGACAACATCTTTTTAAAAATGGCTTTAAAATAACATCAAAATCATAAAATACTCAGGAATACATTCAACAAAACATGTAAAATGTCTACCCTGAAAACTATAAAACATTGATAAGAAAATGAAAAGACCTAAATAAAGAGCTATACTATGTTAAATGGACTGCCAGACTTAAACTTTTTAAGGTGTCAGTTCTCCACAAATTTTTCTACAGAGTCTAAGCAATCACAATCACAATCTCAGAAGGCTTTAGAAAAAGAATTTGAGAAGGTGATTTGAAAATTTATGTAGAAATGAAAAAGACCTAAGAGTGCCAAAATAATCTTTGAAAAGAGCAAAATTAGAAGACTTACTTTACTTGAATTTAAAATTTACTATCATCATCAACACAGTAAGATATAATCAGGATATATGAGTCAGAATAGACTCACAGTTTGACAGAAGAAGATATAGAGCCCAGAAATAGACTCACATTTGTTCAGTCAATTGGTTTGGACAGCATTTTTAACAAACGGTGCTGAAACAAGTAAATATCCACATGGAAATAAACAAACAAACCCTTGATTCCCTGCCACACACACACATAAATCAAGCCGGATCATAGATCAAATCATAAAGGCTAAAACCACAAAGCTACTAGGAAGAAAAAAAAAAAACCCAAGAGGGCCAGACCTGGTGGCTCACACCTGTAATCCCAACACTTTGGGAGGCCAAGGTGGGCGGATCATCTGAGGTCAGGAATTTGAGACCAGCCTGGCTAACACTACAAAACCCCATCTGTACTAAAAATACAAAAATTAGCTGGGTGTGGTGGTGCGCAGCTGTAATCCCAGCTACTCGGGAGGCTGAGGCAGGAGAGTCGCTTGAACCCAGGAGGCAGAGGTTGCAGTGAGCCGAGATTGCACCACTGGACTCCAGCCTGGGTGACAGAATGAGACTCCGTCTCAAACAAAACAAAACCCAGGAGAATATCTTAATGAACTGGGTGTAGCTAAGGATTTCTCAGAATATGAAAATAGTAACAATAGAAGCAGAAGATTAGTAAGTAAGATTTCATAAACCTCAAGATTGTTTTCATTGAAGAACAATGTTAAGAATATGAAGAGACAAGCCACAGACTTCCAGAAAATACTCTTAATGCATATGTCTTGTGTAGAAAATATAGAAAGAACTTCTACAAACAACTCAATGAATTATTGGCAAAAGATTAGAATGAACTTGTCAAAAATGAGGCTATATGAATGGCCAATAGCATTGGAAAGATTTCTCTACGTCGCTAGTCATCACTGAAATGCAAATTGAAACCACAATAAGATACGACTTTGCATGTATTAGACTGGCTAAAACTAATATGACAAACACAACCAAAGTTGTTGAGAAGACAGAGCAACTGGAATTCTCATACATAGCTGATGGGTGTGAAAATGACACAACCACCACCACCTTTGAAAATGGTTTGGCTGTTTTTCATAATGTTATACATACACCTAGCCTATGATACAGCAATTACACTAAAAGATATTTACCCAACATAAACAAATGTGTATGTATATGTGTATGTGTGATGTAAAGACTTGAACACAATGTTCATAAAAATGCTTTTCATAATAATCTCACATTGGAAAACTGGAAATAATATATAGATTCATTGATAAGGGAATGGATTACAAAATTATGGTACAGTCATGAAACAGAATTAAAAAAAGATGAATTATCCTTAATTTTAAAAAAGGATGAACTATCGTTATAACAGCATAGATGAAATTCACTGACATTGGGCTGTAAAAGAATACATTCTCTATGATTTCATCTATATGATGTTCTAGTATAGGCAAAACTACTCCATGACGGAAAAAATTAAAAAGCAGTTGTCATTTGGTGGTGGAGTATTAATTGGTAAGGAGACAGGAAACTTTCTCAGGGGATGGATGTGCTGTTTATCTTCATAGGAGTTCAGATCCCAAGGCTGCATGTGCTTATCACAATTCATCGAATTGTACACTTAAGATATGTGCATTTTACTATATGCAAATTTTATGCCACACCAAAAGAAACAGAACATAAACAATATTGAACTCTATTGAATATGCTTGGGTGATTTTTTTGCAGAATTTGAAGCTAGGAATTCTAATTTATACTCTATGTATTCTATTATTGAGCAAATAACTAAATCTACTAAGGATAATGGAGACAATTTTCTCAACTGTTGGATAAGGGCATTGTAAATATGGAAAGCATTAAAATGATAATGTAATGTATGGTGTTGGATTGGAATTGGAAATGTCAATATTGACTCATTACAGGTAGGATGGATGGTTAGATAGATAGACAGATAGATAGACAGATGATAAGAAAAAGCTCTTCTTTATAGTGGAAAGCCAACCAATAAATCCATAAGGAGCCACAGAATTAGAAAAACATGAATGCATGATAAAACTGAGTAGTTAAAGTTCATTGAGGAACAGGACATTTACAAAACTGGAAAGCATCTCCTCAAAATTGCTTCAGAGAGTAGAGATCTATTGGATACTTCCTCAACTTAGTGATTAAAGTTAATATCCCCAGTACTGTGACAAGTCAACATTATATGTTTCTTACATGATGCACTGAGAAGAGCCCAACATCACTTATTTGGTATTCTTGCCAAAAATGCATTAACTAAATATAATAATGAAGAAACATCATATAAACCCAGATTGATAGAAATTCTACAAAACAGTTGCCCTGCAATCTTAAACATTGACAAGGTCAAGAAAGAAAAGGTAAGACTGAAGACCTGTATTCCCAGTCTTTTAGTAGACTGAAACACGACAACTAAATGCAATTCATGATCCTTATGGATTTTGATTCAAGATTTAAAAAATAGTTATAAAACAGCATTGTGACAAAAGGTAAAATGTAATATACATTGTGGATTAAGTGAGAATATTGTATCAATGTTAAATATCCTGATTTTGATCATTGTAAGAGAATGCATAAATATTTCAGAGTGCAAGGGCACAATATCTCCAACTTGCTCCTAAACAGTTCAGAAAAAAAATTATATATGTGTATACACATACATGTTCATAAAGAAATGAGGCAAAATGCAATAACTGTTAAGTCTGGTGTAAATGATATATACAGGAGATCTTTGTATAATCCTTGAAGTTTTACCTAAGTTTAAAATTATCTCAAAATAAAAAACTATCATAAAAATACTAAAATACTTGAAATTAAATATTAAGTACAAAAGCAGAAATGATGAAATTGAATTTGTACATTTTTATTTTTTGAGACAGAGTCTTGCTCTGTTGCCCGGGCTGGAGTGCAGTGGTACAACCTTGACTCAATCTCTGCCTCCCAGGCTAAAGTGATTCTCGTGCCTCAGCCTCCCGAGTGGCTGGGATTACAGGCATACACCACCATGCCTAGCTAATTTTTGTATTTTTTATTTGAGATGGGGTTTCTCCATGTTTCCCAGGCTGGCCTTGAACTCCTGGCCTCAAATGATCCACCTGCTTCGGCCTCCCAAACTGCTGGGATTACAGGCATGAGCCACTGCACCCAGCCTGAATTTGTACAATTGATAGACAATTTTATAGTTGTCTCTGACAACTGAAACAACAATATATGCATTTTCCAGAAATATTTTTAAAAGAATAACATCAATATTATAAATGAGAAAATAAGCATAAGCATTGATGTAGTAAATTAAAACTTGAATTTTCATACCTAGAAGCAGGGTGGAAGAGGGAAAAGCCTTCTGGGAAGATGAAACAGTGCTAAGACCTTGTGCTGGGAGGGAGGATGAAGCTCTAGGGGAAAATCCATTTCCTTGCTTTTTCCAGTTCCTAGAGGCTGCTGGTTTTCTGTGGCTCATGGTCCCTCTCCTTCATCTTCAAAGTCAGCAATGGTGGGCTGAATCCTTATCAAACTGCGTCAATCTGATCTGCTCTTCTGCATAATTTTCTGCACATCAAAGATCCTTGTGATTACATTCAGCCTTCCTGGAGTAGTTAATCTACCTATTTTATAGTCTTCTAATTAGACACCTTAATTCCATCTGCAACTTTAATTTCCCCTTTGCCATGGAACATAGTCACAGGTTCCAGATATTAGTATGTGAGTGTCTTTTGAGAACCAATACACTGCCTACCACAGTGAGTAGAAAGCCAGGGTGCTCGGAGTACAGAGAGTATGGGAAAGGGTGATAAAGACCACGCTAGAGGGGTAAACACTGGGACTATATTACTACTTACACAACGTCCTCAGTTATTACAGACAAGAAGATGTATAGATCCCCTCTCTCCCAACCCTACTTCCCATCCTGTTTCCCACTAAGTACCTGGAAGAATCTAAAGATTCTTCTAAATATTCTAAAAAACAAAAGGAAATTTCAAATCATCATCTAAATAGCTGGATATGCAAAAGGGCACTTTTATGTAGGAATGTAGGTTGGAAATACCTAAAATGGGAGGACTTTTTTTTCTCCTTAGAGAGAAGGAGCAGAAAAGAGTCAAAAGAAGAGAAGAGGGTGGCAAGAAGGGAGTTCTCTTGTTCAAGAAACATGGGAGATTTGCTACAGGATCTTTATGAATGAAGATGTCTAACAGTCTGTGTAATGTTTTTCTGCTCCTAAAATTTAAATCTCTAACTTTTGTCAAAGTTTGCTGTGTATAAGAAGGCTCTTAGCAAATAGATTTGTTGTAGAAATCAGGAACAGTGGCTGCATGCACCTCTGGGAGACACCATTGGAGAGATAAACAAACACTGTAAGACACAAAGCCAAAAAGGATAACTCAGTAGAGGCAAAAGGTCCAAATGAGAGGTCACTGTGAGATGGCACGAATTCCCTCTCAGAAACACAGAAGTCTAGGGAGGGCATTCAAGACAAACTTATTCAGATTCGGAGAGCTGCAAATCTCAAGTTGACATCCGGACCATGAGTTTGCCCTCTTTCTCTAAAACTGTGTTTTTTCAAGGATGCCTGTTTTCAGCAGCATTTCATATACTCTCACCCTTTTTGCAGCCTTTTTGCCTTACCAAGATCCCTTTTCCATAATTTTAATCCAGAAAAAAATGATAGCTCTTAGAGTACATAGATGTAGGAAAAAAATGAGAGGAAAAGAGAGAACATGTTTGCAACTACAAATCAGAGCTGACGTGGAAAATAGAGCTTGGGTATCCCGAAATAATTTCACAGGGCAATGTGTGCAGGACAGGATGAAAGTAACCGACATTGAGTTTGGCCAATTTAAGGACTTTCCAATTACTTTGAAAGCCATTGACTGAATTTTCTATTCTGAAATAGTCACGTAGTGTTCAATTGCTCTGTTCAGGACAGAGACGTACAAAGCAATCAGTAGTTTAGTTTCTAGAACTGTTAGCCAAATTGAAATCACTTCAGTGTCTGACACCTCGTTTTTCCTGAAGTTTGGAAATGAGATGTAGTGAGAGGAGACGAGTCTCCAAGTTAGAGAGAGTTCACAGCTCTGGAGGGAGTGAATAGAAGCCAACCACACCCACCCCAAAAAGGAAATGCTTTTCAACACCTACGTACTTTTTAAAGTTGCATTTTGTGTGTTATTTTAAACAAAAACAGCTTGACACACTCTGTAGTGTCATGCACTAGAGCTGCTTTTCCTACATTTTATTTTCTGATTTTCCAGGATTTAATTTTTCCCTTCCATTTCTGACTTTATTTATCTTGAGTTAGAACAGTTGCTCCCCTCAATAAAAGTGCCAGAAGGAAGGCTCTCCAGCATTTCAATGGTCTCCAGCAAAATGGCCAGAGGAATAGTCAAGACTTTCTACTTTGCTTCTAATTCAATAGGGACTTCTATCATGAACACTCAAGTGCTTATTCTATAGCCTCGGAGTTGAAATATTACATAAAATGCTGTTGAAGATCCCCTTTTAAAGTTATATGGAAACATGGGTTAATTATCAAAAAGAAGGATTATGAACTGAAGTGAGTATTCATGTAATGAACTGGTACATCCATAAGTAAGCCAGAGTTTTAAAAATGGGACGAGTGGCCAATTCTGTTGCCTGTAAAATCACTTTTGAAGACATTATTTATATGCAGCTTTTACTAACATCTCTGTTAGTAGAAGCTGTGATGTGTAAAATTCCTACTCCCATTGAGAACAATGGGATTTGATCTGGACCACACGACAAACAAATGATTCTCTATGAGATATTTGTTTATGCTAACAGGTCCTTGGCTGCTCCCACTTAAGAAATCAACATATTATGCACAGAAATAAATTTATCGCAGGTTCACAATTCTCATTTCAAGAGTTTCTTGTTTTTAATTCACAAGTTCCACCAATCCTTACTAAAGACTTGCAATATTTGTTTTGTAAAATAAGAAACAAGATCAAACAATATTGTTTAAAATGGTCAATATGTCCTCCAGTGTTGAAATCAGGATTTAGAGTTTCTGTTTCTATGTAACCTATGCTATTGCCTGATTCTTAGCTACGTTTTATGAGTACAGATTTGGAAACAACTTGGCCCTAATTCTCCCCTCCCCACCCTCAAGCTTTCTTTCTTCCTGCCCCAAAATTTTGATTTAAATGGTGGCAACAGATGATCCATAATGGTTGATACTTGTAGGATGACCAGTATTGTGAGGAAAAAAGCAACATTAGGATAAAATAAGAATGAGAACTGAATGAGACTGAAAGAGAACCTCAGAGATGCTTACATAAATCACATAGGTGATTGCCGACTGAGAGAGATAACTCTTTTTATAAAGGAATAGATGGAAATAAACACGCTTAAGGCCCACAATGTTCTCTTATTTAATTTTCAAAAAATTATAACTTTGCCCAGGCACCATGGCTCGGGTCTGTAATCCCAACACTTTGGGAGGCTGGGGCGAGAGGACTGCAACCAGTTCAAGACTAGCCTGGGAACCACAGGGAGACTCCATCTCTACAAAAACATTTAAAAATTGGCCGGGCATTGTGGCTCATGCCTATAATCCCAGCAGTTTGGGAGGCTGAGGTGGGCGGATCACTTGAGTTCAGGAGTTCAAGACCAACCTGGCAAACATGGTGAAACCTTGTCTCTACTAAAAATACAAAAATTAGCTGGAAGTGGTGGCGCACATCTGTAATCCCAGCTACTCAGGAGGTTGAGACATGAGAATAGCTTGAATCCAGGAAGCGGAGGTTGCAGTGAGCCAAGATTGTGCCACTGCATTCCAGCCTGGGCTACAAAGGGAGACTCCGTCTCAAAAAAAAAAAAAAAATTAAAAATTATCAAGTGTGGTGGCCCATGCCTGTGGTCCCAGCTACTCAGCATACTGAGAGAGGAGGAGCACGTGAGCCCAGGAGGCTGCACTCCAGCCTGGGTGTCAGAGTGAGACCTTGTCTCAAATATATATATATATGTATGTGTGTATTTTTATATATATATATATATATACACACACACACACACACACACACATACACACACACATATATATAATATATATATACACACACATATATATATACATATATATACACACATATATACATATATGTGTGTGTGTGTGTGTGTGTGTGTGTGTGTGTGTATTCATGTTTATGGATAAGAAAACCAGGGCCAGAGAGGTTGGGTTATTGTTTAAAGCAAAACAACAAAAATGAGTGACGGCATCCATATTAAACCCACAGCCATCTGGCTTCAGCATCTATCTTCTTTGATGAGAAACATGGAGAAGTGACATATTTATGGATTCACAGGGGCAAAGGGAAGCAGAATTTAAGATAGAGATTGAGAATGAAAAGAGAGAGGAGGAGGCTCTGTCAGAATTTCCAGTGTTTCCAAATTAGAGAAAAGATACAGTTAAGAATCTGAGCACAGAGGCCAAGAGAAAAATGTCAAGTTGGGTTTCAGAGGGCCATGAGGATAACTGATAAGAACTTGTTTGTTTGAAATTTAAGGGTCATCCCACAACTGTGCTCTGGTTCCCAATGCTTTCTCCTTTGTAGATTTCTAACTCCCCACCTCTTATTCTTTTCTATAACTTCATCCTCTCCATCTCTAGAGACTCCTTTACATCATCCTTGAAATATATCCATGTATATTTTCACAACAAACATCTTCATCTTTGTCCTACAGCAGCTGTGGCTCTATTTCTCATGTGCTTCTTTTCAAGCAAACTTCTTGAATTCATTGTTTTCACTTCCACATATCCTATTCACTCCTCAATCCGGTTTCCTGCTCCACCATAATCCCATTACCAACAACATGTCGTTAAATCAAACACACATCTTCCTTTGGACTTCAACTTTGCTTGACCTTTGAGCAGAATTTTGGCACTTTTATCATTCCTTGATTTCCCTGACATCACTCCTTCCTGGTTTTCTTCCTACCTCTGTTCACACTTCATTATCCTCTGTAGAGTTACCTTCCTCTACCTGAACTTCAGGCACTGGTGATTCTGAGTTTGGCCATGGGCCCAATGCCTTTCCCACAATTCTCATCTACCCATGGTGTCCTTATCCATGCTTGTGTCTTTCATTATCTGCCATATGGAGTCATTTCCCTCAAGAATGCCTCAGTCTTATTTCCAGCTATCCACTAAACATGTACTCTTATCTCATGGAAACACAAAACCATGCATTTCTAAACCTGTTATTATATTATTCCCCAAACCCAATATTTCTAGAGATTTCTACATTAGCAAACCTTTCATTCAATTTTCCCTTGTGCAAGGCAAACTCTGTTTCCTGCTTCACCCATTCCCAGTTGCATCTATTCAAGTGTCAAATCTATTTTACCTTTTACAAATTATTCAATGTAAATTAGTTCAGCCACTTTGCAAAGCAGTTTGGAGATTTCTCAAAGAACTTAAAACAGAACTACCATTCAACCCAGCAATCCCATTACTGCGTATAAAGCCAAAGGAAAAAAAGACACAAACACTTGTTGTTTATCACAGTGCTATTCATGATAGCAAAGACATGGAATCAACCTAGGTCATCAGTGGCTGATTGGATAAAGAAAATGTGGTCCATATACACCATGGAATACTATGCAGCCATGAAAAAGATGAAATCATGTCCTTCACAGCAACATGGATACAGCTGGAGGCCATTACCATAAGTGAAGTAATGCAAAAGCAGGAAACCATATATCACATGTTCTCAATTATAAGTGCAAGCTAAACATTGGATACTCATGGGCATAAAGATGGCAACAATAGACACTGGAGACTACTAGAAGGGAGAGGAAGAGAGGGGGGCAAGGGTTGAAAAACTAAGTGTTGGGTACTATGCTCACTATCTGGGTGACAAGATCATTCATATCCTGAACCCCAGCATCGCCCAATATACCCATGTAGCAAACCTGCATATGTCCCTTCTGAATCTAAATCTAAAATAAAATTTGAAATTATAAAAATAAATAAATAAATACATATTATTCAAGATACTTTACTCCTTCCATTCTCACTTTCACTCTTCTAGCCACAGCAATGTCATTTCTTGCCTTCACAATAGTAGCCAACCCTCACTGGCCGCTCTGCTTCCAGCCTCTGGTCTTTAACTAATTCTCCATACTGTTCTAGAGTTTCTCATGTCACTCTTCTTTTAAAAATACTTTAATGGCTTTATAGTGTGGTTTAGGTAAATTTCAAACTCTAAATTAGCTTACAAAACTCTGTATGATCTGATCTCTCCCTTCCTCCTACCTCATTTGATCCACTAGGAGAGTGGAGAGCCACTCTATGGCTCTAGCAATGACAGAGCTTCCTGGAATGCTATTACTGTCCACCACATCTTCTTTCTTTTCTTCTGGCTGCTGTTCATCCTGCAGCCCTCAGCCCCAACATCATTCTTTTAGAGGGGCTTCCCTGGCCCTCAGGCTATATTCGGTTTTGCACTCCCATTGCACCTAGCATTTTTCTTATCATAATATCCATCAAACATTATGGTAATTGACCATTGTATTGTCTTCCCCACTGAACTGAGAGCTCCATGAGCACAGGGTTTATGGAAACACGCTCGCCCCTATATTTGCAAAGTGTTGTGTCTTATCATGTAAGTTCTCAATAAATACTTGCTGAACAAATGAGCCCAAGATAACCACATAAAACCAGGGTGTCTAAGGTAGCTGGCCATGAAGCGGTACCTTCAGTCCCTCTACTTTGATCCTGTTGTTTATTCTCTGTTTCACCCATGTCAGGGACAGTGAGTGCATGGTATATAATCTGATTAGAAGCTCATGGAAAAAAATTGATTAATAATATAATTTTTTTAATGTTTATTTTAGGTTCGGGGATACATGCGAAGGTTTGTTAAACAGGTAAACTCAGGTCATAGGGGTTTGTTGTACGGATTATTTCATCATCTAGGTATTAAACCCGGTACTAAATAGTTATCTTTTTTGTTCCTCTCCCTCTTTCCACCCTCCACCCTTAAGTAGACCCCAGTGTCTGTTATTTTTTTCTTTGTGTTCATAAGTTCTCATCATTTAGCTCCCATTCATAGGTGACAACATGAAGTATTTGGTTTTCTGTTCCTACGTTGGTTTGCTGAGGAGTTAGTTTGCTGAGGATGATGGCCTCCAGCTCCATCCGTGTTCTTGCAAAAGACATGATCTCATTCTTTTTTATGGCTGCATAGTATTCCATGGTGTATATGTACCACACTTTCTTTGTCCAATCTGTCATTGATGGGTACTTCGGTTGATTTCATGTCTTTGCTATTATGAATACTGCTGCAATGAACATTTGCTTTATGCTAGAGTGATTTTTATTCCTCTGAGTATATACCCAGTAATGAGATTGCAGGGCCAAATGGTAGCTGTGCTTTTAGCTCTTTGAAGAATCACCATACTGCTTTCCACAATGGTTGAATGAATTTACTCTCTCACCAACAGTGTGTAAATATTCCCTTTTCTCTGCAACCTCACCAGCATGTTATTCTTTTACTTTTTAATTATAGACATTCTGACTAGTGTGAGATGGTATCTCATTGTGATTTTTATTCGCATTTCTCTAATGAATAGTGATATTGAGCTTTTTTCATATGCTTGTTGCAGCATAATAACCGAATTTTTCAATCCTAAAATAAAAAGAAATCTAATCCAGACAGAAATGTCTGGAGGAAACTTGACCATTATCTCATAGACTTAATAAGAAATAAACACAAGCTAATAGTCTCTTGTCTAATTCATAATATTATGAAATCCAAAAATAGATTTAATGGAGATAACATAGGATAAAAATATAAATAGCTAGACTAACCTATAAATTTTGTTATTATCAAAATATTTATAGGAAAAAATCAAACATCATAAAATTTAGAGTAGCAAATTTTGACCTCAGAAAATCAGACTTCGTAGAAATAATAACTATAAAAGAGAAAACTGTAAATGAAAGAACTTATATCTGATAAAAAGTTAATTTGGATTTCAGAAGGAATCAAGTAAAATCCATAGTAAAATTAATTGAGCCCACTGAAAATAATTTTAGTAAGACAAAAATGGTAAAAGATAAGAATTCAAAATTATTTGACTGCTTTTCAGAGATAAGTAAACACTAAGCTGGCTTAGTGAATTTTTACCTGGAAAATAATATTTTGGCAACATTATATTACTAAATACATACATATGTGTGTATATATATACACACACACACATATGCACACATACCCCCATATATATTATATGTATGTAATACATAGTTAATTGTGTCAACATCCTTGGAGAAAAGAGTAAAATCAGCTGGGTCAAAATAATAGAAATCAAAAGTTTCTGTGATCAAGGTGTTGTCTTTTATGGCCAATCTCACTATAATGTCAAGTGAGAATCAGAGAATTGCTTATTGAGCACGAAGTCTAAAGGAAAATAATTAATTCAGATTAAAGTATTAATATTAGATAGCAATAGCCTAAAAAGGTTATGTGTTCCTCTTTGTAGCCAGGACTAGACAACCCAAATTCTTTGGTTTCATATTTCCTGTTTTCAAAAGTATTTTTTTGTGTGTGCCAGATTTAGAATGCAAATTTTACCACTTTACTCCCAACATTAAACTTTTAACTACCAAAAGACTGGTTCTCTCATTTACTCACAAATAGTGTCACACGCAATCCCTTCTTTGCAGTTTTGCTCCCTCTCTGCAATTCTCTCCTGTCCTTTTATCCATGTCTAAATCCATGCTTTCTGCTTCATAATGTCTACGCTGATCAACACAGCCTTACATTATCTCACCACTCTGCTTTGAATTTTTTTTTTTTTTTTTTTTTTGAGACAGGGTCTCACTCTATCACCCAGGCTGGAATGCAATGGTGTAATCTCAGCTTACTGCAGCCTTGACCTCCTGGGATCAAGTGATCCTTCCACCTCAGCTTCTTTAGTAGCTGGGACTACAGGCACACACCACCACACTCAGCTAAGTTTTTTTTTTGTTTTTTTTTTTTTGTAGAGATGGAGTTTCGCCATGTTCCTTAGGCTAGTCTCAAACTCCTGAACTCAAGCAAAACTCTTGCCTTGGCCTCCCAAAGTGCTGAGATTACAGGCATGAGCCACCATGCCCAGCCATGAATTCCTAAACAATTTTTATAATGTTTACAGATAGTTTCCTGACATTTTCATTTGCCATGTTTTTAAGAAATAGCACTTTATGGGGAGGAGAGTATTCTGTCTATTTCTCCTAACTAAATAATGAGTTCCTTGAAAAAAGGGGAAGACGATGCCTTAGCTCTGCATCTCTCATACTGTCTTGAATGTCACAGGCAACTGACGTAAGCCTTTTAGATTCTGAAACAAATGGAAATATCTTTGGAGAACATTTTATCCTGAGAGATGCATTTCTCCATGAAAACTTAGCAGAAAATGGAAATATTCTATTTAATTTAAACTAATTAAATAGTTTAAACTTTAATAGTTTAAATATTTAAACTAATTTAAAGAGAATATTTAAATTAAATATTCTATTTAATTAATAACTTCACCTAAAAAAATTTATTAGAAGATACAGACCAGAGATTACAAACTAATAGCCTTTGGCCACAGACATGTGTTCAGCACTCAAATAATGCTGTTTTCAGCTTAATTCATTGTCAATCTTTGAAAATCAGAAAAATTCATATTAAAATCTACATTTCTACTTTCTCTTGAAAAATCAGAAGCGTTGGCAATACTGGGTTCATGTGGTTCAGCATACCAAAGATTGTCTAACTCAAACGTGGCTAGCCCTTTGAGGTGTTTTTTCACCATATTCTCTTCTCAGCTTTCTTCACTAGTTTTCTATTACTTGCCTGATTTAAATAGCCATTTGGGGTTATCTCACCGACTCTTTATGTTATTCTGAAGGGATGATAATGTTTATAGTTGGTCTTAGAATAACATTTTCCAAGAAACAAAACTTCCTTGTCATCAGAAATGTGCCTTGCTTTTCCATCCTCAGACAGGTCAAATAAATTACAACTCAGATCCCATTCTACTGATGCTTGCGGCAATCCATATAAAAGGCAACATTCTGAGTATTCAAGGAGAGAAACCAAGCTACCACTTACGTGATGAAATCATAGCACGGCTCAAGAAAAAAGGGAAGATATCATTAGTCACCCAGACAGAATGTAAGATCTGCAGGAACTGGCAAAAAGTTCACTAAAATTACAGCAGAAAGGAGCACATGTTTGCTCAAGAAACACACAGACGTTTAGATCCAGCAAAGACAGAATGCTAGCCCAGCTCTGAGAACAATTGTTTATGCTCTCACATGGAGGATACCTAATTTAGAAAGCTGTAATGAACCTCGATTGTCAGGAAATTCTCAGAAACACTGTGAGGCGCAATCCACACCAAATGACACAAAGATTCAGTGGTTTATAAAAAGTTGGTTGACTTATCATAAGAATATGTTGGGGGTAAAATCCAGAAAGGCAGAAAGAAGAACTGTGTTTAATCAAGAGGAAGTGGAGAAAATTATATACATGTATTTTTATATAGAAAAGAAGGAGAGGATATTTAAAGCCTTTTGGTAAACATCAAATCCAAGAAGCCTGTGTCTGTCTCTCACTGAGGATATTGTAAAGATTTGAAGTAGGAAAGAATATACCACTGAAAGAAGCACAGTCTTTGGATTCTAACCTCTGTCCCAAAACTATCAGACCATGGAGTTTTTAACAAGTTGTTTAGTGAAAAAGTGCTGCCCAAAAAGACTTGGGAGACTCTTAATTCCCCTGTTTGTACATCAAGAAACTACAATCTAGATAGGCTGCATGATATGCTGAGGTCGTCATGCATTCAGCAATTATTTACTGGATACCTCCTCTTTTTTTTTTTTTTTTTTTTTTTGAAATGGAGTTTCACTCCTATTGCCCAGGCTGGAATGCAATGGCAAGATCTTGACTCACTGCCACCTCTGCCTCCTGGGTTCAAACGATTCTCCTGCCTCAGCTTCCCGAGTAGCTGGGATTATAGGCATGAGCCACCACACTCGGCTAATTTTGTATTTTTAGTAAAGACGGGGTTTCATCATGTTGGTCAGGGTGGTCTTGAACTCCTGACCTCAGGGGATCCACCTGCCTCAGCCTCCCAAAGTGCTGGGATTACAGTTGTGAGCCACCATGCCTGGCCCAGATACCTCTTTTTGATGTACAAAGATTAGTTAGCCGAAGTCATTGCACTCAGATATCATAAAATCTATCAGGGAGAAAGGGCAGGAGCCCCAAAACCATATGTATTAATAGAATAATAATGTTAATGATAATAATAGTTTTCAGTTACCATATGCTGCAATGTTTCAAATGCTGTGTTATGTGATGAATTTCGATCACCTCATTTATTCTTCCAAACTTCCTACATGTAGGTCTAACCATCCATACATTAAAGATGCAGCGATTAAAGCTTAGAAATTAAACACATTATTCTTTCATTCAATAAATAATTCTAATTCAAGCTATTTGAAATATATACCTATATATGCATATATATGTCCAGTAGGAATAAGTGGTATGAAGAAAAATAAAGTAAGGCAATAGGATAAGAAGAGAAGAAAGGTTTCTCTAAGAGGTGATACTTGAGAAGAGACTTAAAGAAAGTGAGGAAAAGAGTCATTTGGGGAAAGAATATTTGAGGCACAAGAAGAGAAAGAATAAAAGCCCTGGGTGAGAGTATATATAAGAAATATTAGTTCCCTCTTTCCCATTTCTTAGGAGATAAGATAAATTGGACTCGAATCCTTCCCTCAAGAAACTTATAATTTACTAGAAGGGTAGAACTTGTGCACTAATATAAAAAAAAATGGTAGAATATAAAAGAGATAGAAATGAAATTAAAAGTCAAAAGAGATGGATATTTTGTTCAACTTGGAAACAGGGGACCACTGCAGGTTGGAAAAGATTGAAAACCTCTCAGAAGTGGCTTTGGAACTTACCTTTAAGAATAAGTAATATTTATCCAAGTAATATTTGGATAGGGGGTAGATTCTCAAGAATGAGGAATACTTTCTAACCAGTGGCTAGAACTTTGCAGAAAAAGTAGAAAAATGCTCTTTGGGAAGAGGATTACAGAAAAAAGTAATTTCAACTTGGCCAGAACATAGCAGGGATGAGCACAAAAAGAGAGAAAAAACATTTGGAAACACTAAAGGAGGTGTATTCAGTCCAAGCTAAGGCACTTGGAAGTAAATCTAGTAGGAGTTGATGACTTATTGAATGTAAACATTGAGAGGAAAGGATGAAGTGAAGATGACACTGATGTTTTGCACCTTGGTGACGAGGAGAAAGACGAATAGAAATAGGGAAATCAGGAAGAGGAGCAGGTTGGTGACCTGGAAGACGATGTGTTTAGTATGTTAAATATGAGCTCTTAGAGCAGTGGTTCTCAATAATTCACATGCATCAAACTTAAAGGGAGTGCTCATGAAAAACTGATTTCTGGGCTCCACCTGTGGGAGTTTCCAAATCATAAATACATTAGATTTTTCATATTTAGCAAATTCCCAAGTAATTTTGATGCTGCTGGAGCAGAGACTACCCTTTGAGAACCACTATCTTGGAAGAATATTTAGGCTGACACAGACAGAGGAAAATGCAGGACTAGGAAGAAGTTGCCCTGTGAGTGGCAACGAATCCAATGGGAGCCCAGAGAAAAGTGACAAAGTTTTGCAAAGGTCACTGTGGGCATCTTCTTAGAGAAATGGATGACAACCTAAGTCATCTATTTAGATTTCTCTCCATTTCATTGTCACACATTTTCTGTTCTTAACATGCCAATGACATAGCAACTATCCTAGGATTAAGAGTATATGTTTCCAAATTACTTTGAAAGTGTTCTGGAAAGCACGATCCAATAGGAACATAATGCTAGCTACATACATAATTTTTAAATTATCTAGTACATTCATTTAAAATAGTAACAAAAGGGAAAAGAGTAACATGAAATTATGCGCAAAATATATTCAATCCAAAATGCCGTAAATATAACAAATTATTAAAATGATATTTTACTTTTTTTTTATTAAGTCTTTGAAATCTAGTGTATATTTTACACTTAGAGGCCATCTCAGCTTGGACTAGCCACTATGCAAATATTCAATAGCCCCTCCTCTTCTGGGAGGTTTTCAATCTTTTCCAACCTGCAGTGGTCTCCTGTTGCCAAGTTAAACAAAATATCTACCTCTTTTGACTTGTAATTTCATTTCTCTCTTTTGTATTCTACCATGTTTTGATATTTGTGCATTTGTTTTACTCTTCTAGTAAGTTATTAGTTTCTTGAGGAAAGGATTCAAGTTCGCATCCTTACTATAACACAGTGGCTATCATAGTGGACAATGCAGCACTAGAATCATGTGATGGAAATGCCTAATAATGACAGAGTTATATATGTCTGTGATTTAAGAGCAGCAGTCATGAAAATAGGACCAAACGTAACTTAAATGTTACTGAATGTGACGGTTAATTTTAAGTGACAACTTGATTGGATTAAGAGATACCCTGATAGCTAGTAAAGGAAAAGTTTGGCATGTGTGTGTAGGAGTGTTTCTGGAAGAGATTGGCATTTATGTCAGTGGACCAAGGACAGAGATCTGCCTTCACCCAATATGGGCAAACACCATTCAATTCATTGAGGGCCTCGATAGAACAAAAGGGCAGAGGAAAGGTGAATTTGTGTGTGCTCTCTCTCTCTCTTGCATGCTCTTTTGCAGCTGGGATACCCTTTACCTCCTGCCCTTTGGACATTAGGACTCCAGATTCGTTAGCCTTGAATACTGGAGTTACATCAGCAGTCCCCTAGAATCTCAGGCCTTCAGCCTCGGACTGAGCTGTGCCACTAGCTTCCCTGGTTCTCCAGCTTGTGAATGACACAGTGGGACTTAGTCTTCATAATTGCATCAACCAGTTCCCAAAAGAAATTCCTTCTCATATATTTATATATGAGAGAGAAAGATAGATTAGATAGATAGATAGATAGATAGATAGATAGATAGATAGATAGATAGATGATAGATAGATAGATAGGAAGACAGACGGATGGATGGAGTTATCTTACTGGTTCTGTTTCTTTAAAGAACTCTGACTAAAATACTGATCTTAATTTGTTTAGGCCAGGACAGAAGCCAGGAAAGGTACGTGAAGAGAGAAGCAAGGATAAGTGTAAATAGAAGTAAACTGACTTCTCTTCCAGCCATGATGGAGTAACAGAAATCAGATTTACCCTCCTGACTGAAAGATCAAAAAAAACCCTGACAAAATACATAAAACAGTGGTCATTATATATTAGATATTATATATACAGTACAGGATATAAGTCCTGAGAGGGAAGAAATAGACAAGGTAAGACTTATGAAGGCATCTGCTTAGAGTTGGGAGAGTTTCTAGGTCATAATAGGGCAGGGAAAGGGAGCCCAAATGGAGGCTAGAAATCTCTGTGAATTGAGAACATTCAGTTCAAAGCCTGGAGAGGACCAGGAAAGAAGAGGTTGTGGGGAAGATCATGGGAGAAGACAGAATGCATAGAAAGAGAATTCCAGAAATCCCCTGAGCAGCTCAGGTGAATCTATGACTGAGTACTGTAAGAAAATGACTAGGCACGGGAGGGAAAAATCACCCTAAAGTATTAGAAGGAACAATCTGTGGAACTTACACAGAGTTGGGAATAGTTTGTGTTCATTCTAGCAAGTGAATAAAAACCTCATAATTCACAGGACATTAAGTAGAGAACACAGAAGGCATTAACTCATAGTGGGAAGAAATCAGCCCTAAACCAAGGCTGCTCCGATTCACATAATAAAGCTGAAAAGTAATCCTCAAAAGAATAAAACTATTACCAAATAATTTCACTTTGTCTTGGAGTAAAATTCAAGAATATTTATAGAAATTCAAAAATATCTATCACCAAACAAAATAACATACACAATGTCTGGCATCCAATAAAAATTATCAGGCATACAAAGGAGCTAGAAATATGACCCATTATGAGGAGGGGTGAAAAATCAATGAATGAGACTCAGAAATTTCAAATTTCAAAGATGACAGAATTAGTAGACAAGGAAATTAAAAGTATTATTATAATTGAATTTTGTCTCAGTCAGTCAAGGTTTCTATAAGAGAATGCCATAGACTTGGTGGCTTAAACAACAGAAATTCACTTCTCATAGTTCTGGAGGCTGGGAATTATGAAAGCTGGTTTCCAGCATGATCAGGTTCTGGTGAGGGCCTTCTTCCTGGTTTGTAGATGGCTACTTTCTCATTGTGTCCTCACATGGCAGAGCATGAGAAAGAGAGAGCAGTCAGGTCACTCTTCCTCCCCTTACCAGGTCCAAACCTCTTAGAGGCCATACCTCCAAATTCTATAAATCCACATTAGGGTTTAAGGCTTTAACATGTGAATTTTGGGGGGTACACGTTCAGTCCATAGCATATTCCTTATATTCAAAAAGGAAGAGAAAAATTGAGCGTGTGAAATAGAGACAAAGTGTGTATATATGTGTGTGTGTGTATATATATATATATATATATATTTTTTTTTTTTTTTTTGAGATGGAGTCTTGCTATGTTGCCCAGGCTGGAGTGCAGTGGTGCAATCTTGGCTCACTGCAACCTCCACCTCCTGGCTTCAAGCAATTACCCGGTCTCAGCCTCTCCAGTAGCTAGGACTACAGGTGCATGCCACCAAGCCTGGCTAATTTTTTGTATTTTTAGTAGAGACAGGGTTTCACCATATTGGTCAGGCTGGTCTTGAAATCCTGACCTCAGGTGATCCATGGTGCCTCGGCCTCCCAAAGTGCTGGGATTACAGGCCTGGGCCACTGCATCTGACCAAGAATATATTTTTTAAAAGACTTCTAGAGATGCTAACTACAATGGGTGGGATTAACAGTAGGTTAGACATCGCAAAAAAAAAAAGTCTGTAAACTTGAAGACATAACAAAACAAAATGTACAAAGTGAAACAGAAAATAGAAATAAAAGTTGAAGAGCATTAGTGAGCTATGGGGCAAGTGAAAGTAGTCTAACATATGTGTAATTGGAGTTCTCAAAGATGAGGGGACTGGAAGAAAACATATTTGAAAAAATTATAGCTGAAAATATTTCATGTTTGAAGAAAACAATAAATGCACATGTCCGAGAATCTCAATGAACTCCAAATACACAGAACATAAAGGATATTACACCAAGCAATAGCACAATCAGATTGCTAACATCTTGGTCTGCTCAGGCTGCCATAACAAAATACCATAAACTGGGTGACTTACATAATCAAAAGGTGTTTTCTTACAGTTCTGGAGACTGGAAATTTAAGATCAAGATGTTAGCAGGGTCAGTGTCTAGTGAGAACTCTTTCCTTGGGTTGCAGATGGCCAACTTCTTGCTATATGTCCTCACACAACCTTTCCATGGTGCATGCACACACAGAGAGAAGGTTCTGGTGTCTCTTCCTCTTTTAAAAAGGGCACTAATTCCATCACATTGGAGGTTAGGGTTTCAACATATGAATTTTCGGGGAACAAATTTCAGCCTATAATATCCAAAAAACAGTAATAATGAAAATATCTTAAAAGCAGCCAGAGAGAAAAGACAGATTAATATGGAGAAACAGAGATAAGGATGATGGCAGCTTTCTAATCAGGAACAATGCAAGCAAGACAGTGGAGCAATATCCTTAAAGTCCTGAAGGACAAAACTCTCAACCTTTTATGACGACCTTTAGACACGTTTTTCTTTAAATAAAAGGCAGGCTAAAATAGAAAAGATAAGTAGGGGTACAGAAAAGGCTTAATTAGGAATTATGGGCTTTTAGAGCAATGAGAAATAGATCTCTGCAGCTAGTTGTGTCATTTGAAGAACATACTTTTTCTCAATGCTTACAGAAGAATCTAGAATAAGAAAAGTCATTTAGAAACTCTATTTTCTCTCTCCCATCTTGATTCTTATTATATTTGAAACAGGTGTCTCCAACCCAAACTTTATATAATAAGAGGTTATTTGCAAAGAGATTTTGGTACTTGTTAGAGGTCTAACAACTTTCATTATGGTAAAATTTAGCTCTCACCACCTGCTTTGATCAAAACAAACATTGCAGAGTTCTTTTCATTGCCCCGCCAAAACCAACCAACAAACAACACTTCAATTACTTTACATTCCTTCAAGTTGAATAATGCTGGTGGCTAGATAAGACTTTTCTGACTCCCTGTTCAGACTCTACCAACAAGAAAAGAAAATGAGTATGTCATGTGCCAAACTTTCCATCGAATTCTGGTTCAATTTCTCAACTGTTTCATATTTCAACTTTAACATAATTAAGATGGTGACTCTCGAAGTACCTTACAGAGAAATAAATTACTCACTTCTCTCTGCTAAACCATATAATAGAATTATAAAATGTTAGATCTGGGAAGGACCTTTATTTTACAGATGGAGAACTGAGGAAAGTGAAGTGAACTCTCTGTGGTGCTAACAGGTTTTTGATGGTGGTTTCTCCATCAGAGGCAATGTGTTAACAATGGAAAAGGCACAGACTTTGGAGTTGGGTGGACCAGGATTTGAAGATTTGAAGTCTGTCTCCATGTACGATGTGTACATGGACAATTTACTTATCTCATTAAGCCTCACACTCGTTAACCATAAAATGGAAATGTTAGCTAGTTATTTATAGTTGTAATAGAAATTAGTGATGACATATATACACATGCATATATAATAGCAGGATCAAAACTTACGCACTAACAATTGAGTTGCCTAAATATAACTTTATTCTTTATTTTTTTTTGTATCTAAATTCAACTCTTTCCTAAAGCTCCAATCTCCACAGAGTAATTTTAATAAATCTACAGCAATCAGTGACCTTTAAAATCAGATTATTATTTCAGTTGCTTTCCAATTCTTAGCCACTTTGGGGAGCATCTTCAGTCTTTGGAGGTTTCTTCCCTTTCCCTATCTCTATTGTCAACTCCTAGGTTGATCTAAGTTCCCAGAGAGATTCATGTGTTGCCCTCTTCTGGCACCAGAGAAGAGTAAGCAATCCCCATGGGCTTGAGTTGGAGGGATCTTATCCTCCTAATTTCTAGGCATGAGCCTGCCATGTCACGGGGCATCCTCAGCTGATACCACTGAAGTTGGTCTGGCCTCACTGGCCTTTTGCGCATTATGTCAACATCAGTCACTAAAGACAAGGAACTTAGTCATTGCCTCCAGATGGCAGCTCCCTGCCTTCTGCAGCTTCTTTATCTCCTATCTGGCTTTAGTCACTCTGTTCTCACTGTGCTTCCCTGCAGCCTCCTCAGGTGCTCAGAAACAATCAGCTGCTTTCCCTGAAACTCCCCTGAATCTTCTCTTGAGCCCACTTGCTAGAAGTCTTCCCTGGTCATGACAACTTGACCATTGCCATACTGTGCTGGTTTCTGGGACTCTCATATTTCCAAATAGAATGTAGAATACACCTGCTTTCCAATTGTCTGAGGTTTATATTGCCTCACATCATCCATCATGCTGCAAAGCCAGGGAATGACATATGCTAGTTCCCAAGGAACTCAAGTAGTGTCTCTGCCCTTAGTCTAGTCTTCTCTAACTTGCCCCCCAAACTTCTCCCTAATTCCAGAGGGTATTTTGTTTCCCACCCTGTGGAGATGGTTGGAGGGGGGGGACTTCCTTTGTGCTGAACTTCATTTTTTTCCCTGCTATGTGATTTATACCATAGCCAAAGATTTTTTTTAGTTTCTTTAAATCCTCTCAAAATTCTGGAGGCCAGAAGTCCAATATTAGTATCACTAGGCTAATAGCGAGGTGTTGACAGGGACACTTCTGCAGCTCTGTAGGGGAGAATTCATTCCTTGCCTCTTCCATACTTGAAGCCAATTCTTTGGTTCATGGTCCCTTCCACCATCAAAGTCAGCAATATAGCATCTTCAAATCACTCCCTCTGCTCCCATCATCACACCTCCTTCTGCCGTCTGAGTGTGTCTAATCTTTCTCTGCCGCTATCTTAGAAGAACATTTATGATGGCATTTAGGATCCACCCAGATAATGCAGAACAATCTCCTCATCTCAAGATCCTTAACTTAATCACACCTGTGAAAACTTTACCAAGAAGGTAGAGTTTCCATAGAATAGGATCTGATAACTTTGGGGGGGGTCACCGTTCAGCCCACTCCAGCTGCCAGTGCAATTAAATGGTGAAGAAAATCTTTTCAACAGACTGTACTGGAGTACTGGATATCTATATGGAAAAAGATAAGGTATCCCTATTTAATGCTACATGTACAAATTAATTGGAAATGGATCATAGTATTAAATGTAAAAGATAAAACTATAAAGCTTTTAATATCAGTGTTTTTCTGAATTGATATTCCTCAAAGCAGCTAGTATAGTGTGTGGTGTAAGAGAATTATGTAAGAGCTTAATCACCTCATTATCTCATTCATTTATTTAAATGTTGAAGGGAAATTTTAAACATGATGTATTTATACCCTCTCTGTTATAATAGGAATGTACTCCAATTTATAAAATGCATACACTGGAATAGGAAACTTTATATTAATTAAATAGGTGTGACGATGGCGAAATAAAGTGTTTGAGAACAATTAAGCCAGGAAAGAGGTTAGCAAATAAATTGCATGCTGGGATTCTCAGGTCAGGTGACTTAAAATCTGACTCTTCTATCTGCTGACACAGAGGACATAATGTATAGTATTCATAAAATGTTAAAGTGTCTATAAAATAAAAACATACTTGTTACCCAAAAGAATCACAGTTTTCTTGATACTGACACTCAGCAAAAATTTCTCCCTGAGTCTTCATGAAGAGAAAAGTGGTCTGTAGTGAACACTTCCTCAATATCAGTCCTTCAATTAATTTAATAATTAGAGCTTCCAGGACAACATCTCAGTATGCCCCTCAGTGTAGGCAGATGAACTAAAGCCAAAGTGCACCTCAATAAAGCCAGTTCTACAGAGATTCAAATAATTGCCTAGGTCCCATAGCTGTCTAAAAGTTGAGTTTTATCCAAAATGAATAGGCATTATGCAAAAGAAAATAAAAGGGATTTCCTCTTCAAATAAGTTTGAGAGACTCTGGGCTAAAAATGTTCAAGAGAGTAAACCTACTAAAAGTGTGAGGTGAACTTAATCTTTACTCATTTAGTTAATACTTAGGGAATAGGCACACTGGCTGTTAGAGAAGAAAACACACACACACACACACAAAACAATTATTCATGCCATTGTCTGATTTAAAAAAAAGCAAAAAAAAAAAAAGTCCAAGAGAGTTAATTGTTGTGGGACTCTTCAGAGCCTTTAATTCACTAATGTTTATTGTGAATTTTTAAAAAGTCATTATTTCCCATACTATCAAACTAATTTGCCTGGAATTAATTTCCCAATTATGTTTCTCAAGTTAACTATGTGGAGAATATTTTAGAGCATCTGTAGAAGCTAGTATTTTGCCAAAAACACTTTGATTAAAGTTGATCCAGAGAAACAATACATCTATGTAGTGCTACAGCTCTTGTCAAATTGAGGATTGTGTGTTATGAATTAGATGCAGAGGATAAAGGATGAGAGGAGGTCAAGAGAAACCTCATTTCTAGCTTGTATGAATGGGCAGCTACCTTTGCCCAGGCTCCACATCAGAGGACATTGTATTTTTCTGGTGTATGAGGCCTAAGAGTTGAGTTTCATCCTTGCAAACCAGTTTTCAGTAATGTGTTTGCATGAAGAAAAATTGGTGTTAAATGTAATCAAATGCATTAATCTGCAGCATTCCCCCCACTCATCAAAAAATAGGAAAAGCTGAAGAATTGAAGATGTTTACTTGGTTCAGAATAAGAACAATTTTAGATGAATACTTAGAAACAACAAACCCCAAAACAAAGGTCTTAGAAAAAGACATCTTCAAAACACACGACAGAATAAAAAAATTAATTTCTGTGAAAATAAAAGCAACTAATTTTGAATGTGCAAAGTAACCTCACAGTTTCCCAAACTTCCCTTCCCTGAAGCTTTTTGCTTAGAGAACAAAATGCTTCCCACTTCACTAGACCAGCTGTCTCTTAAAACACAGATAAGACCCGCTAATGCTGGGTTCCTGAGTGCCTGCTGGGGTGTCAGTTTCTCTCCGGCAGCAGAGCCCTTTTGCTCCCCATTATGATACACACAAGCATTCTATTAGGAGGGGAGAGCGCACATTAAAATGATGACAGGAGATTTCTCAGTGCCGGATATGTTTTGCCCTCGTATTCCAAGAAAGGTCAACAAGATTAAAGCTGCAATTTTCAAGGAAGAGAAATCATCCATGAACTTCCTTATTAGACATTCTATGCTACTGTATTTTATAAGGAATATTATCTGCCAGACTAATTCTTTGTCTAGGCTAGTCTAGTCTTGCCCTGAAATAGCTAAGGAAGAAGCCTCAATGGCTTATTCTCTAACCCATAGTGTTTCCATCTATTCTGATTTAAGGACACAGGGAAAGAGATTTCTGCCCTAAAACATCCACCCTACTTTTTGAGTGGTACTGTCATTGTCATAATTATAGACACACACTGCCCCTTGGGCCTATCTCAGGTAAATTAAGATGAGATCAAATACTTGAAGTGTGGTCTCATTTCTTAGACCTTACCAAGTAAGAATTAAAGAGCAGGTACTTTTAGGTATGGATCCCTGGGAGATACTGAATAAGGTCTTGGAAAACAACTAAATGCAATAAACTCAAAGAAAGGCAGGCCTAATGTGTAGCTAAGCCAAACGAGTCTGATGGACAATAAAGTTCTGTAAAGACAGGAGACCATAGCTATGAATTCATCTACTGTAGGGAAGGGAGCAAAGGTACCCAGAGTTAAGAAAGAAGAGTTAAGGCCAAAATGTAGAGAGGGAAGTAGGTGGTTTCTAAATAGAGATTAAATTTAGCATCTAAGAGTTGAGAGAAGAACCAAAGACGTCCCAGATTCCAAAAGCACAGTCCGGTGGGTATCTTCCAAAACTGGCATAGTCCAGAGAGAACAGATCCGGACTGCTAAGCAGGCTGGGCTAGCCGAGAATAGTCAGTTTACAGCGCAGCACAAATGGACATGTTCTCATAAGAGAATATGAATACTGAGACTTGATCAGCCTCTCTTCTTTCTTGCTTTTAGAAATACTGTGTAGGATAACTTGAAATGGGCTAGTCAGGAGGCATGTCTCCCTAGGCTACTTTAACTGTTTAACTGTATGATGAAGACAAGAACCTCAAGGAGCATTCAAAAAGAATCTTACAACTGACTTTCATAATTCCATTTCACCAAACAATGCATAGCTATCTTTTCCCTTCATCAATATTCTGAAGTCTTCCACTTTAGTATAATTAATTCTGAGACGAGGACTTTCAAATCCTCGTCTCCAGTCCACCCCGTTTTCTCACCACATCTTCCCTGGGATAGTGCCCATCTTCAGTCCCCAGATTCTTTCATGTGGGCTCTTTTCATGCTTAACTCTCTATTTTGCATAGACTCACCTTTTCCTCTGCCTTCTCATCAGCAGTCTCATATGTCCCACCCCACTTAACCTGACAAATCTCCAATTTTGGGTCAAGCGAACCACCACTTTTTCCTTGTGTCTGCATCCTGGGTGCTGAAAAAATCAAATTATATGACTCCGTTGGTTATACTACAGAATAATGGTCTTTGGTCTTAGTTTATCCCTCAGGAACACATTTTTTCTTTAATTCATTCAACAAACTGTCATTGCTCACTACTTTCCCAATACGTGCAGAGAAGTATTTCAAAGTGCTGATATATATGTCAAAAGTATCAAATATTGATGCAAGTTTGAATAATGAAGAGCTCTTATGAGATGCTTGAAATGATTAAGATGCATTAATTATCTTTTTACCTTGCCTTTTACCATAAGGATGACGACATCTTAGAATTTCTAAGGACACCCCCAAAACTAAATGTGAACAAGAACAGAGGCTAGCTGTCAGCATCCATGGAGACACAGATCTCAGAACCTTCCAAACATGGAACTTCAAGAAGAAAGCACTAAGAATCAGTGCTTTTCTCTCTCCTTCCCCTTTGAAGCTTTGGGTCCTTAGTGTTCTTTGAACTGCCTGGAGTTTCTGGCAGTATTACCCGACTGTCCTCTCTAGGTAATACTCTCAGCTAGAAATATGTCCTCCATCTTACTCCGGTTTGTCTCAGAAAGCACTCTTGGGAGATATATTGTATGCCAGACTCTGTGTTGAGAACATAGACATGAATATGATTCCTTCAACAAAGTCACTGAATTTCCTCTTGAACTTCCATTGAACTGACACTTTCTGATTGTTTTTATCATCTTAACTCAGAAGAATTATCATAGTCTTATATGCAATTTGTATTAAGGGTAAGCCTTGGAAATGGACAGGTACATTTCTTCCTTGGAAAAAAGTGGGAAACCTGGCAGAGTTTGATGGCTCATGCCTGTAGTCTTAGCACTTTGAGAGGCCAAGGCAGGAGGATCACTTGAGCCCAGGAGTTCGAGACCAGCCTGAGCAACATGGCAAGACCCTGTCTCTACAAAAAATAAAAAACTTAGCTGGGTGTGGTGACACACGCCTGTGGTACCAGCCACTGGGGAGGCTAAGCGGGGAGAATCACTTGAGCCCAGAAGGTTGAAGCTGCAGTGTTCATGCTGCTGCACTCCAGCCTGGGTGACACAGTGTAACCCTGTCTCAAATAAATAAATAAATAAATAAATAACATGTTAAAATAGGAAGGTCAGAAGGATGGATAACCATCTAGATAAGCCCTAAGGAAGGTGAGTATGGGGAAAGCTGAAAACATCATACACTGGCAGCCTGCATTTCCCATGAATGACTCTGTGATTTCCCCTGCTGTGGGTTCACGGTAAGGGTGATGGGGACAGGGATGGAGTTGTAAGGGTGATGGGGACAGGGATGGAGTTGTGACCTTTGATGAGGTAAAGGTCTGGGATAGCTGTTATTAATACGAAAAGGAAAAGACAATCTGAGCACCTTTTCACAGCCCTAACTTACTGACTTACTAGGTTATTTCACCTGACTTTTCTTAAGACCTGAATGCTAGTTTACCCAGGGGTCTGTGCTTACTTTGTTGTCCTCCTTTTTTTTTTTTTTGAGACGGAGTCTCGCTCTGTCGCCCAGGCTGGAGTGCAATGGCGCGATCTCGGCTCACTGCAAGCTCCGCCTCCCAGGTTCACGCCATTCTCCTGCCTCAGCCTCCGGAGTAGCTGGGACTACAGGCGCCCGCCACCACGCCCGGCTAGTTTTTTGTATTTTTAGTAGAGACGGGTTTTCACCGTGTTAGCCAGGATGGTCTCGATCAGCTGACCTCGTGATCCGCCCGCCTCGACCTCCCAAAGTGCTAGGATTACAGGCATGAGCCACCACACCCGGCCTATCCTCCTTTTTATATTAAAAAATCTTCACTTTAACCCTTTCAAATTAAAGTCTGTGCCATTGTATAATAGTTATTGAATAATAACTATTTTTCATTGGTTTCTATAATGTCTGAGCAGGAGATTAGAAAAGTGAATGAGACTCTGCCTTAACCTTCAGGACACAGGCATGGGAGGCCATTCTGAGCAATAGTTAAGAGCACACGTTCTCACATGAGATGCTGAGGGTGTGAACCTGCACTCTGCCAGTTTTCAGTTATTTAATGTTAGACAAATTAACCTCATCATTCCTGGTATTTATATGTAAAATGGAGATAATTGATAGATTTATAGCATTAGTTTGAAGATTAAATGATATTACACATGTAAATATTGTTCAGTTTAATGTCTAGTACAAGACAAAGTACTACATAAGTTTTAGCCTTTATTTTTAGCCCTGGCTCTCAAGACATAACCAGCTTAGGCTATGAGGATGTCAGTCATGGTGAGTAGAAGTTTCTCAGGGATTTACAAACTTACAAAATTTATAAGAGATAGGACTGTGGTTTAATTTTAACACTAAGTCAAGCTTGTTTAAATTCCAGAAAGGGACATCAAAGTACCAAATCAGGAATAAGTTGAATAATTTTGTCTCTTTTGGCCTAACATAATGATTTATCTCTTGTCCCTTTTCTTTGCTCTTCTGTCTTCACTCTCTCCCTGGTAATCTCATTTAATATCAAGAGTCAAGCCATCATCTTGAGAGAATTGAGTCTCAAATATCTTTCCTGAACTCCAGACCCATACTTGCAACATCCTGAAAAATATTTTTGCCTGGATGTTCCCCGAACCTAGGAAACTGTATTTTGCCTTCTTCATCTTGGTGTCTAATCTTCACTTATAAGAAGTATAAATATATTTGTGTTTAAATGGATATAGTGAAGAGAATATGCAAATACATACATGTAAATGAATGAGTAAATGAATAAAACTTGTGAACAGTTTTTCAATTTAGACTAAGATTAGCATATAAAAAGCCTTCAAACTATTTCCCATTCATGAAGTCAAACTAAGTTGAAAAATAACATGCTGACTTCATTCTTCAATTTGGAATAGATGTCTAAAAGTGGGGTTTGGTGAAGAACCTGTCCTGCCACCCAAAGTCAGCAAAAAGGCTTAGGCAGCAAAATAGTGAGATAGAAAGGAGATTGTCAACCTCAGTCACAGGTAGATCACAGACACACACTTGCATAATCATTGCTCTAAGTCCAAGCAATTTCTAAGGGTAGGAAAAAGCTAGACGGTCTATATCAAGTAAACTTGGCTGTGCACTGCAAGCATCAACCTTCTTTATGGAAAGCATGTGAGTTGTGAGTACAAGGGATGGGGATAATGGTAGACCCCACTGACAGTGGACCAGGAACTAAACATATAAATACATCCCCACCCTCTACTCATGGTCTAGACTCCAGTGAAAAAAGATAAGGAAGTAAAAAGTTGGAGAAAGTATGTAAGAAACAGAGCTCCCTCTCATTAGTTTTATTTATTTAACAAAAAACTCCTGAATGCCCTCCAAGTTTCAGGGACTGTTACATGGTCTGTCAGATAACCTAATCAAACCATGTGATAGGAGTGGTATTTGGTGTCCACACAAGTCTACTGTACTCTGGGGAGAAGTTGCTGCAACATTTCCAAGTCCTTCTGACTCCTTTTGAATACACACACATACACACATACACATGTGTCTGAAACTACGGTGTGGTGGGATGAAAGGGGCATGACCTTCTGTTCAGGCGACCAATGTCTTGGAGTAGAAGGACACAACTTTCTCTAATCTTTGTCACCAGGAGAACTTCAGTGTCAGCCTCATGAGGCCTCTACAGGCTGGCCTCCACTGAAGAATTCAATAGTAAGCCAGAGAGACAGATGGAGACTGGAAGATTTTGATTCCTTATCCTGGCCAAGTTTAATATTTCCAAGAACTTGTATCCCCTCAAAAGATATATTAAAGTCCTAATTCCTGTACCGGAGAATGTGACCTTATTTGGAGATAAGGTTTTTACAGAGGTAAACAAGTTAAAACAAGCTTATTAGGTTCGACCCTAACCTTATATGACAGGTTATATAAAAAGGGGATGTTTCTTATAAAAAGGGGATGTTGGGGGCACAGACACGTGTTCAGGGAGAATGCTATGTGAGGATGAAGGCAGAGATCAGGGTAAGGCTTGTTCGTAACAAAGAATGCCAAAGATTGCCAGCAAACCACTAAAAGTAAGGGATAGGCATGGGACAGATTCCCCACCCAGCCCTCAGAAGGAACCAACCCTACTGACACCTTGGCCTCAGACTTCCAGCCTCCAGAACTAAGAGAAAAAATTTCTGTTGTTTAAGACTGTCACTAAGTTTTTGGTATGTGCTTTATTGTGGCAGCCCTAACAAGCTGATACACAAGGCTAATGCTCCAAACTGTTCTGGAAACTAAATTGTATCCAGGTTCATATGCTACCTCATAGGAGATGTGAATGCCTATCAAAATCTTTTCAAATTTATGTTAATAGCATTGAAAGTGAAAAGAAAAAAGAGCAAATATTGTCTCTTCAGAATGATTCTCCCAAAATAATGACAATGTGCTCTTTGAAAAGCTCCTCTCTTTGGAAAAGGCATCCTATATCCTAATCATTTGTTTCCAGCTGAGACAAAGAACTGCTCTTTTATTTCAACAGCAGATAACCACGTTTCAACAATCAAGCCAAAACAGCAGTAATTAACATAAACTGTCTTATGAGTTGCTTGTACACTACCTCATTTTGTCTCATGAGCAGGGCTATGAGATAAATTAATTAAAAACCAGAACAGACGAAAGATGGGCAAGTTTGGGTGTATTAATACTTACTATGAAATTATGATTATGACAACTTAGATAAAGTGAAAACTATTTAAACAAGGCTTCATTGTTTCCTTGTTGTAGGCTAATAATCATCACCACTCAATTCTGGCATCAAACCAGAGCTCAGGGAGGCATTGTGACTTGCAAGTGAAGAGAATGTATTCTAACCTGGGTTCAGCAGGTATAGCTACGTAGTTTGCACGGCTGGTGCAAAATGAAAATGCAGGGTTCATTGGTAAAAAGCAGGAAAAGAGTCATTGAAGGCACTAAAATAATATAAAGTTTCCTTCCTTCTTCATCATGGGGTTTTAAATTATATTTAATGTTGTTTAATGTGGTTCTAAGTAAATTAAAATTAAAATTTTTAATTGGCTGGGTTCAGTAGCTCACACCTGTAATCCTAGCACTTTGGGAGCTCAGGAGTTCAAGATCAGCCTGGGCAACATGGTGAAACCCCGTCTCTACTAAAAATACAAAAATTTTAGCCAGGCATGGCGGTGTGTGCCTGTAGTCCCAGCTACTCGGGAGGCTGAGGCAGGAGAACTGCTTGAACCTGGGAGGCAGAGGTTGCAGTGAGCCAAGATCATGCCACTGCACTAGAGTCTGGGTGACAGAATGAGACTCCATCTCCAAAAAACAAAACAAAACAGAAGTTAAATTATGAGTGAATTTTACCATTTAGCTTTATATTGTGCTATGAGTTTTAAATGCCAATGTAAGAGTATTTGATGTGTATGCAGAATCACTAAAATCAAACACCTCATATTTCATAGTTTTTACATGCGTATTTATTTTGTTCTTATCAGAACAGTGGAAACACTGCACAGAACAAACTTGAATGTGTTTATTTCAATTCTTGATGCACACACATTCCACAAACTCTCCCTACCTTTGGGGTTACTGATGGCTAAGGAAAGATTGAAAGGAAAAAGAACTATTGGTTGCCCTGTCTTTCCCTTTCCTTCCATGTCAGCATGTTCAGCATAAGTGGCTGACTACTGCAAGTGAGTAACACATGTAAGAAAGGACACAATAGGGTTCCTCGGTGGTTTGAGTTTCTTGGAACACCATAGTCTTCTCTCTGTGTTCTAAGCAAGTTCCCCTTGGAATGGAAAGTGTAGCTTTTCTTGAGGCTGTCAGAAGCCCACCCCCCGCCCCCCCGCCCCTCCCAATCGCTCAGAATGAACATAACAGGTTTACCTTGCAATCACTTGGAGTCTCCTTGAACTCCATGCATTGTGGTTACCAGAATTCTGTGCTCAGAGCCACCGCACGCTCTGTGCACATGAAGTGGCAAGGAACAGCACGAGCTTCATCATTGCATTGCACTTCTACTACAAATCACAAGTTCAAAGATAATTAGGAATTTCTAACAGTGACAGCAGAGCATTAAACCAAGCGTGGGGCCCCGTGTAATTGCATAGTTTGCACAACCACAAACACAGCCCTGGGTTCTTGCCTGGATTCTCCCAGTAACTTACTATATCCTGAGCAATCCACTAATCTCTATGGGAGTCATTTTCCATGTCTGTGAAATAAGAAGGAACAAACTCTCATACTACTCAAAAATTCTATGGACCTGCACGTTTCATGCCATTTCTTTCTCATCTTTCCTTATCCATTTTACAGCAGTCTCACCCACTCCTACTCACAAGAATGTAAATTCTATAAAGGCAGGGACTTGCTCACCACTTTATCCACAATGAGTAGAACCGGGCTTAGAATATAGTAGGTCCTCTTTTAAATTTATAATGAATGAAGAAATAATAAACAACACCCTCACCACTGTACTAGCTAATCTTCCCCACTCTCTTTATTCATATAATAAGACCTAGGACCAAACACTTTAAAAGCATAGTACATTGAAACCAAAAATCAGCTCTAGCCTAATGATGTAGTTTTGATGACCTATGCGATTAATACAAATATAGTGCCAACATTTTAAATTTGGGAAATTTCACATTAGATACAACATTCCAGTTATTTTTTTAAACCCTAAAGGCATGGTGCTACTCATCTGAAGTAGAGCTGGGCACACTCTCAAGTTTGTCATAGACTTATTGGGCCTGCTTCTCTCATGAATGTCACCTGGGGTCCCCTCTAAATATTTGAGTTAGTGATCCCTGTTTTAGATCATCTGGAGAGAAATAAGAGAGATGATATTGAGGATTTCAAGTCACCCACAGTGACATGGCTTATTGGCATTTTTTTGTCTACCCTCTCAGGGCCAGCATTCTAACAAGCAAAGCATCACCATGCCTGGGCCTGCCCATGGTATGGGTAAGGGTGTGTCTCACACCAAATCCTTTTCCATAGACCCTTGGCAGTGTCTCTTTGTAGCCTCAAGTTGTCTAGTTTAATAGAAAGCCTCTGACACATAAATAATTCCTAACAAGGTCCTAATAAATCAATGAGCTAATCCTTCTCCAAAGCAATTTCATTTTAAAGAAACTCTAGCCAGAGAATTGCAATGCTCTACCCATTCATTTAATTTCAGTTGCTGTGATACCTAAGTTCAGGACATAGTTTTGATGAGAAAAGAGAGTTGAAGCACAACTAGAATCATATCAACAAGTTAATGTCTATTTTTCTGATTTTTAAAGTTTACAGTGTATATAGAACAGCTCTAAAGTAAGGTCTGTGACTTTCAAAAAGTAGATAATATTATATTTCTAAGTACTTGTGATTAGGTATAAGTTCATACTAATCAGATATGTATAATTCATAAGCACTTGGGGTGATATTTATGACCAGGTACTATTACATTAGAATATGTATATCACAGTATATATGTATGAATTAAAAATTTTCATATATATGTGTCTATGTGTGTATGTGTGTATACACACATGCACACACACACACATATATAGAGAGAGAAAAGAGATCACATTTATGATAAGCTATTAACTTTTTATAATATGTATTCAATAAACACATATCAGAATCAGAAAGATTATTGTAAATTTAAAAATGATTTCATTTGATAGTGAAAATCTATATATTCTTATAGCGCAAGACCCTGCACTGTTTTCTAATAAGATATTTAAAACCAAACCAAATGCTCAGAACATTTTTTTCCAGCAAGAAAATAAAATTGTTTCATTTGTTTTAGTCCAAAGAACATGCTTTAGCAAGGCCTTTGTCTTGAGGATTTTACCATTGTCCTTGAAACTCACTTCAAAATTTAGTCTTTTTAAAACTGCACAAGTAAAAAAGGAAACTTTCTTTCCCTATAAAATTTAATTTACATGTAAAATTAATTTGAAATCTAACATAAAGTCAGATTTTTACAAGCATTATTCCAAAACTCATGACAAGAAAAGGTCACTTGTACAATTTCATGCCTCGCACTTAATTTCTTCTTAAGTAAAGCAATTGAAAAATTCATTAATTTTTGTCTTGATCATTAGCTTGGAAGTTTTCATTTAATGAGACCATCAATTGAAGCTATTTTATGTATTCTATGGTTGCCTCTGAGGTTAACTCTCTATTACCAGTTTTAACCATGCTATAGTCCAGACAACATTTTTATTTGCTGACTTGTTCGAATAGTTACAGTTTTCTATACCCTGGGCGTTATAATTATTCTAACTTTCCTCCAAAATCTTGTGATCTTTTGCCCCCAGGGCCAGTAAGGATGCATGTTCAGTGACACCATTCAGGCTCTGCTTGCCGCTTGGAGTGGAGTTTGGAGAAGGGTGGGGATGCATTTGCCTTTCATGCCTTCTCCCATCCAATTTACCCTGAAGAGAGCATGCTACTATTTAAGTGGCCAGGGCCCTCAAAAGCCCCTGCTACTGCATATCAGATACATACATCCTGGGTTTAAAACTGTGAACAATAAATGACCTGGGCATTTTTTTTCTGTTTTTTTTTTTTTCCTACTTTACTGATTTTTCCACTTGTATTTCTCCCTCTTTCCTTATTTTGACTTTTTAGTGTCTTTGTGTGTTTTCTTAACTTTTGAATTGTATGTTTATTGCTTTTATTTTCTTTCTTTTAAAAATGTTAACATGGTTTCTATAAGCTTTTTTTGTAGAAATTCTATAATTTTGATTTGTATATTTCCTTTGACTCAAGATTTATTTTTAAAAGGATTCTTGTCTCCAATCAGGTAGATTTTACTTTTTGTTATTGGTTTCTAGTCACACTGCATATTTATATTGGCAGATGTTACTTGCATAATTTATTATTGATTTATTATTCTTTAATGATTGGGCAAGAGATCCTTTTTGTATTGTGAATTTATTTTCAAATATGTCTCAAACTACTTTTTCTTATTTTCTTGCTGACTCTTTTGGCTCTACCAGGCAGGGAGCAAGAGGGGCACAGTAGTATACAGAACACAGACGTGGACCCCAGTCAGACCCGAGTGTGAATCTCTGCTGGGCTTCCTGGCTGTGTGACTGGGGCAAAGCGATCTTTTAGTTTCAGTTTCCTCAACTGAACAAATGCTAAGATTAAAGGAGATAATGTATGCAAAGGGTTTAAAGGGGTACCAGGAAAATGGTTGTTATTCATCATCATCATCATCATCACTGTGATTACTCTTGTCTACTTCACTACCAATAAATTACTTACATAAAAATTGCTTTTATAAAATTCCTGGAGAAATTGGAAACAGTTGCCTAGCTAATGTGAATAGAGGATACAAACACACACATACATAGAGAGATACATGCATGCTATACACAATTTTATTAATCTTTTTATTAATCCTATGAAGTAAGTAAAGTGAGAAATATTCCACCCATTATATAAAGAGATCATGATTAGATAATCTATGGCACCACCTTCAATGACTAAGGAACTACTAATTCCAGGGGTTTGACCCAGGCCTTCTAATTAAAACTATATTCTACGTAATCACACATTCCTACTTGATTTAATTTATGTTGCTCAAGTAATTTCTGAGTATGCATCAGATAACTGTGAAGTATTTGTTAAAGCAGGCCATTATCAGTAGTAGTCATGGTACATGTTCCTATTTCCAAGGACAAGAATATAGGTTAAGAAATAGCCCAGTCTAATTGGATCTACATTCATGCTCTTAATGTGTAAGGGAAGCATGGGATAAGAGAACATGAGTGAAGAACAAGTTTAAGACATTTTTTGTTTGGTTATGTTTTTGACACCAGCAATCTGAAATTCTGAAAAAATCCCATTTGCAACAATGAGACATCTTAGCTGCTTTCCTCACGAAGTCCAGAGAATTGTGGATTTTTTTCAAAGCTAGAAGACCTTTGAGACGGAGGTCAGGAAAAGCAAAAGATGTTCCAACGAGTGCTGTCTGGGCAAGCCATTTCAAAATATTAAATGGGTTATTGTCTCTCAAAAAAACACTACTGGGAGCTATATTATTCTATTATATATATAGAAGCCTCATTTTATTGATATCTCCCAGGAGTTCTGAAGTGCTTTGTAACTGACTGGTTCCCCAACCCCCACCTCTGGAGAATGACAGAAAAGATAGTGATCCCGACCTTGCATCTAAACTGCCTGCACGGGCATCTTTGATGTACCTACAGCAGACTTGGACACGGGTGCTAATGCTGCACAGTGCCCCTTCGGTTCTTCTTCAGTCCAGGTGATAGATTACAGAGATAGCAGTTTGACTTTGGATTATAAAGAACACCATTGGGAGGCAGAGGCAGGTGGATTGCCTGAGCTCAGGAGTTGGAGACCAGGCTGGCCAACATGGCGAAACCCTGTCTCTAATAAATATACAAAAAAAATTAGCCAGTCATGGTGGCGCATGCCTGTAGTCCCAACTACTTGGGAGGCTGAGGCATGAGAATTGCTTGAACCTGAAAGGGTGGAGGCTGCAGTGAGCTGAGATCATGCCACTGCACTCCAGCCTGGGTGACAGAAGGAGACTCTGTCATAAATAAATAAATAAATAAATAAATAAATAAATAAATAAATAAATAAAACAATGTCCCTATAACATTGTAAAATGTTAGTTTACCAAAGAAAGTATCCATTTCACATTTGATTCCTGGGTAATTTTTAGAAAACGATCCTTTCATAAAAAGGCCTCTGTGTTTGTTTGGTGAGAAAAAACAAACAAATTCAAACCTAAAAGGAAGAGTGTGCACTGGAGTGGGAGATGTTTGCAAGGGAGTGTGCTCACCTTTCACAATGATTATTTAACAAGCATGTATTGAGCCCCTATTGAATGCTCAAAGATAATAGAAAAGTACTTTCCGTACAAGGAAGACTCCCGTTCAAAGTAGGAGTGAGATTGACAAGTGGTTCCAGATTTTCAGACACATGACCTCCTTTCAGGGCCTTCTCTTTAAATCATCAGTTTTGTTCCATTGCTAGGGAACTCCCCTTTGACATACAAGCATTCAGCTACAGCCGTGCCCAGGAACACTATGCAGCCAGGACATTTGTGTCCTGTGAGACCTGTGAGAGGTACCCCAAACCTTGGGGTACCTCTATCTCTTCTGGTCCCTTGACCACTAAAATACACTTCCTCTCTTCTTTGAAAGTGTAATGGTTTTTGCCCCTAAGAGTTGTAAAAATACCAACAGGATTTATTTCATTTTTCATCAATCTCCTGGGATGGTTGGACTGAGAGAAAAATATAGACTAGTAAATTTTCATTGTATGTATGCACAGTTGATCTGAGCATGAAATAGTACTCATTGATATGGTTGAAATATCTGCAGAAATCCACAGATCTGCCTTGCAAAACCAAGTATCAGGACACTTTGATGACATATATGCAGGAAAAGATGGTAAAAGCATAAAAATTCTCACAATCCAACTGAGAACCTAGAAAAGAAAATGCGCAAGCTGTGCACATTGAAATTTGCTTTTTAAAAAACATAAACATAAAGCTTTAGTCAATGTAGTTTTATATCAATTCATTCATACTCAGTCTTGTTTAAACTATTGTTATCTACTAATAATTAATTTACAATAAAATTATTGGATTCCTCTTTCAGCCATAATGGAATAACTGATATCAGATTTGCTTTCTTACTGTAAACAACTAGAAAACAGGGCAGAGTATAGAAAAGGATTGTTACCAGATCTTAGAAATGGCAGTACAGGATTACTATCCCTGAGAGAAAATAAACGAATGAGGTGACCCTTGTAATTGCCTCACCTTCCTTCCTTCCAGGCCACAATACTGGGAGAAGGAGCATAGCTTTCTCACTGAGCTGAGGATACAGAGTTTGGAGTTCAGGGAAGATGGAGAGACTGGAATGTGTGGTGCAGGTTGCTAGAGAAGCAATCTATGCAGATAAAAACATTCCCCAAATCTGCATGGAATCCTCTCTGGTCTTTGCCTGAATAACATGAGCACACTGTGAGAATCCACAAGACTAGGCAATAAAAAACAACTTCTGAAGAAAAACAACAAAAAGCATGGAGCTCTGTGCAGAATAATTCCCAGAGCTCACACAGGAGTGAGACACCTTTGAGATTCATCCAGCTAGTGTGGAGTATACTCTTGAAACACCCAGAATATTCAGGAGACACCCAAGACACTCCAGTCTTACTAATAAAGCTAAACTGCTTGTAGAATAAAGGTTGGCCTAAACCCATCCTAACAAGTTTTAAAATAAGCTTTAAAAATATGGAGCTCACATATAAATAACTTACTGCCAAAAGAAAATTTAATACTACTTAAAGAAAAATAAAACCCCAAAGAGACATATTGTATATATATTTATATATTTTAAGTAATATAATATATGCTAGTATAATACATAAATATATTATGCTAATATATACTATATTATTCAGTAATATATATGCTAATATAGTATATAAATATATATTGTGTTATATATATTTATATATATATTCTCTCTCTCTTATCATATATATAAATAGAGAGAGAGAGAGAGAGAGAGATACTTGCAGCAATGTGATGTTACAATGTCCAGTTTCCATTAAAACATCACTGGACATATGGAGAAGCATGAAAAATGTGACCCACAACCATAAAAAAATCAGTCAATAGGCACAGACACAGAAATAATAGAGAGATAAAATTAAGAAGGAGTTCAGAAAAGCTATTATAAATATGTTCAATTTTTTTAAACATAAGAATGTTATGGAAATTTTAAACACGAGAACATCTAAGAGAGGAGAAAGATGGAGTTGAAAAAGCAATTTGTAGCCAGGTTATGAACTATGGATGTCAGGTTCGCACACCTGCACACCCACATGGATTATACACTTGCAGAGTGGAACTGATAGGCAGAGAGGCCCTGGAGCAGGACTGCATTGGTTACCAGGCTGTAGATACCAGACACCTCAGCATGACCCTCTCAAGACACTTAATCCCACAATATCTTCCTTCCTGTCTGATAAATAGTTGTAATAATATTACCTAGTTACAGGTTATGCTGGTGACTAATTAAGTTACTGCAACCAAAGGGTTATAGAAGTGTTAGCTATTATTATGTGTGTATGTGCATGTGTGTGTATACACGCACTGACTTATATGTGACATTATTCTCTGTTTGTTTTTCTCTTACAGGTTCTGTGGGAAGTCATCACTGCTGAGAGTAGAGAATGAAATCAGCAAGTATCTAGCATATACCATATATGTGACTTCCTTCCATCTGAGTCCAGGAAGTCAGTCTGATAACCATCACAGCTTTCCTTCATCCATCCAACTCTAACTGGAACCATATGGATATTACAAAATCTCAACCTTGAACTCCCTTTAATGCAGCCAGGGGTTCAAGTTTATTTAAGTGTTTGATCTCCTGTTTTCCCTATGTATGAGATGGGAGTATTTCTCTGTCAATATTTAAAAGCTGGTACCAAATGACCTTGAGTATGGTTAAGTAGTTTTCTCTATCAGTTCATCTCTTATGGTTTGGCTCTAGTGAAGTTTAAGGAAGTGATTTGATTATAGAAGGATGTGGGATTCTACCAACTGCACATTTCTAATCTTAGTGGAGGCATTTACTTATTTCATTAAGTGTTCGCCTGGTGTCTCACCTTCTTGGAAGAGTTTTCTCATGTGTACTAGCCAGCATTCAACCAGAGAAGCAGAACCACTAGGAGATTTATATGCATGAGAATATTATAAGGGATTTCACAACTGTGGAAGCTGGTTAAGTTTCAAGTGAGATGCCAATGCAGGAAGTCCAGAGGGCAGATAGTCAGGAAGATTACTGCTATAGACTGAATGTTTGTGTCCCTACAAAATTTATTTATTAAAATTCTAACCCCCAATGTGATGGTATTAGGAGACGGGGTCTTCAGGAGGTGATTAGTTCATGAGGGTGGAGCACTCATGAATGCAGTTACTGTCTTCATAAAAGAAATCCTAGAGAGCTCTCTCCCCACTTCCACAGATGTCTCACCAGACACTGAATCTGCCGGCACTTTGATCTTGGACTCCGCAGCCCCAAGAACTGAAAGAAATAAGTTTCTGTTGTTTAGAAGCCTTCCAGTATATGATAGTTTGTTATAGAAGCCCAAATGGCCTAAGGCAGTTACAAAGTGGGGGAGAGCAAAACAAGCTGGAGCTCAAGTGCATGGAGCAGGACACAAAGGCCCAAAGACTGACTGAAACTCCTGTCCACTCTTCTTGCTCTGTCATTGGTAGCATGGGCATCCCGCAGAAGCCAGGGCCCTTCTTCAACAGAGGTAAAGACATATACCTGACCCAGAAATCAGAGAAGGGGGAGAAGGCTCCAGGGAGAGGAAAAGCAGCTGCAGACCCACGTGTTGCTTTAAGCCAACAGAGTCAGTCAACTATAGTTGATTATTTGTGTTGAAAACCAATGTATAAACTGCAGAATCATAAGGCCGCTAGAAATTGCAGAGGTCATTTATTCCAGTCTTCTATCTCCAGAAAGGCTGTGTCCAAATCTTTTCAGACAAAACCCCTGCCATCTCTCTCTTTGTGCAAGGTGTCCTCACATAGGCTTTCAACCACCCTTTGCATTATTTAACAATAGGTTGGACTCTGCTTCTATCTGTATCAATTGTAAAACTGAAATAATTTTGAAAATTTGGACTATGTATCTATTATTAACTAACATTTCTGGAAAACTTAAGTGAAAATGGAATTTGTGGATTTGTGAGGAAATAGTTGTAATTATCTACCTGGCATTGATAGTGGCTATTTATTCATTTGGTCAGTGGTCAATTTGACTGGCTACTCCAGAGTTTCATGGCTACCCTAGCTCATGGGCAAAGTGGACTGTGCTGAGACCATAACAAGCCCTAAGGCCAAAATAAACAATTTTGAGATCTGAAGTATGATAGTTCATGCCTGTAATCCCAGTGTTTGGGGAGGCTGAGGGGGAGGATTGCTTGAGGCCAGGAGTTTGGAGCCAGCCTGGACAACATAAGAGATCTCATCTCTATAAAATATATACATTATCTCTATAAAATAATAAAAACATTAGCTGGTCATGGTGGCTGGCATGTGCCTGTAGTCCCAGCTACTGGGAAGGCTGAGCTGGGAGGATGGCTTGAACCCAGGAGCTCTGGGCTGCAGTGAGCTGTGATAGCACCACTGCACTGTAGCCTGGGTGGCAGAGCGAGATCCTCTGTCAAAAAAACAACAACAACAAAAAAAAAGAGGAATACTTTCTGGGAGACTCAGGTGACCACATATTTATCTTGTTAGTAAATATTACTACTTCTAGTAAGATAATTTCCCCTTGTTTCTAACATAAACCTTCAATTTCAACAATTCCCTTTTCTTTATTCAACTTGAATCAGTAACAGAGTGTCCAGCATCTTGCTAATTAGGCCTTTGTATAAATGAAGACATTTTAGCCACACAGTTTTTCTTAAGTAATTCTGATTTCTGTAGCCATCCTACTCCTTTATTTTCTAGCCCTTTGGTCATTTCTTCCTTTCATCTCCCAAAATCTTGACAAATTCTCTTCCTATTTCCTAGGCTCTAAAACTATAGAAAAGTTAGATGGAAGACATTGTTTAAATCGGGATTAAAGATGTGCAGAGGACATTTGTGCAGCATAATTTTCTTACTATATTCAGTGTGGACATCTTCTAAACAGTATTCTGGATGGGAAGTTCGCAGCCCTTCACTGTTCCCCAGTTCTGCAATTCACTTGATCACTTTGTCTTGATGTAGTCCTCGTGTCATTTTAAAGGCTTTATCTTAATAGCTTAAGCTGCACTTATTATATTTTATATCATATAAACAGTCTGTAAAGAGACCTTAAAAGGCAAATAGATTTTTTTTTTTTTTTTTTTTGTTAATCACAACAAGGAAAAGGATGGTTCACCTTCACCTCCTTGAGGTTGTTATGCTTTGTTTGCCAAGCAATCCGGAATAAGAATTATGCAACAGAATTCTAATAGAACACTCTCAACTGTCAATATCATGTACAGATCATGTCTACCAGTGGCATTACTGAAGGTGAATAGTGAATACTGTCTTCACAGGAATTCTGCATGGGACAGTGATTTGCTTTGCTCTCCTGTTACCTCTAGACTATTTAGATCTTCTCAGAAGAAATGTGATGGATATTGTCTTTGTCTGCCCAAGTTGCCATAGTAAAATACCATATACTGGGTGTTTTAAGTTACAGAAATTTATTTCTTACAGTTCTGGAGCCTGAGAAGGCCCAGTCAAGGGGCTAGACAGTTCTGTTTCTCCTGAGGGCCTTCTTCCTGGTGTGCAGATGGCACCTTCTTTCTGTGTCCTTGCTTGGCAGAAGAGAGCATGCTCTGGTGTCTCTTCCTTTTTCATAAGGGCACGAGCCCTGTTGGAGTAGGACCCCACCTTCATGATCTCTATTAACCTTTATCATCTACTCACAGGCTCTATCTCCAAATACAGTCACATTGTGGGTTAGGCCTTCAACATGTGAATTTGGGGGAATACAAAAATTCAGTCCATAACATTCTGCCCCTGACCTCTCAAATTTTAAATTCTTCTTCCATGCAAAATACTTTCATTTTGTTCCAACAATTCCAACCCTAAAAGTCTAAATTCATTCCACCATCAGCTCTAAAGCTTAAAGTTCAAAGTCTCATCTAAACATCTAAATCAGATATAGATGTGAATCACAGTATGATTCATTCTGAGGCAAAATTCCCCTGCAGCTTGTGAACCTGTGAAACCAAATGAGCTATGGGCTTCCAAAATACAATGGTGAGAATAGACATTCCCATTCTCAAAGAGAGAAATTGGGAGAAAGAAAGTGGTGATGTTCTCAAGAAGACCCAAAACCGAGGAGGGCAAATCCATTAGACCTTAAGGTTTGAGAATAATCCTCTTTGGCTTGACGTCTGTGATTATTAATACTGAGTGTCAACTTGATTAGATTGAAGGATACAAAATATTGATCCTGGGTGTGTCTATGAGGGTATTGCCAAAGGAGATTAACATACGAGTCAGTGGACTGGGAAAGGCAGACTCACTCTTAATCAGGATGGTCACAGTCTAACCAGCTGCCAGCATGGCTAGATTATAAGCAGCCAGAAAAATGTGAAAAGACAGACTGGCCTAGCCTCCCAGCCTACATCTTTCTCCCATGTTGGATGCTTCCTGCCCTCGAACATCAAACTCCAAGTTATTCAGTTTTGGGACTTGGACTGGCTCTCCTTGCTCCTCAGCCTGCAGATGGCCTATGGTGGGACTTTGTGATAGTATGAATTAATACTTAACAAACTCCCCTTTATATATATATATTATATATAATATATGTTAAATATATATAAGTATATATAGTATATATAATATATATTAAATATATTTAATTTTATATATATTAAATTATATATTATATATAATTTAATATATATAAAATTAAATATATTATAAATATATATTTAATATATATTATATATATAATATATATATATTCCATTAGTTTTGTCCCTCTAGATAACCCTAATACAATGTCCCAACTTCCAGCCTTCCTGGGATGGTAGTGTCATTCCACAGCTTTGCAGAGCCACCCTGTTCCTCCAGCTATCTGGGAGGGACCTGCCCCCACAACTGTCTGAGAGGGCCCCACCCCTGAGGCTCTATGTGAGGGCCACATAGCTCTATGCCAGATCCTCTTTCTCTGAAACCAAGGAGAAAACAGTCTTACCCCTTGGGCCTGTGGCAGGAGTGGCAGTCCTGCCTATCTCTGAATTCACTTCAGGGCCATTCTTCCCTTTTCTTGAAGAACAGTGCATCTTCACAGCCAAATACCTCTATGGTCCTGCCCTGTAGAATCCAAGCAGCCTTGACAGCCTTCCTTTATTTTGTCCCATCTCCATCCCCTTTCCTTCAAACTGGCAGAGTTTCTGCTCATATACGCCACAAACTCTTTGTCAAGTGATAGTTCAGCCACACCTTTGATGTTCTCTTTAGAACATGCTTTATCTTTTTTTGCAATATGGATAGACTGAGGATTTTCTCAATATTTAATTTCCCATATTTTTGGGGGTTTTTTGTGAGTTGGTTGGTTTGGGATTTTATTGTTTGTTTGCTTAACAATTCCTTCTTCAATTTATCTCTCTCTTCTTGTGTTTTACTATAAGCAGTCAGGTGATACCAAGCCACTGCTTCAACACTTTGCTTAGAAATCTCTTCAGCTATATAACCAACTTCCTTGCTCTCAAGTTTTACCTTCTGCAAAATGTGAGGACACACAGTTCAGCCAAGTTTGTTACTTTATAACAAGGATAACCTTTCCTTGAGTTTCCTATAACATGTTCCTCATTTCTATCTGAAACCTCACCAGAATGGCCTCTAATGTACATATTTCTACCAATATTCTGTTCATGATTATATCCCAGCCCAAGGAAGTTGGGTGGGACAGGTTTCCCCTTACTCATGGGAATGTCAGCCTTCTGTCCTGTTCAGGCCCTCAACTAACTGAATGAGACCCACTCAAAATATGGAGGACAATAAGCTTTACTCAGTCTACTGAATCAAATGTTGGTTTCATCCACAAACACCCTCACAGACACATCCAAAATAATGCCTGAACAAATATCAGGGCACCCCATGGCCGTGGCAAGTTGGCATATAAAATTCACCATCACAGGTACCTTCTATTTTACTTCCAAAATTTGTCTGGATTTATTGACAGGATATGTTTTTTATTGTCTGTTTAATTGATTCATCCAACAAAAATTCATGAGTTACTATTATGTGCAGAGCTATACAATTTCCTATATTCTGTACAAAATTCTGACTGCTCAGAGAAAGACTTTTTTCATTTACCACTTAAGCAGAGGAGGGAATAATTACTTTCTTTCCCTTTAAGAGACATACGATATTTGAGAAAATGCTGGTTAGTGGAATACCTGTTCTCAGCATGGTTTTCCAACACTTTAGACTTACAAATAAGTGACCTGTTACAGACATTGATGTTGGCAATATCAGTAGGTCTGAGACGCAGACCAGGGTAACTATATTGGAAACCTACAGTGAAAATCATATATAAAAAGAAAAAATATTCACTTACTTGCAACTGTAGACACGTGCTGATGAGAAGGGAGTGAGAGCTGAAATCACTGGTCATTCCAAATGGTCTGAGGGCCCAGTCTCAGCCCTAACCCTGCCAGAGAAGGGCAGGTTTCTAGGGGCTGTTTGATTTGTGGACTCTGACTCAGCAGGGCTTCAGCAGCACTTACATCATGTAAAAGAATGATTTGATGCAAGCCTCATTTAAAGGGTCACTAGATAGCTATGATTTTTGACGTCTGCCTGTTTCTGCTCAATGCGTGTAGAAACAAAAAACAAAACATTTTGATCAATCTAGCTCCCTTCAAAAAAAGGTAAGATAGTAGTGACTGTACAGATAACAAGGTCACTTCTCGATAATATCTAGATGTAGACAAAAGAAAACAGCAATAAAGAGCCATAGTATCTCACGACGGTGAGATCATTGTGACAACACACTGATTCTTCAGGGAATGTGCCTGTGTCTAAGACACTTTCTCAGTATGTATTTAGGAGCCCATTCTGCAGTGCGAGCGCTAAGCTATTTCCCATTTTAGTGGTATCTATAACAGATAATAAAAATCACTGGATATTTACAAAAACCTTATCTACGGAAAGGAAAGAACCAAGTTTCCAACAAATACATCAGAGTTTTGTGAAAGAAAATCAATTCAGCCAGATGCAGTGGCTCATACCTGTAATCCCAACACTTTGGGAGGCTGAGGCAGGAGGATCACTTGAGCCCAGGAGTTCAAGACCAACCTGGGCATAGCAAGACCCTGTCTCTACAAAAAATAAAATAAAATAGCCAGGCTTGGTTGCACATGCCTTATTCCCAGCCTCTGACTCGGTGGGGCATCAGCAGTGATGCCCTCTATTCAGAGGCTGAGGCAGAGGAATCACTTGAGCCTGAGAGGTTGAGGCTGCAGTGAGCCATGATTATGCCACTGCACTTCAGCCTGGGCAAAAGAGTTCTTTTCTTTTTTTTTTCTTCCAAAAAAAGGAAAGAAAGAAAGAGACAGAGGAAAGAAAGAAAGAAAGAAAGAAAGAAAGAAAGAAAGAAAGAAAGAAAGAAAGAAAGAAAGAAAGAAAGAAAGGAAGAAAGAAAGAAAGAAAGAGAAAGAGAGGAAGGAAGGAAGGAAGAAGAGGGAGGGAGGGAGAGAGGGAGGAAGAGAGGAAGAAAAAGTAAGGAAGGAAGGAAGGAAGGAAGGAAGGAACAAAAAGGAAGGAAGAGAGGGAATAAATTCATAGGTAAAGGGGGAACTCAGTAAGTATAATCTCAACATCCAAAAGTCCTTCAAAAGGGCTTATTCAAATATCTATCATGGAAATTGCCTTCCAATGTGACTATCCTTACAGTCTGTGGTGACTAGAGAAAAAGATTGATTTATCAGTAACAGAGAAATGCCTTGTGTAAGGATAAATGGGCACTGAAATAGATGAAGGATTTTACACCATGGAAGATCAGTATTCTAACTAGTTTCATGTAATAAGTAAATGTCATGGAGGAGTCAGGAGGGGAATGTAGAAGTTTAAAGATGGAATTAAACTCTTTGGAGTAGTGAAAACACCACATTAATGAGGAGTACAGGAGATTTAACTTGGTCTAATGAACGGAGAAAAATTGCAGATAAATTTCTTTGTGAGTAAGCACAAAGTACTGCAATTATAGATATAAACTTACGGACACTGAGCTATAATTTATAGCCCAGATAATGGTTTTGGAAAGTTACGAAGGGTATTGTGAAGACGTGATGCTTAAAGTTATTTTAGCAATAGATAATGAATACATAAGTGAAGACCCTAAAGATATTGGCCAGTTGAGGCACTGTTTATAAAGCCCAGAAAAATACTGAATATCATCAAAGCCCTCAAACCCCAAGCACATCTTTTAACATTTATTACATTACCATGGGTTCAATATTAATACAGAATGGGATCTTATATTAACATGTCATATGGAAAGATAAGTAATCAGACCAAGCCTGTCATTGAAAGCATCTAAAATTTCCTGAAAGCATATTTTAAGATATTTCTAAAAGCACTGAAAAGCTAGCAAGATAGCATTAATAAACCAACACAGAAACCCAAAGAGACGAACAGAGCACCAAGACCACTTTTGCCCTAAGGACTTCAAGCTAAGAATTTAAAGTTTTAGAGAGAGACAATATATTATAGAAAAAAGTAACCAGCTAACTTGATGCTAGACCAGATTGCCTAGGTTTAAATATTAACTCACCACTTGACTTTGAGCCAGTGATTTAACCTAAGTTTTTCAATTATGGAATGGGTTAATGATAGTGCCTCTTAGGGTTGACATGAAGATTAAATAAATTAAAGCACATAGAGCAGTATCTGACAAATAGGGAGCTATACATAAGTGTAAACAAATTTCAAAGTATTTAAGAAAAAATAAAAAATGGGAAAGAGGGGAATGTGATTGGGGAAGGCAGATGGAGCTTTCTGGGTGTTTGTAATGTTGTTCTTGACCATATTGGAGATTACGCAGAGGTTCACTTTAGTATTATTGTTGAATGATATAACTGTATTTTATTCACTTTTCTGTATGTGGTTGTATCTTATTTTTAAAATGGAGTAACCCTGGGGGAGTGGTTCTCAAATATTTTGTGCTCAGGTCCCTTTAAAGTCTTCAAAACTGTTGATCATTACAAACAACTTTTGTTTACAAGTTACATGTATCAGTTATGATTTTAAAAATGAAAACTAAGAAGTTTTAAATAGTTACTAATGAATTTAAAAATCACAACAACAATTACATGGTAACATAAATTACATATTTTTAAAAAATTGCTTTATTTTTGGAAACCAAAAACAATTAATGAGAAAAGTGGCATTTAAAAAGATTTTTGCAAATTGCTTCAATATCTGGCTTAATAAAATCCAGCTAAATTCTCATATCTTCTGCTCTCAATTTGTTGATATTTGTTGCTTTGGTTAAAGTATATGAAGAAAATCCAGCCTTATACAGACATGCCTTTGGAAAAAAAAGGGAACATTTAAATTGGCTTTTTAGATATTTGTGAATATTCTTCTTTGATACAATATCAAAAGTAGACAAGAGGTAATTTCTTAAATGTTGCTGCAATGTAGAATCAAATTATATCAATAAAATTTTATACATCTGTGCCTCTAACTTTCAGTTTGAATGAATCTTTTATTCATTCATAAACTCCTATTCGTTCCCTGAGTTAGGCAGATCTCCCAAATGTTAACACATTTTACTAGGCAATATCATAAGTGGCATTCATTAATATCACCTCCAATCTCATCGGAAACTTTTTAAGTACTAGAAAACTGTCATATTAAAAATGGCAGATTACATTTTCCAAAGTTTCAATTTTCTCTTGAAAGCTTTAATTTTATCATTAGCAACAAAGAGTGATGATTGTTTTCCTGAACTGACAGTCTGACATTAATTTTCAAGAAAATGTCTGCCCTATACCCAAACATGAATAACTGTATCTCATCTGTTAGTAGCTCTTTCAAAAAAAAAAAAAAAAAAACCCCTGATATTCTTGGGAAAAGTGGCTAATTCAGGTTGCAACTGAAACAATCTCACATTGCTTGCAATAGCCATCATACTTTGGTGTGCAACAGAAATGGCCTATGTACATTTCCCATTTGGTCATAACGCAAACCTAAAAAGATATATATTCAAGTATCAAAATTTTAAATGGTAACATGTTTACTGCTTCAACAAGGGCATTCTTAAGTGAAATTGTCTTACTCTTTTTCTTTTTACTGCAAATGTGTGGTTTGGGTAACAAGAAAGACAACTTGGCCTTTCATCCACTGGTCTTTAGTTCCAGTAAGAGATAAGACACACGCTTGAAATGTCCAGGCCAATATGAAAAGTCTTATGTTCATCTTGTTGAGGGACATGCAAACACCAGGAGTTCACTAAACTTCATCATGACATTATGCAACCTAACCATTCCTGTGCATCTTTCTGATCAAACACATTGATAAATATTCACCTGGAAAGGTATATTTTGTGCCTATTTCAAAGCAAGAAAAAATTGGTCCAATTTAAACCTAGAAATAATACCTCTCCTACAATATTTTAAGCATTAATTCAGGCAATTCCGTCTACATATCTGAATGGTCTTGGATCAAAAATGCCTTAATTTATTTATTCCAGTTTTCTGAGTACTTCACTAGATCACCAAAAACATGCTATGAAAAGGCAAAAGTTCAAATAACAAAAATCTAGTATGAGGGGTCTTCAAAAAATCCATGGAGAATGTATATTGTAAAAAAAAAATGCTTGGATTTCAAATTTTTTTCAGCAAAATAAATTTGCACTAATTTGTTAGAGAGTGCAAAAAGAATCTAGTTGGAAGCACTGATAAAGAAAAGTTTGAAAAGAACCTCTATCAGAAAAACATGAATTCTGCTAAAACTGAAGCAAGAACAAACATCAAATTTATGATGAAACTTGGGTGAAAGAATGGTAAAATAATTGATGATTTACAAAAAGTTCCAGGAACCATGCCCCAAAGAAACCAGCAGTTTACAAATGTGTAGCTTATTTTAAGAAGGGACAAGGTGACATTGAAGTTGAAGCCCACAGTGGCAGACCATCCACATTAATTTACAAGAAAAAAATTAACCTTTTTCATGCCCTAATTGAATAGGAATAACAATAACTGCAGAAACCATAGCCAACACCATAGACATCTCAATTTTTTCAGCTTTCACAATTCTGACAGAAAAATTAAAGCTGAGCAAGCTTTTCACTTCATGGGTGCCAAGACTGTTGCAACCAGATCAGCTGCAGACAAGAGCATAGATTTCAATGAAAATTTCAAACAAGTGGAATCAAGATCCTAAAGCATGTCTTCAAAGAATTGTAACAGGATAGGAAACCTGCCTTTACCAGTATGATCCTGAAGACAAAGCACAATCAAAGCAGAGGCTACTAAGAGGTGGAAGTGGTCTAGTCACAGCAGAAATGGATGGTCAAGAGCAAAGGTCATGGCAATGGTTTTTGGGGATGCAAAAAGCATTTTTCTTGTTGACTTTCTGAGGGGCCAAAGAATGATAACATCTGCTTATCATGACAGTGCTTGGAGAAAGTTATCCAAAGCTTTAGCAGAAACATGCACGGAAAATATTCACTGGAGTGTCCTTCTCTACCATAACAATGTTATTTCTCTCATCAAACTAGGGACATTTTGCAAGAGTTTTTATGGTGAATCATCAGGCATCCACCTTACAGTCCTGATGTGGCTCCTTCTGCCTTCTTTTTGTTTCCTAAACTTATAAAATTTTTAAAGGGCATCCATTTTTCTTCAGTTAATAATGTAAAAAAGACTGCATTGACATGAGTAAATTCCCAGGACCCTCAGTTCTGTAGGGGATGGACTAAATGGCCGGTATTATTGTTTACAAAAGTGTTTTGAATTTGATGGAGCTAATAAAGTGTATATGATAGTGTTTTTATGAGAAATAAAGTTTATGTTTTTTATTTATTTAATTTCATTTTCTATGAAATTTTTGAAGTCCCTTCACATACTTCTTAATTCAGAGATTTAAGTTCAACAAATTTAATCTACAAAGAGTTTGAAACCACACACACACACACACACACACACACACACACACACTTCTCAGACAGCTCTTTGTGAAAATAAAAGCAAAGGCTTTACCCTTAGGAGGATTAGATAACATGTGAATGAATATGAGGCCAAACATAAAACCTGGAGTGTCTATGCTGAGTTGGCAGTGATGGGGATGTGAGAAACTGCAGGTGCTGATGTCAGGGTAGGAGGTAAAGAAGCAGAGGTGGGCTTACTTGATGATAGCATTGTTATCGTACTCTATTCAAGTGGTATAGAGTGCACTTTATATAAAGTTCACTGTGGGAAGAAAAATTCTAGAAAAATTATGTTTAACCCAGTTGCTACAGTTAAATGCAGTGTAAAACCAGAAATAAACCAAAGAATCTTAAGTAAGACCATAAGCTTTGATGACTGTATCAGTTTTCTATTGCTTTATAACAAATTACACTTAGAGGTTTAAAACAACACCCACCCATGTATTAGTTTACAGTTTGGTAAGTCACAAGTCCCAGCACCGTGTAACCAGATTATCTGCTCAGGGTCTTATGAGACTAAAGTCAAGTTGTCAGCCAGGCTGCATTTCTTTCTGGAAGCTCTGAGGAAGAATCTGCTTCCACACTCATGCAAGTTGCTGGCCAAATTCAGTTAGTTCCTTGCATTTGTAAGATGGAGGTCCCTATTCCCCTGCAGGATGTCAATCACAGCCACTCAGATCTCAGAGGCCACCCATATTCCTTGCCATGTGGCCAGTACTGAAGAAAACTATCTGTGCAGTGAAGGCTGCTTGGAATTTCATCTCTTGGACAAGGTTTATATTCATGTTTTATCTCATGTAATCACATTTAGACATGAGTAAAGAGTGGTCTTGTTTTTGTTTTGGTGTATTATGCTCACAAAGTGGCCTTATTTGATATTGATGTCCCATGAAATCATTTGTGTTCAACGACAGCACATCAAAGCCTAGCTGAAGCACCAGGCTGGCCCCTTGATGTCTGCAGCATAAGGGGCAATTGGATGACCAGAGTGGTGCTAAAGTACTGAATTTGGAGGAATCTCACTCTGTTACACTTAGGACAAGTTTGGGGCTCGAGGATATTGATGATCTGCTACAGATCCTTGGGCATGAATCCCGTGTGTGGGCTCTTGCATGAGCTCTCCTCCTACTGTGGCCACCTCCCATTCTACAGGACCAGAGAGTAGAATGTAGCATGTGCAATATCCTGTGTGTCCTCATCACTGGTGCCCAGCATGGTCACCTTACGTCCTCTATAAGCTCCATGTGACTTATCAGGCAGTCCTCCACTGGGGGTAGCTGTACTTACCTCAGGGCTCTCAAGTCCTTTGTTCTGTGACATTAATGCACCCTTCAAATAGGTATCCTCCTTGCTCCCAATTAATGTGTTGATATCATTGCTCACCATAAGCCATGCTAACAGGCATTGCTTAAGTGGGTGGACTACTCTACCATGGTCCCTTCCCTATTCTCCCCTGATGGAAATTTGTGGAAGCCAGGGATATGGTCATTATTGAAAGAGATCATATAATTACAACCTGAAGAATTCCAGAGGTCATGGTTGGAAGATGTGTTCCTCTATGTTTATGCTATAAAACTCCTAATGGTAAATTTAACATGAGAAGGAAACAAAATACTGTCTGTATTTTCCCACGTACTCTGGGGGCAACCTTTGCAGTCATCATCAACAAAACAAAGTAACAACCTTTGAAAGAGTCACTAAAAGCCCACACTCATGGGCTGCTTTTGGTTGACCCAGCATCCTGAGCAATGATGTCACCAGCATCGAATCGATGATGTCAGTGAACTGTAGCAGCAAGAAGATCTGTGTTGTTTCTATCAAACATTCTGAAGAGCCATGGCATTGTGAGTTGCAAAATTTTTCCCACTATGGGATATATGAAATTAGCCAGGGGCAGCATTTTTGACAATTAAGAACATGAACAGATGATTTCTAAACCTGAACAGGAAGAGATGGTGCCTAGACACCCTAAAGATCTTTCATGTGCCCTGCTGAGAATTTACACAAATATGTAACCACTTCTCTACCCATTATTCTATTATCTTCATTCAATTCTTGCTTGAATTGTGTAATACATTCTCAAATCAAAATGTTTATACTGACAGTGATCCTACAAAAAGTGTTTTCCAGGCCAGGCACGGTGGCTCCCACGCCTGTAATCCCAGCACTTTGGGAGGCCGTGGTGGGTGGATCACCTGAGGTCAGGAGTTCAAGACCAGCCTGTCCAACATGGTGAAACCCCATCTCTACAAAAATACAAAAATTAGCCAGGCATGATGGCGGGTGCCTGTAATACCAGCTACTCGGGAGGCTGAGGTGGGAGAATCACTTGAACTCAGAAGGCAGAGGTTGCAGTGAGCCGAGATTGCACTATTGCACTCCAGCCTGGGTGACAGAGAGAGACTCTATCTCAAAAAAAAAAAAAAAAGTGGTTTCAGCATACACCCTAGGAGATGCCTTGCAGGGAAGGCTTCCTGAAGAAGTCAGGTTTAAGATACAAAAGTATGTTTAGGAGTTAAGTAGACAAAGAGGAGAGTGAAGTTTGTTCCAGTCAGAGAACATGTGCAAAGGTCCTGTGGTGGGAAGGACCAGGTGAGTGTGAGGGACTAAAACAATACAATACATTCTAAAGGACAGTCAGTGGATTCTGATAATAGTCTGGTTCCCCACTCACCAAAGGACTGGTAAAAAGCCTCAGTCAGTATAACATCGTTGTGTGTGTTCCCATGTACCTGCCCTATGCTTGCTCCCCATCTCAGCTTCTTGCTTGGGGCCGTGACTGCTCACAGGAGATGGTTTCTAGTCTTTGCTCCTTGGCTGGAAGGAAGAGAGCTACACCTCTCATTCCTTAATTGCAGTCCTTCACAGCTACAGCTTTGGAATTCTTCTTTCTGTCATGGCTATGGGAGGATATTTTTTAATGCCTGTGGTGGAAAGAGTACTCCTTGCTTAGTGAGAGAGATTGAACAAACCCCTTGTTGTGTAGAAGAATACAAGTGGCGACATTCCTCTGCAATAAGGCTAATGCTTCCCCTTGCAACTGATGCTTGGAATATAACTGTTTAGTCACCTTACATCCAGTAATGCAGGGGCGGTATCAGAGCTTTGCTTCAAAGCTGAAATGAAGATCAAAACTAATATAAAGTATAGGGGGAAGCAGCATTAAGTAGGCCCAGGGTCCGCATCTTTTCTTTTAAGTTTTGTCCCAGTGGATCTGAATTGCTTTTATCCAATGATTTTTTCCCCAGGCTTTAATCCCATTGGCTTTTTTCTCAGGTGAAAAACAAATCCCAAGTGTCTGTGCTGTGTGCCTACTGGTAAGGTAAAGAAATCTGTCTGAAGAGTGAAATCTTGACATAGACCCAGCCATTCTGAGGAAGGGGAACAGTACCAAGGCTGAGAAAAAAAATGGGATTAATGGGAATTGGAGGGGCATAGGTGTTACACACAAAGCCTTGGGAGAGTATCTCCTCTGAGAAGCCTCCTTTGATTTACACTCCCCACCGCCCCCACCTTAATTCTCAAACTGCCTAAGACTTAATAGAATATATGCATTTTTTTTCCAACTTAATCTCAGCCAGATTGAAGCCAATCTCCACCAGATTGAAGGGAGCAGCTGGATCATGGGATGCTAGTGCTTGGAACTAGAAGGAGAGCTCATCTGAGACATGCTGATTGTTGACACTTCTGAGCGGATTGCAAGAACGAAGAAACGAAGGAACATCTTGACTCCTTACATACACTGCAAGTCCCTTGAGTGAAAAAATGACTCTCCTTATCCTGAAAATCTGAAAATACTACCTCAAAAATCAACTCAATACATGTTTTGTCATAATGTGATTATGTGCTTTGTGCCAGTTTTGTGAATCATGTCTTACAGATAACGGTGTTGATATCGACAGTAATGTTTCTGGTAAAGGAGTTTTGGCTCCAAGAAAGAAAAAGAAAAGAAGATCCTGCCCCATGTGCAGGTCTACTCAGCTATGGCTCAGGAGGGCATTTGGGGTAAAATCCTTTGTTTTTTGGATAAAAGAAGAAAGACCCAGGAATTACATATATATGCCTCTGTAAATATGTCAAAGGGTGAGCAACATTCACTCAAAACAAGGAACGTTTAATGAATGCCTGCTGTGTGTCAAAGGATTCTCAAGCAGTCACATATTTAATCCACCAAATTACCTAGGGTAATTTTACACCAACTTTTCACTTGAAACTGAGATCCAGGGATGTTGTGCCTTCCTGAGGTTATTCTGCAAGGAAGGGCTGGAGTTTGCAGCCAGAGCCTCTGTCTCTGTTTCAAAGCTCACTTTGCAACTCCATAGTTGCCAAAACTGTGGGATGCAATTGACAGTTCATTCTGATGGAGAGTGCGTCCAGAAAATATTTGTTTAAGACAGAAATCCAGATTTGTTCAAAACAGCAATATCCTCTTCAGCCAGTTGTTTGCACAGACATCTTTGCTGCCATCCAGGAAAATCTGAGCACATACCTTCCCGGTGCTTCCCTGCCCTGAGCCAATGCTGTCCTTATTTGACAAGGAAGGGCAGGACAGCCTGTAGCCAAGACTAGGGGACACAACACTGAGTTTCTCTGCTCCCGGGCCCCAGAGAAGTCACTCAACTATAGAGCTGGAGGGACCGCCAGCCTCTGGGAAACGCTGCTCTTTAACCAAACCAGAAAGATCATTGTCTGCCTGTTTTTTGACAGTCAGATAAGAAAACGCCACAGATTCCCTTGAAGAGTCATCCTGGTCAATCAGAAAACTTTTCTCTAAATGGTACGCAGCAAAAACAGAAAGGGTAATTATTAACCTTAACATAGGGATTCCAGATGGCAATCTGTTCTTTCATCTCAATTAAGGGGAAATGGCAGAGACAAAAGTCAAGATATGAAAAACGGAAGAGGCACTGCCTGTGGGTGCTTCAGCTTAGCATTTCAATGGTTTTAGAGCTGGATCTCTATTAGGCAAAACTGAGGTCTCTTCTCAGAAGGTGGACTATCATTTCACTAACAGGATGTTGAGTATTTCTCTCTGATCCCTTGAGTACATGTATGGCAAGTACGTCTCATTACACAAGAATAAGACTAATAGAATTGCTTCCAATATTTTTTGGATGGATATGGTGGGAGGCCATTGAGAAACAGAAGCCAGATTTCACACATATTTAATTTTAAAATACTATTTAAATAGTATTAAGCTTTTCCATGCTTCCGTATTGGCTTGAAATTCATAATGTCATGATTCAAAACACTTTTTCTCTAACTTAGTGATTCAAAATACGTATTTATTAAAGGAAATGTATTGTGCATTGAACTTTTTAAGTTTTCTTTCTTGGAGCTTAATCACAGAAAAACAATTAATAAACAGAACCTTTGCCCAGCAGTCAGTTCTTTCACTGTTAGCTGTGGAATCAAACCTGTCTCTGTGTTTCCCTTGACACACCAACACTAACACCTAACTAGAGCTATACTGACTGCTTGAGGATTCCTGAATATGAATAGTATTTTCTCTACTTTATTATAAATATTTTGAGGTAAATAGCTGAGGCTTTGGAATCAAACAGAGCCAAAGTCAAACTACTAACTCACTATATGTTCTTGGGCAAATTATTTTTCCTCCATGAGCCTCAGTTTTCTCATCTGTTAAATAGGGATAATAATAAATACTTCATAAGATTGTCATTGAAGAATTCATTAGCTAATACATGTAATGTAGGTGTTCAATGAAAGGTAGCTTGTTTTTATCCCCGTTGTTGTTATTAACTTCCTCTTTGTATTAATTTTTTTCTGACAGAAAATAAGTTCTCATTCTTACTTATATTTTCAACCATTGAAATTCCACCTGTTATCGAATGTCCTCTCTCAGGAGCTTCCCCAGTCCTCTCTGCTAGAATTGAATTATCCATTATCTCTAATCCTATGCCTTGTGTAGCACTTGCCACTTATTACACTGTGCTCTAGTTTCTTTTTGCACAAATCTCATCTTCCTAATTAGAATGAAAGCCTCAGGAGGGCAGGAAGCAAAATGATTTTTCCTGTAAAATACCTTTTGAATGTCTGTTGAATGAATATTGAAGACTTCCCTATTTCGTTTTGCATTATTTTTTGAATAAAAACAGAAATGATTTTTCATTTTAGTATTTTTTTAAATTTTAGAATTTAGATATGTCAATTTAGTAAATGTTTCTGTCAGGCCTCTGAGCCCAAGCCAAGCCATTGCATCCCCTGTGACTTGCACGTATACGTCCAGATGGCCTGAAGTAACTGAAGAATCACAAAAGAAGTGAATATGCTCTGCCCCATCTTAACTGATGACATTCCACCACAAAAGAAGTGTAAATGGCTGGTCCTCGCCTTAAGTGATGATATTACCTTGTGAAAGTCCTTTTCCTGGCTCATCCTGGCTCAGAAAGCACCCCCACTGAGCACCTTGCGACCCCCACTCCTGCCCGCCAGAGAACAACCCCCCTTTGACTATAATTTTCCTTTACCTACCCAAATCCTATAAAACGGCCCCACCCCTATCTCCCTTCGCTGACTCTCTTTTCGGACTCAGCCCACCTGCACCCAGGTGAAATAAACAGCCATGTTGCTCACACAAAGCCTATTTGGTGGTCTCTTCACACGGACGCACATGAAAGTTTCATCCTGAAGTTAAGACGTAATAGTTGAAGTCAGGATGAAAACATGTATTGCTGAATGGTCTTATTCTTTTGCTCTGACAGGGCACTGCAGCCATTTGCCTTTGACTCCCTGTAAGTAGACACCATTCCTCCCATATCTAGGTGGTAACACTTCCAAAACAACCTGCAATGCAGCCATGTAACCTCCAGTCCTGCTCCAGTTTTCTCACCTATAAAATAGGTGGGGGATATAATCAGATGACTTTTAAAAGACTGTATTTTTCTTTTCTTTTCTTTATTTTATTTTATTTTATTTTAGGGAGACAGAGTCCTGCTCTATCCCCCAGGCTGGAGTGCAGTGGCACGATCTTGGCTCACTGCAACCTCCACCTCCTGGGTTCAAGCGATTCTCCTGCCTCAGCCTCCCAAGTAGCTGGGATTACAGGCACCCACCACCACACCTGGCTAATTTTTGTTTTTTTTAGTAGAGATGGGGTTTCACTATGTGGGCAAGGCTGGTCTTGAACTTCTGACCTCGGATGATCCTCCCACTTAGGCCTCTCAAAGTGCTGGGATTACAGGCATGAGCAACCGTGCTTGGCGAGAGTTTCCTTTTCTTAGAGTTTCTGGTTTATCATTTTTTAAATGAGAGCATTCTACTTGGTAATTGTGAGGTTTTCTCTTTGTGGAGTGAGTTTTGTTACCTTTTCTTTCCCAGATTACATACATTCCCAATAAGAAAAACAAAAAAAATTAATTTCTTGGGTGTTGCATCCACTATTCAAAAATTTCCCAGCTACTTCTGAACATCCCCCTAGAGTTTCTCAAATATACTCATAAATAAGTTGCTCTGTACTCCCTAAGGATCCCGTGATTTTTTTTTTTTTTTTTTTATTCCAGACTTGTCTTTAGCTGTTCCTACATCTCATAAAGTTGACTATGCTGCTGGGGCCTCACTGTTTTAGGATCAGAGGTTTTGCCTTGGTTTTCTTAGCTTTACAATGAACTACACTCCTACATCTCCTGCACTGCTTTTATGCAAAACTGGCAGATGGGGGATTCTGAGTCCTAGGATAAACATATCTTAGACCACAAGAGGGACTCCCATTCTATAATAATACAATAATTTAGATATACTGTAAGATGTCTGATGATTAATAATAATGTTAATATAAGAGTCTGTCAAAAGTAATTCTTATTAGGAGTCCCCCAGTACAACAAGGATTTAAGTAAATTGGCCAGTCACTGTGATTAGAATGATCTAACAGGTGCGGTGGCTCACGCCTGTAATCCCAACACTTTGGTAGGCCAAGGTGGGCAGATCACCTGATGTCAGGAGTTCAAGACCAGCCTGGCCAACATGGCAAAACTCCATCTCTACTAAAAAAATACAAAAAAATTAGCCGGGCTTGGTAGCAGGTGCCTGCAATCCCAGCTACTCAGGAGGCTGAGGCCGGGAGACTTGCTTGAATCTGGGAGGTGGAGGTTGCAGTGAGCGGAGATTGCACCACTGCACTCCTGCCTGGGCGACAGAGAGAGAGGCTGTCTCAAACAAACAAACAAACAAAAAAAAAAGATGTAAATCATTCCAAGAAGGAGCTAACACTGACTGTGATCATTGGAAGGATGACCTCAGCTTGGCTAGGCCACCTCAGACACTGTACATGGAAAGGATTTATTAGTACTGATAGGAACTTGAGATACAGGGAGGAGGTGCAGAGACACAGATTCTGCTTTTTCTCATGGATTTATGCAAATCATGTGTGAGATGCATATTCTAATCTTTGCAAATGAAGAACTTGACATGCCCAAACTCTTTGCCCAACTACCTACTCCACATTGACAAGAGTTCAGGTGGAAGTCAAAGATTTTAAAATTGAGCCAGGTGAGTGAAGATTGGAGCATTCACAGAAAAGAGCAAAAAAATCACTAAAAAAAATTTTTTTTGTAGCAGTCTCACTCTCTTGCCCAGGCTGGAGTGCAGTGGCCAGATCTCGGCTCACTGCAAATTCCACCCCCCAGGGTTCAAGTGATTCTCACGCCTCAGCCTCCTGAGTAGCTGGGACTACAGGCGTGCACACGATGCCCAGCTAATTTTTTGTAATTTTAATAGAGATGAGGTTTTGTTACGTCGGCCAGCCTGGTCTCAAACTCCTGGTCTCAATTGATCTCCCTGCCTTGGCCTCCAAAGTGCTGGGATCACAGGCATGAGCCACAGAGCCCAGACTAAAAATGCTTTTGCTTTTGTGTGGAATCTCACTTTGAGAAATTCTCCTTTGGATTTTCTCTTTTTTTTTTTTGTAATAGGAAGATGGTGTTGTCAGCCACTTGGGGAATGGTACCTTTTCAGCTGCTGAGTGATGAGACCCGTTGAGTGAAATGTCAAGAAGTTGAAAGTGAATGAACTGTCAGCTGTCCCTCTCCCCAGCTTCTAGTTTGGGTAACAGGGTCCTCAGAGACAATGTACAGGGCAACTCATTTCCTCCATAGGAAGCTACATAAAAGTTTAGGCCAAAACCCCTGTTAGTAATAGAGTGTTAATTATCCTTGTCGGTCCCATCTGCTTGCCTCCTGGAAGACCTGCAAAGATGGAAGGCAGACGGTGGAGGACTCAGAGTTTTAGGATCCCAGCCGTCTATTTCTCTTTCATTAGAAAACCTACTAACACCTACTATGGGCCTGGCTCTGGACTCAGCACTAGAAAGTTGGGGAAATATCAAGGCAAAAATATTTCTGGGACTTATCACTTGGTTACAATTCCCAAAAGGCTGGACTCCATTCAGGATCCCAGATCCAAGCCATTCAGGGGACTCTCTGCTGCAGCAAAGGTTGGGTGCTCACCACCTTCTAGAATGTGACTCTTGCCCTATGAACAGCAGCAAGATGAAGAGATATCTGCACGCCCTTGTGTATTGCAGCAATATTCATAGTAGTCAAGAGATGGAAGCAACCCAAGTGTCCATCAGCAGATGAATGGCTGAAGAAAATGTGGTATGTATACCTATATTCTGCAATGGAATACTATTCAGCCATAAAAAGAATTGAATCCTGTGATTTGCAGTAACATGGATGAACATTATGTTAAGTGAAATGAGCCAGAAACAGAAAGACATGATATCACTCATATGCAGAAACTAACAAAGCTAATCTTGTAGGAGAGTGGTTACCATTGTGCTCCAAGCAAATACACCACTGGGTAAGAGAGGAGGTCATGGGTTCATGGGTACAGGGTCACAGTTGGGAGGAATCTCCTACGAGACAGGAGGAATAAGTTCTGGAATACTGTTGCACAGAAGGGTGATTATAGTTAACAAACTCTTGGTGTACTTCAAAATATTTAGAAGAGAGGATTTTGAATGTTCGTTCTCACAACAAAAAAGATATATATTTGAGATAATGAAAATAACTATCCTGATTTGATCACTACACAATAAATACATGTATTGAAACATCTCACTGTACCCTACAAATATGTACAATAATTATGTGTCAATTAAAGGTTATGATTACATAAATTAAAAACAAATAAAGCCACGGCAACTTACTCTCTGTTTGATGTGCTTCCTTCTTTTCCAAGAGAGAAAGAAGAGATTTAAGTCAACAAAAGAACATTCCCAGGTTGCAAAAGAGGGTCATTTTTTAAAAGAAACTGTTCTACTAGGAAATTGGATTTTTTTTTTCTGTTCACCCACTATTTTTCCATGAATTTATAATATTCTTTTGGGGGGAGATTCGTGGTATGTGGTATTCTGTCTATCAGAGCACTGTGTATTTACATTCTTGCATCAAGACAGCCTGTCCAGCTAGCAAGGCAGGTTGTTAAACTGTAAGAGAGACTTAAAATAACAGAGAGAGCTTATTACAAGCAAGATGAAGCATTGACTGATAGTAAGCATTTCTGAGAAATTCCAGGGAGAAAAACATTTGGCAGTGAGTTGGAAAAATAACCCGGTGGTAAAGAGCATTTCTATCCCTCACCTAACCCATTACCCCAGCCCTCTTGCTATGAGCAATTCTTGCTGTGCCTATCTTCCCCCTTGAGGAGGAAAGACTGAATTAAGTAAAACTGCCATTCTTCCAGGCTCCAAGGTTGTAGAAGTGCTAATAAATGCTGTCCTTGTTACTTTGAATCATTTCCCCAGGGCATTTGTCATTTGTGCACTGAAACATTCTGACAGCCACTTGGCACTTGCATTTTGTCATGTTGTAATGGAGTATATTGCTATTGCATTCAATATATTCAATATTTTTTTCATTCCAATTACATGCAGTGAATCAAACCCTTGCTACAGTGAAATTGGTTTGAAGCCCTCCCCAGAGCCAAGATCCACCAGAGAACCCCGATCTGATGACTGCCGGCGGGTCTGTGCAGTGCCTTCCTCTCGATTTGAAGAGCAGCTAATTTAATTTGTTCTCTTATTTGAGAGTGAACCAGATCATTTGCATTGTAAATAAAACCATTTCTTGTCTTTATTTCCATCATTTTTGGTTGCTTTTGGCGGCTTAACTTGGATAACTTAATCACGGGCCATATGAAAGAAAGCAGAAAAAGATTTTAAATAAGTTTAGGAGTGAGTGCAAAGCAAATCCGTGGCAGTAACAGGTGACTAAAGCATCTCTGCTATCAGACTTTGTAAGCATCATATGGCACTTGAGTTATCATCTCTGCTGCTAGAGGTCAGAGGAAAATTGGAATAGTGGCCTCTCGAAGTAGGTCCTCTATGCTAAATTCAGGCTTGGAACTACATGAAGTGCAGCATTTCAGGGAGACCCTGGTGTTCTACCTGTGGTGGAAGAGCACGACCTCTGCAGCCAGGCCCTGCAGCCAGTGCTGCCTCTGCTCCCCTCAGCCCAGAACCCAAGTGAAGGCAGAGCAGCGCTGTGTAGGATTGCTTCTCTGCAATGGCCATTATGGGATGGAGAATGAAAGGAACAGTTTTAATAAGTATTTTCCTTTTCGCTGTAATTTCACAATTTTGCGATGGCATCCATTCCCCAGAATAGTGAAAAGAGCATGAACTTAAAATAGCAACAAAGATCATTTTTTAAGTCTAAATTACCTGTGTTGTACTTAATCATTATTGATGTGATATTCTCAAGAATTACAATTCTTTCTAAAGATGATGGTATTTTAAGATGGGCTTTCCCCACACACAGGAAGATCTCTGAGGTACCAAGAAGTTTTTTGTGAAGTTGTTCATTCCTTACTTGCTTCATGTACAGTCTTGGTAATAGCCTTGAGCAGCAGGTGGTGGATTGCACGTCCTATTCAGAGCAGTGTGTAGTTTCCTATTCTGCTTATGGACAACATGAAAAACCTCAAGGAAGTTGTGCTTGGGATATGCACTGTCCATCCCAGCCTCAGCTGACTCATTGAAAAGAGGCTGATGGCAATCTCCCTAGAGACTCTCTTTCCTGGGAAGGACAGGGAACTCCAGCACAGCTAGCTCTTGATGGGCCTCGGGGCCATGCCTTCTGAGGCTACCAGGGGACTATTGGGCCTAAGTTGGCATCTACTGCCAAACTAAATCCCCCATGCCTCACCTACTTTGCCCCTTTTGTTCTGATCCTCTCTCCTGTTTCAACGTTTTATCCTCATATTGCTCTATGTTGCCTCTTTCCTCTGCCAAGCCCGCAACAAGTTTCTTCTCCTCTTAACCTTTCCTCAGTGCTCTCTGGAACTCCCTATCCATGGTTAGCCAATTCTACTTCCATGATTATTCCTTTCACCTCCTAACCTTGACCAAACATTGTCACTTCCCTGGGGATTTCACAGCCCCAGAAAGCTTCTCCAGGTGAGAGGCTGCATAGTCCTATGCCCCCTGAGTCAGGTGTTTGGGAAGCTGGATCAGGGAGCTCCTCATTTCCAGCTGCTTCTTCCAGACTCATGTGAATTCCCTCGTGCACAGTTTGAGTGAGCTCATTTGCGGCTCACACAAAGCATTCATATACCACTGATCACCCCTGCTACTCAACGCCTAAGACTTCAGGCCTGCTGGGATCACGTGGCATGCTGATGCCTTTGTAAATCTGATGAATATTGCATAGATTTGGTGTTCTTTTCTTTAGAAATTAAATGTTTAATGCTTATCTATGGCCACCTTATTTTTCCGATCCCTTCACACACATTCTGCTCCCTGACTACACCTCATTTTTGCCCTCTCTATGTGTTGACCCATTACTTTGCTCCAACCTCTGCTTCCCACAAGCCATCTAGTCTATTTCATTCCAAGTTGTTGAGTCTCTGTTCAAGTTCAGTCTTTTTCATGAAATTTCTTCAGGTGTACCACCCCAAGGTGGTTTCTCATCACGTGTATTCGCATTTATTATCTCTGCCTAGTGTTCAAAAATAAAGCGTATACTAGTTGTGATAGCCTCTGAGTCTGTGAAACTTTTGATTCATTTCCCTACCTTTTCAAATCTCCTGTCACTACTGTTTGGTGCCACACAAAAGCCCCTTCTTGTGTAAGCCTGTCCTCCTCCTCATCATCATGGGGTGCAAGAAGAGTGAGACCTGCGTGGGGCAGGCAGACACCTTGCACCATTAAAGGGCAGATTTATCATCACTGTCACATATACGATGATTGAACACAAAAAACTGACATTAGAACTCATTATAAATAGTAATTTAATCACTTCCTTTACATACCTACAAATGTTTTTCATACTTGCAGAATGCAATGCTCTTATAGTGACAAACCCTGCCTAAATCATAGAATTTTAGAGATGAAGGGACATTCAGTTCCTACACTACTTATTTTACCAAAAAAAAATTTTAAATGTATGTTACTTTATCAGTCAGAATAACTTTAAACCAGCCAAAGCTTGCTTTTCACTAATGGTATATATCGAGTATAGGTCAGTGGGAGGATATTAGTTCATCACAGTCTCTCAGGAACACAGGTAGATAGAGTCTATATCATAACACACGCTTCTACTATTGCTGAGGCAGAGAAATCAGAGCTCTGGAAGATCTTTCCCTAGTGACAAAGTTCTGGCCCACGAATGACATCTTTTCACAAAAGCCGGAACCATTGTTCAGGAACAATCCATGACCCACCCAACCACAAAGGAGCCAGGAAGCTCAGTCATCCATGTACGCTGTACTGAAGTTGATGGGCAGCTCTAGTAAACAGCATAACTATAACTACTCTTCAGCTACTTGTGTTATATTTATGCCATTTCATTATAATATGATAGAAGGTAGTAAAATGAGTATGCATTTTGGAGCCAGATAGCCTAGGTTCAGAACCCTGTTCTGCCACTTGTTAGCTGAGCCTGTGTGGCCTTGGGCAACATACTTAATCCCTCTGAGCCTCAATTTTATTAACTTCTAAATGGGTATTTAACAAGGTTACTGGGAGGATTCAATGAGATGGAATGTATAAAAAGTAAAAAACCTAAAAAAAAGTCTAGCAAGTAATACATACTCGATACACATTAGTTTTTGTTTTCCCTCCATCTCCCCACCCACATTAATGTTTTGTTCACCTTCATTTTGTCCTTCCTTACTTCCCTTGTGAGTATGAATTTGTTCTTGCCTTGGGTTTGAAAGATTGAATCCCATTTCCCTCACCAACAGATAAGCACATTCACTTCAATGCTATAACAATACTGTGCTTTCATTAATATCTCCACCATATTTTCTATCTCCAGGGCTGTATTGTTAGAGAGTTTTCTCTATTTGATTTGGTCCAGCTATTAGATCAATTCCTTTCAAAAATTTGTGAATCACTCCTCGCCCTAGCCTCACTTGAATTCTGTTAACATATCTCACCATGAAGATCATAAGCCTTTCAGGGATAAGGACCATATTTCAAACCTTTGTGTCACTCACATAGTCAAGTATTTTGTTACTCACACAATCTCAGGTGTAAAGCAGTTAATTGGGTATATTAGTTTCCTAGGGCTGGCCATAACAATACACAATCTTCTGGGTGGCTTAAACAACCAAAATTTATCATCTCTCTAGAAGCTAGAAATCCAAGATTGAAGTGTCAGTAGGGTTGGTTGCTTCTAAGAGCTGTGTGGGAGAATCTGTTCCTTGCCTCTCCCCTGGTTTCTGGTGGTTTGCTGGCATTCTGTGGCTTATAGAAGCAACACCCTAGTATCTGCCTTCATCTTCACATGGTGTTCTTGTGTGTGTGCATCTGTGTCCAAATTTCCCCTGTTTATAAGGGCATCCATCACTCATACTAGATTAGGGCTCATCACCCCAGTGACCTCATCTCAACTAATTACATCTGCAGCAATGCTATCTCCAAGTGGTCACATCCTGAGGTACTTAAAAAAAAAAAAAGCCTTTTATTTCAGGTTCATGGGGTACATGTGCTGGTTTGTTGCATGGGTAAATTGCATATCACTGAGGTTTGGAGTACAAATGATATTGTCACCCCGATAGTGAGCACAGTACCCAATAGGTAGTTTTTCAATCCTTGTCCCCTCCATCCCTCCCCCATCTAGTAGTTCCCAGTGTCTGCTGTTCCCATTTTTATGTCCATGTGTACTCAATATTTAGCTCCCACTTATAAGTGAGAACATGTGCTCTTTGGTTTTCTGTTTCTGGGTTAATTTGCTTACAATAATGGCCCCTAGTTGCATTCATGTTGCTGCAAACAACATAATCTTGTTCATTTTTTATGGCTATGTAGTGTCCTGTGGTGTATATATATTACATTTTCTTTATCCAGTACACTGTTGATGGGCATCTAAGTTGATTCCATGTCTTTGCTATTGTGACATTCTGAGGTACTGGGGGTTAGGACTCCAACACATGAATTTAGTAAGCCCCAAAATTCAACCCATAACACATGAGTAACTGTAATCGGGATGAATATTTAATTATCTTGCAGAGAAAATAGTATGACCTCAATGTCTTTGCCACATCAAATATGATTTTCAAAGTGTCGAGAACTTGATACTGCAATAAATGTAAAGTGAACAGGTATCCAAAAATTGTTTTACCTAATTCACCAGAGAACTAGCAGGATGATAAAACTAATTTCAAGAATATTTGAGGAACAGAGGTTTACATATTCCTCAGAAAAGATATGGTGAAATAAGTTTACAGAGTTAGAAGTTAAAGTGACAAATGGCCTACAAACTATAAACCCACAACCTTTGGGGTCACCTTTTCTGTGATCATAAATTATATACACCTCTATTGAATACGAGTCAGCAAATTAATATGTAACATCCCAGAGTCTTGGCTCCAATCAGTAGTATACAGCAGGTCAAACAAAGACACATATCCCAGTATAATTGACTGTCTCTTGGGTAGCATGGTAGGATATTGAAAGGACTTGGAGCCATTCTTTTCCCTTATTTTCATGCTTTAGATATGTTTTTTTAGAACCTTCCAGCCAAAATCATCTCAAAGGATTATCACTAATTACAAAAGGGCTGGTTTCATAATGATTCCACCTGATTAATTTATATAAGTTAAGCAAGAAGTGTTATTAAACCATATAACCTTCTTTATAATCACCCGATCTTTATGATTATTAAGCACAGTTACTAAAATCAAAGAATTAACTTTTGTCTGGAAATTTTATAAAGAATCTTGGACTCTGAATAAACTTTTAAAAGCCTCTATTATTTGTTCTTCAATCTGGAAGCTAGGAAGCCAAGCCCAAGAAATTCTCTCACCTAGGTTTCACTTGCAATATCTATAAATGTGGGTGAACTCTTCTCTCCTGGAGTTTATCAATATCTGCTAACATACTTGACCTTCAAAGAAATGACCTTCCTTACTCCCTGTAATGCTAGGACTCTGTAAATACAAAACAGGTATCAGACTAGTTTCCTGGGAGGGCTTTATAGGTATTGATTCCACTTGTGAATGAGCTACCTTTGTTCCTGAATTGTGATCTTATCACAAAAGTGTTAAATGAGTTATCAAACATGACACTCCAAATAAGTATTTGGTTACACGATAAATTTCTTCAATTATATCCTGGTAGAAAGGAGATCAGGTACATATTGAACCTATGCAAATAACCACATTGCCGTGAAAAGTAAACATAGTAAAATGCTTGTTTCTATATTTTGAGAGATCAAGAAGGGAAAGATAACATTTAAAGAATGTTTCTTTTCAAGCTGCAGAATTATTTTGTGCTAAGTTGAGGGATAGAGACAGATGAAGAGAAAGGGAAAAGGGTTTTCTGGAATAACAGTAAAATACAGAATATTAAAAACAGTATCAATAATATTTCAAAGCAAATAACCATAATTCTATTTTCCTCCTTATCGATCCTAGTTAATCTTTTTTTTTTTTTCTGCTGGATCTTGGGACAGCAGTTGCTTTCATAAAATCATCTCATTCTGGATTGACAAAAGCTCTGGAAATCCTCACTTAATCCAAATACAGTCAGAGTTGCCTAAGTCACGTCAGTTTGAAAGCCCACACTGTAAAATATCAGTGTTAAGTGCATTAGTCTGCAAAGACTTCCATAACAAAAGTACTACAGACTGGGTGGCTTAAATTATATACATTTATTTGCTCACAGTTCTGGTGGCTGGAAGTTCAACATCAACATGTCAGCAGGACTGGTTTCATTCTGAGGCCTCTCTCCTTGGCTTATAGATAGCTATCTTCTCCCTTTATCTTCACATTTTTCTCTGTGTCTGTGTCCTAATCTCTTCTTTATAAGAACAATAGTAATATTGGCTTAGGGCCCATAATGTGCCCTTATTTTACCTTAATTATCTCTTTAAAGACCATATCTCCAAGTACAGACACATTCTGAAGCACTGGGGGTTAGGACTTCAACATATGAATTCTGTAGGACATAATTCAGCTTATAACATTAAGTATATCCAGTTTAGTCCTTTTAAAAATATATTTTCATGGGTACATAGTGGGTATATATATTTATGGGGTACATAAAAGATTTTGATACAGTCACACAATGCTCAATAATCACATCAGGGTAAATGGGGTATCCATTGCCTCAAGCACTTACCATTTCTTTGTGTTACAAAAATTCCAATTATACTCTTAGTCATTTTTAAATGTACGATAAATTATTGTTGACTGTAGTTACCTTATTGTGCTATCAAATACTAGATCTTATTCATTCTATCTAACTATATGTGTATATATATGTATACATATAGGACCCATTAACCATCCCCGCCCTTCCCGCCCCCAACTGGTTCAGTCTTTAGCAAGAAGCTCTCAAGTTTTCCTTTGTTGACAACCAAATTCATGACTTCAGGCAATTGTGAGCAGAAAGTAGAAACAACTTGGCAATGTTAAGGTTGAATAGCTGTTAATTTTTTACAGTAATAAATAATACAGTGATAGAGAAGTAGAAAATTCTCTATTTAAGTACACAAATACACAACTCTTTTGTAAGGATCAAATCAATGTTTCCACTCAGGGTAAGAATATATTATGGACTAACAAATTTTCATGGCCATCCAACGCATCTTGTAATGTGTGCAATCTATATAATATGTATTTATATTAATAATGTTTTCCCTGCACAAAATTAACCTAGAGAAAGCAGAGCTTCTTCTTTTATTTGACAATTATGAAATTCATGCAACAAGTTGAGCTAATTAAGAGCAATGAAACCAGGAAGTCTGATTATTTTTATCATCTCTTTCTATAAAAGACAAAATGTTTATGATTTTCTTTTTTCTTATCTTTTCTTTTTTTTTTTTTTGGAAATAGCATCTTGTTCTGTAGCCCAGGCTGAAGTACAGTGGCACAATCATAGCTCACTGTGGCCTCTATTTCCCAGACTCAAGTGATCCTCCCACCTCAGATACTCAAGTAGCTGGGACTACAGGGACACGCCACTATGTTCTGCTAATTTTCTTTTCTTTTTCAGTAGAGATGAAGTTTTGCTTTGTTGCCAATGCTGGTCTCAAACTCCAGAGCCTGAGCTCAAGCAATCCTCCCACCTTGGCCTCCCAAAGTGCTGAGATTACAGACAGGAGCCACTGCACCCAGCTTAAAAGTTTATGATTTGCTAATATTCATCTGGAAAATCTCAAAGATAGTTTTAGGTGTAAAAGACATTGTGACTTTATTTTTTAATTTAAGACTAAATCTTGTGAAGAGAAAATGAAAAGTGATATTAGGGAAGAGATCATCATTTATTGACTTTGGAACATATGTGTGTAAGAGTAATAAATGGTTGAGGTAATACTGGTTGAGTTTAACTGCATGTTAATTAAAGTGATATTATCATATTTTAAAATAAACATAAATTAAGAAGATAAATTGGAAGAAACCACAACAGTTCAGAACTGAGAAGCTGTTGCTATTTGTTTCTTAAAACAAATCAAGTTATACAACAAAGTCGTTACAAAGCACAGAAAGTTATTTTGCTGACATATAAAATCCTGCTTTCTGGCAAGATTATCCAATGAGTATAGAATATTCTTGTGTTCGCTCTTATTAAGGGTAGATTAGATACTCCAAACCTTATTTGTCACTTGAAGATTGAAAAATTGACACTCTACTCTTTTTTTAATGAAATTATTTTATAAATTGTATTAGTCTGTTCTTACACTATTATAAAGAACTACCTGACATTGAGTAATTTACAAAGAAAAGAGGTTTAATTCATTCAGTTCCACATGCTGTACAGGAGGCATGGCTAGGGAGGCCTCAGGAAACTTACAATCATGGTGGAAGGGTGAAGGGAAAGCAAGCATGTCTTCACATGACGGCGGGAGAGAGAGAGAGAGAGTGCAAAGGGGGAAGTGCTATGCACTTTTAAACAATCAGAACTCATGAGAACTCACTCACAATGATGAGAACAGTAAGGGGGAAATCTGGCCCCATGATCCAATCTCCTCCTACCAGGTCCCCCTCCCAACACTGGGAATTACAATTCGACATGAGATTTGGGTGGAGACACAGAGCCAAATCATATCATAAATGAACACATCAAAACCAAACTCTTGAGAACCAAAATCCTTCTCTTCTGACCAAGATGGAGTAACAGAGACAGGATTTATCATTCCACCTTAAACAACCAGAACACTGAAAAAAATTACATGAGGCAATGATTTTTTCAAACATGGGACAACAGTAAACAAACGACCATTATCCCTGAAAGAAGGGGAAAAAATCAGGAGAGCTTTATGTTTGCTCCAGCTTATTGCTTGGAGACAATTGAATTTGTAGTTAAAACCTTCCAACAGAGAAATTTTCATGCCAAACGTTTTCATTAGTGAATAATTTTGAACATTAAAAAAAATATCAGTTTACATAAATATGCTAGAAAATTGAAGAGGAGAGAACACTTCTCAACTCATTTTATGAAGCCAATCTTAGCTTAATAAGAAAACCAGACAAAGACACTATAAGAACAAAAAACCACAAATCAATATTCTGCATGAATATAGAAGTAAAAATCTTTAAGGTAATTTTGTCAAGTCGAACTAAGTAATTTACAGAAAGGATAATAAACAGACCAGATGATGTTTACCCCAGGGTTGCCAGTTTAGATTAGCATTAGAAAATAAGTCAATGTATTTCATATTAACAAACTAAAATAGAAAATAAAAACATATGATCTCAACAGATATGAACCCATAAACAGACAAAGAAAGAGAACTTAACCTGATAAAGGACATCTACTAGGGACTTACGGTAACTGATATCATACCATTCTTAACCATGAAATAATGAATGTATTCCCCCTAAGAGAAGACAATTTCCGTTCTCACCACCACCATTAAACACTGTGTTAGAGATCTTACACAATGCAATAAGGCAAGAAAAATAAGGCATACAAATGTTTTATTCATGGACAAGTACTTGCCCTGCCATTGTATAAAATCCTAAGTGATCCACAAAAAGACAATTCAAACTAACACAGAAGTTTACTAAGAGAGATATACGATCAATATTAAGAAATCATTTGAATTTCTCTATATCAGCAATAACAATTGGATATTGAAATTAATAACACCATTTATAATAACATCAAAATATACAGATTATTTAGAGATAAGTTTGATAAAAATTGTGCAAGATGTATATAATGAAAACTAAAAAACATTGAAAAGAGAAATTTTTAAAGAATTAAATGAATGAAATATATAAAGCAATCAGAAAAGGGCTCTTTTAATTTTACAGGCTTTGTAATCTAATTTATTAATACTTTCTGGAAGTAGAAAATATTTCAATCTTACACAATGAGAGATAAATGTTTTTCTCAATTATAGTCACATAAATGCAAAGAGAACTTACAACACCAGTTCCACAACATTAGCCAAGGGTCAAAAATAAACACAGAACAAAAACGTCTTAACAGTCCAGATCTCAAAAGGCTTCTCTCCTATCTAGAGAGTATGAAATATTTTCATAGTTGATCTGACTGCATTAAAAACACATTAACAAAAAGACACAATTTTAATTTCTCTGATGTATCTCACTCCTTCAAAGATAGCTCTTCACTGTCCACACAAGAGAGATCACAAAATGATCAGACCGTAAAACAAGGTTCCTGGTTATCACTGTCTCCAACAGCAAATAATTTACCAGTGGTGCACAAATTGTATTCCTATATATGAGATGCTTTTCTGACTACTCAGATGAGTCCAGCCCAGTAGTCTGATAATCTTTAATCTCTGGACCCCGTTGTAGAAAGACACAATGCCCAAACGACCAATTTATGTACAAGTTTTTCTATTACTTACACAGTCACAACCAGTCTGGTGATCTGAAAACTACTAATCCCTGGTCTCACCTTTGGAAAGGAATACAGCCCTAGCTCTGATAGACAGACATTGATAGACCAACAGATTTAGCCATGAACCAGAAAGAACACAAAAATATAAAAGGAAAAAAAAAAAAAGAAAAACAACCAAACAAAAAGATTCAGGACAAAAAAAAAGGTTCTAATGCTACTTGAAATTCATTCTGGGAGGCCAGAAAAGATATGTCTAGTCTTTAGCAGCCCAGGAAGTACACTTATATGGCAACATGGTATAATTGGCTCTGGTAAGTGTGAGTCCACTAGGACATCTTAGTGGAATGACCTCAAAAATTGTTACATAATAATTCATTGTATAAATTTCAAAAGGTTAAGAAACATGAGTGTCTTAGTCCATTTGGGCTGCTTTGACAAAATACCATAAACTGGGTAGCTTATAAGCAATAAACATTTATTTCTTCTAGTTCTGGAGGCTGGGACATCCAAGATCAAAGTGCTCACAGATTGCCTGGTGGACCCATTTTCTCAAAGAGATGGCTTCTTATTGTGTCCCCACATAGTAGGGGGGGAAGGGTTTCTCTGGGGCCTGTTTTATAAGGGCACTGATTCCATTTATGTTGGCTCTGCCCTCATGAACCAATCACCTCACAAAGGTTCCATCTCCTAATACTATCACATTGGGGGTTAAGATTTCAACATATAAATTTTAGGGGCACACAAACATTCAGACCATAACAAAGATTCATATAAATATAGAATAAACACATTTCAAAGATTTATTTAACTCATTAATGAGGCAACCAGCCAAATTTAGTTAAAACGGGGGAGAGCATTTCAGAAATATAGTCTTTTAGAAACAGCATGCTAAAATAAGTGTGTTAAGTTGGAAGAAAATTTCAGTATGGTAATACCCAACGGTAGATAAAACTTGGTAACCTTTGGACTTCTTTTTCTTTGAAGCTCTTCCAGACAAAATCAAGTTAACACACTTTACAGAGTGTAGGCCCTAGCCAAAATAAACAACAAGTCAAAAAATATATATTCCTGTATCAGTCCATTCTCACACTGCTGTAAGGAACTACCCAAGACTGGGTAATTTATGAAGAAGAGAGGTTTAATTGACCCACAGTTCTGCATGCTGTACAAGAAACATGGCAGGGAGGTCAAAAAACTTACAATCATGGTGTAAAGCAAAGGGGAAGCAAGCATGTCTTACCGTGGGGGAGCAGGAGAGTGAGGGAGAAAAGAGGGAAGTGCTACACACTTGCAAACAACCAGGTCTCATGAGAACTCACTCACTATCATGAGAACAGCAAGGGGTAGCTGCCCCCATGATCCAATCACCTCCCACCAAGTACCCTACCCCAACATTGAGGATCATAATTCAACATGAGAATTGGGTGGGAACACAGAATCAAACTGTATTGGTTTTGTTCTCATGCTGCTAATAAAAACATACCCAAGACTAGGGGTAATTTATAAAGGAATTTCTAAATTCCTTTATAATTTATAAAGGGGGTGATTTATAAAGGAAAGGGGTTTAATGAACTCACAGCTCCACATGGCTGGGGAGGCCTCACAATCCTGGCTGAAGGTGAAAGAGGCGCAAAGTCATGTCTCACACAAAGGCAGGCCAAGAGAGCATGTGCAGGGGAACTCTCCTTTATAAAACCGTCAGATGTCATGAGACTTATTCACTATCAGGATAACAACATGAGAATGACCTGCCCCCATGATTCAGTTACCTCCCACCAGGTCCCTCCCATGGCACATGGGAATGATGGGAGCTACAATTCAAGATGAGATTTGGGTGGGGACACAGCCAAAAACCATACCACAAACCATATCAATTCCTCTAGAGAACTAAGTACTTTTGGGACAGGCCCATTAGAAAATGTGCTGAATGACAGCCTTCCTTTCCTCTAATTTTCAATATTCACCATTTTTTTCTTAACAGCTCCAAGACAGGTATTTGTCTTTAACATGGACCCCAATCAGGAAATGATTATCCCCATCAAAATAGCAGAATTTCCCCTACCTCTGATTGCTGTAAATCAGAATAGAATGCCAAGATGCAAGTGAAAAGAGCACCTCAAGATGCAGGATCATGCAAACTGAGAAAGAATCTACTCTCTAATCATAGGAAATCTGTAGCAGGGACTCGGTGTGCACTACAGTGCACTACTGAGCACAAATATAGGGCTGTCGTTAATAAGGAACCACTTAAGGTGAAATTTGAGAAATTATAGAAGCACAGACTGAGAGGATTTAATATCATCTGTAAAAACTCTTCAGTCTTTGAATACATTCTCTATGAGCTAACAGAGATATAGATTTCAGAAACTAGACTCATTTTAACAGGAAGGAGCCAAAAATAGAAGGGACACACATCCACAGGAAGACCCACAATCACTGAGCAAACAGAGACTTGCCCTGTCTCTTTTCAGCTTTCATGTGCAAAATCGAAGAATTATTCTAAAATTATACATTGTATGCCTGCAACGTGCAAGCACTGTGCTAGGTGACATGGGAAATTCAAAGGTGAAGGAGACAAACATTTAAGTTCTAATTTAGTTCCATCCCTAGCCTAGTATATGACACCAGAAAATCCAAATGTTGCCAGAATTCGGTTTTCCAAGGGGTAAAAATCTCTCAGGTTTCTTGAAATTGCACAAGACTATAAATCTATAATTTTATAAATCCTGTCCTCAAAGAGTTTAGTGATTTTTTATGAAGACTTCAAAAAATATACACAGTGGGATGGGAGTGGGAGGGAGTTCCCAATACAGAGATTATTTTATTCAGAAGTTTTCAAATTTTACATTACTTTTTACTTTTGGTGATGAATTATTTGCTCAAAAGCATTATTAACTAGAAACCTAAAGAAGTAAAACAAGTATGTAGAGATGTTATGATGGAATCAGTTGGGAGATACCAGGCCCCTGACTTGGTGGATGCTCCCATCTTGATCTTCGGACCTCTGTGGATCCTAAGCAGCTCCACAGAACTCCCCAGGGCTCTCTAGAGCATGTCAAAAATCATTTAAGAAATCCAACGTACTTCTTTTATGGATAATATAATAATAGCCAAAGAGAAGTCAAGTTTTCTTAATCAGGAAATGTTCTTTCCAAGTTCACGAGATCAGGGACAGAATGAGGACTGGGTCACTCCTGCAAATAAGTCTCTTCTCCAGATACTCTCTGGCACTCTATGTCATCTCCCCTAATATGCTGATCATCTTTCTGTATACCATCAACTCATTTGCTCTCTTTTCACAGTCACTCCTCAGAATGCAAAAGGGACTCATATTTGCTTTCGATTCTATTAAACCTTATTTTTATAGACTTGCAAAGGGACCATTCAACACCAAGATCAATCTATCTAAACATTTTCCTAAGAGTTATCTGGTAAATGAAAAGACCAAAGGAAAGATGTCTTGGGGCAAATAACATAGCATGCTGGGCGACACTTTCCTCCTAGAAACATTTGTAAAACTTTCATTTTTGTTCATGAACATAGTGATGGAGGATTTTAAAATTTTTTCTAGAGCTTCAAAGGTCATTTTAAAATTTTTCCATTTTCTCTGTCATTTCCTGCTCCTAGATCAGGTTATATATTTCCTGCTGTGACTCTATGTTTCCCAGTGAGGCAGATTCTTATTGTTCTTTTAGTGTTTGTCAATTTAATGAACTGTTTTATGACTTAGACCCAAATAATGGAGCTTTTGTGGGAAAAGGCAGGGGACAGGAAAGAAAGGAGAGGAGAAGGGGGTGTAGAGTAAAGTGATAAACTCTAACACATTGGGATTGCCTTTTAAAATCCTACACAGTTTCTTCCCCCATTCAGATAACTTGCTGACCTTATCTTATGCTACATCTGATTGCAATTACTTCAGTTTGTTAGGCTGACCAATTTTAGAAACTTGGACAATGTACTTCGTTGCAATCAGATCTGCATTAAAACTCAGAAATGAAGGATAAATCAGTTATTGCCATTGAAGTTGCTATGGTGTCTTTTTTCCAAAAGAAATACACTCATGTCAGCAGGCCTGAACTTTCGTTTCTCCAAACTTCTAACATGACATCTGCAAATAAGTCTGGTACCTTCTACATAATTAATCTGTAATCTCATAAAACCCAGTTACACGCTGTTTCAATAGTTCTTCCTAATTCCTATCTGCTTGTCTCCTTTGTAAATTTTATAATTATTGACAAAACACTTGAAGATACAATGCACACAGAGAGGAAAAAAAACCTAGGGAAGAGCCAGCATATTTTTTTCAGCTTTAGAATTTTAATCCTCCTTATTCACTAATAGATAGCAATTTATCTTTCCGCCAGGCTGCCATGCCATAGGTAGAGTGATTTGGTAACTTCTTAACACAATGTTATTTGAAGGGTATAAAATAAGACATCTCTGATGTAAAAATTCCCCCCACAAATTGTTGTAACCTCCAAAATTCCCCACCCTTACCTTCTGGAGTGAGGATCTATGCAGAAGACTCAATGAAAATATAGACGTGTCACTGAGAATGCATACTAGGATCTGTGGTAAATACATTGTCATTTCCCAAGTAGAGAGCCCTGAGGGGGTAAGATGGGACTTTAATGGGGATATTGAGTCAGGAAGGCAGCAGAGCCTTTAGGGCAAGCAGGCAGTCACCCTCCCTTGCTTCATAAAATCACACACACACACACACACACATATATATAGTTAGCAAGGAAGTACAGGCCTAGGAGAAACACTTTGACAGAGCCACCAACAAGTATGGGATACTGAGAAAGTCAACTATTTGCCCAGCACGGGTGGTCTCAAACACATTACCTTATCTTATCTTACCTTCATCCTCAAGACACACATGAGAGTTAAAGGCAACCATACTAGTGGAAAGAAAAGAAAATCAGCTCCAAAGACTTCAAGTTCACAGAGCTACTTTATATCAGCATCTGGATTTGGATTCATGATCACACTCTCAATTTCACTTCCTCACAGGAACTATAGGAAGGTAGAATGTATGGAACATGACACATGGCAGGGAGACAGAGGAAGCCAGATGCCACTGGTGCCTATTTCACAATTTTGCTTCTTGTGATATCTGGCATGTGAAAGTGAAATGAACCCTAGCTCTGATTAATTCTGAGTGGAATAGAAAAACTGAATTCCAGATGGGTAAATATTCAGCTTCCAGTTGATTTGCTGAGGCTTCTCTCCCACCTCTTCCGTGAGTTCGCCCTGTGCTCCAATATTCTACTTTGCCCCATCTGTGCATTTGTTCATGCCATTCCCTCTGCCAGGAAAGTTCTTTTCTTCCTCTATGCTTGTCAAACTCCAATGAAGTGGAGTCACTTCCAGTGCAGGAGTTACATTATAAAGTCAACACATGGGCATAAATCAACTTGGTCAAAGTTAATCTTTAAAATGCCTGAAATCACCTTTAAAGTTCAATATCCTTGCACGTGTCATTGTAAATCTCTACAGCCTAAGAGAACAGAGGCTTCCGAGGCAACAGTAGATTCATGTCTTCCATCTCATGCTCTGTCCAGGATGCATTCTCATCAAATAGGAGGGTGGTTGGAAATGACCTTGACCTAACTTAGTTGCTTTGTCTTCTTCTCTTCTAATTTATAGCACATGTAATTCAACTCATGTAAATTACTCATGTGATTTGCTGTCAGTCATTCAAAGTGGATTGATATCATACTTCTTCAATAGATATGAAACCAACCTTTCATCTCGTTTGGTGCTTACTTTATTCTTCCTTGTAATTATTGTTATTGGACCCCTCTGCATGGATTATAAGATTTCTATGGTCACAGATTGTTTTTCATTCATATTTCTAGGCCTCACTATGCATAATAAATGTGTTGAATTTTAATAAATTAAAATGCTAGTTGTATAGAGATAGTTTTTCTCTGGCTGGCCAGAACCACTTGCTGAAATGTCCCCAGATACTTTATGGCCTCTATGGGTAAAGCAGGCATGGGGAGGCTAACTGGAATAGAAAACTCTTAGGAGAGGAAAGGCCCCAAGCCCAGCCTGGCAGCATCAGCTAGGCAAAGTCAATGGTTCCAGTGTAAGGTAGGGAAAGTACCTATCCTCACCATTGTCTAGAATGCCAGAGGTTTGCTAGGCAGAAGTGGCCTTGCCTTGGGATTGATGGACTGTTTACTGGAGCCAAGAAGACCTCATCACAGACTGAACACTGCTTAGGAAGGGAAATGGACGGAGGATGTCTTTGGAAGAATCTTAGGACAGAAGTGTCATGATGAATAGGGAAGACAGCTTTCAAAAATCTTTCCTTGTGTGGCCAAATTATGGGCTGTGCTACAGGATTATAAACCCCATCTGAAGAGATTATCCAAAATAAGCACAGTGGGGAGACATGTCCTTTCCACTTTCATATGGACTCAATGCTGACCTTAATGTTTAAATATCTGTTCATCCTAAGTTTGTCTTTCTACATTGGCAGCTTTTAGGTATATGACTAATATGATTTGGCTTTGTCCCCACCCAAATCTCACCTCGAATTGTAATAATCCCCATGTGTCAAGGGTGGGGCTAGGTGGAGATAATTGAATCACGGGGGCAGTTTCTCCCATGCTGTTCTAGTGGTGGTGAATAAGTTTCATGAGATCTTATGGTTTTATAAATGGGAGTTCCACTGCGCAAGCTCTCTTGCCCGCCACCACGTAAAAAGTGCCTTTGCTCTTCCTTAGTCTCCTCTGCCACGATTGTGAGACCTCTCCAGTCACATGGGACTGTGAGCCCATTAAACCTCTTTCCTTGATAAATTACCCAGTTTGGGGTATGTCTTTATTAGTAGCATGAGAACAGACTAATATGACAATCTTGAGTGAGTTTTTAAACTGTTCTGTTCCTCAGCGTTTTTTCTTTTTTTTAATCTCTTAAATGGAAGTAATAATCATACTTATTTGAAAGGGTTGCTTGATGGATTAAATGAGTGAGTTCACACAAACCACCTAGGATAGTATCTGGTCCTGAGTAAGCTGTCAATACTTGTACCTTATTAATCTTCATCAATTCATCTATTGACCACAGCTTGACCTCTTACTCTATTTGGCACTGCTCCATTTCACATACCCCAGCCGTGGTGCTCAACCTGCACCATCTCAGTTTCAAGACTCTGCCCATATTCCTCTCTCAAGCTGAGTGGCAGAGTCTGTTAATTGTTCCTGGTATCTTTTCTCTGCCTCTTTCCCCTGAGTTTTAGCTGATCCCCAGTCACTCAGCCAAAGACTACCTTTCCCAGGCTTCCTTGCAGCTAAGTGTGGCCCTGAAACTAGGTTCTGGCCAATGGGAGCTGAGATAAGTTGAAGTGTACAATTTTCAGATCATGCTATTATAGAAGAAGAAGTATGCCCTCCATTCTGCTGGCAGAAGTGTGAGCATACCACAAGATGGAAGCCACGTGTGAAGGCAACAGAGCAAGAAGACAGGATGAGCCTGGGTCCCTTGAGACTTCCCAGGGCAGAGCCACCCACATTTAAACAAGCATGGCAGGTTAGCTTTACTTTCTCTTATGGATTATCCTTTTCTACTTGGCACCTTTGCTCTTTATGGTCTATTATAACCTATATCAGAGACAAGGATGTCTAAAAAGAGGATCAATTCCAGGTCTCTAAGAACTTATGGTTTTCAAAGATCTTAAAGTGAAAAAAATGACAAGTTGATTACTCCACATTCTACTGTAAATAAATTACAGAGGCTGGCTATTTCCCCCCTTCCTTGCTTGTCTTTGGGTTTGAGAAAAACTGATTTATCATCACTTACCTCTTTTTCTTGCTAATCGGTACAATTTTTAAATATTGAGACACCTTGGCTAAATCATAAATGTTTTGTTAACATGCATTCATTGTAAAAACTTGCCTTGACTCATCTATGATTGTTCCAAAGATTTATATGACCAATTCATGTCTGTTTCTCCACAGAATGATCTTCTCTCGCTTCTGAATATCTGTCAGCACACATCTGTGCCTGTGTGTACAAAAACTTCACCTCATGAGAGCCCCAGATTTGACAGAATCAAGTTTGCCTCATTTTTCAAACAGTGTTAACTCAGTTTAAAAATACTTTTCTCATTATGTTATTGCAAGGGTCTTTTATTCCATCTCATGCTTTCGTCTATTTTGGATCTAACATTTATTTAATTAGAAATCTATTATTGGGGAGGGGGCACAAATAAAATTTAGCTACCACTAACCACCCCCTGTCAAATGGTGGTACATTAAAGAAAAGAAGGAAGGTATTACTTTCTTCAGATAACATAAGACAAACATTTAAAATTCGGTCCACTTGGAAAATGCTTTCTCCACATCTTCTTTTATGTGGAGGGTGATTTCCTTTTTAGTGGGTTACACAATGCAAATGAGGCACAGTTCATTTATATCCAAGTCCAGGGAAATGAATTTATAGGCACTCCAGAGGAAAAGTTCCATGGAGATATTCAAGCTTTCTTACTTTCAGACTATCGGAAGCTCTGCAATATATGTCTTTCCCTAGATATCTTAAGGGCACCCAATAAAGCCAGTTTTGCCTGAGAAAAGCCATTTACACCCCTGCTTTCCATGGAAGACTAATTGGAATCGCTGTTACCATTTTAAATCTCTTCAACGGGTTAGGGTGTTGTTATCAGTATAACTCAATCAACCAACATATACTTAATGATTTCCAGTTAGAAGAAAGCTTCTTCCTTCTACAAAACATACAAGGAAAAACACTATTTCTGCCCTGAAGTAGTTGCCAGTCTAATTGCAAAAACTTGTGAGGGTCTCTGGCTTTTCAAGACCCATTAAAAAGACAAAGTCATGTCCTGCAGTGCCCCATAAATGGGTCTACACTCTCCTTTGGCAGTTCCAGTCCATCTTGTGTGTCATCGTATTGCCTAAGTTTGAATAAGCCTTTTAATCTTCAGTAAATTAAATTCTTAGCAGGGGCTTATAAATCCTGTTGTTCTCAATGCCTAACCCAGTGCCTGATCCACAGAATACATTCATGAATAAATAAAGGAGTGGATGAGTTGGAAGCAGAAAGTAAAACAGTGGTTACCAGAGATTGAGTAGGGGAGGCAGGAGGGGAGGATGGAGAAAATTTGGTCAACAAGTACATAGTTAAAACTAGATAGAAGAAATAAGTTCTGATGTTCCATTGCACAGTGGCGTGACCACAGTTAACAGTAAGGTATTGTATATTACCAAATAGCTAGAAGAGAGGCGTTTAAATGTCCTCACCACAAAGAAATGATAAGTGCATGAGGTGATGGTTATACCCGATTTGATCATTATACAATATATATGTATCAAACATCAAATTGTATCCCATAATATGTATAATTATAACATGTCAATTTTAAAAAAAAGCAAATGAGTAAATTTTTAATACAGTCAATGTAGGTTACAAAACTATTTAATTCATCTTCAGGTCTACACCCAGGACATTCTGGCACAATAATTTCTATTTATGCCCAAGAGGCACTAAAGATCCCTTGATTCCATTTATCTATTCAAATTTTCAACAAATATTTATTGAGAGTTCAGTATCTGTGCAATATTTTCTTAGGTGCTGGGAATACGATGGGAGTAAGCCAAGAATTTGCCCTAAGGAAGCTTATATTTTAGGGAGAAAATGACGAGGAAAGAATCTCTCTATAGCAAAAAAGCAGCCAGCCAGGGAAGGAATACTACACCACATCAGCTTGGGCTTACAGGTAAATAAATGGGACTTGTCTATTAAGATTTATTAAATTCAACAACAAAGTGGCTTTGATCTCACAAGTGAATAAACCAAAACGAATTACTCCTTGAAAAGTAGAAATGAAAAATTATTACATTTCTCCTTCCTAATTGGTACATCCATAAGGGAAACATTTAAAAAAAAAAAAAAAACTAAGATAAAAATCAAAAATGTGCCCCAGGAAGAACTATCTGAACTATATTTGCATGAAATTGTATTCTGTGCTTAAAGCCAATGTTTCCCTAATTTATGTGTTATCCCTCCTTAATTCCTCCTGTCTCCTTTAACAGTCTTTTACAAATGCATTGACTTCTTCACTAAAATTCTCATGAGGGCAAAAACACAGACAAGATGCCCAATTGTAAAAACTTACTTACGTCTTATATAATCTACTGAATAAAATACTGTTAATGAAAAACATCAAAGTGATGCATTTAACCCATGTGGAAGTTAACACCACTTAGCTTCCCTCTTCCTCCCCCGTAATAACAGAAAAATGAATGACTGAGGTAGGCATTAGTGATAGAGGAGGTGGACATATCTTTCTTTCTAAAATTTAAATTTCTAATTTTCTCTTTTTGAATAATAATCAGCCAGGTGCCTTTGATCACCAAGGGTAGGTAAAGACAGAAAGTTGAAATACATTCTTCATGAAGTAGCAAAATCATTTTTAAAGTAGGAACTTTGAACTTAAAATATTACTGTTTATTGTTCATCATACACTTTATGTCTCTTGCTAAATAATAAATTAGACTACATAGAGCTTCCTCCATATATTTATGTCTGCTGAAAATATTTGGCTAAATTCATTTTGGAAATACTTCACTTCCATGAAATATTGACATGGCAAAGACCATGTCAGAAACTTTGCCATTTTTCTGTGGAAAATAATACACGTGTCAGCCATACATTATTCCTTCCCACACTTTAATGCTTAATGATTAAACATTTGAAAAGTACTATTTCTAAATATTCTTCCAGACTACCTGTCCAACACAGAGTTAGCTATTCCAGTGCAAAGTCCTGGCTCCCAGACAACTAAGGGACCTTCGGAAAGGGGTAGAAAATGGCGGCTTCTCACCGGAGCCCTAAAACTGAGTAAACTCTAGGAAGCAGAAAAAGTGTAGAAGGGGAAGGAGAAGGAAAGGGAAGGAGTCTGGCATCTGTGATGGAGCTGGCCAGGTGTCTACAAACTCATTTCTCCTTCTGAGCTCAGGAATAAGCCACATTTGCCACCCATGCCTGGCAGTTAGCAGTGGCCATGAGACTGAGTTCTGGGCTGTGCGGAACGTGGGCACAAGTGGTGCTCACCACTTCAGGCCTCACCCGTAAAACTCCCTGCACAAACCTGCACATGCTCTGCCTCTCCCAGGGCCACCCAGCAGCAGATCAAGGGCAGCTCTCTCAGGAGGCGCTGGGGCATGGTGGAGCCGTTGGGCACAAATGTGATATCTAACTTGATTTCTTGCATTTCTCTCAGACTTCTGAATAACTGAGGGCAACAGAGCCCCACATTGGATGAGTGATGTCAGAAATACAACTCTGTGTGAAGCCGCTGAGGTGTGGGGTGATTTCTGACAGCAGTAGTCTTCTCTGGCTAATTCAGCGAATAAAGAAATCGAGCGATAAGGACAAGCTCCACTTCTTCATCTAGTCCTGTGAAGCAGTTGATCTTTTTCAATGTCTCAGTTATGACATCTCTCATGTGAAAAGCATCAACGCCAGGAGCTTCTCCATGTCCTCTGAGCAAGGGATGCATCCCATCCATTTACAGACTATAAAAACTCAGGGGGAGGGTTTCATTGCTCAATGAGGGGCTTGAATTTTCTTTGATCCCCTACTGATGGCGAATGATCTCTTTATTCCTTACACGGGGAGGGAGGATGAAACCTGGGGCAATTACATTAGATTCCGTTGACATGTGAAGCAATTTTGGCAAACCCAGCGAGCCTTTTGGTTGTGATTTATATCTAGTCAGGGAGAAATGACATCTGGGATGTCTGATTTATTCACTAGCAAAATGCTGGCTGAACCTAAAATAAGAAAATAGAGATTTATGTAACAGATTGCAGAGCCTTAATTTAAGAATGGTTAGGAAAGCAGCAGACACTCCAAGGCTCCGCTCTGCTTGGAATCACATGCTGCAAGTTAATATTACCTTTCTTAAAGTATTAAGTGACATGTTGAGAATTAGAGCATTATTTCTTCAAAATTCAACACCTGAATCTTTTCAAGATGACTGTTTCATATCCAAATAAGTCCTGGCATTCCTTTACATATTGACTGCCATAGAGAAGCAAACAGCTCTGTGAAATTTAGCAGACAGCTACAGTCTATTGTAGTTCTACCTGCAACCCCACAAGCAACTTCATACTAATCTCCATGCCAGGAGAACCTGGAAAGTACTGGGACTTGGTGAATAAGGAATTCTGTCCCCTCTGTTAAGAGACCACGTGGAGTCAGCGCCATAATTGTTTCCTCTTCAAAACCTAACAAGATTTTTCTGGAAAAGACTCAATGTTGAAAACACCAAAATGCAATTTCTTTCCGGTCTCAGTGCCCACAGTAGATGTGCTCCTGCATGTAGTGCTCACTAGACAAGCCACTGATTTATTCTTGCCTGGTGACACAGTCCTGTTTCCCGCTTCCTGCTTTACATTGGCCTTTGGAAAGCTCAGAGTCAAGAGGCAATCCCCACTGAGAATGCAGAGGACTCCAAGGCACAAATGTGATATCTAACTTGATTCCTTGCATTTCTCTCTTTTCTGACTTGGTTTCACACGTTCTCATCTATGCATCAGTTGATCAAGCAATTCATTTATCATCTCAGCTGGCTGAAATTCTGAATAAGGTGAGGTTATCCACAGAGAGAGAGAAAAATGATATAAAAGAGAAAAGAATGATGAAATAAGAGGGGAAGAAGAAAGGGAGAGAGAAAGAGAAAGAAGATAGGGAAAGGTGACTGGGCTGGGAAGGATGAATAGGACACAGGGAGGGATAGAGAGAAAGACACATTCCCCGTTTCCATCAGTGTTCAGCTGGTGAGAAAGCTGAGTGCTTATCAAAGGTTCACTAAACAGGTGGATTTATCTTTTCCTTTATAGAAAACTAAAGCTCTTGCTATTGTTCCTTTCTTCTTTTAGATTTCCCATATAATGAAGCGATTGCACTGAAGAATCTCTTCCACGATATGAAATTTTGCTAACTAATCACACCTTCCTTGATGTTACGATTTGGAAAGAGTCATTGTTGTAAAAATTGGGGATGAGATTTTTGTCCCTAGCAAGTGTAACCTTGGTAAGCCTGCTTAGGCTGTTTAGTTGCCCCCTTTCAATGTTACTAACTATTGGAGACAGACTATCCAGCATCTCAGGGAGCATGGTTTCAGCTTCTTTACACCCTTCACTCTGGGCAGCACAGCTCCTACGATGAATGGTGACATAAGTAAAGTACTTCCTGCCTGCCTCTCCTTTTTATGAACTTGGCCCTTTGTCAGGCATAGCATACCATCTTGCTGACCTTGAATAATTCCTTGGTGTGACCTTGGGCCTCTGTGTCTGCATCTAACACAACAAGACCCACCTGGGAAGAGGGCCTGATTTTTTTCTCCTACCAAAACTAAGTGCTTCTTTCTTCTCTTTGGAAAAATATTTAGTAAATGATTTCAACCTTATGTGCTAACAGGTTCCAATCCAAGTTCTTAAGGCAAGGACGGGAGCAAGATAGAGCTGCAGAATCTGTCAATATGGACTTTTATGGGAAGATGAAAAGCATGTCCTGAAAACTCAGGCAGGGATCATTGAAGGTGAGCTGTGTGCCTTCCTGGTTGCCCATCTCTCGAGGTGCTTGATCATGGACATTAGGTTGTAAATTTCTTCCAGCTATATCTATCTATTTAACAATGCATTTTCTTTAGCCAAAGTAATGCTTCTATAGTGCATATGAAATTTAGTCCACAAAAATTAGAGTGCAATAAATGTCACATTTATTTCTTTTCTTAATTTATTACAAGTTTCCTTTTCTTTTTTTTTCTTTTCTTTCTTTTTCTTTATGAAAAATCCAATCATGATCATTATTTGGGGTTTCATTCCCACCTTCCCAGTCAAGCAAAGTTCCTTGTGGTCCTAGGCACTTGGCAGTGTTAGGTGAGGGCACCTGGTCTTCTGTTCATATGTGCTCATCACTGGCGTGCTTGCTTCCCAAGCCCAAGAGGAGTTTCAGCTTCCATGCCAAGCAAGGACACTGAGCTCGGCATTTATGTTTAGTCCACTCTCCCAGCCCCTGAGCTATCCTCCTTCTGGGGCTCTGTATATAAGCGTATGATGGGGTAGGCTGTAACACTTTCTTGGGCCTCCGGTTTCCTTCTCTCCTTTTCAGCCCAGTCAGTTCTGTCTTTTGAACTCAGAGCACTACAATTCATCCACCCACTCCTCTCCCAGGACCTTCTAGTGTAACAAGACTGAGTTCTCACAGTGACCCCTAAGCATCTAAGAAGGATTGCCTTCTTTGCCTGGTTACTCCCACTTTCCTCCCTGTGCCACATGTGTGCTTCCAAAATGAGGCCCGACTACAAGAATCAAGTAACAGTCAACAACTCAATCAACTGTCCCTCCACCAACAACCAGAGACAGATGAAGTGACATCTGCAGCTGAGGAGCTGACATAGAAGAAAACATGGGGCAGCATGGGCTCGTGACTCCCCACCCCACTCCACTTGAAGGAGGAACCCCGGCCACGCATATCCAAGCAAGAGGAGAAGAGATCCTCTCTGGGAAAAGAACCCAGTTTGGTTGTGTAAAGAACAAAGCTTTTGACTGAGAAAAATCTGGGCTCAAATATGGGTTCTACCCTTTAGAACCCCTGAGATATTATGCAAATTAATCCCTACTCTGCTTCTTGGCAGAGTCCTTTCTGTAAAATGGTAGGTATTCCTTCCTTGCAAAGTCCCCATGAGGAGCCTAGGAGTTCCTGCTCTCCTTGACACCTCTCCCAAATGCAATAAATTACTCGCTAAGATACTTGGGGGATGGACAGGAAATGGCAGAAAGGCCAGGGGAGACATCCTAGGAGTCCAAAGATTTTTCTGCTACAGCCCAGTATCTTATTATGCTCCACATGCCAGATCAAGCAAGTGAGAGGAGACAGACATGCTAGGAGCGCAGGTCCACTATTCTCTACCCACTCTCCTCTCCTGGTGTCCCAGAAGGTGATCCTGTCAAATACAGTGTCATGGGTCAACCTCAAAGCCTAGGAGTCACTCAGGCCTCAGTAGAATCTCAACACCATCACAGAGGGTGAGTGAGCCTACTGATGTGTGATACAGGGACCATCCTACTTATGACATAGAATTATTGTAAGAAAAAATGAGATGACACAGAAAGGTCTCACCCAGTGACAATACTAGTGTCACTCTTCTTTTTCTTATTAACATCTTCTGTCCACTCGCTAAGAAACCTTTCAATAAATAACATCTGTTATGAGATTTTTCCTTTTCCTTCTTGTTTAGTTGGTTTTATTTGTAAACTTTTCAAAACTTTTTTTAGAGACAGGGTCTCATTCTATTGCCCAGGCTGGAATGCAGTGGTGTGACTTTGGCTCATTGCAGCCTCAACCTCCTGGGCTCAAGCAATCCTCCCAGCTCAGCCTCCTGAGTAGCTGGGAGTAAAAGCACACACCACCATGCCAGGCTAATTTTTGTATTTTTTTTTTTTTTTTGTAGAGAGGCAGTCTCACTGTGTTGCACAGGAAACAAGTTTTTTAGCCTCTTTCTGAGTATGTTCAACAGTGTGTGAATTCCATTAATCCACTAACTTGGAATCTAAATAATCTCCAGCCATTCCAAAGCAGCTCCAAAATATAAGAATCCACTAACAACAGATCTGCTTCCATGGAGCTAAGAGTGAACATCCCGACACACACTGCAAAGCAAACTGTGTGCAGGGTATATGCTTATAAACAGTCTCACCTTCACCCAGGATACCATCTTTTATTATTATTATTACTCTCTGTTTTCCTCTTGAATGCTGACAAGTTGCACTAGGTATTTCCTTCTCTCTTAGATACGAAAATAAAGCCTCTTCCAAACTTCTGGCTGTTGAGCTGCTATGCCAGGGTGTCAGAGCCAGCCCCTGAGTCACTCAGCCGAAAGCCAAGCTGAGGGGAGGTGGTTTTCATTGCAGGAACTTGGGTTAGCTTCCTGGAGACAAAACACAGCGACATCAATAAATAGGGTAGAAAGGAGGCAGTGATAAAAGGTGAATTTAAACCTCAGTTTCAATATTAGCTAAAAAGCATACAATAGTTAAACATAGCTATACAATAGAATGCATTTCTATACAGTGGAAGAAAAAGGTCAAAGTCAAAGGCAGAACAGGCTTTGATTCTTCCATACACGCAGTCTACATGGACAGAAATAGCATTTTCTTAAATCCACAGCCTTTTTATGGCAATAGCCCAGCCTGTTTCTAATGGGTATTTTCAAGTTCCTTTTTTTCATTCATTCTGTAAATATTTATAAGTGCCTCCTATGTACCAGATGCTGGGGATACTACAGAGAAGAAGACACTGAAGTTCCCTGACTTCATGGAGTGTCTATTTTACCGGAAAAGATAGATTATAAACAATGCACACCAAGGGATGATGAACAAACTGTGACCCTGGGAAAGTGTCTTAATCATCCTATGCCACCTATTTCTCATCTGCTTAAGGGGGCTGCTAATAGTCCCGACATGACTTGGTGTGTAGGCTTGGCGTGCGGATGAATGAGTGTTATGTGTTTGAGGCTAAGCACAGTGCCTGGCTCTGGGTCAGCTTTGCCCATGTGCAGGCTGTTATAGCCCCATTGGAATGGAAGCTCAGAGAGTAGGGACCTCTTGTCTGTTTTGTCCATTGTCATCCCAGTGCTTAGAACCATGCCTGAAATAAAATAAACACGTGCTCAATCAATAGTTGTTGAATGACTGAAATTTTAAAGAGTGATAGAAGAGAGGACAGGGAGAGCAGGAAGCGGGGATAGCAGAGCCAGGATAACCTCTCTGGGGAGAGATAGGGGAAGAATATTTCAGAAAGAAGGAATGAGTACAAATGCACTGAGGCAGGAAAAGCTTGCTGTGTTCCAGGGTCTCCCGAACACTCCAGGGTGAGCACATGCGTCTCCGTGGTTGCGGGATCCTCTGGTTCCACCACTGTCCATCTCCAGCCTTTTCCTTCCCTCCTTACTACTTAGTTTATTTCCCCCACACTGCAGCATACGAATTCTCTCAGTTGAAATATATCTTACTATTTCCTTTAAGGAATAATAGTAGAACATAGAGGGAGACAGTAGGAAGTGAAAGAACACAGATCTCTCAAAAATTTCAGCTCTCCGCAGACTCAGATGAACCTGGTTGGTTGCAGTGTAGTCATGCTGGAGTTTCCAGACATCTCTCTGTATCTTTTATCCCTGTGTTTCATGCCCCTTCCTGAGGACGTTTAACAACTTGGGATTCCCAAGACTTGCCGTTAAGTCTTTAAGTGGGGAGGTCGCATCGCATTTCACAAACTCATTCCTCAGTAAGGGATGTTCATCCTATGTGTTTCCATCCCTCTAGGCTCAAAATTGTTCTAAAAGAATTGCTGAGGTGTCTTCAGAAATTCTCATATTTTCTCAAAGGAGAAAGTGGTATTTATTTTCTTATAATAAATAAAGCAGACTTTCCTCTGTTTTATGATGAGGCAATATGTAATCTAATAGGATGTGCCTGTGACTGGAAAGACCGGAGTGAAGAAGAACCCTTGACTCCTCCTGAGAGCTCCTTAAGTGTTCAGGCCACAGATGTACCCATCCAGGCAGTGAGAGGCACCAGCCATCACACAGTTCCCAAAACTGTTCAATTCCCCCAACACTCTTGCTGTCAGCCTTTGTAAATTAGTTGCTTCCTAGCCATGCTGAGGAAAGAAGAGGAGTCAGTGAAGAGATTAAATGTGTCATTCTCTCTGGTAGCCCATGGAAAAGGAAAGAGCAAGAGAAACTTTAAGTGGGATCTCTGCTGGCTTCTTTGTCATGGTTTTGCAATATCCAGGATATGGGCTGGGCATGGTGGTGCAAGCCTGTAATCCAGCACTTTGGGAGGCTGAGGCAGGTGGATTTCTTGAGCCCAGGAGTTCAAGACCAGCCTGGGCAACATGTCAAAACCCCATCTCTACAAAAAAAAAAATACAAAAATTAGCCTCTCTTGTATGGTAGTGTGCCTCTCTTGTCCCAGCTACTTGGAAGACTGAGTGGGAGGATCGCTTGAGCCCCGGAAGTAACTGAGGCTGCAGTGAGCTATGATCGCCCCACTGCACTCCAACCTGGGCAACAGAGTAAGACCCTCTCTCTCTCTCTCTCTCTCTCTGTCTCTCTCTGTCTCTCTCTCTCTCTCTCTCTCTCTCTCTCTATATATATATATATATATATATATATATATATACACACACATATACCTCCAGGATATGTTCATCAAATTGAGAAATGAAATTCCCTTGGGAGTGGATAAAAATGTTTCCATTATATAATATTTTCTTACTGAAAACCAGTAGAGATCCCTTCTTTCCTTTTTCCAAGACTAAGTGGGTGTACTTGTATAAATGCCCAACTGGGAGCTGAGGCTTGGGGTTCTAGTCTTGGGGATGACATTTTGTTCCTTGAGAAGTCCCCATGGCCTCGGCATCCTTGCCTATAAAATAAAAGGCCCTGGGCTTGGTGTCTGTTCAGCTCTCGCACATTCCATGGGTCTATTTAACAAGCATCAACTTGCAGGTGTTCATGTGGCACACCCAAAAGGGAATTTGTCCTGTTCTGGCTCCATTTAGTGAAGCCTGTTCTGTACTGTTTCTGCCAATGTCAATTGGACCTACCTAGTTCACACATCTTTCTGTAGCAAGTCCAGGTAGGATTATGTTTTATTAGATTTTTAAAGGAGAAAAAAATCTATGAATGCACTGTGGATCTTTGTGTGTAAGCAGAATGTTAATAAGCTGTGTATCTTATGTTCTACGGCATCAGTTTATTAACGCTATGTTTACACATGAAGATCCAGAGTTGCATCAACTAGCAACAATCACTGCACGCATATAACTATAGGGTGGTTTGCTGTAGTACCTCCAATCTTTCCAACATGTTAATATAAACACTTAGACAGATACCTGGAAGGCAAATATTTCTGTCATGGTTCTGTTCTCATCTTCGTTTTATAGGCCTCGTTCAGAACAGGGCAGGAATCCTCCTGTATTCCATACCAGTGTGTATGTGACCTTCTTTATAGACAGATTGGGAGAATTCTTAGTGGCTTCTATGATTTCACAACATTCACACATTAAAGTTCAGAGTCTTCATCAGTTGTCTTTATATAACTCTAGCTATTTCTATTCCTACTTGTGAATGCACAGACTTATGCAAATGCAAGACGATGGAAAGCATGGCTCGCCTCCAGGGCCCACTCTACAACGTGGGATTGCTGCCACTTGCCTGCTACAAAAAATACCTTCTTTTCTGTGCCCGCAGCCACGGAAGGGCTTCTATGGACCTTCCTGCCTTTTGGCATGAAAAGAACGTCTGAATTGAATACTGTCTAAAAGAATGCTTCCCAACTATGTGGAAGGTATTACCCCAAGGTGACTTCCTGAGTCACACCAGCCAATGGCCCCAGAAAGACAGCAGCTATGAATCAAGCCATGAACTTTCTGGTCACAGGGAGTTTCTTGTTTAACTATTTTACCCCCACTTACTCCAAATTATACTCTCTTGGTTGTCAGGAATCTGTCTTCTTTAGCTTAAGCACACAGTGATTCGTCACTTATTGGGAACTACAGAAGAGGAAACTCAGTAAAACCTCCTGTTAAAAGTTGACCCAGAATTATGTAAGTGGGTGAAATGAATAGCAGAAACAGATGACTTTAGTGTCTCTCATCTGCTCATTACCTGCAGGGCAGATGCATGTATTTGTGACTATTGCAGCATAAGCTCCATTTTTCATTTACCACATCCTTTGACCCCCTTCATTGCATTAGAGATCCTTAAGTTCCCTTTCTTGGAAAGCTATATATAATCTCAACATTCCTCAATTTCCATCCTGTGCTTCTCATGTGATCAACAAAAATATATCAATTCTTGTAAAACTGTGAAAGCTACTTCTTGTTTCTATGAAAACTGGGATTTGTTCTCAGCCTCTCCTTGCAATGTATCCCCATGCCCACTCCCTTCCAAATGTGTGACTTCAGTTCATTATTCTTATCATCTGTTACTTTCACTGTAGATATTTATTCAATTTCAATCTTAGAACTCATCTGTTTGTGGTGCATGTAGATCTACTTAACCTTACCCAAGAGTTTGTCACTAAAAATGAAATTGTCTTTGAATCATTTACTCCGTAAATCTCCAGGAAACATAGATGATGGCCTCCATCTCCTATGACAGATAATATTCTTGTCCTGGATTACCCTACTTGACTTGCACAAAAAAAACCTACCCAAGCACTCACCATTCCTTTATGCTCAGCACAGTCCCCGCATGGAGGCTTCCATGAGGACCCTTGCCTTTATGGGTCACCTCTCCACTGCAATCCCAGAGCATCGATGGCACAGCACTCAGACAGATCCTGCATCATACTGACCAGTGCTGCTCTGTGTGAGGTACTCCTGTCTTGCCAATTACATTAGTATTTTCTTGATGTCTGTGTAATGTTACTAGATCTTGGTGTCTTCCCTGGACCTCTACCTCCTCCCCTATAAAGAATAAAATGAACTCTCTTCTGAGATCCCCCATCTATTTTCCCTCTAGAATGATGACTTTTCCCTGTAGAAAAATGAATGTAATTTTTTTTCTGACATTCCTTGTGTATTAGTCTGTTCTCATGCAGTTAATAAAGACACACCCAAGACTAGGTAATTTATAAGGAAAGAGGTTTAATTGTCTTATAGTTCCACATGTCTGGGGAGGCCTCACAATCACGGCAGAAGGTGAGTGAGAAGCAAAGTCACATCTTACATGGTGGCAGGTAAGAGGGCGTGTTCAGGGAAACTTCCCTTTATAAAACCATCAGATCTTGTGAGACTTATTCACTATCACAAGAACAACACAGGAAAAACTCAGCCCCATGACTTGATTACCTCCCACCAGGTCCCTCCCACAACACATGAGGATTATTACACTTCAAGGTGACATTTGGGTCGGGACACAGAGTCAAACCATATCACCTGGCTGTACTACTATTAAATAGATTGTAAACTCATAGAAAGTGAGTCAATGCTTCATTCACCTTTCTATCATCTATGCTCAGTGCAGAACTTTTAGGAAGTGTTTGTTCCATATGGAAGGGGTAAATGGGTAATAACCAGTTGTTGAGATTTTTAAATCCCTTGTAGTGTTTTAACATTCAACTTATTAAATGTTAGAGAATCAATAAACACTGCACATCAACAGTTCAGTCTTATCTTTTTGACTGGCCAAAGTTATTTTCCCTGCCCAGATTTTCCCAAATGAGTAAAGCATTCAATTATGTGCAAGAGATACTCGGTCATTGCTAAGATGCAAATAAAATGTAGCACTCTGCACTGAGAAATGTGACCTGAAAATAGTTGCTAGTTTATACATAATATGCCTAGAGAGGTGCAGAAATGTTCAGTGACTTCTATGTGCTTGATGGCTCCAAGAGAGACATCAAAGTATCATTATAAAAAAAAAAAACGGCTGCTAAATGTGAAAAGCTAACAGTCAGCCATGGCTCCTGCTGAGGGTCTGCCTCATGGCTGGTATCAGGGAGAGATATTTTCTTTGTGTCATCAAAGTTGACAGTGAATATTAAAGTGGTCTTTCACCTTGCCTGAGACCTCTGACAAAATACCTCTCTATCTCTTCTTTCTATGCTCACAGCAAAAGAGCTAACCTAAAAATCACATCAGTGGGTTCAACCCACTGTTATTTCAAAGTGCAACCCACATGTGAGAAAGGGGCCTGTGGCAAGCCGTGCAAGGTATTAAAACCGTGACTCACTGCCAGACAGAAAAAAAGTATTCTCTCCACAGAAATTCAGTACCATGTTATTGCTAAAATTAAAAAAAAATTAAACCCTCAAAACAAGCCTGTGATGTATTTGTATAAATGGTGGCATTAGAACATAAATCTGCAAAAAGGTCTAATTTTTCAGTAAATTCACAGAAGAACATAAGATCATATCAAAAAGCAGAAGCAAAACGGAAGAGATGCATCTGAAAAATGCTTTCTTTAACTGAATGAAGTCATAGAGTTATGAGAAGGGAAGGACAGTCTGGCTTTCTTGGCAAGGCTGTATGTAAACCAAGTTTGGAAGTAATTTTAAAAAGATTATCATTCCACAAAAAATATATCAGCTGCATCATTTTCAACAGCAGTTACTCTGCACCGTGGACAGAGATCCCTCCTTGTGTCCCTCTGGCTCATCACAGGGATTGAGAGTTGGTAATAGGAACCACAGTCCCTGTGTTGCACATGGTACAAAGACTCTCACTTCACATTTTATAGCAAACCAACCAGTCTTCCTGAGAGTTTACAATCCTGTATCCAAAACATATGCATGATCAAATGAGGCAACAATTCAGGAATAAAATCAATCTTACAATTAGAAAATATTGCTTTATCTTTTATTTCATGCAGGTAGTGGCTGAAGACTGTTGAGAGCAAGGGAAGATCAATAAGTGTCTCCACAATGTCAAAAGAGGTTGAAGAATGAAAGATTCACTTAGTCTCTCAGTTGTTTATGTTGGTGGTGAAAACAAATATTTGACTCTTTGTGAGCTGAATTGGTCCCTTTGAAAATTGCAAAGTGTAACTTGGAGGAATGATGAGCACACAATTACTTAAAATGGCAAAAAGGAGTGTAAACATATGGGTAAGAATAATGGAGAACTCTGGAGTGGAGGCTGCAGAATGTGGTGGAAAACGCAGTTTCACATGCTTACCAACCAGCTGAGAGCAATTTCTAAGAGCACCACCCAAAGAACCATGAGGCTCTAGCGGCAGATGTTTGCTTCAGGAGCCAGAGCTCATGATTGGCAGCTCACTTCAGGAGGCTGTGTGAAATGCATCCACATTTGGTCCAGAGCAAGCCTGTGGAGCTTTAAGCATATAACTGATTTAAGCAGGAAACCCTAATGCAAAAAGTTAAGTAAATTTAATATTAACTGAAAGTTCCTTAAAGAAAAACACCATCAGATGGATCTGGAAAAATTTGGAGGAAGATCTGTGGTGTCACAAAGATCTGTCCTGGGCCTTGTTGTGTTCACCATTTCTCTGTGATTCATATGATAATATAGATGCTATTTCTATCATTTACAGAAAATTTTTTAAAAAACATTGAATTGAGGTCTGAAATTATCTCAAAGGCTGGGACAATGGGCCGAATCCAACACCAGTAAATCTCACTCCTCCTTCAGGACCTAACTGAAATCATATTTCTTCAGCAAGTTCTTCCCCAATCATTAGACCAGGCAAGGTCTCTCATGTGCTTCTGGAGTATCTTGTCCTGTCCCTTTCTTTGTGTGCAAATCATAAATTTGTTGAGGGCAGGAGAACAAGTCTATCTCATTCACCATTGAACTCCTAGTGCTCATAGCAGTTCCTGGCACATAACAAGTGTTTCAAACAAATTCTTTGAGTTAAAAAAGAATATACAAAATGTCATGCATTTTGGCTAAAGGCATTAGTGTGTGATTAGAAGATGTAGCAGGGGGGTGGTGGAGATTGTGATTGCTAAAGAGTAGCAGATACAACAGCAAGACATAGAAACCTCACTATATCAACAATAAGTCAAGACCTCAAACAGTTAGTACAGCACAATAAATTCAAAATTCCACCAAAAAAGAAGGAGATAGTACACTTCCAGTCATCCTTGAAATTGTGTATGCAGTTCTGGGGAAAATGACAAACTGAAATTAATCCAGAGGCAAGCTAACATGATAGTTGGGCCTGTGAACCATGAAAGAGGCCTAAACCTCTGAGGCTAATTAAAACCAAAAAAAAAATTTTTAGATCTTACCTTTAAGTCTTTAATCCATTTTGAACTGATCTTTGGGTATGGTGTAAGATAAGGATTCAATTTCATTCTATTGCACTTGAATATCCAGTTTTCCCAAAACCATTTGTTAAAGAGACGACCCTCTCCTACTGTGTATTCTTGATACCCTTGGTGAAGATCAGTTGATCATAAACAAGTGACTTTATTTATGGTCTCTCTATTCAATTCCAATGGTTTAGATGTATGTCTTTATGTCAGTATCATATTGTTTTAATTACTTTAGCTTTATAATATATTTTGAAATCAGAAATGTGATGTCTCCAAATTCGTTCTTCTTTCTCGAGACTGCTTTTGCTGTTCAGGGTCTTTTGAAACTTCTGTAAAAAATAGGAGGAAAGCTTCTTGACATTGGTCATGGCAATGATTTCTTGGATATGACACTTAAAGCATGGGCAACAAAAGCAAAAGTAGACTGGTACGACTACATCAAACATAAATGAGTCTGCACTTCAAAGGAAATAATCAGCAAAACAATTGTTTCTTTTGCAACCTACAAAATTAAGGAAAATATTCACTAATTATATATCTGATAAGGGGTTAATCTCCAAAATATATATAAGTAACTCCTACAACTCAATAGCAAAAAATCAAATAATCCAATTTTTTTAATTGGGCAAAGGACTTGAATGGACATTTCTCAAAAGAAGACATACAAATAGCCAACAGGTATATGAAAAAAGGCTCAACATCACTAATCACTAAGGGAAATGCAAATCAAAACCACAGCAAAATAGCACTTCACATATGTTAGATTGGCTATTACCATAAAAACAAAAGACAACAAGTTTTGGTGAGGATGTGGAGAAAAGGGAACCCTTGCACATAGGTGATGGAATGTAAGTAAGTTGGTACAGTCATGATGTAAAACACTGTGGAGGTTCTAAAAAATTTTTTTGAATAAAACTACCATATGATCCAGCAATCCCACTTCTGAGTTTATATCCAAAAAAAAAATTGAAATCAGGATCTCAAAGAGATAGTGCACAACCATGTTCACTATAGCATTATTCACAATGACCAAGACATGGAAACAACCTACATGTCCATCAGCAGATAAATGGATAAAAAATGTGGTCTATACACTCAATGGCATATTACTCGGCCATGTGGAGATCCTTCCACATGAAACAGCATAGATGAACCTGGAGGACATTATGCTAAGTGAAATAAGCCAGTTACAGAAGGAAAAAATCCTGCATGATTTTTCTTACATGAGGTAGCTAAAATAGTCAAACTTAGGGAAGCAAAGACTTGGACAGTGGTGCCAGGGACTGGGTAGAGGCAGAAATTGGGAGCTGTTGTTCAATGGGTATGAAGTTTCAATGATGCAAGATGCATGAGTTTTAGAGATCTGCTTTACAACACTATGCCTATAGTTAACTGCACTGTGCACTTAAAAATTTGTTAAAGAGTCTGGGTGCGGTGGCTCAGGCCTGTAATCCCAGCACTTCGGGAGGCCCAGGCGGGTGGATCACCTGAGGTCAGGAGTTAGAGACCTGCCTGGCCAACATAGTGAAACCCCATCTCTACTACAAATACAAAAAATTAGCCAAGCGTGGTGGCAGGTGCCTGTAATCCCAGCTACTTGGGAGGCTGAGGCAGGAGAATTGCTTGAACTGGGAGGCAGAGGTCGCAGTGAGCCGAGACTGCGCCACCGCACTCCAGCCTGGGTGACAGAGTGAGACTGCATCTCAAAAAAAAAAAAATTGTTAAAGAGAGTATATCACATTAAATATTCCTACAAAAATAAATAAATAAATGAATATTCTTTTTAAAAAATGTTTATTTTATTTTAAGTTCCAGATACATGTGCAGGACCTGCAGGTTTGTTACATAGGTAAACATGTGCCATGGTGGTTTGCTTCACCTATCAACCCAGCACCTACGTATGAAGCCCTGCATGCATTAGCTATTTATCCTGGTGCTCTCCCTCACCTCCCTTGCCACCAACAGGCCCCAGTGTGTGTTGTTCCCCTCCCTGTGCCCATGCGTTGTCATTGTTCAGCTCCCACATATAAGTGAGAACATGCAGCATTTGTTTGGTTTTCTGTTCTTGTGTTAGTTTGCTGAGGATAATGGATTCCAGCTCCATCCATGTCCCTGCAAAAAACATGACCTTGTTTCTTCCTATGGCTGCATAATAGTCCATGGTGTGTATGTACAATAAATATATATTCTTGCCTGATACAAACACACAGGTACACAAAGGTGCACAAGGAAACTTTAGGAGGTGAATATGTTTCTTGCCTTGATTTTAGTGATGGTTTCACAGGTGTATGCCTATATTAAAATTAATCAAACTGTACATTAAATATGCCAATTTACTTCAATAAGGGAGTTAAAAAATTAAAAATGAGACTGGTGGGAAGACCAGAAAGCAGTCTTCACATATTTAAAGGGTTGTCCTGCAAAAGAGGGATCAGACTTTTTATTGCATCTGGCTCTGGAGGACAGAGAAAGGGGCAAGGCATATAGATTATAAAGAGGTAAGGTTTAGCTTGATAAAAGGAAAAATCCTAATAATTATAGCTATTTAAAAACGAAATATGCTTATTGAACTTTTAAAGGTGATATTATGGACAAATACTTAATGAAAAAGGATAAAAGATGGTTCTAAAACATGAGTAGTACAATTCTTTTAGAATAAAGGTGTGCATACCCATGCACGCATGTGCACGCATGCACATGCACACACACACACACACATACGCACACCTGGGCACATACATCAGAATGTTCATGGTGTTTATCTCTGAGTGATAGTATTACAGATATTTTTAATTTTTATTTTGTACATTTTGGTTTTGTTTTCTAAAATTATTACAGTGAATGCAAATTATTTTTCTTATGACAGGAAAACACTGTACAGCAAAAATGGTTGTGGGACCTAGGGAGTTCTATTTTGTTGGAGGTGTTTGAGCAGAACCTGTAGTTGCTGTTGATAACTCCCAGGATGTTGAAAAGGAGACTGTTATAGACAGGAAGATGGCTATTACCTCTTTTAACCTCTATGGTGCTTCAGATTCTGAGAATCTATTGCACAAAATAATAATTATAACTAATAATTATAACCACTATAACTATTAACATATAACCTGTAGTTATTAATAGTTATGATTAATAAAGTCATAGAATCTCAGATTTGTCAGGGAACTCAGAAGTCAACTTTCCCAGCCAATGTAAGACAGTATGAAAAATCCTTGGCCACACATGCGGATAAAGGATTGCCCATGGCTGGGAATGTATATCCTTTCCTGCTGCTCACTGGTCTACACTAGCAGGTAAGAAACACATTTGTCTCTAAACACCCAGCCCAGTGGTACATGAAATGATCTTCATCTATTTGTTTCTCAAGCATGAAATGATAGCCTACACACAATCTTTTCATATTGTAGTCACTCTGTGATCTTTCAAAATGAAAATAAAGAGGTCTTGTCACTAGGTGTACAATCTATTTTCCTTGACTTGAAATCTCATCTTTTATTTCTTCAAAGCACATAAGGACTTTATCTTTAATTCTATCTTGTATTCTGTTATCAAATCCATTTGTTGTTGTTCTATGTCTGCTCAGGATGTCTGAACATTTTTACATAGAGTAACTTTAAGTGTGAACCTAAGTCGAATTCAAAACAAGACATCTAACTCTAAGAAAAGCCTTAGGTAAAACTTTGAATATATTTATCTTGAATGCTACAAGATGTCCAAATTATCCCTAGACATCCTCTCTTCACTTTCTTCAGACACCTAACCCTTCCTCCCTCTGCCACCTCAAATTCAAAATTCACACTTAGGAGAAAGATTTGTAATTTTTTCAAATCAAAGCTTATAGTAGAAGCCAATCAACTAATTCTGTAATTGTCTCTTAAACACCCTAAACTATGCAGGACCACTTCATTGCAAAAACAAAATAAACTCTTGAAATCACAAGGTAATATATAGCAATTAACAATTCAACATTACAAACAGTAAGTGCTATTGGTAAATGCTACTTAAGTTCAGGAAATAAAAGGTAATTATCTTTGAGCTGACAAATTTACCGCACTACCAATAAATGAAGGAATTACTGTATAGTGTGCTAGCAGGGATCCTGGGAGATCTGGTGGAGATAGAAGTTCTAGCTGAACTTCAGAACCCTCCAATACAAACAGGCTTATCTGAGGGGACAGGTCAGTCCTGCACACTATTGCAAGTGTTATCAAAGTGTGGTCCACGGACCAGCATCCTCTACACCACTTGGGAGCTTGTTAAAGGTACAGAATCGAGGGCCCCGTCCAGAACTAGTAAATAAAAAATCTAGATTTTTAACAAGCTCCCAGGATGATTATTCATATGCACATTGAAGTTTGAGAAGCTCTGGTCTACACAGTGGCGATTCTGCTCAGTTTCTTCGCATTTTAGTCCTGGGCTTTCAAAGCTACTTGCTTTTTTAAATCAACTATTAATTTGTAGCCTACAATTGTCACAACTGCAAAATTAACTCATTACTTAACTTTATTCTATTTCTCATGCATTTCCCCCTCAACGTCCCTTTTTCTCCAACGGTGGTCCCTTGAGAATGACAGATTTTTCACCACCCAGCAACCAAGGCACTACCCCACATCCTACACGAGGGGGCGCATGAGGACTAAGATTCGGGATCTTCTAGGCCATCTTCTCCACAGTGATTTTTATCAGCGACGGCCCCCTTTCTCCAGGATTGGTTTCCCAATGACATCACTTGGAAGCATGAAGAGTTGCTAGAATCCTCTCCTCCACTCACAAGCCAGGCATTTCCTGAACCCTTGCTGCGTTCGCCGCTTTCCACCCCATACCATTTCCCTAAGAGACAAGCATTCAGATGATCTACCCCCAGGGGTCCCAGGGAAGGAGGGAGAATCATTGCTTTAAATACAACGGCAGATCAGAGGGCCCTTGGTCAATATCCCTGCTCTCATTTCTCCTGTGTTTCATCTTCCATCAGGTCATACAGCCTTGAAAGTCTTTGACACATCACCCCTCCCTTCAGATCCCCACCTCTCCAATATTTCAGCAGAGCTTGGTCTTTTATAATCTAATTTTAAAAAACTCTTGCTCCATTCTGTTCTTTTACTGCAAACAGAGAGTAGCTGAGTGAGTGGCGTGAGGATGAAGAGTCCAGAGCTGAGGCTTGTGGATTTCCTGGGAAGTTACTCACTCAACCTTTGGCCTGGGGAATAATTAGAAAAATGAATGTTTCATTCCCTTGAGAAGGCTTTTTCTTTGTCCACTGGAACCCAATACTGGCGCTGTGGCTGTGTTTTAGAGAGTGTCTAGTGGCGCTAACTTGCTAAATCCATGAGGTTTATCACTGTTATGCACAGTGCCCACCAAGTGTTGGCAACAAGCAACTCGTAAATGCATTTTGGCAATTACTATGAAATTTTCAGTGTCATATGGGTCTTCCACCTCCTAAAAGCTTTTGTCCTGATGAAAGCTTTTATTTTAACTGTAGTTTTTCCCTAATAGGGCTCTATTTCAAACTTTAACAGTTGTAATTATTTGTATCAACGTGCAATCCCACACTTAAACAAATTGGAGCCCACTCCAGAACAAAATTAAAATGGCTTCAAAGAATGACAGAAAAACATTTCTTTTGGCAAGGAATAACAGGAAGGCAGAAGGAATACAGGAGAGATCCAGTGGAGAGGATAAAGCAATGGGAGGCCTTTCCACATGTGTAGCCTCTTAAAAAAATTGCTACCATTCCTTATGTTGCCTATGCAGGATACAACCCTATCTCTTAGTAAAAATGGTCTCCCCACCCCCACAATTCTTGTGGCTATTACCAAACAGTGCTTCTTATAAAAGAAAAAGAATATGACAAAGCAACCACAAGGAAGGTTAAAAAAAAAAGATAAAACCCGGGGCTAGAATACACCCAGTTGATGCTCAATAATGATTGACTTAAATGTTTGTGTGGCACAAGGTACAGAGTGGATTTCTTTCACATCAATCTGGAAATTCATAGCTTCTTCAGGCTTCTTGTCATACATATCGTGTGAAATATTTTATGACACGGCTCTGTGGATCCTGAAATGCTCGGTCCCGTTCTGTCTGAAAGTAGCACTTCTCTCTTCCTGTTGGGCCCCTCACCAAGAGCCCTTAGCGTCTGAGGCATCTCCCTGGTTATACTTTCATCAGATGGTGAAGCGGCCGTGCATTCATTGCACTTTCCCCCCAACACAAGCACTTTCATTGTTATCATTTACTGATATCAAATAGAGAAGTAAGTCAGGTGAATCATCATATACTGTGTATTTATCACAAAATCGAGCCTACCCTTTATGCCTGGGAGAACACTGGCATGACCTAGTTCACTTCCCTAGGGCTGGATACCCTTCAAGTCTTCCTCCGTGAAGGAGAATCTTTCTCCTTGTATGAGCCAAGAACACATTTTAGTGCAGCATTTCCTTTGTAGTTCAGATCTATTTTAATTGGGTAAATCTTTCATTACATAAATACAAATATTAGCAGGGGCCAGATACTGTATCAGGCTCACCAAAGCCAAGTGGCTGGAGGTGCTGTGCCCCACCAATAGGCTTTTTTTTTTCCACTGTGATAATTTCTGTTCCTTAACATAGGACATCAGATAGAAACCATTCCATTTGCAGACAAGAAAATACATCTACTGTCCAATCTACATGTATTTGTATGGCCGGGAGGAGAGGGTAGACCATTCCAGGCCTGGGAAGCCGTCCAGGGAAACAGGAGGAAGAGAGCCAGGGAAGTGTGTTTAGAGTAGAGAGAGCATGATTAGACTCAAGCAAAGGAGCACATCACAGGAGGAAAGAATAATTATTTTGGACGAGTGGGCAGGATAGTTTGGGGAGTGCCCTGAGAGCTAGTAAGGGGTCATGGTCATGACATCATAGGCAGTTGGGAGCCCTGCCAGACTTAGAGTGGTGGCATCTGAAAGAGACTAGGGTTAGGCATGCAGAGTGGATTGGGGCTACAGAAATCCATGGCAAAACTTATTCATGTCTTTTTAAAGTCTTTTTGGTTACAAGCATCAAAGCCAGCAAAGTTTGGCTAATCAATAAACAAGAACTTACTGTAAAGATGCAAAGTCATCCTCAGAAGTCAATAGCAGATGTAGCCCTGCCTCTTTTGACTCGGTTCATTCTTTGGCATTGCCTTTTGGTTTTCTCTACACACTGACTTGTTCTGATTCTCCCTGCGTATGGCCACCATGGCTCCAAAATTCATGTCTGAGCCAAACACAGACGCTGATCTCTAGTTATCCATTTCTTTAAGTCCAATTCCAAATTCCCAAGAGAAAGATATTGATTGTCCAGCTTGGGTCAGTGAGAACTCTGATGCAATCTATGGCCAAAGTGGAAGAGTCATGGTGGATGCTCGGTTACTTGGCCTTCCCTTTTGTGGAGAGGGGGATGATTCCTTGAGAAATGGTGTCATAGACTGGGAAGGAACTCCAAAAGATGTTTACAACCACCTGCCAGAAGTCTGCTGGTGTATTTTAATACTGCCATCCTGCAAGCTCAGTGTCAGTAAGAACAGAAGAAAGGGATAAATAGAGGTAATGTTTGTCATATTTCTAGAAACCGGACAGGTTTAGGACACATTGGAGTGCCAGCCATGGGAATAACATCAGGATAGAATGGTCTGGGCAAAGCTGAATGGGAAGAGGCATTTCCACAAAACTGCCCAAGGCAGTGGCACTACTAGGTTCAGAAGAATTCAGAGACCCAGGGAGGGCTGCTATTTAGAATAGCTCAGAACATCACAAGTGTGCTGGCTTTCCACTTTAATGTGAAGCTGGGTGTGGAGTTTTTAAAGCTCTATGCAAGACCTCACTGTTCCCAAAACATGGAAGGAAGTGTTTGACCTCAGAACATTCTCATATTATTAATCAACACACCAAATATTTACCCAGGACCTAGTCTGTGCCCAGTGCTGTTCGATACTGTAGTGCTCGGTCAGTGCTGTAGAGACAGAAGGGCCATCCCTCTGCTGTTGTAGAAAGTCCCTTCAGGGGTTCTGGAGGGAGTTGGGTGCCAGGAAGTTTCCCAGACTCCTCTCAGCCTCCCTTCCCAAACTCAAAGAAACGTGCTCCCTCCACTCTCCTCTTCTGCCTGCCAGAGTTTCCAGATTTGTTCTGTTTTGCAGTTGCGTCAAGCCACACTCAATTCCAATCCTAGCAGAAGGCATAAATTAACATTTTATTATGCGTGCTTGTTAGGGTCTCTTAAAGCAGACATGCAAATTCGAGGCTCCCATAGTAAATTAGGGCATACCCAGATTTTGCTGAAAATAAATCAAGTCGCCCTGGCCAAACCCTTGGAAAGCAGCACTTCTCTGAGCTATCCTGGGACAGATGCTCCCCTCAGCTCCTGCCCCAGGTTGTTTACCCTGGCCCCTGGCCATTTCCTGCCCCGTTTGGCACCCAGGTCCTCTCTGTCCAGCTGCCACTGGCTCATAGGACTCTTGGTCGACTTTCACTTACAAGGAACCAATTTCACAAGCAGCTGTAGGTGAGCCTTTTACGGGCCTCTGGCGAGTGAGTGAGAGGCCTCGGGCCTTCTCCCACAAGCAGCTGGACAAATATATCTGCCTTGGCTTTCCAGGGGGACCAGCTATTTTGAGGCTCCCCTTTGATTGACTCTTCCTACTACTGTGCCTTTAATTGCAGTTTATGGATCTTAAAACCTTATAGAACAGGAACTTCAAGCTAGACAGAGCTTGATTGGATTTGGCGTGGCTGTGGCGGAGGAATTCGAATTAGCAAAATCAAAAGTGAGAAGTAGTTAGTATGCACTTAGGCTCTACTAGGTTCCATTTTTAATTGTTCTGTGGCCTTTCTTTCCAGCATGCTGATTAGGTCATATAATTTTGTGTGTGGTTGGAGAAAGGTGGACAGGGGAAAGAGAGAAAGAATGTTTTCCAAGTCGCCACTTTAATTTTCAAAGTGTCCTTTCACATCCCTCATTATTATAAATTATCTGCCTCCTTGGGAGCATGCGTGGATGATCCCACCCAAATAGAGAAGGTGGTAAAGGCAAGGAAGCCATCACTGCCCTCCTGAGTCAGCCCACAGGCATCGGTCACAGATCGAAAACCCTAGTTCTGACCAGGTAGGTGGAAGAGCTGACTTCAGGGGCCTTGTGCCAGCCTAGATGAGCATGGTAAGTATTCACGGGGGATATTTGAGCCTCCCTATCTTAGAGGTTACACTGGAAGACACCATCAATTGGGTCCTATGTAGTGCGAGTGTGTGGGAGTGCCTCCAGCATTCCTGCAAGCCTGCTTCCAGAAGACTACTTGTCCCTCCACTCCTGTGGCTCTCAGGAAGTTGTGTTCCTTCTAAGTGCTGGAAGATACACCGGAACCTGAGGCTGCCACTCTGAAGGCTCCAGTTCTCTGCCATGTTGCTATCTCTATTTTATTTCTCCTTCCAAACAGATGCTTCTTAACCTCCTTCCTCCTGCCTCTCACCTCGCTCCCAGCTTTTCTGAATCCTTTCTCTCCTTGTTTCACTCAGTTCTTCTTTGCATCTCATTTCACCTTCCTGCTCTGTAGAGAGCTATGCGTGGCTCTTACCTTCCCCCAGTGGCATTTAAAGTGTTTCTTGGTGCAAAACATCCTATTCATTGCCATAGAAACAGGAAGCTCAGTGTGGAAGAAAAAGGAAAAAAAGAAGTCTGACACTCCAAAGCTGTGCAATTCTGTTATTTTGCCCAAATCCATAAACGGCAACATGCTGGGAGATAAGCAAAAGCCCGCCCGCTGCTAGAACCAGAGAAGGAAGGGCCTTCCATTCCTAGGAGACTGTCTGCAGGTTTTAAACCAGGCCCTTAAACCAGGCAAGAGCTGGCTCAGTGGAAAGAACTGCTACTTTTCTTTCACATGGAAACTCACAGCTGAGTCTAGAGAAGTCAGACTGCCAGGACCCTGAGTGAGGAGTCAGACAGACCTCGTTCTGTGATAAATGCTGCCTCTGAAAAGCTGCAGCCTTTTGGACTCCTCACTTAACCCCTCTCAGTCTCCTTAGCTATAAAATAAGGATATGAATGTTGCCACGGCCTTTTTGTCAGGCTCTGATGAGGGCATGTGGTGCTGTACCTTCATTGCACTCCTGCTGGACTCACTGTTTCCTTACCCCATCCTTGGAAAGCACAAGTTTGGGTTATCTATTCACCATGGTAAACACCTCCCTGACATAAAACTAAGAGAAGAACTTCACATTCACATAATTCCTAAAATAAAGCCAATCATCCACAGCATTCTTTAAAATATACTAAGAAGTATTTATTTTTTACATCTTCATGCAAAACCTGGACAGGAGCCTTCTCCAAACCATTGATTTCCAAGATGCATCTTCAACCTACCCTGAGTACTGCCTTTTTCTTCTGGGTCCCAAGAACTCTAGAAGTTGTTATTCCCTAAGCTGAGAACAGGCTGGGTAAGTATGGATCAGAGCTTCAAGCTAATGATGTGAAGTTTGCTGGTTTAATCTCCACCCAGCCAGTGGGTCTCTCCGAGGCCATCTATGTTCTATTCCCAGAAGTGCACCCTACCTTTCAACAACTACCTTTGTTCTGCATCTCTTAGATTCTGCATTTGGCATCCATTAATCACAGGGACAAATGAACAGCCACAGTTGTTTGCATCTTCCCTGTGATCCACTTGCACTGGCCCATAAAATTGCATTAACAACCCTCCGATCCATCCCAAAACTAGTACCTCGAACCACCTCATTGAACTAACTCCCACAAACCCAGTCAATAGTCCCCTGCCCTAGGGCCAGGTACCAAACTAGAAACCACCCCACTAGACCAGAGCTCACTGACTTTATTCAAACTGAGCCACCCTAAGCTGTTTCCCTACCCTCCCTTTCCTCTCCTATGAAAAACACAATGAGGGCTCTGGCCATGGTCTCCCCTTGCACCTCCTTCTGCCTCCTGACCAAACCTGGTGCCTCCCCACGTGGCCTTCTGTGATGTGGTGGCCCCCTTTTCTTGGAAACTGTAGGTAATAAAAACCTTCTTTCAATGGCACTGGCCTCTCTTGTCATTACTCATTCACTTCCATAAATTAAGAGCTGGGCACAAATCAACCTTGTCCACATCTGTCATACCAGTGACAGAGATACCCTGGTAATGAGGTGTAACTGGTTCATCATGTACACATCACACGCTTGGTGGTGCTAGCTCAGCAGCATCTTCATCTATAAATAAGGCAACCATATGTCCCACTGTGCCCTGTAGAGTCCAAATTTACCCCTAGTTGACCTGTACAATTATTAATAGTGGCCTCATTCACTCTCAAAGCAATTCTGGTTTGGAATATAAATGATATGGTTACCCTACTATAAAGGACAGAAAAATATTCTTCTATGAAATAGGTAAAAGTCTTTGTTTCAGGGGACTAATTGCAACTGAGTCATTCAGTGCCATATTTCCACTTGAGGAAAGGGTCTAAATGAATGGTACAGACATTCTAAAAATACAAGTGCTTGTCTTCACATAATATGCAAGAAGTTCAAGAGGAAAAACCAGCTGCATGAAGTGTGTATACAAAGCAGAGCAAAGAATCATGATTACGCTGAGGTTTCTTTCACGAGCATCAAGGATGATGGTAGCTTTGTTCACCGTGACCCAAAAGCTGGACCAGGGTAGGAATCACTATGGACCAAATGATCAGGTGATTAGCTCATGTTTTCGTGTCTGGTATCTGACAGGAGATTTAGTCATTCAGTCATTCTGCAAATATATTTTGTCTCTAATATGTGCTGGACACTAGGGATACAATTAGAATCAGTTTCAGTTCCTGTCTTCAAGAAGTTTTTTCTGTAAAGGAAGACATTGACACACACAAGAAGTATTTCAAAAGGCACAAGCACAGGTTACCATGGGACCATTTACGAGGAGCACTTGTTCTAGTCCTGGGGGTTATTAACTGACTTTATGAGTGAAATTTGGGGTGGGTGTGGGGAGATTGGAGGGTAGATTATAAGACCCTAATTCAATCTGAACCAGTAAGCATAGAGACCACTGTCTAAGGTCCTGGAAATCAAAGGACAAAACCTGAGGGCATTGGAGCATGAGACTGGGGGACAGTCCAAATTCAAGCAACCAAATGAACAGAATATAATGATGGCCTGAATGCTGCAGAAAATCCAGCCCCAAGTTCTAGCATTTCTTGACAGGTAGAAATGAGGAATGTTAAGGACCGCTAGGAAAAAAATACATCAAACCCAATATATGAGAGAATTGATTATGAATGCTCTAGATTTTTACCCCAACCCTAAACTCATCCCATTCTTCCCTAGGTGCCAGGACTGGTGCTCATCTTTGCCCTTCAACGCTGTAGCCTCAGTTCCAAGGAGGAGAAGGATCAGCTGCGTGCCGGGGACAACTTCCTCATCATCCTCCCAGGGAAGTCTGTCGGAGGTTGTTTGTAATCAAGCCTTAAAAATCTATGACATGCAGCTGCACTGTCTGTGATGGCACGTACGTCAAGGAGAAAAATTCATGATTTGGGAATGCATAGAGCTATGTTTTGCTCCTCCACACCCTAGTCAGATGCAGAGTTGTTTTGGTCCTCTACAGAGTTATAAATAAAAAGCCAGCTCTAAAGATTTGCTGAAGCAAACCCAAGGCCGAAGGAGCAATCCTTCTTAATTGACCTGACTTACACAATGCTTCTGGCATATGGTCTTGCTCTCCCCAGACAAAGAGAATGCCTATAAAAAGAAATACATAACATTGGCCCTAGCATTATTTTAGAGTCACAGAATGTAAGTCACAGGGGATATTAGAGATCATTTTGCCCTATGCATGCATCTTACAGATCAAGGGTGCCAGAGGTTGTGGAGCTATTTAATAGGATTCCTTGACTGGGATCCATTTTTATTTTAGAAACAAACACAATTAGATTCAATACCTTGGAAAACAGAATTTTGGTACACTTTGAAGTTATAGACAGCTGTCTCTGTTGTATCCTTGATACACTTAGAATAAGCAAAAGAGTAAAATAGGCTATGTACTATACCCTCAAGTATTCAGTGCCTCATAATACAACCCCCAGGACCTATCATCGAACTTCTCCTGATTAGTGTCCCCTACTTGGGATGGGTCTCTCCATCCTCTTACGCGTCACCAAATTTCCCTATTATGTTTCCTGTTATCAGTGCCCTGACAAAAGGGTACTGGTCTGATAAACTCATTCAGCTCAGGGTGTACATATAAATAGTAGCCTAATGAGAGTAAATTTGTAAAATACTTATCCACTAAATAACAATTTTTAAAAATAGAGGCCAACATTTTTTAGTATCAAGGTGCAGACATTGCACCAATCATTTTAACCACATCATCTTATTTAATCTTGTCAACTCTACAACATAAGTATTGTATTATCCCCATTTTTTGGATGAGTAAAGCAAGGTTTGGAGTGGTCTCCCAAAGTCATACTATTAATAAATGGTCAAGCTGGGATTTCGATACAGGCCATTTGAATCCAAAGCCTATAGTTTTCACCACAGTGCCATGAATTGTGACTGCTATAAATAACAATGACAACAAAAACCATAATACTTGCATATCTGCTTTAATGTATTTCTTCCAAAAGCACAAATCGTGGCCATTCAGACTGGTTTACTTTATTTTTTTCTCCAGCTTTATTGAGACATGATTGACAAATAAAAATTGTGTATTTTCAAGGTGTGCAACGTGATGATTTGATATACATATACATTATAAGTGATTACCACATCAGTTCACTTCCAGAAGCCTTCATATAACCGCTTATTGGCAACTTCCTCATATCTCTGTATTTCCATTCATTAATTTGGCCCTAATAATTTCAACAGCTATAAAAAATAACAGCAAGTCCAGACCTTCTCTGACAATGAAGCTGCCTCCATTTTTCCAAGATCAAGAGTTGCGGCTGGTTGTGGTGACCCAGGCCTGTAATCCCAGCACTTTGGGAGGCCGAGGTGAAATATTTAAATTAAAAAAAAAAAAAAAAGGTGCAACGTCTTTGTCATTCCTCTGTGCTCTGTTTTCAGTCATATTATTTTCTTCATCATCGTTACTGACCTGCTTCCTCCCTCAAGACTGTTCAAACTCCTCTGGCTTCTGGAAATGGTCTCTGTTACTGTAAGTGGTCAGAGACAGAAGGGCCATGAACGTGGCCTAACCCACTCCAGGAAACCCATCACCTTTTCAACTTCCCCTTTCCTCACGCCTCCTCCCTCCCCCAGCTGCTCTCCCTACTCCTTCGCTTCCTCATTTGCAGCATAAGAAAATGTGCCCGGGAAACCAGCACAGGACAAATCCTGGAACACACTCAACATTGTACTTCCCATGAAGAGAGCAGTCACGTCTGGGCCTAGAAGCTCACAGTCAGCCTCCGGGGCTCTGAGGAGAAGGGGCCATTACCTCAGCCTCCCAGAGACAGACTCAGGCGCCCTGGCACCGCCACACACAGTGACACTGCCTGGCAGGGGGCTGTTTTTCACTGTCTCTACTGTCTGTGTGACTCCTGCAGCTGCCTCCAGTTCTCTAATCCAATCAGAGCTACATTGTCCTGTTTCTGTTATATTCATGCTCAGATTGCCAGACACAAGATATTTATCAATTCTGGCAAACCTGTCTCTCTCAAGAGAGGCCATCTCTGAGTCAGGCTGAGCTGCCTTACCTGCCCAGACTGTTCAGGGTCTTTCTTGGGTAAGACTCCACTTTCTATGCCTTTTCCAATTCATTCACATTCCTTCATGCTCTCCAGGATCCTTGGGGGCAATTTAGTGCCCTTGATAACGTCTTGAGTGTGGTGGAAAGCCCCACTTCCTGCAGGGTGGTGCATGACATGGAAAGGCTGAGCTCCTCTGTTGACAGCATTCAGTCAAGGACTTACTGACGTGTTGTAACAAGCCATCTCCAAACCCGTCTGGTGGAAAACTGATGTACCTGTTCAAGGGGTGCAGACAATATTTAGAAGTTTTCCCCAAAAGTTATAATTACATTTTTCTTTCAAGTAAGACACAATAATGACCTCCCCCCCACCCCCCGCAACATGCGCGCGCACGCACACACACACACGTTCTAATTCCCGGAACCCTGTGAATATGTGACCTTACCTGGCAAAGGGGACATTGCAGCTGTGATAAGTTAAGGATCCAGAGTTGAGGAGCGTATACTGGATTATTCAGGTGGGGTCAATGTATTCACATGGGTCCTTAACTATCAGAGTAACTTTCCTAGCTGTGATCAGAGAGAGGTGGCTAAGACAAGGCAACACTGCTGGCTTTGAAGATGAAGAAAGAGAATGTGAGCCAAGGAATAAAGACAGCTTCTGGAAGCCAGAAAAGGCAAGAGAATGATTGTCCCCTAGAGCCTCTGGAAAGAAGGCAGCCCTCCAGTCACCTTGCTTTTACCCCAGTGAGAGCTGTGTGGGGCTTCCGACATCTAGAACTGTAAGATAATGAATTTGTGTTGTGTTAAGCCACTACATTTGTGGTGATTTGTTATGGTGGAGGTGGGAAACTCATATAGGCCTAAAAGAAGGAACAGGTAGTTCAAGGACCTTTTCTTCTTAGAGCCACATTAGATAAGAAATTATCAAATACCCACCTCTTAATTGGCAGTTACCCTCTCAACAGGCAACTGTCACAACATCTATGAAAAAGATAAGGTCATTGTGTCATCAAATGGGACTTGCTGCTATTTCCTGAAGAGATTCAACATGAGAAAGTTTGAAAAAAAAAAAAGAAAAAATGTAAAAGACCAACATTATCCAAACGACTTAGGAATATCTGTTGCTACTGACTGGGAAAAACATGGACTGTTACATATTAATTTTAACCCTGAGCTCATTTCCAATGCAAACTGTTAACCTTTAACAGCAATGTTCTTTTTGATTACAAAGGAAATAAGCACAATGCAGAGTTAAACATTTTGTTTTCTAGAGTCTGAAAGACATAAAGGAATACTGGAATTCTTTGAGATCATTTGGAGTCAGGGCGACTTGGTTAATGTCAACTCACAATTAAGGCTGGAGAACCTGTCTGCAGCCCATATTGTGGCATTTGGGAATTATGCAGGGCCCAGTCATCAAACTTTCAAGTGGAGAAAACTAGATCCAATGCCATTCTGGTATGAAGTGGTTACACTTGTCCAAATTTGATCAAGAGTGTTTAAAGCAAATGTCAAGGTAATTGAAACTTTCTCTTGTCATTCGAGTTTCATTTCACACCTTCTCCCAAATATTACAAAAGTGAATTTTCTTTGCCCCAGCCCTTGAATATGGCATCAAAAAAAAAAACAGCTTTGTGTTCTTTTATTACTTATCTTTATTTTAATTGTAAAAAAATTGAGTTAATAAAAATTGCTACTATTTACTGAGCAACTATTATGTGCCAGTCACCTGAGATTCACTATCTCATTTAATCCCTCAATTAAGGATTATTATTTCCATTCATTACATGAAAAAAATGAGGTTGGAAAGTCTAAATGACTTGCCCAAACTCACAGAGTGAGAGGTGGTGAATGCCAGAACATCTTCACCGCTCCTTGGTCCAGGGGCTCTTGGTTCACTCATTATTTCCTATGTTTCTTTAGTATGAAATATAGTCAAAGCCAAAAAGAAGTGTAAAATAAAATTTATTAGTAACCGGTGGGTCCACTATGAGTTTATGAGTCCATGCCCCCACCTCAAATTTGGGCTTCCCATAGCAGTATGCAGAGAGGACCACCAGCTTCCCTCTCTGGGGTAGACGAATAGGGAACTAACAAACCTCTTCCTCATTTTTAAGTGTGGCTTAAGCAGTCAGTAATTAAATTTATCTTGTGATACGGCATCCTGAGAGGCCTGGAAGGGTAGGAATACCAACATGGCCTGAAGGCACATGTCACAATTGAGGATCACAAGTTACTTTAGTTTTATCAGTGCTTCCTAAAAATGTTTTCCTAGTATCCTAGTGCCATGCACATTGGTGTATTTGCTGTATCAAGGTAGTTAGCCCTCAGATGTTTCCTCTTCTATAGTTCCTGGCCCACCCTCCACTCTTTACATCAAAATAATTATTTCACAGAGGTTTTCTACTGCAATGGCTGCTGGGGAATAATTCCTCAACTCTCTCCTTTCTTACCTTCCTTTTAGCTGCCTTAATTCTGCTCCATCTTGCAATTTCATTGGCCAGTCTTAATTTCTCCAATTTGCTGTGTAGTTGCCATGATGTTATGATTTCCTTGTGAATCACATTACAATGTCTGGAGCTCCGTTCAGGTGGCTGGAGGACTTTCAGCAAAGAATTAGTAATAATAGTATGATTGCATTGTCTGCTACAAGAACAACCAAGAATAAAATACAGTGAATTCATTTTTTCTGGTTCTAGTCACTTAAGTTTTGCTATCCAGCAGGAACAATGCTGTTTTCGCTAAGGAGCCCACCTTAGCTCATTGGTGTAGTGATCAATACTTATGACATTTTATCACTTACGTAGGTATATAATTAATATGATACAATTACTGTTTATATGCTGTGGCAGTGGATTTAAAAAACACGAGAGGTGATAAGACAATGAGTTTAGGGTTTTTGTTTGGGTTTGGTTTTGAGTTATGTTCCCAGGCTCAGAAGAATCACTAGCATTATGGGCAGTATACCTGTAGATGGGTCAAAATATGACAGTAAATGCCTTGTGAGAAAGTAGGTCACTTCTTGCGGAGATTGTTCTAATGCAAGAAATAAAAGAGAAAGCAATCCATCTGGGATCTGGCCTTTCATTTTTCTGATTTAGAGTTCGGGCCGAAATGTAAGAAAACCTGCATTCTGTTCCTGTGCTTAGTACTCATTCTTCCAGGATTCCTCAGGGTTACAAGTAATAAAACAGGCAGAGAATTGCAAGCAAGAAGACACAAACTTCCTTCTAAAATATTGGACAAGGCCAACCTCTATAGTCAGACTAATACAGAGTGAAATTCAGGAACAATGATACCAGCAAACAAAACCAAAACGAAACAGAAAGCTGTATGCCAACTCAACATCAGGAAATATGACTACCTATAATTTGCCTTAATAATATCTGAATGAAATGTAGAAATTATAAGTAGGAGAGATTAAAAATAAATTACAAAATTTACAGGTGCTAGACTAAGTGTAATCAGACTTCAAACACATCCAGATTAAATATCAAAGGCCTTGATGTAAAATATTTCATTAAGGGAAGCTGAGAAAGCCTTGGCATACTAAAATAAGAGAAGAACAAACATTAATAATAACTTTGTTATAAGGATGACTGATACCTGTAGTAACCATGCACAAAATTTTCTTTGGAGTTATTATTTTCCCCAAATTTCAGTATTTCTAATGCACATCTCAAGGTCATAATTTTTCTTCTATTTCTGAAGTTTAGCAAACACATTACGAATTCCCTGGAAGGGGCTAGAGCATGGGAAGATAAAGGCAAGGGGCTAATATTTTCTTCAGATAACTGACCAAGAAACAGTGAAGATGTGTTGAGTGATATCTTCAAAATCATGTATTAGACTTTTACTTCTAGAAGATGAAATGGTTTGCACCAAACCAATTATTAAGAACAAACAGAAAAGCCAGATAAAATATTTTTTAAAAAAGTCAGGAACAACAACCCTCTACTTGAAGGCATTGGAAAGAGACTGAGGCAACCAGGATTTGACGAACCAACATCCTGGAGAGAAGAGAAAAAGGAGAAACAGAGAGCTGAGCTGATATTCTACAAGCAGGTTTTCCCCTTAGAGCAATTGACAGATTTTGGCTTGAAACCAGAAGTTAAGAATCCACTTTACAGGACTGAGCTAATAAACAGAGAAATAAACAGAGCTTATAGAAATCTCACACGGCTGTAGACAAAAAAAAACACACAAAAGAGAAAACAAAACAAAAATAGTAAGATGGGATGGTGGGGGGAGGGGGACGGGGGGGCAGTTGCCAAAGTATCCAAGACTTAAGGGAACAGAATCCAGGAGAGAAGGGTAGCAGGAGGAAGTAGACTAGATATACTCATTTTCTCCAAGAGGCATTTGCTGATTTTTTCTTAAGCTGCATAAGACAAGAAGCAGAGCAGGAAGTCACAGAAAATCAGAGCAGAGTTTTTGACCTTCTCACAGAGTTGAAGTGGCAAAAATTGGAGTTCAGAACCTGTCAAGGTGGAGAAGCCCCAGTCAATACTCCAGGATCTCAGCTGAGACTTCTGGGGGCTACACCCCAATGAGGAGTGAACCAGAAGTCGATGCAACTGTCAGAACTTCAGAACAATGTATACACTCACACATACAGACACCCTATTGGTTGTGTTTCTCTGGAGAACACTGACCAATAAAGAGCAAAGGACTCAAATGGGAACAGGAGAAAGCTTTAATTCATGTAACTGGAACTCCAGAGGCAAGGAGAGAATGACAATGAGGAAGAAACACTATTTGAAGGTATAATGGCTTAGTATTTATCAAACCCAATGAAGGACTTGAGCCACAGATTGATTCAAGGAGCATTATAAAAACCAAATTGGAGAAATACTAAGAAAACCATACCTAGGCACCCCACTGCTAAAAACAAGAAAAAGAGTTTCTTGGGAATGATGTCAGCAAAATGGCGGAGTAGGCAGCTCCAAGATCCAGTACCCCCAAAAAAACATCAAAAAAAACAGCAAAAACTATCAGAACCAAATATATAAGAATGTTGAGAAAGAGTCATGATTTGCAGCAACTTAAGAAAATGTGGAATTAAGAAAAAGGCAACTTTTAAAACTTCCTGGCATTCAAGGAAATCTTTGTCAAATTGCCAATGGGACACAAACTAAGGGACAGAGATTTCAGTGATACCACACTTCAGAATTTAGGAAACCTCATATTTTTGGTGGGAGTATAAAATGAAGCAGCCACTGTAGAAAACAGTTCAGCTGTTTCTCCTGAAGTTAACATAGAATATCATATTATCCAGCAATTTTTCTCCTAGGTATATACCCAAAATATTAAAAACAAGGACTCAAATGGATACTTGTATGCCAATATTCATTGCAGGATTATTCACAATAGCCAAAAGGTAAAACAACCTAAATGTCCACCAACAGATGAATGGATAAACAAGACAATATATCCATACAATGGAATGTCAATCAGCCATAAAAGGAATGAAGTTCTAATACGTGCTACATCACATATGAACCATGAAAACATGCTAAGTGAAAGAAGTCAGTCACAAAAAAGTAAATATTATTATTCCATTTATATAAAATTCCTACAATAGACAAAATTATAGAGACAGCAGATAGAATAGAGATTACCAGAAGCTGGGGAAAGGCTGTAATGGGAATTTATTGCTTAATGGATATGGAGTTTCTGTCTGCGATGACGGAAAAGTTTTGAAAATAGTTGTGATGGTCACACAACATTAAAAGTTGCTAGATAAGATGGGAACCTTATTTTCAAAGGATCAATGACACTGACAGCTGACTCCTCTAGAGAAACAAGTAATCAGAAGATAACATACTAATATGTTTAAAGTGTTTTAAAGTGCCAGATCTACCAAGAATTCAATAATAGTGAAAATATTCTTTACCAGTAAAAGGTAAGTAAAGGCACTTCTAGGAAAAAAACTGATTTTTTTTTTTACTTTTATGTTAAATTCAGGGAAACATGTGCAGGATGTGCAGGATTTTTACACAGGAAAACGTATCTCATAAGGGTTTATTGTACAGATTATTTCATCACCCAGGCATTAAACACAGTATCCATTAGTTATTTTTCCTGATTCTCTCCCTCATCCCACTTTCCACCCTCCAATAGGCCCCAGTGTGTGTTGTTCCACTCTATGTGTCCATGTGTTCTCATTATTTAGATTCCACTTATAAGTGAGAACATGCAGTATTTGGTTTTCTGTTCCTGCATTAGTTTGCTAAGGATAATGGCCTCCAGCTCCATCCATGTCCCTGCAAAGGACATGATCTCATTCTTTTTATGGCTGTATAGTATTCCGTGGTGTATATGTATCACATTTTCTTTATGCAGTCTATCATTGACAGGCACTTGGATTGATTCCATGTCTTTCCTATTGTGAATAGGGCTGCAGTAAGCATATGCATCCATGTGTCTTTACAATCGAATGATTTATATTCCTTTGGGTATATACCCAGTAATAGGGATTGCTCGGTTGAATGATATTTCTGTTTTTAGGTCTTTGAGGAAATGCCACACTGTCTTCTACAATGATTGTACTAATTTACACCCCTACCAACAGTGTATAAGCATTCCTTTTTCTCTACAAACTTGCTGGCATCTCTTATTTTTTGACCTTTTAATAATAGCCTTTTTGACTGGTGTGAGATGGTATCTCATTATGGTTTTGATTTTCATTTTTCCAATAATCAGTGATGTTGAGCTTTTTTAAAAATTTTTTTGTAGAGATGGGGTCTTGCCCTGTTGCCCCAGGCTGGTCTCAAACTCCTGGGCTCCAGCAACCTTCCTGCCACGGCCTCCCGAAGTGCTGGGATTATAGGTGTGAGCTACTGCACCTGGCCTCTGCCATTTCCTTTGTCTCTTTACCAACATTCAGCACAAGGATGTCCTTCATCAAATTATTAAGACTAAGGGTCAAGACAATTGCTAGAAATTAGCCTGAGCTTAACCCAAGTTCGTCTTCTGCCCTGTGCAGCACTACCATGTATCTTATTCATCCCCCTCATTAGCCTACCTACCTCATTCACACCCCATTTAGTGTTTCCACAATGGCTGATGGAAGCCTAATGCAACCAATATCCCAGTAGGAAGTCATTAACTACCATCTCCCCTTTACAACTACTAAGAGAGAGCATACCAAAATAATGGTACACTCCCTGCCACCCCCATTCTATCCAGCACTCAACAGTGAGGATCCTGACACTCGGTCCCCTGGGTACAGAAAACAAACTCACACAGTGTTGCCACTGGAAGGTCAGAGCCCTTCAAATCGTATTCCTACATAATCACCTGTTACTTCTTGGCAGGCCAGCCTTTTCTTGACTTCAATTCAGTTATTTGGGCCCTAACTAAAGTGATCTTCCAAGACTGTTGTTTTGGCCTGAAATCCATTGGGTTTAATTGTTTTTAAGGGTGCTAAACACCATATTAAACAGTGTTGACTGATATCTCACTTATTTGAATAACGCCAGTTATCAATGGTTTCATCACGTGAATGGCACGGATCACTCTGCAGACTATGCAGCCTGATGCATAGGAAGGTTCCAAAAGAAATAGTCTCGAGATGGCTTTTGATTTTATTTAAGAGTATGGTGGGCCAGGCGCGGTGCCTCACGCCTGTAATCCCAGCACTTTGGGAGGCCGTGTAGGGTGGATCACGAGTTCAGGAGTTCAAGACCAGCCTGGCCAACATGGAGAAATGCTGTCTCTACTAAAAATACAAAAATTAGCTGGGCATGGTGGCATGTGCCTGTAATCCCAGCTACTTGGGAGGCTGAGGAAGGAGAATTGCTTGAACCGGGACCTGGGAGGCAGAGGTAGCAGTGAGCCGAGATCACACCACTGCACTCCAGCCTGGGCAACAGAGCAAGACTTTGTCTCAAAAAAAAGAAGAAAAAAAAAAGTATGGCATTGAAAGTCAAACTCTCTCTTTTTTTCCAGTAAAAATAGAGAAATTTTAGGCCTCTTCACTTGGAGTTAGGAGGATCCCAGACATATTAGACCAATATCTAAGATTCAGCAAGCTTAAAGTTAAATATGTCTGTGTTAAGGAAATGGATGTCTAACCCCAAGTCATTTCCTTATTTTTTGAAATCCCCTCTGAATTGGGAATGGGCATTCTTATGGGGTAAAGAAAATCCTATGAAATCTTTTTTGAGACAACAGTATCAATTGATAGCTAAGCAGCTGTCCCTCAGATAAGCATTTAAAATCATGGAAATATCCTGAAGGTCCAGGGGAGATGATGAGACATGCTATGTATCATTGCTATTTATAAAGGATGTATAACTTACTTGGAAGTTACCAGTCTGTGTGGGATATGTGAGACCTGAGGAATGGTTCTTCCAATGGCAGTGAACTTCCATTGATCATGGACTTCCTGAGTAACCAGCTGTCTCAAGCCTGCTTCCTCACAGATCTTTCTCCAGGATGCTATCCCAGAATTCCAGTCATGAAGTCACCACTTTGGGATGTCATCTGCTACAAGTTTTTGAGCCAGCAGACCATTGAGCACCTGCCAGTTGCCAAACTATGGATGGCATAGTGCATTTTACTCCCTGCTGTCCCTAGAAGCAGGCACAATGCATTTCCAAGGGCCTGCTCCAAGAACCCCTCTCTTTGTAGTGAATATGCCTAGTTTCCAAATCCTGATCCCTCCTAGTCTGACCGTATCTGCTACCTCTTGAGCCCAATCAATCAAACTCTGTGTGCCTGTGGATATATGTTCATGTGCACACATATGTTCATGTGTGGATGCATGTAAACTCGGAGAATGATACAGCAGAAAATACCTTAACTAATTAGCCCGTATTTTTTAGATCTTCTTTGTCTTGTCCTAGGGGTCCTACAGAACCCCTTTAAGGGCAGAGTAGCTTTAGGAGGAGAAAATGAGGAAACTCAGAAGATTTCAGGGACCCCAAAGCCCCACAACAATTCAGCTTTCTGACCATCAGTTTTACATGTTGACTTTTACAGAAAGAATGTTTTTGAAGAAAGGGCACTCTCACTTTAAGCAACAAAAAGAAAACAACAATGGTTGAAAACCAGAGATTCTAGTCCAACTCCTTTGTTTTACAAGTAAGAAACTCATGAAGAAATGAAGATTGTCCCACAGTCACATAGCTATTTAGCTACAGTTGGAACTAGAACTGAGGTTGATTGATTCCCCAACTGTACATTTTCTATTCACCACACAACAAGGAGAAAGGGAAAAAAAAACAATACTGGTGTGCTTGTTGCATGCATTAGTGATTAGGATATGTCTCGATGACAACCTAGGATTTAAATGCCAAGTGAGAATGTGGGAGTGGAATTGTTCCATCCTATAATGAGTCCCAAGAAATCTTGAGCAAATGAGAGAGTAAGAAAAGGACTGAAATCTTGAGCCAAAGGAAATTCTTTCTGGATGTGTTTGGTAACCTTCAGCCTACATTTTCACTAGTAAAGAGGCAGCATGAATCCTAAATGGTCCTTGTAAAAAGCTTCCAATCAGAAACATCAAGATGGCAAGTCACCTTATAAGCCAGTAGATTTCAGAGCTTCTTGTATATTTGATATTTGTTAAAAGTGTTCATAGAGTTGTGGCAAGGCTTCTGAACAGAATGCAAACTGCATCTGGTCAAGAAAACTCTAGTGAAGAAAGCTACTAAAGCCAATTGGGATGGTCTTACTGATCAGAATCTTTTGTTCATGCAGATATACATGGACCTACAGAATCATGCTGAAAAGGATTCTCCTAAGCTTTAAATCTGTATTTGGTTTGCAGTATGAATGACTAGGAGCAATACTCAATCATGGATGTGGATTAGAATCACCTGGGGGGCCTTAAAAAATACTGCTGCCCAGACTCAACTGAAAAGAATTAGGAATTTCCGCAGGTGAGAGTTGGACATCAGTATTTTTTTAATGTTCCAAATGATTTTAATATATGACCAAGGTCAAGGACCACTGAGTCAGAGGGTTCTCAAAAGAACCCAAAAGATAAGGAAGGAAGAATGAGAGGGAAAGGAAGATTACTGGGTCCCGATCAACTAAAGTGATGCTCTGTCAGATCACTTTTTGTTGTTTGAAGAGCACCCTTTCTCAGCAAACATAAGTGGTGAGTGACCCACATCACCAACAGAACCGTGCTAGGAGCATGTGGCTGCCATGCTCCAACCCTCAAAGCCTCACTACTCCAGTGGGTCTTGCTCTCGGCGTGAAACAGTCTCCAGAATTCTGCCTGAAAGGTAACCACCCAGCTCTCACTCATGACCCCTGCTTCCACTTCTAGGAGCAGCTAATTTTACCCCCATCTCTCAGGAAGACTTGAACCTCTCACTGAAAAGACACCTATCTTTCACCACCATGAGTATAAAAGAGAATGTTCTCATATGCCATTGTTTTTTATGAGTCCCCAATGGAATCCCTCTTGCTTCTTCTCACAGCCTCTGTCTCCAGGTAAAGAGAAAGGAGACTCTTCTGGTAATGGATATTTCTTCTCAACTGAATCCTTTTTTTTTTTTTTTTTTTTTTCATAAGAGACAGGGTCTCACTCTGTTGCCCGGGCTGGAGTGCAGTCACAGCTCACTGAAGCCTCTACGTCCTGGGCTCAAACAATCCTCCCACTCAGCCTCCTAAGTAGCTGGGACCTACAGGCATATGACACCATACCTAAGTTGTTTGCTTTTTGTAGAGACAGGGTCTCACTATGTTGCCCTGGCTGTTCTCAAACCCTGGCCTCAAGGGATCCTCCCACCTTGGCCTCCCAAAGTGCTGGGATTGCAGGCATGAGCCACCAAGCCCAATCTGAATCCCTTTATAACACTTGAATTTCCAGTAGCCAAAAGAAACTCCAAAGACCTCTGCTAGCTTTGGTGAAAGCTCAAATGCTGCAGTCCCAACCCCCTTTAGGGGATGCTGCTCATCACCTGCCGACAATGTCCAAATCGCCTACCCTTTCAGCAAGCAAGCATTCCCTTCACTTAACTCCTCACAGAGCCCAGCACGTTACAAAAATATGGCAGCCTGGCAGCCTGACTTGGTTGAGAGTGCAATTGCTCAGCCTCCTGGACTGCTTGTGTTCCACAGCCCTGACAGCTGTGAATCTGCCCCTGGGAGGGAGGCCAAAGTTCTGAGGGAGGGAAATTGGAAGTGGATTTATCCTCCTATGAATATCATCACACCCTCAATACCTGTGCGGTTTTGTTTGTTTGTTTGTTTGTTTTTCATTAGCAGGAGCTAACAGAAGGCATATTCTGTGGAGTGTCGGGGAGTGGGGTAGGGGGTGGTAAGGAGCTCCTCTGAGGCAGGTGGGGCAATGAGATGATAATAATTCCAGGAGTCAGAAATTATGAAGTCTGCTCCCAGCTTCATCAGTCATGTGCGTGGGACCAAGGGCAAGTGTCCATTTCCGCATTTCCAAAGCAAAATGGTCTCTAAGGAAAGCACAGTGGGGATGGCATGGCCTTGCCATGCCTGCAGCTGGGGAAATCTCAATAGAAAAACAACTGGGGCACAGCAGAAATTATCTGAGGAGTCAGAAGGCAATATAAGGAAAAGTTAAAAGTACTATCTTCAGTGCTTTAAGAAATGAACAAAGGAATAATTATATTAAGGGAATAGTGTATGAAATTCTTTTCCACAAGAACTGAGGCTACTGAATTTCAGGAAGAAACACAATTCTTAATATTTGGATCAGGCATTGCACATGTAAGAATTGAATGTTCCCATTTCCTGAACATGCAGAGCCTTTGTTCTCCATATGCTACCTCTATGCTCCCTGCACGGGCTTCTCGTCAGAATTATACAGAATGCCCAAATGTTGGAGAACTGGGATGATTTTGCATCTAACAACTTGGCTTCCAATTTGGATCCCCTAGGAAATGAAATTCCAAGGGGAGATTTAGTCTAAATGAAGCCCCCACAGGAAAAGCTTGCAGGGATGCCAGCTCTAGCTTTTCCAAGCTCCCGCAGTAATGCTGAGAACGACAGGCAACCAACCATCAAGAAGAGACAAAGAGCCAAATGTGTTTCGCAGATCTAATCACACTGTGAGCCTGCCGGTGAATGTCTAAAGATGTCCCTGTCAGCACAGGCTGCTCCATCATGGACCCAAGGAAGCCCCATCACTTGGGATCTAAAACTGGCCAAACAGTAGGCTGACACATCTCCTTAGTGGCCTCATTGTTCAGACAGGGAAGCCCACAGTGTGTCCTCATTCTGAAGGTCTTTTCCTTTGCGGGTATCTAAGGATCCGCAGGCTGGGAGCTTCCTGGGATGAACAGAAGGACTGGGTCTGTGCATGTTCACACATCTCATTTCATTCACTCACACTTCAAAAGGCTTCAGCTTATGTTAAAATTTTAGCTCTTTCTTATTCTCAAATCTGTTTTTGAAGCTGCCACAAGTATGCCTGAGTTCCAGGTATAATATATAGCTCTTCACTGCCTCCCACTTCCAAGCCTTGCTACCAAGTATGCCACTCACATTTTCCCCTTTCAACACAAACCTGATGCTTTTCATGCTTTCCTCTGCAAATGATGGATGGTAGCTGAGCTAAATATGGAGACAGGGGTTACAGACACGTTTTGTTCCTGTTAAATGTTCTACTTCTTGTGTTATTGCTTTCTCTGCTTCACATTAACTCACTTCCTTCCTGGTTTCTAAAATGTAGGTGCCTATGATTGGAACCTTGGAGGCTGAGAGAGCGACTTCATATTCTAGATCTATCTTTAGGTCTAAAGAATGCCTCCATTTACCTGTAATTTCCCGTTAGAAGGGAGTCAATCACCTGTCACTTTTGTGGTCTGAGACGAACAAGCTGCCTGAAATTTGGGATACCTGTTGTTTTGTCTTCAACCAATGAAATGAAGAGTAATTATGAAAGTGGCATTTCCGGAAGATTACTGTTCCAAGTTTTCCCATAACTTTTAACAAGCTAAACTTGGGGTCTTGTGAAAATTCATGAATGCTGACAAAAAAGTAGAGGGCTCAGGCTTTGGACATGATCACAACGAACTTAGTCTCCTGTTTCTACCTCTCACAAGCTTGTGACCTTGGGCAAGCTGTTTATACTTTGCTATAGCTGGCATGTTGTCATCCTAACCTCCTGTGGAAATTTGATCCCCAGTGTTGGAGGTGGGACCTAATGGGAGGTGTTTGGGTCATGGGGGCAGATCCCTCATGAATGGATTAATGCCTTCCTGGAGGCGGGGTGAGTGAATTCTCACTATTGATTCCCAGGAGAGCTGGTGGTTAAAAAGAGCTTGGTGCCCTCCACCCCTGCTTCCTCTCTCATTGTGTAATGACTGCACAACTGGGCTCCCCTTAGCCTTATACCATGAGTGGAAGCAGCCTGAAGCTCTCACCAGAAGCAGATGTTGGAGCATGCTTCTTGCACAGCCTGCATCATCGGGAGCTAGATAAACCTCTTTTCTTTGTAAATTACCCAGCCTCAGGTACTCCTTTTTAGCAACACGAAGACACAGTTGGAGATCCTCAGTTTCCCAGTCAAGGTGCCCACATTGCAATTAGGTGTCATATCTCTTTAGTATCCTTTAATAGAGAACGATTCCCATGTATTTTTTAAAATTTTGTTTATTGTTGTCTCTCTTGATGTTGACATTCAGAACAGTTATTTTGGAGACTATCTCACATTTTGAAGTTGTCCTGTTTTTTCCTCATGATTATATTCAGGTTTTCAAAGTGTGGCAAGAATATTACAAAGTTGATGTATGTCTCATTGCATCTCATCGAGTGGCACATAATGCCAATTTGTCCCCTCAGGAGTGATACCAGGTTTGATTACTTGTTTAAGGTGGTTTCTGCCAGATCTCTCCATTCAAAAGGAACTTCTTTTCTTTGTAATTAATAAATAATATTCAGTGGGGTAAAATTTTGAAACTTAATGAATATTCAGCTCCTCAAAAACCTTTCAACCAATAGATTTGGAATCTCTTAGTTATCCTTGTATAAATCATTCATTTATCATTTATCCACTAAGGTTTACAAAATGTTGATTTTTTTTTTTTTTTTTTTTCAGACGGAGTCTCGCTCTGTCACCCAGGCTGGAGTGCAGTGGCACAATCTCGGCTCACAGCAACCTCCACCTCCTGGGTTCAAGCAATTCTCCTGCCTCAGCCTCCCAAGTAGCTGAGATTACAGGCATGCGCCACCATGCCTAGCTAATTTTTGTATTTTTAGTAGAGATGGGGTTTTACCATGTTGGCCAGGCTAGTCTCGAACTCCTGACTTTGTGATCTGCCTGCCTCAGCCTCCCAAAGTGCAGGGATTACAGGCATGAGCCACCACGCCTGGCCACAAAGTGATGATTTTTGAAGTCTATCATTTTTTGTTTCTTCTATACATATTAATTGGCTTTACTTGGTTTTTAAAAAAGCCAACAAACAAAATAAAACTTTTCCTTTCTTTCTCTCTCTCTTTCCTGGTGATATTTTTTAAATCAATGTGCCATTGCCGTGATTATTTTTATTGATGTTTGAATTGCCATAAATGTGGTCAAAGGGGCTTCTGTGAAATTTCAGCTTTATTTTGTTTTGAGTGACTGATTTAGTGTTTACAATATACATAGCTATCTTATCACAGTCTACTTTCAAATAACATTATACTGATTTACAAATTGTTCGTGACCATTATAATAGCACGTATCCATATCTCCCCTCCAGCCCTGTGTGCTATTGTTGTCATGTAATTTTACTTCTATATACTTTTATAAATACAATAATAATTATTTTTGCTTTAAAGTCAACTATTTTTAAAGAAATTAAAATGAGAAAATTTTTCTTATATTTACTCATATTTTTCGTTTTCTAGTACACTTCATTTCTTTGTGTGGATCTAAATGTCTACCTGGTATTTTGCATTTACTTGAAGAACTTTAACATTGTTCTAACACGGGTCTGCTGGTAATGAATTCTCTGTCTCCCTCTCTTTTTTTTGATACAGGGTCTCACTCTGTCTCCCAGGCTGGATTTTGATGTGATCTTGGCTCACTGCAGCCTTGACCTCCTGAGCTCAAGCAATCCTTCTACCTCAGCCTCCTGAGTAGCTGGGACTACAGGCACACACCACCATGCCCTGCTAATATTTGTAGAGGCAAGGTTTCTCCATGTTGCGCAGACTGGCCTTGAACTCCTGAGCTCAATCCTGCCTTGGCCTCCCAAAGTGCTGGGATTACAGGTGTGTCACCGCAACTGGTCTGGGTTTTCATTTTTAAAAGCAATTTTGTCACGCTTCATTTTTAGAAGACATTTTTGCTGGTTATAGAATTTTAGATCCATATTTTTTCTTTCAGTACTTAAAAAATGTCACTGTTTTTGGCTTGCACAATTTCTCACAATAAGTCCACTGCCATTCTTACATTTGTTTCTCTGTTAATAATATGTTTTACTTTTTAGTTGCTTTAAACATCTTTTTTCTTTAGCATTAGTTTCAATAATGGGAATGTACTATGCTTTAGTGTAGCTTTATTTAGATTTATTTTGTTTGGGTTCTTTGAACGTCTCACATCTGTGGGTTTATAGGTAAATTTGTTTGTTTGAATCAAATTTGGAAGATTTTTTTGCCATTATTTCCTCATATTTTTTTCTAGCTTCTTCTTTCCCTTCTTGTAATAGAAGTAATTGCATGTATATTATACTGCTTGCCACTGTCAAATAGCTCATGGAACTTTATTGTTATTTTTGTATTTGTTTTGTTGGATTTTGCTGTTGCTGTTGTCCTTAGTTTTCTTCTTTTCCTCTTCTCCTGGTCCTCTTCTCTTCTGTCATTTTCTTCTCCTTCTTTAGTCATTTTTCTCTGTGATTCATGGGTTAGTTTCTACTTCTATGTCTTCATATAACCTTTGAGTCTACAGTGCCTAGTCTGCTGTTAATAGCATCTAGTGCACTTTTTATTTCAGATATTGTATTTTTCATCTTTAATATTTCTGTTTGGGTCTTTTTGTATCTTCTGTTTCTCTCCTTATTATATTCATGTTTTCCTTTGTCTTCTGGTGCATACCAAGCATATTTATAGTAGTGTTTTTAATGTCTTTGTCTGCCAATTTCATCATCTCAGTCATTTTGGGGTGAATTTCTATAGATTGATTTTTCTCCTAGACATGGGCTATATTGTACTACTTCTTTGCATGACTAGCTATTTTTGGTTTAATGTTGGACACTGAGGTTTGAGCTTTTCAGTGCTGTATTTTGTTGTATTTCTTTGAATATTATTGGAACTTGTTCTTCCTTGCAGTTAAGTTACTTGGAATCAGTTGTTTTCGTGTTACTTGGAAAACATTTTGTTGGGGTGGGTTAAGAGCAGTATTTAATGTAGGGATAATTTATCCCCACTGCCAAAATAATATCCTTTTGAGAACTATACCCAACATCCCATGTGTTATGAGGTCTTCCCACTTTGGCTGGTGGAAACACAAACTATTCCCAGCCCTCTGTGAGTTTTAGGAATTCTTCAGGCTACTGCTTTCCAGTAATTCTTTCCTTGGTCTTGGACATTTTCTCCTCTAGTACGCACAGAGCAGCACTCTGCTAAAGCCTGTAGACAATCCTCTGCAAATCTCTAGGGCTCTCTCTGTGCAACTCCCTTCTCTCTAGTATATGGCCCTGCAAACTCTGGCTGCCTTGGCCTCCCCAATTTCTAATCTATTTGTCTTTAACTTAATGAGATTCCCAGACTCTGTTGGGTTCCCCCTCCCCTGTACTGCAGCCTGGAAACTTCCTTAAAGCAGTAATCTGGGTCAATTATAGGACTGACTTCATTTGTTTCCTTTTCTCTGGAATGATAATCCTTTGATGTCTATTGTCCAATGTCTAACATTATTGTATCACACTTTCTGCTCAGTGTTCTAGTTGTTTAAGGCAGGGGGATCAGTTAGGTGCCTGTTACTCTATCATTGATGAAAGGAAAAGTTCTCCTATGTCTTTTGTCAAGTCCCCATCAGTGTTTGATTACCTTTGCACTTTCTGACACAACTGGATATTCTAGGTTAAAATTATTATTTCGCTAGTCCCATACCCAGAATCAGCCGTTTCTCCAAGGAGCTCTTGTTCCTTTAGTGGGAAATAGCATTTGGAAAACAAGATATGGGTACTAGATGTGCTCATTTACACTGTGGCACCATTTAATCAGTGTGCTTTTATTGGATAGATTTAGTAAGTATAATTTCTGAAATCATTGCTCTATACTGATATCTTGAATTAAAATTTAACAGCATTCTCTTCACCTTCTTCAGACCATATTTATATCCCTCTTTTGCTACAACAAGAACCATGGTTCTCAAAACATCACTATATTTATTTACTTACTAAGTACATATGATATAATTTCAGAATTATAACATCAATACCATTACCACAACAAACCTACTAGGTAAAGTTTAGGATTCTTTTCCAATTATTATTGTCTTCAATATATTTCCCACAAAGTATGAATAGTCAGAGTACTGTGTTCAAAAGTTATTTGGATTTTTTTCTATGTGATTTTGTTATAAATTTGATAATACAGTTAAGTTTATTTCTTGTTTTTATTTAATTTTAGAGCTTGCTTTTATCTCACCATTTTAGTTCAATTTTATTTCTTGAAAATGAGTAACCTTTACTTGATACAAAAATCATAGCCATCAGAGAACCCCTCTCCTATCCCAAACTCCTCTCCTGCATTCTGTGCACCTGTAGAGCAAACCATTGACATTACTCATTTATTTTCTCTGTAGAGTAAACCATCTACATTACTGATATATTTTCTCTGTGTGTTCTTTTAAATGAGCAAATTTGCATTTAGGAGTGTGTGTTTATGTATTTGTATTCTTATTCCTTATTTTTCCATATACAAAATATAACACATTATATATGCTACTTTTTTGTTTTGTTTTTTGCACATAACAATGGAAATGTACATATAAGATGTCTCTTATGCATCCAATTATAGATATCAAATAGGTAAACTGAGCATAGAAATATGGAGTTCAAGGGAAAGATGAGAGCCTTGAGATTTCTTCCTGGCAAGTTTCTCTACTAATTATTGAATAAGACTTCCTTATATTTTTACCCTGCCAATTATCAAAGCCTGCTTCACTTTGGTTTTGTTCAAGTTAACTCCTCTTGAAATTTTTTGTACACTACTTGAAAATAATAACCAAAAGTCTCTAAAGCACATTTTGAAAAGACAGACTTCTCTTTATACTGACGAGTTAGAATTCCATTATTCTCAATTCAATTGACCCCATTTTTAAAAACTCAATTCTCTTTATGTATGACCTTTGAGAACTTTCCGAGTTAACCACAGCTTGCTTAATTTGAGGAGGCCTATAAATGAAATTGTTTCAATTTGGTTTCAACTTCCTTATTTCTTCTAAACATTTCTCTAAAGATCTGGAACATTTTGAATTCTATATTTGCTCCATAAGCAGATTTCCACAAGAGCCAACCTGAAATTGTAGGAAAAGGAGGGTTTCTGTTGTTTCGTCAAATGAAATGATTTCAGTGTAAAATAGACATAAAAAGCAAACAAACAATAACTGTATTTACTGAAGAACTGACATTGAAAACCTGTTACTCGCATTACACAATAAGAGTAACTGATGTTAGTATATTGCACTGTTTTAGAGCAATTCATTGTCGTGGCCTTTCTATTCTTTCAACAGTGTAATACTACTAAGTAGAAAACCTAGATGAGGGGCTGAACAATTGCACATCTGAATAAATCAGAGCTCTTGCCTTCAAAGGGCTTTCTTACAGTTGAGGAGACAACTATATTCACAAGTATTGTTAAACTAAGAGGTATTGTATATCATCATGAAAAGAGCCTTAAATAAGAGGCAATGAGAGTTTAGTAACAGGTGCATTAATTCTGATGGAGGGATTTGATAAAATTCATACAGGACATAAGACTGAATCTGACCCTTTGAAGGCTGAGCAGGACTTTGACAGCAACAAGTGACAATTGGTTTTTTGTTTTTTTTTGTTTTGTTTTGTTTTTATTATTATTATACTTAAAGTTTTAGGGTACATGTGCACAACGTCTGTTGTAACACATGACACAGCAAATGATAGAAACTTTAACTGAGCCAGTTGCAGTGGGAGTGGAGAGGACAGGAAGGTCAAATGTCCAAAAATAGGAGGATTTAGTCAAATGTCATTCACAGTCCCACATTGCACTTTTTTTTTTTTTTTTTTCCCTGAGACAGAGTTTCACTTTTGTTGCCCAGGCTGGAGTGCAATGGTGCGATCTCAGCTCACTGCAACCTCCGCCTCCTGGGATCAAGGAATTCTCCTGCCTCAGCCTCCCTTGTAGCTGGGATTACAGGCACCCATCACCACGCCCAGCTAATTTTTTGTATTTTTAGTAGAGATGGGGTTTCACTCTGTTGGCCAGGCTGGTCTCGAACTCCTAACCTCAGGCGATCCACCCACCTCAGCCTCCCAAAATGCTGGGATTATGGGCATGAGCCTCAGCGCCTGGCTGCACATTTTTTTTTTTAATAACCTAAACCTTGGAGATGCTGAGAAAACAAAGTGAGTTTTGGGGGGATTTATTCTACCTTTCTTACAGAGTTTTCATGAATATCAACAAAAGTGAATGTGAAAAATAGTTTGTTTATTGTGTGGTGTTCCTGTTATTTCTATTAACAAAGGGAACAATAATAATATAGTTATTTAAAGGTGTTATTTTTTCCTTTGTGAAAACCTGGAAGTAAAATTGAAACCAAAGGCCGTAGTGAGTTTTGCTGTAGAAAATAATTCTACCACCAGTTTCAGAGTAAACTGTAGCTCCTGGGATTGAATACATTGGGTTCTACGACTGTACAAAAAGGGCCTCTGAACTCATATTTTAGCAGGAGAACTAGTTTTATTTCCCAGTGAGAAAGGAAACCATTGCAACACAAATAGTTCATTTTTCCCAGGGGTACAGAGTGGGTTCTGGTAATTCGGGGTTTTCAGGAATCTTTATTTTCCTCCTGTTCCTCAAAAAGACATGTGAAGACAAGTCATGGCCCAGAGTCCAATTCTATGACCAGTTTCATCTCTTCCACCCTGCACAGGCTGCACAACCTCCGAGGGACACATTCAGGCATACATTTCCCAAATAACATATTATCATCACCAGTATCATCTGCAAAGCATTTTGATAAATACCTGGTTTTACATGACTGCCCTTGTCAGGGCCTGCTGGTGTAGATAACCACGGACATAGACCTTACTAATTCAGCTCAATGGCTCAGGGCAATATAGGTTTCTGATAAGCAGGGAAAGCAATAATACCTAATATTTATCAAATGCATATTACATATCCGGACTCTCCTATAGCAGAGTCTCATTTTGTCTTATTTAATTTCGGCTTCAAACCACCATTTGAGTAAAGCCTTATTCTTAACCTTATTTTACTGATGAGAAAACTGAAGAAAAGAGTGATTAAATTTCTCATCCAGGCTGGGTGCAGTGGCTCACACCTGTAATCCCAGCACTTTGGGAGGCTGAGGCAGGCAGATCATCTGAGCTCAGGAGTTCGAGACCTGCCTGGCCAACATGATGAAACCCCGTCTCTACTAAAAATACCACAAATTAGCTGGGCATAGTGGCAGGTGCCTGTAATCCCAGCTACTCAGTAAGCTGAGACAGGAAAATCACTTGAACCTGGGAGGTGGAGGTTGCAGTCAGCCAAGACTGCACCATTGCACTCCAAACTGGGGAACAAGAGTGAAACTCCATCTCAAAAAAAAAAAAAAAAGTATCTCATCCAAATTACAGTACTGTGTGGTGGGGCCAGGGATTTTCACCCCAGCAGTGTAGCTTCAGAGTTTATATTTTTAACCACTGAAGTTAATTGCTGCCAACAACGTATTTCATGAATTAAGAATAGGAAGGACTTATAGCTGGTTGGAATCTAAGAAAAGAAACAGAGAATTCCATGTCTGGATATGGGTTAAAGAGATCCTGGCAGCCTCTCAAAGGAGAGAGGAGAGAGCAAAAAAGCCAGGCTTGGGTTTGAATGAAAGCTTTGCCACTTATTAAGATTGTGACTTTTGGGGGATACTTAGCCTCTGCATATCTCTGTTTCTTTATCTATAAAATGAGGATGAATGTAGCACATACAGCAAACAACTGAAGTGAGATTTATAGAACTAATACAAGTGAAGAGTCTATTAGTAGTAATTGGCACATAGACTATGTTTAAATTATTATTATTTTTAGAGAAAGGGTCTAGCTCTATGGCCCCAACTGGATTGCAGTGGCATGATCATAGCTCACTGCAACCTTGAAATCCTGGGCTCAACATATCCTCCTGCCTCAGCCTCCTAAGTAGCTTGGACTACAGACTCACACCACCATGCCTAGCTAATTTTTTCTCTTTTTTGTAGAGATGAGGACTCATTCTGTTGCCCAGATTGTTCTTGAACTCATGGGCTCAAGCAACCCTCCTGCTTTGGCCTCCTGAAGTGCTGAGATTACTGGCATGTGCCATCAAGACAGGCCAAAATTATTATTATTATTATCATTATTTTGAGACAGGGTGTTTTGTTGTCACTCAGGCTGGAGTGCATTGGCACAATCACAGCTCACTTCAGCCTCAGCCTCCTGGGCTCAAGTGATCCTCCTGTCTCAGCCTCCCAAGTAGCTGGGACTACAGGCATGCACCCCTATGCCCAGCTAATTTTTTAATTTGTATTTTTTTTTTAGAGATGGGATCTCACTAGGTTGCCCTGGCTGGTCTTGAACTCCTGGACTCAAGCAATTCTCCTGCCTCAGCCTCCCCGAGTGCTGGGATTATAGACGGAGCCACCACACAAATGAGAATTTGGCTACCAGGCAGCTCCTCTGAAGAACAGCACAGTTTATCCTCATACTATAATGTGTGTTCACAGGTAACAGAACATTCTCTCCTCAGACAGGGACATATTTGGACTGAGGAAGAATTGAGGAGAAGGAGCAGGCGTTTGAGGAATTGAAGGCCCACCCCAGCCAAGACTCCAGCTCTCCACCATAGGATCCTCAGCTATGACATTGAAGTGCCCTCTGAATTGGCTTCCTTCCTTACCCAGGGTTCTGGCTTGCATGGTAGATTCTCATGGTAGATTTAGGCTCCTCCTCAGTCACTTCCTCCTGCAGCAGCCACAGAGCAGTCCTGGGTACCTGCCTCTCACTGGAACACAGGGAGACGTTGTCTCGTCCCAGGCATGCCCTGCTTAGAAGAGAATCTCAGCCTCTTAGAAAATGAAAATAAAGCTGAAGGAAAGTAAGAGTATTAAGGCATCATGAGGGTTCATAACTCAGACCAGAAAATGTCTGAACAGATCTGATTTTAACTCCTTGCTTACCAGATGAGGAAACAAAGAACAAGGAAAATGATTTGCCAAAGATTACTTAAGCAGGGTGCAGCAGAAGAGGGCATTCCTGATGCACCAGATTCCTGGAGCAGCGATAATTGTTTTTCAATCTGTGCTCCTCAGAGCCCCAGGGCTTCTCTGATGTCCTTCTGAGACCTCCAAGAATGAAGGGAGCAGGAAGGCTCCCAGGCATTTCTTCAACCCATGCATCCCCACTTGGAGTGGTTCACATGTGGGGCTTCTGACTGAGACTGATTTTGAAGGAAGGGCTCCAGCACCCAGGGAATGTCTGAGAACCACTGTCTTAGACGTTGCTGCCTCACAGACACTCATCATTAAACAACTTGAAGAGAGTGAACTAGAACATTCTCCGACTTACAGAACCTTTTATTATTACACAGGCCAGGGAAGTCGGGCAATTATACTTCAGGTCATCAGATAAATGTTCAAGTAGACCCAAAGATAAAAGCATTCAAAAACTTCAGGATGTTTCTCTGCAGTTCACATGTTTTACGAATTTTACTATTGTTCAAATTAACGGTAAATAATTTGTCTGAACAGGACAGATATTAATAGAGCAATAAAGATAATATCTTCAACAAATATTTATCGAGTGCCTACTCTGAGTGTCTTGAGCTTTGCCTGTAGCCTGAATAAATGTCTCATTCAAATATGCTACATTTTTCCAATGCAGCCAGGTGATTTTACCACTGATAAAATCCAAATGTAAAATGTTGTTCAATTTTTCAGAACCTTCAGTTATAGTAACATTTTCTCAGCCAGCATTTATATTTTTAGTTGAAAAAGATACATTCTCACCTGTAAAAAAAAAAAAATTAGGGAACTCTGGTTAGACTGCAGGACAAGAATGAACATTAAGTAATACATTCTGCTACTCCATCAACCTAGACAGGGGAAATTATCTGAGTGTTTCTAGGTGATTTCAGGTCCTCAACTCTATTTTGTTTTTTGTGAGACTGGTCATAACTGTATTTCACGTGTTATCACTCAAATTCAACCAAGTCTTCTGTGCAGAAGGCCTCAGAGAATTGAGCTAGTTACATTATCTGGATATTAATTAAAATAGAAATCTTTTGAAGAGAGGTATGATATAATGTTTTTATTTCTCCCCACTACACAAGGACCCTGTGACTCTATGGGATGGCAAAGCCCTATACAGCAATGTGAGCACTTGCTTAACATAACAGAGATCATAAAAGATGAGCAAGCGCAACAGAGCAGATAACCTTGTCATTTGTCATAATTAACAAGAATGTGGAGGGGGTGGTGGGCAGTTTGATAAAACTGGATGGAAACGAAGCTGCCCATTCAGTGTTTACTTGGTGACTGGAGGAAATCACTGGCTGGGCTGGGCTGTAGGGATAGCCTAAGGTAACTAGGACATCACCACACTAACACCTCAGGAATATCAGGAATGTTGGAGAAGCAGTATCTTTTGTGTGGTGCTTCGTACTGCTGGTGATCTCCAACCCACAGTCTCTGCGGGGACCATGAGGCTAGCCGGAGCTTGGGGGAACATCCTCTTGGGAGTGAGAAGGCGGTCTAGAGTGAGAGCCAACATTGTGGCAGGGAAAGCAGTGCCCGTGAGCAAAGGGCAATGCAAGGAGAGGACCAGAGGATGTATAGCCAGGTCAGTGGCCTGGAGGTCATTGAACAGAAGGGAGAGCGTGAAACCCCAGATGACTTGGATGAGAATCCCTTTGTCCTGGGTCTCCCCTGCTGAAACATGGGCAGCTACAACTCTTAAAGGTGTCTCATGGGCTAAACTGCCCATGGAATGAGTCACAAATACAGCTTCTGCAGGAAAAGCTATCTCTTTCCAGTGGACTTTGAATAAATACCCTAGATGTCAGGAAAACTCCTAATACTTTCTCACCCAAGGGCAACAGTGTTCTACTGCTCTTAACCTTCTTGAAACTGTAGGAGAGTTACCTTCCCAGATGACAGGTCCTTCTTTTGTCAAGTTATTTGATCCAACCCTCAGTGAGGCTCCTTCCAGAATTCGTACAGTGTTACGGACTGGATTGCGTCCCCCCGTCCCCTGCAAATTCATATATTGAAGCCCTAACCTCCAATGGGATGGTATTTGAAGACAGAACCTTTGGGATATAATTAAGTTAGATGGGGTCATGAGAATGGGGCCCTCATGATGGAATTAGAGCCCTTATTAAAAAAGGAAGAGAGGCCTGGTGTGGGGGCTCACACTTGTAATCCCAGCACTCTGGGAGGTTGAGATGGATAGATTGCTTGAGCCCAGGACCTTGAGCCCAGCATGGACAACATGGCGAAACTCCATCTCTTCCAAAAAAAAATTACAAAAATTCGCTGGTCATGGTGCCACACACCTGTAGTTCCAGCTACTAGGAAGGCTGAAGTGGGAAGATCAATTGAACCCAGGAGGTCAAGGCTGCAATGAGCCGTGATCATGTCACTGCACTCCAGCCTGAGCAACACAGCAAGACCCTGTCTCCAAGAAAAAAAGAAAAAAAAAAAAGGAGGAAGAGAAATCAGGGAGCAGGTCTCCATCTGAGAACATAGTGAGAAGGTGGCTGGTTGGATGCAAGCCAGTAAGAGGGCCCTCACCACACAGTGAATCTGCCGGCACCTACATCTTAAACTTCCCAGCCTCCAGAACTGTGAGAAATAAATGTCTGTTATTTAGGCTACCCAGGCTACGATATTCTGCTATGTCAGCCCAAGCAAACTAATACATACAGTTACAGCAGTAGTACATACAGGTCAGGTAACTCTTGACAACATGTTGGTGTGCACTACCTTCCCTTTATCTTCTCAGATCCACTGAAAAGTATTTTGCGAATAGATGGAGACATGTGCAGGGCTTTTGAAAGATTCCCACAGCTCTTGGAAATCGATACTCTAAGCACTATTGGGATTTGAGCATGTAAGCTCACGTTAGCTCATTTTTCTGGTTCAACTCTTGCTAGCTAATTTTTCTGGTTCAGGGATTATATAAAAGGATCTTCAAGAACTGAGCAGAAAAGAATCATACCAAACTGGATTAACTGGGGCTCCTCAAGTGAGGGCAAGTCCAGAACACCTGCCAACCATTAAAAATTGTGACCTACTGTCATTGTAACAAATTGCATAAGACCAATTTGGCAGAATTCCAGGCAACACCTCACTTAGGACTGGGACCAGGAAATTGCTAACGACATGCCAAGAAAAAGTGGATCTGAGTTGCAAGGTATAGCCCCCTTCTCCCTGTGTCAGATCCTTATTTGTTTATTCCCATGTGTGTATGACATTTTGGATTTAGAGGTTCACATTTTAATCTGTTTATTAGCATTCCTTCAGAATAAATGTGAAAATCTCTTGCCTCATAAAGTTTTAAACATGTCATTTCCCAGGGTGGGGAGGTGGGGGGCTGGGGGAGTGGGAGAATGAGGAGAGCAGGCAGGGAGCAAAGTTGTAATGGGAAAATGAGTATGAAATCCCATTCCCACAGACTCTGCAGTTTGAAAACAATTGGCTTCAAGCTCTGCGTTGTTTCCTTTCCCTCGACTTCCTCTTCATATCAGTAAACCCCAATCAGGTTTCTCAAGTGATCGAAGGTCAACTTATCAGCATCTGTTCCATGTGGAAAGAATCCCTCTTTACATTTTTTGATGAGTGCATCATAAACCTTAATGTTTCAAAAGCAAAGGAGATCAACAGCCCTGCAGACCCCCTGGGGATTTGGTGATGCGCAACTCATAGCATGAAACATCTGAAATAAATCATATTCGCTGTGTTTCCTATTTATGTAATTCAGGAAGTGCTGTTTGCAAAGAACCCTGTGCTCTCAGAGATAAGGAAGGTTTTCTGCACTGTTCAGAGTTTTTAGATAGACCACTGGAATTTTGCACAAGATACAGAGCCTGCAGTCCTAGGCAGAACAGACAGGAAGCTGTTCTTAAGGTGTCATCAGCCACTGGAATTGTTTGTCAGGACCTGGGAAACTTAGATAGTCGAGATTGCTTTGTGCACCTGATAGAGGCTGCTGTGTGTATGTATAGATAAACTTACATGTAAGTACATACCTAGCCATTGCTGTGAGATTTCACTCATGGAAGCAATATACATAGTAAATGAAGCAGATCAAACTGTGTTTGGTAGGTCTGCATAAGAAAGCAGGGTCAGATTTGACAGCCCAGTGTCTGGTTAGAGGATCAAATGCATCAGTAGATAAATTATTAATCATTTTTCTTTATGTGACTTGAAACACATTCCCACCCTGAAGCAAGGTAGGATGTAAGCAATAAGGTAAAGCATGATGGTAAGAGTTGTGATGTCCGCATTCAGGATGCTTTTATTTTAGAGGACCATTGTGTGGGGATGTGGGAAGGTGTGGGTGTCCGGGGGTTGCCGGTTGGGGAGTGGTGTGGAGTGGAAATATCTACATTATGAAAAGATGACATGAGTAGTCCCAAACAGGGGACAGGCAGAAACATTAAAATGCTTCTGCTATGATGTTCAATGGAAACAAAAGCAGAAAACAGAAGTTAAACACATCAAAAAGCAGGCAACGATGACTTCAGTGCAGAAAGTGTGTTGCTATTAACATGGCTGGCAAAAACATAAATGAATGCAGTTATATTTTTGGTGGACGGTCAGTCTTCTCCCCTCTTATTATCATAGTTACGGTGCACAACTCTTCTAACAGTGGGCAGTGTAGTTCTTGCTTTCTTTGTAATTGCTTTGAAATGTACATCAGAGGTGTTCTGATGTTAGGGAATTATTTAAACCGAAAGAACACCTGGAAAGCAGACTGGTTTTCTTATTCCTAGAGCTTGTTCCTAATTGTAACATCCACATATTTTCTTTGGCCACACAACCTCCTCTTCATGATTTCTGTATCACAAACACTTTTTGTATTTTAATGTTTGACTTTAAAAAGTATTTTCTTAATGATAGACTTTGGGTTTGTGGGGACTTCACTGGTCATGGCAAACACGTGCTTGCTCCCACAGCCTATGGGATCCTACTGAAGAAAGTCATGTTTCTGTTCTTTAAAAAAATGAGATCACCTGCACTGAAAATTCTGCCTATTGAATCATAGCCATTGCTTGGATTGAATTTCTAAGTGTAATATGTGGTTTCTCTCCTTCTCTCACATGTGTCCTGTCCTTACAGTATAATCTATACCTTAAAAACAGAAGTGTAACCATTGCTTATGACTTCCACCTCTGTCAGCCTAGTCCAAGTTTCCATCATGTCTTCCCTGAACAGCTGAATGGCGCCTGATTGGGCTCCCAGCTTCCACGTTTGCACACCCTGGAGAACATTGTCTACAGGGTAGCCAGAAGGATCTTTTAACATCCTGTTATTACTTTGTGAAAGGCAAGAAAGAATCTTGAAATGATGGATTGGAATTGGAGGTACTGATGTGGATTCATGATTTGTAAAATGTGTGTTTGTGTATACATTTGTATCTACATGCATGTAAAATGTGAACACACGCACATTTCCTGGCTCTATCTGCTGAATGAAACTAGGAGACACGCACGGTGACAATGTGACCACACCTAGCACCCAGATCTTGATTTCTGACACCCTTCTCCACTAAAAAGAATTAGGGCTTCTCAATGAAATGATTGTTTCCAGGTCTGGGATACAGATAATACAATAAGATACTGAAAAATCTCTTTACCCGAAAAATTAAAGAAATATCTCCCCATCAAAAATGATAGGGACTTGTCAGAAGGGCACAGGGAACAACTTGAAGGAGCCCTCACTAGAAAATTTGAGAAATTAAATAATTAAGGGCAGTAATTACTAATAAATCATTAAAAAACCGGAATCCATAAGTCCATACCAATAATAGATAATGAAATAAAAAATGATGAGGTTTAGCTGGGCATGGTAGCTCACACCTGTAATCCCAGCATTTAGGGAGGTCGAGGTGAGTGAATCACCTGAGGTCAGGAGTTCGAGACCAGCCCGGCCAACATGGTGAAACCCCCATCTCTACTAAAAATACAGAATTAGCCCGGCATGGTGGCACATGCCTGTAATCCCAGCTACTCAGGAGGCTGGGGCAGTAGAATCACTTGAACCCAGGAGGCAGAGGTTGCAGTGAGCCGAGATCACACCACTACACTCCAGCATGGGCGACAGAATGAGACTCTGTCTCTAATAATAATAATAATAATGATAATGATAATAATAATAATGAGGCTGGGCACGGTGGCTCACGCCTGTAATCCCGCACTTTGGGAGGCCAAGCTGAGAGAATTGCTTGAGCCCAGGAGTCTAAGACAAGCCTGGGCAACATAATGAGTCCTTGTCTTCACAAAAAAGTTAAAAAAAATTTAGCCAGGCATGGTGGCACACGCCTATGATCCCAGCTACACAACAGGATGAACTGGAAGGGTTGCTTGAGTTCAGGAGATAAAGGTTGCAGTGAGCCATGATCATACCACTATACTCCAGCTTGGGCGACAGAGCAAAAATCTGCCTCAGAAAAAAAAAAAAAAAAAGATAATGAAAGGAAATCTCTGGCTATAAATGTGGCAGGAGTATGAATGAAAAATCATCATTTCACAAATGTCTCAGTAAAGACAAATTCAGGTAAGAATCAAGAAATGCTGAATCTAGGAAGTCAAGTGTACTAAGAATCAGGATATTTGTATGATTGCTTATTGGTTGCAAGGAGAAAATAGAGACAGTACTGTGGACAGACCATACAACACTTGAGTGGATGGTTTAAATCAATATCTCCAACGAGGGGAAGATGGACATCGTGTCCCTCCAGATAGGATACCCTGAGAAGGGCAAACGTCAGTTCTATGTTATTTCTTCCAATAACGCATAACCTAAATCTAATTATGAGGAAACATAATGAGGATCACCCTATTGGAAAGGGGTCAGGGAGTGGGTGGGGATAAGAGGGAGGATGCTACATGCTTTGAGACTGTCAATAGTCATAAAAGCATTTTTTAAAAAGCTGAGAAATTGTTCCAGATTAAAAGACATAAAAGATACATGAAAACTAAATGCAATGTATGATTATAGACTGGCTCCTGTACGGAAGAGAAAAAATGCTGTAAAAGGAGTTATTGACTCAACTGATAAAAGTGGAATATGGATGATAGTTTGGATATAAGTACTATATTAATGCTAAATTTTACTGAAGCTGATAACTATTCTGTAGTTATGTAAGGTATATCAGTTAGGATTCTCCAGAAAACTAGAACCAATAGAATGCATGCACATATACAAAGAGATTGATTATAAGGAATTGGCTCATGTGATGATGGAGACTGGCAAGACCCAAGATCTGCAGGGTGAATTAGCAAGCTGGAGACCCAGGAGAGCCAATGGTTTAGTTCTAATCCAACTATGAAGGCTTTAGAACCAGGAGAACTGACAGTGTTATTCCAGTCTGAAAGCCAGCAAGTGCAAGACACAGAAAGAACTGATGTTTTGGTTTGAGTCTGAATTAAAAAAAAAAAAAAAAAGGCTAGCATTTGAACTGACTTTGCCAGTTCAAAGGCCTTCAGGCAGGAAGAAGTCTCTCACATGGTAGAGTGCCAGGGCTTTTGTTCTGATTGGATGTGCCCTGCCCACTTTAGGGAAGGCAATTGCTTTACTCAGTCAACTGATTTAAATGTTAATATCATACAAAAGAATCTTCACAGAAACAGGAATAATGTTTGAAGAAATATCTGGGCACCCTATAACCCAGTCAAGTTGATATAAAATTAACCCTCATATGAGGAAATAGCCTTTTTATTAGGAAACACATATTGAAATGTTTAGAGATTAAGAGCCATGCTGTATGCAACTTGCTCTCAAATGGTGGAGACAAAAATGTTTTAGAGATAAAGATAGTAAATGGTGATGCAAATTGGGCAAAATGTTCACATAAGTGAATCTGAGTAAAGGGTATAGAGCTATTCTTTGTATTCTTCACCTAAGTTTTCTGTAAATGTAAAATTATTTCCAAATAAAAGTTTCTTAAAAAGCCTTTCATTGTCCTGTTAAAAGTACTCCAGCTGCTTCCCATTCACTAAGAATACACCTGACTTTCTTTATTCACCTGCAGCACTGTTGGGGGATCAGCCTCTGCTCACTCCTCATCTCAGCTGATCCTACTCACCTCCCCACATAGAACCTTACTCACCCTGCACACTCTCTGCTCCCAAGATATGCCAAGTTCAAACCTTTACACTTACACTCTCTGCCTCTATGCCTTTCCCCCAAGTCTCCACATGACTGCTCCTTCCCGTTGCTCAGATGTCCTGTCAAAAGTCATGTATTAGTCTGTTCTGTCACTGCTATAAAGAAATACCTGAAACTGGGTAATTTATAAAGACAAGAGGTTTAATTGGCTCCCAGTTCCATGGGCTGTACAGGAAGCATGGCTGGGGAGGCCTCAGGAAACTTTCCATTATGGTGGAAGGGGAAGCAGGCATGTCTTACAGAGGAAGAGAGAGAATGGGGAGGTGCCACACACGTTTAAACAACCAGATCTCATGAGAACTCACTCACTATCACGAGAACACCAAGGGGGGAATCTGCCCTTTTGATCCAATCAACTCCCATCAGGCCCTTCCTCCAACATTAGGGATTACAATTCGACATGATGTTTAGGCAGGGACACAAATCCAAACCATATCACGTCATTTTCCCAGAGAGGGCTCCTGACTACAGAAGCTCATCTTCAATCATGTTTCTCTGTTTCGCTTTCCTCTCTGGTTACCATGTTGGCTCACTCCTTTGCTTGTTTATTATAGTCACTGAGATATAAATTTCAGAAAGGCAGACATCTCATTCATCCTGTTTACTGCTATATCTGTAGTCTCTAAAACATTGGGTGGCATATGGTAAGTCCTGAAGAAATATTTTTAATAAGTGGATAAATGTTTAAGTGCCTAGACCCCTCAACCTTTTGAAACTGAAATATTTAATCCATTAGCTTTTTGCCCTTCTTTACATATAGGCTTTCCCAGTTTGCAGCAAGAATTTTAATGATAAATATTATGATGTTTCAGATAGCATCAAATATAGACTATTATAATAGAGGAGTTTAAAAAGTATTGGTTGAGGCCAGGTGCAGTGGCTCACTCACGCCTGTAATCCCAGCACTTTAGGAGGCCAAAGTGGGCAGATCCCCTGAGGTCAGGAATTTGAGACCAGCCTGGCCAACATGGCGAAACCCCGTCTCTACTAAAAAAACAAAACAAAAACAAAACAAAAATTAGCTGAGTGTGGTGGGATGCACCTGTAATCCCATCTACTTGGGAGGCTGAGGCAAGAGAATCAATTGAACCCGGAGTGACAGTGAGCTGAGATCCCGCCATTGCACTCCATTCCTGGGCAGCAAGAGTGAAACTCCATCTCAGAAAAAAAAAAAAAGTACTGGTTGATAATAATAAACTTTTTTTTTCTAAGTAATTCTGATAGTCTGAAAATTATAGATTGACCTAGTAAATGTGAAAAAGACAATAGACTTAGTAATAATAAGAAAATTCCTTGGGAACAGGTCCTTGCATTCCAAATATCTAGTACACTATCTGGAAAATAGTAAAGCAATCATAAATGTTTAACAAATGTAAGAAATAACCTATCAACAGCCAATAGCTCAGAAGCAAGTCACTCCAGAGAAAGTAAAATAAAGCAAGACGGCTAGTTTTGCACCTTCAAATATTAAAACAGATTCATTCTTTTTAATTAGAAGAAGAACTCATGAGAGTTAGAGGTAAAAATTCCCCAATAAGACAGGAACAACGATGGCAATAACAACAGAATCTGCCTTAGGATAGTTGCCACCTTCTTAACAATTCTTTTTGTTTGTTTGTTTTTTGGGTCGGGGGGGCGGGGGGTTGCACTGCTGGTTCAATTGATGAGTCATACTTCCCAACTAGCCATATGTTGCTACAGAAGGCATTCACTCTCTGCATTCACTAGGGATAAGAGCCAAGTAAATATAATAAATCACTTTTTACCCATCAAAAATAAGAATGAAATGCCATTTGCAGCAAGATTTAATCAGCAGGCGCTTAAGTAATTTTGATGTTGAAAGCTTGCACTCTCCTGTGATGTGATAGGCTCATTCACACCCGGGTACTCCATCATGACATTGCAGCAGTTACACCATGGAAAGGTGCTCTTGCCATTTTTTTTTACAAGCAAAAAAAAAAAATCTGTAATTTCTCAAGTTCAGTGCATTTAGGTAAAACTGCAGTCTCTGGAAGGTCCTTCTCGGATACCACTTCTCGCATGTTTGCCTTCCCTGTATCAGACCCTCTGGAATGCAATACTCTGCCTCCATGGCAAGGACAGTTATTGCTTAAGTATAACTGAGCTATTTTGCAATTAGTATTAAAACTTAAAGTTATCATTGGATCATAGGCTTGTAAATAAATATATAAATGTATCACTTTTGACCTCTTCATGAATCCAAAAACAATTTCACCACTAACATTTCCTAAGCTTAAGGGAAAAGGAATTATCAACCCAGTCTTTTTCTTTGTTTTTTGTTTTTGTTTTTGTTTGTTTTGCCACTCTGCCCAGGCTGGAGTGCTGTGGTGCAATCATGGCTCATTGCAGCCTCGACCTCCCAGACGCAGGTGATTCTCCCACTTCAGCTGCCCTAGTAGCTGGGACTGCAAGCACGTGCCATTATGCCTAGCTGATGTTTTGTTTTTCATTTGGTAGAGATGTGGTTTCACCATGTTACCCCAGGCTGGTCTCAAACTTCTGGGCTCAAGTGGTCCATCCACCTTGGCATCACAAAGTGCTAGGATTACAGGCATGAGCCACCAGGCCCAGCACTTGTTTTTCTTTAATTGCAGTACAATTTGTATAGAGTAAAATTCACCTTTTACATATACAACTCTATGAGTTTTGACAAATGCATAACCAGCACCATAATCAAAATATAGAACAAATTCACCACCCCTCAAAAATTCCCTTATGACCTTTTTTAGTTAAATTCTTCCTCTATCCCCAGCTCGTAACAACCTTTAATCAATCAAATCTTTGTATATGAATATGTTCATTATATTGCACTCTTTTTCCCTAGTAAGTAAGACTTTATTAGAAAGAATTCAGGGATCAAAATGAAATTTCATCTACAGAAAGGGAGAAAAGGCAAGTTAAGAATGATACTCTTACATTTGCTTTCATTATGTTTTGTTTTTAAGTATTTCTCTGTATTATGTTACTGTATTAGTCCATTTTCACACTGCTGATAAAGACATACCCGAGACTGGGCAATTTATAAAAGAAAGAGGCTTATGGACTCACGGTTCCACGTGTCTGGGGAGGCCTCACATTCATGGTGGAAGGCAAGGAGGAGCAAGTCAACATCTTATGTGGCAGGTAGGCAAAGAGAGCTTGTGCAGGGAAACTCCTGTTTTTAAAGCCATCAAATCTTGTAAGACCTATTCACTATCATGAGAACAGCCTGGGAAATATCGACCCTGATAATTCAATCATTTCCCACTGGGTCCCTCCCACAACACATGGAAATTAAGAAAGCTACAAGATGAGATTTGACTGGGGACACAGAGCCAAACCATATCATTTACCAATATGTAGAACTCTTATTTAATAAAAAATTTAAAAAGGATGATGGTATATGTCATAATAGATAGGAAAAAAGTCAGTTCAATTCCCCCCTGGTGAGGAAATGTCATTTCTATAACAGTATCTTAAATATTAATTAGCTTATATTAACCTTCTGAAGTGATTAATAGTTTAATCATTCTCCTAATCAGAGATGTGAAAATGTTCTCAATTTGAATCCTAGCTAATAGCTAGTAACTGCCTAGAGTCCTAGGTTACAAAGAATTCTGAAGCTTAACAGGAAATATTAATAATATGAAACACTGAAGTATTAGAAATGATTACATATTAAGTACATGTTCTTTTATTTTATTTTATTCTATCCTAACAAAAAGCCCAAGAAATTTTCCTAATGTTATCCCTATGCTATGAGAGGGGAAACTGACTTTTAGAGGGATGAAATAACTAACGCAAGTGCAAACAGGTGAGAAATGATGAAGCTGGGATTTGTATGCACAAAGCCAGGCCCAGCTGGATATTTATCAACTTTGCCACATTAAACTAAAGCAATTAGTGACACAGTATCGGGAGGGGGTGATGCAAGTTTTGAATCTGAGCTGAAATCTGAAGCATATGTTAAATACCAAAGGCACAGAGGTTGCAAAGCAAAGAGGAGCTTTTCAGGCAAAAGGCAAAGCAGGTGCAAGGACCCAACCGATAGAAGAACAAGGCACATTAGAGGAACCAAGGTGCCCCCAGAAGCTAAGGAAAAGCAGAACAAGCAGAGACAGGAGAGAGGCCTTTGATCTTTTTCTTAAGGGATTCAGGAAGCTCTTGCATAGCTTGAAGCTGGATAGTGACACAATCAGATATAGGTTTCCCAAAGGCCAGCTGCCTGTTTGGAGGAAGGCTTATTCACAAGGGTAAGTGAGTTGGAGGAAGAGCACTTAGGAAGCCATTGCAAGCAATCCAGCTGAGACATACTGGCTGTATTAGCCATGTCTTGTTCTATATAGCACTATTATATTTTGACATTTGGGGCCTAGCTGACCATAGGACTGCCTATCTCAGAGTTAGTTAATTCCTAGAGATAGCAAATCAAGGACTGAAAACATGTCTTTCACATGCAAACCAACCAATTCGGAGTCCAGGTCACCAGCTGCCTCCTTTATCAAGTTCCTACACTTCAGGCCACTGTCCTCCTGCATTAATCACCCCAGGACCAGACAGCTAGAGACAACCCCTCTGCCCCAGAGTCTGCTAAAACTATCCAAACTAATCAATCCTAAACCTGCTTACCCTGTCTTACCCACTCCTTCACAAAGAAACCGCAATCAAGACTCTTGCCCATACTTTCCGTCACTCCCTCTGCCTCCCAACCTACCCGGGTGCTTCTCTGCATGGGCCCCTGTAATGTGGTATGCCCCCTCCTCTCAGGATTGTCACCATAACAAACTGTTTTCAATGGTAGTCATCTCCTGATGGATTGGCCTCACCGTACCTGAATAATAATGAAACCTACATTTTAAACAGTGGCATACTGGAAGTGAGGGCATTTCTGAGGGATGTTAGGGGGATACAACTGATAGGATGTGGTGACTGGTTGAATATGGGAGAGTGAAGGGAAGTAGGTATCAAGAAGAGTATCTATTCCTAGCCTGTAAGTACAGAAAATAATAGTAAACACTTAGAGCACTCACAAATGTTCTAGGTTCTGTTCTAAGCACTTTATGTACATAACTCATTCAATCCTCCTTGAAATCCTACTTATTATTCCCATTTCACTTAGGTTGAAACAGACACAGGGAAGTTAAGTAGTCTACCAGAACGGAGACTAGCTAACTGTTCATCCATCCATCTTTTTCGCTTCCCAGGAAGGCAGCTGGGCTAATGTCCCAGCTGCCTTGAGGTTGGGTGTGGCCAAGAAACTGAGTTCTGGCTAGCAGAATATGGAAAAAAATGATGAGTGGCCCTTTGGGTCTGGCTCATAAAATCCTCCTATGTGCCATCCTGTGTACTCTGGATTACCATAACTCTGGAAGTCTCTGGTTGAAGATAGTGGAGCCTCTAGGTGGATGGAGTGTGGGTCCCCAAATTAAGGAATAGCAGACTATTTCTGTGAAAAAGTATCAGATAATATATATTGTAGGCTCCGAGGACCAAGAGGCAGAATTGAGGATGTTATGTAGATTCTTTTTTTTGAGACTGAGTCTCACTCTATTGCCCAGATTGCCCAGGCTGGAGTGCATTTGAAAAACATAAGAACATTTTAAGCTCATTAGTCCTACAAAAAACATGTAGCACGTAAAATCCAGCTCACAGGCCTTCATTGACACAGCACTGCCCTGTCATCACTTAAAGGAAAGTCACCTGCTGATCCGGAAAATGTTCCATGAGTGGGTCATAGACTGCTGTGTATCAAGCCGCTGAAGTGTTGGGGTTGTTTGCTCCAGCAGTGAGCATCCGTAACTGCCCCAAGACCACACAGCAAGGAAGTAGCAAAGCTCAGATCTGAATCCATGTAGTCTGGTTCCTGAGCCTCTTCTTGCTGACAATGCACGATGCTCCCTCTTGAGAAAAAAAGACCAACTGTGATTACTGATCTCTAACAAGGGGTTGGGAAGGGGCTGAGGAGGATCACATGCTTCATATTTCCATCCCCATTCTCATCTTGAGTTAAAAGAAAGTGCACAGAGACAAGTGCAAAAGTTCTACTTAAAATAAATGTCCCTTGAAAACTCACTAGATATCCAAATTTAGTAAAAAGGGACTTCATTCAATAGTGTCAAGGATGATGGCCTGGTACTCTTCTTTCAAGGAGTACAGACAACTAGAGGATGAATGTTTTGCATCTTATAAATAACCCCAGTGCCATTTCTTCCAACTCCAACTCTACCTGCCACCTTATCAGGTGTATCACCAAATGTAGAGACCAGTTGATATGGTTTGGCTGTGTCTCCCCCAAATCTCATCTTGAATTGTAGTGCCCATACTTCCCATGTGTCATGGGAGAGACCCAGTGATTGAATTGAATCATGGGGGCAGGTCATTTTTGTGCTATTCTTGTGATAGTGAATACTTTTGATGAGATCTGATGGTTCCCCTACACACACTCTCTTGCCTGCCGCCATATAAAACGTGACTTTGCTCCTCATTCGCCATCCACCATGATTGTGAGGCTCCCCCCAGCCATGCAGAACTGTAAGTCAATTAAACCTCTTTTCTTTATAAATTACTCAGTCTCAGGTATGTCTTTATTAGCAACATGAGAACAGACTAATACACCTGTAAATCTGGAAGCATGCAGCATTCGGAAGGAAGGAGGTAGAATGAAGAGAAGTGTAAGGCCTGGCTCTGGAGTCATCCCATACTTTCCAAGATCTCCATTCTTTAAATATTGATGACACCTTATTTAGAGTAACTAAGGAAACAGCAAAGGATTTGTTCTTGGAATTTTACAGAAACTGAAAGGGGGAGCTAGTACGGATTTTCTGGAGCACGTCCAAGTTCAAAATGTTGGATGGCATATAGTGTACCTAAAAAATGGGCAGGTCTTTCTCTCATAAATTTGGAATGAAAGAAAGTGGCATTCCAAAATACCATTCCTGCTCATTCTTGCCATCTTCCCCGACCCAGCAGCATTTGTTTTTATTGGTGTTTATAGTTACTGGTTGGCCTCAAAATAGATATTTTAATTCGGAGCTCTCACTCATGGTTAAAGAATGTGAAAAGAAGGTTTCTATGGTAATGTTTTCATTTTTAGATTAAGGTGCAGATGATTAATCTCTCCTATCCATCTCATGAAATAGAAGATGATTGATTAATGTGGAAACAGATGGTTAGGAGAGAAAACAGTAAGTATTCATTCTGGAATTTTCCTTACATATTTTGGCTTTTGTCTTTATTATTTTGTTCAGGAATTTAGGACAGAGAGGTTATTTTTATTTACCACATTCATTTATCCTGGACCCAAAGTTATAAAGAGAAACAAATGATATGTATCTCTCTAATTTATCCTATATGCGAATATACCATTATTAGCTGTTGTGGTTTGGAGATACCATCCTAAATTCTAGAAAAGTGATGCATAGGAAAAGTAGTCTTACATAATGCAATCAGAACTAATTGCAGATTAATTTTAAAATGACAATGGATCATACAAGTTGATACATAATACATTAAATATTTTAACTTAAAAAATTCTGAAATGTACATGCATCTTTGTCATCCTTTGGTGGAGAGTGGTGTACCATCTTCCGTTTCAGCTTTGGGCTGTGATTGGAGATCCAGTCAGGTAACATAAATACAATCTAACTATAATACATTGCCAAAATGATAATTTCACCTTGTTTAAAGTGGAATGAGTATTGGAAGACATTCAGTAACAAATTGGAGGCAGAGTCATTTTTAATTTTTAGTTTTTCTAATTGCCCACACATAATTCAATTGCCACTTTCTTAATGACCTTTCCTTATTCTTTCCAAAGCATTTAACTTAACAGCCATAGATAAAAGCACTCTTTTTTGCACTCATATTTTATAGATTCATGTGGAATTTAAATCAAGTAATTATAATAATCCACAAAACTTGCATACATTGGTATGGGATTGAATTCAACTGCACACAATTCAACTGGCAACAGGAAAAGTGCACAGTTGTATAGAGAGCAGTCTGGAGTGTTCAGCTTGGTTTATGAAGGGAATGAAGAAATGCAGTTACTCCTATGAATCTATTTGGTATAGGTCAATTTGAAAATCCTTAAATGTGTATGTCAAGTAATTTTTGCATGTTTGTGCATTTTTCAGATCCTCTATGTCACTACAATTAAATAAACGTGGTCATGGTGAGACTACATGGGCTACGGTAGCGTAGTAGAAATAGGAGTGATCCTGGTGTCTGAGTGACTTTGATTTGAATGCAATCATCTTAGTATTAGCAGCAACACAGTAGTAACAAAAGCAGTTTTGACATCATTATTTTTAAATTGACTTAAATAGTAATAGTCTTAACACATTATAGATATATTTATGTGTCAGCAACTATATTCAAAATGTGCTTATAGAAACTGTCAAATGCTTTGAAATAGTTTCTTAGACATAATACTCAAAATGTTTGATTCTATGATATTGAGGACAAGTTTTCTAGGATTAATAAATAATTCTGCCTAATGAATTTCGATTCATCTTTATTAACTTCTAGCTTCAAATAGATCAGCAGTTCTCAACCAGGGCAGTATCAATCACACACAAACACACCCCAGGGCATTTTGGAAATTCATGGAGGCTTTTGATTGGTGCTATGATGACAGGGTGCTGCCGGCATTTAGTGATTAAGATTCTCCAACACTGGAGTTCCACCAATGAGCAGAACCATTTTGTAAACTTGAATGTTACTCTAAATGGGACACGAAAGTGAAATACTCATTTGGATTTATGTGAGCCTAGAATCAAGCTCTGTTTCATTATAAAGCAAATCTGAAGTGGGGGTATAGATTTTCAAGTCATCTCTGCTACCAGAAGACAAGTGTGCTCCCAAAAATCATTGTACTATGCAAAATTGTGCAATAACAAGCCATAGGGCTTATGGGGAAAACAGGGTTAGGGACACAATACTCCAAAACTTCATCAGTGATATGTTAAAAAAAGATAGGGTGCCAGTAAAAATGGTAGCATAGTTTTACATGCATTAATGGTTAAGAAATACATAAGTACTCCAATAAATGCGGCGCTTAACTTGAAAAACATCTAATATTCGCTACTAGAAGTAGGTGACAGAAGAGCTGCAGTTTGTGACTTACTGTGAAGTGATGGAAGGAAGGTCATCTGAAATTGAACAGAAAGTCCAACTTCACTATGCTGTACACTATGTATATGGGTGGGGTCATAACACTCTTGGTGAAATGAGGTAGCTGGTAGACATTGGAATTGTGTTAGTGTTTATGTTTGTATATTCCTACATGGCTCCTTCAGCTAAGTGCTGTCTTCTGCATTCACCTAGTATTTCTCAATTAAAAAGTCAAGCATAAGCAAATGTGTTATGTTCAAATTGTTCCCTAGTATGTCAACTGTGTTGGAAAAATTTTAAAACAAACATTACAGCAGAATGGACTGGAGACTGAATTTTTTAAAAAATTTTTATAATTTTTTTTTTTTCTTTTTTTAAAATTTTATTATTATTATACTTTAAGTTTTAGGGCACATGTGCACAATGTGCAGGTTTGTTACATATTTCTGGGAGGGCAACCACATGTCAATTGAGAAAATTCACATTTTGTTATTTTTGGAACTTTCCGAGATTTTCTTTCTCATTTCAGAAAATCATGTTCTAATGACAATGCCACTTGTGGCATCTGAGTTCCCAGTATAATACACCGGCAGGTGAATATGTAGCTGTCATAATCACGGTGATCTGCATGGAGGTGCAAGCTCCTAACTTCTTCATTATACTTTCTACTGTAATCTTTAACTATAACACAGTACATTTACCTATTTAATAGATGAATAAAATTTTATTGTAAATTAAGTTTCTGTCATTTCTCCTTTATATATAGTTAGGGTATTATACTGAAATTTTTGAAATTATCCATATAATTTTGAAAATATTATATGGATATTATACATTATATGGATAATTTCAATTATCCATATAATAATTTCAAAATTATATGGATATTTTCCATATAATAGGATGAGTAAACTATACAAAAGAGGCACTATAAAATATGATAGTTGATAAAATTGTGAACCATTGATATAGAGCAATAAAAAAGGAAGGGAATGTAGCCATATTCTTATCAACAAATTCATGGAAGGATTAAATGAGATTATATCTGTCTGGCATATGATCCACTTTAAATAAATTACAGATAGATTTATTATTATTAAGATAGTATCAGAAGAACCACAGTTCCAATTGCTCCCTGGACCTCTCCTTTCAGATGTCCACAGGACCCCCAAAGTCAGGAAGTAAGGAAGAGCTACCAAATCCGTCAGGGCTCTCCCAAACCTCCCTGCCCCCTGCCCTTTAACCATGTTGTGAAAAGGCATCATCTTTAATCTGTTTGTGGCTAGCTAGGAATGGGACGTTAACCATGACGCCCCCTTCTTCTGAGAACCTTGTATCTAATAAACCACCATCTCATATGGTGCACCACCTTCTTGCAGTTCAAGTCTGTCTGCTTTCTTTCATCTTCACCACTGCCGCATTATTGCAGGCCACCATCATGGAAATAGCCGCCTAGCTGAACTCAGTGGCCCCTCCCAACCCCTCATCTATTCTCTCTTTCACCAGCACCATCCAATAGAAATGCAATGTGAGCCACGTATGCAATTGTGAAATTTCTGGTACCAACCTAAAAAAAGAAGCATAGGAAATTAATTTTAACATCATTTTAATTAACCTAATATTTGTAGTGTAGTATCATTTAAACATGTTCTCACTATGAACAATTATGAATAACATATTTGAAACCGTCCTTGTGCTATATCTTCAAAATTGGCATATATTTCACATTTGCAGTGCATATCAATTTGGAGTAACCACGTTCCAAGTGCTCTGTAGCCCCATGTTGCTATGACTCTTGGACAGTGTACCTTAAAGCCCTTTTAGCGGGTAAACCGCAAACCCTGTCCCATCAGTTTCCTACCTAGCACGCTCTAATTCCCAAATAACTGTTGCCCTAATGTCTAAACCTCTAAAAATGATTTCCAAGACCCTGCAGTATCTCATCATTGTTTATCCCGTCGGCTCCACCTCTTGCTATCCCTTTCCTGGCCCTGCACCTCAGAATCTTTACTCCCTCTGTAGAATTTGTTTTGTTCTCTCCAACATGTCCTGCTCTCTCTTGCTGTGGGATTTTTCCAGAGGGCCTCCCCTACCTGTAACACTTTTAATGTTCTGCACTAACCTGATAATCACCTTACGTTCCAGAACACCCTTACTTTTTGTTCAGATTAGGGTTCCCTCCTTATAGTTCAGATTCACTTACCTCAAATCTGGGTTTGCATTGCAGCAATCCCTCTCTCAAATTCCTTTCCATGCTGTCATTGAAATCTCTTGCTCACATGCGGTCTTGCTTACTAAACAGTGCAGCAGGAGCAGTCAGTCAATCAACATGTTTGAATGAATGAAAGAACAAATGATGAATTTCCTTTGAAAGCTTGCAGCTATGGCTGAATGACAATCAATGAAATAATGGAATGGATGATTCTGGAGTCAGACAGACCTGAGTTTGAAACTCAGTTATGTAATCTTGGGCAAGTTATAAAATTTATGTTTCTTTCTCTACAAATATTTGGTGATTTGCGAAATGGAAGTTATAATGCCCATATTACAGGAGCTAAAAGGAGTAAATGAAATAATGTATATATACATAAAATGACACATATTTATTTATCTAAACAGAATGCAGTAAATCTGGACATATCTCTTTTGACATAGGAATGTCTAGTTATACATACCCTAAGATTTAGATTTACATAGAAAGAAGGTGGCTTTACTTCAGAATGGAGATCAAGACACATTCTTGAATGCATCATTAACCTGAAGCATTTGCTGCATGTGATTGGCAGAGGGAGGAGGGATGATAAATAGGGAATATAACATTTTTTCCCATCTGGCTATGTTCCTTGTGTGGACCACTTTCCCTGAAAGAAATCCCATATTGCCGAGTGGTAGGTACACCAAGGTCCTGGCTGAAATGCCTAACACATTTGAATTGTAACCTTCCCTGGGAACGTAAGTTATGTTATTCTTGGGGTAAGGAATTAAAGGAAGCAAAACTGGGGACTTAAATTTATTTAGTATTTAATATAAAAGGAGGTTATCTTTTTGCAATTTAAGTTTATTCTGGAAAATATTAATGAGGCAGTGTTCACATTTGGGGCATTTTAATATTGCTGGCATGATACAATTTGGGGGGATTTGATGCTGTCCTGTGGTACTCAATGTATTATTTCTGTTAAACTAGATTTGACAATGTGACTAGGCATGATACGAGTTGGGAAATATACCACAGTCCATCCCTTGTCAAACAGGCTTCCATATGAATATTAAGTCCTAATGCCCTAAGACACCCATTGTGTGTAACAAATTAACTTTTTTCCTACACACAAGGATGGTGCTAGTTACGTAATCTCCTTAGAAGATTTGAGAAAAATAGTCACTCAAATCATTTTCTGATGGGCTTAATTCTCTCTGGGAAAGGCTGCTTGTTCTAATTTTTGAGCTAAGATGAAGTTGCTTTATTTAATCTCTTTGTCTAGTTTGTTTCAGTTGAATATCACGTGAATTATGATCTCACTGATTCCAAGGGGATAACAGAGAGTCATAGACTATGTTTTGGGGAAAACAGTAGATCCTTGGTGACAGTGGGTTTTCTCCAAAGAGGGCAACATTTGCAGTGTGGTTTTCCATGAGTCTGGCTACTTAGATGGATACGCGGCAGCAAGGAGCAGTTTTCTCCTCAGACCCCTTGCTTCACAGTCAGGATGGCCGCTGGGCTAGAGAAAGGAAACCCCTCTGTTTCTTTCCTTCCTCCACCCTTCACTGTGGGAGAAGAAATGTCAGACTCCTTCCTTCTGCCTTCCATTTACTTAATAACATGTGGTCAGTAGAAAAGCAAGGCAAGGCTTCCAGGAGCCAGGGCGCTCTCTTCATAGACTCCATGTCCTATGCAGAAGCAGTAGGGGAGTCAGGGCCCTTGGGGAGCCCAGCTGCATCTCTCTTTCCTTAGGCCACAAGGGGGCATATGCATTTATACCAAGGCAGAAGTGAGAGACCCCACATGAGTCCTGAGAATGGGATATATTCTCCATCCTTGCTTTTAACAGATTTCTGGCAGGAGGAGGAGGATGCTTGTTTACTTCTTCAAAAAAGCGTGCTTTGGCTGTTATTGCTTGAGTGAGTTCCAGGGTCCAAAACTCAATGGAAACAGAAGCAGTCAATAGGATTGTATCACCAAAATCCTTAACTAGATATTTAGTGATAAGCACTGAACCTAAGTTCTTTGATAGCAGATTTTTGGGTTTGGTGTGGTTTGGTGGTTGTTGTTCATTGGTATAGCTCCAGCACCAAGAAAAGAGCTAGCATGTGATAGAACCTCAATAGCTGTCAAATGATGAGTGCTTATAGAGGTGGGTGGTGCAGCCTGTGCACAGGGGAAGGGTCCAGCCTGCAGAGGTGGCCAGTCAATTCAGGAAGCACTAGACACATGTGAAGTTTAATTTAAATATAATTAAATAAAATTAAAAGTCCAGTTTCTCACTTGCACTGTCCGCATTCCCAGTGCTCCAGTCATGTATAGCTATAGGCTTTTGTATTGGAAGGTGTAGATATGGGACATTTTTCCCATTACAGAAAGTTCTACTGGATGGCACCGCTTTAGAGCCTAACTGCCTCTTCTATTTACTAGCTGGGAAAACTTAAGCAAATTATTTCACTCAGTTTTGTGACTATTAAATGAGGGAATAAATGAAAGCACTTAAAACAGGGCTTGTAGAGAATACTTATCATTATTAGCTACAAGAGATTTTGTATGGGGATGCTGTCCCCATAAATGGCCTGGATCCCTGGACCATGTACAATGTGTGTGTATGTAGTTTTTCCTACATGCTGCAACAATAACCTGTAGGAAATAATAGCCACCGTGCCCAGTGGCATTTTTTAATAGAAAGGTTTTCATTTAAAAATATTTTATTAATATGATTTTTAATAAATTAAGGAAATGTATGATCATTAATCATTTTATTTTAATTTTGCCAAAATAAGATTTTATTCACATCGAACTATATGGATTCTGCTTGTATTTCAACAATGTAACAACACTTGGAATCTACTTGAAGAATAAAACATGCCAGGGGCTGGGCGGGGTGCTCACGCCTGTAATCCCAGCACTTTGGGAGGCCAAGGCAGGCAGATCACTTGAGCCCAGGAGTTCTAGACCAGCCTGGCCAACATGGTGAGATCCCCATCTCTACAAAAGAAATACAAAAAATTAGCTGGGCGTGGTGGCGGGCACCTGTGGTCCCAGCTATTATGGAGGCTGAGGTGGGAGTGTCTCTTTGAGTCAGGGAGGCAGAGGTTGCAGATGGTGCCACTGCACTCCAGCCCAGGAAACAGAGCAAGATGCTGTCTCAAAAAAATAAAAATCCATGGCAGGGATCTACTGCAGAATCTGAAATACATTTATAGGCACTTAGTGAATGGAGAGAAAATCTGTTGATATGATTCATTTTGATAACCAACATGTATTTCTAGTCTTGAAATCCTGGCTTCAAGCAATCCTCCTAGATCAGCCTCCCAAGTAGCTGGAATTACAGGCACAAGTCAATACATCCTGTCAAATGTATATTTCTGAAGGTGGCCTTAGTTGTTGATAAGCAATGGATATGTATGCATAAAATGATCCATCTAGAGAATTCTAGAAAATAGAGTTTGTGTCTTCTTCTTGTTACTCTTTAGGTACTGTTCGGTGCCAAGTAGAATAATTTCCACCACTTTCCCTGTTCTTCAGTACTACTGCATAGCCAAGCTGGTTTATTGTTGCATATAAAGTCTGGGTAAGCATATGTTTCTCTACACTCGGAAATTAATGGGAGCTGATGCTCTGTATAATGTCAAATTGCCCCTGGGAAAAAAAACTGTACTGTGGCAAAGTCGATGCCACCATATTTAGTAATATATTTTAAACTAATAAAGACCATTTCCAGGGCAGAAATAAGCTTTGTTGTTTTTGTATGATTCTGAGCCCATTCAACCCAACAACTTTCACAGTACATTATTGTGATTGTAATCTTGATCTAAGTGAGAAGAGCATAAATAATGAGAAACTGTTCTTTAAGCAAACCTGGACAAAGAGGTGGGAGCTCATTTTTAGCCTTGATTCTGTAATGAACCACCTATTTCTCCTTGAAAACTTCACCTAACTTCTCTAGACTACAGGTTTTGGAAAAGATATTTGTAAATGACAGGTTAATTTAATAACCTCTAATTTATTATTTAATAATGAAGCTACTATTATGCTACTAAGGAAATAGTAACTAATAGTAAATAATTCCACAAATGCAGTTGATTTTTTCTCAGAAAATGATGTTCTAAAAGTTTTGTTTTCTAGAAATTATCTTGGGGAATATATTGAAAATCAAGTTCTCAAAAATATTAAACAATTTTGTATCATTAAGGCTCAGCAGATGAGATGTGCTGTCCTGTGAAGTATACCTTTGCTCGCCCCTATGTTCTTTGTCTACCTTTGGAAACCCTCAAACTTCCTCTTCTACCCCTTTATATACCCTGAGGAATTTCATCCAATTCAGTGCTCTCAGCTATGATGAAAAACAAGAACTGACAAACCAGTCTCCAGCTCTGGCCTCTCTTGTTTGAGGTTGAACTCCTTCAGAACTGCTAAGGAAAGCTCATCTCTTTACCAGCATTCTGTACAAATCCACTCTCTTTTGTGGCTGAATAATGCCACCCTCATTCTATTGTCCAGGTTAAAAACTCATCATCTTTAACTTCTCCATCTCTTTCATCCCAGCACCAAATCAGTCTAGCTATCAGCCATTCCTCTTCATTAAGCAAAACTGTCCCTTCTTTCTCCAGGTCTCCATCATTTGTTTGGATTGTTGCTGCTTTTATTTCCCTTATCTTCGCTGGTGCCACAGTATTTTATTTTTCCCAAAATAATGATAACGACAACAATTAGCAAGGCCACTTTATTGCTTCAATCCTTCCTTGGTTCTCCATTGCTTACAGGGCCAGACCTGTAGGCTGGATTAGGAAATTGGACTTTGATATGTGTTTCTAGCTTAACCATGTACTACCTTGCCACATACCTAGGGTGCCAGCTACATCTTGCTTTTTACACATTAATTGCTTTACACATCTCAGATCAGATCTAATATGCGTTTTCCCACTAATTTTTTATATTGCCCTCTCCTCTAGAATATAAACTCCATTAAGGCAAGGACTTTATCTGTTTTGTGCCATATTGGACACCTAGCACACACAAGAGTACTCCAATGTAGGTGATGAAAAGCTACGTTGAATGAATTAGTCAATTTATTGTTTCAAGGATCTGTTCTAAGGCTACCTCTGTGATGAAGCTTTTCTTCATTCTCAGCAGGATGATTGCTCTCTCCAGGATGATTTCTCTCTCCCTTTATGGTTATAAAACCAAATGTGCAACTATTTTAGCTCAAACATCATATTATCCACATTTACTTACATATATGTCTTTCCTATTTACTTGAGCTCCTTGGTGGCACGGATACTCTTTATTAATTCTAAATGCCCACCACCAGGCTGGGAGCATTAGGTTCACACCTGTAACCCCAGCACTTTGGGAGACTGAGGCAGGCAGATCACTTGAGGCCAGGTGTTTGAGACAAGCCTGGCCAACATGGTGAAACCCTGTCTCTACTAAAAATGCAAAAATTAGCCATGGTGGCATGCACGTGTAGACCCAGCTACTCAGGATGCTGAGATGGGAGAATCACTTGAACCTGGGAGGCGGAGGTTGCAGTGAGCTGAGATAGCACCACTGCACTCCAGCCTGGCCTGCAGTAAGACTCTCAAATAAATAAATAAATAAATAAATAAATAAATAAATAAAAATAAAAATAAATGCCCACTATCGTACCCAGTTCATAGTTGGCACTCAATAACTTTTATGAATGAATGAATGACTGAATAAATGAGTGATGAATTAGGTAGAGGAGGAAACAGAGTAATTTGATTTGGCCTGGGATCACCAACACACACACACACACACACACACACACACACACACGCACGCACACATCAATGAGGAATATGACACACAAATCACCCTACATAATCAAAAGATTCTTCTTGGTAAGAGACAGATATTAGAGTGTCTGTGTTGACCTTTAAATCACCTTTGTAAAACACAGTTTAAAAAGACAGTCTGGCTCATAAAAGCAAATAGGTACATTGTAAATCCACAAATTTGAGATTTTTATAGTGAAAATACTAATAGGTTTTGACTTTTAATGAGCTTCTGCTCTTATTATTAAAAAGATTCTACTCATTCTAATAAAAGAACTGTGATTTGTGGGTATCTTCTGATATATTTTAGTTGATTCTTAGCTTCAGCCACCTTAGCAAAAAGAAAGAAGAGGTTTCCCCAGTGGAATTTCAGATAAGTATGCATACTGCAAGAGAGGCAGAGGAAAAATGATAATTTGCTTTATTCATGAATCTGTTCAGATGCAACGTATGCTGCCCAGGCCCATGCTGAGGTTTGGATAAGTCTATTCCTAGGGCCCACACCTTGGTGACCACTATCTGTTCTAATCAGATAATCTATGGAAGCCAATGACTGTCTTCTCACTTGTTAAAAGCATTCACACTCAGGATGGGCAGAGCCTAGCAATTAAAAGCACAGATGGTATGTTGCTAGTATCAAAATTACTTTAGAAACAAAATTGGGAAATTAAAATGTAAAGCAACACATAAGAACTAGACACCTCAAGCATGTAATTGTATATTTATTTCTCTTTTTAAAGAACACTCCTTAATGTAATTCAATATACAAACTTGGTTTCACAGAATTATAATCCACTATATAGCACAAAGATAACCCAGATTGTATGTGTGCGTGCACACATGTGCGTGCCTGTGCACATGTTGCTGCACCCCTCCCTCTCTTTCACTCTTCTGGACCTACAAATGCTCTTCCCACCTTCAACACTAACCAAAAGCCATTGTGAGTATTACATACAACAGACATCCTCCCACGAGTTCTTTGCCCTTGAAAGATTCTTTTCCCCATTCCCCCTGAGATAGCCAGGAGTGTGACACTCTTCCCCTATGAAAAAGGGTAAGGTGACCTCCCCTAACACAGATGTTAACCCTGTTCCCATGTAAACCGGCTGACAGGAAGAGCTGGGGAGCAGGTCTCCATCTCCTTTTCCCCCTTCCACACCCAACCCTCAGAGTCCAAGTGCGACCCTCTGTGTAGCCTTAGTTCCAGTCACCATCCTGTGTAGCAAGAACTAAGGAGATTGCTAAGCCCAGGTCTTCTCCATGAGCAGCGCACAGCACTGCCTGCCAAGCCACCGGGCCGGCCGATAACCAAGCTCTACACAGTCCCATGTGCTTTGTCACCTTAATTTTTTAAAGACACCTAGCATAGGTCTGTGGCAACCTAGTGTCCAACTGAGTTACATAAAATTGTACCAGTGATGCACTTGTACATATTTACATGGGGTGGAATGTTTTCCCATATTTTTAGATGAGTATATAGATCAACATGTTCACATAAGACCAAATACTTTTAATATTATTTATAACTGATTTATAAAGCTTTGAAAAAACTCACAATAGCACATTGTTTACTTTAATGCTTTACGGTACTATCATTTTAAAATCACAATCAGCACTTAAGTTATAGTCAATCCAGCAAACAAGAGACAAAAAAATATACAAGAGTTAAGAACTGACTGATACATCCTTTATCTTTTTTTAACTAATGCATAAGTGCAGAATAAGATACTCTAGTTTAAATATCTTGTTTACAATGTACATTTTTGTTCTAGTTACGCAACAGTAAATCCCATGCTTCACATAGAAAAGCAATCCACAACATTAAGAAAAAATGTACAATTTATGAAACAAAGTAAATAAATATTAGTATTACAGAATCAGAGCTGTACATAAAAGCTGTTCAGTTTTAATCATATAAAAATATGTTTTAGTGCAACCTCACATATATATTGATGCTGTTTTGCTTTACATCATTTAGATCCAAGTGTCCAAAAAAGGAAAGAAATTACATTTATTACAAAGCAGATACACAAATTCTAAAATATGTACAAATTACTGCTAAAAAATGCTTATAAGAATATAAGCAAAGTAAAGAAAAGGCACAAACATCTGTACAATTTTAAAAGTACCAGACCCAATAGGTTAATTTCAAATTTTGTTTTGGTCAGGCTCATGATGACTTGTTAATTTACCTAATTCTTTTGATATAACAAAAGTATATATAATAGCAAACTACTGTAACTTAGGACAGGCATGCTATAAACTGGATTACCTCCATTTCTAGAAAAACAAAAACAAAAAAATGGGAAAATGTGGAAATGAAAGTCTCCATGCATCATAGATCAATGTAGCTGACTCTTTTCTGATGAAGGATCTTTGCTTTCCTCTGTGCTTGAAGATAATTCCTTGCTGCTGTGAAAGTCCAACTGCTTGTCATCCACACAACTCTTGCTGTAAAACGTGGAGTGAGCTAATGGAGTCTGTGATGTACCAAAATTGTCCTTTTCACCATCATGCAAGTCAGGGTGGGTGGCTGAGGTACAGGGCTGACCTGGCTCAGGTCTACTAAAGTGTCTAATGCTAACATGTGCACTTCCCAGGGGGTTCTGGTGGGGCTCCTGCACCCGCGCTGGCTGATCTGGCCCGAGCAGAGCTGCCTCTTCCGTGGCAATCCGGAGAGAGGCAATGGCTTTTGTACAAGTCTGTATATTTTCCTCCTGTTCCCGCTCTGTTGCGTTTAGGCTGTCTTCCGAAGTGCTCTGTTTCATCAACAGCCGAGGAGAGGAGGGAGTGCTAGGTGGACCAGATGACTGCAAAGCGTGAGGACCTCGCTTCTCATGCTGCTTAGAAAGCACATAGGGGTCCTTGGAGAAGGACTCCCCTGACGCGCCTTTCTTCTCCTCAAAGCCCTCCATTGGCAGGGGCAATGTGGGTGAAGGATGTAAACTGGAAAGGGCTGGCGGCATGGAGTGAACCATCTGGATCCCACCAACGGGCACCATGGGGATAGGGGCTCGCACTTGTTGCTGAGAGTGGAGTGGAAGATGACTGAAGACATAGTCATTAGGACCCTCAGGGAAAAGGCTGGAGCCTGGATGTTCATAAGCACCTTCTTGGTCTCCATAGAGACTGAAGTAAGGAACCTGAGGTAATCCTCTTCTTAAATTCTGCGCAGAGAAACAAAGAGAGCACAAAATTCAGAGCCTGCTACGCTTCATTCTTAGGTCAAGCTGTTGGATTCATTCACTCACCCATTCACACATTCACTACCTAGAGAGGCTTCAATACCTAATTCTTTGATCAAGTTTTCCTATTTCAAGACAAAAGAGATTTCTCTGTTCTCTTTTATAATCCTTGAATAAAGGTGTCGGCCTGTGAAAAGTTGCTTTTGTTTTTAAACAGCAAGGTGATAAAGCAGTCAGGGTGTTTTCCATTGGGTACAGAGACACATTTCAGCTCTGTTTTTTTCACAAGAGATAATGAAAAGAAATTAATGGATAATTGGCAAAAAAAAAAAGTTTACTGAGCAAAAAACACTAATAAACATTAATAATATTTTTTTTAATTCAAAAGGAAATAAAAAGATTACCATCTGTTGCTATACTGGACAGATTTTTAATATTTTTCTTAAGTGTTGATGAGTATATAATTGGAATGACAAGTCTGAAAATTGGCTTTTTTAAAAAGTTTTCCACAGAACAGATGACAAAACAGTGGTGAGGATCCACAAACTGGTTCCTCCAATGTGTAAGACATTGGTCTAAAGGAATGCATTCCTGCTAAGAGATACTCAATGCAGAAGGCCAGCTTCTCCATCCAATAACAAACCAAGTCCATTTAAGTCTTACATCAATAATAATTTTTTAAAGGAAACTATCCATCATAGAAGTAGTTAACATTATTTCAGACAGTTAACAACTTATATTCGACTCTATACTGTGAACCAAAGATGACTGCATCTTAATTCTTTTGTTCATATTATCATTTCCACCTCAATATCTTCTTGGCAATCAATGAATTAAGGATGCTTAAAATGTTCAGCCAGAATTTCAGATTTCATAGTCCTAGTCCTGAAAATGGAGAATTTATTTTCTATACTGTTTCTGTAGTGAAATACAACTTAGATTGTCAGATTATCAGGTTTTAATATTATCATATTTTAATTAATGTGATTCATTCTTTAATGGATTGTCATCTAAAAAGGACTTCATTTATTTTTCTATTTTTTGAGAACCAAAGATAGATAGATAGATATAAACCCATACAGTATGGTAGTAGTCCAGGATAGAGCCAAAGAAACTGTTCTATTTCAAGAGTTTCAGTTCTAAAACTCAAGGTATGCTCTGCAGCATTAAAGATTCATCCAGTTCTATCTAGATTATGATTTCTGCTACTCTCTAAGATGCTTAGCCCTTACCCTTCTCTGTGATATATCATATGCAAGCTGGAAACATGGATTCTCCTGAAAGTGTGAGTGAAACGGTGCAATCATTAACACTATCGTTACCACGACCTCATAAGCTGGGAAAGGTGGGAATTTTACGGTATGAGAATCATTTAAATTCTGCACATAGACAAAATCCCCCTTGTATTTAATCAGGTTTGGAAAAGGCACGTCTCCTTCATCAAACACCAGTTTGGGAGGAAGACCTGTAATGCCTACAGTAACGATCTTTGAAGATAATCAAGTACGTTTTCTTTTAATCACAGCAATCACAGATTCAAAGTTTAAAATAAAACCGAGCTTGGTTATTTTTCTGTTTTACTTCTGGCTGCTATTCCATGACCTCCATTGCATACAACCAGTCAGAATGTGGATCTGTGGGGAAACCAAGGAAGTGGAACAGAAGTCAGAGAGAGAGAGAGATGTCCTATTACGTAAACTGACTTGAGATCCCCAAATCCAGGCTGACAAATGGAGTCATGAATTGTCCTCTAAAACTACAATAATACTCAGCATGTTCTAAATCCAATAAAATCTTATTAGTGCTACTAATGAAAGTTTCAAATTCAGCCCTTCACTGATTTTAACCACAGAGCTACGTGTACAAGTAGAATTTCTACCATGTGGCCACTTCCACTGCTCCAAGCCCCACCAGGCATTTCTACACATCCTCTCTCCTCTCATTCACCCCTTCTTCATCCTCCAAAGAAACTCCCAATAAGTTTTCTCTACTTTGGTTTTTACTCCATTTGCAATCCTATTGTTTTGTAATTTGGGCCTTATAAATGTGGTGGACAAACTTCCATCTTACTTAAATCTCAGTAAGAAAATTTTGTCGTGGAAAAACAAATAGTGAATTCAAATGTAGATTATGTTAAGTGCATATGTATGTATAGACACATATACACATATGTACAAATGTACATACACAGATATCTATATACACATCTATACGCCATGTACCAGATCTATTACCCTACGCATCTCTTCAACAGTATGGCAGTAGGGACCTCTAGATGCAAATGATGAGAGGGAGGTAGAAGAGCAAGAGCCTCCTTGGGGGCAGCAGGGAGCAGAGAAGGAGAAGTGACCCATTTGTGCTCAGTCACTGGCTGGGGCTGCAGGGAGAGCATGGCTTTGGCTTCAAAACAGTCCTGTCCTGAAGGTGCTGACATGCCAGCAGGAGGCTTGTCTGCCCACTACATTCCTTACAGCTGAATGGCACGTTCTTTCAGGAACAAAAATCTGCATGGGCCACCTCCCTGGCTGCCAGAAACAAATTAAAAAACTGTGGTCAAGAGGTTAAGTGACTCGCCCAAGATCACACAGATAACAAGGGATAGGAATGAATGTTGACTGTTTCCCTAGACACAATCTTCATCTACACTACATACTGAGGGCCTGGACACACCTTTGTTTCTCTTCCTGCTACCTATCTACAAAAGCTTTAAAATGGAAAAGGAAATTTATTTATCAAAAAAAAAAAGATAAGGCCACAGCCATAATATTATTTCATCCTCAACCTCGAACCATGCGTAGTAGACCCTCAAAAATTCAGTAGATACTGAATAAATGGATAAAAGATACCTTATCTATCTATCTATCTATCTATCTATCTATCTATCTATCTATCCGTCCATCCATCTGTCTTAAAATTAAAACTAACAGGGGCACTGGAGCACTTCTACCTCCTTCTCATCATTTGTGTCTAGAGCTCCTTACTGCCACACTGTTGAAGAGATGAGTGGGGTAATAGAACTGGTATATAGATGTATATATAGATGTCTGTGTAGGTACATTTGTACATATGTGTATATGTGTGCATACATATATATGCACATACACTTAACACAATCTGCATTTGAATTCATTCATTTCTTCCCAACCTGTGTTGGCTATGATCACCATTACTCCAAACGCAGGCAGAATATGACTGGGCTGTAAGGTCCCTTCACACCACAGTCAGTGTCCTGTGGTGTGAGAAAGCATAAAGTGGGCAGTGCTTGGGACGAACTGTCCCTACATCAGGGAGGATTCCCAGATCTGTTCCCTCATACCATGTGAACAATGCAGCAGGCTATACATCCTCTAAAGAGAATTAAACTGGGTAACAGGCCAAAAGCATCATAAATGATAAAGTTTAATAACACTATGAAATATAACCATGATCAGCCAGGTGCGATGGCTCACACCTGTAATCCCAGCACTTTGGGAGGCCGAGGCAGGCGGATCATGAGGTCAAGAAATCGAGACCATCCTGGCCAACATGGTGAAACCATGTTTCTACTAAAAATACAAAAATTAGCTGGGTGTGGTGGCACGTGCCTATAGGCCCAGCTGCTTGGGAGGCTGAAGCAGAGAATTGCTTGAACCCAGGAGGTGGAGGTTGCAGTAAGCCAAGGTCGTGCCACTGCACTCCAGCCTGGCGACAGAGCGAGACTCCATCTCAAAATAATAATAATACCCATGATCAGATATTTAAAAAAAAATGAAACAAAACAAAAACACATCAAAAAAACTTGTACAAACTCAGTGACTACTAAAACTCATCTCTCTCTAACTTTCTGGGCATGTATCTAAAAATCAGATGAACTCCCTTAGTCCACTCTTCCAATTCCTTTGCCTAACTTGACTGTGGGTTGCTATAAATTTTTACAACCACAGCATGTTTGCGATAAAGGCTTACTTTTTCTGACTGAAGAATCGCATGTTTGCAGTTGACTGAACATGCACCACTGTTTCACAAATGCCACACTCTCAATCCACCTGGCCAATGCTAGAACACAAGCTGCAGGGATGGCAGGGAGAGGCTCATCTAACACACTCTGCCAGCATCACTGCGTGTATACCAGAGAAAGCATGTGTCATCCCAGACTTGGTATCCCATGATCCAGGAGATTTACAGTTCTCTATTCATGCTGCAATGGCATAAACTGCAGAAGATCCCTCTTTCCTACTTTTGCTAAGGCACCAAAACCTGTGGAAATGTATCTCTTTTTCTTATTAGCTTGCTAATTTGTTAGCTTGGTAAACAACATCCCAATTGCTATATATGTTTCTGCAGGAATTGCTTCATCAAGATGAAGTTGGTACCAGACTTGTGAAAAGATGGTGCTGGGGATGGGGACAGGAATGCAGCAGCTTTCCTAAAGTGAAAAAATGACAGGCTGAGCTCAGGATTCAGGGTGGTGGAAGGTGATGAGAGGGAGAAAATTGGCTGCCAGGGCAGTGATAAAACAGAGCTGGGAGCTGGCAGTGTCTCCTCTGGCTGTGAAGGATGGTGCTGATGCACTTGACACAGAGATCCGGAGCAAGGGAGTACAACAAAGAGTAGAAACCAGGAAATCAAAACACATTCAAGGCAGACAGATTCCAAAGGTATCATGCCTCTGTCTATGCTAAGTGCATGCTTTATTCATTTTTTAAAATCCTACACAAACTGAAAGAGACATCACAGTCTACTGAGCCGTGGAATTAGGCAGGACAGGTGCTTTTATATGAATTTGTATTAAACCTACTGCTTAAATGTAATCCATGGTGGTTACTGTTATCTTCACTTATAATGAAGGCATATCATAGAAATCTCTGCACATTCTCACTTAGCTCTCCTGATTTCCCGTTCTCCTTGGGCCCACGCTTCCACTGAGCAAGTGCACTTGATAGTAGTAATGGCAAGAAAAGCAGACAGGCTCATGTCTTTGATTTATAAACATGCCGAGTGTGTCATTCTCTCCTCTCCCTGGCCCTGACCAGTTTCACATGTCCCCTCATGATGGGCAAGGTAGAGTTTATTAAAAAAAGGAGTTTTTGAGGCCAGGCGCAGTGGCTCATGTCTGTAATCCTAGCACTTTGGGAGGCCGAGGCAGGCAGATCACTTGAGTTCAGGAGTTCGAGACCAGCCTGGCCAACATGGTGAAACCCTGCCTCTACCAATAAATACAAAAATTAGCCAGGTGTGGTGATACACGCCTGTAGTCCCAGCTTCTCGGGAGGCTGAGATGGGAGAATCGCTTCAACCTGGGAGGCGGAGGTTGTAGTGAGCCAAAGTCGTGCCACTGCACTCCAGCCTGGGTGAAAGAGTGAGACCCTGTCTCAAAAAAAATAAATAAAATAAAAATTTTAAAAATAAAAGTTTTGGAAAGTCAAGGTTAACAGCTGAATCAGAATCCTTACCTGGTGATGAGTTATATAAGTGATGCCTAAATGTCCCTGTGAGTGTATGTCCATGCAGTCATGGCATTCTAAAGGTTCATCTTTTTTACTTACAAAAAGGCTTCAGCTTACGTCTATCATTAGTTAAGTTTAGAAAGCCTTCAGAAAGGCCTCACCTGTTCCCACTGGGAATGCACTGCTGCTCTGATGCAATACTACACTTTAGGTAATGCCACAGCCATGTTACTGACAATAGCATATGACAAAAATGTCTCCCCGCTATTTTCATTAGCCAGATTCACTCCACCCATGACAGATACCCATGTTCTACTAAACTTCACACCAGTGCATTATCAGGAGGACCAATGTGCTTCCACTTATGTATTAGAAAGAAAAGTGGATTATACTTACAGGAGGCCCCAATACAATTGGCTCTGCTTGCAAATACTGTCCCATGGACAATGGTGGGTTATGGTATAAAGCCCTTCTGGGAGATGGCGCTCTTATTGTGGTCATGTATCTTCTCTCTCTTCTAGGAGAGAGGTCTCTTCTTGCTGTGATATCTTTCCCAGGAGACACTGGCCTCCTTGGAGACAAATGCCTTCTTGGTGAAACATCTCTTTGGGACATCTCTCTTCTCAATGCAGCTTCCTTTCTTGGTGAAAGATGTCTCATGGGTGACAGATCTCTCCTAGGTGATAAATGTCTCCTGGGAGATAAATCTCCTTTGGGTATCAGATACCTCTTTGGTGAATTATCTCGACAGGGTGAAGAATCATATCCTGGAGAGGAATGGTGGCTTGAGGGTGAGAAGTCCCTGGGAGAGGAGCTTGGCTCTGAAGGTAGCATGCACTCCTCATCCATACAACTAGGTATGTCCAATCTGTCTTTGTCTGGTTCTGAGTCCGTACTTTTGCTCTGGAATAGCCTCTGGTATTCTGTCATCTGGGTATCTTCACATGAATCACTGGGTGTCATAAGCTGAGTAACTCGAATACTTGGCAAAGTAACCAAATAGCTGATCAACGAAGAATGTCCCAGGGAACTATCTGAAGGAACCCCGTGGGGTACGGCGCCAACATTCACAGGCAAGGAGGAGAATCTAGGAGGCTGAGGACTGGTGCTTCTTGATCTTGTTTTTGGTGTTAAATCTCCCTGGTCGTCAAAGTCATCTTCATCTTCATCATCATCATCATTATCATCTCCATCCTCACCATCTGATTCCTCAGCATCGGAGAACTGATGATCAGTTGAAATGCTGGACATGCTATGCTTCTCTGCTGCTTTGTGCAAATCTTCCAAATTTTCTGAAACAATTAAACAAAGATAATGGAGATCAAGATCCAAATATCAAGGTTAGGATCTTATTTAAGCCTCATTTCTTTCTAAACGCTTTTCCCAATCCCTAGTGCCCACAGATAGTTATGTCTGAGAACTCCTATAAAATGAGGCACTTACCTGTGTGACCCTGCGTTCATTCTATCTTCTTGTATATCTATTTGTTTTCATCCCCAACTTACAAGAAAGATTCCATAGTAGGACTTTATATCTCAGACATCATCCCACTCACAGAAAACCCTCAACAAATGAGCATGGATAATGTTAATTATGATGCTAGAGGAGAAAGAAAGGCAACAACCTGTCTCTGCAAGCTCAGGTACAAACGTATGTCTAAGTGATGTAACTCAGGAGGTCTGGCCAACCTTAATGATGTTTGTTTGCTAGTTTATTTGTTTTCCTACTGGGTTTCTTCTTAACTTGAATAATAATACATTAAAATGCTTTTCAAATTCCCCAAAAAGCCTCATAAAATCTAATTTGCTATCACAAAGCAAGTGCAATTCTATTCCCTTCATAGAAGGCTCTAAATATAAGTATTTTCAAAGTAAGGCCTTTTTTGCCCTCGGAGTCAAAACTGAAATGCATTTCTTCTCAGTAGATTTCAAGCAATTCAATGTGTCAGTTTTATTTTCTATATTTAGTATTTAATAAAATGAAAAGTGATCACTTTTTAAAAATATCTAAACTTATTTTACTACCTCAGCCACAGAGCTCCACTGTGCATAATGAAGAGGTCTGTCAACTCATTTATGACATACACACCTGCTTCCTCAGTTTCTGTATCATCCACCGATGTCATTGAGACTCCCAATTCCAGGCATTTTTTCATGTGTGCTTTAGATTTCATATGCTTCGTTAGGTTTCCTTGAAAATGTAGCAAAAAAAAGAGAGAAATTAATTGGTTATCAAATTAATAACTGCTGATAGCTGCTCCAAATTCAATGTGAAATGAACTAATTTTATTAAATTCATCATGTAACACAGATTTGTTTCTACCCACTACCCCTTGTTTCAACCTTAAGAAGAATAATCTGGTCTTTGAAGATATCAATCCCTGAGAGCTTTGGCCCAATCTCAGATATTCTTTATTCTAGAAGATATGTGGAAGTCCAGGCTCACATCTTTTCAAGAGTAGGCTCAAAGCAAGACTAGAAATCCCAGGCTTTTCTGCCTGAGAAGGGACCTCATATCTACCCAAATACACCAGCCTCCTGGGACTCCACAGAAACAGGAAACGCAATCTGGCCACACACCTCAGAGATACTTCAGAATGAAATATTCTCAACACACCCACTGGGCCCCTGACCTTCTGTGACTGATCAGGTACAGAGTAACCTCCAAGGATCTTCACCATTCAGAAGAAAAATACATACAAACTAATGTGAGGGCCAACCTTGTCAGTGCTCTGAAAGATCCATACAAATAATTAGCTAACTACTCATAGGGAGCATTATTCCCAGTATTTAGCATCTATCTGTCTGGCATATGTTAGCAAAAGTTATGACAGCAATTCCTAAAATTCTGGAGCAGCAACATTCCCTCTTTACTTATCTTCAGGCTCCTATCACACTAACAAAAAAGAAAGGTTTCATGCTGAATATGTTATAATGATAATGGCATATACAATTATATGTGTATATACATGTGTGGATATAAATTATATATATAATTTGTATAACTGCTTTATGAAATGTGAGAAATTTTGAAAACATTGTTCCAATCCTCGTTGACCCAGGATCTACAGAAGAATGCACACACACACACACACACACACACACACACACACACACACATACATATAAATTATATGCCATATAACTTATCAAAAGAGATTCAGGAACTAATTCAGTTGTAAGGCGCCTTTACATCACTTCAGTGAAAATAGCCATAATGTTATCTGTGCCCTTGACAACGCTTTAGCAATGTACCAACAAATACTTTAAGAGAAGGCTCTGTGAAATCTCCGTGGAAACTCAGCCTGCTAGCACAGTTTATTCCTCTGGTAGGGGTGTTCAGCTTGCTGTTCATGTAATATATGAGCCACAGTTAAAACTGGGACACTGTTGTTTATTATTTTACTCATATTGCTTTATTATTTACTTATTGCTTATATACTTATAAATTTTACATGCTGTTTTGAATAATTCCAAACAGAAATATTTCCAGGCCCCCACTCCTCCTATTTATCAAAACTTATATCTACCATTTTTTAAAGAGCCCAAAAATGTTATAGACATATCAAGAATGCTTAAATCTAGAAAATTAATGAAATGTATCTACAAATTAATAAAAATCATCACTTGTGCCAGAGTGCAAGTACGCTATGGATGTGTATAGGTATAGATGCTAAGCATATCGGGATAGTTTATTTAGATTTTAGTATGTGTTTCTTTCTCCTACATTTTTCTCTCCATTCCAAGGATAGTCAGGCTTTAGACTCCCATCTTCAGAATAGGTCTGTAGCTAGAAATCTGGATCTGAAACAATTCTACCATGGCTTTAGTTTGTTAAAGTCATGAGCTGCAGAAGTAATGTATAAGGACAAGGAGAGGGAAGGAGAGTGGCGGGGGAGGCCCCTGAAGAAGTGGCACAGACAAGGAGAAGGGATTGGTCATGCAAGGGCGTTCCATCTGTGCTCAGACGACAATGTGGGTTTGGACAACAGGCATTTCAGTCGGAGGTGAAAACTGGCAGGGTTTCCCAGGATGTTTTGCTCATTTTAAGATTCTGAGACATTTGCACATTCCCAAAGGGTGACAAGGAAACTCCAATAATGACCAAGAATAAATTATTTCCTTCAGGAGATGATGATTCAGAGGCAGACTTAATTTGATTTTTAAAAATATCTAGAGATGTGTCATTTCTTCATCCAGTTTTTCACACAACTATACCTGCAGCAAACTCATATGCCCAGTGAAGATATGTATCATTCGTAATGACTATTGAATTGCAATATTCCCTGAAACCAAAGTTTTTATTTTCTTATCTCCTAGGGAATCTCTTAGTAAAGTTCTGTATAAAAGGCTTGATTGTGCAGAGGTGAGTGGTATTTAAAAGGCCATATGATTATTTTTTGAGACACAAATGAACACATACTTTTTTCAGCTTCAAATGAGGCAATTCTATTACATAGATCTTTTTAATAAAAGAGAAACAGATATGTTGAGAGGCTACCCATTTACACTTCTAGCAATTTAGGATTTTCAGCTATAAAAGAATATAGGTATACATTTCTCTACCAAAGATAATTTTACTTGGTATTTCTTTTTCTTGAATGAGCAGATTAATCAATATGAAAATTTAAAGTGTTGAGGGGGTGCCTATAGTATCCACTAAACCTAAGGTAAAACACACTTCTGCAAAAGTCGAACAACCTCTAATTCACTACTGTTTGTATTCTGAGACTACCAGACTTATGAACATTTTCATAATATTATAAAAAATAAAAATATAACCGAAGCAACTTCCTTGAGTAAAATATTTTTACATAAATCTACCTGTTAAAAACAGATTTTAAAAAAAAATTTTAAGGCAAGTCCTAGTTTTATAAGACTAACAGTTATGTACTGAGAATCAGAAATTGTCTCTGTGCTGATAAAAACAGGGAACACAAGCTATCAAATTTCTATGCATAATTAATGCAACTGTGGATGAAGGCACCCACCTGGGAGTGTGTGGGTCTCTACATTATTTATAATCTTGAAACTGACCAAGAGCACATGTTTTCTTCCCAGCTGCTGCCTTGCTTCTCTAATACCACTGCATGTGCAGGATTTCAATACTGGTGTAAATATTATCTAGACCACATAACATTTCCAACATGAAGTAATAGCTATCCAGACAATTTGTAGCCACTTCCTTTGGAGACAACTGGCCTGGACCTATGTCTACTGCTCTTAATTAAGTCATAAAAGGAGCCTCACAGTCTCACATACATCCTTTGATCACTTACTTGAGGGAGAAAATATATTTCGTGGAATCATATTTTCACAAACAAACTATCTTTATTGTTGATGAAGGTTAGTTATAAAATAGCACTCAGAAATCTAAGTAGCCATAGAGAAGTATTTTTCCTCTCAAAAAAATCAGACTTGTACCTTTCGTTTTGAAGGCAAAGTTACATAACTTGCATACATAAGGCCGAACATCAGTATGGGTACGGATGTGTTTTTTGAGCATGCTTGGCTTCTTACAGCGAATCCCACATTCTTCACAAATGTACTTTCCCCGGCCACGTCCTCTGACATATACATAATCTTCATTCGATTTGTACCTGTTTTAAAAAGAGGGAATCCAGTGTGTTTTCAAATATTCTTAGCATGCTATATATTAAAGCAAAAGCTAATTATTTGCACGGCAAAGTTTTATGAGGGTCTTTTGCAGACAATTATTCAACTTTACTTCTACGAAGCCTGTGAAATTTATGCAGTAAATGGCTGAAAGAACTAGATAATAGATTTGGCACTGTAAACAAAATGTAATGCTCCATGGAATTCAAAATGGAATTGGCTTCACTATTACATGTGAATTTATAGAGTTGGGAAGTAGATGTTCAAAATGACTTATGTAAACCTCAAAGAGCTGCAGACCTTTGGACTGGATTCTAGTATGGCCTCCAATCAAGGGACATACAAAAAGCATACCAACATGTTCATCATGTATCTTTTGTTAACATTACATCATCTAAGATGTACATGTACAAACATACAACCCTCTAAATTTGCTAAATTAAGTATAACTGATAATAGAATTCTTCATTGCAAGTTCCTACTCTATTTTTACAATCCTGGCACGAGAGTGCCTCAGAAATTTCTAGTTTACACAGGGTGAGCTCAGCTCACCAACTGTTGTCTACAGATTTGATCTGCTCTTCCCAAAGACCATGAATCTGTAATAATGTGGAGTCTAAATTTCAACTAGCTTCTTCAAGGTAGTTACATAATGAAAACTAGAGATTCTATTTTTAATCAAATTTGCATTTGTTTCCAGAAGGGTTTCATAGAGATGTTTGAAAGGATATCTGAGGTCATCTTGCTTAATCAAATCGGCTAGAAAAACAGTCTTAGGTATTTTCTTTGATAATCAAGGGAAGAAATCTACCCAATGCTCAACCATTCCATTTTAGAATACAATAAAACATAATTTGTCATAAGATATAGTAGTAGTATACGGACTAATTCAATGACTGTCATTATCTCTTAAGTCAAAGCTAGGCTAGAATTTTGGGTCTAATGTTATTTTTGGAAAGACGCTCCATTTGGGGAGTTCTTTTCATAACTTCCAAAGGTAAACTGACATGCAAAATGCCCTAATCCACTGTGGATTTAGTTAAAGGCACTAAATTTACAGTTTTTTTACATTCTAAGAGCATTGCAAACTTCCTCATTTTATCCTAGCTAATCCACAAACAGGAATAAAGGCAAGTTTAACTTCAGTCATCCAATCTATTGAAATAATTTTAAGAAAGGAAATCCATCCACATATTTAAACAGCAACTCTGTTACGGATTCACATCTAATCTTAACGTTATCTACTTTTTGGTCAGTACCAATCCAGATGAGAGTTAAGTAGAAACTATTCAAAACTATGAATAATCAATTTTGCATGTCTTCCGTTCCTTTAAATTTCCCCCCTTTTACCAGGAATTTTGACTTCCACTTGTTCTTCAAAATTATTTTGAATTTTATCTTTGTCTTTTGCAATAAAGTAGAAAAAACCCTAAAGATGCAAATGTCTTTCACCTTTAAATTTCACTATTCTCTGCCCCTAACTAGATGAAATTGCTTAAGACATATAGACTAAAACAAATACTTTTGTACAAAGCTAATTTTCTTCAAGGAAGGATACTTCAAGCTTACTATAGCCTGCCATCATAGTGATGGGAAATGCATTTTATCATCAAGCAGTATAATTTTATTTTCAATGTCTTAGCTGATTAACTTGCTTCCAGAATGAAAATACAGTAAAATTCTGTATAAAATATAATGATGTATTAGAGAAACTGGTATAAATAATATATCATACAACAGTTCTACAGGCCCATGAATCTACTTGATAAGGTAATTGATGGATTTTGAAAAACATTCAAAGCTGTGTTTAACTAAATTATTGAATTTATTATTAAACCTATCAGTTAGACAATATACACTTACAATTTTGGTCAGTAATACTTTTTATTTTTTTAGCTATCACTTTGCAATTGCCAAAATAAGAGGAGGTAACACAAGGTTTGGAAAAAACACTTGGTCACCACTGGGCAGAAATTGGGCCACAGATTAAGAAGTAATGGGACACAGCCCATAAAACGGGGCAATTAAAGGAGGAGGAAATGAAATATGGGCACAATCCTTTTGGATCACCAAAACACAGCAATAAAATGTTCACATACGCTTTTTCACTTGTGTCCTTCGTTAGTGGAGATGGGCTCCCCAAAGCATACAGTAATTGTGGAGTTCTCGCTAATCTATTGGTGCAAGTACACTGCTATGAAGGCTGCTGAATGTGAGAGGGTTGATTCAGTCACAGGGACCTCTCAGTCTCTGAGGAGAGATAAAATCTATATTTCTCTCGTTTGTGTTAAAAGATGGGGGATGTCAAAAAAATATCAAGACAAGCTTCATGACTACATACAATTGTGGTTTTAGTGGTGAAAATGCTAGATATCCAAAGAGGGCAAAACCTAAGGGACAACCAAATAGAATAATCCATCTCCAAACCGGTAATGCTAGGTGAGAAATGGATATTTCATCTCACTGAACATTCCACATTTTATAGTCAAACAAGTAACATTATTTCCTCCAAATATAATTGGAATAAAGTCATGCCCATGAAGATATGTAAATAATAGATTTGTTGTAGAGATAAGGCTAATTACATCATAATCTCCAAAATGTGGTTAGCACGCTTCAAAATTTTTAAATTTTAGAAGCATAAGTGTAGGCTTTTCCTTCTATGTGACTGGATGAAAGATACATTTCTATCAAAATCTAAAACAAGACATTACATATGTGTAATTTTTCTTAACTATACAAATAACAAAGTCTTTGAACCTTATTACTTGAGTTTCTATGACTCAGGACTCAAGATTTGAAAAGAAATTCCTAAATACAGAGAAAGTGTCATACACCAGAGAAGACTGAAAAGGCAAGACAACTGAGTGCAATGTGGTACCCTGACTTGGATCCTGGGACAGAAAAGGATATTGATGGAACTGGTGAAATCCCATTAAAGCCTCTAGTTTAGATAATAAGAAAAACAAACAAACAAATTAACTAGTTCTGAAGATTATACATGATTGTGCATGATCTGATTTTTGTAAGCATACAATAAAAATATGTCCGTCAATAAAACAAATACCTATAAAATGATCAAAGAATGAACAAACTTAGATGACATCAAGTGTCCACCAATTTAGTAGATTTCATAATAAATTAGAGGGGTGAAAATTTAAGGAAGAGGCTTGAATGATATCCATTAGGGACATTTTCTTGCAAAGCAAATCCCAAAGGCAAGGGCATGAACTTATGATCTATTACCAGCCAGAGTTCAGAACTGTGAATAGAAAAGGAATTTACTTTCAGCTTTCAACCAGATTAGACAGTACCTTTTCCATGCAGACATTCTGGACCATTTACTCTGACCTATAACTGCACATTTTACATTTGCACTTTGTTTCCTTACCCTCCTTCAAATATTTTAATTCGGATTGGCTCAGTTTGTTTGGATCCAATATCTTTATCTCCATGAATATCTCCTTTCCCTCTTTCCTTTAAGATATTTCCCACTAGTTTCCTTTCTAGTTTGCTGCCAAATAAAAAGGACGCATCAGGTTTCATCTGTAAGACAAGAAGAGAGAATCATTTCACATGCTTTCTCCAAGACACAGGAGCCCCTATGTCCCACTCTTCCATCATCTCTGAAAATGAGCCTAAATTCTGTACTAAAAGGCCAGGAACTAGTTATATAAAATAAGGACCACTAGGGATAAAATCAGATAAGAATGACAGTTTCCACTGAATAAATTCAACATTCTGTTACAGCTATATATAATAAGTACATATATTATATATAAAAATATATAGATACACATATACACTCAGCACTCTGTGCAATGCTAATACTTAAAAGACACATTCTATGTTTTGAAGTAGCAATGAAAACAATCTATATTAATTAAGGAAGTAGTCTCAAAAATTATTGAAGGGAAAATGGTAACTGATAAAAGTGAAAACATATTTTTAAATCCTCTATTTGCCTCCTTATTAATTTAGCAGAAATTTCAAAATTCCCCTTAATATTTTTATAATTTTACATGGAAGGCATTGATGGTTCTTGTAGGAATAAACCAGCCAGCAACTTGGAAAAATAAGTTTTGAAGGAGACAGATGTCTCGTCAATGAGAGTAAGCCCTGCAGCATTTGCAAAGCTCGGTCCTCCTTCTTCGTCTTTCCTTTCAGCCTCCATTCCCTGCTCTATGGCCCACTTCACAATTCCCTGAATTCCTCACATCCAGAGAAAATTAGACCTGCTAGGTCACTCACAAAGGTCAGAAGGAAAATAACCCATGGGAATTAATCCCAGTGGTAGGATTTCATGGCACCCAAATTTTTAAATTTTAAAAGCATAAATGTAGGCTTTTTCTTCTGAAAATGGACCATGCCTGAGACCTCAGAACCAAGTGCAGTCAGTGGCTTCTTCCACTCCTGAGTAAGGCCAGACTTTCTGAAAACGCCCCCACACTGACCTTCATTTTACTTGTATTTTTTTTTTAGGCCTTATATCCTTCACTATGTAGTCTGCTCAGCAATCAAATCCACAATACAAAGTTCTTCCTAAAACAGTATTTGTTACCTGAGTAAACTGCTTCCAAGCACTTGATGATGTAAGCTTGCCGGTTCCAGGCCTATGCATAGCAGCCAGAGTATAAATTTCTGCAGTGATTTTTTGCTTGGACCTCAGAAGAGCCAGCGTGGTCTTGGTGTTCAATCCTGATGGGTTTGGATTACAGGAACTAATGCACCATGAAGCATAAACCGAGGATTTGAAGGTGGCCTGTTGCACATAATTGGGTTTTGTATAATTCAAGAAGCACCAACTCACAGTAGTTGTTGTCCGCAGACTGGGGAACTGAAGAATCTGCTGGAAATCTGCCATGTCCGTGAGAAGAAGAGTTGAGTCTGCCACGTTCCCGCTGGGGGCAGAGGCCATGCGGACCAGCATGCCAACAGGCCGCTTGTGGCCCTTCCCTTCCTCTTCCAGCTGACCATCTCCTGCTGGTAATGAAGAACTCTGTGGGCTCATGCTCATGTCCGATGCCGTCTCATCGATATCTAATTCATCTGAAGATTCTTTGCTTTCAGAAGGCCCACTGGACTTCTGCCCCGGAAGTGGTGCCCGGGAACCGGAAAGCATCTCCTTGCTGGGCAGGAATGGCTCCCTGGAAGACGGGCTAACAGAAGGATAGTCTTGAGATGAGGAGGGCGACAGCGAGGAGAAGGAAGATGACCCTGACTGCAAGCCATCTTTTGGCTCAGAAGCACATCCTTGTCGAACCAGCTGGGGTTTCTGGGGGCGGGAGAGGTCCTTTTTGATGTCTGAGTTGGTCAGCTCCACAGCACTAAGCTCCTCCACAATCTGTCCGTACATCTTTTCTTCTTTGACCCTTTTCTGCTGCTTGGTTTCCATGAAGAGCTCCAAGCTACTGGCTGGAGAAAGCATTCGCTTGCTACCTCCCAGGGTGGCCACGCTGTCAGAGGTGGAAGGTAAACACAAGGGGATGGAGGATTCTAAGCCGAGGGGCAAAGTCTGAGGTGCTTTCCAAATGGGGTACTTCTCCAAGCCCGCATGCTGCCCCAGCACCTGGGCAATGTTGAATCCTATCCCTTGCATGGCTGCGTTGGTGACCAGTGTCCTTTGGGTCATATTCTCATCGACTTTGCATATGACAATGGCAGGGCTATTCTGCCCAAGTATCTGAGAAATGCTTGTGTACATGACACTTCCATAGGATGGTACGTGCGTCTGGATCCGAACAGGAACCACTGTTCCTGGGAGGGACTGCAAAGACCCAGCATTTGCCGAGGCAAAATCTTCTTGAAGAACCTGCTCAGAGGGCGTTTCAGTTGACTTACTGCTCTGGTCTGATGGAAACTTTGGAAGAAGGTTCTTTGGGTGTAGCCCTGATGCTCCTGAATAACATGGGTAGGTCTGCTCTTTCGTGTGTGCATACTCAGCAGGTTTCTTTCCAGTGTGCTCTGCCACATGCTCTAAGGGATAGCTCGAATGGATTTCTGTCTGAAAAGAGGGCTTGCCATAGCTCTTCTGAGGGTGCTGAGCAAAGGGATGTGGGAAATGTGCCTGCCACCAGGGAGGCTGCTGAGCTGGTAAATGAACCATACAAACTGTAGGATACTGAAACTGAAACAAGGCATTCTGGATTGGAGAAAATGGAATTGTCTCTTGATGTGGAAATAAGTGTGGCTGTTCAGGTAAGTGCTTGCTTGTCATATAGGATGTTGGTTGGATCAAGGGATTTCTCAAAGATTCCTGACTGTCCATGTGCATGATCTGTGGCTGGGCCAGGTGCAGTGGCCCCGAGCTCAGCGGGGGACAAGGACCCGCCACCTGCTTCCCTGGGTCCTCTTGCTGAAGAGGAGGCAGCACAGCAGGCGGGCCATGGTGCCACCCGGACCGGAGGCCAGCATGCAGGTGCTCCAGCTGCTCTTGCTTCACGCTCTGATCCATGCCAACCTCGCCCTGGGAGATTTCTGGGGAGCCACTGAAGGAAGCTTGCCGCACCAGAAAGCATTTCTTCCTCTCCCTGGACGGTGATACCGTGGAGGCTGCTGCTCCCGACACAGGAGCATGGGACAGATTCCCATAATCAAATGATTTGCTCCGAACTTCTGGGACTTCCGCTGGGTGAGGACAAGGCATCTGCTCTGATGAGCAGCGTCGCATCTCTTTCTGGTGGTGATGGCCTGGGACAGACAATGAGTATGAACCAGCAGGGACAGTCAGAAACTCTGAATGCTTCCCAAACTCATCCTGCTTAGGAAGTGCAGAAAGCTTACTGGTTTCTTCTCTTTCAAAAGACATGGAGAAACTGGAGCTGTGGGACAAGTTGCTTTCTTGGCTGGGGCTGCGGGAGAGGCCTGTGCCTGTGGATTCAAAGCTGGACTCCCCTGAGGAGTGCTCCATATCTGCAAGTCGCAGACGCTTCTTTTTGGGTGGCAACTTCTCCGCGGGGAGCTGGGAAAGGGTCTCACTTCTCTGGGGCCACTGAAATTCTTCCACAGGCTTCTCTGGCTCTTTGCTCTGGGCTTCCTTCTCCTTCTCAGGTTTATCAGGCTCCTCGGTCACTCGAATCTCAGGAACCTGGATGTTGTGTTGCCGAACTAGCCTGGGCTGTGTGTGATAGGACTGCTGCTGCACCTGCTGAGATGGAGAGGGTTTCCCCCCACTTTCTGCACCATCCCCAGGTGGAGCCCACTCAGGACTCACTGGGGCTTCTGAAATCTCACTGTCACAAGTCTCTGAAGGGGAAGGGGCTTTATCCTGTGTGCAAGCCACAAGTTCGGCTGACTCAGACCTTTCAAATGAATTGGGTCGGCTCAGTGAGTTGGTGTGCTGAATCACAGAAATCACATTTCCAGGAGGTTTCCTGCCCCCTAGGTCTGACATCTTGTCTGAATCAATGGCTGAAGGTGACTCCTCTGACACAAGAGATGGACTTCCAGGCTGCAGTTGGGGCCGACATGGGTCAAAGCGTTCCGTGTGACCATGAGAAAGGTTTTCGTGTCCAGCCATGGCAAATCCACTCCTGACTCCTTCCTGCATCTGCAGTTTGGGGTCATAATCGGAAGCCATGATGCCCACAGGAGTGCTTACAATGCTGCTGCAGATCATGGGCGTGTCCTCTTCATCCCCTACGCTCTTCTCTTTCCGGCGTTTCCTGTTTTCACAGGTAGTTCCAAACATGCTTGGTACTCCCTGCAATGGCACCACGGGATCCATGAAATATTCTCCACCATGCTTTAAAGAACTCAAGCAGGAAATGTCCCTGTAGTTTTGCTTTGGTGTTTCAGAGTCCTCCCACTTCTTATAGGGTTTCCGACAGACATCATAGTCATACCCAACCCTGTCCCCAGGAGACAATTTCTTTTCCTTCAGGGATGAACTGCTGATACCCTTCAACATCCTGCCATGGTGCTCGACTTCCACGTGGCCCTCCTGTACCGAAGGCAGCTCAAATGCCGCTTGTCTTCTTAGCATGCGCTGAGGGGGTATGCCCACGGTCCCTGGATAGAATACATCGTCGGAACCAGTCATCCTTTCATCAAATGAGTGACTTCCTCTCAAAGAAGGAGGAATAGTTAGATTAGTTGCTGAAGAAGTTGGCACTGAGTTGCTTCTAATAAGGGGTGAAGAGTCTACAGGAGCTTCTAAGAGAACCGGGTTGCTGCCTTGGAAGTTTGCTGGATAAAGTTTTCCTTCGTTCCTGATAGATGATGGAATAATCTGGGGTTGTCTGGACTCACTGTTGAACTTAGTGGATTTCAGCATGCTCGTTTGACTGGGGTCGACATCTCCCTTGCTTGGGATCAGCTGTGAAACAGGATCTTCAAACATCTTGACATCTAACCTGGTGTTAACGTGAGGTAATGGTTCCATTATGCCCTTCCTACCCATTGCGGCACGCTCCTGACTTGTGGTTGTAACACTGAGTGCATTTCTCGGACTAAGCCGACAGTATTTTCCAAAGATGATTTCTTCATAAGACTTTGCATTTGTGTTGGGAGGGCTTATTTGCTGCTCAGCACTTTCTGAGCGAGAAAAGTAACCAGAATCAGTGCTTCCTTTACTGTGCGGGCTCAGAAGGTTGAGCGATGGCTCAGAATCTTGTCCTTTTTTCTCTGACAGTCTTAGTGCAAGTTTCTGTTTGACTGTGTGCGAATCATCAGCCTTAGTATTTAAAGATGGATTTGGTAGCATATCAGGGCCAATATACTGAGAGCTTTCATTAGGGAGAGGAATCCCACTTTTAGGGATAATCAAAATCGGCACCTTCATTGGACCTCCCAATGATTCTTCCAATGACCCATGATAGCCGCCTCTGCTGGCAATGTCCAGTGGGATGGGTGGACCAGGACTCATTTTGTCAGAAGCCTCGGCAAATAAAGAACTCTCCTCATCTGTGTCTGTACTCTGTTCACCATCTGAATGTATTTCTGCTTCTACATCAATAAAACCAGCCTCTAGGTCCAATTTAGATACAGCTGACTCTGTGAAAGGTACTAATCCTGCCTTAATTGCATGGGCATGTGACTTCCTGTGCTTGTACAAATTGCTCTTTGTCTTGAAAGAGAAACCACAAGGTATACATGGATATGGCCGCTCCCCAGTATGGGACCTGATGTGTTTTTTCAGTACACTAGGTTTGGCACACGCTCTGCTGCAGTAAGGGCAAATGTACTTGCCAGGCTTTTTGGGTTTGTGCTCTTTCTTGTGAGCCTCTTCTGCCTGTTCAATACTTTTCTGGGAGTATTGGCTATAAGCAGGGTTCAGACTTGAAATCTTTTTTCTAGGATAACCACCACTGTGGCCATGTATAGGAAAAGGAAATAAGTCCTCAGAGGCAACGGATGGCAAAGGGCCAGGGAAAAGCCACGGAGGACCTTCGAGGCTCTGATGTGGCTTGGTGCTGTGCATGACCCCCTGTGGCAATGAGTGCTGAGGGAAAGAGAGTGAGTGTTGGCATGAGTAAGGACTCGGACGATGCGGTGGATATTGCTTCTCTGCGACTTGCTGCACCACTTCACTAGGGGAGGCCAGTTTCCCAGAACCAAACAGTTGTGCTGATGCTGTGTTTCCGATTTGCTCAGGCTCTATTTGTGGTTGCCGCTGTCCTTCATGACTGCCAAAAGTGCTCATCTTAATAACAGCTGATTGTTCCTGTCTCCATCTACCTGATGCTTTATCAGTTTCTCCAGACCTTGAGGTAGCTTTTTGTCCTAGAGCTGTGTCCCCAGTGTCCATTTTGTTACACAAGGTCTTAAGTGCTAGTTCCCCTGAAAGCAGTGCAGACTCATGGAGTGTCTCCAAAGCTGTGCTTCTTAAAGCTTGGTTGCTTCCATGTTCCAGGGTGTCTGCAAACTTGCTGATTGCTCCTTCTCTTTGGAACCTTCCACACGCACACCACAGTCGATGGGCATTAGCTAGTAATGTCCTTGGACCAGGGCTATAACACAGTTCTCTCCATTGTAGAAACGTCCATCCAAAAGCTAAGTGCAAATCTATAAAGATTTCTTATGGCATTTGAAAATTTTCAACTAGGATGAAATTGGGATGATGAATAGTCTAGGAGAAATTTTGCCCATCAACTAGAGCAAAGTTCAATTGCCAGTTTCACTAAGATAAAATGATCTGAAGAAAAAGAAAATACAAAGAGATTGTCATAACAGTTTCAAATAAGAAACCAAAAAAAAAAAAAACCTAACTAACCAACCAGAAATTAGATAAATTTGAAATGTTTTTTACTCCAAGGAATTATTTTTATTGAGATTACATTAATTCCACAATTAAAATATATTAATTTCAAACTCAGCATTAAGTCATGAACATAAGTCTCTTCCATGTTTGAATTTTGGTCACTCTTTTAAATACTTTTTAACTTTAGAAAACCATTTGAAGGAAAATCCTTGATGGATATTATCTACAAAAGTATAAGGTTTTAGAAAGCCCCATTAAAAAAAAATAGAGCTATTCCTAACCAAGTTTTATGACTTGTATGCCAAAGTGTATTACATATCTCTATATAGAGATATGTTTTATAGCTTAATACAAACAATATGTGGCCAGGCATGGTGGCTCACGCCTGTAAACCCAGCATTTGGGGAGGCTGAGGCAGGTGGATCACGAGGTCAAGAGACTGAAACCATCCTGGCCAAAATGGTGAAACCCCGTCTCTACTAAAAATACAAAAATTAGCTGGGTGTGGTGGCATGCACCTGTAGTCCCAGCTACTCGGGAGGCTAAGGGAGGGGAATTGCTTGAACCCGGGAGGCAGAGGTTGCAGTGAGCTGACATCATGTCACTGCACTGCAGCCTGGCGACAGAGCGAGACTCCATCTCAAAAAAAAACCATATATATAGTTACATATTAATATAAAATATAAATATAACATAGTATACATATAAGCATACATATATGATACATGTTTTATAAAATACATAATTCATAAAGTATTATATATTACTATAAAGTATAACTATATTTTACAGCTTAAAATCAGTGATTAATAAAATGACATCAAGGCTATAAGAATTAGATGTCACAGAACTTTGGAAAAGATAAAAGGGTGCATCTAAACAAAACAATTATAAAGTCTTCTTAATATAGAAAACAAAGCATATTTCTAGGACAGTTTAAAAACGAAATGATTACCTGAACAGTTTAGAGTTCTTATGGGCATGATTGTCCTGACGCTTCCTGGATACAAAATAAATGCAGTTAGGGAAAATTGTTCCATTAAACCTTACCATCGATATATACAAATACAAATTCCAATTTCCAGTTCATTATATAAAGGGTTCACAATGCTATGTACCCTAAAACGAAAGCAAGAAACTGCTTCAGAAAGCATTACACCAGAAGAGTAAACCTTACACTGACACTGTGACTCAAAAATAACTCAGAGAAAATATTATAAAAACATCATAGTAATATTTTCTAAGACATAAGATTATTATATATGAAACATCTTAGTTACTTAAATGTAATCAGCCTAGTTCTAATTCCCTAGATATTAAAAGTTGAGATACAGGCGTTTTTTGTTTTGTTTTTTTTGAGATAGAGTCTCACTCTGGTGCCCAGGCTGGAGTACAGTGGTGCAATCACTGCTCACTGCAGCCTCGACCTCCCTGAGCTCAGGCGATCCTCCCACCTCAGGCTCCCAAGTAACTGGGACTAAAGGCATGCACCACTACATCCATCTAATTTTTGTATTTTGTTGTAGAGATGAGCTCTTGCCATATTGCCCAGGCTGGTCTCAAACTCCTGGGCTCAAGCAATCTGCCCATCTTGGCCTCCCAAAGCGTTAGGATTATAGGTGTGAGCCACCTCGCCTGGATGAAAATAGTGGGTTTTTTTTTCTGATAGGTTTGAATGTTTATGTTTAAAAGAATAAATTTCCCTTTTAGGAAATTTACATCATAGCAAAGTGAAGGAGTCCTCTAGATGATGGCGTATGGCTCAGGAAGACTTGACAACTAAGTAATCGTTCAATTTTAAGTGAATACTCAACTTCCTTAGGGGAGTGTTCAATGAGGTACCCAGAGGATTCTGAGAACTTCAATGATAAACTGTATCCACTGTCATAGAACCTCAGATGTTTCCTTGATAGGCAATGTGTCCGTTTATCAAAATAAAAAAGATCATACACATTGACCTAGAAATTCCACTGCTGGAAATATATCCTTACAGGTGTACTTGCACAAGCGCACACCAATATATATGTACAAGAACCGCTTAAATAAATTATGGCTCAATGATAAAACTGAGGCATTTAAAATAAATAAAGTACAGCTATAAGTACCAATATAGAAACTTGTTCAGGGGATAGTAACATTAAATGCAAGAAAAGCTTATTGCACCCTAGTACGAAGACACATTGTTAATCCTATGGGTGAAAAAGAGGAACAGTTGATCAACAGAAAATTCCTGTGAGGATGCCAGGCAGCATTGGCACCAGCCTGACCAACATAGAGAAACCCTGTTTCTACTAAAAATATAAAAAATTAGCCAGGCGTGGTGGTGCATGCCTGTAATCCCAGCTACTTGGGAGGCTGAGGCAGGAGAATTGTTTGGACCCGGGAGGCAGAGGTTGCAGTGAGCCAAGATCGAGCCATTGCATTCCAGCCTGGGCAACAAGAGCAAAACTCCATCTCAAAAAAAAAAAAAAAAAAAAAAAAAAAAAAAAAAAAAAAAGTGGAACCTGGGATTCAGAGGAAGAGGAAAGAAAGGATTTTTACCTTCCATCTCATGACTTTCAGTAAGTTTAATTTTTGTTTATTTTTCTTAACATGAGCATGTTTATCTTTTTAAATAAAACACTAGTTAATAATTTTTTAAAATGCTACCATGCAGATGTACTGCAGATTCCTAAAGCGAAACTCAAATAGTAGTCTTACTTCCATGGGCAATTTTCTCCCTAACATCGAATTTGACTGTGATGATGATGATGACAGAAGTTGCACTTTGAGAGGGGAAAAGCACCCGGAAATTCCCACAGGAACGGTAAGTCTTTTGGGTGAGAAATCAGTAGCCCCCAGATATTTGTAGTAAGACATCTGTACTCAAAGATTCCTTCTGTTAATGGCCATGAAGCCTAAGAGATTTGTAAAGCAGCAGTCAAAATACTAAACAAAGATATTAATCTCAGTTTGCTAAAAAGTTTTGCTATTGGATTTAATTTTTTGCTGTGCAATAATTTTCTTTAGCATCCCTCTGCAGGAAATGAGGCAAAAACGAAACACAAATGATAGTCTCATAATATTCCAATGCAAATTTCCTTGTGTCAATTCCAGGAACCATGCTAACAAGAAGAAGACACAATGTTGAATCTAAATTGGCTGACTGTGTTTAATTAACTAAATATTTAAGGTTCATGTAGACACAACCTCTGCCAGACTTGTAGAGGTAAATAAATACCCTCTAAAATGGAAATATACTACATTTTCAATTCAAGACAAGCATGTATGAATCCTCAATTAGGACTCAGAGCTTGAAGTGAATAATTTCTAAGTTATTTTTCAGATTTAATATTTTATCATGGTATTGATCTATGTATGCAGTTTCATTGTTAATTATAACAATGATAATGACTGTCATTTACTATATATTTACCATGGGCTGATACATACTGTTAAAGAGTTTCATATACATTGTCTTATTTTATCTTCATTATACCTCTATGCTAAGGGTATTATTACACCTATTTTACAGTTGAGAATGATTCTTAGAGAGGTTGGGTTTCAGAATCAAAATTCAGATCTAAATTTGGTGACTTCTAAGTCTGGGAGGACTCACCACTACTCTCCATTAAGTTTTATTACAACTTAAAATAATACATCTTCAATAATATCTTCATCTAAATATTTCCACTTAACTTTAATATATGAAATGTCTCAACTTTTAATGGTTCTGAGAGAATATAAATGAGCTCTGCATGTTTGTAGTACAAAAAATGGCCCCAAAATGCCATTTCCTAGAAATAAAAAAATCCATAATTTAAATAATGTTCAAAATATGTATATTAAGTATTAATGAGAACAGCTTCTTGTAAGACCATAATAAAGTCTCATGCCAGACTGTTTTCTTTTGTTCTTTGAAAATCATTACTTTTATTTTTAGAGGAGGGGGGTCTCACTTTCTTGTCCAGGCTGGACTCAAACTCATGGGCTCAAGGGATCCTCTGGGCCCTGCTTCCCAAGTAGCTCCTAAGCCACTGTGCCCAGCTTGGAAATCATTAGTTTTAAGGAAAATAAGAACCTTACAAGTGAAAATCAGGTATGTATCATTTTCTATCTTTTGGTTGACACAGAATATATAATTTTGCTCAAAACATAAACTTCAGGGGCTGGGCATGGTGGCTCATGCCTGTAATCCTAGCACTTTGAGAGGTGGAGGCAGGTGGATCGCTTGAGCTTAGGAGTTCGAGACCAGCCCAGGCAACATGGCAAAACACCGTCTCTACAAAAAATACAAAAATTAGCTGGGTATGGTGGCGTGTACCTGTAGTCTCAGCTGCTCAGGAGGCTGAGGTGGGAGAATCACCTGAGCCCAGCAGGTCGAGGCTGCAGTGAGCTATGATTGCAGCACTGCACTCCAGCCTGGGGAAAAGAGTGAGACTATCTCAAAACAAACAAACAAACAAAACAAAAAACAGCATAAACTTCAAGTAATAAGTACATACAATTTTATAAAAAACAGGGTTGGAATAATTTATTTCATAAGTTATTCAATAAAATATAATGTTTTCACTTAGCAATGAGGTAATACCTTTATAAATCAGACATTTAATTTTTATGGTATAAAATAATAAAACCATTCTTATACACTAAGGGCATATCATATAGTAAATGCATCAAATAAAATTCAGAAATAATATTTTGCTACCAGAGAATACACCAGAAGTTGAAAAAAAGTGACTTACACAAAATTCAAAACCAGATACCTCATGGTCAGAACAAAACATGTCTAGACCATTAAGTTAATTGTTTAATTTTTAGGAGAAGGAGGATAATCAGAAAAAAAGTCTTATCTATCACTTTATTTTAAAAAATAATTTTGCTAAGTTTAACATAGGATCTTTCTATATTCCAACAGCATTTATTATCCAGAAAGTTTTTAAGATTCAAAACATTAACTCAATTATGCAAATAGCTTCTGTCAAGAAAATCTCTTCCTTTTAAATTTCTAAGACAAGCCTACCCGAGATGCCCCACCATTTTACCAGGAAGCTAGGTGATATCCCACGCCATGCTTTCTCTCCTGGGTTGTGCGGGAAGAGCTTCCATCTTTGTGCCTAAGCTGGAGGTCCCAGCACTACAGGGACCCCTCCTCTGATCCACAATGTCTAGTTTTTCACTTCAGTGAAAGGCTTATTAGGGAACTAGAAATCATGCTTATTTCACATGAACTTTCACATTTGATTTGAAACATGTTTGAGGATGTCTTTTTCTCTCCAACACTATCCTTGGGGAGCCTTTGACTAACTGCTATCCATAAAATCACGTCTCTTCTTGGAGTTTCTGAGACATATAAAGAAAGGTAGGTGGGAGAGAAAGTGAGCGATGGCTTCTTTTAGAATTTATTGATCATATTTATGAACCATTAAAAATATGGACTATTTGTATTTGTCACTTTTCTACAGCTGCTTTATCCTGGAAACTGAAAAGATTCTGCAATGGAAATTGTGTGCATCATAATCTATTACTGAACATGGCATGACTTTCTCTTTAAAAACAAGCAGGATTTGGGAGGGTTTGAAAGTTTCTCTGCTACTCCACTCATGTTATACTGAGGAAAATAAATTCACTTTAAAAACAATAGGGTTTTCAAGATTAGATAATGGCATTTGTCTTGTTTTGTTAGGTGACACTTTTACTAAGCAACTTAACTCTTCCAAATGGCATAAATTCTTGAGCTTACATTTTATTACTAAAATGTATAAAAATGCTTATAGATAACAAAACATTTTTAAAAGTATGTTAGATAAGGAAATCTACATTAAATGAATCATTAAGTCAGGAAAATACTTTCTTTGGACTTCATAACATTATTACAAGTCATTAAATGTACCATTGTATCTACCTGCAATTTTAGTTTAATTTCTGCAACAGAGATCCACTTAGAACTATAAAGATCTATAGTAATATGGTTAATTATAGCTACAGTATTTCTCTATGACTGTGTAGAGTCAATTCATTTTTCAGATTCTCTAATATTTCATTAAAATATATACCAGGTTTCCTAATCAATTGATATATCAAAAAATGCAGTATGAGAGTAATTCTCATATGAAAACAGCGAGTCGTCACTTTATTCACTGAGATTTCCTTTTATGGTAACCAAACCCACACAAAGTCATTTTTGGCACCCACTGCCAACAAAGGAGCGGAATTCCAAATACAGTTTTGCATTCACAGTTAAAATTTTCTCTAGTGGGTTTTAAGTGCTATGAAAGGAGTAAGATAATTTACTGGAGAATAAAACTCAGGGGATATGACTTTGGGTTTCCTGTGGATGCTGCTACAGCCCACAGGAGTCCTCTAGTCAGTAAAGACAGACATTGTCTGGCAGGCTCATCACACTTTTCAGAGGGGGATCATGTTAAAAAAGAGATTACCTCTGCATGGCTATTTCAGTGGTAATGGAACTAAAGGAACTGAAGCGAAAGAAAATGATATTACAGGGAAGAGCAGGCATTCTTCTAGAAGTGTGCCCTCTCCTTTGGCCACTCTTCAGAGTCCCACTCAAATAAGTTTGGCACCCAGTTAAATAATTTCCCCAGACAGGGTCCCAAAGGAAAGACACATAAACAGCCTCCTAGATGGACCTCCTCAGAGGTCTCTTCAGGATAACGGCTGGGTGGGATTGGCAGGAAGACAGGCTTACTCTGCAGAGGAATAAAGACCTACAGTACCCAGGGTTGTCAATCTGGGATCTTTTGCTTAGGAAAACATTATCTCAGAAAAAAACCTTACCTCAGGAAATTAATCATTACTTGAGTGGTGGCAAAAGTCAAGTGAGCATTAAATAATGACATCCTAAATAATGACGGTATACAATGACTGGCAGCAAACACGGCTTCTCCACTTCCAACATTTTAATAATAAAACATTTTTAAAAATGTAAATGGTCACTTGGTCTTTTCTTGAGGATTTGGTGGTATGACACTTCTAAACATTTCGTCTTTTGTTGAGGATTTGTGGTTTGACACTTGTAAACAAAATACGTGTCTTATGGTAATAATTAGTGAATGACATTTTAGAAGGGACATCATTGTATTTGTTATTAAAGTGCCACAGATCAGTTGTAAAATCTTTAAAAAATACATGAACATCTCGGGGCATTGTAGTTGTAACATTGATCCCACGAGTCACTTAGACACTCATTGCCCAACCACCGCTCAGAGCATATATGCTCAGAGAGTATGGGATGAGGGGAAAAAGGAACTACCAAGAAAGAAGGCGTGATGAGTGCCAGAGTCCAGCTGAATAAAGACTTATTTCCACAGGATGATTTTTAAAAAGGTGGCTTCCTGAGAGCCAAATTCATTATAAAGGCTTCTTTTAGTAAAAATTCCCATAACAACCTCAGTTCTCTCCAAAATGAGCAAGTTGTCTATATGGAGAAAACTCTATTATATACAATCCTGCCAAGCAATTCAGAAAACTTTTGGAGAAAAGTAAAAATACTGTGATGATCATCCTCTAATTTGATGTAATTAAAATCTAATTTGATATTTAAAGCCTAATGAGAAACAAACATATTTTTTCACATGGGCTGCAATGCAGGCATCATTGCATATATTTGTAGAGTTTGCCTATTTAGTCAAGATATTTATGACTTATTTTGGCTACAGCATGCTGCTTTTAATATTTTGTCATACCTTTTAAAATAATTTTTTAAATTGTGATTTCACTTTTCTACTGAGATGTTTTCTCATTATACAGCAAAAGTTATTAGGATTCACTAAGTAGAGTCTAACATGAAAATAAACTTTGTCAGAAATAAATTCTGTCGAATAATGCTATTTTAATTATAACAATGATAATTAATTATAATTAAGATTGGTGGGCTGGGTGCAGTGGCTCACGCCTGTAATCCCAGCACTTTGGGAGGCCGAGGTCAAGAGATCGAGACCATCCTGGCCAACATGGTGAAACCCTGTCTCTACTAAAAATACAAAAATTAGCCGGGCATGGTGGCAGGTGCCTGTAGTCCCAGCTACTTGGGAGGCTGAGGCAGAAGAATCACTTGAACTCGGGAGGCAGAGGTTGCAGTGAGCCAAGATTGTGCCACTGCACTCCAGCCTAGCGACAGAGCAAGACTCCGTCACAAAAAAAAAAAAAAAAAAAAAAAAAGACTAGTCTACTATGAAAAACAAAATACAACAAAACAACACTTTTCTCTCTAGATGGAAAATATATTGTTTCCTCCCTCCAGTTTATATATGAGTCCATAGTAGGCCAAAACAGCTTTTCAAGTTTAATGTAACAAGAGAGTAAGAATAAATAAATTTTAGTTATTAACCTGTTATCCTCATATCAAAAAACTGCATCACAACCGTCTTTGATTTCCAAGATGCCAACTCTCCTCACAGGAACTCATGCACAACTTCTGGGAATCTAAAAGATGAATAAGAAGATTTAAAAGATGATGACATCTGTAATGAATTTAATAAGCACGCTCATTCTTCTTCACTCACAGAACCTGCCTTCCTTTAGGAAAGAAAATTTGGAACTGGATCTCTCAAGAAGCTTTTTTTTTTTGCCCCCAGGAAAGAATTTCCTTTCTTTTAACATAGTTTAAATCTTTTGAATAAATACTTGTAATTAAAGGGAATTCCCTGTAACAGTGAAATGCTAGAGTTAAAACTTCAAGTACCAGCACTAGAAATTGTGTCATTGTAGTCCATGATACGGTTCTGCCACAAAGCTGAGATTTCTACAGAACTTCTTTGGGTGTATTAGCAACTAAACCTCGCAGGATGAAGTCTCAGATAACCTTGTTGTAAATTTGTTTCTATAGTTTATTTCAGCAATGTTATACTTTGTGCTAAAATTAAATTCTGAAATAGGAATCCAAACCCAACCAAAGCAAAATTCAGACTTTAAAAGTCTAGTAAGTAATGAAGAAAGGAACTTTTCATATATGGAATTAATATTTATTCAAGTATGATCCAAAGAAATGCATGGAAGATCAAACTACCTAATCTGAATAGATTAATCAACAATCTTAACAGAGTTTATCTCCCAGTATAAAAGACCTACTTAAAAATAATATTATAATACCCATAATCGTATATTTGTTATTTTTTTAAAAAAATCGCCCTTTTGTCCTGACAAGTTATTACAAAACTCCCATAAGAATAACTAAAGCATTAAAACATAACAGTTAAAGTGTGCTTTCCTGCAGTACCACTTCATGTGAACATTCAAAGTGCTTAAAGGAAGTAGTTTGCTTCAGTTTCCCCCTCCTTTCTGCACACCACTGCAGTAGCACTTCAGGACACCCTGTGCACTTGAGACATGAATCATTATAAGCAAGTAGGCCCACTCGGTTCCTCAAAAGACACAAAAGGTGCAAAAATAGCTTCTGCAATTGAAGCAAGAACCACGTCAGTAACCAGATGAATGTGGGTGGTCACATAAGATTCTGGTGCTGCAAAGGGCAAATTATTAAGCAAATGCTAGATTTATTTTCTTTTTTAAACTTTATTCTTCTTGCCTCAAATCAACCGTTTGCTGGCACTCAAAGTGACACCTGACAAGGTCTACTATTCTCAAAATTGAAACTTTCATCAATGCTAAAGAGCATGATTCATTAACATAGAAGGAATAGAGATGATATCCTAAAAAATATACATTTTCTATAAGATAATTAACTATATCTCTATCTATCTATCTATTTTTTTTGAGACGGAGTCTTGCTCAGTCACCCAGGCTGGAGTGCAGTGGCGCGATCTCGGCTCACTGCAAGCTCTGCCTCCCGGGTTCACGCCATTCTCCTGCCTCAGCCTCCCAAGTAGCTGGGACTACAGGCACCCACCACCACGCCCAGCTAATTTTTTTGCATTTTTAGTAGAGATGGGGGTTTCACCATGTTAGCCAGGATGGTCTCGATCTCCTGACCTCGTGATCCACCTGCCTTGGCCTCCCAAAGTGCCGGGATTACAGGCGTGAGCCACCGTGCCCGGCCAACTATATCTATATTTTTAACACACTAAATATCACATCTGTTTTAAAAAATCAAATAAAAGCACTTCAAAAAAAACCCACAAAAACTATAATCTAGGCTAAAGTAAAGCATGGCATTCCTCAAAAAAAAAAAAAAAAAAAAAAAAAAAAAAAAAAAAAGAAGAAGAAGAAATCACTGAGTTATTTTGTACTCCAAGCAAAATGCATCCAAGACATAAATGGGCCAAGGTTCTAAAGATGCAGATATTTATACGGAACCTTAACTTGCAGTAGTCAGTGACTACCTGTGACTGGTAATCTCACAGTCACCAAATTAAGAGGCAAGAAGGTAAAAGAAGAGCTTAATTTTCAGTAGGCCAGCACCAACCTCCCTTCCCTTCCAGAAATCATCATTCCTACCAGCAGTCTCCACAGGCAAAACAGAGCACGTGAGTGCCCCCCAACAAGCTCTGATGGGACAGCATTCCCAGTTCTGACTCCGTTTTTCCAGTCTTACTTTCTAAGATGATGGCTACTGGAAATGGTAAACACTCCTTTCATGACATGCACATGTATTTGAAATTGTAGATTACAGAAGAGCCCCCTTTTTACCCGGTAAGAGGATTCAAAAACTGGTTCTGTTGCATCACTCATGACCTTTTAAATGTTTGGGTTTCTCTTGAAGAAGAGAAAAGCAATGGTAATCATGTTATACTTATCCTTACCTTAAAGAAAGTTCCAGATGAGCATGATTTTAAAGCAAAGATGCAAATAATATTAGCATGAAAGATATGATATCAATTGCAGCGTTTTTGCACAAATCATTTTGTTATAAATTGAAATCAGTAATGGCCTCTACATGGGACTTGGTTATTGTTCTTATTGAAATGGAGATATGGAGATGCCATCTCAGAAATTTATTTTTTGCATTAATTTTAAGTGAGTTTTTGTGTCTTTATTTCTCCATCAAAATAAAAGAAAATCCTTTCATCAAACAGCTCTTGAGAATGTACTATGACAACTCATGCTCTTATTCTCAAGAAATCAACAGTTTACATAGTATGCTATTAAAGAAATGGACTAAAGGAGGAAAGATGATTATTTCTTTAACTTTGCTTTTAGGTTATTAGCTTCATAAGAACTTAACAGGCAATGAAACCTTAATATTTAATAAAACAAACAAGTTTTCAGAAATAGTGCTAATGAATCTTGATAAAAATCCAAAGGTCATTTAAAATTCCTTCCTAAATATGAGGTAAAAATTATATTTCACTTCACCACATACAAGATGGTTTTTCTGTCAACCTGCAGGTTAATGGAAGAGACCCTTGAAAATATTTTCCAATCCTCCATCTCCTATTTGTAATAAACACTTGGAAGATTTGAGTATTACTGTTTCTATCCCAGTGGTTTCTCAGCCTTCCCATTCTTAGAAGAAAAAAAATCCTTGGCATTAGTTACTTGTTGTTGGATGCTTATAGGTTATTACTATTAAGCTAAGCAAGAGTCAAGCTACTGATTCATAGATGACAGATAAGATAGACATTTTAAAAATACCCATTGTTAGTGGGGTTGTCTTTTTCCATTCTCTACTTTTCCAAATTGTTTCAAAACAAGTTACAGTTAATGCTTTAATATGACTCTTACATGAATCTAGCAAGAGGTGAAGGTTTCATTGGCAGAACTCTCAAGTACCTCCCATCACCCTTGTTTTTTCTGAGGTTAAATAAATACACACTATATCACAATTTTAGGAGAAGAGCTGATAAGGTAAACCAGTTACACTTTAGATGAGCATTGTCATAATTAAAAACAATAATTATTGGCTGGATGTAGTGGCTCACACCTGTAATCCCAGCACTTTGGGAGGATTGCTTAAGACCAGGAGGTTGAGACCAGTCTGGGCAACAAAGCAAGACCCTATCTCTATAAAAAAAAATTTAAGCAGGTGTGGTGGTGCACATCTGTAGTCCCAGCTGCTTGGGAGGCTGAGGTAAGAAGATCATTTGAACCCAGGAGTTTGGCGCTGCAGTGAGCTATAATTGCACCAGTCTGGGGGATAGAGTGAGACCCCGTCTCAAAAATAAATAAATAAATAAATAAAAACAACATCAATGAAAATAATTCTTATAAACTCAATGGAAAAATGGCAAATAGAAACTGGAAACAAGATATGATAGTTTTATTTCTCAGTAAAAAGAGTGTTTAAGTATTACATGTTTAAAAGAATGAACACTACTCTTCACTAGAGAAGAGACACTTTACTCTTATAGTAGGGAATAGAAAAGATTCAAAAGTAGTGACTAAAGATGGGAGAAGAGCACTGAAAGAGATATCAATGTTCAAGATATAATCCATCAATTTCACAAGCTTTTTGTAGAGGCATCTTTTCCTCTCTACAAAAAAAAAAAAAAAAAGACTCTAAATGGGCCCATTGTTCCACTCTGGAGTGCGTAAAGTGGCAAAGGAAGAAGAGGCTGCGAAGGACTAGAGAAGGCAGGTACAGGATAGACAACACACATACACACACACACATACATTGACAGGATGATGACTATAAGCTTAGATCTTCAGAAATATTTTTGATATAAAGGTAATGGATGAGGTTGGGGTTGAAATGTAAAAAAGAAAACATATTAAAGGGACATGACTAGGAAAAGAGAAACATAGTAGTTTTGGAACATGGGGCAATTCATTACTGGGACAACAATGTAGAAGGTTTTGAAAAGTCAAGAAGGTGCATGGAAGGAAGGATTCCCACAGAGTTTTCATAATAGGAGGCTGGGGCAAACTGAGTCCAAATTAGCCAGAAACTGCCCATAAAAATGACACCAAAGCTACATATGGTCTATTGCTGATTCTCAGCAGGTAGTGCAGGAGCACAGAAAAGATAGGAAACAAAGCATTGTGTAAATTAAAACTAGTGAAAACAAACAAAAAAAGCAGATACATGTGCATTAGAGATTGTAACTTAGGCCTCTTTAAATAGGATTTCTGATTATTCTATGATACTTTAAGACATTTACTTATACCTAATGTTAAATGACGAGTTAATGGGTGCAGCACACCAATATGGCACATGTATACATATGTAACAAACCTGCACATTGTGCACATGTACCCTAAAACTTAAAGTATAATAAAAAAAAATCCCCCCCTCAAAAAAAAGACATTTACTGAATGCCTACGATATGCCAGAAATGGGCTGTATTTACACAATACAGAAAAAGAAAAGACAAGCATTGCATTTAAGAGCACAGAGCTGGCTGGGTATGGTGGCTCACACCTGTAATCCCAGCACTTTGGGAGGCCCAGGCGGGCAGCTCACTTGAGGTCACGACTTCAAGACCAGCCTAGCCAACATGGTGAAACCCTGTTTCTACTAAAAATACAAAAATTAGCCGGGTGTGGTGGCTGGAACCTGTAATCCCAACTACTCAGGAGGCTGAGGCAGGAAAATCTCTTGAACCCGGGAAGCAGAGGTTGCAGTGAGCCAAGATCACACCACTGCACTCCAGTCTGGGTAACAGAGCAAGACTCCATCTCGAAAAACAACAACAACAAACAAACAAACAAAACAAACAAACAAACGAAGAGCTCAGAGCTTCAGCGGGGAGATATTTGTGAATTAGTTCAACAAATGACATAAATATAAACAGATTACAAAGGAGATTACAAGAGGGAATGGTCACTCCTTTCTGGAAAGTTAGAAAAGGCTTTCTAGATGTAACGACACTGAACTTAATATTTAAATAAAACTATATATGCTAATATACAGAAATGCACAGTTATCAATGTTAGATTTAGAGACAAATACATTTGTCAGATGAAATAAAAATACAAGACTCTACCATTCCGGTTTCTCTATGATTATATATACTTTATTTTGTGTGATGGAATGTTGGTTCATGAGGATGCTTGGGGAATAAGGTGTTCTAGTTAATACAATCTTATGGTTAGGTAAAGACCACAGAGAAAATCATTTTTTGTTAAACATCTGGTGGTAATTTATTTTCAAAAGTACACTAGCTTTTGCCTTGAGTTAATTACAGTCTACTAACCATAATTTAATCTTCCTTTGATGGTTCAGGATCATATAGTGTTCTCCAGTCATTCTGCATCTTGGCTGTGCTCATCTGGTATTGGCCATGCAAACTTCTCCCAACATGTGTCCTTAAAACACACGTCATGTTTTCTAAGATAAGAGCTATAACCTAGGTTTGTTTTCTTGACCCAATTTGACATCACGTAAGTCATATATCTGACTAACTTGATTTTAGGAGCAAATATATGACTACAAACTTCTATTACTATTTAAATGTTTAGCTTATTCTAAATCATATAGGCAGTGTTTAGGGCTATGGAATAATTTAGAAACCATTGAATTTAATCTATCAGGCAACTAACAAATGAAAAAGGTGAGAACCAGAGAAGTCAAAAGACTTGCTTAGGGACCCACAGCTCATTATGATAGTTCTGGTCTACAGCTTAGGTCTTTAAACTGTCAAGTCAATTATTTTCCATTATCCACACTACTTCCTCTTATTCAAAGTTTATTTATCTAACCCTATTTCAGAAATTGATTGAATGAGTAAAGAAGTAAAAAATGAAGAATTAATAATTTTGAAATTCAAATGAGCAAAGATATTTATAATCCATAATCAAAGAAACAGAAAATAACAGTAGTTAAGGATCAATGCTCCACTGAAATGTTTATCAATTTTTATACTAAATAAAAATAAATGCAACAAAAATTTTAATTTTTCCAAAATGAGTAAATGACAGAAAAATTAGAAGATAATCAATTTCCATAAGCAGTGCATTATTTAGTATCCAAAGCAAAAATAATTACTTAATTTACAACCAATTTTCAGTATAAGCTATTTTCTAAGATTTTTATGCTCTTATAACGAAAATTTTTCAGTAAATATTTTAAGTAGAGTTATGAGACCATCTTCCTAAAAGCAAAGATAGCTCTTTCATTGAAAGTCAATGGAGGCAAGCCCCTTGTTCATAATACCAAAATTTCACCTAGGAGACCTGTGAAGACATGGTAACACCAACTCCACAGGCACTACTTCTTCTGCTGCATTGGTTTTGCAAAAGGGCAGAGCCAAGTAGATGTTTTGTATAATTAAAAATCTTTTTTTGCTCTCTCTTTTGTGATACATTTTCCCATTTTTATTTTTTTCCTTCCCTTCCATTTCCTCTATCTTATCCCTTAATATGGTAGGTAAATAACTACTTCTAGCCAAGCCAGCTTAAACATTTACTCTTTAACTAAATATTTGGAGAGACAGGGATAAAAGCAAAAAAGGTGTATTTGACTACCATACTCTAGTGAGAAGTATATATGACACAACAAAGTCATAACTCCAATGTACTGTTTTCTCAAGTTTTATCTTTTACAATGCTTATGTTTACTATTCGGTTGCTGCAGATATACATAAATAAGGTCATGATTCTCCAATTTTCTTTTTACTCCTGGGTATGCCAAGACTAGCATAAAGAAAGGCCGCAGTTAACTTTGAATTAAGTAAACAAAGAGAACAGAGAAATCAAATCATAAAATATGCATTATATTCATAAGTATTCATATAACAGGCTGACCTTGCCTGAAGAAAATCCATCTTTGAGGGAAGATCCTCCTGCATCAGTGGAAATAATACCCAAAGCAATGAAAGCACAGCTGAAAATATGAATTGCATCCCACATTTCATGCTACAAACAATTCTCAGATGTGATGAAAAATAAAATTGTCTTCAGTCTCTCGTAGGTCTACACACAATAAAAATCTCTCAAAAAGAAATCAAGGCAAAGCCTATGACATATCATATAACCTAATCAGACAGACCCTATCTACTTCTAATAACTGAGCTGCTGAAAGAATCAATTCTATTTCCTCTCTTGACAATTTTCCTAGAGAGTGGGGAAATTGGTCTGTGTGCCTGTGTAGAGATATACAACCTCAGGAAACCAAAGAACAAATCTGGACTCACACTGTCCCAGGTTCTATAAGGTACATAGGGTAAGTGGATACTATCTCTCAAGACTTCAGAAATTGACATGAGGTTAGCACACAGCAAATAACCTGAACATCAGTTGTTCTCAGAGATTAGGAACCATATGATCAAAAATGGCTTGAACAACCAGGAAAGACTAGACAGAGGGAAGGGGCTCAAGTGGAAGCCATGATTTGCACAAATGAATTAACTAGATAAAGATTTATTATTAACCTGTGCTACATGGTTATTCAGGTACCTCCTTGACATTTTGACAAACTGTGAATGGCATTCATACTTTTGGTCTCATCTCAGAATATATCATTGCCTACAAAGTTTAAGGCTAAAAAAATTCAAGTTTCAAGCAGGCATTTATAAGATCCTATTGGGCAAATTCTGTCAGGCAATTCCAGAATTCCATCTGCAGGCTCATTCATTCAGTCAAATTACATTTTTTCCAAAGCTCATATATACTAATGTGATGAAATAAAACATTACTAAAATGCAAACTTCATATTTCTTTGAGTTTGAATCCAGATATTACTGCCTCATTTACCAAAAAATCCCCAAATACATATAAATTTAAATCAATTTCAATGACACCAAGTAAGAATTAAAAATAGTGTGCATGTGTAGGATCAAGACAAATGAGAGAACATTCTGCTTTCAAAGAGCTTACTGTCTAATGAGTAAGGAAAACATATGAACAACGAGCTATAAAAGCAATAGAGGCATGAAATGGTGTTGTGAGTATATGAAGACAGGAGATTGCTTAGAAATGCTGCATTTAAGGAACTCTATCTTAGATTTTGAAAGAAGGCTCAGATTTGCAGGCAGAGATGCATTTAATGTGAGGTTATTATCGTGACATAGACAAGAGAAGGGGTATTGGAGAAACAGTCTGTCTGCCTAGAACATTAGGCACACTGAGGTGATGGTGGTGGCAGAAGGTAAAGAACTTTAGTTGGCAGACACAGAGAGACATCAGTGGTTCTGAGAAGACAACTGCCACAGTCACAGAGACACTTTAGAAAGCTATTATATCCCATTTCTTTCCATCCCTTTCGGGCAAACTCTGCAAATGTATAGCCTGAAAAAGAATAAAGATTAAGAAGAAGTTTGTTTTAAGGCAAGGAGACTTGGAGCAAAGGAGGAAAAGATACAAGTAATAAGATAATGGAATAAACTCTTTAAAAAGTGGGATACTATGCAGCCATAAAAAAGAATGAGTTCATGTCCTTTGCAAGGACATGGATGAAGCTGGAAGCCATCATTCTCAGCAAACTAACAGGGGAACAGAAAAACACGGCATGTTCTCACTCATAAGTGGGAGCTGAACAATGAGAACACACGGACACAGGAAGGGGAACATCACACACCGGGGCCTGTCGGGTGGTGGAGGACAAGGGGAGGGAGAGCATTAGGACAAATACCTAAGCATGCGGGGCTTAAAACCTAGATGGCAGGTTGATAGGCGCAGCAAACAACCATGGCACATGCATACCTATGTAACAAACCTGAACATTCTGCACATGTATCCCAGAATTTAAAATAAAATAAAATAAAACTAATAAATAAATAAATGAATATTTCATTAAAGAATGAATAAAAGAAAGTGGGAACCAAAAAGGAACTCAAAAGCATAAATAAGGAATCTGTCAGAAGAAAGCATGAAAATTTTTCTGTTTTAGAATGGAGGGAAGGAAGATATAATGAAGCAAGATAACTTTTCAGATAGAAAAGAAACTGAGGAGTCCCTTCTTAATATCTCAGAAAAGTAGAAGGTGAGGTCTGCTGATGGGAGCAGGGAACTAGCTGTGCTAGAGGGGCTTGATGAGTGGGGAACAGTCAATTTGCCTTAAGTATTAGTACTTGCAGCAGTCTTAGGAAAAACACTACTTCTTATTAGGCCATTTAAAAAGAGTATTTTCCAAACTTTTTTCTGAGTCAATAACCATATCCAAATAATTTAATAATATATCCAAAAGTTTATCTTTTATTCTAAAATAAAACTCTTAAGATGATTAACTATAAGCTATTATGTATGAACAGTAGATTTAAGACTGTTATATTTTTTAAAAACTGTATATATCTCTCATAATTCTACATAACTACCTAGAGTAGAAAATTGTGATACTCATGCTGTGCTTCATTGTATAGAAATTTAGGGAATATTTACTGATGACTTGAATATTTACTTTTTAGCATCATTAGTGACTGAGGTGATTCTTTTCAGTGAATTAACCAATAATTTAACAAAGGAAATTGATGACGATATTCTATGCCACATTTCTTTTCCGATACCATGATTACCAAAATATGTATTGCTTGATACTATGGGCAGAGTAAGGTGTCAATTCTAGTATATTTAGCAATTAAAAAGGAACTCCATGTTTTATAATTTATTAATTTCTTTCTTTCTACCTCCCCCCTCCCACCTCCCATCCTTCCTTCTCTTTCTTTCTTTCTTTCTTTCTTTCTTTCTTTCTTTTTTCTTTCTTTCTTTCTCTCTCTCTCTCTCTCTCTCTCTGTCTGTCTTTCTTTCCTTCTTTCTTTCAGACAGGGTCCAGCTCTGTCACACCCAGGCTAAAGTGCCTCCCTCTGCCTTCTGCCTCAGCCTTTCAAGTAGCTGGGACTATAGGTGCCCACCACCATATCTGGCAAATTTTTGCATTTTTTGTAGCGACAGGGTTTTGCCATGTTGCCCAAGCTGGTCTCAAACTCCCGGGCTTAAGCGATCTGCCTGCCTTGGTCTCCCAAAGTGTTGGGATTACAGGTGTGAGCCACTGTGACTAGCCCTCATGGTTTATAATTTCTAACTGTCTACTTAAAATGAAGTGATATGGGAGAAATTTATCTGGACTCAAAATCAGGAAGAATTTTATTTTTATTTAAAATTAGCTTTATAGACACTACATTTTAAGCCTATTCTATTCCCTCTTTGGGCTGACTGATAGAAAGCTAAGATCTAAATCTGTGGCCATCTTATAGGAAGGATCTAGACATTCTAGGCATGTGTTTTGGTCACTAACATCACTTCTAGCTTCAAGTACTATTTCTACTTTTCTTTCCCATTGTCTCATACTGATAATTAACAATATGTACACAAACAAACACACAGATCTCAATAATGGGGACTATTAAATAAGGCAATAAATGTAACTAGGAACTGTTTCCAAAGTTGAATCTATTTGTATATTTCAATAGTTTGAGCAACACAACTGTGAAGACTAATTAGTTCCAGCTCTGTGAAAAATGACAGAAGCTCTCTGAATATGTGCCTTTTCCTTAGCCTTCAACTGTATTGATTCCAAGAGAAGAAGAGCTTTCGTAAATATAACAGAAAAGGTACATATAACATAACTGGATAGGAGCACTAATTATTTTTGCTTCTCTAAGGAACTGCTTAAGAATAATATGGAAATAATATGGTCAAATTATATTATCTTTGAGCTATGGTCAAATTTCCAGCTACTGTCAAAGCTCAGCAGCAGACAAGGCAAATGCATCTGACATATTCTTGGACATGGATAACTTACACCGGCAGATCCTACACACAAATCCTGTGCAGTGTACTGAAGCGGGTGGATGAAGGTTTTGTCTCTGTTGAACACCCATGGGGTTATAAATTCAGATTTAGAAACATGTACTTTAATAAGTTTTGAAGCCATTTGATCAGAAAGCATTACAAGTCTCAAATTGACCTCTACTTTTAAGGTAAAGCTTCAACTATCCTAAGTGTTACTCCAATTTTAAACAATGAATTAAAGAGCCTGAAAATCATTTTCAGTGTCATTTTGATTAACCAATTATATGTGATCTAATTTGATCTTTCTCCTCAAATAAATGTAAACACTAAAGAGTGTGTGTTTGGAACTCTTAATTTGGGTTTCAGTCAGCATTGAGCAATATCTAATATAAACATATTGGCTTAATTTTTATATTCCTCACACATATAAATAATTTGAAGAATGCAATTTAAACAAGGCAACCAGAAGTTATTTGCCCTGAAAAATTATAATAAATTAAAAAATTGTTTTTAGTTTTGAAAGCAGTTTGCCAAAATCTGCAGGCCTGTGAATGGTCTGAATTCATACAATATTCAGTGACTTCTCATTTATTGATGTTATTTGGAATCTCACTTTCATTCTTTCTCACATATCACTGAAGGGAAAAAATTTGCTTAAGAAAAAAACAACCCACCTAATCAAGAATTCTTCATTAGCACAGATTTTCATCAAAACAAACAAAAGTAGAGAAAAATAAGAAAAAACAAATAATCAAATAAAAACAAAGAAAATTGCAACATAAAGTATTTTAATCATTTTGTCCAATTTCTATCAGACTTGCTCTGGTTTCACTGAGGGCCTTAGATAAGGTGCCAGAACTAATTTTATTGCAGCTTCTGCTCTCTGATTTTAACATAGATGTAAATTATTTGAATAAATATTTATAGATTATAGTGAGTCTTTCAACAGGTAACTAGCAATACAATATAGAGAAGAAAATGTTTTAGTAATGTCTTGTCTATGTATATTATTTTTCAAAACTTATTTCAGTCTCACAATAGCCTTGTAATGGAAGAAGAGCATGAGAAAACGGATGCTCAGAAAGGTTAAGCAATTGTCAAAGAAATTCCTCAAAGATCACACAGCAGTGGGTCACTCCTTGGCCTCCTGCTTCTCAGTGCAAGGCTGTTTCCATTGGCGGTACATGGACATAGGTTTAAGATCCCATCTGCCATGGACAAACCGTGGGTGAATCCCTGTTGGAGCTTGAGTTTCCTCATACATAAGAAGGGGATAATAAAGGTGCTGGCCCATTTCTCCACCACTCTATGGGGGAGCCCACGTGGAGAGGACACATGAAAGTGACCTGTCAATTTTAAATTGCCAAGTAGTAGATATATTGCTGTTGTCATTGATACTAATGAACAAAGCAGTTTTATTGCTGAATAAGGAAACCCAAGCTGAAGAAATGTTAATGTCTAGGCCCTAACTAAAACTTCCTGCTTCACTGAGGGCTCTGAGTACGTCCTATCAGCATAGTAAACAGTCAGAAAGCTTTTATACAGTGACTAAAGTTGACTCTTGAATGCCGCAGGGGTTAGGATGTTGATCTTACCCCTACCCTGGACCGAGCAGTTGAAAATCTGCATATGATTTTTGACTCCTCCAAAACCTAACTACTAATAAACTACTGTTGAACAGAAGCCTTACCGATAACCTAAGCAGTGGATGAACACATATTTTGTATGTTGTCTGTATTATATACTGTATTCCTACAATAATAAGCTAGAAAAAATGTTATTAAGAAAATCATAAGGAAGTGAAAATAAATTTACTGTACTGTACTGTATTTATTGATCCCATTAAGTTTTCATCATCTGTTTACAGGATGAATTATCTGCCTGAAATGGTGGCAACTGCAGCTGTAGACCTCAAACTGCAGTACACATTAAGCAATCCAGCTTTTTCTAATGTCATGACTTTCCTCTGCTTCTGGGGAGCACTTCTAGCATTAGTAATGGCACTTCCTGTGGGTCCCATGGTGTTATTCAAGGTTTAAACTATTGCATTAAACATGATGAAAAATGTGCAAGAACCAGGAGAGATCACTTTTTATTGCGTCTGCACTTTGCTGGCCGACAAACCTCTCACACGGAGATGATTGGCATCACATGGCGTTTTAAGTGGATGCTTGCAACACTTGAGCTCACTGCAGTAGCAACAGGAGGGAACTACAGAATTATTACGGTAGTACAGCAGGTACAACAGTTAGTTTTATGCAGATTTAATACTGCATCTTTACCTGTGTTTACATGTCTCTCATCATGAATGGTGCCATGTATGGTCTATGTGTGTGCAAAAGTTTTGGCAAATTTTAACTTTTTATAATAGATGTATGTATATTTCATGGTAGTAAATGACAAAATAGTGTCTACATATATTTTATACACTCCTAACACACCTAACTTTTTCTTTTTTTGATGTTTCTAGATTTTTTGATATTTCTGATATTTTATTCATTAAATAGAAACCACCTTAACATCAACACAATGCTTACAAGTTCTGGATGAAAAATTAAAAAAAAATTTTTTAGAATTCATTAAACTTCATCTATCCAAGTCACTCCAAATTTATGTGAAATATTTAGTTCTAAATGATTTCACAATACTTTCCTACATGGAACAAATAGTTGTAACTCATCAAAAGTAACAAGTCTGAAATACTTTAGTCAGGGAGACAGTAATTAGGATTTTAAGCTAATAAGGGCATAAATATTTTAGATAGAGAATAGAGACAATATCACCCAAAACTGTAAACAAAGTGCTATTCTTCTTGAATAACAGTTTTCCATTGCATACATATGTGCTTGGGGCGCCCAGATAGTATGGACAAAATACCCCCTTATTCCCAATTTTGCTTTCTGCAGTTTCAGTTACCCTCAGTCAACCATGGTGGGAAAATAGGTGAGAACAGTACAATAACATATTTTGAGAATGAGAGAGAGACCACACTCACACAACTTGTATTACAATATATTGTTATAATTGTCCTTTTTAATTATTAGTTATTGTTGTGGATCTCTTACTGTGTCTAAGTTATAAATTAAACTTTATCATAGGTATGTATGCACAGAAGAAATCATAGTATACATAGGATTCAGTACCCTCTATGGTTTCAGGCATTCAATTGGGGGTCTTGGAATATATCCCCCTTGGATAAGGGAGACCACTGTACACACAGGTCTGGAAAAATCCTCTTTTTTGCCAGAAACTTAGTGATTTTATGTCAAGGAGGAATATTATAAATAATTCTGACTTGGGCTTCTAGGTAACAGTAGCTGGTGCCTGTCAAACATTAAAAGGGATTTTCATCCTGAGAAGCCATAAGGAATTCTCTCTTATGGTGGTGAGGAGAGAAAGTCAGGGATTTCTTTGGTCATTGCTACTACCATGAGTGGAGACAGCCTGATGGCACATCTGATACACAGAGGAGACAGTCAGACACCCCAACAAAAGAAACTAGCTCCTCTTGCAGTGAGCTGAGATCGCGCCACTGCACTCCAGCCTGGGCAACAGAGTGAGACTTCGTCTCAAAAAAAAAAGAAAAGAAAAGAAAAGAAAAGAAACCGGCTCCTCAAGGCTTCACAGATCTCTGGAGCAAGCTTTGGCTGAAAGCACACCACCACTGTATTGTTGCAATTCATGAATCAATAATGTTTCCATTTTTGCTTTAGATAGTTCCTGTCAAGTTCCCTGTTCCTTGCTGTCAATAGTGTCATACAAATGCTATAATTAAAACGCCTTGGTTGAAACAGGTTTGGTTGGCTGGTGCTTCCCCCTTTCTAGATCCACCTGCATGCCCATGAAGATGGCATGAAACCAAGAAATAGCAAGGTTGTACAGTGTTTCGCCTGGGTTGCAGTTTTCTGCCTAACCTACCCTCTCAAAATGAGAAGAGATTATGCTCCTAACTGCTTAGGGACAAGGATGACCTCATGCAGATGGGGTTGATTGATGAAGTACATAGTCTTTCGAGTGAAGACAGAACTGAGTCCCAATTCTAATGCACAATTCACCAGCTATGAGATCTTGGTTATATAACTAATTCTCCTAACATGTTTCTTTATTATGAAATGGGATACTAATAGTTATTATGCCAGCAGGTTGTGAGTATTAAATGAGATAGCACATGCAAATCATTCAGGACAATACCTAGCACTTGTAAAATGTCATAAAATATTGGCATTCTTATTTATATATTAGCAGAGTTAAGTTTCCAGAAGCTATAAATACAGGCAAACATTGCATTTACAAAAGTAGGTACTTGACTTTTATTATTTGAGCTATAGGGGTAACAAGTGACCATAAGTTGAAAATGGTTATTTGATTTTGCATGCATGCAAGCACATGTGAAATATGTGTTTATATCTGTAGATTTTGTCTTAGCACAGGTGAAATACTGAAAACATGAAATATTACTTAAAGCATGAAATGCTGAAAAGGCAAACTGTTCTTAATGTATTTCATAAACAAAACATTACTACATAGAATATAAATGCCAAAATTCCTGCTTTGGAGTTTGTTCTTGTATTATGTCATAATGACTAGCCATTAAATGTAACTCATTTTTTTGGCTTGTCAGTGGGAAACAACATTCTCGTCCTAAGTGCAGCCCGGGAGGAGACAGCGCTATCTATGGTAACACCTAGGCATCCTTAAAAGACAGATAGGAATATGAATCTTGTCCATTTCAGGGACAGCCATTTCTTGCTGAGGGGCTAAACCACTAAGAAAAGAGGAGACAGAGCATCAGGCATTATCTCTTCTTGGAAGAAATGAATATTCATATTACTATTCATTGTCACTAGTCACTATTGAAGTGACTAAAAATTAGTAAATTTCTGGTCATCAGTGGACAGCTGCAACATCAACAAATTATTTGAAAAATCAACACCTGCTGAAAGCATGTTTTCCCCAAAACCTTATTGAAGTCCCAAACATCAGAGTTGTCAACTAACTTCTATAATGCTATCTGAAACTGCAATTAAAGTTCAAGGTGGTAGAATAGCAAACTAGTGACATCAAACAGCAGGGGAGCCTCTGGGCTAAGATGCAGTTAGTCCACAAACATAGTCCCTTTGCAGTCTAGCAGGGAATGATACATCAGCACCAGGTCCATGACAGGAACCCAGCATCGCTGATTAGTTTGAAATTTTCCTTGCTCATTTGTGCATGAAAAGCCATATATCACTTAATGCCAATGACCAAGAGTCTTCTCAAACCAGGGTCAAATTGCTAAAGGCTATTTTTTTCCTAGCATATTGAAAAACCTCATTTTTTCCCAAGAACTTTCCCAGAAATTAGACTAAGCAGCAAATATTTTCCCTTTACTTCAGATTTATTGTCTGGGCTACCACACACCCAGGTGGCAGCAAAAAACACTGAAAATGTCTGCATTTGGCTGGTGTGGAATAAATGGTCTTAATAGCTCACAAATATCTGAGGAATTAAACCTAGGAAGACAGCATCACCACATTGAGCTGCTGAAGTGCATGTCTACTACTTCAATTTTTAGATGACAATATTCAATTAACAACCATGGTATCATATTAGTCATTATTAACACTTACTAAGCACCTCTGCCTCTAGTATGCAAAGTGCAGAATTCAAGTTTAATATGGTGGGACTCTAACTGTCAGATGGCATCTTCACTGGATTTATGCTTCTCTATGAAACAATGGGTTCCTTTCCAAGCTAATCATCTTAAGTTTCTAAGTATTTGGCCTTCATTTTTATATATGCCTAATATGCTCAGAAACAAGAAATGCATGACTAATCACAAGTAAATTTATAAAAGAATACATTTTCTGCTTAGAGTGATAAGTATCTTTTTGATGAGAATGATTTAGTTTTATTGAGAGAGATTAAAATTTAAAACCAGCAACTAAAATCTTAGAAATGCTTCCCTTTAATATTCTCAGGGATGATAAACAGAAAATAAAAAAAGGAGAATTTGAGAGGCTTAGGAGGAGGAATCCCTCAAAATGCATAGAAGATATTTAGATCTATGAAAATAATTCAAAGAACTGGCTCTATTATATAAAACTGGAAAGATCCTTCTGTTCTGATGTTGAGTGTCTCTCCCTAGGCTAATCCAAACGGCTCAGAAAGGTCATGTGCTATAACAGACAATAGCTTTAGAAGATCATAATTTTATCTTTTGTTGCTTTTTGATGTTAATGAGTAAATAATGGCATTTCTTGACAAAGACTAGTTACATAGTGATAACTGGCAGAAACCTCTACATTTTGACCAGAGTGAATACTGTAGGAGTCACCTCACTATATAGTGTGGGGAACATAATGGACTGAGCCTGCACAAGGAAAAGAGGCCAGGGTAGCCCATGTGATGGCTCGGCTTGCCCTGTCTATTCAGTTCTGATGTTCTCTGCAGGTCAGAAGAGAGGACCTTTCCCAGGGACTCACCAGGTATGAGGTCAAGCAGTGGCCAGTGTCAAAAAAAAAAAAAAAAAAAACGAGGGAATACACACAATACCTTCAGTTAAGAGGTACTATGATAGCATGAAAAGAACACTAGATTAAGGCAAATGTCAGCAGACTATAAAATACATTCTCACCAGAAGAATTGCTTGAACCCAGGAGGCGGAGGTTGCAGTGAGCTGAGATGAGATTGTGCCACTGCAGTCCAGCCTGGGAGACAGAGTGAGACTCTGTCTCAAAAAAAAAAAAAAAAAAAAATTCTCACTTGAGAAAGTTAGATAACATTCTCACTTGCAAAAGCTAAATAAGGCCAACGATCACTGAGATAGTGATTGCCAGTAATTACAAGAATCTAAGCGAATTCTCTTTTACTCCAGATCTAGTATTTCCACATCACCTCTCAGTTAGCAGACCAATTCAGCTCTCCTGATTATGTACCCTTGTATAAGTCACTTCCACTTAGTGGGACTTGGTTTCCCATCTATAAAATGGACACAATAATTCCTGCCCTGCTATCTTCCTGGGTTACTGTAAGAACTAAGTGAATCTCCATATGTGAAAACAATATGAAAATGAAAATCACTAGATCATTGTAAGATATGAATTTTAAATCCATGGCCCTTCTCAATCACAGTTTTATAGATGTCCCATCACAGGCCTTCTGTGTCATGACTTAAGTTCCAACATAGTTCATTTGTATTCATCTTTAAATGTAAGTATATCCTTCTCCTTAAAGTTCTCCACAAGTCCTTTTCTGTGAAAACACAAGATAGACATCTACTAATTATTCCATCTCACTGTGCCATATTAATCTGTAGACTGGAGTATGAGGCCCCAGGAGGTTGGGATTCTGTCTGTATTTGTTAATATACTACCAGCTGCTGTAACAAACAAAATCCAAAATGCATAGGGGCTCATTCTCAATAGCAATCTAAAATGTGTGTTCTGATAGATGGGTGGCTCCATACTGGGAGGAATTAAAAAGCCCAAACTCCTTCAAACTTATGGCTTCACCATCTGCAACAAGGATTCAATCTTCTGCCATGATTATGACAAAAGCACAGAAGCATAGAGGGTAAACCAGGAGAGGGTTTGATGAGTCAGGTGATGAAGTTGCACACAGGGACTTCCCCCCACATTCCATTCACTAGAACTCAGCCACATGGCTCATCTCTCTGTAGCAAGGCCTGGGAAATGCAGTCTAACTGTGAGTCCAGTAAGAACAGGACACAGGTTTGGTAAACAGCCAGCCAGTCTCTGCCACCCTCATACTCGAAATTTAAAGGATGCTTTCTAATGTATGAATGAACTGACTAGTACATCTGAGTCTTGGCCATGAAGTAATAAAGGAAAAAAAAAAAGAAAACTACTATACGTAAATCATGTTCACAGCTCTAATTCACTTAATTTCACAAATCACTGTTTGCCCTTCTATTCCTAATATATGCAAACCCAATTTTAAGGATGAAAAATGACATTGCTAAAAGAAAAAAGAAAAGCATCATAAACAAAGCTTAAAGTTTCTAAAAAAGAATCACTCCCTAATAAGGGAATATCATGGAGAGAAGAGAATCATGAACAGATAGAATTTTCCAGCAATACACAAAGAAAAGATAAAAATAATGTGATAGCTTCTACTTGCTGTGCAATTTACTTTGGAATTTTACATTTTTATACTAAGAGGTAAAGTCCTGCCATGTTTCTGTAGCTAAGCTAGACTTTACAACATAAAATTCTGATTTTGATGGTTTAATATCTAAGTTGTTTTAAAATAAATTGAGTTTAAAGACTGACCAAATGTATGAATTAAAAAAAAGATCTTTGGCATTTTTAAGTAAAGTCACTAAGTACAGCAAGAATGAATGCAGGGTCTTTTAAAGGCATCATATAAAACTCTGTAGTATATACTTTTAAATGTCTGCATTTGACCAGGTCAAGATTGCTAGTGTATTTAATTCTTACTAAAAGAAATCTATGAAGTATAAGTTTAAACTTCATTTGGTAACTAAGTGCATATGCCAGCATTTCATCATAACCTAGAAGTTTCAGGTGATGAAATGCTACAGTGAATGCTCCAACCAGGAGGATCTCTTTACTTTAGTGGAATTTGCTTCACCACACAAGCTTTCAAAATAGATTTATTTCTGCTATTTTTTCTGACTATATTTTAAAAGAGAAATGACATAGGTTTCACAGATGCTGGTGAAATAATTACAGTTGCAAAGGCAAGGCATATAATTAGTTGAAGAACAGGGTTAAAAAAAGATTTCACCTACACTACGTGGGTACAAAGACTTAGGGTTAACTGTGAAGCAACTGCTGTCTGCATCTTTCATAGCTATAACCAACACTGAGGCAAAAAATACCCCAACTATATATATATATAGCATACACACACACACACACACACACACACACACAAAACTCAGGACACAAAGAGAAGATATCCTTCCTAAACTCAAAAGCGCACAGATGCTTACACTGAAAATAAAGTCAGTAGTTGCCTTCACTGCATAGGCGTCAGCAAAAATCAGGACAGAGCAAGGACAGGAGAGAGAACAATGAAGAATGATTCCTCCTTTCCTATAATCAAGGGCCACAATTCACTCCCTGAGACACAGAGAGATGACTTCTCTTCTTTGGCACCCAGTGTATGGGAACATCACTCCTTCACACACCCCTGACTCCTGAGGAGTGGGAGGCTGAAAGTACCAGGAAAGGAACCAAATCATCTCATTTTCATATGAACCTGTTGAACTCCTAAGCATTTCAACTTCTAAGCTGAAAGAGCTCTTAAGCATGAATTATCAAAAGCTGTTTATCACCTGTTTTCACAATCTCCTAATTCTAAGAAGTTTCCAAGCAAGTCTACAATGACACAGTGCATCAAACTCTAGTACAAACTTTAATTGCATATGGAAGCACAATGCCAGTGTATTTTATTCAATATGTATAAATTTTAATTGGAAAAATTTTCTCACAGCTTAAACAATCACACCTTAGTGATGAAGAGCTCAAAGGACTTGTGAATAATTATAAATGAATACTATACGTAGTTGTGGCCTGGAGAACTCCACTCAATTTCAGAAAATGTTACACCAGTACTAAAGTAGATTGATTGAGTGTCCCACAAAGACAGCAGGTAAGAGGTGGTTTGGAAGGCAGGTACAATAATAGGGTCACACTCTCCTGATCTGGCTTGACACCATGATAATTTTTAGAACATCAGGATTCATAACTCTAGTCCTTTCAGAGGAAGGCAGGTAATGAAGATGTGTAAAGTGGCTTGCTGAAGACAAGAAAGAGAATTATTAGTGCCCAAAAGCCAACTGAAGACTTAATGGCCTGCCTTTATGTGAATCAAATTGAAAAAAAAATACACATTTGGAGGTCCTGAGTTATGACCCCTGCTTGGAAAAACAAATGCCAGCATACTTCTGTCAACTAACCTAACTAACCTTTGCATAAGGTATTAAGCAACAGTAAAAAGTTAAAAATTGTTCTCTGACACATGTTGGGGTGTAGATACTCTAGCTTATTAGTCAAATAAGGACTCTATAGTCATAATAGATGGTCTGTGGGAGAAGGGCAAAGCTGACATCCTTTTAACAAAATAAGGCAGCCTAATAATGTGCTTGAGATTATAAGGCCATTCCACCTCACCTTGGAGAAAGGCTTAAAAAAAATCCCACAGGAAAAGTGCTAGATAATTATTGTGAATAGACTTTTTAAAGATGAATGGAGAATAGTCATCCTTTCAATTGGATTCCACAGGCCATGGCCACAAATTTTAGCCTTTGCTCCCCAAAATAAACAAACAAACAACAAAAAACACATAATCAACAAGTTCCCTTAACAGTGTGCTGAGTGCCACCCTACATAACGCCAGATTGTGAGGTATATACCCTTCAAGATGAACTAGATGCAAAACATACACCAGGTATAATAAAAGAAGGAGAAGATGGGCTGTAAACAGGGGAGTAATTACATGGGCTGGCAAGGCTAGCAGATGTCTTTAGGGAACTAGAGAGCCAAAGGAGCCAGGAGGGCCTGGTATGTGACCCTGGCCACTTGTACCAGCCAGCCTGTGCACAAGAGGGAACAGCTTGTGCTCCCCATGGAGGGACAGGGAAGCAATTAACTCCAACATTCCCTTCTCAAGGAACCCCCCAGCTCCTCTCTACCCCCTGAAATCCCAGCCAGCCTCAGAGAGTATCATGGTAATAAGCCAGATCCCAACACTGCCCCCCAACAACTGCCCCCTATCCCAACTTGGGAACCTTTTACTTAGAGCTTGCTCTTTCTGTTGGTGGAAGAGGACACAGAGAGACAAAGGAATCCTGCCTTCCTTTGCTCATCTTCAGGGCTTTCCAAGTAGGGCAGAGTTTTACAGAAAAAAAAAAAAATCTACTTTTCTTCAAGGCGAGGACCTTATACAGAAAATAGCATATGGGAACAGTTTCAGGGAAGGTCTGAGAAGACTGCGTGTCTCCTGACCTAGCTCTACCATCTCATCAACTTGCTGAGCTCATATTTAAGCATACAAGAGCTCTTCAGACTGCACATAGATTTTATAATGCCACCTACCAAGGGCCTAATTTGGAGGGCTCTGGTAGAGGCTTATGAAACACCAATATGTAGGGTGCTAAAAGCCTTACCTTTCATTAATTTAACAAATATTTAATGAGCATATACCAAGTGTCAGATGTTTTGCCTGGTGCCAGGTCTACAATGGGGAATCAGACATCATCTCCGTCTGCCCTGCAGAAATTGTGCCTAGAGGACAGCCCTCTCAACACAGGTTAGAACTACTGTTCTCAACCTGGATAGATCTCAATACATCTACACATTAACTAACATCTTCGTCTAAAAAGCAGTATTTTAAAAAATTTCATCATCAATACCAATACCTGTACTGAGTATTACTGTACCTACTGGGTTACTGCCCTGTAGATCTGCCTTAGTCTTATTCACTGTCAGTACTCCCAATATACTCACATTTTGGAGAAATAGGATACAAAATGGCTTATGTTCTCAAGTAGCTTACAATCTCCTTTGAGAAACAAAATATTTACATGAAACCATAAATGATAGAGTGGAAAAGATACTATGGAAAATTCATGCAAATATTCAATAAACAGGCTGCATAAAATTTGGTATCCAGGCTGCTCTGCCTATGGAGTAGCCATTCTTTATTCCTTTACTTCTTAATAAACTTGCTTTCACTTTACTCTAAAAAACCATGTGTTATCCAAATCATAACACTTCTCAGAGCAAAGGGGAGAACTATTAATACTTAATATTGGGAATGTCTCTGGCAATTCAAAACCTAAGATCACTATTTTCACAAATCCCTTTTTTTGGGAGGTGAATTCTCTAATTCAAAAACCATATTCAGTTCCTCATCAAAGAAATATTTATGGAAAATTTACCATATTCAAGGTATAATGGCAGGCTTTTCTAGAGGTAGGCTTTGAGCAGGAGCTCACAGAGATAAATAAGACATAATTCTTATTTATCTATTTATTCTTATCTGTCTGTCTATCTAAGACATTAAAATACCATAAACGCATACCATGTGATGTTCTTATGCTCAGCTTTTTGCATATACATTATCTCATTTAGTCATCAAAACAACCCTAGGAGATAAACAGTATTACTACTATTTTATAGATGAGGCTTCTAGTGGTTAAGTAACTGTCCAGGATCCACGGTCCCTCTGGCTGTAAGGAGCTGGCATTGGAACTAGGTACATCTCATTGCAATACCCAGCTCCTACTCTGTGACAGGTACTGCATGGATTATTCTGAGGAGGAAAACATGTATTTCTTGTTAGAGTAATCAAGGATGACTCAACAGGGGATAAGTGATGTTACATATAGATCTTGAAGGACTGAGTTAGAAGGATTTTAAAAGGCAAAGAGTAGAGGGGATGGCAACCCAGGGAGGTGGAACAATGGACCAATAGCCTGGAGCTGGAAAGACTAAGCATTGAGCAAGGAGGAGTCAACTTGGCCAGTACTTCATAGTTCTGAGTAGAGGACCTAGGAACTGTAAGACTGGAAGACAGGTAAGCTGAAGTCACCTTTCCCTTTGTGTTTAATTTAAGCAAATAGGAAACTCAGTTTGCATGCCCTGAGTACACTCCATAGTGAATTTGCATTGACGCCAACCAGTTCATCCAGGTCAAGATGTCTGGGAGGTAGAGGGCTTCATACAGCTGGCCTGAAGGGGGCATTCTATCATCCAAAGGCATGACAGTGCCAACTCATGGCTGGATGTAGTTCTGGCAAAACTGAAATGATGTAAATCAATCTAATTTTTTTCCATAGAAATAATGTTATAATGAGTGTGATATTTCATATAAATGGCTGGATACCCACGTTCTCATAAAAAGCACCCCAAACGCCTTAAACAGTAGTCCCATAACTTGTATCTGCTGAAGAATAATATCTTCAGTGTGTACATGTAAATTAAATTGGCTGGTGTCATAGTCATAATTTTAATAAGTCGAAACTATCCCAGGAGACAAAACCTTTGCAATATTGGGAGGGACTCTAGGACAAGTCAAAGTGACTCCAAAGAGAGAGGCTATGCACAAGGCCAGGAGGCCACCAGCTGGCAGAAAGCTGCCATAAAGAACAGAAGGACTGGCCAGTGACCCAAAACCTGTGGGGTCAAGTCGTAGGCAAAAGGATTACAAGATCAAGGCCAGCTGTAGAGCATGTCCCTACCTCCAGGCTCTTCCTCATCCACATAAAGTCTCCTAAAGCAATATTTCTAGTCTTACTGCTCTCCTGCTCAAAGCCTTTCAGTGACTCCCCATTTCCTACCCAGTTCCAAACTCCATGTCTATCACTTAGGGCCCTCCAGAATCTGGTTTACTGTCCATCCAGCCTAATCTTCCACTACATCTACTCCAACAAGCTAGGCTGTAGAAAGATGGCTTAGTCATTATTCTCAAGCATAAGAGGCATCTTTATGCCTTTGCTCAGGCCATGAGCTTGGCTTGGCAGACTTTCCTTATGATCTGTATCATGATCTATTAAAACTTACCTAGACATAAGACCCAACTCATATGCCAGCTGTTTCATGAAACTTGATACACAAGAAATGCTCTGTAAATATGTCTGTGGGTGAATGGATGGAAGGAAGGAGGGAGGGAGGGATGAAGGAAGGGACGGATGGAAGAGATAGAGGCAGGGATGGATGGAAGGAGAGATGGAGGGATAGATGGGTGGACAGAGGCAAGGAGGGAGGGAGAGATGAAGAAAGGGATGGAGGGAAGAGAGAGATGTGGGAGGGATGGATGGATGGATAGATGGAGGGATGAATAGACAGAGGGAAGGAGGGAGGGAGGGATGAAGAAAGGGATGGATGGAAGAGAGAGATGGGGGAGGGATGGACGGATGGATAGATGGAGGGATGGACAGATAGAGGGAAGTAGGGAGGGAGGGATAGAGGGATGGAGAGAAGAAAGGAGGGCTAGATGGATAGAAGGATGGATGAATAGAAGGATGGATGGAGGGATGGAGGAAAGGATGGGGGAGGGATGAATGGATGGGGGATAGAGGCAGGGAGGGAGGAAAGTATGGAAGGATGAATGGATGGAGGGAGGAAGGGAATGCTGGATGAAGGGATAAATGGATGGATGGTGGAGGACCTCATAACGAATCTCTCAGCTGGTATAATCATTCTCCTGTCAGTATGCCATAGTACATATTTGTTCCTATTTTAAAACGTTGCATGCTCTCTTCTTCCATTAACATTTGAATACAGCTCTTCTCTTCCTTATTAAATGAAAGGCTCCTGAAGGCTGAATTATATTCATCTTTGTATCCCACACAAATCCGAGTACAAGGTCTTTCACAGAATACGTGCTTAAGATATCACAGTATCAGTAGTATGGTATGCCCAGCAGCAGGCAGAAAACATGCATAATGGAAAGCATAATCCATGTAAGGGATGAATACTAGATATGAATGGCTGTAAATGGACCTACGTCAGCTTTAACTATTCCAGACAAAAGTCAGGTCTCTAATCTGAAGTTACCTTTAGGCAGAGACAGACAAGGTCATCACCTCTTACTCCTCCTTCAGGCCTCAATTCTGGCACCATCTTTTCCCTGAAGCCTGAGAACACTCGCCCTGCCTCACCCATCCTGAGATTCTAAGCCCTCCCTCTCCTCACTCTTGGCACTGGGCACACACCCCTTTAAGATACAGGCTGAGTGTGCTCCTATGTAACTACTGCCCCCGTGTCTCTCTTCAGAGCAGAAGAGTTGGCTTTGCTCATCTCTGTGACCCATTATTCCAGAACAGTATTTGGCACACACTTGGCTCTTAATAAAGACTTCTTTGTAAGTACTTCATTTTAGAAGTACTTAGCTAATATTCTGGGTTTTCTGTTTGTTTGTTTGTTTGTTTGTTTGTTTTGAGATGGGGTCTCACTCTGTCAGCCAGGCTGGAGTGCAGTGGCACGATCTCAGCTCACTGTAACCTCTGCCTCCCTAGTTCAAGTGATTCTCCTGCCTCAGCCTCCCAAGTATCTGGGATTACAGGTGCCCACCACCATGTCCTGCTAATTTTTTGTATTTTTAGTAGAGACGGGGTTTCACCATGTTGGCAGGCTGGTCTTGAACTCCTGACCTCAAGTGATCCACCTGCCACAGCCTCCCAGAGTGCTGAGATTACAGGCATGAGCCACTGTGCCCGGCCCAATATTCTAATTTTTAAACATCTACCAGGTACAATCATCATTGTTAACAAACCCAGGATATGTTGCTAAATCTCTTAGGGTCATAGGACATAGGCTAGGCTTTACAGTCAGGCAGCCCCAGCTGGGAATATCAGCTCTGCTTCTTCTAGGTTTGTTCTCTTGAATAAGTCACTTACCCTCTCTAGGCTGATTTCCTCACATCACATCGTCCATAGGGATAACAACACCTACCCTGCAGAATGTTGTCAGGGCCACAGGTTATGTAAATAAGCACCTAACAGAGCTCCCAGCCATTGGTTGTTGCTCAATAATGATAGCAATTATAATGACTAGACTAAGAGGATAGGTAAAAGTAAATGTTGATATATTTTTTTCAATGACTATACGTATATATTGTTTTTAATTATAGTGTATTTTTACAAAATCAATCTTAAGAATTTAATTCAGTAACCCCATACATAGTCCACATCTTTGGGGCTATAAATTATTTGTCATGCTTTCAGTAAGAAACTCAATCCAACAGGCAAAGGAAACATAATGGAATACATAGATGTCTTGAGTTTATAGAAAAACATGCAAAATATTAGGCTAGGTTCAGTGGCTCATGCCTGTAATCCCAGCACTTTGGGAGGCCAGGGGGGCAAATCACTTGAGGACAGGAGTTTGTGGTCAGTATAGCCAAGATGGTGAAACCCCGTCTCTATTAAAAATACAAAAATTAGCCGGGCATGGTGGTGCATACTTGTAATCCCAGCTACTCATGAGGCTGAGGCAGGAGAATTGCTTGAACCCGGAAGGTGGAGGTTGCAGTGAGCTAAGATCGCGCCACTGCACTACCGCCTGGGCAACAGAGTAAGACTCTGTCTCAAAAAAAAAAAAAAAAAACAAAAAAAGAAAGAAAGAAACAGAAAATGCAATATATGGCACAGGAGGTAAGGCTATAGGATCTGTCTTCAAACTGATTTCTGCTTCATGGTTTTCCAAGGAGAATTGAAAAAAATAATCAGTGGATAGGAAAGAGGATGTTTCCTCAACATTAAATATTCAAAGCAGGTCAATAAGAGCACTACACATCAGGAATTCTTCATCAGTCTCTGTGCCTCCCAAACATTAACTATGTAAGCGGTACATGTGTACACCATATTGAGAAAAACCGATGTGTTTTGGACAGAGTCTCCGAAGAACAAAAATGAGTGTCTAGCTTCCTGTGTAAACCAATGTCATTACATTCAAAGAACAGTACATCAGGAAATTCCCTAGAAAATGTCTGTTTTCATGAGGCACGTGCATGTGTGTGTGTGTGTGTGAGAGAGACAGAGAGAGAGAGAGACAGAGAGAAAGCGCAAACAAGCTGATGGCATTCCACCATGGAATGACCTCAGAGCACTGTAAAGCAAATCATTAAAAATGCAACACATGCAAACTCTTCCACTGCAGATGCAGAGGGATTAGTGAAAGCAGAGTGGTCACTTAAGATCAGTTTAAGAAACCTGGCTGCTTACAAATGGGAGTAAGTAGGTGGATTTTTCCAAACCACCCTATTTACATCTTCTAAACCCTATCATTTTGTGCAATGGCTAAAATTTCATGCATGTCACGAGTGTTTCCCCTCCCCCTACACACAATGTAGCTGCTTTGAAGAATGTCAGATTAGAAACAAGGAGAAAAAAGAGCCATTCTTTTAAAGTCTCAAAAATTCACAACTAAATTTAAATTACACAACTTTCAGTTGAAGTAAGAAAGGCAGAGCCAACAGTCCTTACATCATGGTATGAGAATACTTCCTAACACATTCTCTCCACACGGATTTCACAGACCTCACCCCCCATGTTAAGTGTGTACACTAAGTTAAATCCTTTATGTAGCAATTATCCTAACAGTGCCTTTAATTCTTCAAACTAACGGATATCATATCAATGAGTAAATAAATCCAAAAGAGGTTCTGATTCAACCTCAGATGAACATGGAGTAGCTGAAGCCAGATTTACCCTCCTGCCTGAAAACAGCGATAGAAGTAGACAACATGCATGAAACAATAGCTCTCAAGATGCTGGGAGCCACCTGGCAGGAAGGGACAGTGGTCCCTGAAAGAAGGGAAGCAAATGAGGTGAACTCTACAATTGCCCCAGCAGCTGGCCTGGAGAGAGTGTTCAGGCCATGGCCTAGGAAAGGGTGACCTAGGCAGAGATCAGCAGTCCCCGAGTGGAGGACTTGGAGATGGAAGTCCAGGGAGCCGAAGATGGTTAAAGGTCACAGGGTGAAATACCAGGGAGGACAGCACTACACCGAGCGAAATCCAAAGAGCTGTGAATATTCAGTTGAGTACTGATTGATCAGCACGTGAGGAAACTACCTGCAGCCAGGGAAAAACCACCTGAAAGTATTAGAGGGAACAGTGCCTAGTATTCACAAAGGGCCGCCAGCTCTGTTCCCAACAGCCGGAGGGGAAAATCCCATAATTTATGGGGCATTGGTTAGAGTACTAAGAAAGGTCTTGCCTTGATAGTGGAGAAAAATCCACTCTAGACTAAATGCTGCCCTGGTCCTACCTAACAAAGCTTTTTAAAAAGCAAGACATAAAAAGATCATACTGTTTCTAAGTATCCTATACCATGCCCCATAACAAACCTCCGTAAAATTTTTAGGAATTCAGAAGTTTCTAGTAGCCAATAAGGTAAAATTCTGGCATCTAATCCGAAATTATGAAGTAGAAAGTGGAAAAGTGTGACCTATAAAGAGGAGAAAAATTAACTGATCAGAACCGACCCAGATGATAGAATTAGTAGAAAAGGACAATAAGACAGTTTTTTAAAAACTGCATTCCATATGTTCCAGAAACTAAAGAATGGCTGTGTTAAGTGGAAACAATATGGAAAAGATTAAAAAGACCAAAATTAAACCCCTAGAGAGGAAAAGTTCAAAATTTGATATATATAATACAGTGGATGGCAGATTAGACATTAAGGCAGATAATACATTATTGAAGAAAAGATTAGTGAACTTGAAGACACAGCAATAAAAATGATTCAAAGTGAAACAGACAAAATACTTGGCCCTACTTGAAGTCCACAATTCTGAAATTGTGTCTGAAAGTTAAATGCTACCACTTATTCTGAGGCTCAGACAAAATTCATTGCATCATTCAAGATCAACTGAACACTGTAAAAAAAGTGTTTATTTTTGTTAATAAAATTATGACTTTATAATATTTAATATAATTATTTCACTTTATAATCTTTCTATTGATGGATATATACACTGTTTATAAGATCTGTCACTGCTATGTATACAGCCAAATATACATCAATAATGAAAACCCATAGGCAGGTTATTATTTTTCAGTTACTATAGTCAGAATTATATTAATGCAATCAAAATTGTTATGAGGGCTAATTTCACTTAAAGGGTTATATTCTTTGTTTTTCTGATCTAGTTTCTGACTATCTTTTGTTTCACCTATGTCTCTCTGTTATCTGTGGTTGAATCTTCTGGATTCTGAAAATCATTCACACTTATGATTTTATTAACATATATACATGGATGACATACATATTTAATTGATTTTCCTTAAATTTGCCCCTTCATTGTAGTAAGAGATAGTATATTATTAAATCATTTAAATTCAATCATGTATAAGATATAAGACATTATGTCTGGATGCTCCATCATCAGTTCAGAGTTTTTTTTTTTTTTTTTTTGAGACATGATCTTGCTCTGTCACCCAGGCTAGAGTACAGTGGCACAATTATGGCTCATTGCAGCCTCAACTTTCAAGGACTCAAGCAATCTTCCCACCTCAGCCTCCTGAGTAGCTGGGACTATAGGTACATGCCCCAGAATTTTTTATTTTTTTGTAGAGACAAGGTCTCACTGTATTGCCCGGGCTGGTCTCGACTCCTGGACTCAAAGGATCCTTCTGCCTCAGCCTCCCAAAGTGCTGGGATTACAGGCATGAGCCACCATGCCTGGCCTCAGATGTTTTTTAATATATTTGGCTTCTCTTTACAATCTTTCCTCTATCATTTTATTGACTTTCTAGCAGATCCATGCTGGTCACTGCAAATATAATGATGAATAAGACATAGCCCTCAGAGTCTATGGTCTAGAGCTAGACAGGTGAAAAATAATTTTACACCAGATCTATGGTCAAATATGGACAAAGCACTAGCAAGCAGAAGCAAGGAGATGACTAAGTGTGCTGGTGAGAGGGATATGGGAACACAGTAAGAAAAACTTCATACTGGAGATGATCTTTTATGTCTTGAAACATGTGCAGAAGTTCATCTAATAGAGAAATTGAAATGTGACATCAGAGGCAGAGGAAATAGCAACTGTAAATGCACCAAAGCATAAAGAAACCAGGTATATTCTGGGAATAAATAAATGTTGGTATTACTAATGTATACCCTAAAGCACTGGGAAGTCATCAAAAATTTCTAAGTTTGGGAATGACATGATTAGATTTGTCTTTTAGAGAAACAACTTTGGAACCAGTGTGGAGAATGGTGGGGAGTTGAGTGGAGACTTCGGGCAAGGACATCAGTCAAGAGTTGACTGCAATAGTTCAGGGAGATATGATGAAGAACTGAATTGGGCAGAGGTGGTGGGTTGGAGGAGGCTGATTACAGAGATATTTAAGAAGAAGAATTGACAGAATTTGGGAATCGGTTATATGTGTCAGTGTGATGAGAAGGTGAGAAAGGAGTGAAGGGTGAGTCCAAGGTTCTAGCTTGGATGTCTATAGTGATAGTGGGGCTTTGCATGGAAAGAAGGTAGGACAAACAAGTCTTGAGGGAAAAGTATGATTGTAAACATGTCTAATTTGAAGTTTCTTTGGGCTATTTATGCAGAGATATCTAGTATATAGTGTATAGAAGTAGGAAACTAGAGCTTCTACTACAGAATAGTAGTCAAAGAAATCAAAGTAGATAAAACACTCAGTCTTTGCAAAGTATATGGAGTAACAAGGGAAATGAGAAAGTCTTGCTTAGTTCATTTTGTTCTACTATAACAGAATACCACAGACTGGGTAATTTATAACAAGCAGAAATTTTTTGCTCATGGTTCTGGAAACTAGGAAGTCTAAGATCAAGCCATGGCCTTCTTGCTGCAACAGCCCATGGTGGAAGGGCAAAGACAGACAAGAGACCGCACAAGAGAGGGACAAAGGGGGCTAACTAATCCTTTTATAAGGAGCTCACTCCCAAGATAACAAACCCACTTTCTCAATAACAGCATTAATCCATTCATGAAGGCGTGGCCTAATCACCTCTCCTTAGGTCTCAACACTGTTGCACTGGGGATTAAGTTTCCAATACTTGCTCTTTGGGGGGGACACATTCAAACTACAGCAAAGCCCTCTGACAGAACACCGCACTGCAACATTTAATAAGGCTGATTGGGGGACAGAATCAATGATGGAGACTGAGGAGTAATCGGGCAAGTAGCAGAGAAACCAGGGGCAATTGGAGTCAAGAAATCCAAGGGAGTAGAATATTTCAAGGAGGAGAAAGTTCAAACACAATAGAAAAGTCACATTAAATGAGAAAATTTTAAATGTCTACTGAAATTGCCAATTGATAGATCATTGAGGCCTTTTACATGAATAATTCCAGGGAGACTGAGATGTTAAAACCAGATTCCATTAAAACAAAAGGTAAAGAACTTGACATTTCTAACATAGATTAATCTTTATGAATTTCAAGCTGGGCATGGTGGCTCAGGAAGCCTAGTCAACTTATTACATTAATATTAATAATGATAACTGTGATCCTCTTAAGTGATTATGGAGTACTCATTATCTGTCAGGCATTGTGCTAAGCGTTTCACATGCATGGTCTTGTTTAATTCTAGATAATTTAGATGACTCCACAAGAGTCTTTCTTGAATCACAAATTGCTAGTCTTCTGCACAAAATATCCAACTTGATTATCTGTACTTTAAGAATAAGAACTGCGTCTTATAATTCCCTTCTTTTGTGCCATCTGGTAAAGTTTTGGGGACATAATAGAAACTCAATATCCTTTAAAACTCTTGATAACATACCAAGTTCTTGCTATACACATAACTTTGTATTGGACAATAGAGAGGATTTTTTTTTACACTACCCAATTCTATACAAATTTGGAACCTTATTGGAGACACAAAGCATGCAGGTGAAAATTTAAATTATAGCTCTAAACATCAATTAAGTGCTACTACATTTATAATAGTAGTACATGAGTGCAGTAAAAAAGAGATTGCTATGAGCTAATGTCATGAAACAAATATTTATGCAGCTGGTAGAAGTTAAATTAGGGCTTGAATATTCTGACAGGCAAAGACAAGGCTTTCCAGGAGGTGGAAATGCCTGAGCAAGGGAATGGTCATGCATCTCACGAGAGCCAAGAGTTCACAGCCAATGATTTATTTAGCAAAATCTTCAACCCTACTGTTCTTTGCCCCCAGTTCAGCCCATTTCCAGAATATATTTTTTCCTTCCTTATATTTCCTTAATTCATCTCTTTGTCTACTTCTCATGGTCACGAGCTCTGTTATCCTATCCTATTTCAACTACGACCACCTCCTCATCACTCAACTCACACTATTAGCACCGCTAAGAATCCACAGTTCTACTTCTGAAGTCGCTTTGGATTTCCTAGCACTCTGCACAACAGGACACATAGACTACCAGATACCATCCCCTGCGTCTGGCATTTCTCGTTCTTCACTCTAACTCACTGCTGTTTTCCCCACACAAATGTGCTCCAAGACCTCCTAAAGCAAACTATACATTGTCCTCTTCCAAGCCTCCCCTGGCTCAAAGTCAATCTTAATGCACAAGGCTCTAAATCATAATTTACAGCTTGGAAACCATTAATCCTGTACAGAAGGAACTGAGTTTACTGCCAATGAGTTGTTCAAATACTAAGATAGATTCTGGTTCTATATGAATTTTTATTTAAGTTCCCTATAAAAATGTTTGTAATAGCACCAGAGGGTGTGTGTGTGTGTGTGTGTGTGTGTACATATACATATACACACAAACACGCTATCTCTCTCTCTCAAAGTGGGGAGGAGTGGGTGTTGAAGAATGACAGCTCCTTGAGGACAGGACACACTTTTGTTCAACTCGACTTGAACTGTATTAGCAAGGGCATGAGAGGACTTAAGAAACAATACAAAATAAGGCAGATAGGTATGTTCTTCAAGCTATCCTTTGATCCTGGATTCTAAAGACTAAAATACAAACTAAGGTTGGAGGGCCCAAATTTTCTTCTCTGAGTCTCAGAGATTAGGTCTATATATTTTAGAAATGTAATAGTACCTTCTTAAAAAATTACTTGGTAATTAACCTGACTGAAAGCTCTGGCTAAAATACTGTGGCTCCAGCTTAGAATACTCTATGGTTGTAGCCAATGCTAGAAAAAACACACTTTCAGTTCTAGGCTCTGTTCTCTCACTAAATTTCACTTTGGCTGTATGCTGATCATTTGATCTCATTTGGAGACGACCAGCAGTCACATATACACCATGAAGTGACAATCACAATGCCAAATCTAAGTTATTTCATTTCAAATAAGCATTGGACTATTATTACTAATTTAATAAGCAGGAAATGCCCATGTGTCTTATGTACTATGCTGGACACAACTTGCATGGAGATAAATATAACATTACTAATAAGTACAAGATCCTCAAAGTTCACACTCTGAGATGTAAATAATGAATGACAGCACAATTTTTAAGAGTAAAGAAATTGACAAGGCAACGGAAGAACACCAAGTAGGAAGTGAAGATAAGAATCTGCCTTGAAGAATTGTAAAATGATGCGCAAGAAAGTGACACTTAAAGTAGATCTTGGCTGGGTAGGATGGCTCACACCTGCAATTCCCAACGCTTTGGGAGGCTGAAGCAGGGGGATAGCCTGAGGTCAGGAGTTCAAGACCAGCCTGGCCAACATCTCTACTAAAAATACAAAAATTAGCTGGGCCTGGTGGCACATGCCTGTAATCCCAGCTACCCGGGAGGCTGAGGCAGGAGAATCACTTGAACCTGGGAGGCGGAGGTTGCAGTGAGCCAAGATCACGCCACTGCACTCCAGCCTGGTCAACAGAGTGAGACTCTGTCTCAAAAAAAAAAAAAACAAGTAAAATAAAAATAAACTAAATCTCAAAGGAGGAAGGAAGGGATGTGTATGAAGCATGTATTATTTGCCAGACACAGGTGACAAATTACCTCATTGTTGCCACCATTTTAGACATGGTGAATCTGAGGCAGGACAACTAAAGTCACCTGCTAGAATGCCACACAGCCAGCTTCAAACACAGCTTTGTATGTTTTGTCCAATGTACAAGCTCCCTTCTAAAGGCAAGGAAGCCTTCTTTAGGTGGAAAAGTGAAATAATCTTTATTGCACTTAAAGTTTCCTAAAAATTACCTCTTACGAAATATTTACTTATAATGATTAACAGTTTATGGTTGTAGCTGTAAGTTTCTATCTGCCCATACAACGCTTTTAAAGCCGGGCACGGTGGCTCACGCCTGTAATCCCAGCACTTTGGGAGGCCAAAGCGGGTGGATCACTTGAGGTCAGGAGTTCAAGACTAGCCTGGGCAACATTATGAAGCTTCGTCTCCACAAAAAATTAGCCAGGCGTGGTGGCATATGCCTGTAATCCCAGCTACTTGGGTGGGTGAGGCCTGGGAATCTCTTGAACCCAGGAGGTGGAGGATGCAGTGAGTCAAGATTGCACAACTGCATTCTAGCCTGGGGGACAGAGTAAAACTCTGTCAAAAAAAAAAAGAAAGAGAGAGAGACAAGAAAGAAAGAAAGAAAGAAAGAAAGAAAAGAAAGAAAGAAAAGAAAGAAAGAAAGAAAGAAAGAAAGAAAGAAAGAAAGAAAGAAAGAAAGAAAGAAAAAGAAAAGAAAAAGAAAAGAAAAAAAAAGCTTTTAAAACCCAGTCCATTAAAAAATGCCCAGGAACCAGGCAAGGTGGGTCAAGCCTGTAATCCCAACACTTTGGGCAGCCGAGACAGGAGGACTGCTTAAAGCCAGGAGTTCAAGATCAGCCAGGGAAATATAGCAAGAACCTGTCAGGAAGGAAGGACAGAAGAAAGGAAAGGAGGGAGGGAGGGAGGGAAAGAAGGGAGGCAGGGAAGAAGGGAGAGAGGGAGGGAGGGCGGGAAGGAGGGAAGGAAGGAAGGAAAAAATTAGCTGGGCATGGTGGTGTGCACCTGTAGTCCCAGCCACTTGGGAGGCTGAGGCAGGAGGGTTGCTTGAGCCCAGGATGCAATGAGCTATGATCACTCCACTGCTCTTCAGGCTGGGCAACAGAGTGAGACCCTGTCTCAAATTTTAAAAAAAGAAAAAAGGGGAAAAAAAGAAAAATGCTTGGGGTTCAAGGTCTATGTAAGAGATATGCAAAACTTCAAAAATGTTGCAAAATGTTGTGTCTATGTGCATTTTCCTGGGGAAAAGAGTCAGGAGCTTTTATGAATCTTAAAGGGGTTTATAAACCTCTACCCCAGAAAAGGCTATGAAGCAAGAATCTACAAACTTCTGCTAAGCTTTTTAATGTTTTCCAAAAGGAAAAATACTTTTGTAAATTTAAGTTTCACATACAAGGAAATCCATTTCATATATAACAGGGAAGAAGATTCATATATTCTACTATAAGGTAACAACTTGATAAGGAGACACCGAAGTGACCCTTTCCCATGTTTCTAATAACTATTCAGGATGTTAACAGTGAAAGGACCATTTAGAAAGCTAATTTCCTTTTCATCATGCTTGTTAAGTGTTTACTTTAATTCACATCCTGTGTGACCCTATGGGAAAATTTTTAACTAATACTGGGGAAAATCCCATAGGGTTACACAGGATGTGAACAGGGCCTGTACTGAACTACCTTCAGCTTGAAAAATAAAATTAGATAGGTGAGTTTCACTTTCTGTTTGTCATAAGTTCCACTTTCTGGCTCCCAAAGCTTAGATCCACAGTACATCCATGTCCGTGCAATAAAATCCCAAGATTCTCACTCTCTGTTAAAGGAAGGATTTCGGCGTGTTGTATAGCAAAATCCTTTCAGCAGAAAAATGCAAATCTGTGGTGCTAATCAAGGAGAGGCGGCTGGAGCACTCCCAAATGCTCCTCCATACCTGGGCTCACACACAGTTCAGCTGCCGTTTTCCATTTCCTGTGGGGAACATACATCATACCACTTCCCCTATAGAAAAAAGAAAGCAGCCCGATTTAATTGCTGATGGAAACATTGTCATACTTTCCACTGGCCAAGCTTGAAACTATTACTGATCTAACCTTCATTAATTTTTCCACAACAATTTGCAGAAATGTCAGGAAGCAGCTGTACGAAGACTGATTAATTGTCCTTATCACCACTACTTTACCAGGCTCGCTCTCTCTTCTCTCTCTCTCTCTCTCTCTCTCTGTATCCTCACCACCTCCCCTCCCTCTCTTCCAGTTTAAAAATATAATTGGGATTTTTCTGTTTTGGTTGGTATTGGTGGTGGTATATCATACTCTGAAATATCCAGATCTATTTTTGATGTCTTTCAATGGCCCAAACATTTTCAGATCTGGAGGAGACCCCATGAAGTTTGGGACAGCATCCACGAAGGAAAAGGTTGCTTCCTGCTGATTACTCAGTTATAGCTGTTTAAACAGACGTTCATGAATTCAAGTCTTACAGCAACACTGCATTTATTAGTCAATCACAGACGCTAAAATTCACTTCCGAAATGTGAATTAGAAAATCAAATGCCCTTTTTCTATTTTTTTTTCACTTTCTTTTCTCCCTCATCATTTTCATTTGAGCTATACCATCTGTCCCAGCCTATCAAATAATGTACTGTGCATGCCTGGCAAAAACAAGTGGAACAGTACACCTCATAACCCCATGTAGGCAACCACTGAGCATCTATAAAAGTGGTACATAACAGAATCTGGCCATCTGGGGATAACTAGTTATAGCAAGCTTAGCTTCTCAGCCAGCACTCAGATTTGCAGACTTTTAACTAGTTGGCAAAGCATCAACCAGTGTTCAAGAAGAGAAACACTAACAAACATTTTTTTTTTCAAAACACAAGAATTCAGATATAAATTTTCAAAGGTGTACTTGCCAATGTTGCTGACAAGAAGGCTTCAAAAGCAAAGATCAAGGCACTGTCATGTCCTTGAAATGGAGCCAGAGTCAATCCAAATCTAGCATTTTGCAGCATTACTAAACTTTTTGGGTATGAACATATTTTTCCTTCCCCATATTGCCTGAATATATACAAGCAAGGGATTAAAGCCGAACAGACTTTGAACCAAATGACATAGTACCTTTCAGAGACAGCTCCAGCAGACTGGGAAGAGTTCCTCCTAGGACTACATTTAAAAAAAAAAAAAATCCAAAGGCTCTTCATCCCAGATACACTCATTCGTAGTCTAACCCCGAACCAAAGAAAGACAGATTGGACAACTATGGCTTAAAGCATTAAAGTAATAACTGGACATGTAGCATAGTGGCCCAGATCATGGACCATGGAGCCAGAATACTTGCTTTCAGTCCCATCTCTGCCACTTGCCAGACATACAAATATTCAGGCAAGTTACCTAACCTCTCCGTGCCTCAGTCTTTTCATCCAGAAAATGGGGATACAAATAATATTGTTAACAGAATTATACAGCATTTAAAAATGGCACGAGGAAGTGAACTCTAAATGCTAGCTGTTAACTGTATATTTTTCTGTTGATATTTCAGGTATCTATTAGCCTAATAGTGAGGAGGAAATAATGTGACACGAGTTCCTAAATTAATTTAACAAAGCCCACTGGGTTGGCTGAAAGATTTCCCCTGATAATACTCACATTGCTTGAAACACCACCACCAAAACTAGGTCAAGCAATCAAGGCTAAATATTCTATTGTTTCTGTTGACTATCCCCTAGCTGTCACAGGACAGCATGCCTTGTGATGCCATGGGACATAGAGGCAGGCATGGCTGGAGATGACCACACCTCACCACCACCTCCAGGCCTGGAAAGCAGGGGTGGGGAGAAAGCCACCACAGACCAGCAAAGTGCAAACAAAGACAGAAGCTGGCTTGGACTTCGTCATAATCAAAGTACTCATCAAAGAAGCCAAAGGCACTCATTCCCTTGGCACTAAGACCAGGGTTGAGGTGCCAGGAGGCCACACAGTGCAGGAAAGACGCTACTTTTAATTCCGGCTCCACCATATGACCTTAAGTAACTCTCACACTCTAAAGCCTTAATCTGCAGTAAAACACAGGATTTCGTCTACATCAGACCTTTTGAGTCTTTTGGCTGCCATGACCTCCTTGGCAGTCTGATGAAGCCTGTGGGCTCATTCTTAGCAGAATGTTTTAAACTACACTGGATTACAAAGGAAACCAATTACCATGAATATAGGTATCTCAAAATAACTTTCAAAGCAAACTTGTTGATAGTAATATACATAATTCTTTATTAATAATTAAAAACAAGATATAGTGCAGGTCTAATATTCACCATAATTCGGAGTAGTCATAATCATAAAGACACTTTGAGATATGAATCACAATGGTAATGTGATATGAAACTGTCTGTGATTTCTATTGGTGACAACATCACTGACACTGCTGAAACTACTGTCATTTGTTGCTTACATGAATAATGAAGGAAGTGCTAAACTTCAGTTAGAGATTAATGAAACAGTTTTTTTCTCAACCAAATTTTCTGAATTCTGTCCATTTGTGGTTAAGAGCCCCAGCCTAGGTAAATAATAAATCCCTTTATAATTCCATTATCTCAGATCAATGATTGCATTGTGTCCCTGGCTCCCTCCACAGAGAAGATTCACAAAGAGAAATAAAGCAATTCCTATTCTTTCCAACTGTGTGGAGAAAAACAGATTTACAGGATAGAAGTGTCTTTCCTCATCCCTCTCCAAGTGAGGGAAGGAACACTTATTGACTTGGAAATGAGTTACCCAAACACTATCAAGCCCTACCAGCCTACAGGCAAATACATAAGAAGTGACATTAACACCAATTAACCACAGCTCCTGTTCCAGCCCCACCTGCTCACACAGGACCTCCAGTCCCCTTAAAAAGTCCCAACTAAGTATATCTAGGATTCCAGCAAGGGAGACTTACAAGAGCCCACAGGCAGTCTGACAGCCAGTCACAACACCATCTGCCATGGCTTCTTTCCTGCACCAGCTCCCCCTAGCGTCCTCAGGAAGGAACCCCTCTGCCGCCTCTGCAGATGGCGCCCTCAGTAAGAATCCTAATGCCCAGTTGCCCCCACAGACAGCAGAGTCCATACTTCCAGGAAAGAGGGGTCCTTGTCATGGGTCCCACACTTTAGAAAGCCTGCATATCACAAACAAGCACAAATAAATTCACTGAAAAATCCACAGCACCTTTATCATAGGCATCCAGATGTCCTGTAACCCTAAACCCCGCGACAACGGTTTAAGCCCCGAGGGAAATGCTTCTCTTGCCCAATCTCTTTGCACCAGTCAAAGAGTGACTGAGTTGGAATGCCCTGAAGGTTCGTGGATTGTGACATTGCAGTGTGGAGTTAGACATCATTTCCAAAGCAGAGAAGATTCAAGCAGCATTAATGCTTAGGTAAAAGAAAAGACTTAAGAGTCATTTCTCTCAGATGGTGTGGACGCAACAGATTCTCGCATAACAAGTGTAACCATGCCAAGCATCCCTTTCCTGGTTTCTCTTCGTGCTCTGATCAGTGGTTCTAGAATCGTTAATAATTAGAGCAGCATTTGGAACAATTGCACATGGCACTTGAAGAGTGTTTCGCAATTAAACAATTCTTATTCTTAAATTTGTAAAGATGTAACCTGTATGAAGCATGATGCCAATTCTTTACATTAGCAACTAAAATGGACACTAAAAACAAACTTGTGAATAGTTTTGCTTCTGTAAAAACAGCTGAGGATTTAATTCAATTTCAAAAAAATATTAAAAAGCTTCAGCAGCATTTAAATAATTTTGAATTTTAAATGTTTTATTCATTCATTTTAATATAGATTTATTTACCTTTCAGTTTTAACATGTGATTTTGGATATTTTGTAAGAAAAATCCTTTTTTTAAATAGCTTAATTTAAAACATTTTTATACTTATTCTAATTTACATATATGATGAAAATATACTAATATTTTGTATATGTTGAATACAATTACATTACATGCTTAAATCCTTTAGGTCCCGAGAATTAGTACATGTTGACACCTTAGTATATATAATTGCTTTTTTGGAGTTCAAAAACTTAAAAAGCAGAGATTTTTAAGAAGCAGTAGAAAATCTGAAAAGAGTCAGTCTGTTTAAATTTTAAAGCTGCAAATAATGAAAGTAAGCAGACTTGTCAAGCATGACCCATATAAAATTCACTAACAGGACATTAGAAATTATTTATTTAATAAAGATTTAATTACTGTTCAAAACAATAAAAATGAGCCAGAAAATTATTCTAGTCAAATCCACAACGTGAACTGGTCAGATGAAATCCCTGCAACTTCATGTTCTGTGCAAATAAAGATTTTATCACTGACCAAATGAAGAATCTTTGTGGGCCTCCATTTGAACTCTTGCCCCAGAGGCCCCATAAATACTGGCAGCAATGACCCTCCCCAGCTGTGTGTTCGTAAGGTCCAAATCAAGCTTGGCTTATAACCAATTCTCCTTCAAGACTGTCACCAAAGCAGTTCCATCAGGTTTTTTGCTTCCACTCTTCTTCAGAATCTCACAAAGTTTATGCCTAATACCTCGTAGCCGTGTAACACAATGGCTCAGATCCAGTCCCAGAGGCTAGGGAGGCAACAGTTACACCCTTAATTGACCAACTTGGAAATCTTCTGCCCCATCTCAGCCAGCTACAAAACCATAGCTGAATACCAGTGAGTGATAACACATCTTAGGGGTGAGGGAGGGGTGGTTCTGCAATTTGAAACCAATAAAGTCCATACATTTATAGTTCACACCTCTGGAGCTGGTAGAAGGCATTTCCCTACCCGACACTAAAATTCAGGTCAAGTAGGAGGAAGAATGGCCACAGAGGCCAGAGAGAATGAAGGAAGATTCAGAAAGTGCCTTTTCACATTTTTGCTCATGATCCATTTCTTAAACTTATTGGACAAATCTTGTAGCAAGTTTTTTTCTTCCTAACAATTTACATGAGCACAATGAACATTTTCCATGGAGCCTGCCCTTCACACTTAGAAGCTTAGAGGAAGGATATTTCCTAGACATCTGGATTAAGGGACTGACTCCCACAGTAATCCATATCAGTATTTGTTTAAAGATCTCTATGGGGTCTTGATTTTCATGTTTTAAATAGAGAAATAATTTTAGAGGTTTTGCAGACACATACTAAAGTCCAATTACACACACACACACACACACACACACATCACATACCCCCAAAAGCACGAGGCTGAGTGGTGAAACAGTGAAGGGTTGAGTTGCTTGCCCAAGCTCTGCAAGCTATTCTATGAAATTCAGAGCAAGAACCTCAGTTTCCTGATGTTTCAACCAATGACCTTTCCAGTTAATCACTGAGCCCTCCCACCACAGCTAACCACTCACATTGTTGCCATGATATTGATATTATTCAATTTAGAAATCTCTTATTAAGGTTTTGATAATATTAGAAAATAAAACTTAGAAATCATTAAGCTATCAAGAATCATTCTTATATTTTATACATTATTATAAAAATGTGTAAGGTCAAACATATCTGATTTTAATAGACATTACAGAAATTGTACAGAACATTTCCAAACTTAATTCTCTAAGGCATCTCAGAGAGTGTGACTAAAAATGCTATCGTGAGTTAAAAAGATTTAAAAATGTGTTCTCCAGAAAATGTTAACTAATTGCATCTGTTCTAAAGAATAATTAAAGTGCCAATAATGAATTTAATTAATTAATTTAAGGTGCCAACCTTAAAATAAAATTGTTTTAATTTTTTCAGCAGACTTTCAACATGCTTCAAACATATGCACATAAAAAGGGCATATGTAAAATAAAAATAATAAATGATTATAATTTAATAAATTTAAAATAAAGCAATAAATATCTTCAAATAAATGAATTAATTATCTTCATCCACTAGTTTGCTTCTATATTCTAAGTAAAATCCTAAGTGAACAGATCTTCCACGCTAAACAGACCAATCATGTTTCTTCAGAAAACACAAATATCATATATCTGATTTAGAAATTTATTTTCAATATCTGAAAAGTATCTAAGCTCGTTAAAATAAAATATATCTTATTACATAATTCTTGGTTTAGGAGAAATTTCCGCTATGTGTATGTTTAAATAGCTTAAGAATAAAAACTTACATCAAGACTCTTAAACCAAGCTTGTCCTTTAATAAAGGATAAATTATTACCTGGGAAGGGACATATCACTACACTCAGGTTTACTGTGACCTAAGAGATTGGCTTAGGTCTCCCCAGTCTCAATGGTCCCTCACAATTCCGACCATGATCACTGGTTGAAATATCTTGCTAGTGCTTCCAAAGGTGGAAGATGTCCCCATATTTTGGGGAATTCCCTGAGGATATTTACATGTACAGATGAACAAACATACTAACCCTATCTATCCCAGGTCTTCCCATAGAAAAGGAGAAAATCAGTCTAATAAAACATTTTACCACTTCAATTCTCAAGGAAAAGGAATCCCAATGTTGTAATAGGTAAAGCCTGATAAGAATGCATGGCAATTTTTTCAGAAGCTCTGAGAATTTCTACTACCATGAACCTGACAGCTAGATTGTTGTATTCTAGCAGGCTGAGCACATTTTAGGGTTCTAAATGGCAGGGAATAGCTTTGTGGGGTAGAAACATTAGTATATAATACTCACCTCATAAATGTAATTTCAAACAAGCTGTCTACTCATAAAACAGGAGAGCTGACTTATATTGGCTAGTTTCCTATAAGAAGGATGTATTTTATCTAAAATTTTGCCTGTTTTCTCTGCTCAGCTATATCTGTCAGCTGCCGGCCTGGGATAAAACAGGAATTCAGCAAACGTTTGTGGATTGAGTGATCAAGTGAATGGATGAATGAGTGAATGAATGATTGTAAACACGCTCACTCTCCATACTCATGTACTTTTGTGCCTTTGTGGGGTTTAGGAGCAATTGCTTCTTCTTCCATTCTACTACTCCTGTTAATTTCTCTCTTGTTATTCCTGTTAAATTATAGGATGGTTTGATACAATTTAAAATACCCCTTTGTAATAATATGGGTACCTCTGTGAAAGTTCTTTTATCAAGCCCGGTTGGCTATATAATTGCTTGAAAAAACAAAAACCAACTAAACATAACCATGATATAAATTTCACCCCTTTACATTTTATAATAATAGGCTGTTCATCTTAACAAAGCAATTTCTGAATTTTTCTTTAACAAGCTCTATTATTATTCCTAAAGTTTCAATTATTAATAGTATCCCTATCACCTCCTGCTAGCATATTGCACCCCTGCCCTGTGTTTCCTCAGGCTGGGTGTGACAAAGTACGCCTGCATATGACTGTGTGTTTTGTCTATGTACTGGCACATAAATATCCTTGAGGACAGGAAAAGAACTGGTGTATGTGTCTGTGTGCGCGCACGCACGTGCACGCACTTCCCTGGATTGTTCTCCATGGAAATCTCCCTCCAGATGGGAAAAGAGCCAAGGAGAGCCCGAGGACTTCCCTGACCCTAAGCCAAGGGTGTGGCAAGTGTGCTCACCATTATCAGCTGGTGCCCAAAGGGAAGGAGTGGGAAGGAGGAAGGAGGTAGCAGGGAGGAGGAGGAAAGCTGGTAGTAAGTGTGGAGATCTTTTAATTGCAAGAAAATAATCTGGGAGCCTAACATTTTTGCAGTATTTTAAAGTGTGCAAAGACTTCACAGGACTAGCACATTCTCAAATGACACCTCTAAGACCAACCCAAGCATAAAGATCTTCTGAGGCTTATATAAACTTTGCCCATTAAGGAGAAGTCACAGAAACAGTGCAGGCTTTTCCTCACTGGTGTACTTATGTACTCAAGATAAGTAATAACCTTTAGAATGTTTTCATCCTGTGTTTGCTGTGTTTTCAGCTATATTTCTATACTGAAACCTCTTCAAATTCACACAGCATTCTTAAATTGCCAAATCCATTGGTCCTTTCTTAGATCACAACATTGGTGATGACTTTGCGGCATGATACGCTGAACACTCCCTTAAATATAAAGCTCTAAGCTCAAGATCTGACATACCCTAGGCACTCAATAAGTAAGAGCTACTCTTGTCAGCGAGCTCCTCCTCCCTTAGCTTCCTTGAGACTTGCCTCTGTTAGTTTTCCAGCTACATTTCTGACAGTTAAAGTACTTTGGAATCTTTTATCTGATCTTCAAAGCCCAGACAAAGTGTTTTCCCCCAATAAACTTCCCCACTTTTGCAGTGTCAGAATTAATGCCACTCTCTCGTGTTCTCATAATCTTTGCTCAACTCTCATTATCTCACTAATCATGGCCTGCTTTGGATTTTAGTTGAGCTAATTTTTTTTTTTCAAGACAGAGTCTTGCTCTCGCTTAGGCTGGAGTGCAGTAGAGCGATCTCAGCTCACTACAACCTCCACCTTCTGGGTTCAAGCCATTCTCCTGCCTCAGCCTCCCCAGTAGCTGGGATTTCAGCCATATGCCACCATGCTTGGCTAATTTTTGTATTTAGAGATGGGGTTTCACCATGTTGGTCAGGCTGGTCTCGAACTCCTGACCTCGTGATCCACCCGCCTCGGCCTCCCAAAGTGCTGGGATGACAGGTGTGAGCCACTGCACCTGGCCTGAGAACATATTTTATATCCCCAACTAAATTTTCAGCTACTTGAGAACAGGACCATTCTTATTTCTCTCAATACTGAGCACAATGTCTTGCACATGGCTGGCTTTCCATAAATGTTGGTTGATTTAAAAGTTGACAACAGATATTAAATTGAATCTTTAACTGCTTCCTGTTTCCCACCTTTCATAGCCAATCCCAAGCCAAAGCCTATAGAATATTCATCTACAGTATCTCTCCCAAACCCTCTTTATATTCCTATTATGGTCATCCTAGTTCAGAACTTTACTACCTCTTATGGAGACTATCCCAATAGCTTCCTAATTTGCCTCCCTCCAGGTTTTCCAGTTCTTCTTGGTGATGCCATCTGTGGTGAGCAGATTAATCTTTCAAACTATAACCCAATCATGTGATTCCTTAGCTCAAAAGTGGGTAAAGTTTTTCTAATGCCTACCAAACTGATGTGCTAATTACATTCCAGACGTTCTATACTCTCTAGGTCTCTCGGTTCCTCCCTTCCTCTTCTTTCATGTCTCCTCTTCGCTTACCAATGTTATGTTCCAAACATACCATATGACTTTTCCTTCCATAATCACCCCAACTTTATCCATCCCAACACTTTACGTAGGTGAATATCATTCTCGCCACCTATCAAAACCTTGCACATCCTTAAAGCTGTCCTCAGGAAATACTTCCTGCTCCCCAAGCCCTCTACCCAAGCAAACCCATAAGAAAATTGATACGATTTCTTTCTCTTCACAAAACATTTTATTTATACATCTCTGAGGACCCTAGTACAAGTTTTCTTATATCCAAGTCAGGTATGTACTAGTCCGATTTCTATTTTAGGTAGGGTTTATAAGCAACTTGAAGGCTGAAATGCAGACTTACTCATCATTGTATTCCTCCACAGCACCAAAACACTACATTGCATATGGCAGAAATGCCATAAATATTCATTGAGTTTAAATGAACTAAAGCTTTTAAAAATAGCCAAAAAAGCTCAGGTTCCATGTAAGAAGAATGGGGCTCAAGCCAACTGAGTGTTGGCATCTGTGATGATTGGTGTCCTCAAAATTTCCACTTAAGGATGATGACAGAATCAAGCTCTGCTACAGCCAATGAATAATTTATTTGTGCACAAAACATTCTGTTAATGGAAATCTTTTTATGGCTCAAGATCTAAAATGTATTTACTGCCCTATAGTTATTAAATGTTTGCTTTAATCATTAGGTACACAAGGTAATGACAAATGATAATTACAGTATCATTATATACTCTTAAACTGATTTAATCAAGAGTATCTCTTCTGAAATTCAAAAACTCCTCAGTGGATGGGGATGGGAAAGATTACACTGGAACCAATCAACTCACTGCTACCATCAAATTTAAGAAACTAAGGTTTTCTGTTGTTAGAAATACCACCAATTGAAAAAGTAACTTTAGATACAAATGCCTAGTACTTTTTTTTTAAAGCTCAATTAAAAATCCCCCTGCCTCCCCGAACTAGACTGCCTCAATCAATGAAACACATCAGAGAAAAAGAGAAGTGCATGTGTTTGCGCGTTCCCTAGATGTTCCAGCCTGCCAAAAAATGTTTCTTTGCTGTGCTATTTCAGCAAGTCGTGAGATGGCAATGATCACCCTCCTCAAAAGAAAAAGATAGCTATTTTTCCTGTATGTTTTTATTTTAAGAGGCTGGGAGGCACACTTCTGGCTGCTGAGAGTACTCTGACACATACACATGTTCCTGAGGAGGTGAATTTGTGGGGGAATTTTGGCAGGGTGAAGGTTAAGAAAACCTAAAATCATCCTAAACTCTTGGGAAATATTTAAGGAGCTGAAAAAAAACAGCAAAAAGAGGAAGATGATGAAGTCTTCCAGTGAATTCCTGTTTCCAACTATAAACCCTCATGAAAAACGAAAAGTAAAGTACTATAAAATACATGCTTTTTATCTATATTTATATCAGACTCAACTGGTACACAATCAAATTCATCACACTACTAGACAAACCAGCTTCTCTCTTTACCTCATGTTTTCTATTAAAAGTGATATTCAAACTCCAAAGCTCAAAGCCTGGGGTCATCACTGACCGCTTCCTCCTGCTACCCACCCCCAGAATGCATGCACATCCACACAAGCTCACCCTAGACCCAATCAGGCAGCCCCTATGCTGGTGTCCTGCATACTTTCCTTCATACAGCCAGTGCCTGTCAATCCTTATCACTACCCTCCAACCAGACTCTCACACCGGTCTGATCTCCCACCACACAAAGTAGGCAGGAGACCAGCAAGTACTCTGGGTACAAATGGCAAAGTGCCAAAGGCCAGATCCAGGCCTGATGCCCTTGCGTGCCTGGGATCCAGGGACAATTCTCAGAGGCAGTGAACCGTGGAAGGGTCGAGGGTCCTAAGAAAAACAATTTGAGTGGAACGCAGCCACAAGGGCACCATGATGCAAAACCTGAGAAGTAAGGAGCTGAGGGGGATATGGGAGGAAATCAGAAAGAACTTCCTCAGCCTGGGATTCGAGTCTCCACTGAGGTCTGCGATGCAGTGCCTTCATCTGTGATGTAAGCGTGGGAGGACATACAGGGCACAACATGAGATGACAGCTCTTGTTTGAATTCATGGAAGTGCCTCCTAAGTGGCTTCTATGCTTGCAGTGACTGCTGCCCCCCACCCCACCTCACCCGCCATCCAACAGGGCCCAGCCCGACCCATCTCCCTGAAGCGCAGCTCTGAGTGCAGTGCTCTCCTGCTCAAAGGTTTTCATGGGCTTCCCACGCCCCTTTGTCCTGCAGTCAATGTCAGCTGTGCTTTGCCTTCACACTACACAGGAATCCCTCATAGTCAGAGGCCACATGTAATTTATCTCATTAAATTTTTTCAGAGGTCAATTATTTTTGTTGCCATAGTCAAAACAAGGAGAATGAGACCTCCTGGTCAGGGACTGTAGGGGTTTTTAGGTTTGTTCTGCTGTGTGGGGAAGGGGTTTGTTACTCTTTTACTTTAAGAGCAATTTTTGCACTACAAAATTCATAAATTTGTATTCATGACCTGGCTCTGGATATTTAATAGGTATCAGACTTGCAGATTCATCTCACAAATATAATTAAAATTAAACCTGTGTCCAGGTATCGATTTTCAGTCCCCAAAGTGAATTTTAAAACAGAAACTTGGCCAGGTGCAGTGGCTCACACCTATAATCACAGCATTTTGGGAGGCCAAGGTGGGTGGATCACCTGAGGTCAGGAGTTCAAGACCAGACTGGCCAACATAGTGAAACTCCATCTCTACTAAAAATGCAAAAAATCAGCTGGGCATGGTGGTGGGTGCCTGTATACCAGCTACTAGGGAGGCTGAGGCAGGAGAATCGCTTGAACCCAGGAGGCACAGGTTGCAGTGAGCCGAGATTGTGCCACTGCACTCCATCCTGGGCAACAAGAGTGAAATTCTGTCTCAAAAAAAAAAAAAACAGAAAACAAAAAACAAAAACAAACAAAAAAAACCTCACAAGCAATTATTTTTATTAAACCCAACAAATATTTATTAAATGTCTACTATTTTTTCAATCACCATTTTTAAGAATAAAGAAGACACAAGCAATTTACAGTGCAGGCATATGACAGGAAAACTTCACATAAATTACTTTATTATAAAGTGCAAGTACAAAAATGCATACAAAAAGTGGCATGAGAGAAGTATAAATTGTTAAGGGGTGATGCGGGCAAAGGAGCTCAAACATGAAGAGAAGTAATACTACAATAAAATTATTAACCAGACTCCGACGTCAGTAAAGTGCATTAACCCAAAATGCAAATAATAGATGAGGTAGAAAATGCGATTAAGAAAGCGAATTTTTCTCTTGGCAATTCATGGGTGAGACATCAATGTGATATCAGATTCAAACATAAAATAAAGATCTCTATGTGGGGGATTTTGTCCAATATCCAATTAAAGGATTTATAGTGAAAACTGTAACTGCCAAGGGAACCGGAACTCCAGAGGCCATTCTTGATCCACAAGGGATATTGCTTGGAAATCATGAGATTCTCAGATCAGGGAAGTGATTGGGTAAACTTAACAATTGGTATCATCAGGTTTCAGTTTCCAGAAGGTGATAACTGACAGAGGTCTGGAAAATTTACAGTCCACATCTTTCTACAGCATTTTATTCCTTGGACTACCTCAAGATTCCCTAAAAGTATAAGATTTGACTCTGCCCCCAGATTTTGATACGGCTGGCTTCTATTTCTTTATGTCAGTCATAATAAAAAGAACATAGTGGCCACATCCACAACGCTCCAACATTTGAACACTGCCAGTTAACTAGACTGGTGACTTGGTAGTGACTGACATGTTAGCCAAAAATGGGAGAAACAGAGTTGGATTCTGGTTCTATGACTCACTAGTGCTGTGACTTTAAGCAAATTACTCAACTAAAACCAACCCCCCCACCATGAAGCCTCCGGTCCCTTATACACAAAATAAAGTGTGAGTAATAACTACATAATAGCTATTGCCTCAAATGAGATAATGTACATGGAAGCCATTTGCAGACAGAGAGTAAGTCATTACACAAATATTAATTCATGCCATCATAGAAACAAGGCATATGATCAGTCACTAAGATTCACTGTGTAGGTTTTGCATGGAGAGTGAAAAATGAGAGGCTCCTTCACACAGCCATCCTATACTGCAAACTGAAGGAGACAGGAAGGATAGACAGAAGGAAATACTATGAAATGATATGAAAGAAGCCTTCAGTCAGGGTTTCAGATGGCTGCAGCATGCTTGTGGAACAAAATGGGATTTGCTCATACTACTGGTTTAGTTAATACTTACTGATGGAATGATGAATATGTGAATGAAAACTTATTAAATGCATGAACGAATGAAGGTATAACCAGGTAAAATACTTGAAAAACAAAGCAGGAAGAGTCAAATTGTGAATAAGAAAAAATAAGAAAATAATTTTGGAAAAATGAAGCCATGTAGCTCAAATAAGCTAACAGTACTGGGCTCCACTCACCTAAGCTAGAATAGCAAAACAAAGGGCAGTCTTTGTAAGGAGGCCAGAAGAAATGTAGAGCATACATAAGAGTCCACATTTTCACATCAGTTTGTAAATATTAATACTCAAACATAAATACTGATAGCCTCTTCTGTTATCTCAAAATACAAGGAACCAAACAGAAGACTTGTATGCATCTGAAGAGCTATAAAAATATAAAAGGAAGTCCTGTATAATAGGAAACATTTTGAAGGCCACAATATACTGAAACTTAAAGGTCTACTCTGAATGATCTGTGATAGCAGAAGTTATAGTACACCCGGAGATAACAGATAGCAAATCTAATTTGCAACCTTATCAAATCGTTATAAGACCAGCTAAAAGGTATCCAAATAGAATGAATTAAAAGGGTTTTCTTCCTTTTCATTTTCCTAATTGGTATAAGTAATAATAAGAAAAAACATATAAAGGCATATCAAAGAGAAAGGAGAGATAAACAGATGAAGAAAAGGTTTGGGGAAATCACAAAATATAGCAATTTCCACAGAACACAGAATTATGTATTTTGGACTTCCTAATTTAAAGTAAGACTTCAGTGATGTCTGACTCCAGAAATTACTAACAGTAATAATTGTATAATTATCAGCAAATTAATTACTGCTCTTTAACCCAATATTTTCAAGTTTATGAGAGTCTTAATAATTTTCACCTTCTTTTTTTAGGAAGGAATATCACTTACATAATTCCTAAATAAATATATCCAATGTAGTGACAGCATATAAATCTGATCACCCATGTGTTTAAAAGCCCAGACTCCAGCTAATATCACTTTAAAATGAATAATGTCAAGACCAGTCAAAAACATTCACTGCTTGAAGGAAAATGCCAGGACATGCAAAGCAATATTATTATAAAAAATAATAATAATTTGTATGTACTAACTTTTCAAAAAGTACCATAAAAGGAAGAATATTGTGTGGATGAGAATGTTCCTTTCTTACTTTGCAAACTGTTTTCTATTTACTACCAATTTGTGGTGGGAGGAGTTGGGCACATTTTTAAAATTTATTATTTGTAAAAAAAGTTACATTGAAAAAAAAACCCTCATTTGGGCTAATGCACAGGGCCAGGTTCACTGATAAAGTCACTAAGAGGTTGCTGATTATGTATTCCATATGCATCACGAAAATGCTTACCGATTCCATATGAAGTCCTTCCTTACCAAAAGAAGTATTTGATTTAATTGAGAAAATATACCTAGCTCTTTGAGTAAAGACCATGTTGACAGGCTAAAGAATCAGTCACGTGATAGATGAAATATAATTCTGGTTACATTTAACCAGTGACTGCAATGACTATTACCCCTATTAATCACCATCATCATAACCACTACTGTGAACTCCTAGTACCTGCCAGGTATTTAATCCTCATAGAGCCTTATGAACTAAGCAGCATCCTTATTTAATGCAAAACAATTGTTACAAAGCACAGTGACCCCAATGAGCTGACTCAACCAGAGGAGTCCAGAACTCACAGTGCAATACACAAGGAGGCCATCTGCACTCAATGTCCAGGCCATGTCCATTCTCAGGAGGCACTGATAAAACAGTCGCTTGAACATAATTTAAATTAGGTACCACCAATTTAAATGTCACTTAACACTTAGGATACTTTGGAAATAACTGTAAAAGCCAAACTTGGGAGTAGATGGAAAATTAAATGTTGCAAATAAAGACATTTAAGTTAGTGGTTCAGATTATTAATTTCATCTTCTAACATTTATTATAGCTATTGAAAAAATTAAGGCTTTGCTTTTCACACTTTTAAATATATGTCTTCCTAATGGGTTTTTCATCTAACTGCCTCATATCCCTTTAATTATCCAAAACTTTTTCCAAACAGCACCATGTGCCCATAACAATGAAAATTATTGGTGGCAAATGAAGACTGAACCATGAACCTTACGGGCCAAATGAAAAGGGGTCTCTGGAATGTCCACACTTGATATTTCTACACTCACTGGATGCTCAAAAGCTACACTAGCATATCAAGTTCTTAGGCAGTGGAGATTATTTTAGACAAAGGGAGATTATTTTAGACAAAGCTTAGGGCAGTTGTTGGCACTACATAAACTACAACGCTATCGCTAAAAAACCACCTGACATCATCTTGTCTTAAGATGTTCACAGGTAAAGCAGACACTATTAGTGGGTTTAGTTTAGAAGCTGTCTTCCCAGATGATTAGACACTTTCCTCTCTTGTTCGTTATCAGTCATCAGGTTTTAAAATAGCTCCAGTTTATTTGGAGGAAAATTAAGTAACAAGCTGTACAATTTTAGAATCATGAATAACATTTAGAATTTCAGAAATTCAAATCTTGTGACCTAAATTAGGAATACAATTTTTTTTTCCAATTTTTCTTTACTGTGTAAAGGGTTAATTAAAGTATGAGTTTGCTTGGATTTTTTAAAAAAATTACCAAGCCCTAAAATCAGTATCATATAAATTTCTGATGCCAAAAATCTGTTTGACAGAGCAGGCTTTACTATACTGACATTTTAACAGTAGCCAAAGTCCTGTTCCCACTAAATTCTGTCTTGGCAGCACCAATAATTTGCTAAAAGCCTAAACTCCTCCTGGTAACTAATGTGTTCTCAACCTCAGGAGCTTTCCACAGCAGCACAGTGCAACAAGGAAGCTGAATCCATCAAGTCCTTCCTTAAGATTTCTATTCTTATTACAGAAATCATGATTTCTATAAAATGAGAATGGTTTAAAATACAGAAAGATGCTAATTTACTTCAAATGTTCATTACATCTTAGATGTGAATCTGACAAAATGCAATAAAACTACATATAAAAACCTTATTCAAAGTAAAATCTGATATTTTTACATTACTTCAAGATTATAATAAGCAAATCATCATTAATACATCAAATAAAATAATCTGGTTTCGAACTATAAATGACAACATTTTCTAATCTTCAGCTAAAATCAGACATTTCCAGAAATGCAATAAAGTATGAATATTTTCATTTAGATAATATCCAAAACATCTATCACAGGTTTCAAGAGCCTCAAATAATTACTGTCAAAATTTCACATAAAGCTCATTTAATATTGTGCTTGAGGAATCTTTCCAATAACTTTGAAATCAAACCATATAGAAAGCACTTGGCTTGACTTACCTAGTGGCTGTATGTTAAAGCATCGGTAAAAGAGCATTCCAACCAAATCAATTCACTTAATTTTTCAAGTAGATCTGATTACTATGGTCTTTTAAAAAATTCAAAGGCTCCACCTAATGAGAAAAAAACAAAGAACTACATTTAAACCGGAGCGTGATTATAGGAGCTATACATTAATAACACAAAAATCAAATCCAGAGTATTATGATATTATACTATCTTTTCCTACGTTACTGTGCTACTTAAAGCTATCAAACAACAAAAGCGTCTAGGAATTAAGTTAAATTTTCCAGTTTGGGGTAAAATGAATGTTCAAGCATAGAGAAAACAATAAAAGAATACAACAAAGTGTGAGAACAGAAGAGTTTGTTATTGGCAGGTGGAAATAATGGTTATACAATGTCAGTTAAGACATTAAAATTAGAGATGGGGGAAAATGCAATTTATTGCTTTGGAATTATACTCATTGATTCTTCTAATTTACTTATGCAATGAAAATTTGTAGGTGACAGTTCCTGAAAGCCATTAAGCCCTAGCTACATGCAATCTCTGTTGAGAAATAGAAACTAATATCTAGACAGATCATTTAAACATAAAAATGGTCAAGAAGTCTTGGAGATAATTCACTGGCATGGATTTCCAAATCATTCTGAGAATGTTACACCTTGTCTCCACAGAAAGTGTTTACTCTCCTAAGGACTCACAAATAGCTTAATTATTATTTATAAATAATATTGGTTTATTCCATTCACTTTGCCAGTAGAACCACTTTTCCTGAATTTCAAACATTAAATTACTATCTCAGCTCTAAGAGAAAGTTTGAGAGAAAGCAAGCATTAACTTAACTAGAGAGAGAGCCTAAAATGAATGCTAGAGGGTTGAGCAGAAGAGTGAAATAGAAAATTGGACAGTTTCTAGCTACTCCCAAATTAGGTCTTCCCAAGGTAGACTTAGTATGTTCAAACATACTAATATTTCAAAAAGTCTCTGAACATCAAACACAATCATATTCAAGTGAAAGTTCAAAAACTTATTCCAAAGCCATAAGCACAAGATTTTTTAATTGTGCAATTTGAAATTGGCCATGCACTGCCACTCCCCCAAACCCACTAACCACATTAACAAAATTAATTGATAATCTCAGTATTAAAAAATAAAGGTTGAAACAGATGTTATCCACTAGTATTAGAAGGTAGTTGCTCCAGAAAAGAACAAAACAAAAGATGTTGCTAACAATAGAGAAGACAAATAGCAGTAACTATACATACTAACTAGAAATCCATGTAGTCATGGGAAATATGTTTTCACTTTCAAGAAAACCTGTGTCTAGATTCTAGTCTTACTGCTATTCAAGAAACAATTATTTAGGAAACTCATTTGGACATGGTCTCAAAAGACTTCTTCATTAACAGAGATAAATAATCTTTATTCCAGGGTTCTTGCCATAAACATGACAAGACAAATGTCAAATGGTTTGGTTATTTAAAATTACACTGAATCAACAAACACAATCACCTGAACAATGAACTGCAAAATGATTCAACACACACATTTTTCGCATTTGAATATCTAGAGCGGCGAAAATATTTCTGTACTTTTCCTAACATTTTATGCAAAAGTTACAAAGCCTCTCTCAAATAATATTTGGTAGCTAGCTTCATAATACCACTTCTCAATACTTCCCAGGATGGTTTCGTGCAGAAGCTAGCATAACTTTTCTTTCTGTTAGTCACTTTCCAAGAAAGAGGTAGGGCACTCCCTTCAAGATGCAGGACAAACTTCAAGATTCTTAAAAATCCTTTCTCATTGATTTCTCGATGTACAATGTAAAACTGACTTACGCAAAAGTCTTTTTCAGTCCCTCTTCATTTCTTAGGTAGGGTATTGTTTTCTAAAATTATGTAATTCTTGCCTCGTAAGAGGTCTTCCATTTCCTAAGACAACCAGTCATTAAGCAATATGTTAAAAGGTTTTTCACCTGTATTGCAGCAACTATGCTCTCATTTCTAACTGGTTGTCTAAGTGGTCAGTGACTTCAATCTACTTAGGAATTTTTCAGTGTTCCCATAGAGTACCTAAAAGTGGTAGTAATGGACACCTCATATCAAAGTTCAAAAGCACTAAGTACAAAATATATTAGTCACCCATATGGATGATTCAGCTAAATGACTGTACTGATTAGCCCAGAAGAAGCAGATCTGTTGCCTGTGCAACAGGTAAGCCTCGCGTACAAACCACAATATAATATTTATTTAGAAATGTTCACTTCCTTAAAAATAACCACATATAATGAAAGGAAAATAAACACACGATGGTAAATGGCCTACAATCGCTACACCATACAGCAGTGCAACACCTCAAATAATTTTATAACCTGATGAAAGTCACTGACTCTAAACTTCCTTACTTTTAATTTGTTTGTATTGCCTGCCTTACCAACCTGGGCAGGGGTTGGGGGTTGGGGGAGGGACTCTTAGTGTTTTTTGGCTCTATCAGAAAATCTAAGGACATCTGACCTTTGTATTTCAGTTATATGTTACATGGTCTAAACAATGGAGCAATTTATCATTAGCTAATATTTGATCATGCTTGTCACCAATTGGTTTGTTTCAGTTATTCGCATGTAATAAATCAGATGTACACACAATGCTGGGCTTGAGTGACTTTCTCTAGCTGAGTGGTCTACCGGGAGTAGTACACAGGAACCATGCTCCCTGAGTTCACCAGGACACTCCCTGGGAGCAGTTGAATTGATCATACTGTTGCAATACTGATCACAGTAAATGAGCTTTTTGAGGAGCCCTCTAGAGTAGCAACCACACTCTCGAGTAAGCCTGTGTATCATAATGTCTCTATAGACCTAAATAACTCTTTTAATAGTCATCAAACACTCTCCTTTCATTGACAATGAAACTGAAGCCCAGAAGGTCACTTGCAAAAGGTCATGCAACTAGAAGCAGTTTTCCTGAATACTATTCTACTGTTTTCCCCTTTGCATCGTAGAGCCACTGTGCCTCTCATAGGCAAAAATTCAATCATGGCTAGCAAGAGTTTACTGAACAGCAACTATGTTAAACTTGCTTATCAGCTTAGGATGGGAAGGAAAAGGGGAGAGTAATGAGTTCAGAGTGAGAGAGAACAGACCTCAAATACCACGGTCTCCAGAGTACCCCCTTCATCATGGTTACAATCAACTCGTCTCTTCACAAACCCAGTGGAGAAGTGGCCAATTAAAATAGGGAAATCAAGAATACCTTGACAAGTTATACGCCCAAGACATCTTAACTATTTTGTAGGGTTTCAAAGTGACTCTTGAAAAGCCCTCCCCTTGTGGCTAATTAGTACAGCTATCCTTATTTATTTTTTTTTTTTTAATATTTTTTTATTTATTTTAATATTAAATATTTTAATATTTAATATTTTATTAAAATATTATTATTTTAATATTTTTAATATTATTTTTCCTTATAAACACTTAAAACATTGATGACATTTTTAACCAGAAAAACACCATTTATCCCATTACCCAAACACAATCTTTTCATTTTTAAAAATTTTAATCTATTATTTGTCCCCATGTAAGCATATTTTCACTGAGATGTCCTCATAATGCACATATAATTGTGTATTCTGATTTTTTAATTTAACATTTCGTAAGTATGTTATTTCCATGAAATTCAGTTTTCATTTTTACTAGCCATATGATATTCCATAAAGCTAACATAAAGTCATTTCCTTCATCATTCCTATATGTGGCAACATTTCAAATGTTCTCACTAATTTTCAGTACCACCAATACTGTTTTTTCTTAGAATATTCTCAAAAATAGGATTATCAAATTGAAAGGCAAAAATATGTTTATAATGGACTTCATATTTATGGCCATATTGATTTCAAGAGATTGAAATTATCTACAAAGCCACCAGCAGTAGATGTGCATTCTACTTTCACCAAACTTCCTCACCATTGCATGTAATTAAAATTTCTTTTCAGAGGCTTATTTAATGTAATATGATATTTAAGGGTGTCATTTTTATTTTAATGGTGACCATAATTATTCTCTTATTTAAAAATTATTTTATTGTCTTTCACCTCTAATATAAAATGTATCTACTCACATAATTTGACTACCTTTAGGTCATAGTTCTTCTTATGAACTTAAATGACCCTTTATGTAATATATATTAATTTTTTATACATTTTTTCCTGTAAATTTGTTTTAACCATTTAATATATCAGGCATATATTTAGATCCATAGCATAAGGTATGTATTCAGATAGTTCTGACCAATTCCAAATTATCCATAATACTATTTACTAAGTTTTCCTTCCTCACACATCTTTCTATAAGCTTGCTTTATTATGTTGTATTATAATTTGTCTATTTCTGGGCTCACCCTTTAGTTACATCAATCCACATATTTAAAATGGAACTTTTGTTCAGACTGCCAGTATGATGTGACTGGCATTGTGTTAGGTCGTTTTCATGTGCATAATCACATGAACTTTGTGTGTGTGTGTGTTAGTTTTAATTACTGTTGTTTCGTAGTATGTTCAAATCCATGGTAGAGCTAGAAACTACTCTTCATTTTCTTTTTTCAAATGTTCATCGATATTTTCTTTTCTGCATGAGTATATGTGGGAAATTTTCACCCATTTTTTCAGATTATATTATTTAATTAAGTGTACTGTTTGCCCTCCATATTCAGTCATACTCAGAATATTCCCATTAGCAGTCTGATTAAAATTGAGTTGAATTATATACATATGCATCTTTTCAACATTTTGTTGTCCCATGTTTAAAAAAATTGCATATTATTATGAATCTCTACATATACGACATTTTAACATTTATATTCAATAGACATTTATATTCTGCAAGTCTCCTGATTCTCTGTCTTTCCTCATTTCCATTTCACTTGCTTGGAAATACTTCATTCTTCATGTCCAGCAATTAAATTGTGTGAATTCCTCACAAGGTTCCCTAAATCACTTCCTTTACATGCCGGAAAATGCTGATTAAATAGAAGACAAGTACTTAAAATCCTATCTTAAATAAAATATCTTCATTTCCTTGACCAAAATGAAATTAAAACTGCATGTAAACAATATCACCACCACAAAATAATATCTCATGTAACCATTCTATTCCTTAGAATATTTACATGACAAAGCCCTGAGTTCCTTTAAAACACAGCTGAATGGCTTCAGCTAGCTAGAGCCCTCCTCCTTCCCTTCCACCCACCATTGTCTCTTATTTCTGCTATCTGTGAAACAGTTCTGAGTTCAAAGATAGAGAAAAAGTGCAGAAATACAAATCACTTAAAATTATAAATAAAATATGTTAAACCTAAGTTTGACTGAAAATAGTCTAAATTTTGTTGTGCATGTTAACTAAATCCACGTGTTATCTTCCTTGATTTCACAAAGCTAGGTACTCTCAAGGAATCTTATGGTTTACATAACCGATATGGTACATGAAGAATTCTAGACTCTGTACTGAAAGGGAAGAGAAGGACAAAAAGAAAAAATGGGAAGAAAAAAAAGACCTGAACGTCTGTGTGTAGATAGGCAAATAAGAACTGAAACTGTTTGCCATCCGCACTTTGAAAGTCACACTATGTGTCAAGTTTGTCAAGTCGAGTGAAAGAAGGAGTGATGTGCTTCTCCACTTTCCTGAAGAACCACGTAGAAAATGTGGCAAATATTTAATTTAAGCCTTGTTTCCTGAAAGACTGCAAGATGCCCACAAATTTTCTTTCCCAGAGTTCAAAATAGCAAGCTGAGTGGGTGTAAGCACTTTAAGTGAAAAAAAAAAAGTAACTAAGGAAAAGGAAATCGTACTTTCTGCTTCTTAGTATAAGATTTTTTTTTAAAGGCCATTTAAAGAGATATTAGTGATTAGGATCTGGTGGTTGTCTTGAATCAGAATACAAATACAGTCCTGGTGACCTCAGACAGAGCCCCCTGGCCACATTTAAACATGATTCATTCTGTGTAAAGATGAAACTGACAACATCGTAGTTACAGTAAGAGCAAGCTGTTGTCTGCTACGATCAGATACCTAAATCACAACAGGAAAACACTTGCACGAAGGGAAAGCTGAATGTCTATAGGGCCTCTACCCTTTCCCAAGAGAGGGACCTTCCTCAGCAGTGCTTTATAATATTTTCACATGTAGATGAGTCACCAGGGGAGCTTGTTAAAAATATGGGTTCTGATTCCGAAAGTCTACGTGGAACCCCAAAGTTCCCAGGTGATAAGTTCGCTGGTCTACACTTTGAGAAGCAAGACTGTAGTCTGTAACAATAGTTTCCTAATAGCCAGACACCAGAAATCACAATCAACCAATTAAGAACACTTACTAGTTACCTGTGCCAGTTGTTATAATAAAGTACATAACAGGTGACTGAGCTAATACAGAAAAAAAGTATGTTTTAAAAAAATAAAAGCTAAATGTGTGAAAAAGACTCTAAGGATAATAGGAGTTGAGAACAGGAAGAGTTCTGTGGGGACTAGAGTGGTCGCAAATGGCTTCATAGAGCAAGCTGGACGTGTGCAGCCCCAAGTTAAGGGAAGGGGTGGATGTAGAGAAAGAAAGAGCAGGCCACCACTAAGGGCAATTCTAGAAGGGAGAGCCTAGAGTTCCCACAAGAGAAAGCTACGGTGAGCCTGCTTTGTGGTTATAGATATTATCATTGGAAGCTTTTAATCAGAATTCACTTTGAACCAGGTGAAAGGAAACTCTGGCCTTGTTTAAAATTTGTCGGTTTGGAAATTATAATTCTATTCCAGGACAGGAAAGAATGGGTAGTTTTGCCTTAGTCTTATGCAAATTTTCTCCATTGGCAGCAGCAATAGTGTTATGAATGACATTTTAGGTTTGAGCCTGGGAGCACAAAATTACCATTTTTGTACATATATTTATGCATATGTATGCCTTTGGTTAACATATGTCTTTAATGATTAAGACTTTCAGAGCATTAGAATCATAACTTTTCACTACAATAGATTTAATAATCTTCTGTTACTTCGAGTACTTGAATTTTACTTTTATTATAAAAAGAATTTTTTTCTCCTGTAACATACTTTCGGATGGCACATACCCACACAACACCCTCAACTCCAGCAATATTCTTCCATTCTTCTCTTTCCTCCCACACTGGCTGACAATGGGAAGAAAACATATCCAGAAACAGAATGAAATTATTAATGAATTATACCTTATGTGTTTTTTTTAATCTTAAAAGAGTTTTTCCTACCAACCCACAATACGTTGGGTATTGCACAATGGATTCAACAGAAAAGCAACTGAGGATTCCACAGGTCAATACAAACATAAACATTCAATCTCTAAACTTTTTTTTTTTAATGAAGAGAATTGCAGAGGGATGAGCATACTTGCAAGCTGCAAGAAGGAAGTATTTGAAAGAGAAACCTAATATTTTAGCTCTCCTAAGTCAGGTCAGTAATCTCACTGAGTTCTATTTCCATCTTTTCATCTTGGGAACTATGAAATTCGTCATCTTATTGTAAGCATTAAGAAATGGTACTTGGAAGACTTACAAATCTTATGTTTCACATTAATGTTAAATGCCATGACTATGGTTTAGCCACAGTTACTGTCCGAGGTATGTTTCTCTCCTACCAAACTTCACTATGCTTCCTGTTCTTAGTAAGGAAGTCAGAATTTAGGCAATGAATTACGGCAAAACTGCTATTTCAAAGCATCAAGGCTTGAATGTTAACAAGATACCTGTAACACTGCGATTGGGCCGAACAAGATCCTAGTATTCAGGATGTACCAACAGAGTCACCTTCCCTCCCGTCAATCCAATGCACACACACATGCAAACACTCACTAGTGACAAGAAAAAAAATATTAATATGAGAATGCTAAATTACTGCTACTTATGAATGGTTACAAAAACAATAAACACATATGAATGGTTGCAAAAACAATAAACAAAATGCAAACAGGCACACCCTAGTGAGACCACGAAGTGTGTCTTCTACAAATCTCTTCCCCTTTCTATCCTGGTCCTGTTCAGGTGACCTGGCCTAACCTGGACATGGGGTCTTTGCAGGCTGCACGCTGCATCTACTGCAGAAAAGAGCTGGTAAGATTTTTCATGCTAGGTTGTCAAAAATGTAACGTGTTCTCATTATGAAAACATTTACATTAAGAAAACAGCAAAAACAAACAAAAATCTTGGGACATCATGAAACTTAATACAAACAAATAACTGTTGGTGAAGAGACAGATTTGGGGGAGGGGTTTTGCAAGAATAGAAGCAAGACTTCCTCCTCTGTGGGAAATATTAGTAATCCTATTAAGGCACAGTGCAAGGTGTGTCATAGACACTAGAAGCAGATATGGTTTACTTTCAGTTCTCTGAGGTGATTCTTATTGGAATTGAAGTGGCTCTTCTGAAAACAATTAATCAACAATAAGTTCTCTCTCCCTCCCTCTCTCTCTTTCTCTCTTCAAAGTGTGTGTGTGTATATATACGTATGTCTTTTGACTAATTATTAGGCGTAGTCCCATTTTTTTCTCCTTGGTACCTATCACTATAATCATCTGTGTTTCTGTGTCACCTGCTTTTAGAATTACACATGGATATTACCAGAAGTTACAGAGTTAAATTTGCAACAGCACAGACTTCTAACTACAAGCCTGGGACCATGGTGGAAACAAAGGTTCAGTTAAGGAAGATTTCCCGAGCCAGAATTGATGTCCTCACTAACCAGGCTGCCAGGCTTAAATCAAATGAAGGTCGATGCAATGTCCCCAGAGGAAGCTGTTCAACTCGCCGGGTCGGTTCCCCAGAGCCCTGCCAAGGAGGCTCCTCAGATTGACAGCGCCCTGGCAGAGCTGCTGTCTTCCCCAGGCAGAGAGGCCCTCCCCCGGACAACAAGCTGGGTGCAAACTCGTCTTCCGCAGACACCAAAAGAGAGCACAGCAAAGCTAAGCGACTGGGGACAGCCACTTGTGGCTGAGACAAAGGCAGGCTCCCCCTGCCGCAGGACGATCACTAGGACTGTCAGGCTGTCGAAATGTATATTGCAGACAGGACATCCCTCCTGGCATCCAGTGTGAGCGAAGTCCAGGCCACGGCAACAACAGCCTGGCCTGAGGACAGCCTGCACCACACATCAAAGCCAGAGGCCCTGGGAGGCTGGCCAGCCGCCAAAGACGCCTGAGAGCGGCAGGGGAGTGTGTTGCCTTAGGACAATAGCAAACTGGGACGTGGTAGAGTCTGTAAATTCCAAGCACTGGGGAGGTCTTCTCAGAGATTTTACCCTCTCCTGTCAGGGCTGTGATTTAATTTCCTTTGAAGAAAAAAAAAAAGAAAAAAGAAAAGAATATACATTCCCAAATCTTCTGTCTGCAAAGGCAGACACCACAACGCAAGCTTAATGCACTCTGGTCCTTCCCGGCCAGCGGCCACTGTCTAACACAATACAGCTAAGTGAGATGTGACATTCTCCCGGTCCCCTTAATAGGGCATTAAGTCTAAGGAGTACTTAAGATCATTTAAATGCAAACATCATTGTTCCATTGCTACTAGACTCCCAGATATTTCCCATCAATTCTGTTTAATTAGAGTAGCACCACACGTTAATTATAACCTGACAGTTTTATTGATTTCACAGGGCACATCATACAGTCCCATTTTAGGTACCAAGGACTTAAGGTGAAGCATGAACCTCTCAGTCACAAAGATGACTCAGCCTCTTGGGCTGATGAGGTTCTGATTCTTCTACCAGGAGAGGTTTACCCACTTGCTCAACAGAAATAGTTCAGTAATCATCTTATGTCCTCACTTATTTCACAGCGTTTTGCAAAACAACACATCAAAAACAAACTAAGGAAAAAAAAACCTGTAAGAGTGTAAAAGAAATATCCATCTCCCTCTGTTCTGTGGTCTTAATCTGCAATTCTTAAGGACCAGGATGAGGTGCTGTGAAGGCTACGCAGGTAAAGCTGGCACCAAACAGAAATATGGTGCACTTCTGCCCCTGAAGCGACTGGCCCCACTTTGAGAAGCCATGCTGTAAACATGCTCATTAGAACAGAGAGGACTGGTCAGTTTTCCTTTCAGAGGAAATGAATATGAGTTGAGATCACTCAACTCTAATCCACCCTGTACCTCAGGGTTATACTCCCAGCAGCACATGCTCCACTAAGCCAGCAGTTTGTCATAGCCCAGCGTGTCATCCATAATGGCATGTTGGGGGTGGAATCACTTCCAATTCCTCACTAATCTGGTGCGGGGAATGCCAAGGTACAGAGTTTTACTTGATTGCATAAAACATAGAGCTATTTTCAGCTTCCAAATCATCGTTCTGGCTCTTTCACCAGTCCTAAAGCCATATTACAACCCTTTAAAAACATCTTTTCTATTCGGTTTTCCCTTATTTTAATATAAGCAAACACTTAAAGTAATCCCACTAAGTCTCTGAAATATGAAGCCATGAAATGTTAGAAAAAAAAAAGACGAAAAAGAGTTTAAGAGTTTTACACATATTTGCGATTTAAAATGGTCACTGCTGCTATGGTAGTGGGACTTGAGTTATCTCCAAACTCCTTATAAAAACCCTGGGCAATTAACACTTAGCAGGACTTCGGTGCCTGATGACAAAATCAATTCTGTTATAGTCACACTTCGAAAAATGACTTTGAAGAGTAACAATAAATAATGAAAATTAAACAACTGCTAACTGATATAGGAAGAACTTCAGCTATTTCTGTAATAATTCCACTGGGATTTGTGCTGAACATTATAAAAACAGGATGTTTTGTTTGTTGTTCTTCATAAAAGACTACTGAACCAGTATAAGACTCCAAAATATATGAAGACTACAAATCTACATGAAGTCTACTAATATTAAAAAAAAGCTAAGTGGAATTTTTATTCATGTATTTAACATTTTTGCTCAATGTAAGATGACCTCAGGAAACATGTTTCTTATTTTTATGAAAGCCAAAAGGAAACACAGTTATATAACATAATTCTGCAATGGTTCAGCATCACAGTGCAGAGAACTTAATCCTAAATATAGGACTGTCACAAATCAGTCTTCACTGCTAAGACTTCTTATATTTAACATTAACAACGGATTATCCCATGGTAACCAGATACCTGTTCCATTTAGTTAGAGGCTAATCCTAACAACATAAGGATTCCAATAGCAAACTTTTTTCTAATGTTACCATCAATGAACTGTGATGAAGCTACTGCACCAAGAATGAACTTAATATTAGTGGATTTAGAGATAACTTAAAGTGGTATGATTAGCACACAAATACAGTCTTATCTATGGATGTGGGATGGGGGAAGGTATCACTTCTGTAAATGAAACCATTATTTTTTACTGCTTAAGTAAATGAAAACATTCATATCCTCTTTTCCTGACACACACAGCTGTATTTGGAAGTGTAGAAGAAATAGGGAGGAAGTATGTTTAGGAAAGAATTGCACCTGAATATTTTCCTAAAGGCTGGGCATGGTAGCTCACATCTGTAATCTCAGCACTTTGGGAAGCCAAGGTGGGAAGATTGTCTGAGCCCAGGAGTTCAAGACCAGCCTGAGCAACATAGTGAGACTCTGTCTCTAAAAATAAAAATTAAAAAAAAATTCAACTGGAGCATGGTGCACCTGCAGTCCCAGATACTCAGGTGGCTGAGGTGGGAGGATTGCTTGCATCTGGGAAGTTAAGATTGCAGTGAGCTGTGATTGTGCCACTGCACTCCAGCCTGGGCAACAGATCCAAACACTGTCTCAAAAAAAAAAAAATCTGAAACAAATAGTTGGGCTCTGCTCTGTCCATTCTGATGCTTTTGAAATAGCTGGAAAAGTCACCCAAATAACTGCTGCTGCCATTCCATGAACTGATCTCTATTTAAATCAAGTGAAAGCACCAGTTCAACCCCAAGTCTATGAAAGGAACTAGAGGCTTCTCTTCACTTCTGAGGTCCCAGAGGCTACATCTAATCACTAAGCCTGATTGTTTTATTTTCTGTAACACTCTAAAAAGTATCTTTTTAATATCTAACCACTTATACACTTTTCTACCTGGTGAAATCTATTTTTTCCTATTTCAATATCTATAATTTGCTATTTATGTCATCTGTTAACCTATTCAACAATCATTTACCATGCACCTATCACACACCAGGCACTGGGCTGTATGCAAAGGTACACAAATGTGTTTTATGATCTTAGAGAATACCGGGCTTGGAGGAAGTATGAAAAGTGCTGTAGTACAAATTACCACAGAGTCCATAGGAAAGAGAGGAGGAGTTATTAAGGAAGCTCTGACAGTGGAGACACTTGCAGTGGATCTTCAGTAATCAGTAGACATTTGTGAGGCGGAAAAGAGGAAAACCAAGCTGAAAGGAAATATATTCGGTTTTAGAGCAAACTAAGTTTGAGGTGCCTTAGAAACAACTGGGTAGAAATGTCCAAGTAGACATTTGGATACATAGATGTAGAATCCATGGGAATATGTGAACTGAAAAACTAGTATTGAAGACTATTAGCATCATTAGCAGCTAGAGTGATTCTTTATTTATTTATTTTTTTTTTTTTTTGAGACAAGGTCTTGCTCTATCACCCAGGCTGCAGTGCAGTGGCACGATCAAGGCTCATTGCAGCCTTGACCTCCCAGGCTTAAGCCATCCTCCCACCTCAGCCTCCTGAGCAGCTGGGACCACAGGTGTGTGCTGCCACACCTGGCTAATGTTTTTTGTATTTTTTTGTAGAGACAGGGTTTCACTATGTTGCCCAGGCTGGTCTCAAACTCCTGGGCTCAAGTGATCTGATTGCCTTGGCCTCCCTAAGTGCTGGGACTACAGGTATGAGCCACCACGCCTGGCCTAGAGTGGGTTTCTGTAAAACAGTCTGAAAAGCTACAGAGAGTGGCTTAAGGGTTGAACTTTGGGAAAAGCCTCAAAGACTAGGAAGTGTGCAAAGGGGCTGAGAACAGAGACAGGCCTACTAAGCCACAGCATCACAGAACCAAGTGGCGAAAAAATTAAATGATAAACAGAGTCAGACACAAATCAGGTCAAATAAGTCAAAGACCCAAAAGATGTCACTGAATTTCAAAATTAAGAGGTTATAAATGTTCCTCGTGAAAGCAGGTGGTCGAAACTGTGAAGCAGTTGGGACAGGTAAAGTAGTAGCTAGAAAAGCCATCAGGATTATTGGTTTTATTGTTTGCTTGTTTTCAAGATGGAAGGGATTGGAGCATATTTAAATTTTTCTAGTTGAGAGACCTTTAACAGCTATGGCCCTGAAAAAAAATACAATGTCCTAACAATATTTTACTGGATTAAATTTTGGCCACAGTGGAGAGATAATTATGACTTGATTGTGTTAATATAAAAGTTCAAATTCTCAGCAATTGACTACTAATGATGATATAATGATTTGGGGAGTCTTTAATTGAAGGAATATGCTGCTGTTCTGTCGAATAAATCAATAAGGAATCGCATAACACTGTGGGGAAATCTTGAAAATGAAACTACTAAAAGATAAACTTTGACCATATAATTTTCAAGCTGAACAAAGCTTTAGAGATCATCCACTTAAATCTCTTATTGTGAAACAGATTTAAAATCAATGCAATAATAACAACTTCCACTGAAAAATATCAAAACTAAGTTTAAATTGTGCAAGAAAGAAAATGATTATGACAAAGAGGCTGCCCAAACTACTCTGAGAAACTTTTAAACATTTTATTCAGACATCTAGATGGGAGGGAATTCCTAAGCCTGACAATTATAAGTTATCAGTAAGTCCACCTAGACAATTTCTGAAGAAGCACCCTGAAAGAATTCACTGACTGCTCACGCTCCTAGCACATAATGACTAATTCATCCTGCTCCATCTGGGGTCATACCTCACCGTGGTTCTCACCCTGAACACTGTCGCAGGACAAGAAAACAGTCACTTTGAAAATAGTAAGCAAGAAACCCAACTGAAAAATGTTAGTTTTACAGTCTGGTGGTTTGTGTTGTATGATCATAATGGAAAACCCAGTTTTATTCATGTGATGAAAAATTCAGGAAAAAAAGTGTTTCTTTATAACTTAGGAAATGACTTCTAGATGGTTAGTTTCTGGGAAATATACAAATAATAGAAGCACTTTCATATTCTTTCATAAGTTGAATTTAGAGTTTTCCAACTCCCTTAAGAGGTGAGAAGGAAAAGCAACAACAAGAGGAAGCAACTGTAGCCAGCCTGGAATCAATAAGGCCTAGTAATAGGATTTGGCTCATAGCCAAGAGTGGGGTCCACCTGCTTTCACTGTGGTAAGACTCAGGGTTGAGGCTCTTTTATATACAGACACACAGGTACACCCCAAGCATGATTTAATTTCTCTATAAGATGTAGCAAATAGTTTTGGCAAACTAGACTCTTTAGGCTGCTATGATTTCCACAAAGAGGAATGTTAAAAGTTTGGGCTGACTACTGAAAACCTTAAGGAAATGAAAGATCTAGAAACGGTAATGGAGTTTGAAACAATCATCACAGAGAAAAATAAAAGAAAGCAACATTTACTGAGTATTTTCCCATTTAATCTTTTATGAGGCAGGTACAATTATTACCCTAGCTTACAAAGGACTTGAGGCCCCGAAAGGCTCAGGAACTTGTCTACAGCCTCACTGTAAGTGCTGGAGAGAGTTTTTTAATCCTTTAAGCCTGAGTCTGAACCATCCCTCTTGAAAATAGACATAGTGGCAATGTAAAAAGATACATGGGTTGAAGAAATCTAAATATCCTGCCATGACTGGCACTCAATTTTCAGTTCTAGTCATAATGATTCTGACCTGACAAAAGGATCACCATGCCAAAAGAATGTTTAATGTATTGAACCATTCCTGATTACTCACTATTTGAGCTGGTATGACAGAACCTCACGGTGGAAGAGTTTCAGTGGGGTTCACTCATGTCTTTATACAACAATGATATGCTGCTTTCACACTTAGAACGAAGGTCATTGCTTTAAATTTGGCAAGAAAATCAAAGTCTTTCTTATCCAGCTCAAGAGCATTATTTTACCCAGATCATTGTCCTAATTTACTTTGGCAATAAAAAGTGTTTATTACTATAAAGTAAGGCTAAAATTGATGGGTTTGGGAGACTTTACACACCATGTTCCACTAGGTTAATTTTGGAGGGCATGCCATGCTTTCTATCTTTAAAAAGTATAGTCTATTTCTTCCTTCTTAAAGCCACAGATTTCCCACCAAACTTAAAACTTCAGTCCATTATATTATTTTAAATTTTGTTTTAACTTTATTATTGGGAAATGACTTTATTTAATCTTTCTATCAAGAAGTAGCATTTCGCTTTTTTTAATAAAATGCTCACAATAAACTCTTTTTTTCTCTCATTTATTCAATTATTTATTCAACAAACAATTGTGCATTCCCATAAGCCATGATTCTTGTCTTCATGGAGCTCAGGGGCTAGTGAAGGTCAGACACTGAAAATAGATTGTTACTGTGTGGACCCCATAACAAAAGGCATGCTGAATAATCAATTACATAACAATATTTGAGAAAGGCAGCACTCTTCTAAATTCTTTAAAACTTGGGAGCTAAGTATCCCTCCTATCATGACCTGAAATATAGAGTAATTCTTAAATCCACCACAGATATACTTTATTTCAACAACTCCCAGATGTCTCAGGACACCCTGAACCCAGTTTCAAAACTCATCAGCATAGATGTTTTAGAGATTTCTCCAAAGAAGTCACTGGCCCATCACTATCACATTCTAGTTTAGGTAGACTTAACACTCAATCTAATGAATCAATTTGTGCAGTTTGACAAATTTAGAGTAACAGGGGAAAAATACATAAGATACTCAGAACTGGAAAACCCTCTGAGTATTAGAGTCTTCTGTGTTGTATCTTTCCTAGTCTAAAATGATAAACATTCCTATCTTTGAAAAATTTGATATAAATATTTGTCATTTGATGTAGAAAGTGAGGTATTTTTGTGCTTATCTTTTAATTACTCCAAACTTCTCTTAGTTTAATTGCATACTTGTACAACATATACCTCTTTTCTTACTTTTTCTAGAACCTGCTAAGATTCCAGTTATTTTCTTATTGACTTCCTTCAGTTGGTAGCTAGATCCATAGATTAAGGTATTTTTCTTTTCCTCTCTTGGCAGATTAAGTTCATTTGGCACAGATTTGTACACAAGATCATGTCCAAAAGGAATCCAAGGAAATTACCAGATATCTATTTTTTTTTCCACATCAGAGAAGCAAACCCTAGCTAATCCAGCTTGTCTGCCCTCTGAGCCTGGGGCTTAGTGTGAGAAGTTACACTCCCAGTAGAGAAGGGACTCTAAGCTGGCTACCCAAAGGGTCTCCCTGTGGTTTCGATAAGAATTCACTTGTAACAGGTGCTAGCACCTGTTCTTCCGGCTCCCAGAATAGTTCCTACTTAAAATGAATCATACTCTAACAGTTCACTTTTAAGCTTACTATTTGAAATTTGGAATGTGTTTCCCTCTAAAACCAGTGTCATAAATACTGGTTGGCATGCAAGGCCACCCTTCAAAAGCCTGTATAACCTGATTTAGAATTCGCCTAAGGCAATGTAATAAGAGCAACATAGAACCTACCCACCTTAGATGGCATAGCTTCTTGTCAAATAGTCACACTGAGAAATTGAGTCAATAGGATATGAAACTGCCTTTTCCTACAAGGACCGTAAAAGTCTAGGTGAAACTCTAAGAGGTAAATAACAAAGTAAGAATAGCAAGACACAGATGGGCCAGGGGCATCAGTAGGAAGAATCTCAGTGGCTCTTGTCTTTTGTCAGGGCAGCAGTGGTGGTCCAGGCATTGGTAGCAGCAGAGATGGCAGAAGAATGGAAAAGAAAAGAGGGCAGGGAAAATAAGTGAATCAGAAGCTAGAGCAGCCTTTGAAAAGGGAGTGTCCTAGAATTGAGGGCAAGAGAATTGAGGAAGAGAAGGGAATTCCTACCACAAGGCAACCGGGGAATTCCCTGGTTGGGGTTGCCATTCACTCTGTCACTGACTGGGAATATTCACTGTTTAGTCACATAATGTTCTCAGTCTTTGTTTCTTACTCTGGTTTCTTAAATTCAAGCTCTGTGTTGTTCATAAAAACCCGGTTCAGGCTGGTGGCTGTGCCATCCCCCTCAGATTTATTGTTAGCCTGTGGTAGTTCTCAATTAGGGTGATTCTGCCCCCTTAAGAGACACTAGGCAATGTCTGGGAGTTCTTTCTGGTTGCCAAGACTGGGAGTGGGAAGGGGTATGCTATTGTACCCTGGTGGGTAGAGGCCAGGGATGCTGGTAAGTATTCTACAATGCACAGGATAGTCGCCCACAACAAAGACTTATCTGGCTCCAAATGCCTAACCATGCTGGAGCTAAGAAAACCGGTAACATTGTAACTCTGCTGCAATAACTTTTTGGTACATGTCACTAGGCTCCTGATGTTTAAGCAAGTGATTATAACAAAAATCCTTTAGACTAATTGTATTACTCAAACTTCATCCTAAAGATCGTGCTCAACCAAGAGAAATTCTACAAAAAAACCCATAGTATTCTTCAGAATTACAAAGTGTGACATTTGTTTTTTAATTGAAGATGTCCAATCAAGACAGCCGAACTTTAGGAGGCTGGCAGAAAGGGCACGGGATGAACTTGGTATCACCTGAATGTAACTGAAATTTTCCAGGGAAGGCACTGCACAAACTCCTCTGTGAATGTGAACCCTGCCACCAATGCCACATCCTGCTTCTTAAGCTTTTCCATAAACAGCAGCTGTATTCCTCCCCAAGCATCAAATGACAACCCAGGAACATGCACACGTTCCTGAAATGCTCGCAGCCACCCAGTATTAAAGCAATAATCTCCCCCAGGGAAAAGTCCTACTGGGCCGGATGTAGGAAAAAGAATGAAAGCAGGCACAGCTTTCAGGTCCACTCCACCACAAATGACTCCATGACCCGGGCAAGGAACGTTAAGTAACTTCTTTCTGGTCCTTTTTTTCCTCAACTAAAAGCAGAAAAAGTTTGGCTTAGTCATCTGCAACTTCACTTTCAGTTCTCACCACCATGCTGGTTTTCTTCCCAAAAGGTAAAGAGAAGGGAATTGGCTCCAAAGAAAGTAGGTAAGAGGGAGCTTATGAAACCCGCTTCATTAAGGGTCCCAGTCACATGGAGTGTCTGTGGGCTACAATAGATGAACCACCCACGTGGTAAGTTCACCCACAAGAGCAACTTTTTTGAACACAGGCAAAAGCTGACCCCAAGCTTGATAGGCGAAGTCTCCACTGAGCTCCAGGCCACATGAGAAATGCTGACTGTGAGGATGAAGGACCAATCTTTGTGTGTGCACAGCAGGGAAAGGACTAATCATTCCACACTGGCCTCTTCCGCTACAACCTTCTGTACAAGTAACCGTCATCCCCAGAGCACCATCTTATCATTAGGAAGGACAGAAGAAGAAGAGTACAGTGTGTTTTAAACTGTCTTTGTGTTATAATAAAAATCACAAACAAAAACAAAATGGGCACAAACAGTATGAATTTGAGGAGCCTTTAATTTTAATGGGCAAATACTTAATGTATTAATAACCACGTGGTAGAAACCAAAATTAGTTCTGGGGAACCTCTCAACTATACTGAATTATCTGCTGAGATAGGTTTTGTTCATGGATCTACAATAAGAAAGGAATCTGTTTTCCTGAGTCTCCCCACTGAGTTTTTTATGCAGTGCTTCTGTTCATATGCTTAAGTGAGCCATTTAAAAGGAAGAGTGTCAACGTTGGACTCAGGCTTTACTGGTATGAAAGTGTAAAATTATATTTGTATCCACAGATTTCCAAAATCTCAGTATGCAAACTTATTAAAAATACACTATGGTGGAGGCATATATAAGAAGTGAAAGTATTCTTTCACTTATTTCTTATTACTGCCAGTTCAACATTATCACAAGCTCACAGGGCTATGTTTTCCCAACTGAAACACCAGGATGTTAATGTGTCTGAAATTTGAGACCTTCTGATAAATTATGCTTGTTTGCTGGTTTTGTTGTTTTTTGGTGTGTTTGTTTTCAGTAAAAGCTGGCACTTTATAAAATATCTGTCTTCAGTATTTGACAACGCTTGACAACCATTCTCTCGTTACTTTTTACCACATCCTGGTAAGGGGGAAATGGCAGGTAACTGCATCGCTTTTCACTAAAAAACAGACAGCAAGGGGTTAAAAAAAAAAAGAAAAGGAGAATTTATGTCTCCCAGTTCCACCTACTGCACCACTTTAATATCCAGGATTCTCCCCAAGCCATTCCCAGAGAAAAAAGTGAAAAGAATCTCCTTTGACTTGCTTGGGTCACTGCCCCCAAGACACTGAAGACTCAAAGATACTGAAGACTTCAATGTACAATACATTGGTGGTGAAACTAAAAGTCATATGCAAGGAGTTGACTCCCCTCTCACTGCAAATAATTCTAACATGACCGATGTGCTACAGAAATCAATAGCAGTAATGACTACCTTTTTTGGAACTGCCTCAGCAGTCAGCTGGAGAGGGGGCCTTGCTAAGCCCAGGCACACTGCCTGGATCAAGCACTGAAATCAAGCTTCACAAAAGAGAAGCGTGAGTAATTTACTTATTAAAGAGATAACTGTAAAGTCTGATACAAACAGACAAGCGTAAAGCCTTCAATGCACAAACCAAATGCTTGGCTTGGAGACCATAAAATGCAATCAGCAATGAAATCTAGGTTATATCACTCAACTTTCAAAAGTCTAATGCCCCTTTTTATCCTTAGAAAGATGACACAAAGAAATGACCTGTGAGGGAGACTTCTGGTTAGCAGGGGCTCCCCAAAGACACTGAGCCCACAGCAGGAAGTGGAGGGGAAACCTCAGTGACTGGTCCGAGACCAACCTGGACTTCCGTGTAAGGTACAATGCAGATAAAGGGGATTACTGTACTTCAAGTGGGTTCTGAAGCATTCTACATTATTCAAAAGGACAAAAATCTAGTCAGGTGTTGCCCAAATGGTCTCCTCTGTGATCATTTTTCTCATGTTGTTCAGAAACGTAGTGGTGATAGTGCATTTGTGAGACTCTGTGGCCAGGAAACAACATCTCTGTAACCCCAATTTTAAAATCATGACTTCACTGTCACCAACCAGCGAATGCCAAAAATAAAAAGGTAGAAACATCTAAAACGCTGTTAGAAAGTGAAGCTTGAGTTCATGAGCAAATTAGAAAAAAAAAAAAAGTCATTTGCCATCAGATGTTGTCTGTCAACTTAAAAAAAAATCCAAATAAAAAGAGAATTCAAACAGTTCTTCTACAATAAGCTATTGTATAGCCCCTAGATCTAAGTCATTCACAACTCCCGGAAATAACTGCATATTCGCCAAATGCTCTTATTTTGTATGTTCTCACGGGGTTTCAGGACTTGTGCAAATTGTTTTCCAAGCACCATCCGGCCATAATGACCAGGTTAGAACTGATAATTATGCCTGCCTGTCTATAGGTTTGTCAGCTAAAGAAATCCACAGACGGCTGCATCATGAGCAGAATTCTACTTCGGGTGCAGCTGCGCTGACCACACTGCATTAGAAAAACAACCCTCTTTGCAATAACCAGTTTTGGGCATCACTGGTTAAAAAAGACTAGTTTCCTGTTTTTCTCCAAAACTTCAGAGTGTGGGTATTGCTATTTTTTACCCCACCCACACATTTTTCTTTTTAATTGTTGAAGATTAGGTGCTGTAAACACCTAATCATGAGCATTTCTTTATATTAAAACTCCAGGTTTAATTTTAGGTCGGATTTGTTCTTTCCACACGGGGACTCCCCTTTGTTAAGACTTGTGTGGCTTCTCCTGCGGGCGGGGGGAAGCCACGGGGCTGCGGGCTGCTGTCTAGGAGGGGCTGGGGTCGGGTCTTGGGTCTGGGAACTTATCTATGGCCCAGTGTTGCCCCAGGCAGCTGTCCCCCACCATTGGCTTCCTGATGGCCCAGCTATGCATGGTCCCCGGCAGGGATGCTGCAGCTGACCTAGGGCGACAGGTGGTTGGGGGAAGAGAGGCTGTTCCCCCTAGAAGAGTATCTCAACCCAGGCTTGGGAAACAGCCCTTACTGATGAAGGCTGGGGGACTAACAGTGACATAAAGCATCAAGATCCCAGACATATCATCTTATTTCTGTTTATACTATGCCGTTTCTCTTCCTCACTTTGACATGTTATTTCCTTTCTTTCAAGAGGAGTTTGAAGTATATGAAGGCAGTGCACACTGTAGCAGGGCTGCTCCTGGTGCCTGACCCCCTCACTTCACTCTGGCCCCTCTGCAAATGTCACCTCCTTGCAGATCCCCCCTCTCCCCTACCTAATTAACACACAGGCATGAGTGCTGGGCAGGATGATAAATATCTGTCTCCCACACTGAATAGAAGCTCTCAAAGGAGGCAGCACTGCTCTGTTCACTCCTATAGCCCCAGTATCCTAAACAGTGCCTGGAAAATAACAAGTGTTTGATTAATATTTCTTGAGAATAAATGCCCCCCTCCCTTATCTGCTTCATCTTTTATCACACCTCCTCTCACCTGCCCTCTTATTTTTTTATTTTTTAATTAAATAAATTTTTTTTTGAGATGGAGTTTCACTCTCGTTGCCCAGGCTGGAGTGCAATGACACGATCTCGGCTCACTGCAACCTCTGCTTCCCAGGTTCAAGCAATTCTCCTGCCTCAGCCTCCCAAGTAGCTGGGATTACAGGTGCCCACCGCTACGCCTGGCTGATTTTTTTGTATTTTTAGTAGACACGGGGTTTCACCATGTTGGCCAGGCTGGTCTCAAACTCCTGACCTCCAGTGATCCACCCACTTTGACCTCCCAAAGTGCTGGGATTACAGGTGTGAGCCACCCTGCCCAGCCCTCTCACCTGATCTCTTGGGCCCACCTCTCTGGAAACCCTCATTTACTATACTGCAGTTTGTTTACATATGCCTTTTTTATAAACCATAAACTCGTGGAGCTTGAGGACTGGGCTCAGCACACCTGGCACATAACAAGTGCTCAATAAACATTTGATGGGTGTTGTTAAATGAATCATTTGAGATTAGCCACTTTGAAGGCAGGAACTATGTAGATACTGTAGAAACACATTCTGTCTCTATTTTTTTTAACCAATACTATAACTTTTGATCCCTACAAGAAAAGTCTGAGGCATTTCCTCAGCCAACAGTATATGCTTAAAGGCATAGCAATAAGACTTACTCTGGGAGGATCACTTGAGCCCAGGAGTTCGAGACCAGCCTGGGCAACAAAGGGAGACTCCGTCTCTACAAAAAATTAAAAAATGTGTGATGGCACATGCCTGTAGTCCTTGCTATTTGGGAGGCTGAGATGGGAGGATCACTTCAGCCCAGGAGGTCGGGGCTGCAGTGAGCTATGATCCTGCCATTGCACTCCAGCCTGGGCAACAGAGCAAGACCCAGTCTCAAAAAAAAAAAAAGAAAGAAAGAAAGAAAAGAATCCACATAAGCTTGTCGAAACAAAGACTAGAGAAATAAAAACTTAAAACGATAAATGAGGCAGGACGCGGTGGCTCATGTCAGTAATCCCAGCACTTTGGGAGGCCAAGGTGGGTGGATCATCTGAGGTCAGGAGCTCAAGACCAGTCTGGCTAACATGGCGAAACACTGTCTCTACTAAAAGTAAAAAAATTAGCCGGGCATGGTGGTGCACACCTGTAATCCTAGCTACTTGGGAGGCTGAGGCAAGAGAATCACTTGAACCTGGGAGGCAGATGTTGCAGTGAGTCAAGATCACACCATTGCACTCCAGTCTGGGCAATAAGAGTGAAACTCCGTCTCAAAAAAAAAAAAAAAAAAAAGGAAAGAAAGAAAGAAAAAGAAAAAAAAGAAAAGAAAATGATAAAAGAAGTGTTTATCACTGTACTGCTATGCAAGAAGTTGAGGTAATATCCTTTGAAAGTTCCTGAAAAGAAAGAATTCTAAGCAAAATCAAAATCTTCATTTTTGTTAAAGTTCACAGTAGGGAAAGTGTTAAATCTTTTTTTCTCCTGTAAGTTCTCCTCTTAAAGGAAAGACAGAAATTCAGCAAAGATCTCTATCCCCTCGGACCTCCAACATTTTTCTGAACTGTAAAAAAGATAAGAAAAAAACTGAGCCACAATCACCCTTGTATGTTATGTACATGTATTGACTTCATATTGCTCCCATTCATGTTAAGAAGAACCCAGGTGATAAAAACTTAAATGAACTCCTGATGAAAGGAAAATATATGTATATTTTATCATTTGTTTCAAGAATTTAAATAAATTATTAATATGTACATTCATACTATAAAGCTCTACAACAGTGGTCCCCAACCTTTTGGGCACCAGGGACTGGTTTCGTGGAAGACAATTTTTCCATGGACTGGCGGCAGGCAGGGGGTTGGGAAGACTGAAGTGCACTGCATGTATTGTACACTTTATTTCTATTATTAGTACACTGTAATAATGAAATAATTTTACAACTCACCATAATATAGAATCTGTGGGAGCCCTGAGCTTGTTTTCCTGCAGGAAAACTAGATGGTCCTATCTGGGGGTGATGGGAGACAGTGACAGATCATCATGCATTAGATTCTCTTTGGGCAAGAGACCTAGATCCCTGGCATGCGCAGTTCACAATAGGGTTCACGCTTCTGTGAGAATCTCATGCCACTGCTGATATGACAGGAGGCGGAGCTCAAGTGGTAATGCTCGCTCACCTCCACTTACCTCCTGCTGTGCAGCAGTTCCTAACAGCCAACAGACCACTAGTGATCCGTAGCCCAGGTACTGGGACCCCTGCTTTACAGGCTATCCATTGCTGCACAAATTTTGTAGTAGCTTTATTCCGCACAAATTCTGCAACTTGTCTAAGCAATAGACTTTTTAAAATGAGAGGAAGCTTCTTTAATTCCCATGTGCCTTATTTAATGTTGGAAAAACTAAAAAAGAAAGAGAAGTTAAGTCAACTATCATTTCACAGAAGACACAGATCTATTTTCAAGGAAGTTAAAATCTACTCAGACAGTATACGAACATGCATACATCAGATAGCAGAAACATCACAACAGAACGACATGCCAGCAAGTAACACCTGAAGACAATACTCTCAGCATATTCAAATGCTGAGGCTCATTCACAAAGGAAAATGCAGGCTAGAATAATAGACCTCTTTGGTTCTGTACGTTTCTAAATAACATAATCATTGTCTTATATATTATTACCAAGTAGCAGTCTTTCCCCATTCATTGACAAATCAATTGGAATGGCCTTCCCCTGTATGATTCATACATAAAATGAAATTTACTAATAATGAGAAGTTTTGACATAGGTACTAATGGCTTGAGATGAATAAACCAGATTTTTATATATGAAAAACATATTGTCTCCTCCCATGGAAACCAGAGCTGTGAGGCAATAACATTGGAGGAACTATAAGCAAAATGCCAGAGCAAAGAAGTAATTCTATTACTTGAAGGTATCCTTGGATACAGTAGAATAGCACCATATACTAACAGAATTTATTTTAAACCCACATACACATTTTTCCCATCCGACTGTTGGTAAAAGGTAATGAGTATGAAACAGTAATATCCCAAATTTAACACTCCAAAAGAATCTGTTTGGGCTTTCTTTCCAAATCATCAAGTAAATGCCCTTAAAATTTGCCCTCTCCCTCCAAACAATTTAATGTCATCTAAGTTCAAAGTTGTCAGTCCCACACTTTCAAATTATAAATAGATAAAACTCAGTGTATGGAACTTCTGTTTAGAAAAGGATTCCATTTCAAAGCGGGCTCCTAAGAAAGAAATGGTAGGTAAGCACACCAGTCCGGGTGGAAGCCTTACTAGAGATTAGAATTTGGCCCACCTGCAAGAACAGATGGCTATTCTGGACAGCTGCAGGAAGATGGGGGAAATAGCTTGAGGGCTACTGATTGCTGTAATAATTAAAACCAACAACAATGACAAAGTGGCACTTGAAGTTTTATACCGTTACTTAAATTTTTTTTCAGGGAAATTTAGGCTTATAAAGTTAGAGTGGCACATCAGCCCAGCAGTTTGTTAAGACTCTATTATCAATCTTTTATACTGGAATCTGTTAGCAGCCCTGCATTCTCTTTTTACACTGTAGAGAATAAACATTAATACCCAAAACGTGTGTTTGACTAACATATTTACAAGAATAAAGCAATGTATTGTACTAGATTCCAGATGTGAAAGATAAGTGTCACTCCTTCAGACAATTTCTCCCAATTTCTCCTAACTTGACAGTTTCATATTGCATTTGCTACATTAGCAAATCTATTATATATTATGTAATACATCTATTATATATGTAATATGTAATACATATAATCGATTACATGTATTACATATTTTATAATACATATAATCGATTACATGTATCATATATTTTATAATACATATAATCGATTATATGTATCATATATTTTATAATACATATAATCGATTATATGTATCATATATTTTATAATACATATAATCGATTATGTGTATCATATATTTTATAATACACATAATCGATTATGTGTATCATATATTTTATAATACATATAATCGATTCATAATCGATTATATGTATTATATATTTTATGAAATGTAATATATATTGCATATATTATATATTGTGTACTATATCTATTACATTTAATTATATATGTAACTATATATTATACATTACATATATTATGTAATTATATATTATACATTACATATATTATGTAATATATTATATGTAATTATATTACATATAATATATTTAGATATCATATATATTTTTATATAATATATAAATTATATATATTTATTTATATATAATATATAAATATCTATTATATGTATATATTGCATATAATAGATTATATGTATTATATAAAATGTAATATATTGTACTTTACATATAATATAATATATATTGTGTACTATATTATATGTAATATATAATATGATATATAATTACATATATTATATATTACATACAATATGTAATATATATTACATAATATATTATATATTATGTAATATATGTAATTATATGTAATATATAATTACATATAATAAATATATTACATAATATATAATAGATTTGCTAATGTAGCAAATGCAATATATAAAAAAGGCAAGAACAGGTTCTGTTGCATTTTTTTTAATAAATTCCCTGTTCACAGCTCCAGAGTACACCACAAAATTTAATATAAAACCTCTTATAACAAAACTATATGTTAAAATAAACTACCAGTTATAGTAGTTTGTGTTACTTTAATGTAAATCCTAGATACAAACCAAATCTTTTGTATCTGCCTTGTCCAATGTTCTTGACATTAACACATTAAGACTGTTTTTATTTCAAAATCTCAGATTCTTTTGGAAATTACAAATTAACTTCTTTAAATTACTAATGACTATTAACAATTACTATACAAAAAATAGCTTTTCTAAGATATTGCTTTCTGAAGAATCAAGGCATATCTGATAAAATATTACAAAATATTTCTAAAGACAGGACACGCAAATATCAAGTTATGAATTTTTTAAGAGATTTAATTGAGTTCTCAGAAAGAAAGAGGAAATAAAATAAGTTTAGAGAAGAGGTCAAATTCAATAGTAAATGTCATGCCAGGTTTAAAGTAAATGAAAAATACCAAAATCTTCACAATACCTCACATCTACATTCATCTAACTACGCTTTTGCATATTGCACATTTTGAGGTCCCTGCTCTGTATGAATCTCTCGGACAGAGATTAGGATCCCCCAAGGAGTAAGACACACTTCTTTCTGTGGGAAAGCTCACATTCCAGTGAGCACTGATTCAAGGAATATTTGTAGTCCACAGGTCCCAAAAACACACTTATAAGCAAAATCTTTATTTAAATCTCATGCTTATTATTTTATGTAGCTTTGGTTCCATGTGGAGAAATGTTTATACTGCTGTAAACAAAGATCGTGTTAAGAGGATATGTGTGTGTTAGCAATTTTCTAATTAAATGTGCATGATTTACCTTTGCCCCTACCATTGGAAAGACCACCCAGTAAGCAGCCAAGCCAGCAAGAGGGCTGTAGGGGGTGTCCTTTCTTTCCTCTCTGCTACCCTTGTTGAGTATTTTACTCTTTTGTCTATCTCTCCCCCTCAGCCCAGCAGCCTTGAACTAAAACCTGCCTTGGCTCACTCTCTGTATTTCACCTCCTGCTCAACTCCCAGTCCCATCACCAGCAGCCTACAGGAGTGTCACCTGGAGCCTGGAGGTCCCTTTAACCAAGAATTCTAGGAACAGCCTAGAAACGGAGGGTAAAGTGCTGCTCTCACAATAGCAGAAAGAGCTGTGTTCCTCAACATCACAGCTTATCACTCAGAATGAAGTTTTCCAAAGAAACTGACATCCACATTTTAACTTCTTAACTATTACTAATACTTCAAGTACACTACAGGTCAACTCAGCTTTTGTGACTTAGCGAAAAATAATAAATATTAATATGAAAACTGTTTATACGTTTAGGATATTGTACATGCACATAGAGGAACAAAGAAAACTGGAGTCTACACAAGACACTTGTTCACCCAATAATTTTTTGAGCACCTAATAACTTGAAGCTATATACATTTGCTATTACATAACAGTTAAATGCCTTTATTGCCTTTCTTTTTAAGGATTGCTTCTGAGAATTAGAGCCTTTCATTCTACTCATCCTCCAAAATAATAAACACAGGGTAGGAAAAATTCACTGCACAAATCTTTCACTCACATGGATGACACTAAATCATATCCCTCAGAATTCTCCTTTCCTTGAAGGTCCTAACCCTGTAAGAATTCATATAGCCAACCAATTCCATTACAAACTGCAAAGACCTCCCAAGGGGCTGAAACACCTATCCAAGTCATCAATTCTCACATAACAAAAGTTAACTATGTCTATATCTGTGTCTATCTACCTATATGTGCTAGCACTTAGAATTCAAAAACAGCTTTTCAAAAATAGTTTCCTCCAGCAAGAGATTTATTACAGCCTATTTTACTTGGCCATGTGAATTTTGTTTTTGTTTTTGTTGTGGTTGCTTTTTTGTTCTTTAATAAGAAAATAAGTCTCTTGATAGCTACTATTGCTCCAGGAAAACCAAATCTCTTCTGAATGATTCCAGATATCCAATATGCTGCCATTTTTATACTCCAAAAGAGAATTTGGATAGCTATGTATAACCCATGAATTCAAATTTTGTTTTCTATTGTGCTTCTAATTGCTTATTCAGTTAGGATGTGGGATGATGCACATTAATGCTGTCAGGAGCATTTTAAGAAAATGCTGAGTGAAAGACATAAAAATCCTAATTTCATTAAAAATTAGCCAAAAGACACATTAGGGTTATGCTACCAACTAGTGAAGGTCTGAAACTGAGAAGAAAAAAAAAAAGGAAACACTTTAAGGAATAATGTTACCAGTACCTTTTTCTTTTACTTGGTTCAAAATCCCTGCATAATTAATACAGTAATACTTCATAAATGCCTACGAACGTACCACCTCTTCTCTCTTGTAGTTTAATTAGGTGATTGACTTCAGGCATACTATAAATTATAATGACATTTTAATTACTTTTTTAATGTGCACACTTAAAAGATTTATAAACAGGAATAGAACAGCCCAGTACATTGAAAAGAGGCACACCAAATGAAATGAAGCACACGACCTAGGATGATGGCAGGCAGACGATTTCTAGAAGATAGAGGTGAACCAGAAAGCGTTTCGCATGCTTCAGTAAACATCAGCTCTACTGCCTTGGGACGAGTTATGAACAACCTATACAAGCTTTTTAATAATCTTAACTTACAAGGAAGGAGCTGGATCCCTCTGTCAGTTACACTTCTAGGCCATCCCAAGACAGCCTCTTCTTACAGTGAAAAAGCACAGACTTTTGAGGATCAGACCTTGGTTCGAATCCTTCCTTTACCACTGGCCAGCTGGATGACCTTGACAAAATTAACCTCTCTAGGCTTTGAGTTCCTCATTTGTAAAATTTGTAAATGGAAGAAAATACCTGTTTTGGAGGGCTGTGGTGGAAATTAAATTAGGTAAGCAGCATGCTGCAACTGGTGAAGAGGCAAGCTCTAAATCAGACTTTCTGAATTCTAATCCTGGCTCTGCCTCTAATGCCCTCTAGAACCTTGGGCAAGTTATTTAGTTTCCTGCCTCCTTTCCCTCAACTGTAAAATGAGGATAATATCAGCAACAGCCTTGAAAACTTGTTGAGAACCTAAATAAGTTAATACACAGAAAGCATTCCTACCTGGCACACAGTAAGTGCTCAATAGATGTTAGCTACTAATAAATCACTGAGCATAATCATTGATGCTCAATAATACTTGGCCATACTTAATTTTTCTTCCTTTTCTACAACCCTTATTTCCCATTAGTAGACAGTTCCTGAAATTCCACATCTGCTGTGAAATTTTCTTGTAGCGTTAGGTCAGTGCTAACTCCTAACTCCTTTATTACCTCTTTCTCCCATGTATGTAGATCCATGTCAAAGTGCCTACCTTTAATTTTAAGTTTCTATACCATGAGCATTTAGTCTGGGAGATTCTCTTTATAAGGCAGAATAGTAATTCCAAAAGAAATAGGTACTTTGATGCTAAGGACAACGAGGAGAATTACTGGGAAAAGGATAAATATATAAAGCTGTGGAAAGGGCTTTCTCTTTATCTTTGAGGTCGGTCTCTCCCTTAGTTGATCTGACCACATCAGGATTTCATTTTACTCTAATGGGGTGAAAGTGCAATGAGCCTCAGGCCAATGTGGCTACTTACCCCTTTCTAACTGCTAAAATACAATTTCCCTTTGCCATTAACTATCTTTATAAAAAGCGAAAAAGAAAATAAAAATTAAGCTATAATCTTCCAGTGGGAATTTTCAGTCCTCCCTGTGGTAAACTGGTGAACAGGAGAAGTTGACAAAGGGTAAGGATCCAGAGGGTTATAAGAAATCTTAGGTAGAGAGGTACTGACTCCAGTATTTCCAACCTGCTCTGGGTAAGTATGGTGGTAGAATTCTTGTAATAAATAATTGGACGTGTGTGTTAGTGTGAATATTTCTTTTAATCCAAATACACTTATTAGGAAGCATCACTGTCTATATCAGAAAACAAGGATTTTACTCTTTTGCTATTAGGTATTTCATAGTCTTTTTTTTTCTTTGCATGCTATTAAGTATCAAGTTTTGTGTTAATAACTTTACAGGAAGGCTGTGGCCAAACCTGGTGAAGACTACACATCAGTGGTCTTTCTTATTATACAAGCCAGGCAATCATATATATACTCAACCAGATTGTATTAACTATCAGTGGTATTTATCATCATGGCATCTAATCTACTATACATTTGGTCAAAGATAAAAAAGTATCTGGCTTGAAGTGCCTTCTACAAGCCAGTTGTTATCGTTACAGATTGATTGCAACAGATATGCTTTTGGTACACAGAATCTGAACACATTATCTCTGACTCTTCCTCCACCCACTTCAGTGACAGCTTTGGTCAGCAACAGCTGCAGCTGATATATTACTCTACTTGTTTAAGAAAGTGACATAAATACAGAGACGAGATGACATAAAGCTGTGAATGTTGGACATGGCTCTTATAAAGTTTTCCTGAGCCAATCAAAAAAACAGGATATGTGCTAAAAGAATTTGTGTATGCTGCCAGTTACTTAGAAAACATGTGGACAAATATATGCTTTCAGTAACTAACGCATTAATAAAGGTGGATTCGCATGCAAGACTTGGTTGCTATCCTAGTGGTTTTAAGGCAATAACAATTCCAATAGGATCCCATATGAATTTCTTGAAACGTTGTGCTAGAATAGGTCATTTATTTTTGCACAGGTTCCTATTCTTGCAAATAAAAATAAATTTCCAACAGTCTCACGGTCATCCATTGAATAACATGACTTCAAGTCCTATATACTGTCATTTTATACCTCTAATCTGGCATAGATTAGAAACAGAAAGGAAAATTATGCATATAATCTTAAAACTAGAAAGATCACATTGCAAGTCAGCTGTGTCAGTAATTTCCGCTTTCAGGAGTTACACAATGCTTAAACAATAGTTATCCTACCGGGCTACAGTTCACTTAACCTCACAGTCCAGCTGATGATTGATGAAGGGTCAAGAGGGTAGCAGACTTTGGGTGCACAACACTTCAATCCTTTATCAAAAATGGCAAGAGGCCACATACTACAATAACGGAACAAATACTTCCTTTTACCGTACAGTAAATTCCTTCCTCTGATTGGCTAAAGCTTCAGTGCATGGTTCACAAGAACAAAAATACATTCTATCATGAGCAAAACACATTTTAAAGAGCAATCACTTAAATCTCGGGCCAAGTGAAATGTCTATATCCCTATAATAATTAATAACCAAGTATGTCTATTTGTCTCCTTATGCTAAAATGTCCATGAAAGAGTTGATAAGTGGACTTCTGAAATCTAACTCTTCAGCTCATGTTGCACAAATCCTTATTCATCAAGACACACACCCAACTATAAAGGCAATTAAACTTTTCAGTATGTGCATGAGGAATACCCAGAATGATCTAATTCAATATAGGGCAAACTACAATACTACTTCCATCTTTGAAAGTTTTTAAAAAGCCCTATCCAGATCATTATTATAAATTAATTCAGAATCAGGGGATATATCTATTTTGAAAGAAAATAAGGGGATAAAACATTATTTCAAATGTGTGAAATTCTGGTTAATTGGATTATATTATGGTAAATAAGGGTTAATCAGAAAACACTTATCCTAACCCATGTTGTTGAAAAATCTTATTTTTCATAATTGATAAGTATTGCCTCTGTAAGTATAGCATTTTCTCCTTTTTAGTGTAAGTCTGAACATCGATTCAAATTTGTAGAATAATGTAGATTTAGGTTAGGTAGAAGATTTAAATATAATGTTGAAAATCCTAGATCAGTGGTTCTCGGCCAAGGGTGATTTTGCCCCCTAGGGGATATTTGGCAATGTCTGGAGACATTTTTTATTGTCACAACTGGGGAGAAGGAAAACTACTGGTATCTATTGGGTAGCTGGCCAGGAATGCTGCTAAACATTCTACATTGCACATGACAGCCCCTCCACAACAAAGAATTATCTGGAACCAAATGTCAACAATGCCAAGGTTGAGAAATCCTGGCCTAGATGTTGCTTTAAAAAATAAATTACTGATAGTATGTCATGCTTTCTTCTAGCTACCTACCTCTTCCCTGAAAAATGAAGTGCATGTAGCCAAAAAAAAGTATATTATAGCTAATCAAAATTTTATTCCATAAAAACAAATTCATTTGATAAATATATATAGTATCAACTATGTACAAATTTCTGACTCAGAATAAAAAAATTATTTCATAAAAATAATGTGTTCAAATGTAATACCCAAATCAATGCAGTCTTTACACATTAATGTGTGTGAAATAACTAATTTTAAAATTTGTTTTCAGTATTTTAAAAATTCTGAAGTACTATACTGAATTTTCTCTGATCACTTTCCCACGTCTTAACTCACTTGATTTTTAGCATGACAAATAGGGCACTCCAACTTTTAAAGCTATTTATAATCTCAGAACCCAAAGAAATAAATGTAAAAGTGTATCGCCACTTTTAAAATTTAAAATGTATTAAAAATGTATACTGAATCACAGATTAACCAGTTAAATCAAACTAAGAGTTACGTTATATATACATTAATTATTTTACTCTACTCTCCAACTTCATTTTATTAACACAGTGACCCAAAAAGGCTTGGGTTGAAAGGGTATTAATACTATTAATCTTGTAAAACACACACATGTTCAACCATTAGATAGGTGTTCATTACCTTCCTTCTTAGCAAAAAGAGAAGACTGACCCTTAATTTCTCCCACAGAACACTGATCCAAAGTGGCCCTTCACAGAGATTGAAATGCAAGCCTCACTCAGAGGCCACAAAGAGACAGGGGACTCTTAAAACCATCTGGCAGCCGTGACCACTGAAGGGCTGCGCATTCATGTTCTACATATCACAGACAGAAGGTCCTGGATCCCCACCAAGACCCACCTGGGTCTGCAGCAGCCCACACCCTGCCAATCCTTTGGGGTTCAGCACCAAAGGTTATTATTGACTTGAACATTTTTATACAGCAGAGAAGGACCCATGGGTTGGAATGAAGAAATATGTCCAGAATCCAGGAGGTCTGCTTCCTCACCGCACTCTCACTGACCACATGCCTGTGAGCCAGTCCTTGAGTGTCTCTGAGGCTCAGTATACATATCTGTAAAACAGGTGTTGTTGGGAGGATTAAATGAAATCAATGTACATGAAAGAACTTTATAAACTGCCAGGCCCCATAAAGCGCATGAATTTGTTTTTTGCGGAATGTACAATAGGGCCTCTCCTTCTTCTTTCTCTGACGTCCCATGAGCATCCTCCTGCCCCCTTTTATTTACTCTCAAGAGACAGGTCATCAAACTGAACCAAATCCCATCAGATAGAATCCACAACAGTCTGAGAGATGCGAATGATACATTCCATCACTTTAACATGGAACTCTATTTCTTCCTGTAATCTGTATTGAGTGGCAAGTGCTCTGGGTGCATTACTTCAGTTAGGCTTCACAACAACCCTACCATATAATAATCATCCCTGTTCTACCAGCAGAAAAGTGAAGCACAAAAAGATTTAAAACTCACCTGATTTTCACAAAGCTAGAATTGAGGGAACCAGGACAGGAGGCAAGCCCATTTAATTCCAGAGCCCACACTCTTAACCCCTACCACAAACAACCTCCCATTTTAAAAATAGAGTTGTTTCTAAAACCAAATACCAATTTTTGTAAAGTGAGCCTCACAGTGTGCTGAGAGCCAAGCAATGTACAATTACCATACCATATAGATATACTGAATCTTTTCACTTTGTACACCTACTCTTCCCAACTTTCTCTTGGTCAGGACACTGAAAGCGGGACCAGTGAAACCGACATTTTGCCTAAAACATGGTTCTACCAGTGATTTTCTTAAGTTCAAGAAGAAAGTCGCTTCTCCACTGAGATATTTACAATCATCTCTGACATTGCAGAAGTGAATTACTGGTATGTTTGATGAGATGATGCAATCAATGAATATGTGAAAATAATGGTGATAATAATACATGCTTATTCATAACACTTCCAGGTTACAGAATGCTTCCATTATACATTATCTCACAAGACTGGATCATCCAGCCATGAGGGGAAGAAAAGATGTGCAAATATTGGAAGGAAAAAGGTAAGCCAAGCGTCAGAGTAACCAAGGAGAGAACTAGTGCCCAGGGTTCTTGCTTATTCATTCTACAATGAAAACTGAAATTTTGGAACTTCTGAAGGACTAGAAAAGAACACATATCTTGTGATTCCAAAATAATTTTGAAATATTTTCCTTTTATGCAAGACCATAAAACAAAACAAAACAAAAACTTTATTAAAATAATTCTATCTGCATTTTTATATTATAAATATAATCCTAGAAATACAAAATTTACCTTATGGAGTACATTGTGTGAATAGATCAGAAGTAAAAAAAAAAAATCACAAAAATACATAAGTAGAAAAGTACAATGTTTGCATTAATACCCTATTTGGCCCCCATCCATTTTTATCTCTCCTCTCCCTAATTACTACTAGCCACTGCAGGCAGTTATAATGACTTAGTTTGCCTATCCCCTCCAGGCTTAATACAGGACTTTATAAGGGACTCAACTAAGGCATGAAATGGTTAATTGATGGAAATTAGGTACTATAAAATAAATGGCACACAGACAAGCCACCCTAAATTCAGCTGAAATGCAACTTTGAGCAAAAGCAAACCACAAATTTAATAGCACTACAACAAAAAATGTTCCTTTTGAACTTGACAGTTCCCAGTCATTCAGCCCAGAGTAACACACAGGGAACAGTCCTCAGAAAGTTCTGTGGTGTCTTCTGAATCACTGCCATTACCCGAGAAAACCCCAGGAAGTGGTTTGACTGAGTAGCTGGACCAGTGCGTAGGTATCAGCTGATGTCTCTCACACATACAAGTCAGTAACAATGGGGACACTGTGAAACCAGGAATAACCTTCCTTATCTTTAGTAGTTGGGGAAATCATTTCTAACTCAGTGAGTATATAACTTGGGAACAGGTCAAATGGTTAATTATTCACTGAGAGCTTAGTAATTAATCTGCGTTAGATCAAATATCATCAGACCTGAATAACATAAGGATGTCCGATGTCTGGAACAATGAGTCTTTGGAATCGCTTCCATAAAGCAGCAATCTTTCCTAAACAGTTATGTCCAACAAAGAACAAAGCCTAAATGCAGGCAGCTGTTGGCAAAAACTAATCAAAATGGACCGTGATTTCATAAAACCTTTCAAAGTCAGTTTATTTTAAAATATAAGTTGATGCCATCTTTTTCTGCTCCAGCAAATGGTTGGAGCAAACCATACTATTAGGTGAAACTCCAGCTGCTGATAAATCTGGGCGGTGGCAAGCCAGTGAGCTCACCCGGAAGAAAACCATGCAGTCACAGAGTCCATCCTCACATGTCTTTATCTAACAACCAAAGGAAACCAAAGGAAAAGGTCCAAGACATCCTGCCAAACCAAAACTAAGAGAGATACTGTGATTTATCTAAACCCAGAGATATGAACTAACTAGCTACCTCTTTTCTGTAACAGAAGTTAGCCCTTTAATGGCCACGATTGAGGGTCATAAAAGGAAGTTATGATTTCATGCAGTATTGGGTTTTTTACAATTCATAAATTTCCCACTGGATGCTTTTCAGTGTATTATCCCAATGGTTAGCACCTTTTTGACTGATTTGACTATTGTTTTTCTACATTCCCAGCATCTACAATCCCAACTTCTGGAAGTTTTAATTATCCAAAGGATCTAACAAGGTCACAAGGGCAACCATAAGACACAACTTTTACCCATAACAGCAATATTCCCCTCACAAGAAGAATCTGCAATTCCAATTCTAAAGCATTACACAGCAACCCTTTTTTACAGACACCACACAGCTTTGACCCCAGCAAGAGCCCACTGCACAGAAACATAGAACAGACTCACCTGCCTTCAACACTCAGCAGTATATGTACCAAGAGCTCTCCAGCTCTCCTGTGCGAAGCCACAGCCACCTTTTGGGAAATCCTTTATATCTACTCACTAGAAAAAAAATGGCTGTGTGCCCCCAATCCAAACAAGACATTTAAAGAAGCAGACTTTTTTCTTATCTCTACTTTCCCAAAAGAAGTGGATACCTTAAAAACAAGCTGTATATTCAAAACAGCAAATTCTGGGATGGACTGAGAATTAATCCAATCACCACCATTATTTTGAACACCAATACTATTGACTAGTAAATGAGGTACACCATGATTTACCACAGGCTTACATATACGAAGTGTCTTTTATGTTATTAAAACTTAAAAAATCATTGTAAGTATAATTGACTACATTATTTGAAAACAATTAATCCATGAATGGAATATATGATTATTCTCAATTTTGAGCACACATTTTCCAGCCACTCTGGATTGAGAGAAATACACCATTTGCGTATACTGAATCTGGCATGATCATATAGCGCTAGGTTCATATATTGCATGAAAAAACAAGCCTTCTCCCCATTACCTCTTCCTATCCTGGCCCATGGGAATTTTAAGAACAGCCTCCAACAGAATAATAAATTAACATATTCATAAAAAGAATAGATGAGGTGTTCCCTAGCTCCTGAATTTTTTTAAGTTGACCAATAATTTTTCAAATTATCTAAGGAATGAGCAACATCCTTCTAAAATACTGAGTTTTCTGGGATCTGACCAACATCAAAAGAAACACACAGTTGCACCAATCCCTGAGCAGTTAGCATGACTTCGGTCTGAAATGGGAGGACACACCATACTTAAATTGACCCACTGCAAATGGTTCCCCTCCACTCAGCCATTTGCTATTAAAAGAACCAAGCTGTTCTGAAGATAAGCAGGAAGAGGATATTCAAAACGTGTAGGCGGGATATTTTCACAGAGCTTCTCTAAATTCCAAATACCTGAACAAACTGAACCAAATTAAAAACTCAAGTTTTTAACCTGAGTTAATAAAAAACAATGTTCACTTCCTTTTTCAACTACTCATGAATATATAAAAACTTAAATGAAATAAAAATCTATAACAAAACTTTTGGTAAGGTTGCTTACAAATGTTTTCAAAACACCATGATACCAGAAGTTTAAATTTCCATTTTTAGATTTTTTTTTCTCCAGCTCAGGCTTAACAAAGATATACCTGTTTAGTTGCTTTTTTAAAAAATCTATTTTTATCCCATATAAATTAGTAAGCAGACCAAGCATGATTATTGTTTTGAAATCAGTGTTTTCGGTAGACAGCACACCCTTATTGAATTATAAGGCATGTACTGAGTATATCCTATATGCTATCACCAAGGAGGTTCAAAAGAGTTATGACTATAAACCATAGCCCTATGCCTAAGGACTAACAACTAGGACAGGAAAGACATGTATATATAAAACAATTATACTCTTCTATGAGGGGTAGAGTCAAAAGAGAAGAAGGAAAATTATTGACAAATGCAGCCAGCAAGGACCAAAAAGAAGGACACTCAGGAGGGAAGAGAATGAGCAAAGGCCTGAAGATCTGAATAAACATGGTCCATTTATAGGACCTTAAGGAGGTCAACTGGACTGGATCAGAGGGCTTAGAGACACGATAAGAATTAAAACTGGCTAGGTAGGGCAGGGTCAGAGGTCCCCTGTCCTGACACCTTTGGTTTACAGATAAGGAAGCTAGGCTCAAAGTGGTGAATGAGTCAACAAATTCTTTAAGTGCTTCCTATACACCATCTTCTCTACTAGGCACTGAGATGCAGAGGTGAATAATAAAATGTCAGTGACCTCAGGGAGTCCACACTGGGGACAGACAGACAAAAAATACATCAACTATTAAGTTGATCATTTCAGATTCTGATCATTTCTATGAAGTAAAAAATGCAATAAAAACTGAACTAGGGATGGATTAAGGAAACTGCTCAAACTTGGGTCACAGGTGGCCTGTCCAAAGAAGGGACATTTGAGTTGAGACTTGAACAATGACAAGGAGCCATGCAGGGGATATGCAGGTAAAAAGCACTGCCAGCAGGAAAAGCAGTAAGTGCAAAGACAGGGACAAAAACAAGCTCAGCAAGTTTAAGGAACAGAATGAAGGCCATTATGACTGGAACCTATCTGGGAATGGGGTGTGTAGAGGAAAATGAGCCCAGAGAAGCAGAGCCCTATGGGACATGGTGAATAGCTTGGATTTTATTCTAAAGGTTAGGAGAATGCATCTATTAGATAATTTTTAGCAAGGGAGGGTATTATATAATTTATATTTAATAGGCTACTCTGGGGAGTGTGGAGGCAGGGAAGCCTAGTAAGAGCTTTTGCAGCCTACAAGGACAGATGCTGGTGGCTTGGACTGAAACTATAGCAGAGCAGAGAGTAAGAAGACATAACATTCAGCACTTATTTTGGAGAGAGAGCCAGAAGTACTTACTGGATTAAATGTGAGTCTGGGAGGAAGGAGAGGAATCCAGGATGAATTCTGGAATTATGGCCTGAGCAACAAACATGGTTGATTTAGTGAAACATGGTTCTGTTTGGTGAAATGGAAAGGTTTGGTGGAGGAGCACAGCTGTAGGCAGGGGGACACTGATAGTTCTCTTTTGCCTATTTCAACTTTGATATGTCCATTGGACAGCCAAGTGCATGGATTTAGGAGGAATACAAGTTGAAAATTCATGATAGATCCATTAATGAAAATAAAACTTTGAAAATTATTTAGCATATTGATGATATTCTAAACCATGCTGGGATATCTGCTAGAAAGAGAATTTAGATAAAGAAGATAGGAGGATTTAGATAGAACCCTAAGGGAGTCCAACACTTAGGGGCAGCCTAGCAAATAAGACTGACAGGGAAAGATGGGAGAAAGTGTAGTGTCATGGAAGCTGGGAGGATCAAGCATTTCATTAAACAAGACAGAGTGGTCAACTGTTCAAAACGTTGTAAAGAGTTGAGAAGATGACGACGAAGAATGATCACTGGCTTTGGTAAGATATATGAGAGGTGAGGAACTTAAGACAGTTAGTAAAGATAAATTTGAGGAGTTTTGGTGAACAGTAATGTTTCCAGGGTCACAAAGCAAGTTAAAGCCAAGCAATTTAAAACAGGTCTCTGGATTCCACTTCCTGTGCTATTTTTGTGGCTCTAAGCTACCTGTCATCCTATGGATAATAAAGACCCTCTGAAGAACTTTGAGCAGGAAAGAGGGGTGCTAAAAGAGAGTTATTGTAAAATTAATCTGATAGCAGCGTATGAGATCAATTCAAGACAGAAGCTTCCATAGTAGACAGGTGCAGTGATGAGAGCCTGCATTAGTAGACAGCAAAAATGGAGAGGAATAGGCCATAGGGACAGCTCCAAAGAATGCACAAGGCCAGGGAAAGTTAGAATGATTCCCATTGAGTGCCACTAATCCCAAGAATCATTCAACAAGATAGGAGAAAATAAAGTGATGAAATGCAAAAGGGCTAAGTACTTTTGAAAAATTCTATTATAGGATATGTCACACAATGCCTGTATTTAAAAATAAGACATAGGTCAGGAGTGGTGGCTCACATCTGTAATCCCAGCACTTTGGGAGGCCGAGGGAGGTGGGTTGCTTGAGCCCAAGAGTTTAAGGCCAGCCTGGGCAACGTGGCCAAATCCCATCTTCACACACACACACACACACACACACAAACACAAAATGCAAACATTAGTTGAGCGTGGTGGCATGGGCCTATAGTCGCAGCTACTCAGGAGGCTGAAGTGAGAGGATCACTTGAGCCCAGGGGGTTGAGATTGCAGTAAGCTGAGATCGCACCACTGCACTCCAGGGGGTGCAACAGAGTGACACCCTGTCTCAAATAAAAACATTAAAGTAAATAAAGGTAAAAATAAGGCATAACAGTTTCTACAAAAGTATCAACTTTGTATATTTTTGCCCTTTTCTTTATTATCATATATTATCACTTTTACCATTGTTAATGCTTTGAACAACATATAAACTAGTCTTATTGGCCATCTTCACCATGTAGTCCAACCTGTGCACTAACAAGCTCATGAAGTACACATATATCTAGTTAGTTTTAATCAAGAATGCCCTCTTTAATTATTCAAGTTTTATTAGGTGACTGCTAAGTAACTAAGGCCAAGTGAAGAAAATATGGCCACAATATAAGAAAATATGGCCACAATATAAATCAGTATTTCCAATGAATACCACAATACAAATTTTTATTTAATTCCCCAGAAAGTAAATAATGTAATATCACAGTTCAGAACTGAAATTCCTTTTCCAGAACATTTCCATTCAACACTATTTAGGATTTACACATCTTGTTCCCGCCCTAAAATGGTTTACTACCAAAGTCCAAATTGTATCTCATTCCAATGTATTGTGCATCATTCTACACCTTTGGTTAAATTAGAGAAAGTAAAGAGAAAAAAAAAATCCAAAGTTTGGCAGTTGAGCCCTTCATACTCCTAAACTATATCTTTACTGACCTTTTAATTCCAACATGTGAAAGGCACTAGAAAAATTAGGAGACTTCCTGAGATCACAGCCTCCTGAGAAACTATGCTATTGTCCCCAAAAGAAATACACTGGTACAAGGGAGTGAGGTACCATGAGGTACAATGAGGATTATAACATGGGCTTGTAAAAGGTATTTCAACTATTCTTTAGCTTTTGTGATTAGAAAGATGTATTGCTTGATCGTGGAAATGCAAGTGAAAGAATGCAAAGGCAAAATTTCCAAACAAGTGCTGGGATTGTGTGTTTCTGTGTGTGTGTATGTGTGTGTGTGTCTTAACATGGAGCCCAAAAGGTGATGCAGCACTCTTCCAATATATTATTTAACTAATCCTCATGAACATATTTCCATCACTGATTTTTATAGGAGTGGAGGCAATCTTGATATTCTCGGCAATTGTCAGGCATATTTCTGATATCATTTAAACTTCTGATGCAGTAAATTGTCTCCAAAAAACTCTGTCAAAATCCACATGACATTGGCTTCAGCACAATGAGAAAATGATGGAAACAGAGTGTACTCTAAAATCACGTTAACACAGACTCATTAATCACTGCATAGCTAACAAATGTTCCCAATTTCAACATGTATTTCAAAGCACAGCTCTACACCCTTCTGTATACATAATTTTCCAAACGATTCACAGCTAAATGGCAACGAATTTATACATCCATTAAGATAACAACTGAGAATACATTTTGAAACAAGTATTCAGACCTAGAGTTTCTGTGGGTGTGAATTCATGAATTCAAAGCCTATTTCTCGCCTTACTGGTGACAGCAACTGAAGCAGGAAGGGATGGTGCCGGCAGTGGTCAAAAGCTGTCCATAACCCCATGTGAAGTCAGTGGCAACCGTCTCCAAGTTCCATATGAGACAAGCAGGCACTGAGGATGACATCAGGGAAGTACAGAGTGTTTTCTGTGCCTCCCCAGATGTCCTGGCAGGAGACAGGCTTTTCCCAATCTAAGGGAAAACCAGCCAGGAAATGTGTCTCAGTTGACAGCCCCAGATCACAACTTCTGAGTGGTGATAAAAAGTGACTGTAGGGACACTGAGAGGCCTCTCTGCAATCCTGCTGGGACTGAAGGCACCTCGCCTCATCATCCTAATTACAGAAATCCTAAGGTTAGAATGGAGATGGGGCTCCAAGGTGAGGACATGGTATGGGGCAAAGGACCTTGGACTTGAACTCAGAAGACTTGATATCTATCTCTGGCTCTGCCACTCATGAACTGTGTGGCCCTGGATATGTCATCTAACATGTCTGATCCTCTATTATGTTATTTATAAACTTAGAAAAAGAGAAATATATATCCTCACTATCATACGGCTTTTGTAAGAATTCAATGAGATTATGTGTGTAAGAGTCATTGGTAAATTACGAAAGCCGGCAAAAATGGCGATTTCTCACTTTATGGAGGGGCACATCCTTTATACTGTAGGCAATGGGTACTCAGTGAAGCTTTTAGATCTTCACAGTAACCTATTAAACGTGATGTTTTAAGAAGATGAGCCTTGTAGTGGAATAAGGAACTGACCACAAACAGAGTAATTTGAGTCAGGAGCACCAGCTAAGAGGCTGTAGTAGACCAGGCATGATGAAGTAGAATCTTTCTATGGTAGTGGCACTTACACTATCCAGCAGGGAGCTTTTGAGGAAGAACATGGATGTTGAATGTTGAGCACAGCGTCAATAATAAATTAGAGATGATTATTCTCTGAGCTCCCGTTATAATAAACTCCATCCTCCAACCTCTTGAGCCCTCCACTAGCACTGCAAATTCAACCCCATTATCCTCTTGACCTGCTCCTTCTCCTCTATCTCAAACTCAGATCCCCACTTGCTAATGCAAGACCCCCTTCTCTCCTTGGTTTTCACTTCTTCACAGCTGCTGGAGTGGCTCTTTGCTCTCATGTTGACTTTGGGTCCCTGATTCTCAACCATCCCAGGCCATCTGACTTCAGCTGTCTGAGCAGCTGCAGATCACACAGTCAGATACTTCATTAACACCCTCCCCAGGCTTCCACAGTCTCTTCTCCAGGCAGCCTTCCAGCCTCCTTCTGACCCTCCCATGCCCGTCTCCAAACATGGCTCACCCACAGGCTGCGTTCTGTTTCCCTGGTTTAAACTGCAATCCCAGCAAAAGTCACTCAATAGTGCCACATGGGCCATGATCTCTGACTTCCAATGAATTCTTTGAGGACCAAGACTATGTCTTGTTCATATTGTATCTACAGGGACTAGCATAGAACCTGGCATATAGAATACCCTCAATTGAACACCAATTTCAGTGAATGAAATTGATAATTTGGAAACTCTATAATTCATCTCTCCTATAATGGTGCTTTTCTTGGCGTCCACCTACCCCCTCACTACTCCTCTTAGTCATCTTTATTAGATTCTATTATTCATTCGTCCCCAAAGCAGGAATATTTCCCAGGATTCTAAACTCAGCTCTCATATTCTCTCTTTGCTCTCTCTCCAGCAGAGAACAGTTCCCACCAGCAAACACAGTAGAATGTCAAGACATTTCAGATATTCACCCTCACTAGGACCCAAATTCAATGCTCCTGCCAACAACCCCATAACTTGCACCCTCCCCCAGATGGTGAAGCCACACCAAAAAAATTGACTCCAATGAGAAGGAACAAAGGTCAGAGAGGAATTGGACCCTCCCAGTGGAGACAGCTGAGCCTCAAGTGGGACTGACAGGCAAGCCTTTGCCACCAGACACAGTCACCAGCGTGTCCTACATTGATGACAAAGAAGCCTCTCTTCTCAGGGATCATTACTTGCCTTTAAAAGTCCAGATTCTCTGAGGCCTGGGAGCTTTATACCTTTAAAGGCATTCGGTGTCCTCTCTTTGAGACAGTCTTCCATATCCAAGAGAAAGGTTTGCTTCAGCACTTCATTACAAACGGGGAAAGCTGCCCTACACCTCTGAGATCCTAGTCCAAACCTGTCCATTTGGCCTGCGTGGCTCAGACTCTCTTTGATCAAGTCCCCAGGCAAAGTTCGGCCTACAACTGGGCTCTTCCTAGATTCCCTCCATCCATCAATGCCTTGGCACAATTTGAGGCCACAATCACAACTGCAGGTTCCTCACACCCTCATCTCGACAGAACAGTTATATAAAATAAAATGTGTCTTCTCCCCAGCAGTTCTGGTCTCAGTTACTGGCATTTCCATTCCTTGAACCACTGGGGTTCAGACGTAAGGCATCTTTAACATCTCTAGTACTCAGTTTGGATCAAGCATGAAATGTCATTTTTTTTCCCCATACTAGACTCAAGTTTCTTGAGGAAATAAGTTTTTATCTTATGCTTTATGGTTAAAATGCATAGATCCTCTTTCATGGTTTTACTGTATGTTTCTGAACCTTCTTAAGCTTGTTCCCTCAGGAGGGAAATAAATTCTTTATTGGACTATGCCATGTGGCCTTATGAATACCTCTCCACTCATATAAAACTAACCTAAATAACAGAAGGAAACAATTTTGGATATGGCCTTATCCAGTTCACACGAGTCAGGCTGTGATTTTATGGAAAATTAGGCACTTGTGGGCAATTAGTTGTTTAAATATCTATAAATCATCATGTCAATAATTTTTAAATGTCCAGTTAAAAATTTAAAAGTTTGGAAAGAGAATTTTTTAAGACTAATTCTGTAGCAAGTGAATTAATTCCAAGAAAATGAATGTAGACAACTAGAGCAACCAGATTTGAGACACAGTAAGAATGGCCCTACACATGTTATTAGAGTACATTCCTGTGCATCCTTTAGTTCTGAGGCAATCAGATAGTGTCATCTAACTTTAGTGAAGTTAGAAGAATGCCTTTAATAAAAAGTCTTGGACCTGAGTTCTGTCATCTGTATTCGAAAATATGGTCTCTGAGGTCCTGCTTTCAGCTATCAGGATAGTTAGACCTCACAGATCTCCTTCTCTCTTAGAAAATGTATATTCTTCCAAGTAAAAAGAGTAGAATAAAATATTTCCACTAAAATGCACTTATCTCTACATACTATGCCTCCTCAGAGATCTGTGTCTCTCGCTGAGTTCCCAGTCTCATGCTCTATGAAAGTCCTTCCTAAAAGCCACCATTCAACATGAGCTTCTAGTCCTGCTGACTCAAATGATGACATCTTGTTATAGAAATCTGAGTGCCTCACAGTGGATCTACACATCAGTTACTGATGGCCACTGCCAACCTCTGTCACAGGAAGATTAAGATAACACAGTTAAAGCTGTAAACACTGCCCTAATTATCAGAGTTTGCTACCATTATCAGGGCTGCAGGAGGACTCTACCCAGAGTCATCACGCTCTCTCCTGACATCATATATACGAGGTCAGAGCCTTTCAGCTCCTAAGCCCCAGCAGACAAGCTCCAGTGAGCAGAGCTTATCCTTAAGCCACTGTCAATACAATGTGTAATTTTGAGTATAAAGCCCATCCATTTATTAGGCCTTATATTCTTCATCTATAAGGTGACTACAGTGAAGTATGAAACATTTTAAAACTTGGATAATCACTAAGAAGAATTCCTAAAGCTAAAGAGTCCTTCAATACCGATAACTCACTGATTACATAGAAAAGAAGTAGAAGAGGCAGAGGGCAGTAGCTCATGCCTGTAATCCCAGCATGCTGGGAGGCCAAGGTGAGAGGATCACTTGAGGCCAGGAGTTTGAGATCAGCCTGGCCAACACAGTGAGATCCTGTTTCCACAAAAAATAAATAAATAAATAGCCGGGAGTGGTAGTGAGCACCTGTAGTCCTAGCTACTTAGGAGGCTGAGGCAGGAGGATCATTTGAGCTCAGGAAGTCAAGGCTACAATGAGTTATGATCATGCCACTGCACTCCAGCCTGGGTGACAAAGCAAGACTCTGTCTATAAAAAACAGAAAGGGGGGGAGGGGAGGGGAGGGAAAAGAAAGAAAGAATCATATATTCCCTCTCAGAATGAGCTTTAGCAATGGGTCATTCCATTGTTCTGACAGTGTCAATTAGGAATCTTCCTAATTTTGAGGGTTTCTCTTTATCGTTTACATAACGCTGGCGTAATGTACCTTTAAGAAGGTAAAATTCAGTGTCACATTACCTCAATGTTTTAGGTTGGTTTTTGGTGTTAGCTTCACTCTCCTAAACCCTGCAACACAATAGGAAGCTTAGTGAAAGGACCACATATTAACCAGGAAACTCCATCACCTGCACTGACCAAAGCTGATAAACTAACCACCCATACTACATTCAAATAGTCTGATCATCTATAAGTAATAAAAGTGTCTCCATAGAAACCAAGTATACAGGGAAATCTGCTTACAGTACAGGATCTGCTTGAACAAAAAGACTTCACTTCAAGCCAAGATTTTGCTCTAACTTAGGTTTACACATCATCATACACGGATAGCATTCGATATCACACCTTTGGAATTTCACAGTCCTGAAGATTACAAAAAGCTCTGCACATGGAGAGAGAAAGGGGGGAAAAGCTTTGGGAGAAAAGATTTGCATATGTAGTTACAAAAATACCAAAGCAGATTCCATGCTAAGCTCTGCCAAAAAGAGAACAATTACTGTTGCCCATCAGCACGCAGCCTTGAAATTATATTCTCTTCTCCAAGCAGAAGCAGTCATCAGATTATCAAAATGAGGTTATCCTGACTCAATTCAAATAGTTCTTATATGGAATAAGCACAGTGCAATCAACAGACAAGCAGCTATTTCCTTCCCACACAAACTATAATCTTTTGTGAAATATATTTTTAATGAAGAATACATAACCCTCCTACATGTTTACTTCTGCCCTCACACTCCTACACATAAAAGTGCAAATACATTTTAAAGAAAGGGAGAAGAATTTTATAGCTTCTAATAACATCCCTTACAACGTAGGGCAAAGAACAGTAGCATCTGAACTAACCCTCAAATGAAACTTTTTCATATAGTGTGATGCTTATGAAAGTAAAGCTAGTCTCCAGCAGCTCCTCAGGAAAAGTACAATGAAATCGACATAAACAATGGATCTCACCAATATTTTAATAATTTCTTTCTAATTAGATGCATTGTGAAGGCTTAATTCATTCAACTACTAATAACTCAAAACTCACAGAGCTCTGAGCTTTATCTTTTGCAAATTTCAAATTATAAATTTCTTGTCATGAGTCATTCTGCTACTCAAGAAGCAAGTTTTCAAAAGGAAGGTTTTTCTTTTTTGTAGGTAACATTTATAGTGACAGTCATTTTTCTTTCTCCTTTAATCCCTTGAATTTTAAATGTCTAAAATTGAAATAATATGACTTGATGGGTGAAACATTTTTACCATTAGGTTAGCTGATTTGAAATGAGGCTATAAAAATAATTATGAATGTTCATGCCCACTTAACAGAATTGTAAAACAGATAAAAGTTTTAAAATCTCTTTTTCCACTAGGGCTTTTTTATCCTACACACAATATCTGTTTGAGGGTACTGGATCTTGGAATGCATCTCATAATTTGGTTCCTAGGAGGGAAACCATTAAGAAATTAATTACAGTGACAAGCAGCCTTGGTGATCTCTTACATTAAGGGAATATGCCTTTGTTCTGGAAAAAAAAAAGGAATAAAACTTGGTAAGCCAAATCAATAAGTGTCTTTAAAAAAATAGCCTTAGAAGATCAGAAAATCAATTTTGCCTAAATGTGTGAATGATGTAATCCTATTACACTAAAAGGAGTGTTTTAATTTTGCCTAATTGTCATTTAAAAAAAAAAGAACAAAATAATCGCTGAAAAGGTAGACTAAACAAACATCGACAAACCAGTGTCGTTTCATTCACACCTAGAATGATGTCGTTTCATTCACATCAGAAGAGAACCTTGTCTCCTTAACTCAGCAAAAGCTCAAGAATTACTTTTGCAAACAAAGTAGCATAGGGTAAGGATAGAGACAGGAAGAGAAAGAAGAGGAAGAGAAAGAAAAGGAGGAGTTAGGAAGACAGACTAGCAAAAAAGTTTGGGAGATGGACACCGTTATCCAAAAGCAAATGTAGCTGCTGATGCTAGTGACTAAATCTCACTACATCCAGTTCAGGAACCTTATTCACACGTGTGTAAGAAAGAGGTGGGGAAAAAGCAAGACAATGAGAAAACATTTTTGTGCATTCAGTTATAATGCATTTTCACACACATACACAAATGCACTGCTCTGCTCCTCAAAGCATGCTGATAAGAGGTGCACGTTAACTTTCAAAATCACCTCCAGATAGATACCCAAGCATATAGAGATTAAAAACGACACTAAATTCCTACATAGCACTAGGAATGCTGGCACACCTTTAAATTCAAAATCTCTGTTTTTATACAGGATTGTAATAGTCCAGTTGCTCATGGACCAATCTAACTGATTTGGAAAACAAAATCTTAACTAATTGAAGAAAACTCAGTGCCTTCTCCAGTCAACCCCATGGAGTTACTCTGCGCAGCCCATGGCAAGGTTCTGACTGCCAGCTTCTTTAGGTCCAGGAAATGCACCTTTCCCCACACACAGCCATGGAGGAGGGCTAAGAAACAAACTGAGCCAGAATTGCTGCTGTTCACAAAAGGAATTCCCCCTCCCTTCCCCTCCTTCTCCCTCCCCTTTCTTCTCTCGTCCCTCCCCCATCATCGCTGGAGAATAATATCACTCTGCTACCTGCCTTGAGCAACACCGTGAGCCCCTGTCTTCAAGCATTCAGGGAATTTAACAGCCTGGAAATTCCTGTTGTCCATTCGCTGAGGTCACAGATAAAGCTAAACAACAAGCCGTGGTTCCCATCAATCATAAGTCACTCACTGATAGAATGTATGGTAGGAGACCTGATGGAAGCGAGTCACCAGAGAAAATACCCACTGATGACGCATATCCAGGCATAAAAATAGTTACAGGGCCCTCAAAGGGATTATTCAACAGCCTACATTTAGACTTTCTTACAAGAGACCTGAAGTCAACGTGCTGCAGTTAAGTGGCTGGAGAGTTGAAGTTTAAGCTTCCTCAACAGACATAACCACAGAAAGCTGTTTTAAATAAGCTCCCACAATAACAAGCTGTTTAGTAAATTTTAACACAACTTTATAAGCCGTAAACAGTACCACCAACTATCTTATAAAATGCCGCCTAATCTTCTATTTTATTCACTTTCTCCTTCAAATAATGATTTCTCTTCTTTAACTCGTAGTCCCCAAGCAGTAATATTTAATCAGTCCAAAGAAATACAGCCTTACTTGCTTTCCAAATAAACTTTAGGAAAACAACACAAATTGCTTTCTGCATCTATATCTTTATAAAACATGCTTTTAAGTAAAGCTTAATTACAAATTTCACCAAAAATCCTGACATTTTGCCCACTGTATTTGCAGTTATCTTTTTCATGAATTGGTTTGATCCTTTACAGAAATAATTACCACATGTATTACATATACCTACTAAATATGGTATCTTATACAAAGTAGGCATTATTATTGTTTGACAAATGAGTGAGTGAATGGATGAATCAATGAAATGTTATGTGCAAGTATTTTAATTGAGCAAATGACAAGTAAGATGTTAACTAAGACAAATTCTGGTTTTTTTAAATTTTATGAGGAGGGAAATAACTTTTTATATGTATAACCATTTTAATAGTTTTCAAATCATCTGTTCTCTTTTCCTCCCACTCAAACATATGCATAGCTACCCTGCAAGCAGGTCGTTCACAGAACTTTCATATCAGAAAATGCTGGATTTTCGCACATTTTTATATTTAAATATCTAAAAATGTTCCCTTTCCAGTTTGCCTTAAGCAAATGTGCTGACACAATGAACAATGAAGGCAACTGGCTATGACAGAACCCAAAATTCTGCCTCAGAACTTGAACACTTCCGACTTGCAACACCCTATTTGTTAGTCTTATTACAAATCCTTTCCTAATTGTGGACAGGTTTCCATTGTTACCCAGTTAATTATTAGCCATAGAAATTTATCTATGATAGAATTTATCTCAGTGCTTAATGTTATTAACTATCTTGCCCACACAAATGGCAAAAAACCTGTTAACAACACTGTTCTAACTTTTGACAAAACATGTTTAGGGCTTTACTCTGGAGGGCAGCTCTCCAGTGAACAAGTAGTTAACAAAATGACATTTCTCTTCCTGTCCTGGTAGGTTCTACATCACTTTCCTCAAGAATGATAACACTGCTACAAATACAGGTGCAACATATTTTTAGTACTAAGATTTCACAAAGCATTCACGTTTCTCTCCTGTGCATATGTGTCAACAGTATGTGGCCTAGTTTAAAGAACCTAAATGGAAATGTTCACTGGTGCCCTCTAGTTGATCATTGCTAAAGCAATTTTGAGGAAGTACACGTGTACCTCCATCATCCCACTCATAAATATTGTAAAGTTCCCAATCAACATTCAGCCATTAATTCCTGACATAAAATGTGAAATAAAAAATGAAATTTAGAAACTGCTTTATTTCATAAGGTTTCATTATGCATTTTTTTGGAAAATGAACAATAAAGAAAAACTTTGAGAAACAGAAAAAAAAACCTAAAAGATAAGATGAGACATATTCCTATTTGCCAAAGAAGAAAGAATGTATTAATACTTAATATTAACTCAGAAACCAAAAATGTTTCACTAATTTTACAAAAGGATAGTTCAAAATCAGCCAAGGCACCCTGAAATGATCATGTTTCACCCTGCTACATACATTTGACAGCTTTCAGTCATGGTGGTCTATGCTGGTCAAGTCTGAACTGAGGATCCTCAGATAATTTTAAAACAATACCAATATCCAAAGGAGACACTATTCCAAATTGCACTGACATATTAACTATCAATTCAGAGATCACCGATTGAATCCCATAAAAGGTTATTTCCATCAGCACTCTTAGTTTTAGTAATTCCAGGCCTGTTAAATTTACTATCAACAGAACAATTGTTTTTTGTTAAGAGAAAATGAAACTTCCTTACCCTAGATTAGAAACTATGCTATCATTACAGTTATTTAAATCTGTGAGATCATTTCCTGCATTGTCTCCTCCAATGAAGAAGTTAAACAAATCACCGTTTAAAATTTAAAAATGCAAAAATACATTTCAGAGAGTATGTGCGTTTATCTTTCTGAAATATCAAACAATGTAATCACCTGGTCACTAAATTTAGGACCAGATTATTTAATTATCTGGAAAGAACTGGGGGGAAGGGGAGGATATAGCAAAGGGCGATGCAGCAAAAAAAAAAAAAAATTGCTTTTTCAAATTAATCTTTCTAGAAACAATATTTAAATTCATTCCCCTATGTCACTAGTAAAATACCATGACAATAAATCATTTTACATGTTTTAACTATATTCAAAAAATGGGAAAATACATCCCTAGTTCACTATCCTACGCCCAGTCAAGGACAGATAACTCACATTTAGACTATAAAGTTAGTTTTCTCCTTTAGTCTCAGTATTATGATGGGATTCTGTTTTGTTTTGTTTTGTTGTATTGTTCTTTTTGAGACGCTCACTGTGTTGCCCAGGCTGCAGTGCAATGGTGTGACCACAACTCACTGGGACCACAGGTGCATGCCATGTAAAGATGGGGTCTCACCACATTGCCAGGGCTGATTTCAAACTCCTGGACTCAAGCAATCCTCCCACCTTGGCCTCTGAAAATGCTGGGTTTATCAATATCAGCCACAGTGTCCAGCCACAGATTCTGCTTTATTTTTAATTAAAAAAAATTACATCCTTACATCTCCTCATTGTTTAATAGTGACATTTTTTCATTTAGTAAATAAGATTGCTTCCAAAATATTTCATGGGCTTATGCTCATTGAAGTCATTATCTTCATTGTTTTCCCACCCTGCAATGCACCTGCAAGAGTGCATGCACACACATACATATTCAACCTTTCCCTCATGCCTGATCTCCTTTGATGAGGTCAAACATTCAAAGAACCCAAGGTATATTCAAGAGAGTCATCCTTAACTCCTCCTTAAACCTCAGCTCCCATGTCTAATCACCAAGCCATGACAATTTTACCAAGTTACCTCTCTTCCTTGTCTGTCTTCTCTCTAATTCCACTGTCGTGACCTTAGTTTTACCCTTTAACCCAGTGCTTCTTTCAGGGAAATAAAATAACTATCCTCAGTTCTCCCTCTTCTCCCAAACTATGCTCTACATGACCAAAAATGAGTTGTAGAAAACATAACTCTGACTATACTGCTCATTCCATCAAAACCCTTCAATGGCTCCTAGTTGTATCATACAAAGTCTTGTATCAGAGATTACACTATCATAATTTTTCATTTATGTGTTCGAACTTTCTATTTGATTTTGAGCTCCTTAAGGTCAGAGACTATGTTATACTTATTACTGCATCTCCAGCTCTCAGCAGAGTACCTGGCACTTTTGTTGAACTAAAGTGGACTGAATGACAGGACACTGCATTGACATTTTAAACTCCTGATGTGGCCATGCATGGTGGCTCACATCTGTAATTCCAGCATTTTGAGAGACTGGCAGGAGGATCTCTTGAGTCCAGGAGATGGAGACCAGCCTGGGCAACAAAGCAAGACCCTGTCTCTACAAAATATTAGCTGGGTGTGGTGGCATGCACCTGTAGCCCTAGCTACTTGGGAAGCAGAGGCGGTAAGATCACTTAAGGAATTTGAGATTATAGTGAGCTGTGATGATGCCACTGCACCCCAGCCGGAGCAACAGAGCAAGTCCCTGTCTCAAAATAAACAAACAAAGAAACAAATAAACAAAACTCCTGATGTGGTCTAACTAGACTAGATAAAAAGAAGGTATGGCAGAGCAATTCTCTCTGAAATCAAAGAAAACTGAATTCAACAATAGTCTTATCAAATCTTAGGCAATTACATAACCTCTCTGAACCTTAGGTTCCCAAGATACAAAATGGTGTTATGGCAAATGGAATAACATACACTGTGTGCCTCCTACAATAGCTGGCACCTATTGAGAAGGTGCTCAATAAATGGCAGCTATTATTATGTTTAGTGATTTCTGCTGTGCAATTATACATACATTTATCAGACATCAAAATGACCTATTTTGGTGCTGTCCACTAGACAGGTATCTATATATCTATACTGTCTAACACTGTAGCCGCTGGCCATAAATGGCTCTTGACACTTGAAATGTGGCTAGTATAACTGAGAAACTGATTTTTCAATTTTAATTAATTTAAATTTAGATAACCTCATGAGTCTGGGTGGCTACAGCACTGGACAGCACAGACCAAATTAGCCCTGACATCAATGGAGCACCCTTTAAGTGTCTATCATTTCCCCTTTCCCCAAAATCAGTCTTGTTTACAAGGATTCAAGTGCCAGTGTTAATTAGGGTCTATCTATGTCTTCATTTTTGTTAATTCAACATTGCCTGCTCTGTTAAAGAAATCAGACCTAAATGCCTATATTTTTCACTCCCTTTGCAAATTAGCTCTAACACTAGTAGAAGGGGCTCTACATCAGTAAAACAATCCATTCTATTTAAGAAATTTATCCATGAAAGTGTGAGAAGATCAGATAACAGAGTTCCATAGAGAATCTTCCTCAAATAAGCTCCTCCAAAACTTTGTATCTTTACAAAGTTAACGCAATTCAGCTTTTATTGCGTGTACTTCTTCACATATTCGTGCACTTGCTCTGCATTCCTTCTAACACTCTAAATTCATTGAAGGTAGAAACGATCTTGCTTCATTTCCCTGTACACATTTTGAAAGAATTACTGCCAAAGAAATGAATGAAGAATACAGTCCACAGAATGGAATCCCCAGCACAACACAGAGAGATGGATCAGAGTGGCAAGTGCACAGGATCTGGACCAAAAGAGCTTGCTTCAAATCTCAGCTCTGCCATTAACATTCTATGAGGTTTGGAAAAATCACCTGACCTCCTATCTGTCAAATAATGATAATACTAACTGCAACTCCTAAATATCCTATTAATATAATAATCTAATGAGATAAATCAGACATATAAATATTAGTGCAAATAGTGTAACTGAGAAAGTAATACAAAAAACACTTAAATCTCTATCTTGTATATTACTACAGAAAATAATGTCCCATAAATATGAAAAACACCAGGTATCTGTCTTGACAATCTGTATAAATGTCTAGAGGGAAAGATCAATTTTAAAATAATTATAAGGATGATTACACTTCCATTTGTAAACTGTAATATTAGTCATTACCGGTGGTGTAGTTTTTATCTGACATCAAGGTCATAGAATGCTGAAATATGCTTTTGTATATATGGCCTGTTCTCCTTAATTATACCTGTGCTGTAAAGATAGGGTCTGCAGTTTTCAAAAGTATTTGGTAAAAATAGTTCACTTTTGTTGTTTGCTTTTCAGTTCACAAAGCACTTTCACTTACATGCTTAAAGTTCTCTTCGGGACAACTCCAAGATAGGTTGAGGATTTTAGTATTTCCACTTTGCAGAAAAGTAAACTAATAACAACATCAGTAAGTAAAACCATCAGATTAATAACTCGAAGTCTAGAACTCCTGTTCTTGTACTCAAGGAATTTCCTACTGTTTCTCATTTCCAAAGGAGAACCCAGATTGTGTTCATGTATTCCCACATCAAGAATTTTAGCAAAATACTAGGTATTACACTGTACATCTATCTCATCATACATATGTATGTTTATATATAATTTAATATTAATATTAATATATAATTTAATAATTTTAAAAAGTGTTCTCACCCACACTCACTTAGCAGATCCTTACAGATAGGGTATGCCAGGTAGGACAATCACCATTTATAGATAAGGAAACTGGGTTTTGGAAAGATCTCAACTCTTGACTGTGTCTTTGCAGGGTTATGGAGATGAATGATCTGTGCACCTGGGCTATGGATCGAGATCTACTATCACCCAGTTGAGTAACTTCAAATAAGTCACCCAACCTCCCTGGGCCTTGCCCTCCTGTGTAAAATGAGAGACTTTGAGTCACTCACAGATACCACCTAGCTTTTAAAACTCTTATTCTGCAATTCAGCTAATTCGGCAACATCGCTGAGACACGGCCCCCGATGGTCTAAGTCCTTGCTGGTTCTTTGTCCTCTCTCAAACACTGTAATCCCTCTTAACAATATCTGTTTCTCCACAATCGAAAAACTGGACTTCATTAAGGAGTTCATTCTGTTTGTTTGTTTATCTTTATAGAGCCTTAGGCCCTGTTTATGTCCCATTTATTCTTTGATCTTTTAGCTATGTCCAGCCAGTAAAAACATTCCCTAGAAGAAAGGCTAGCTGACACATGCAGGCACAGGGGTCCCAGGGAAAGGGGTGTGCCCTCACCTGGCCTGGCCTCACTGCGCTGCCTACTGCACTTTCACTTTGGGGATAGGAGATGCTTGTCTGTGTTGATGGGTTTTGATATCTTTTACATTTTTATTTTTTAAAGAAATAGTACAAAACCCAAGGGTGATAGGAAAGACAGGCTCTTGCACCCAGGTCCAGGAACAGGGTCACAACAGATTTTAAACAATTTAAGTGGCCCAACTAAGAACATTTCCACCATAAAGAAGGGGCAAGTCCAAAAGAAGTCATGTCTAAGGGCACCTGGCTAAAAGTAGGGACTCATGTGCACAAATCCACACATACCCTCTGCTGGCATGGATAAAGCTCTTCCTACATCCCGGCGGAGGTGCCAGAGAAATAAGCAACCTGACCCCCCAAGAGTCTTTGGAGCCTGGCAGTAACCTGAGCTGCTCTAGGTTATTTTTGCTGATGGCTAGTGGTTCTTAAAGGGACTGTGTTCTAAGTACACATGTCCAGACACAGGATGCAAATTAATGATAAGACAGAAGTGATTGGTCTATCTTCATTAAACAAAGTCTATAAATGCTTATAATAGATAAACGAGAAGACATGTGAGCAAATATTTTAATGACCTTTCAAAGGGATCAATCATATATCCTGTGATATAACATCAATGGCTTAATACAAGGCAATACTGAATAACACACAATTCTGTTGGTGTAAAATGTGAAGACAGCAGGCATTCCCCCAAGGCTCTGTCCTTAGTGCAAGCCTCCTACGTAAGGGAATGGGGAGTCAAGATTACAGATGGAAATGACTTCCAGGACTGAGCTCTACAGTTATCATCCCACTTAAATGCTCGCTACAACTCTCAGAAGTATAATCATTCCATCGTACCAAAAAGGAAAGTGGAGCTCGGCGAGGCTTCGTAACATAGAGCAAAAGTTACATGACGGATGGGTGCAAGCCCCTTCCAATAATGTCTATGGGAAAGGTGAAGATTCCGAAAGCAAATATCCCACTCAATAAATCATTCTCATGAAACAATTAGTCCTTTCATTCTCTATCCCACATCCCTATATTGGCCAGGCAGGAACTGGAAAGTGGGACCTGGAGTCACAAACACCCAGGTTTGTAAACCTTTTCCACCACAAACTTGCTGGGTGACGTTGGGCAAGGTGGATACACTCCCTGAGCCTCAGTGGGAATAACAGTAGTATCTACATGATCAGGTTGTTTAGAGAGTAAATGAGGTCATCATATGTGTAATATATTTGGAATGGTGCCTAGCACGAAGAAACCCCACAGTAAAACAATTGCTCTTATCAGTTGCATTAGTATTCCTAATGCGGCAAGTGTGCAATTCAATTTCCCTTGAAAAATTTGATAATCTATAATCATAAGAAAAATCACGTAACAGCTAATTATCAAGCAGGTACTGTACAGATACTATCTCTGGTGATCACAATTTTGCCAGGCAAGTGATCTGACTCCCCTTTGCAGATGAGGGAACTGAAATTTACAAAGGTTTAGTATCTTGCCCAAATTACAACTAGCAAGTGACAGGACAGCGACTTTAATTTAGGTCTGACTTCAAAGCCCATACTCCTTTCTCTCAATCAAGAAATAGCCAGAGAAATGGCATGAAGAGCAGTGGGAACAACCCTCTATTCTATCCAGTTCTATTCTACAACTTGTTAACTCTGCCCTAAAGTCAGTGTGTAACCTCTTAACCTGTTTCACCTGCATTTTTCGGGGGGAGGGAAGCCTAATCTCTGCAGCATGTTATCCATCCATTATTGGTTTATAGGTAATTCTACAGAGAATGATAAAGTTCTCTGTAAACCTATTTAAAATATATTATTCTAAGGGTTCATTTCTGAGCCATGGCTCTTCAGAAATCCACAAGCCCCATATTACATAATCATGATAAAGCCACACAAATGCGTAAAAGCTTATAGTTCATAAAGCATCTTCACAAACATTCGCTCACTTAATCATCCTAACAACTGAGCAAGGTAGCTATGTGCCTGTTTCTCAGATGCTGAAACTGAGGCACAAGTTAAGTCTATTGCTTATAGTTATATAATCAATAAATAGTAGAGTTGCCATTTTAATAGCTGGGTTTTATGATGTCATATCTGTGTTCCATCCATTGTATTAAGTCCAGCTCAGGAAAAATATCAGCATCTTTCTAGTGTGATCTGCTACAATCTATAATATATCAAGGGACGATATATTATTAGCCTCTCCTTCTGTCTTTCAGGTACTATCTTTTACTTGTGTTGTAAAATATAGTTTTAATTAATTTCAACATTATTTCCTAACATAGCATAATACCTACTCAAGAAAACCATGTCAACAGGTTAACTTCCCAAAGTTTGACTGTTCAAGAGCACAGGGGCCATATCTTACTCATCATTTTATAGCCTGGAGTACCTTATGGCACTTAAAAGTAGATGATCCATAAATTAAACTGAATAAAGCTCAAGACAACTGTAACTTTATAAAATTATATGTCCCTATTTTACATAATAATTTTTAAAAACTTTAAGGTACTTTTAACAGTGAACTTGACAACAGAAGTTATGTTTCAAGATCACATTTATTGAGTGTCCAGCGTGTCTTGCAGTGCTCCAAGTGCTTTACATTTACTACTTTATTCCTGGAAAACAATTCTATGGGTAGGCACTAATTTTTTTTTATTTTACAGATGAGGAAACTAAATCAAGTTAACTTGGACAAGGGCATAGAGCTAGTTAGTGGTAGAGCAGTCATTTGAACGCAGGGTCTCCGGCATCCACAGCATGTGTTCAGAACCACTCCACTACACTGTCCCCACTGATAATATGCCAGACACTGTCCTCAGACCTTAATTCATCTTCACAACAACGCTGGGACCAGTAGAAAATCATCTTGGAAATTGAAAGTCGCCTTGATAATTCACTGGCACGAATTGGTATTCAGGAGAAAAATTAAGTAAACCAATTTAATTGTTTATAACAGTCCTGCTCCATGACCAAAAATATCACAAGTAGCACATCCATCACATTACAATTTTAAAAGTTGTTGGGAAAATAAAACTTAGAGCTACATTTTAACTTTAACACTTGAACTTTAAATTTATAGCCAGTTACCTCTTCTTGAACAGTATCTTGATATGTTTTCTGTGCAGTCTTGTACACTTCACATTGTTTTCTGTTTTGTCTTACAGTTGTGATTCTATCTAGCATCCACTGAAATTTTGGTTTTTTTTAAACAATAAAAATCTGGTAGAAATGTTTTTTTCAGGACTTAAATTTTTGTCTCTTTTCTTGCCTTCATCTTATTTTCTCATCTTTTTTTCCTTCCTGGTCAAATGATGTAGGATGGTATGTATAGCAATCTTCCAAAACTAGATGCTTAAGAGTAGGTTCCTCAAAGTTGAGTCTATGGGCAATCCACATCATTATCTCCAGGGCTGGGGCTCCAAATCTACATTTTTTCAGCAAGTTGCCAAGGTGAATTCTCTACATACTGGGATAAATCATAAGATTTTCAGTCTGCTGATTCCTGTAAGTGGTTCTTCCATTGAAGCCTTTTTCATTTAGCAGTGTGTATGTGCTAGTTTTATAAAAACATAAACTTCACTCTCTAGACTTCAGCTGAGAGTGTCACACAATATGGGGCATTTTATGTGCTAAATTTAAACCAAAGATTTTAACACACTGTATTATTTATTTCAATGTGTAGCAGCCAGGAAACACAACTAGAGAATAGAGAGTGGATCAAACCAGGCCTCCAAAGATAATGAATGGCTTAGGAAATGCACCCAACCTGTTTCATTTGAGTTTACCGAAGCAATAGATTTTTATTTTTGGTGTTTCATTTTCATATAAAACCTGACCATTTGCATCCCTCAATTAACCTTCATTATTAAAAACTACCTTATTGAACCAATTAATGGCCGATGTTAGAGAAAAACATTCAAATAAAACTTCATCAGAAGTTTTCATTTAATAGAAATTATTTAATTACTAACAATGCAAGAGATAAGCTAAAACTTAGAATGTGACCTTTTTTGAGATGTCACTTGCTGAAATGTTTGATTATTGTCCATAAAACCTGACAGGAAGTTCAGATTACTATATGTGGGTCTCTAAGAGAGGCTAATATAGTCAATTGTGTCACATCACCTACCTTCCTAATCTTCACACTTAGTGTTTGTTCTTCAACCTTATGGAGACACCCAGTTCCTCAATTCCAGCAGTTCACCATCTTCCTCCTCCTCCTGCTCTGGGTTTCTTTCACTATTGTCTCTGAATTCCACTGTGAACCACTTTGCCCTTTGTCTTGCCAGCATCCCAACTCATCTGATACCTTGTCCTTCATACCCATCCTAAAAAACACTCAATTTGGTTCACTGGTTTTTCGGTCCCTATGTAATCTAGAGGGGCTGAGAAAAAGCACCAATTTCACAGGCTGGGCTACTTCTGTGGAGCCCTCTGAATGTCGGCCTCTCATTCCAGGATGCTCTGCTCAGCACTCTCTGCCATTTCCTTCAGAGACAATTCCAAGTGTTCCCCATTTTTGTCAATATTATCCAGTTTTTCCAGATAAATAAATTTGCCTTTCACTTCACAAAAAAGAAAAAACAATAAAATAATGAATTTTTCAAAGAAAATTATGTTTAATGCACAGTTTCTACCCATAAACTTAGTAGTATACCTCCTTCTGCCCCAATCAGTCCTTTCTGGTGCTCAAAGCACTCTAGCTGCTCCAGGATTCTGCTCAATTATCATCTTTCCTCTATATCATCTACATTTCCCTCTCCAATGGCTCTACTTGGTCAGCACATATAAACAGGTTCACAATGATGCAGAAATGCTTTCTGGGTCTTACCTCTTATTCTATCATCTCACTCCTCCTACACACAGCCAAGCTTTCTTGAGGTACAGAGTATGACTATATTGTTCTCTTCTCTACCTCCACAAACATAGTTCCAGATAGGCCCTCAATAATAATTCTCATTGTTTCAATATTGATGCTGAAAATAGAGAAAGCCCAATAGAAAGGTGGAAACATAGTTCAGCAGCCACTTTATAAAAAGAGAATATACAACAGCCAAAAAAAATAGGAAAAGGGGCTCAACTTTGTTAACCACCAGAGAAATAAAAATTAAAACTATAAGGTACACCACTACATAGCCATCAGAATGGCCAAAATGCAAAAGATGAAAATACTACAGCAGGTTGAGGACAGTTAGGACCCTCATGCATGTTAGAAGGGGCACAAATTGGCATACCTGCTTTAAAAAGGCACGCGGTAATAACTACTAAAGTGGAATTCATGCAAGCCCCATGATGTAGCGACTCCACCCCTAGGGCTGCATCTGCAGAGATGTACCATAATATTCATAGAAGCACTATTTGTAAGAGCCAAAGCCAAAAGTAATCCAAATTCATCAATGGTAGAACGAAGAGATTATAGCACATTCATAGGATGGAATTCAATACAGTAATGAGAATGGATGATTGTTACACATGAACAAATCTCACTGACATACCATGGAGTGAAATAAGTCAGACACACACACATGACGCAGAGCATATGATTCCATATACATAAAGGACAAAAGCAGGCAAAAGTAATAGATATGGTGTTAACAGTTACAGCAGTTACCCTTGGGTTCTAACATAACTGGAAAAGGGCAAGAGATGTGCTCTCAGAATGCTGATAATGTTCAAATGGTGAAAATCCATCAAACTGTCTACATCCTTTTCTGTATATATATTATATTACACAATTTTAAAATCTGGATATACTGATTCATCCTTGAGCCACCTCTTATTCAAAACACTCTTGACCTCCTTCTCTGTCTCACTCTATAGATGCTAAGATCCTGAGGCCAGGGACTAATCCTTGTCTATCTCGGCTTCCCTACTTCCTATACAGAGCTTAGTACACACCTGCTCTCAACAAATGATTCTGGATGAGTGAACGAGCATGGCACCTCAGCCCCACTGATTTTGGTCTCTTTTATGCTCTTGATGCTGAAGTCTGCATTTTCAGCCTCTTCCCTGGGCTCCAGGTCTTGATCTCTGCCTATAGACACTGCAGTGATAACAACCTACCCTTTATTTGGAACTGGCTTTGAGTCTGGAGCTTTACCTATCACAAACAGCCTGCATGTTACTAATTATTACCCTCACTTTACAGACCAGGAAATCAAGGATCCCAGAGGTTTACCTAAGAATGCACAGGTGATAAACTGGAGAAGTAAAATTGAAACTCAGGTCTTTCTTATCCCAAAGCCAAGGATCTTTCCACAGACCACACATGACCACAGATACAATAAATCTAAAATGTAGGTCACACAGGCCGCGCGCAGTGGCTCACACCTGTAATCCCAACATTTTGGGAGGCCGAGGCGGGCAAATCACCTGAGGTCAGGAGTTCAAGACCAGCCTGGCCAACATGGCAAAACCCCATCTCTACTAAAAATAAAAAAATTAGCCAGGTGTGGTGGTGCACGCCTGTCATCCCAGCTACTCAGGAGGCTGAGGCAGGAGAATCACTTGATCTCAGGAGGTGGAGGTTGCAGTGAGGTCACACTACTGCACTCCAGCCTGGGCGACAGAGTGAAACTCCATCTCAATAAATAAATGAATTAAAATTAAAATTAAAAAATGAAATGTAGGTCACTACTTTTCTCAAAGGCCTGCTCATCTTCCTTATCCTGAGCAATATCATCACTACCCACTTTGTCACCCAAGCTGCAGTCCTGGGAATTGCCTTCAATTTCCCTCACCCTTCACACTGACTCAGCCACTAAGTACTGTGTGCTAAGTTTGACAGTCCATCCTGTGCTCACTATTCTAAATATCGCAGCATTAATTCAGGCTTTCATTGTTTTTTCGCTTGAATATTACTGTAATTGTCTGCACACCATGTCTCCCAAATCCGGGCTTGGCTTCCTCTGTATCATTCTTGTGAGGCTGCCTGAGAGATATTTGTAAAATGCTAATCGGAATATGTCCCCTGTCTTGCCTGCAGGACAGAGTTCAAACATAGCAGCATGGCATACCCTCCTTGACCTGGTCGTGGCCAAGCTCTCCAGATCCTTCCTTTGTGACTCTACTCCTCCTCCCACTTTGTAATCCTGCCATGTGAAGATTTACTGCTCACAAATGCATCTCTCTATTTCCAGGTCTCTGGATCCTTTTTTGCTAAGGCTTTATCTTCCTGGAATGCCCTTTCCCATGCTGTCAACCAGGCAAATTCCCACCCATCCTGCAAGAGGCAGCTCAAGCACTTAGTCCTCTGTCAAGCCTCTCAAGTAAAGCTGCTGCATTGCTTTCATGTCACAGCTAAGCTTTGTGCATCCTTCTCTTACAGCCCTTTCATAATGTATTGCAGTTTTTTTACAGACTGCAGCCTTCACTTCTAGACCATTAGCTCCTTGGGGACACATGCCTGCTCTTTATTGCATGCTCAGGCCCACACGCAATAGTCAACAATACTTGAACAAGTGAATTAGTAAATGAAACCAATTGTATGTGTACACATAATCTTAGTTGCAAATAATTTATTTTAAAAGCAAATCCCAAGAGAATGAACCAGGCAGAAACAATGAGGCAAGAATAGATCATTTATCTTTGTAAACTCTACGAGAGTGCAGCTCAAAGTGTAAGGCTGAAAACAACATTTAGCTGTTGTGTAAGTGTCTGCAGGAACATAGCATCCTCCTCTCCCAGGCCTCTCATCAATAATCTTCTCCTACCACCACCGCAGCCATCTCTGATCCTGGGCAGGGGTTAAGTACAGAGGTGAAAGGAAAAGGGTGAAGATCTGTATTTAATAGCCTATTTCCTGGATCCCTAGTCTCTGAACCTAGTGGAGAGAATCACTGATACTCAACCTCAAGTTTTTGGTGAAATAAAAATGGTCTAAACCTTAATAGAGATGATTCTTAGTGGAGAGAAATCTATTAAGGTCTAAACCTTAATAAACCTTAATATAAGGTCTAAACCTTAATATAATGTTAACAATAAATCTTAATAAAAGGTCTAAACCTTAATAGAGATGATTCTCAGGATAGAGCAGAATATTCCATGTATCTCCTGGATTGGCTAAAGTGGAACAGAGCAAAAATAAACGTTTTTCAGATTGTGCTCTCATTTCTAAGATGCAGGACAGGAACGTGGGCAAATCAATAGTCAAGTGGTGATGCTGTCACTTTTGAATGAAGAAACTAAACAAAGGACTGGGGAAATTGACAAAGATGAGTATGGCTGCAAAGCACAGTGAGAGAAGAAACTTGACGTCTGAGAGTTGAGTGAGGGGCTGAGAAACTGTAGGCAGGAATACCCACTTCACCAATCACTCCACGCCACCTCACCACCCTGGGCCACACGGTATTTAAGTACAAGGCAGGACATCAGATGACCTACCGAAAGTACTCCTTGCACAGAGAAGAAAGCTGACTACGGCTCTTGCCAGCGCCTACTCTACATGAAGGCTGCAATTAAACAGCTCTCCCTGGAATAAGACTGTGGAAAGAAGCAGCCAAGTGCCCCCCTGAGACACACAGAAAAGCAATAACTATGTTGACATTCCAAGAAGAGAGAGGGAGAAGAGCATTTTTCTTGCAGTCTCATTCTTTAATTGCCTCTTCTGGCTTCCTTTCTGGAGAGAGAAGGGAGGTGGGTGATGGCGGCTGGATCATGTAAAAGACCAGAGTGCAGCTGATGTGAACTTCTATCAGGCCTCCTTGCACAAAGACCTTATTATAATACACACATAAAAATGCGTGGGCAAGTCTTGGAGGGTTGAGGTTTTTCCCCCCAAACTCACTCCCAGCCCCGTGCTTTGAATGCAGTTGTGTATACACACCCTCTGACAGAATAGGTTCTTCGTGTTGCCATGGAGCTGAAACCTCTGTAGTTTAGATGGAAGGATCACAGTGCTTTTATACTTCTAACAGCAGAGGTAAGAATCACTGCATAATATTAACTCCACTTTTATTTCAGATTTTCCGTTGCTCATCTTCGTATTCTGCGTGAACTCTATTTATATTTTTTTACTCCTTATAAAATTACCTCATAGAAGCTGCTAGCAAACTGATTCTTTTCTTTGTAAATCAATATGTCAAAACTTGAGTGCATACATGATGTGTGAGTTTTCCCCACTCCTGCCCTTTTTAACAGAGAAAATTTGTGACCTTATCACATCTAGGGGAGTTTATGAGAAATGCAAAGTACAAATCAATTCATAGCTAATAAATATGCTGTGAAACACATAAAACGTCGCATAACCAGTAAGTATTTTCTCTGATATGATAAACCTAAAGATTATTTATATTCTGATTACTATTTTTCAAATAGGTTTCAAGAATCAAAATCATATCTAGAACGCTTTTGCAAACATAGATATGCTTCTGCAAGTTCCTCTCAGATCTTGTTTCAAAACTTAGCTACTACCCTATTGTTTGGAAATCAAATAAAATAATCAAATGAAAGAAAAACAAAGTAATTTCCTAGCACAACCTCAATGTCTATGCTGCCCCTCCTTTTCAGATTTTGTACCTCCTAAGAAATCAGTGATTTGACTTCTGCAAAATCAAATGCAAAGGAGTTAAATAAAACAATTTTGATTTCCTACCTGGAAATATGCTTTTGGTCCTATCACACATTCTCATAATCTTGAGCCTCAATGTCTCAGGTAAATTCGCCAATCTGCCGACAAGAAGTTTTGTATTATGACTTCTCCTCCCACAGTGCATGCATTACAACTTGACTACGAAAATGACCTTCGTCTTAACCAGAACAGCAAAACTGAATCTATCGGTTTGAAAAAATGAGAGTGCAAACATGCGGAGGAGGAAGAGGCAAAACAGGTGGATAAAATGTTGCACTAAGCTACACACAATATTAGTGCTAGAGTGCTCTGCAAAATGAAATCTTAAGAATTAGAAAATAGTTTATGAGGAATAAAATAGTGATGGCACTAGATGATAACCCAAATAATAAAATAAATATCCATGAGTCCACACCAAAGTCAATCAATCAATCAATAAAATATGTAGATATTTCCTCCCTTCAAAGATAAAGCTTAATTCTTCTCCCCTTAGGTGTGGGCTGACTTCCAAAGAATAGAATACAGAGAGAGAAAAAGCAGTAACTTTACAATGGAAAAACCTGGCAGAGTCTACCATAACCAAGTGATCAAAGTTAATATTACCAGTGATAAGGCATGTTGATGTGACACAATTCCTAACATAATGTGATGAGATGGGAACCTCGCCTGGTGGTATTCTGCCCCCAAAACCCATAAGCCCAGACTACAAAATTCCTGGCCCATACTCTTCCAAAATGTCAATTCCATCTGAAACAAGTAGACTGTGCCATGGTACTATCATATTGTATCTTGTGTCATATTAAATATTTTTAAAGTGAGTAGCTAATTAATACCAAATAAACTTCTCAGGCAAACCAAACCATTCTTTAAAACAGTTAACAACCACTCAAATAGAATAGCCTTTTTAAGATAGTAATATTGTTTAGATAGGAATTTTTCTTCTTCTCTTTTGATGCTTTCAGAACACCTCAGTATGACATCTTCAAATGGTGTACACTTCAGTTTTTTCTTTGCTAAAGACAGTGTGTATATTTCCACTATGACTAGCAACAATGGTGCTTGTATTGATTGTTCTGGCAGCTATTTAAATAGGCTTGTTCTCTCCCTATCTCAATGGCCTCACAATGCTGATACTACAATGCTCAGGAACTTCTGAGCACCCTAGCCAGATGCCCCTTACTGCTTGTGGACAGGCATTCCCCAGCCTCTTGGCTGGGTGACAGCAACCACAGCAGCCCACAAGACGGGTGGAGAACCAATGAGTAAAATGATAAACATTTGTGATGAAACAGGATGTTGGAGACAGGGGGGTGAGGAGACAAAATATCTCAACGCTGAACTACTAACGCTACTTTGGAACTCCTAACAGTGTTCCCTTGTTGTAAAACTAGGAGCAGTAAACCGATATTTTTCTCTGGTGTTTTCTCCTTTATTATAATTAATTTCAGAATTACTGCTAAACAACACACCATTACCCAGGCACAGAACTTAAGACTGAGCTAACTGAACCACAAGCACTATACCCCCATAAATATTGTAAATGTTCATTGGAGACACTTAAACAATTATGTGAAAATAAAATGTTTTCTGGACACAGAACACAACATTTTCAATAGTTCAGCCCTTGCTGTTGATTGAATGTACACTTTAAACCACCATTTCCCTTCTTATCTATGCCAGTTAGTAAGCATAAATTTAAGAAACTCTGAAATAAACATAGTACTTCACTTATACAGTGTCCTGGACTTGGACTTCACTTTGATGGACTCTCAGTATGTAAGTAAATATCTCTTAAGTTGAAATTCTATTGAAACTATTCCCTGATTTCTGTACTTGGAGTACAATCATTTTGTTTTAATTGCTATGTATTGAAGAATCCACAAAATATTAATGTTATAACTATGTTATAATACTAATGCATTATGCATTCCTGCTCGACCCCATAAATTAATGTACCAGTACCATATATGCATATATACCAGTACAAAATTGCAGAAAAAAAATGACTCCGGTGGTTCCCATTAATTCACACACTAATTCTGATATCAAGGTTAACAAAACAAAACAAAAAGGTGAAATCACCACTATGGTGGTGCTCTCTTGGACTCCTTTTTAAAGAGTGTTATCAACAAGGATGTCTTCTTAGAGTCTACGATACTCATTTCTCTCATCCATTTCATTCTTGCTTTATTGCTAATGATTGCACCAAAACAAAGCAAATGATTGCACCAAAGCAAAAAAAAAAAAATTCCATCTTAGTAGCAATTTGATACTTTAAATAAATCTCTGAAAACCTTTTCCACCAGAAGTGTCCTAACAGTGACAGATCATTTTGCACTATATACACAGAGATGGAACACAGCTATGCACTGAGGAATATGGAGGGGGCAGGAAGTGACTGAGATGCAGCAAGCTCACTTACCTCAGACTAAACACAAAACTTCATAGCAATATTAAACCCAAATTTCCAGTCATTTTTAGACTTAAAAACCCAATTCAGCCTGTCTGAATTTCAACTCGTATTTGGCAAGTACCTCCAAATGAAAAAGTGGGAAATTACAAAGATGAATTTGAGGACACACATTCTACTTTTGTTCCCCACTTGTCACACTTATCCTCCCCAAATATTATTTACCCATCTGTTTTATACATTTACCTTTAAAAATCATTTCCGGAAAAATTAGTAATTAACATTTTGAAAACAATGCTAGAGTAAAAAGGTTACAGTGTCACATATACTTTCCTTTAACAATGTAAATTACATAGTTCCTTGTAAAGCTGTTGTTCATGTTGAACAACAGGACCTCAAACTTGAAAAGGCAAAATTAAGCCTATGAGAAAACACAGTAGGTGCAGTATCAGAGGTGAATGTGACATTTCATTCCAAGCACTATTGCACACACACAACTGATAAATTTCCTACCAGTACACTCAAGTCTAAATCATAATTCAATATGGATATTAGTCCATACTCTTTCTGAATGAAAATAAGGCAACCCAATGAAACTGATGACATGATCAAAAAAAGATAAACAGCCCTTTTTACCCTTTAAAAGAACAAAGGAACATAAGAATATTTCTATTAATACTGATATTTTAAAGCATAACACCATAACCTATATTACTCAGCAAGATCAGTTTATTATCCATTTGTTTTCATTTATCCCGAAGATCATTCTTAGTCTTTCTACTTGTATCAGTTCAATTTGTTATCCTCACACTATTATTATCAGTTAAGTAACCCTGGGTAAACTGTGGTTTTCATATCTATTGACCTGGGATAACACAGGCTGATATGTCATTAGCATAAGCTTGTCCTAACAAGTATGACTCCTCTCCTTTTAAGATTTGTTAAAACCGACTTAATTATATTTTCTTAACTATCTTGATGATTTGGGTTGCCCACTTACTTTATAATATTTTGGATATTACAATTTATCTTTTTAAACTAAGGGAAAACAACCTTTCATTCACTTTTTAAATCCTTCCTCCATTGTATGAAATATTGGAAGACATATTGAATTCCCATCTCTAAATAAGAGTTAAGAAAGATACTGCTCAACCATCTACCAATAAACTATTACCAGATAACTTAGGTTATTTTAAAATAATTATAAGATCAATTAAACCAATATAAAGAAAATCTTGAAATGCACTATAAATTCCAAAAGTGCATCCTGTTTACACAATAAGATCTGAGCCTCAGAAAAAGAAAACCAACAAGGCATGATTTAGGTAATCAATACGGGGGCCCACTAAAATGATTTCTGCAAACGACCGGTGAGTTGAGCTCACATTTAAAAATGTACTATTACTTACATTTTAAAAGCAAGACACTGGAAAGTAGTGTTACAAATGCTCAAAAGCTCATGGAAAAAAATAATTTCCAAACATGGAGTGTTTTTCAAGTGTTTAATAAATATAAGTATTTTTGTTTTTAAAACCTGAGGTTAAATACAATTCTTAATTTACTAGCCAGATTCACTGTACTCAGAAATTCCTGCATATAGTTTTCATTTACTGTCTAATTTATCAATCTATAAATCTACATTTAATCTGAAAAAATTATATGACATAATAGACCCTTTAACTATTAATGGTTCAAACTGTTAATTCCCCCCACCATGGTCATGGTTTTAGAATATACAAGTCCGTAAGAATCCAAGCCACTTGACAGTAGACCAAGAAGCAACATAAAAAATGATAATCAGTCCGGGCGTGGTGGCTCACGCCTATAATCCTAGCCCTTTGGGAGGCCGAGGCGGGGGCGGACCACTGGAAGTCAGGAGTTCGAGACCAACCTGGCCAACGTGGCAAAACCCCATCTCTACTAAAAACACAAAAATTAGCTGGGCGTGGTGGCACATGCCTGTAATCCCAGCTACTTGGGAGGCTGAGGCAGGAGAACTGCTTTAACCCGGGAGGTGGAGGTTGCAGTAAGCTGAGATGGCACCATTGCACTCCAGCCTAGTTGACAGAGTGAGACTCTGTCTCAAAAAAAAATTAATAATAACAATAATCAGAGAACAACACTATCTTTATCACTGTAATTTTTAAATAACTTTGAAGGCATTCATGAAAAACTAACCAGAAACAGATAATCTAGATTAGGTAAAGCTAATATCATTTAAATGTGCAAAATAACAAAACGAGAATTAAATCACATTGAGAAATAGTAGAACCAAGTAGATATAAGGTAACAAGAATTAATATTTAAAATATATAAAAAGCTCATAGAAACTTACTTTTCAAAAAATAACTAAGAAATAAATTAGAAAAGATATGCCAAGTCAATCCAGACAAAGAAATGTAACAAATAAAGAAACCTCTTTAATTATTATTAAAATGCAAACCAAAACAACAATGCAGTCAAAATTTTTACTTTGGCACAATCATGATAAAAATGGGAAGCAATTTGAAAATGAGGACCATGTATGATAAAAAATATTCATTCCCTTTGAAAAACAACCCCAAAAGAAAAAAAAATGAATATTCAGCAATAAGGGGATTTTTAGAAAATTGTCACCATTAAATTAGATCAAAAATATGCAGCCATTAAAATCAGAATATGGTAATATGCAAAATGAAAGTGTTTATAAAAATGATTTTGAAAGTAAGGATTGTATCAATATCATGATTATAACTATTTCAAGTGTATGAATGTGGGCAAAGATCAAAGAATATACAAGGAAAAATTCTAAAAATCAAGTTGATACATTATAAAAGCCTATAAGATAGTTATGCATCTTTTCTTTATTGGTGATATAATATTGCTTTTGTGATAAATTAAAAACTTGACAAAAACAAATAAATTACAGCAAGCTAGTCAGCTCCAAAATTAAATCTCCCAAATGCATCAACCAGTACCTACCATAAAACAATGACTGTTCCACAGGAGAGTTCACCAATGGCCAGATCTCTGTAACCAAAGCAAGACCTACATCTTACATGAAATGAAACTGTGAATGGTCCGTAGCATATTCATACTCTTTAAGCTATTAATCCATGCCCAAGTGCTTAAAAAGTTTACTATCTAGCATATGATGTTGGAGATTGTTCATTTCTATCCTTGTGATTGTACTACATCCATTATTTCTATGGGAGTTCAGTATACACTACCAAATCACATTGTTTGAATACAGGCAATTCTCAACTTACAACCACCTGACGAAAACCAAAAATAAAACCAGCTGCTGCTTTCCCCGGGTTGTCGCCTTCTAGCACTACCAGTAGTCTTACTGTTACCCCTAGAGAGTCTCAGCTGTTGTGAAGAAATCTAAAACTTTTTAGAGAATTTGGGGGAAGAAAGGGTCAAAGCAATAAAACAGTACCAGATAGTGAATATACACAAAGCACACAAAGCCATTGCTTACCCTGAGTCGTACTCAGTAAAGGTTTGATGAATGAATGAATAAATTTCCTTTTCACCTCTGTAATTTGAGCCCCACTACTTTGCCTCTACCCTACTCCAGCAGCCTGTTAACAAGCCTCCTTTTGGGGCTCTCGATTCATGGAGCTGGAGCTCAAGAAGGGAGTGAAACCCCATAAACAAACAGCTGTGATCAACAGGCTGTCCACTGGGCAATTCAACAGAGAGGACCTGCGCTCAGGACCAATCCAAAAACGTCTGTTCTTGTGACCTCCCCTAGAGCATCGGTATGATGTATACTCCAATTGTACTTTGATGGCCTTAAAGGAGCAGAACCACTTTAAACATATCTAAAGTCTAATAACTTTTCGATTTATTTCACCCCATGTATTTCTAACTAATCTTTCATCTTCTGAAATTTCAAGCCACTCCATTACTCAAAAATCTTCCTCAGCTCTCTCTTACCAACTGAATTACAGAAAATCAAAGAAACTCAAAGTTTGAGAGGTCTGAAAGGACTTTTAGCACAACAACCTAAAGAACAGGGCAAAACAACTTCACTCTTTCATTCAAGTTCCATCACAACATGGTCCAGGCCTTCCTACTTATGATTCTCAGATCCTAACCTTGTATATTTCCCATCTCCTGACTTTCACTCATGCCACCATTTATATCATACTCTATTTGAATGGTGCCCTCACGATTTTACAAAATCCAACTCTTGGGCAGCCATATGTGGTGTTCCTACTTTCACTTGTAACATATGTCCATCTTCCAACCCATCGCTGCTTCTAAAGATGTTAACCAATCCTCAAGGTCCACATTTTCCAGAAAAACCTTTCCTGGTTCATGCAATTGGTCTTTTTCTCTGAACTTTCATTTCATCTGGTTTATGCCTGTTTTTTGCATATTCTGTCTTTTCCAGTAAAATGAGTTAGTCATGCTTGCCATTAACAATATTAGATTGCATTCTCTCTGAGAACATGATGTAGGGTTCACATTTATTTCTATATAGTTTCTAGCCCATTGCCAAAATCAGAACAGGTACTCAAATAATTGTTGGCTGGGACCTTTGATTGGTAAGAAAATACAGATGACTTTGGAACTAGAAAAATTTAAAGGAGTGATTTAGACTGGAATGGACTATAGCAATCAAAGACCAAGAACTAAATTTGGATAACTTGGTGCCTTCAGGTTGACTGGGTTGAGAAGGGTGCTAAGTGGTAGGATGTCACTGTCAAAAACATACTTTTCCCTATTTCAAAATTTTGCCTTAGACCAAATATGTACCTATGGAAAAAGACTTCCTCTCATCTTTTCCTCCACTCTGTAAGATACCACCTCTCAAAAAAAAAAAAAAAAAAAAAAATTCTGAATTCTACACAACGAATTAAAAACACAGTTTTGAAACAAAGTACAAAGGAACCAAGCATAATTTAACCTGTTTTGTAGAATATCAAAAATAACTTTCCTTTTTTAATTAACAATAGTCTATTAAAGGGCAGATTTTAGGGATACAAATCTGAAACACTTGAAGAGCAGGTGTATCATTTTAGAGGTATCTAAACGTTATTGTCTCTACTATATGGAGCCTGTGTGTCTGCCTAACACATAACATGCATTTTCTTAATTAGAATGCATGCTGAAATACCTATTTTAATAAATATATCATGACCCAAGGAAATCATTATGATCTATTAAAGAACAATTAACTATAAAAGCATTAGCTATACAGAAAGAGATAGCTTCAAATTGGTATACACAGATTTCTACTATCTATAGACAAAAATCTATCTGAACATTTTTCAAGACCTTAAAAGATGCTGTGTTTACATAGCAATGGTATAGTATACATTGGCAGATGATTCAAAATATTTTAGTATATATCTACATATATGAGTATTTATAATCTGAAAATTAAATCCCATGATTTTAAGACAATTTAAATATAAACTAGGCAGGGGAGAGTGCAGCAGTGTTAGAGAGGAGGTCACTGAGGAATGAATGAATATATATTAAGCATGTTTAATAAGGCTTTATACACCAACATTTTTTGAGATTACATATATCTAAAATGCAAAAAAACCAACTGCCTCTGTTTTTAATCAGAAATATCTCAGGGTCATTATCATAAACATAGATCACCATAGCAAACCTACTCATTTATTTATTTCCATTTACTAGGAAAATACTTAGGGAGCCTCTTCTATGAGTCAAGTACAACATTAAGTCCTGGAGATAACAGTATCATATGGGGCAGGCATGGTCTCAGCCCTAGTAGAACTTAGATTCTGAGTAGAAAGATCAAAAAATAGCTACTGTAAATTGGGGGAAACACAGTAACAGCTTCTGAAGCTACTGAGATGCTTACATTTGCTTACCCCTGCACTCTTGTTTCCTCCAGTGGCCTATATTTTGATCTTTAAGATCTTGCTTCTGATTTTTATAGTTTATCTATTTCCTTCTTCACTTTCAGGCTGTCAGTGATTACATTTGCAGTCAACATGCCATCCTTTACCAGTGACAATGTTTGACTTCCATATACTGCTCCTAATCTCTAGCCAATCAGATCATCAAGCCTATTAAAACTAAGCCTAAAATAAGGACAAACAAGCTCTGAGTGAAGGCTGAATAGGTATTTTCTACCATTGCAGTTTGATAAAATCATTTCATGCATTATCCGTTTCTTTCTGATGAGATATTTCTATTACCCAACTGACCATGCCACCCATTTAAGAAGATAATTTAAAGAAATGTTTTACCAACAAAATTTCCCACTCTTCTCTCATTCTCTTCTAAAATAAACAAAACAGGCCAGGCATGGTGGCTTGCGCCTGTAATCCCAGCACTTTGGGAGGCTGAGGCAGGCAGATCACGAGGTCAAGAGATTGAGACCATCCTGGCCAACATGGTGAAACCCCATCTCTACTAAAAAACACAAAAATTAGCTGGGTGTGGTGGCGCATGCCTGTAGTCCCAGCTATATGAGAGGCTGAGGCAGGAGAATTGTTTGAACCCGGCAGGCAGAGGTTGCAGTGAGCCAAGATTGTGCCACTGCAATCCAGCCTGGTGACACAGCGAGACTACGTCTCAAAAAATAAAAATAAAGATAAACAAAACAAAACAACAACAACAACAACAAACCTACACTTCTGCTTAGAAGCAAGATCCCTACTGCCAGAAAAGTCTTCTTTAAGTACAGTCCATAGAAATGGTATCTTAATATATAAACCACTGTTTCTCAAAGAGTAGTTCTCAGATCACCGGCAGCAGAATTACCTAATTTACCTCTTAACATTAAGGTTCCCTGTGCCTCACCTCAGACCTAGTGAATCACATGCGTAGAGCATGGGGGCCTGAATTTTTTAACGCTCCTTGAAAGACCATCGTGCATGATACAGCTTGAATCCACTGATCTAAATAACCAAAGAGTACACATTGAAAATGTCAGTCTGAGCCCTAAAGACTCAAGTCCTCTATTTTACTACCAGTCTGCAAAATTTAATGAATGCCACCCTCTGCAATGCACTGGATAAAATTAAGTTTAAAAAGTTCAAGACAATAAAGTTTAAAGGTCACCTCTACCCAGAGAGTTTCCACTTTAATATGGAAGACAAAGCACAAACACATTAAAAAAAAAAAAAAAAAAAAACTTAAAAATAAGCACAAACAACATTTCAGGGGAGCCCAGTGAATAGAGGACAAACGTGCTGAGAGGGGCAGAGCCTAGGACTGAACAGAATACAGTTGGGATTCAGAAAGGAAGAATTCTAAAACAAGTTTGGGGCAGAATTTAAACATAGCAATTTTCAAGTGGGTCTCTAAAAAGGTGTGATGATTGCCATAGGGCATTTAAGATCAAGGAGAAAATATGTATAATCATATCTCTTGGTACCATAGTCAACACAGAAAGAGAAGTGTCCTGCAGGCTTATTAAAAAGATGAGATATTGGTTTGGGAAAACCTCCCTGAAAAGAAGGTTTTATAAACATATATTATCTTTTGAGGCAGACAGAGGAGGTATTGTTATCCCCAGATTTACAGACGAGGAGACTAAGAATCATCTGAGACCCTTTTTTGCAGGGTTCTTATTATAGGACAAAGCTGGTCCTTTCCTTCCATCAGGGACTCTTTGCTCAGCCTGACACTGCTCCCAGGAGAAGGATCATTAATTCACTGTCTCAGAAATGAGACAACAAGCCATTCAAAAACATATTTCTCCCTCTGTCCAGTTCAAGAAACAATCAGGGGAAATGTGTGTGAGTGTTTGTGTGTCTGTGATGCGTATGTGTGCATGATATGTGTGCATGCATGTAGATCTATGCATGAGTGTGTGTGTCGAGGGTATCACTGACTAATTTAACTGACCGCTCATCATTTCATAATTAATGAGTTACTGTATTTTAGTGTCTAATGGATGTTTCAGTGCTAGTACTTATGGCTAATGATACTGAAAAGCAAAAGCCAATCAAAGTCTCTGACTTTGTGATTTGATTTGTGATCAAGATAATTATCTGAAATCTCCATACTGGGTTAGTGACAGCAGGTTTCCTCTGGCTGTGCTATCCAGTATGGTAGGCACTAGCCATATGTGGCTGCTTAGGTTTAAATATAAAATTAGCATTAAATAAAATTTAAAAATTAGTTCCTCAGCTGCACGGCCACATTTCAAGTACCCCAAAGCCACTTGTGTTTAGTGGCTACCATATTGGCCAATGCAGTTCAATTGGAGAGCACTGCTCCAGAGTGTCAGTCTTTCTGAAAAGACAACTTCAGGCCTCAGTGTATACAACCATTGTTATTTACATCTAGTTCCAAACACATGCTAATAACAGTGATCGAACTTTTGTCCCTCCCACTAAGGCTTCTCAAGCCCCTCTAGTAGAATTCATATATTTCTCCTCAGAAATCCCTTCCCCCTTCTCCTCATCACACCTCTCTTCTCGTGGCTGTTTTCATCCTGGCTTGATAGCTACGTGCACATCCATCTCCTCTACAGTCAGCTTCTCAAGGCCAGTGGGTCATGTTCAGTTACCAGTAATGGTCCATGGCCTTTTAGGAACCGCGTCGCACAGCACCAGGTGAGTGGTGGGCAAGCGAGCATTACTGCCTGAGCTCCACCTCCTATCAGAGCAGCGGTAGCATTAGATTCTCATAGGAGCGTGAAACCGACTGTGAACCGCGCATGCGAGGGATCTAGGTTGCATGCTCCTTATGACAATCTAATGTCTGATGATCTGAGGTGGAACTGTTTCATCCGGAAACCATCCACCATCCCCACACCATGGAAAAATTCTCCTCCATGAAACTGGTTCCTGGTGCCAAAAAGGTTGGAGACTGTGAGTTTAAAGAATGGTAAGGTTTTGTGATCATTCCTACGAGGTAGATGCTTAGGTGGAATTATTGCTTGTGCTGCACATTTATAAGGAGAAGAAAAAATCAAATGATTTTAGAAGTGGGTATGAAAATGTACTTAGCAGACATAAATCAGAAAAGCACTGGGCTGTATTGGAGGTATTGTTATCCCCAATTTACAGACGAGGAGACTAAGACTGTCATCAGCCAGCACACAGAGGATGGCCCCTTACCACAGCAGGGAGACAAAACCAGGACTCATGGTGACCTATGGGAACCGAACTGCTTAGCTTAGGATGAGCTTGTCAAAAAGTTGTATCAATTCATTTCTTACTCATGCTGTTACAACATCTTCAAAAACTCAAGCCTTGGGATGCTAATGAGAACTTCTACTTTCACTCTGACGACTTCTGAAACACGAAAAACGTACATTTCCTTCATGCTATCATTTGGATAGTTTCAAAGTACCTGAAGTATGAACAATATCTGATTTTTTCAATAAACCAGTTTGAGGGGGAAAACCCATGGATCAGGGCACACTGGCTGTCCCCATGAAGACAGAAAATACTAAAAAGGATTGAAGAGTTATCACACTGGTACTTCACTGCTCACTGCTTTCTTTTGCCAGCTTCAATGCCATACTTAACTAAGTATCTAATTGCCATACTTAACTAAGTTTCTAGGCACTTTCCCACAAGCCTTGGAAGAAAGAGGTGTCTACAGGGCCACCATAGACCAGAGGAAAGGTAAAACACGGGAAATGAAACCAAGTAACGTGGTGAGAGCACAACTGATGACAATCACAGAGAGCACAGTCGACTGCAGGGGGTGCTGAATGTGGCCTTCAGAGGAAGTGAAACTTAGAACAGGGCCAAAGATGCATCACTTTCCACAAGAAAAGTCACCCACTCTTGCCCCATCCTCACCTCCACGCCATCTCGTGGCTCACCATTGTGGCATTTCTTCATCGTCAACATTCCAGATTGATAAAAAGTAGTAAATTAAAGACTGGCCCAGCAAAGTCCCTGATCAGCCGGATCACCAGCAGCAAGTTGCACGTTTGCACGTGTCTCTCCCACCACAGTGTACCGCAAAACTCAGTCAGGTTAGAGCCCTGAAATATTATCAGGCTCTCAGTATATGAAAAAAAAAAAAGTGCCTGAGATGTGCTTGGAGATTGCAGTCATAGTACTGGGGATGGGCTCTGGCAGCAGCCCCTTGAAGCAGAACCTGAGCTAACACTGCGTATCCGTAGGTAACCGTGGGCAAGCAACTGACCCTTCTTGGTGCCCCCATTTTCTCACATGTCAGCCACAGTTATCATGTGCCATCAAATTTAAGTGGTCTACCAATTCTAAGACATAAGCTTTTTTTTCATATTTTAACATTTTTGAAATCAGAATGTGTCTTACTATGGATGGCATCTTTCAAAAAAAATTGGAATCTTTGTTTTCCTTTCTTAGAGGTACATCAAATGCCATCTTACAACCGATGATACCTTAGAGTCTATGAAATTTGGAGCCTACTTTATAAAGTATCGATAAAGATTAAATTAGTTAATTTAGGTCAAGTATTTAGAATAGCGGTTGGTCTTGAGTAAGCTGCTCAGTAATTATTAGTCACTATTAAATTTATGACTCTGAAAATGGGCAGAGTCATAACAGACAATCAACACATTTTTACTCATAAACTGTGTGTTAAAATGATGGCTGATGCAGAAGTGTTGCAGGGAGAGGTTAAATGACTATTCAAAACCTGATGTATCCCCAGCCCTTGGTGCATAGTAGTTGGTACATAATAAATAATTGTTAACTAAATCAATTGAATGCACAACCCAGCCTTACTCATGCCAAAAGTCTCTTCATCAAACATAAATATCTAATATTCTTTCCATACAAAGGGAAACCAGCAAGAACATGGTTCTTTTATGCTAAGTGACAAAGAGCAGATTCCTACTTTTTGAAGGCTTTGAATATTTTTCCAGATGAAGACTTCATGCAGGTTTTCTTCTCCGGTAATGCCCTTTCTACCTCAACTTTCCACAAATTTAAATCCTGAGCCCCTTCTTTTAAGGCCCAATTCAAATTTCATCTCCTCTAAGAACTGTTTTTCCCCACTATTTCTCCCCCATTTAATCTTCTTTCTATTCCTACTCCTTACATTTACCTCAGCTACCATTAAACACTTAATTTGAACCTCACTGGACACAATAATATTAAAATATTGTGTAAGAATGGGAACTGGGTCATGATTGTCACTGCTTCCCCTGGAGAGCCTTACGCAAGAGGGAAATCTGCTTGAATCCTCTTGTTATGTGTGGAATTGTGGCCCCCCAAAAAGAAACATTGAAGTTCTAACTTCCATACCTCAGAATGCAGCCTTGTTTGGAAATAAGGTCCTTGCAGATGTAATTAGTTAGGATGACATCACACTGTAGTAGGGTGGGCCCCTTATCCAACATGACAGAAATGGCGAACACTACATGAAGACTGAGGCAGAGACTACAGTAATGAGGAGCCCAGGAACAACTAGGATTGCAAACCATGGCCAGAGGCTGGGAGAGAGGCACAGAACAGATTTCCCCTCACAGCCCTCAGAAGAGCTAACCCTGCTGACACCTTGGCTTCACACTTGCAGCCTCCAGAACTGTGAGACAATAGATGTCTTTTGTTTTCAGCCACCCAGCATGTGGGACTTTATCACAGCAGCCCTGGCAAAATCTCTATTGCACCTCTCCTCACATAGATGCTATGACACTGGACTCTCTTTTATTATGGACCTCTAGCCAGCCTTTCTTAATCTTGGTGGCATCACTCCCTTGAATCAGGCCTGTAAAAGTTAGGGTTTCTCCAGAGTTAGCCCCACACTCTCTTTTCGTCTCTGTTCTCTTTACACCCTCTCATCCACTACAACTCAGACACCATCTATACATTAAGGACACCCACTTCCATCTCCAGACCACCCCTTCCTCCAGACTCCTATGATCAACTGACTACTTGGCATCTCCATTTAGATAATTCAAAGCCGCTTTAAACTCAACAAATCCAAAAACAAAAGTCACCACTTTCTTAAACCTGGCTTTCCCCTTAGTGAGCCCCATCCCAATAAATTGTGCCTCTGCCCATTCAGGCATGCAGACCACACACTTAGGACTCATTCTAGGCTACGTCCTCTCCTTCACTCTCTACAGGTACTATCAAGCCCTATCTATTTCTCCTCCTGGAAATCTCTCAAATCTCACCAATCTTTCTCTGGTCTCCACCTCTACCTCTTTAATTCACTGTAGTGGATTAGTCTAGTGTAGTCATCTACTCCCTGGTTTACTGCAGTAATCTCTTGACTAGTTCTAGATCCAATCTTGCCACCCTCCAATTTGTTCACCATGCAAAGCTCAACTACATAGTCCAAGTAAATTTCAAAATGCAAATCTAATCCTTTCATCCCCATGTCTGAACAACTTCTATGGGTTTCCATTCAAGTTGGGATGAAGACCAAAATCCTAAACTGAGTTTATAAGACCCTGTGTGGACCAAGCCCTGTGCAGCTCCCTTGTTCTTGGTGCTCCAGCCACAGCAGTGTTCCTTTACGCCTTTGATTAGAACCATGATCCCACTGATCACAGGTCCTGTGCCCTAGCTGTTCCCTCCACCTGGAGAATCCACCAACCCCTTCACTTATTTAATGCTCCCCATTAGTCAATTTGGGCTCAAGACATCCGTTTCTCAGAAAAATCTTTCCCTGACTTCATCAAAGAGATGAAGCTCTCCTGTTCTCCTCTCTCCTGGCACCTTAAAAGCATAATTTATAATTATAAGAGTAGGAAAGAAGTTATCAACTAATTTATAATTCTACAGCTGTATGATTGTCAGATTAATATGGATTAGGGTCCTCCAATGAGGACTGAAACTCTTTGTTCCTGCTGTATCCCCAGCTCTCAGATCAGCATCCAGCACCTAACAGCTACTCAATAAGTATTTGTTAAATAATCAACAGTAAGCAAATATCCTTTACATATTGAAAGAAACTACTGTTTTAATTGTATACCATATTATGATGGAAATTATTTCTCTAGAAAGATACATACAGTATTTAATTTTCCTAAGGCTTCTACTGTAGCATAATGGACATACTATAAATGTGACAGGCTGGTTTACTGTATGTTAACTATATTTTAAATGCACTTCTTCTAATATTGTACTGTTAATAATTATGCTGCCATAAGCAATTATTAACTTATGTCACTCATCCAAAATTTCAAAGGTGATTAGTTGATAACTTCTTTGCTACTCTTATTCCAATAGTCCAAAAACAAGTAAATAAAATTTTACTAACAGTTTCGTATGTGATGTACTGTTGGTTTTATCACTAATTCTCTCTTCTCCAGGATCATCAACCTACTTGATATGAAAAACAGAATACATGAATAATGAAAACAAAGGTTATATCACTCCAACCCTATTAAACAATTTTCCTCAAAATTTTCTGAGTGCAGATCTTGGTACAGCTCTGCATAGGGACAGTGACAGCCACCGCAGCAGAAGCAACAGGTATGAATGACATCCACGTGACACTACATGCGCTGCAAGTGGCAACAATTCTGAGTGCATGTGGATTCCAAATAACAAATTTTATTCTCATTAACAGTGATGATAAAAAATATAACACATATTTCTAAATGATGGGAAAACATTAGTATTTCCTAACTTATTTCATTAAATAAGAATCTTATAAACAACTTCCAATCACACATGTACTCAACTACCACCAACCTTGATACAGAGGAGTCCAAAGTAAAGACAGCAAAGCTAATCCATATCCCAAATAATCATATCTGAGTATTAGACACAGAAATTCTGCTCTTATCAGATAAAGAAAGTAGCTTCACACACCTTCTCAAAATCATAATATGCTTCTGTAATTTTTTTTTTTTGAGATAGAGTCTTGCTCTGTTGCCCAGGCTACAGCGCAGTGGAGCAACCTTGGCTCACTGCAAGCTCCGCCTCCTGGGTTCAAGCAGTTCTCCTGCTTCAGCCTCTCGAGTAGCTGGGATTACAGGCATGCACCACCACGCCTGGCTGATTTTTGCATTTTTAGTAGACAGGTTTTGCCATGTTGGCCAGGCTGGTTTCAAACTTCTGACCTCAAGCAATCCACCCACCTTGGCCTCCCAAAGTGCTGGGATTATAGACGTGAGCCATCATGCCCGGAGCGTCTGTAATTTTAACAAGAACAATGTGAGCCATGAAATGAAACTACAACAGTCTCTCTACTTCAGTCTCAATACCTTTTTCCTTAAACCCTTTCCTCTTTGCCTCCCTATTTATTTTTCCCTATTTATTTTATTTACTTTTATTTATTTATCAATAGAGACCGGGTTTCGCCATTTTGGCCAGGCTGGTCTCAAAGTCCTGACCTCAGGTGATCCGCCTGCCTCGGCCTCCCAAAGTGCTGAGATTAAAGGCCTGAGCCATCGCTCACAGCCCTATTTATTTTTTTCTATTAAACGAACTCAAGAGTTAAAATTACAACAGCACCCAGAGAGTTGCCACGAATGTGGATGCGGCATTCTTCTAGCTGCATCCTCCTGGGTCTTCCACCCTAAAGCTTTAACAGACCGCGTGCCTCCTAACGACAGCATCTGGATGTTCTGCCCTGGCTTTGCGACGCTGCAGGCCTGTGGCTGTTTCAGAATTGTCTCCCCAAGATTCATGCCCATGAGATCATGCCAAGCTGACCTCTTCAGAACGTGATACCCTGAAGCACAGCTGTAAAAATAGAGCACTCCATAACAACTTCTTATTCACCAATAAAAAACATAATGTTCTTTCACTTTTAGGGAATTAACATGTTCATGTAATTTTTTGAAGACAAGGTGAAATAAATGAAGAAAAGAGCCTTAAGTTATATAAATGTATTTTCTCATGACAAAACAATGTAAAAACAAACACAGGTTCCAGTAATTTAGAAAAAGTGATGTCATAAAAGCCATGTAACCAAGTCTGAAGTCTCAAATCATTCCCACTATAATTTTTTAAATATTAACACCTGTAGTTAACACATTCATGTTTCTTTATAATACATAATTCCCTACCTATTATTTTACTTTTAAGTCATGCAATTTAGATTGTTTTATTCTTAAAATACATTCCTCTGCTTTGATTTTTATGTCTTTATTAACTTCAAGTTACCCATCTGTCCATTTCTCTACCAAATTTAATGACATTTTCATTTACTCACACTGGCTTTCTTAATTCCAGTATATTTTCAGTGTGTTCTTATTTTACAGTTACAAAAACACAAGCAGAAAGAAGCCTCAAAAATTATACAGACCTTTGAGGCAAGTCACCTCAACTTTCTTTTTTAATGAAACAGATTGAAATGAAAGTAAAATTAGAAAACAATACTGTTAAATGCCCTTTATGTGAAATATACAAAATATTCTCTGCTCTCTTCCTGATAGTTGTTTTCTTCGCCAGTTTCAGAGCTTTATAGTTTAATATTGACTCATAATTGTGCTTTAAAAATTAAAAAGCAAATCCTATTATATTCTTATTGGATAGGTAAGGAATGTATTTTACCAGCTGCAGCTCACATCAGGAACCGTCTATAAATGTCTTCTATGCAAATCTAGATCCACAGTAACAGGCTCAAATGCAAGCCATTTTTTTCAGAATCACATTTCTTTTAAGGAAACACATGTCACAATGCAGTTTATAATATGGGTAAGTTTATCATTATTCTACTCAAAGACCCACTTTTATAATTATTCTCTTACTTGCCTTCTACAAATAAAGTCCATGTTCAAACCTATTAAGCTTTGGGAAATAAGATGTAATATACATTATCTATGCAAAAATAATAAAATGGCATTTTAAAATACTGATAAGTTTATTGAGTTAAAAATTGATACCCTGACATGGATCTTACTCTGTTCCTTTCACATTTAGTGTGCTATTCTCTAGTAATGTTAATAAGTTGTAAATAAATGTAAGCAAACTCTACATTGGTCACTGATGTGAAAGAGCAAAGAATTAGTCCTCAAAGGAGGCAGAAATGTTAACCTATTCAAAGGATGTAACAACAGAAGTTGAAAAACACTTTGTTCTGTATAAAAACAGAGCTTCCTAAGTATATTTTTATGTCATTAGACATAAACTCTTTAAAAGTATTTCTACAGTAGGAAAGTTGGTTCTATCAAATTTAATTATTCTGTTCACTGTAAAGACACAATAGTTGGATCTTTCTATAAGCCTAACAAACATTTCCTCTACCACTCATTTTATCTCCAAAGGTAAGAATTACAGTCCCATTTTGTGTAACTGCTACATGAGGTCACAGAGTTATAGCTAAAAAGAAAGTCACAAATGTAAGGATAATATCCCTTCTATCATATTCTGCTACTTATTTGTCACTCAATTATCTTTGTATCTCCGAAGTCCTGGCTTCCAAAGGTTCGGCATGCAGAGCTGACCTTGGTCTAGTCCTCCGTCACATGTGAGTGGCTCACGGCTTCACTTTGAGCCCTACCCATGGTGTCCACTCTTGTACTATCCAGATCACAGGTATGTATTAAAGACCTCCTCTCTGACAACCAAGACCCCATGATTCTTATTGGATAGCAGGAGGGAGAACTCATTTGGAAATTCCCTAATTTCCAGGAAATCAATTCCTGAATACATCCTGTGCTTCAAGAATTTAGAAACTGGGTTATCACATAGGTAACAGAAGAATAAACTTCTCTGAAGAAAATAAAAGGGATGAGGTACCTACCACCAACAAGGAGATAAAAAATTTTATACTCAGATTGACTAGTCTGGATTAAAAATTTATTAATCCAGCTGGGCATGGTAGCTCACGCCTGTAATCCTAGCACTTTGGGAAGCTGAGGCAGGAGGATCACTTGAGCCCAGGAGTTCCAGATCAGCCTAAGCAACATAGGGAGAACCCATTTCTACAAAAAATTTAAAAAATTAGCTGGGAATCGGAGCACATGCCTGTAGTCCCAGCTACTTGGGAGACTGAGGTAGGAGGATCCTGTGAGCCCAGGAGGTAGAGGCTGTAGTGAGCTATTATCATGCCACTGCAATCCACAGTGAGTGACAGAGGGAGATCCTGTCTCAATATACATATATAAATCCATCTCTTTTCCCCAATTTATTCATTCATTCACCCATTCATTCAGCAAAAGTATACAGAGCTACAGTAAGGAAGCAGGTCATGAAAAAGGAAAGTCTGGGATTTGAATTAGGACTGCCGGAGCTTAAATGCAAGCTCCAAAACATACTAGCAGTGTGACAAGATATTTAACTTCTCTGCCCTTCCAATGTTTTCATCTATAAAATAAGAAGACAAACAGCCCTGCCTCAAAAAAATAAAAAGTTTAAAATATGAGGATAGGCTGCGCAAGGTGGCTCATGCCTGCAATCCCAGCACTTTGGGAGGCAGGCAGATTGCTTGAGGCCAGGAGTTCGAGACCAGCCTGGCCAACATGGCGAAACCTGTCTCTATTAAATATACAAAAATTAGCCAGGCGTGGTGGCACACGCCCGTAATCCCAGCTACTGGGGAGGCTGAGGCACGAGAATCGCTTGAACCCAGGAGGCAGAGGTTGCAGTGAGCCGAGATTGTGCCACTGCACTCCAGCCTTGGTCATACAATGAGACTCTTCCTCAAAAGAAAAGAGGATAACACATGTAAAAGGCCTAGAAAAGTGTCTGATGTTCAGTTTTTTTTAATTATCATTATGAACTAAAAATCCCATCAGATTCTGAAGTTACAGTGATAAAATAAGGCTCTATTGCCCTATCCCTACTGAGGATTACAATCTAAGTCAGGCCATGTATTAATCTCAAACCAGTAGTTAATCCTAATCTGAAATAACTAGGGAGAAAAAGGATTGTCAAACTTCTTTTGGAAATCTAGGACTTAATCCTCCTTTAGTCAGAAACTTTGGGATCTAATTTAAATGCCTTCTCCACACTTCCAAAAAATCAAAGCTTAAATAGTCAATCACCCTAAATAGCAAATGACAGATCAAACTACATGCTGGCAATTTCCTAATTATTAATCACTTTTCAGTTCTTATCTTACTTTAACTCTCCATAGCATATGGTATTGATGCTTAAAGTCTCTTTGGGGAAACTCAACTTCGTTGGCGTCTAAGACGTGACCCTTTCTTCATTTCCCTCCTCTCTGTCTAGTCCACATCCTCAGGATCTGGCCTCATCTTACATCTCTATCCCATTTTTCACAATCTCCCACTTGTCCTTTAAACTTCAGCCATACTAAGCTCTTTAAAATTCCCCAAACTCGCTATGCATTCTCAAACTCTCACCAAGCTGCTCTCAGTGTCTATTGATCCTTCCAAAGGCAGCTGAGGGAATGTTCCATTTCACCTCTTCTGCAAGGAGGGTTTAGGGCTCCCTCCAGGCCCTTCTTTTCACCCTCTGCTTCCCCCTACTTTTGCCCTTATTCCAATATCCTAATTCTTGAATTGCAAGTCAGTTCCTTCACTTGACTATGATGTCTTTGGGGATAGCAACACAAGCTCTCAATTCGCATTTAATAAATATAAATAACCACATAAGTATACTTCTAAAATTTTAAAATAGTAAGATCCAGAGTGGCCTGAACTTCATTTATTGAGTGCTTACTACAGGCCAGGTTCTTTACATATATTAGTACACTTAAGCCTCATAAGGTCTGTTTTAAGAGGTATCCTGGTTTTACAGGTGAGCAAACTGGAGGCTAAGGGGATAAACGTAACTTGCCAAAAGTCATACAACTAGAAAGTAACTGAGACAGTACTCAAACCCAGGCAGGCCAGCTCTGAAACCCACAGTTCTGGTCCCACTCTATACTGACTGCCTCTTTTCCAGTCGTAAGTCTGATTAAGCAACAGAACTGGCTCTCAATAAGAATTATGACATGTACATCCCTAGAGAGCCTCAAAAACAGATTTTTTTAAAAGACTGTCTTGTCCCCTCCTATTATTTTGCAGGTATGAGCATGTAAATACATAGTATTTATATGAACATGTATTCATGTAAACACATAGTACTCTCCAGAAAACAAACATGTTTTAATATAAATCCTGCCCAACATCTAACAAACTATTATCAATAAATCAGTAATTAGTAAATAATTATACCACTAATAAGAGATAAATATTTCATAGTTAAATATTTAGGCCAGGCGCGGTGGCTCATGCCTGGTAATCCCAGCACTTTGGGAGGCCAAGGCGGGTGGATCACGAGGTCAGGAGTTCAAGACCAGCCTGGCCAAGATGGTGAAACTCTGTCTCTACTAAAAATACAAAAATTAGCCAGGCATGGTGTGGGAGCCTGTAATCCCAGCTACTCGGGAGGCTGAGGTAGGGAATTGCTTGAATCCGGGAGGCGGAGGTTGCAGTGAGCTGAGATCGTGCCACTGTACTCCAGCCTGGGCAACAGAGCAAGACTCCGTCTCAAAAAAAAAAAAATCATAGTTAAATATTTAATAGTGAACAATAAGATAAGCATGAACCAAAATATAACAGATGACATTTAAAAATAAGATAGTTAATGCTACCTATTACATTTCCCATGATGTTAGCTACAGTCTCCTATGTTCCAACCAAGAGGATATATTGAACACTTTGGAGAAGATTTTCTTTTTCAAAACCATTCATATTTGATTCCAAATAATATTCCAATTCAGCTGATATATTGGATGGATCCCAAACACACCATCTGTTTTTTATTCAGTTGTACCTTAGCAAGGCAGAGAAATGAAGACCCCTTGCTCAAAAATTAATTTCAAGACAGTGACAGCAGATCATTTAACCAAACTCAGGGCCCTTCTGAGCTTGGAGCCCTGTACAAATGCACAGGTCACATGCCCACAAAGCCAGCCCTGTGGAGCCCCTAGATTCTATGTCAGGCACAGTACCAGGCAGGAGGTACAGCAACGGCTTTTAATCCATAATCCCGATGTCCAGAAAGGCTCAAATGTAGCATCAAAGATCCTGTTAGGCAATAAATAATCAAATATGAAATAGGTTTAAGAACTCAAAGAATCTTTGGATCTCAAACCGCTAGGTAAAGGCCGAGGGTTAAGTGCTAGTTAAAATGATTCAAATTCAAGTGGGCCTCTCTTCAGCTTTGCTAAATGTCTTCTTTTATAAATCAATAGGTCAATGAGCTTTTTAAAAAATGACTCTCATTAGATGCAAAAGGAGGACTGCAGATGATTAGAATAGTAAATAAAGCACCAGGATTGCAGTATCATGTTTCTTTCAGTGGTTTTTTAATTTAATAAATGTTTATTGTGCATCTGCTATATGTTTACATTTCATTAAAAATCAAATAATATCTCACTTTTTTAAACCTCTTACCAAAAAGAGAATTCTAAAATTATGACCGAAGACTACAAAATAGCATCTGAAATATGAGAGATAGCAGTATCATCTTTATTTCCTCATTCAGCACCCGTGCTCTGAGCAACTACTCCGGGTCAGGCACCGTTCTAGGCATTAGGCATTCAGAGAGGAAAAGACAAACTCTGCCTTTATTTATGTAGTTCATTGGAAAAGGCATACAGTAGACAACCAATTCTTTCAAAAAATACTGTTTAAGATATTTCAAATTGTAATTCCAAGATACAATGGAAGATTGCATTTATTCTAGGATTTTCCTCCAAGAAACATAAACTTCTCAGTTAAGAGGAAAAACATCTTCTCCTACTGACCCTAAACAGAACTATAGTTTTGGTCACTGCAAAGGCACAAAATTTTTCTGCAGTACAAAAGGTGGAATATATGCCCAAAAGTAGATATATTTGTAATTCATGTGTTAATCAAATCACATATGCTTAGACTATAATTACAGACAAGGTACTGGGTTTGGATTAATGTTATAAAAATTCAGAATCTATGCAGTCCATAAGGACTTTTCACACTCCATTTTTCATAAAATAGTATGTTAATCTCCTGGTGATTATGAGATTCAACTAATAAGTCTAAGGATCCTACTTAGCACCTCCAACATGATGCTGCATCAAAACTGGGGATTATTGTTCATACAAATCTGGAGTAACTGGTCCCTATAATACTACTACTAAATACTTTCATAGTACCTTTGCGGCCACATCTTTTGAGGCCACATAGTTGGGTCCTCTGCCTTCTGTCTATTTACTCTCTCTGTTTTAAATCTTATAGAGAGTAAACAGATAGAATGCAGGAGACCCAATATGTGGCCTCAAAGGATGAAACTAACATGCACTTTAGAAGTTCTCCTTGTTCTACCACACAAACGTTCCATACAATTTTATTGTGAAGGAAAAAAGGGAATGAGAATCAATATTTTTAGAAAGTAATCTTGCATTAACATAGTGCTTTCTAGTTTTATGAAACTTTGTCACTCACATAACCTTGTTTGTCCCCAAATTGTTTAACTGTAAGAGTGTACTATAATGGATTCTGCTCTCCTAACATAATACCAAGGAGCCACAACCTTCCCTCTATTCTTAATCTCCAATTTTATTTTCTTAAGTGGGCCACTAAGTATATCTGTACCAACATTTTTGTGCATTTCATAACCCATAACTTTGCCACCATAACAACTTGAACTAAGCTCAGATAGGAAATAGGATCGTTGTGTTATATTTTGTCAAGGAAAAAGGGAAAAGCTACCCCAAAAAGACAAATTTCAAAAATCTAAAGCTATTATTCCAGATGTACTCAAATAACCTTAAATTTCCTTATTGCATAAGTAAGCTGAAAGTTTCCCAAGAAAAATGACATCGTACTATATGCACATCTCATAATCCTATGGGGACTTCTTTTAAATGAGAACATTTAGGCAACACTACTGAAAGCATACATAAGTCAGCGGTTAGCTTCATGACTCAGTTTAACTTAAACATGTAAACATAGTGTATGTTCCAATTTGGAATGATTTTTGAGGTTTACTAGAAACTACTAAATAATATTTTCATTTAGTAAGTCCTTTCTCTGTCAACTCTTTGATGTAAGAAACCTTAGCAGACCTCCCAGTGAACTTTAGCATTTTGGCTGTGTGTCCAAAAGAACAATCTACCATTACAAAGCCTATTCATGAGTCAACCAGGGACGTAATCACAATCACGACTGCTCAGCTGATACGACTCTTCTTTATCATACCTGCAAGTATGGAAGACACGTAAGATTCAAGTTACTAAATTATAGATTATTAGTACTAAACATCGATTCTTAAATATAGTTCTAAAGATGATTCATGCAAATTTAAACTTTTTTTAAATTTAACAGCTTGGGTTAACTTGCTTGTGTTCAACTTTTTACGTCTACCTCTAGCAAAATAATATTATTATAAAAACAGTAAAAGTCCATCTAATAATTTCAGTATAATAAATCCAGGGCTTTGACACTGTCTTCAAATTCACAAGATCATTAGTATTCTTTTAAACCAAATTAATCATATTCCCTAAATAACAACAGCTAAAATCATGAACACTGAGATCATTTTCTTGTAATGATTCTGTCTGGAAGTGTATTAACGGCATGATGTTTGTGCTTTGCACTAAACATTCATATCTTTGTTTCCACAACAAAGTAAAAAGGTGGCAGTTAGAGGGAGAGTTAAACAAGGTTTCCTGTGAGGGCTTTGTGAAAAGAAAGAGCGTATATTCTATCCGGGCAATGACAAACGGACTCAGGCCTCCTGAGGTCAGCGCTCCTGGGCACCATCAGGCCCCACTTCGGGAGCCCCCGGTGCTCCGGGCCCACCTGACTGGGCGTCCTCTGAGTCAGGGAGGTGCCAGTGCTGTGGTCCCCGCGAGCCCAACTGTCCCCTGACCCCCGGGCTTTTCCGCACCGTGGAGTCCCCCGACACGCTGGGGCCAGTGAACCCGGGCCGGGGCGCGCGTTCTCCCTCCCGGACCAGCTCCCGGCGCTGGGCCCGCGGCCGAGAAACTAGGTCTGGGCCGGCCCTGCGGCGGCCGCCGGGCGCGGCGAGCCCCACTTTCTCCCGGCAGGAAGGGGGGAGGCCGAGAGCATTTCCTGTTGTGCAGCTGAGCCCTGCGGAGACGTCATTGCATTCATGCTCCCTCGGGTGTCAGCGGACGGGGGGCCAAAGTTCAAGCCGCGTCCAGGGCAGGCAGCGCGCGGCGGCGCGGCGGCGCGGGGCGGGCGGCCAGGGCTCCCCTCTCCCGCTGGCGCTCCCGGCGCCTCCGTCCCCGGCCGGCCCAGCGCTGCTACCGGAGGCCAGCCCTGGGGCTCCGCGGGGAAGAGCTGCTCTTCCTCCCGGAGGAAACCGAGCTCGCAAGCCCAGCGCTCCCAGCCGCAGACTGCAGGCTGCCCTCCTCCACCGCCTGGATTTCCCACGGGGAGGAAAAGGCGTGCGTTTCCAGGTGTTTGGAGGACGCACTGGCCGGGCGCACTTTCCTCAGCGTAATTTTGAACGCAGTTTCCCTAAAGATGACTCTTTTTTCCACTAGGATTATTTCCAAGTCATCAAAAGTGAAAAATCACGTAAGTGTTGTTGCAGTTGTTTTCCCCTCGTTTTCTATCTCCTTTCCAATTGTGAATTCCGTAAATAACTGTCAGACATAAAACAGGAAAAGGAACATTTCTTCACTGCAGAGCTCCAGTAAGGTGAAAGTAGGCAAGAAGGCCCCCTGAGACGTTTCTAAAAGCATATTCTATATGTTTTCATTATGAAAACACCCACTGCACTCCTTTTATTTATTAGGACCTTAAGTTATCCTATCTCAACTAATACTTTTAACAATCAGAATCTCTTAAGAATCTTTCAATCTTATACTTATCCACTTTAATAGCCAACAAAACCTTTAGCCAGAGTGTTTTAAAATGGAAATTACCTGTTCATGTTTCTTAAAGATTTTTAAAGTCTCCTTCTAAATTTCCAGCCTTCCATTTAGTTTCAAGCCATAAACCAGATTATAACAATGTGTAATTGTAGAGAAGCTGTGGCTTACGGTTAATAACGATTAAAAATAAGGCCATAAGGTATTTTATGATCATTTTGAAATAAAAAATTGAAATAGTTTAATTTCAGCTTGTGCAGTTTGAGACAGATCGTCAACTACAAAACAAATTGTAGATTCTGTTCTCATGGTGAACAAACATTACAGATGTTTTACTGTGTCAACATCTCTAACATTTGAACTAAGCAATGTTTCACATCAGGACATGAATTAAAACAATGTAAACTATGGACCTGGGGTGACCATGATGTGTCGATGTAGGTTCTTGGATTATAACAAATGTACCACTCTAGCGCAAGACTTCGATAGTGGAGGAGGCTGTGTGTATGTGGGGACAGGAAGTACATGGGAAATCTCTGTACCTTCCGCTGGATTTTGCTGAGAAGCTAAAACTACCCTAAAAATATAAACTCTATTTTTAAACATATGTTTAGGGTTTTATGAGTATCCTGATACTTAAAATGTGCATTGCATTGTAACCTATGAATTGACAAGAAATTAATCTTAAGAATTGGCACAGAAATCATCTCGATGTTTTCATGAAGTTCATCCTCGGTTCTACTGCTTCTTGATAAACAAGTTTCATGTTTAGAAGGTTACTGAAATTTTTTTATATGGTAAAGGCACATCAAAGACTTTACCATTTAATATATATTAGTTGTCCTATCCAGTCATGTACTATTTAAGGCAATATTAAAGGTAACTTAGATTTCCCCACTTACAGTGATGCAAAGCCCTTCAATAATATTCTGTTGTCTTATTTCCTAAACATCTGAATAATACAACTTTATCACATGATATCTTAAATTTGCATAGTATATTAGAGTTTGCTATTTGCTTCACATATATATATTTCTATCCCGATTTTTTCAAGAAATAGGCTCAGAGAACTGAAATCTCCACTCAGTTCAGGACTAGCATAGCTAGTCTTTCAATCTTGCTGAAAAGCAATCGCAAACTCTTCTCATTTTCAAACTCCTTATTCCTAACTGCAACCACTTCTTTACTTCCCAGTGGCCAGTGCCCCTGAGTGTGAGTGCTGAGAGGGGCCTGCAAAAAATCTAATCACATCCAACTGCTTTATTTACTTGGCTTCCCAAACTGTATCAAATGATTCTTGACTGTAAATGTGATTCCACTGTATCCAATCCTAGGAAATACTGTAGTGGATATCTGTTTCCTGAATGATCTTACACCAACTTTTTTTGGGGTGTCTTTTCTCCTTCATATCAATTGTTCTTTTATCCATTAAATCTCTGCAGCAATTCTTGTGTTTTTGATTTGAACATACTTATACTTGTTCCTTCAAATCATCTGCCAATGGTATACAATTAGCACTCCCCAAGCTGCATGTGACTCCCCAAATACTGCCTAAGCTCAGTGAAGATTTTATTCAAAATTCATGCTCTCTGGTCTATACCTAGTTGCTGATGATGGCACTTGGAAAGGACAAAGAGGGAAGACTTAAAAATGTTTTATTTTATAATCCTGATTACAGGCTAAATAAAATCAGTATTACCATAAATTTAGTATAGACTGAGGATATAAAGATCAGTATGAGAACGGTAAGATAAATTAACTTATGAATAAATACACAATTGAAAATATAAACCAGAACAAAAAAAAAGGAGTTCTTCAGGTTCCTGGTGCTATTTTCAAATGCACCTCTTTTACACCATGAAAGAGAAGAAATAACTGTGAGGATAAAAGGAAGTTTTGCAGGATAATGTATTTTACACTTTCTCTTTAGAAAAAAATTAAAGTGCTCCACTTTTGTTACTTAAAGTACATCATGAAGTGCGCAATTCCAACCTAAGAAGATATATTATTTCATACAATGAAAAGGATTAAGACTTGAAGTTTCCCAAACTAACCATTTTAAAACTCATTGTTTCATTCAGGATTGGTTTCATTTAAATGTGTAGTTAGAATATGAGAGAAACAGTAAGTTGTTACCATAATGTTTGGCTCTCCATGCTTCTGAGATCCAAGTTCTCTAACTCAAGAGTCTCCACATTTTCATAGACTTTGAAAAGTCTTTGATATGGCCAGACTGTATCTGACAGGCTGACTTGTTTCACAAACTGGCCTCCTCTCTAAAAATATTCAGAAGGGCATACTAAATTTTCACTCTTCTCTAACAATAATCAAATTGAGTAATATCCTTCTCAAATGAGCTTTCACCAGTCATTTGTTGTTTTTCCAGAAAACTGACTCCCAAGATATGTGATGACAAAATCAAGACTCTCTTCTTTCTGAGGTCCACATCCTATTTCCATGACACACTAAACGACTGTGTTGTTCCTCTACAGCCAGTACTTTCCCAAATCAAAGCCCAGCTCAAATTAAATAGCTGAAATGAAAGGAAGGGAGCTCACTGAGTGAACAGATATATATAGGAATGAAGAGAGAAGTGAATCATGCACACATACTCATGAACATATAAGAATGAATGAACCATTCATGAAAAACCTACCTACCTACTTGCTTGCTTCACAATCTTTGGTTCCTATAGAACCCTTTTCTACTGTGGTATCTCCAAGCTCAGTGGCTTTATTTTTCTTACAAACTACCCATAAAACTATAACCTTCTCTTTATTAAGTGGCCTTCAGCACAAATTACTAATGCCTCAATCCCTTCAAGGCTAGCTAACTAAACAAAGTACAGCCCCTGTAACTGAGACAGTCCCAAGACCTGCAGGTGGTTCCAGGACTATTCATTCACTTCTCTGGACAATAACAAGATGTATCATCACCTCGTACCTTTCGGGCTGTAGGTAAAAGTCAATATATTCTCAGATGGAAATATATTTACATAGTACTCAAGTGTTTGAGAGCACATCTCCTTGTTCAGCCTCCATCTATATTAAATACTTCAGAATAGGCCCTCAATGAAATCTAAGTAATAGTTAAGTACTCAGATGGCCTATAATCAAGCATGTTATTGAAACAGCAGTGTCCCCACATGAATTCAAGTAAAACAAAATTATTTTTTATTACAATATAGTATTTTCCTATTCTCTCCTAGTCACTCACAAAGTCCTCTGTACTTCTCCAGAACCAAAAGTGTGACTAGAGCTAAATCTAAAATGTATTTATTTCCATAATGATTAAAAGAAAAGTTCCAAAATCAAAGTACCCACTCAGGAAACAATAACTTCTATTTTGGCAACAGATAATTATTAAATCTCAACTCTCTTCTAATATATCACTTCTGCATATAGGTCTACTTGTTCTATCAAATATGTGACCATTTAAATATTCCTTCTTTACTATTCATTATGTGGAATAAGTCATCTGTGCAGGAAAATTAAGAGAGTTTTCTCATAGGCACTAAAGGCAGTCTAGAGCTCAAGTAGGAATTTTTTTAATTGTTATTAAGATGCAACAAAACTTTATTGTATGCGTTTAAACTACTTGTAAGACTGCTATCTATATAGTGCCTTACAGTATGCTATATAGATAGCAGTCTTACAAGTAGTTTAAATGCATACAAGTACTTCCAAATATTCTGTATCCCCATTTTTAATCAACAGAAAAATATAAATTGACGAAAAGGTTAATTTATACTAAAATGACAATCATTTGAGCTCAGCCTAGTATCAGTATGGCATGTCATTTATATTGCCAAAAAGTAGGAGGTAGAAAAGGTATGTGTAACTGGCACAGGTGTGAATATAACAATACATCCATCAGCAATACACTTACTTTAGCTTCATGATTAAAGTCACTATCCTTGAGATTGCTGGCTTTCTAGGACACAGACAGTATATAAAAATAATATGCCAATTCAAAGCAAACATGTCTTCTATGCAAAATACATATACTCCTTGCTACTTATAAATGCAGTTGAATTTTCTGCATAGAAATTTTCACATACTTATCTTTTATCTGTTCGTTTCATTTCATTAAATTGTGTATGTAGTTACAGAACTGTTCAATTCAGGGACCAAATTCTCAATGGGGTAAATTACATCTACCATTATCTATCGTTTTAAGTCCAAACCCCTTAAGCTGGAATATGAGTCCTTAGACCATATATCCCTATCTTCCTAACTTTCTCACCAACATTTACTTAATACATATTTTATGCTTCCCTCAAATGAAATGCTTCTCTGAAAATACTCTTGACACTTTCCCATATTGGTGTGTGTGCCCAGGTAAAGCATTTCCTTTTGCTATCTCCTGAGTCCTCGGCCAGGGTTGATGTTGCGCCTTCTCAGTACTTCACGTGTGCCTCTCTCATGGTACTTAACCTGCTTCTTTTAATTACCGCTTCACTTACATCATTCTTTTCCTCAGTATGGTAGATTATAAAGTCCTGATGATGAGAATAGTGACTCTTCTTTATATTTTATGTTCTACTTACATTTATATTCTATCTATATTTATACTCTACTTCATATTCCCATATATCTTGCACATACCAGAATCTCAAGAATTATATTTGTTAAAATCAATTTGCATTACATTATTATACATTCCAACTCTGTTCTAGTTATACTACATAAAAAGTCTCAGCAAGCATGGCTAGTCCTTTTCTGTAAAACGTTTCTAAGCCAGTTGGTAAGAGGCTGTCTTCTGGAAAGTAAATGGTAATAAGCAATTTATTTTTGAGGAGTTATTAAAAAAAACTCAGCCTGGAGTAAATTTCAGACATGAACAATCTGATCCCTGGGAAATTAATAAAATAAAAATGAAAACAACATCCTATGAGGTCTAGTTGAAAGAACTGGGAATATTTAGCCTGGAGAAAAGAATACTTAAGGTGAACAAGATTGCTATCTTTAAATAATTGTAGGATTGTCATGCAAGACAATGAGTAAACTTGTTCTAGATAGCTGGAGAGGGCTCAACTGCTGGTAACTAGAAATGTCCAAGAACGGAATAGGCCTCCCTAAGAAATAAAAAGGTGTTTAAGTAGAATCTGAATGCAAGCAGTCCTTGGTAATTTGTCCTAAGTGATTTCTTGCTCAGTTAGAGATTAAATGATGCCTCCAATAGTTTTATCTAATCCTGAAATTCTGTAAGAAACTTTACATTGCAGAGTGTCCTGTCACCAGTTGACAAACCAAAACTGAAACATCAGATCCTACACCTAAGAAAATTAATCAGCATATTTAAACTAGACACTTTAAGAGATGCCCTAAATAAGGCATCATTGCAGTAACACAAATTGTATCACAATGAAAGGAAGAAGTAAAATTTCTCACAAAAAGCTCAACTGGGACCGATGATGCAGCCTGCTCAAAACCAAAAGCTGACCTATCAGAAAGAAAGCAATGGGAACAGGTTGCACTAAATAAGGAAGCAGTCATTTGCATGTTCCAAAAGAACCTCAGAATTTCATTTCTTCATGCCTGCCCCACTCACTGCCTCGTTTATTTAGAAATACTTACATGTCAAATACAAATAAGAATAGTAGCCTGATGTATACAACTGTGTGGCATACTGTAAAACTTTGAAATGAAATTTAAACCAAATTGGTTTGGCTCAAAGGAAATTAAAAATGTTAGATATACTGTTTGGCATTGTTTGATTTTTAAAGCTATAAGAAGGCTTAGTATAATAATAGCAGGCTTCAAAGCAATGGGAATTTTGTGATTAATTTCAAAATGTCTTCTGTTTGCTTCATACTGCTCTCATCCTACAGCCGACAAGAATATAGGAAAAGAAGGACTATCAGGATAATATCTTCACAATATAAATTATTGGGATTATTTGTGAAGATGTAAAATTTTTCCAGATGGCTATTAATACCCATCAGGACCATTTTCAGACATCATTAGGTTTCACATTAGCAAACTCCCACCAAACATAGCCAAAAACCAACTGATGACTGAAAAGACTTGGACTTTGTCCATTAGAAAATTTAATTTCCACACTCAGTGTCTAATTATTTGTTATATTCTATACTGTCAGATTATTATTTTAAAAGGTCATTTAGAATATTCTCAGCCACTTGACCCATTTTAAAATTTACACTTGATTGAAGTTGGGCACCAAGTTTATCATGAATAGTACTAAGGTCATTTGAAAAAGTAAACAGATTACAAATCCAAAAACAAATGTCTTTAGAGCCCTTTCCTTTTGTTTGAATGTGGGTATAACTCTCTGAATACTTTGTGACACAAGTGCATTAGTGACCTACACAAAATTTAAATCCATCAGGAGATATTATAACAAGCTGTGGAACTGCTGACCATTATCTTTCTGAAAACAATTACATAGGCCTGTAATAAATTGCATCAATATCAGTCAATTATCTCAACAACACTTTACTAACCCTTGTCACCAATGTATTGCTGTATATCAGATTTTTTTCAACAATTGAATTATTCTCAAAACTTAGTGTTGCTTCACACACTAAAAATAGCCACTCTAATTCTCTTGTGTTACCCTGCTGTATTCCCAGGAGGTAGGGGAGTGCTATAAACAATGCTTCATTTTTACAGATGAAGAAATAATGAAATATAACAGAGGTACAGCCTCTTGGCCTGAATCCTTTTGAAAATCAATAATAAGGCAAGCAATCAACTAGTGGGGTCAGAGTTTCAAGTCATCCATTCTGGTGTTCTCTAGAGCTCCAGTGTAGGCTCTAATGAGCACAGCCTCACAAGAGCAGAAAAGATATCTGAAATCCTCATTTTACCCAAAAAGGCTACATCTCTATATCTCTCCCAACATAAACTTTGACACATGACTACTGACAAGAAAATAAATTGAATGTTTATAACCCTGGATTTTTCCCTTGCTTAGAGAAAGCGAATTTATTAAAATGTAAGCATCAGCAGAAGAAAGAAAAATAAGTTTGATAACTATTCCATGGATAATTAGAAGCTGAACTTCCCATGATCTATCCATAAAGTACTGGACCAGCCATCAAGACCATCCCAAGGGACATTGCTGAGTTGCAAAAACAGAGGCTTTCACCACTTGCTTTGCATGAAAGGAAACCGTTTCACCCCAGCCTTTCCTCCTCCATTTGTCTTGGCCTACATGGGGCAAGGGTGTGTAGTGGTGGAAAGGAATACACTCCCTCTTTCACACCTAATTGATCCAAACAGGCACACCAAGAAACAATGCTTCCTCAAACTCCACAATCATGAGCAACAGCCACCTTCACACAGCGTCCTTCTTAGAGCACCCTGAACAGAATATGGTCAAAGAAAGCTGTCCTAGATGGAAGAATCACAGTTCAGCTATAAGCTCCCCTATCCAACTGTAGGGAGAAACATAATTCAAAAAGGCCCTATCTGTTCACTCGCTGCAAAAACAAATGGGAAGTTTAGAGCCTGGGAAGCCCGCAACTATGGGTTTAAGAGATGTTTGGGATTGCTGGATGGACACATGGAGGCACTTGTTTCCTGGGGAACATTAAAATCAAATGTGCCAAGAAGCACTTAAGAGTGCACAGACAGGCTGGGTGCAGTGGCTCATGCCTGTAATCCCCGCACTTTGGGAGGCTAAGGCGGGGTGGATGACTTGAGCCTAGGAGTTGGAGATCAGCCTGGGCAACATGGCAAAACCCTGTCTCCACAAAAAGTGCAAAAATTAGCTCAGTATGGTGGCAGGTGCCTGTAGTCCCAGCTACTTGGGAGGCTGAGGTGGGAGGATCGTTTGAGCCCGGTAGTCGGAGGTTGCAGTGGAGGCCCAGATCGCACCACTGCACTCCAGTGGGGGCAACAGAGTGAGACCCTGTCTCAAAATAATAATAAAGTAAAGGTGCACAGACTGATGAACTCTGGCTATTGGCACAAAGACTAGACAGGACTTGAGCTCCTGGAGGATCTCCTTCATCTGGTTCTCATGGCCCCCATCTTATAGTGTGGCAGGTGTTTTTCCTTACCATTTGGACCGTAAGCTTCTTGAGAATTATGACTTTAAACATCCACCAAATATCAACTGTATGCCCAGCACATGTCATACACTGTATTGAGCACACTTTTGTGAAAGTGAAACCATCCTAATCCACTAGAAATTTTATAGCAAAAATTATCAGTTAAAAGATGAATAATTCACTTAAACAAGATTAAAAATATAAACTCTGAATATAATTTAACTACTTCACTTTGGCAAGCTTATAAATGCATTTAACAATAGGATGTGTCACAAAAATTAGCCGCGCATGGTGGTGCCAGCCTGCAGTCCCAGCTACTCAGGGGACTGAGGCGGGAGATCATTTGAGCCCAGGAGGTCGAGGTTGCAGTGAACCGTGATCGCGCCACTGCACTCCAGCCTGGGTGACAGACCGAGAACTTGTCTCAAGAAGAAAAAAAAAGGATGTGTCATTTGTAAACCATTTTTTTCTTGCCCATAATAAAACAGCCAGCACTTAATTCTCTCTCTCTCTCTCTTTTTTTTTGAGATGGAGTCTCACTCTGTCAGACAGGCTGGAGTGCGGTGGGGCGATCTCGGCTCACTGCAACCTCTACGTCCCGGGTTCAGGCGATTCTCCTGTCTCTGCCTCCCAAGTAGCTGGGACTACAGGCACGTGCCACCACACCAGGCTAATTTTTGAATTTTAGTAGAGATGGGGTTTCATCATATTGGCCATGCTGATCTCGAACTCCTGACCTTGTGATCCACCCACCTCAGCGTCCCAAAATGCTGGGATTACAGCCGTGAGCCACCGCCCGACCACCAGCACCTAATTCTACTAATTCTACAGGTATGAAGGGCCATAATGCTGAACCATAAAAATGAATTTTTAAAAAATCTAGTGCTATAATATTTAGGTGTCAAAAACTACCTTACTATGAAATATATGTACATACACACATACACATATATATAAAATAAATGGGGTATTTCATTAGTGATTTAATAAGTCTTACGATGTTTCTTTGTTATTTGGGTTAAGAGAGACCACTATAAAAGCAGAGATCCTGTAAACACTGAAAAGTAATGCAGTGACTGAATTAGCCATAAAAAGTTTCTAAATTAGTCTACTAGAATGTAAACTCCATGAAGGCAAGGAATTTTTTTTTTTTTTTTTACTATTTTTGTCTATTGATGGATCTCCAGTGTCTAGAACAGCCCTTTCCCAGAGCAGGTGCTTAATAAATCTCTGTTGAATTAATAAATTTTTTTAGAATTAAAGTCAACAGTCCTGTGAACACCCAAGTTGAGTCTCTTAAGTAGGCCCAAGGCCCCACGAGTAATCACTGGTCCTCTGGCTCTTGCACAGAAGTTCGAGTGGGGTAAGGGGTAATTCAGGCCCCAAAAGCTATTTTTAGAGCAAAAACTTCAGAATGATTTTCCACAAAGAACCAGAGAATTTAGTTCACTTCATTGGCATAGCACTGGCTGAGCTCAGTGAGAAACACCCCAGATTTTAATTGATATTTCCATTTGTTAACTGTTAAATGTGAAACCATGTCATTCTAACATTGTTTCTTAAACCATTTCAGTCAAGAGTTTAATGGACCATTTGAAAATATTTAATATTTTACTGTCACAACAATTTGAATTGTCCTATGTTTTTCTTATAGTCTAATACCTTGTTAATAATAACCCATAGCTACCAGGTATTAAACGTTTACTATGTGCTCATTGAGATGGGTACAAACATTCTCATAAAAATTTCCCAATGACTCTTGAATGGGTATTATCCTCATTTTGTAACCTCAGGGAGGTTAAGTAACATACCCAAATTCCCCCAGGTGGTGGTGGAGCTGGAATTTGCCCTATTCTGTCTGACTTCAAATCGAGGTTCTTAATCCCGTGGGCTACCTGTTTATCCATATACTACTAAGGGGAAACATTGTGCTAAGTGATAAATATGGTTGGCCTTTTTTAAATATTTGAAATAATTTTGATGTGTAAACAATTGCTTATACTGCGTGAAATGGTAAAAAGACAAAGCATTTTCGGAGCCAAAGAACCCTGAGTTGGAATCCTGCTTCACCAATGACTAGCAAAGCATCCCCACAAAAACCTTTCCGAATGGAAGTTTCTTTAAGTATACACATCAAGATAAAAAACTAAATCTTCTCAGGTTGGTTGTGAGGGCTAAGTGACGTAATGTGGAGAGAGAGCCTGGGATGGAGCCTGGCACAGGTGAGTGCTCTTTAAGCCTAAATTGCCTTCCTTCTAACGGATTTGCTAAATTGGCACTGTGCTGATTTTTTTAAGTGTTTAGTTCATCCTTGTAATACCATAATTACAGAATATAATGACATTGCATTCTCTACAACTACAAAGTAGAATTTATAAACTGATAGAATATGAGCTGGAAGAAGCTTTAGGAGCCATCTGTTCCAATCTCTTCCATTTCCAAATGAGGTCCAAAGAGCTTCGATGACTTGTTTCCAAGTTTTCACAGAAAGTTAATTGCAAAGACAGGACTAGATCTTGCGTCCCTCCCACCCCCACTCCTGCTATACCCTTCGCTTTTGCTTCACATTACACAGGCATGGCAACGCATGTAATTTTCTAACAATTAAGCAGTATAAAATAACCTCAATTTAATTGCATCCAATTAACAAGCCAAATTAGCGTTTCATATGTACACTATTAAACTAGTTGTCTGCCTTCCAAAAGAAATAAAACACTGTTTCAAATAAATCTAGCGTTTTGGTGAACAAAGCTACTTACAGTTTAAATCACCTTTCCTATAATCTTCTTTATATGGAATTAGACATTAATCTCCATTTTAAAAGAAATATTTTCTGCAACTATCAGGATGAGAATTCACGCTGTATTTAAGTAGCAAAATTTTCTCTCTCACAGAACACCTATGGTTTTCTATGATTTGTATATGTGTGTATGCACACGTGCAAACCTGTACACATATGCACGCTGTCAGATCCCTAATCAAATACAAACGAAGGTGTGTCCACATTTACCTACTGCCCTAGTTTCAAAAGTCCCACCTTTTCCCTAGGCTTCTGAACTCAAGTGAATCTGCCACAGTGCAAATAATAAGAGCTTCGATGATCTGCTTTTTTTCTTCTTGCAGAGAAAATGAAACCATTAAATAAATCTTTGCCAAACAAAGCACTGCATTTCAAATACACTGCACTACACTATCTGTCCAGTATTGTAATGATTTAGATACAGCTGGGTATCAATTAAAAAGCAGTATTCCAGTTAACCACGAAATGAATCAGTGGCCCATTCCTTATACATGTATCCCTAAAAATATAATTACCTTGTAATTTTAACTATAAACATGTCTGCAAGTTGGTGTTTGATGGTCAACTTTCACTACTAATATTTATAAATATATTCCGTAGTAAAAAAAATTTTATATTAGGTTAAAATAATAATGCACTACTTAAAATGTTCAAATTGACAACCTGTCATACACATTTGGCAATGTTTAACAAAATATTTTAATCACTTTTGTTACTTACTTTTAGGGTACTTTTAAACACATCAATTAACAGAGTAAAAGAATTCATATTATCATTCAGTAGGGGCAACTTTCATTACTTCTCTTTAGGATATTTTGGCAATCTAACTGTCTCCTTGCCACCGAGATATTCATCCCATATACCCTCATAAGCTTTCTGAAACACACACTTTATAGCATCACCTCTCTGCTCAAAAACCTTCAGTGATGTCCAGCTTTCTCTGCAGGTCTTTGAGGCACCACAAGATCTGGAGCTACGTACCTTTCCAGGCTCCCAACTCTTCCTCTGCCCTGGTACTATCCCTGTCCCCTCCCATCCCAGGTCAGAGTATGAGGAGCTCCTGACTCCCTTCTTTACTCAGTGAAATTCTACTTAACATTCAAGATCCTCAGTAAAAAAAAGAATCACCTCCTCTCATAAGAACCCTCTAATCTTTCCAGTTGGAAAAAATCCTGCTTCCATTTATACTCTACTCCCAATTGTAAGTTTTAATAAAGTTTACTATAAGCCATGTCTCTTCTAGATTGTAAAATGTTTGAAGTTGGAAATCATCATCCTTTTATCTCTGTTGCTCATTCTGACTCTTGATCTGACTGCAGAGCCCAAGCTTGGAACTACTACATAAAATAGACTCTTTTTGTCACCTAAATTGAATCTCCTACATTATATAAATTATAAAACAGAAAAAAAAGTAATCAAATGATGCAGTGGAAAAAATAAAGGAAAGTGATTTTCACTAACCTCTGTTTCTACTCTTTTGCTTCATATTTTCATATCACACAGACCCCTAATCACATGGAAAGTAAGAAATCAGAACTAAATTTCTCCAAAGATCCTGATACTTGCAATCATGAGGAGAAATTATTGGGATACTTGAATGTCTCAGCCCTTTGCTAGTTGTTTGAAAATATATAGATCTAGCTCATGCAGGGCTCCAAAGATTAATTGGTTACTTCACACAGCGACCTTGTAAAGACTTCTGAATTGGTAGTTATTTATTAATTGAATCAATGATGCTGGCTATTTTTGTTAACTGGAGCACCAAATAAGTATTTTTAGAACTTAAATTATTTGTTATTAAAAAAATCTGCAAATAATAATAGTTAATTTACAGGTAAGTCCTTCAAACTGAAGTCATTACATATAGAGTCATTAAAAATTCCAGGTGCTCCAAAACAATTGATGTGGAAGCACTGAGAAGAGACAGGCGTTATGCACAAGGTTCTTCCAATTTCAAGGTCCTACCCCTCAAAATTGCCTCTCCAAGGATCAACCTGTAACATGATCATTTGGAGGGTCATGATGTGTCCTGATTTGCCAAAGGCAGTCCTCACATATGTCAGGTTGGATAATCATTCCTGTGGTCAACCTTCCTTCAAGGCCCTGCATTACCTTTCTCTTATCAGCCCCACTGGCTTGTTTTTAACTCCTGGAAGGAGCTCCTTTAGTGGTTCGGGTCATTATTTATACCCTGCGTGTCTAGCACAAGGCCTAATCTACAGGAAATACTTGTTGAATGACTGAGAGAGTGAATTGCATTGACCAGCAATAACAGGGCACCAGTCGTAGTACTCTGAATAGAGGATTAAGATTATATGTGAGTGACAAGTCAAAAAGGTTGGCCCTGGGTACTTCCTGAACTTACTTCCATCACTCTGTGACCCAGAAGTAGCAGGTGAGACCCCCTCTGCTTTCTGCCGAGAATCACCCTCAGGCACATAAACATCATGTTCATCTCTTCCTCTCTCCAAAGCACTTTCTCAAATAGATGTAAACAATTAGATCCCAAATTTTAAGGAGGTTGGAAATCTAAAGTTATAGACACTTGTAGAAAAATCACGTCATAGAAAATACCTCAAATGATGAGTAATGGGAGTGTATGTTAAGATAGCACAAATTCGGCCTAGAACAATAGTGACCCAAATATCAGGCAGTTCTGATTCTATTCTAAATGCAGTCACGAAGCCAGTTTAGGCCTGTGTCTATCTAATGTCGATATTCACGGTCCATCTCAGAGAAGCCAAAGATTGCACAGACTAAGAAACCTGTGTTATCCTCTTTCCCACGACGATTTTGGAGTTGTGACACAATAATAAAATGCTAAAATGTTTTCCCAAATTAGTTAGTGGCATCTCATAGCTACAAATACTGGCTTACTCAACCTCTTTTTCATAAGCATTGCCATAAATATCATACAGAAAGCAATGCTTTTGATTGTGACCAAATACCAGGAACAAAGAGAAAATACTACTTCTCATACAATTACTTTAAAATAAACATGATCTTATTTTCATAAAGTTTTCCTATTTCCCTTTAATCCTCTGTGTTCATCCCAAACACTGTAAATCCTACAGGTTTCACAGTACAGCCCTCACTTGAATATTCACTAAAGTTTAGCTCCATACTAATAAAGGATCTGCCTGTATGGTTAAAGCAAATCCATACACTCTGGATGGGTTTGAAGTTCCTTATGAAACCTTAATTTCATTAAGTTGAGTTAGCAAACTTCCTCTGCTCCTTTTTATAATATCACTTTAAAAGTTGTAACAGTTAAATACCAAGTTTTAGCCAAAAATATGAATTCATGATGAATTCACATATAAATCCATGAACTGGAAGCATATCATTGAAATTTTCAGGTAGATATTTAAACTGTGAACCGTTTCTCCACCTACAGAACTAATGTATAGACCAACAGAGAGTTCCGCTGATGCTGATCACATACCAAAATATGAAAACGGTGTTTATTTTTAACAAATAGGAGATGAGCAGCCTGTCTGATCCACAGCCATATATCCGATTGACCTTAGCCACTTTTCCCTTCTGATAATAATTACATGTCAGTTATTAAATTACTTTACATCCTCATGGATTATAGTTTCACTCATGCCAACTAACATTTTCTATCATTCTTTAAAATTACTTTTCCTATGTGAAGCTTTCAAATTGACTTTAGCTAATTACTGATAATAATTTAAAAACTGAAACCCAACCCAAATAGTGTACTTGTTATAATTCAAAAGCTGAAACCCAATACAGTGTACAACACAGAGTTATTTGTTATTGCTGCTGTTAAAATGAGCCCTGCTTTGAAAAAAAAAAATGGCAAATTCTGGAATAAGATTTTTCATTTTAAATTAAATCAGCATAAAAGAGTCAAACAGATCTTCTGAATAGTGACAAAGTGCCAAAAGTTCAAGCAGACACATGCACCATTACTCCACAAGGAACGTCTCCCTATATACTGTCCTCTGTTTTGTTTTCATGGTAACAAGAACATTCACAAACACATCTCATGCAAAGGAGCCTGATCAATCAAAATATTCTGCTGCTTAATCTTTCAATGTAATCAAAGAGAATTATTTTCCTATGTGATAATATACACATAGTAAATTTTTCACATTCCATGTTAAATAGGAATATAGAAATGTTTTATGTACTTTAGTGGTATTTTACCAAACACCTCTACAAGGATCTAACCAGTTAAAAATCAGTTAGATCTTACATTTGTAAGATCATTAATATACCACCATTCCCAAAATTGTCCCCGAATCAGTCACACATCAATTTACTCTTGAATACCCTTGTATAAATATAAGCCATCTCTAATAAAGTTAGCCACATAAAATACAGTCACTGTAACAAAAATACAGATGCAAATAAGCAAATTTTGTTTTATACCCGACCTATGCTCGACGCAAGAAATTGTCTCAATGTTCAAAAGATTCATCATTGTAATACATTTCTGTATATAAGAAATATACTGCATATTTCAAACCTAGTGGTCAAAGGGATTATGACACTTGAAACAAACACACTATCATTAAGTAAATACTGGTAAATCCCTTTCAGCTCACAATGCAAATGTACAGTTGTCATTTGGTACTATGACTCCTTAGGGTTCCACAGGGAATTTTCTCTTAATAATGAAAATGATACCCACTTTAGTCACAGAAAGGACATTTCTGTTCTGATAAACCATTTGGCCTATATCCTAAAAATCAAACCCAATCTACTCATTCCACAGTCTACTTCGTTAAAATTCTGCTTCTGGCACTCTTATAAGGTGAAAAAGCAATGAGACATTTGCTACATATGTAGCAAACATATGGGATCTATATGTGCAAATATTTAAAATAACTTGGTTTGCTCAAGGGCAAATATCACCAAATATTACTATATCACTGGAGGAAACGTTTCTAATAAAGTTAAATGGCCTTTTTCTAGGAGGACAGATCATTGCAAATTTAATTAAAATGGATCTTATTAATATTTCAAGTAATGTCTGGGCTTGATTATGCACTACAAAAGAAACAACTGTATTGAGGAGAAAAATCAATAGCCCTTGACTAGGGCTCTGGGTATGCTAGAAAAACACAGATCTCTTGTGAATTATTGAGGTCCAGCTTTAGGGTTGGGGGCGAGTACCAATATTCATTTGGAGGTAAATTGAGTTATTTTTAAAATGGCAGAAAAGGAAGGAGAAAAATCAGCTCAAATTTTCCATTATAATGAAAGTACAGGAAACAAGCCTTTCTATATTCATTTTAGGCCTAAATAACTCTGCAGAGAATAAGGGTTTTGCAATGTCAGTTGCACACACAACTTCCTGTGTGAATGCTAAGCCATTACAGGTGTCCTAAGGCCTCCAGTGAAACCTATTATCAAGAGATTCCTCTGGTCTCCTCGAAGTCATCCCCAGCGCCCCCCATCCGCCGCCCACACATTATTGCTTCTCTCCTCCAAGTGTCTTGATTAAGGACCCTCTCTCTTCTCCGCACTCCCGAGGTTAAAGTGCCCCCGTTCCCTTGGTGTAGCTAGTTACAAGCTTTCCCGTTAGGGAAGACTAGTGCCTGCAGTCCTTTTTAGTTAGATGCTTTTAAGTCAGAGATGAGAGGAGCCACTTGAAGAAACCCTCCTTCCCTTCTTCCTTTCCCCCACTGGGAACCAAGTCCCTGAAGGACAACACCCAGGGACGCTTCCTGACCTTCTATCCCCTCACCCAATTTGGGCTTGGAGGGTTGGGGTCGCATTTTCTCATGTCCTCTGCTGCACTGGATGTGTTATGTAAGAGGGACAGAACGCGGGAGGCACATGCGTATAAAGCGCACCGATCTGTGATAACAGCTGGGGTAGCAGAGCGGATCTGGAGTCCACCCCCCCCCCCCACCAAATACGACAGACCCCACACATGCACATCAGCACCCCCTCCCCCACACACCCACACACACACACACACACGCACACACCCAGAGCAATGTTTTCCTGTCTCACCCCTACCAGTACCAGAGGCACAGAATGGAAAGGCGGGGGGTGGGGGTGAAAGGAGGTGAAAGAGGAGGAGGAGCAGCAGCAGCACATCTGCTTTGATAGCAGCCGGCAGTGCCGCCGCGGCAGAGAGCCCCTCGTTAACCCCCTTCCTGTGGCTGCACCACGTCATGGAACATTCCCGGAACGGGCCAACGTTCCACCCACTTCAGGGAACAGACATAAAGGCGCAGACCCAGTTCCCCACAGTGCACAGCCCAAACACACATGTCCCTTCCCGATCCCCCGCCAGACGGACAGACAAACACGCATGCAAACCGCCCCCACCCGTCTCCACGCGCCCGGGTCCAGCCGGCAGCGGCCAGAGCCGCTCTGCAGCCGGTGCACCCGCAAGGCGAGGGCGCCTCCGCCTGAACCTTCCATCGAGACAGTCCCCTCCTTCCTCGCTTCCTTCCTTCGCTCCTTCCTTCCTTCCTTCCTTGCCCGGGAGGTAAAGGGAGTCACTGAAATGCCCAGAGCCAGCGCCTTCGCTGCGCTCGCTCGGCCGCAGGCCGGCGGCCCGGGCCTCGCGCCGCCAGCCCGCCCGGCCGCCTGCGCCGCGCGCCGCGGCCCCCTCCCCCGCTACCTGACAACGGGCCGCCGCCGGCCGCCGCAGCCGCAGCGGTGGCCGGGCCGTGCGCGCCGGTGCACGTCGCTCATTAGTAAGCAGGCACATTCCTGCCTCCAGCGCTCCCGCGCGGCCCCCTCCCCCCAGGACATTACGCAAAGCAGCCTCCCCTCATCTGCATAGATCCGCGGCCAGGGTATTCCCCGCATTTCCCCACGCGCCCGACACCCCTCCCGCGGTCTCCCCCATCCCCGCCCCCTCCGACCCTCACCCTCGGGCCACCGGGAAGGGGCTGGGGGCACACGCCGGGGAGCGGGGGACGGAGTTCGGCGGCGGCGATTCCAATATAAAGTGAAACAAGCTCCCAGCGCCGAAGGAGGCAGGAAAAACCCAGCGTCCAGGCCACTTACCGAGCCGAGGAGGGACCTAGATTCCCGCCGCTCCGCTCTCGCGGTGGCCGGTCCGCCCTCCGCGCACCCCGAGGCTGCACCCAGCACCCCAGACGCGAGACGTGGAGGAACGCTGTGAACGAGCCGGGAGACCCTCCAAGTTGCTCTGGGCTCCGTGGAGCGTCAAGGTCCAAGACACAACTTGGCAAAGACTTGTGCCACAGTCACCGAAGATGTTTGTGCGGAGACCCTCCTGCGGGGAACGACGGCGCTCGGCGGCGCCCCGCTCTCCTCCTCTCCACCCCCTCACCTCCAGCCCGCCTCCCGCCGGCCGCCCGCCTCCGGGCCGCGAGCCCCTCGGGCGGCTGTCAGCTCCCGGCCGCCGCCGGGTGACAGGGGCGGGAGGAGGGCGCGACGCGGCGGCCCGAGCCCCAGCGGGCGAGGGGGATCCTCGCAGCCGCGGCGGCCGCTCACCTGGAAAGTCACCGCTGAGGAGGAGGAGAAGGAGGACGGGGAGGAGGAGGGAGAGGAGGAGGGGGAGGAAACCCCCCTGGTGCCCTTGTTCTCGCTGCCGCGGCGGCCGCTCCTCGCCAAGGCTGAGCGTGTCTGGTGGGGGGTGTCTGGTAGCATTTCCTTAAGGACAGAGGGAGGGCGGGCGCGGAGGGAGGGAAAAGATCCCGACCGCCAGCCCAGGCTCCTCTTGCCTTTATTTATTTTTCTGACACTGTACGGAGATGGGCCCGGGGCAGGGGCCGCCGGGCTCAGGCGGGAGCCGCGAGGCCCGGGCCGCAGCTGTCTGCGTGCGGGAGCCGCAGCGGCCGCCTCCCCTCCCGGGCTGTGGACGCACCGGGTTATTCCTGGCAGCGCCTCCCCGAACAGAAGTTACTAGGAGGAGTGCGCGGCGAGGGCGGACGGGGGGAGAGGCGGAGGGAGGGAGGGAGGAAGAGGGAGAGACTCAGCCAACGACGTCATCGGATCCCCCAGCGCGTCCCAGGGAGGGAGGCTGAACCAGAAAAACCAGTCTGGAGCCAGTGAGCGAGAGAGGGATGTGCGGCGCGCGGGGCGACGGGGGAGGGAGGCGGTCGGGAGGGCAGGGCCGGGCCCCACGGCTGCCGCTGCGGGCGGGGAGATCGCGGCCGCGCACTCGCTCGGTCGGAGCGGGGAACTCCCCGGAGAGCTGGTCTCTACTTGTCATGCAAAAAAACTTGGGCATCTCTAGGAGCCTGAGAATTTCCTTTAAGGATGTGGAAACGTCCTCCGTCCCCACCCCTTCCCCATTTCCCAGAGAATCGTTGTCTGCCTTCCTGACGAACGGAATTGTATAATTAGTAGTGCCCTTAGATTTGGAACCAGTACTCCGGATCCCTGGCCTCTCCTCGCCCCCTGCCTCTACTCACAATTATGTTATCGGTCAAGAAAAGCAAAATCAGACTGTGGCTCCCGGCTGGGTTTCTGGAGCTTTGTAGGGTTTTACTAGCACTTTCCGTGCCCCTGCGGGCGCGCGAACTATTCACGTGCTCGAAACGCCCGGATTACCTTCCCTGAGGTCACTCACCAGGGTGCCCCCGGCACCCCCAGTTCGGGGACCGCGGCCCGCCCTCGCCAGGGGATTCAAATAGGTGTGGGCAGCGGCGCGAAGAGCAGCTGCCGGTTTCCTGGTGGGCCGCGCTGGAACCTCGGGGCGAGCTGCCACCTTCAGCCTGTGCGCTTCCCTCTCCACGGAAGGGACCGGAGTTGAAATCACAACCAACCCTGGGAGAGCGGGGCCGGGAGGCGGGGGAATCCCAGGCGAGTGGGAGCCGAAGCTCTGGGCTTCCTCCCCGGCCGGGCGACACCCGGGGGACACCGGGGCTCTCTCGGGCCGTTACCCTGCCTATGTGGACTGGTGTGCACCCTCGGGGGAGGTTCCTAGGGTGCCACGGTGCCCGAGCGCGACGAGTGACTGCTGGGGAGGGGGGCCGGGTCCCGGAGCGCCTCCTCCGGGTGGTCTCCCCCCCAGCGGGGACCGCGCGCAGCACCTCGCGGGCGCCCCAGCCCCCGCACCCTGCGGAGCAGAGCCGAGCGCCCAGGACGCCGCGGGCCCCAGCGGTCCTCCCCACCCCCTGGCCGCGCCGCCGCCCTGCCCGGGGCGGAGTAAACAAGAGACGCGCAAGATTTGACCTGGCGCGACCCGGCTTTCTGGCCGGGGTTCCCCCTGAGCAGGTGACTCCGTGGGAGGGGTGGAAATGAGTCTCTGGAATTCCGGGCCAAAGACAATAACTGTGGTTCTGCTTTTAAAGCAGGTATTTCACCAGCAACTGCGGAATGTTTTGTGTCTCCAGTTTCAAATTTCGCGGAAAGGGACCAAATGTGAGGACATATAAAATATCCCCTTCTCTTTTCATTAAAAATGAGTGCATTACAAAGGAAGGGCAGCCCCTTAATGCCTGCGAGAATAGCGCTGCTGGTTTCGTTTTTGTTTTGTTTTGTTTTGTTTTTCATTCTGACCCACAATCAGTGTATTTTTGAGGTCCCTATGCAATGGCGACGGTGCCGTGAAGGGCAACTCAGCAAAATAAAGCGGTGATACATTTTTTAACCGATTTTTTTCTCAGAGGAGAAAAATCTGAACAATTTGGCCTAAGTTTCACTTTGTCCTTCTCTTAGGTTGATCTCATTTAAATTCAGGGCCTACTTCCACTTAAGCAACTTCTTCTTTCATTGTATAGGTTCTTTAATATCCAACCTTTTTAAACTTAACTTGAAGCCTTTAATTTAAAAAACTGTCCCAATCATCATTTTCTTTTCAATGTATGCAGTTGCATTTTAAACATCCATTTAACACACAAAATGTGATTTTTGAAATTTTTTTCACTTTCAAACCCACCTGCTACATACTCCCAGAGAGCGTTTTATTTAATTGCTTAATAGAGAAGATTAAGCAGTTTCTTTAAGAATCCAATTTCCCTTCAACAAGCACAACAGCAGCTGCCCAAGCTCCCAGAAACTAAGCAAAGGCAAGTAGCAGGCAGCGTTTTGCTTCACTAGAATGAATGTTAGTTGAAACCTTAAATACCTCTTTAAAAGACTAGATTAAAGAGAATAATGGGAATATTAAGATACTCCGGTAGTTAGTTAAAATATTTTTTAAGGAAAACCAGGCAGATATACATCTATTTTGATGATTTGATCCCACCTTCAAAGAGGATCCCTGAAAAGAGTTTTAGTCACAATTTGACAAATTTTAAATAATTACTTTGTTTCAGAGTCATGAGGATGGAAAGAAGATAGCCTGCGTTGAGTTGAAGTAAAGTAAAAATATTATGAATATGTGTAACTAGGTGACATCCTCTCTGCTGGGAAGAATCCTTTTTTTTTTTTTTTTTTTTTTTCTGGTGACAGGTTCTTGCTCCATCACCCAGGCTGGAGTGCAGTGGCATGATCTTGGCTCACTGCAGCCTCTCCCTTTCAGGCTCAAGCAATCCTCCCACCTCAGCCTCCCGAGTGGAGGGGGAGCCACTGCAGATCTGGAGCAAATCAGCACCAGCCACTCCAGAGCCTGACCTACATAGGACTCAGAAAGCATTGTCTATTGTGATTGATTATTCCTGTGTTCAGTCCCAATGGCCTATTGATTGGGGGTTTCTCTCCAAAAGGCTGCATGGCTTTTCTTCTCTAAGTGAATCTCCTTTATAACCCATATTTTATGTCTATATACCAAACATGCTATCCATATTTAGTCAATGTCCAGTTGCTTGCATGTAAGGGCAATAGAGTAATCAGAAAACTCTTCCCAGAAAGCCCCCGAAGACAAAACTAGTACTGGTAGAAAACTGGGCATGCAGCTCTAAGAAACTCTATGGGAAGTGAGGCTGGGTGGGGCACAGCTGCCCCAGCCTGGCACCCATATGGAGCATCAGCAAGGAAGTAGGAACTTTCTTTTCATCATGCATCCTTCTTATCACTTCTCAGTTTCAAAGGGAAAGAAAATTTGGTAATCTGCATTTTGAGACATTAAGAAAATAAAATAATTAATGGCTTCATGGTTATATGGCATTTTTCAGAGTATTGTCAGAAAATCATTTCGAACTGAAATTTTCATTCAAAAATATTTATTGAATGCCGGCTATGTGCTGAAGATTCTTAAGATACATCAGTGAACAAATCAAAGTTCCCTGCTTTCTTGGAGCTTGCATTCCAGCGGGAGGAGAGGATTTGGAGGAAGAATGGGATAGACAATAAATGTAAGTAATAAATTATATAGGACTTTGAAAGGTAAAATGTTTGGGGGAAAAACATAAAATAGGGTAAAGGATATAGGTGGGGTGAGGGTTGTCCTGATGCTGTATTAAATAGGAACATCAGAGTAAGACTTGTTGAAAAGGGAGATTTCTGCCATGGTTTGAAGGAAATACCTGGAGATATCTGGAGGACAGAGCTTTTCACATGGAGGGAACAGCCAAGATACAGCTCCAATACCTGGAATTTTTATAGACATCAATGGGAATGGTGTGGCTAGAATAAAATGAGACAGCCAGTGAACAGAAGGCCTCTCAGGTCACCGTAAGAATTCCAGAAAAGCTTCATAAAAGGCAAATTTTGGGCCTTTATCACTCAGCCCCATGGAATCTGAATCTTTGTGGGCCCAGGACTCTGCATTTTTAACATGTAAAGCAATTGTTACTTATGTATTCTAAAGCACAAGACCTCCTGCCACAGAGCATGGGACCTGATATATCCAGGCAGGAGAACTGGGTACCAGGAGACACTGTACATGAAGTTTCCAGAACCAGCCATGTCCATCTTACTAATCAAGACTCTCTCTGTTAAATCTGCAACTCAAATGACTTTAAGGAAAAATGGATTTCATTGATTCACATAACCATCACTCAAGGACTAACTTTCAACATAGTGAGATCCTGAGGCTCAAATATTATTACCCGGTAAGGCCTTCTCCATCTCTGTTCTTATCTCTCTGCTTCACTTTGCCCTTCAGGCAAACATTCTGCAGGTTGGTGGCAGCATTCCCAGATTATCTTCTTCCTAGATAAGCAACACAGCAGGAAAAGACCTTCTTTCCAGATAGCTCAGGCAGCCTTAGTCATGTCATTGCACCTGAACCACTTGCAGGTCTTGGGTGGAGTGATCTGATTTGGTCATGACTAGACCTGAAGAGGAGAAGGTCCTCATGGGGAAAAAAAAAAAAAAAAAAGCTGTTCCCAAAAGAAAGGAGTCTTGCAGACCAGGGGGCGGAAAGTATCCACTATATCCCTTAAGTCTTTTGGCTTAGGTTTCCCTATTTTTTATAACTAGGGATTTAGTCAAGATGATGTGCCTAATTTCCTATAAATTCTATATAAATCATTGTAATAAAGTCCCCCCATAAAATTGTGCAAAATGAATTAACTGGCATGCCACTCTCTCAGATAAATTTATGGTACTATAAATAAGACATTAAAGGGGTTACCTGCTATGGGATTCTGATGAATAAATAGAATATAGCCTTAGGTCTTAATAAAGAGTAATGACTTAGAACTGCCTTTCTGATGGATCTCTTGCTTCCTACTTATCTGCTTTAATTAGTATATGGAGGAAAATTAAGCAGTGTCATGATTCATGTGATGTTAAGAATACATAGGTCCCCAAAAATTAGTTGAAGAAAAGAATTTGGAGGGAAAATCTGCATGTCTGTTGAATCGTCAATAGGATACAAATCCAATCATTCTAATGTAGACAAGTCTTTTGATCCCACTATACATCCTTTGGCTCAGGAGTGGAGGGTGATAGTGGTAATGAAGGACCGATCAGCCAGAGCCATACTGTGATTCAAGATGACATCTGTTAGGATTGAAGGATAAAGTGCTTACCCTCATGGGTTTTACAAGGCACACAGAGCATGCAGACATCCAACTAACCAAATGTCACCCTGTATTCCAGAGTTGCTCGGAATATATTCCAAAGACCACTTGTAGCAATATCTCTTGCAATGCTCAATTAAAAGCCTGGGCTACCCCCTAGATTTATAAAATCAAAATCCTCAAAATTAGGGCCTGGGAAACTCCATGTGAATAAGATCCCCGATGACTTCTATTCTCATTAAAGTCTGAGAAGCATCCCTTTACATACAATTTCTAGCTCACTTTGTCCCTCAGATTGAATGGGGGCTGGCTGGCTGAGAACTCCCTTCTTCCCTGTTTGTCACATTCTTCAAATTTCACGTGATCCTTTATGACAAGTTGGTCTCTTTTTCTCCTTTAAAGATATTCATGTGGCTCTTATTTTAACCAGATTTCTTCTGTACAAAAAATATGTCAGGAAAGAAATGATCCCATGAATGATCCAGCCCTGGGGATGAGAAGGGTGCAGGGGAAGGAGGGAATGGTGGGCACGGAATATACGAATGCATAGAGGGCGCGAGGGGAGGGAGAGGTCAGCTGTGGGGATGAGCAAGATGCAAGCAAACTTTGATGGTTTTCTAGCTTAGCTTAGGACCAACCCTGCCCATAGTTTATGGAAGGATACTGCATGTTTCTTCAGTCCAATCTGCTGTGAAATGCTTGTTATATTCTAGAGAATGCTCAAGGAATGCCCAGTCAGGCCTTTATTCTGAGGAAGCTCACTGATGTCTCACAGATAACCTTCTTAAAGATGAACAAATATCAGATACAGGAGCAGCCAGTAAGACTGTCCAGGATTACCAATGCCTGAACTGCCACCTTAGATACAGGGAAATGTAGGCTTATGATACAATGTTAGCAATTTAAGAGCACCACATTAACATCATCCCCCATCCTACTTTCTTCCATCACCCTCCCCCAACTCCAAAATTGGTTAGAACTGAAATTCCTCCACTTAACAGTCACTGCTTGGGGTTAAGGCTCTGCCTCTGTAGAAATCTTCCCGTACAAGCTAACTACAAGTGGTAGGCTCTTCTTATCCTAAGCTCTTAATCAGTCATTAACTTCTTATGAAAGATTAATTTATTAGATTGCCTTACAGAGTGACAGCTAGCTTAGTGATCAAACTGATTTATCTTGACAAAGCATAGAATGGAGATAATATAGGAAGGTCTGGAGGGGGAGTGAGACAGAGAGATCCAAAGCTTGGACCAGACTGACATGGGCACACTAGGGCAACTAGGAATAGGATACAAATTGAAGGGGAAAGGTGTGAAACGATGAAGGGAAAGGCAAACGCAAAAGCCACTGTCTTTGGACACAGAGGATGCCTGTGCTCAGGGCCTGTGGAGTGGGGCATGATGATCCAGGCTTTTTAGGCAGAAGCTGGGTGGCTCTGTCAGCCCAGAGTGCAGGTGCTAGTCCTGACTCTGAGCTAGCGGGAGACCTGGGTCCCCTCTCTTAGCCTCCACTTCCTCATTCAAGCAACTAGGGGATTCCCTTTCAATCATAAGATTCTGAAATAGAAACTCCTAACAATCTAGCAGGGACAGAGAAGGGGAAAAGAAGAGAGGGAGGCATGAAAAAGAAAAATAGCAGAGAGAGCTTATCAAAGTCCAAATTCCTCCCAAGCTCTTGCAGTGGTTTCTTAGGGTAAAACATAAATTTCCAATGTTAAAGAAATGAGAGTACATGGGCAAGGTATAGTAGGGGGTTTCAGAGAATAGTGATTTTGGTTTAAACATAGGCTATATAAATTTGGCATACTATATGGTCCGAAAGGAGAAGCGTTGTTTCTCATTGTCAGCCATAAAACACTTTGGGAAAAATGTATTTTTCTTGATTAGTACCTAAGTCCTTGAACTTTTAGAATTCCTGAGAACAGTGACTTGACCCACTCCCAATTTATCTATTGATGTGATATCTGGTAGATCTGACCCTCTTTTATATAGGTTTGAACCTTGAGTTTAGGGTAGTAAAACAAAAAAAGTAAAATAGTTGTCACTAAGTTTGTGCAGTGATTCAGGCCCTGACCTAGAAATTATATGTAAAATAAGGTAGCAAGTTGGAAGCATCGAAGAGAAAATGAGCAAGTAGAGGATATTATTTCTGATCCAGAGGAGGCTGCTCTCAGCAAACAAGAAGATAACAAAATTATGCAGATGCGAAGCAGGGTGGGTTTACTTAGCTGTTACTGGGGTAACAACAGAGTCATCGCTGAAATAATCCCACTCAGTCATCCATGTGCTTCATAAACCCAAACAACAGAGAGACTAGTGTGTCATAGCAATACACCTTGTGTAAGAGGAAGAAGAAATCCATGATCTGTTTAGAAAGATTTGCACAGGAGAAAATTAAACTCATTTTAAAATACTTTGTACTCAAAATATTCAGCCACTTGAAAAGTCCCCTTATATAGATGAGTCTGCTCCCAGTGATTCTGGTGAGTATAATGTATTAGGAAGTTAATTATTTGTTTTGTATCTTTTTTAAAAAGATTTTTTATAAAGGAACTACTTACTCAGTATGTCATTTCCCATTGACATTCTTGTATATGTAGATGAATATGTCAATACCTTCTGTTCTGGCAAACTGATATGCTCCAGGTCCCTCTAGTGCCCTATAATTTTATCTATCATTGTTTTATAATCATTTCTCCTGCACTCTACTGTGGGATCCTCAACTAGCAGAGGCTGTGCCAATGATGTATTGTGTTGAATAAATATTCTGAGTTTTTAAGTTAATATTTTACTCCTGCCTTCTTATCTTTTCCTGGGCTCTGTGTGTAGGCCACGACACTGCCACTGAAATGTGTGAGACTCCCTTTGCTAAATAACATCTTAAATAATGACACGGGTGGGGGCATATTTCAAAACAGACCTGTGTTTAAAAAAAAATGTAGCCTTGGGGAGGCAACCTGTTCTGTTGTTATTACATCTGTCCTTCAAGGCAATGATTATTTTCCAACAATCAGATTTTTGCCAGGCGCTTAAGGATGCCTGACCCAAGCACCACTGGTACAAAGCTCACCAAACGTCATGTGTGTAAATCAGCCCTTGATGAATTGACAAAAAGGCATTTTTAAAAATGTAGGTACCCAATATAAACAAATCATAAGTGTACAATTATGTTAATTTTGGCATATATTTGTGTGAGTGTAACCATTACTCTGAAAAAGATGGAGAATATTTTTAAGATTACAGAAGGCTCCCTTGTACCCCTTCCCACAGGGTACCCCTGAGATAATCTGTGTTCTAACTTCTAAGTTAGTTAGAAGGTTGGTTTTTGAGCAAAGATATGTTTGTATATATGCATGCATGCATGTATGTATGTATTGATTTTTAAAATAATGTTTCAAGTAACCATATGCTAGACCAAGTTTGATGACTAGAGATATAGGAGTGATCAAGGCAGATGAGGCCTTTAGGTTCTATGGGCCTCACATTCTGGTTGGGAAACTGATAGAAAACAAATTTACCAAGAAGACAGTTTCAAATCATGAAAAATGGCAAGAATAAAACAAGGTAATTGTTAGGCAATAAATAGGTAGGTAGGGTAATATTGGATGAGGGTAGAGGTATCTGCAGGGTTGACATTTGGGCTGAGAACTGACTGAGGAAAAGCAGGGAAAAAGAGCCCCAGAAAGAGAGAACTGAAAGTGCAAAAGCCCTAAGCCAAGGAGAAGCTCTGTGCCATGAGGAACTGAAAGGCCAGTGTGGCTGGACATGGAAGGTGGGGACTGCGGAGGAGAAAGTCCTAAGAGATAATGTAAGAAAGGCAATCAGAATGAACCAGAGGAAGATGCCTTTGTGGGCTAGATGAGTTTTGAGGAAGGGGTAGACATTGGGGATTTAAAGATACGTATATCTTATGTGTTCTATTAATTAATTGAAAAAACTTTTCTCAGAAACAACCTTCAGTACATAAGTAATGGCTGCTGGATGTAACTTGCAATTGGGTGGCAGGTCGGCAAGGAAAGAATTCCAAACAGAGGACTTTCTGAAAGCCTAATTATACATATTGAATGTAACAAAAGGAAAATAGTTTTTAAGGTAGCAAATCCTAAAGAGAATTTAGATAATTTGGGTGCTATTCCTCACATTTTTCTATGGTTAATTAGAGAGAGCTGGGAAACACACAATGCTGCCCACAGCTCTGCCAACCCATTATGGGCACTTCTAATTTCAGATAAATGAAGCCCTTGGTTACCACCCCCAGCTTGTCTTAGAACATCCATTGTATTATCAGAGTAGATGAGTAAAAATAATAGCCTTCTGAATATCTATAAAGGGTACCTTTCTCTTATTAGTGGATAGTTACAAGTTTAAATCACGTCTCCATGTTAATGAAGCAACTCCCAAATTTACTTTGCTCTTGAAAATCTAGTTTTTCAAATTTTCTGTTTTACACAGAAAATGTGATATTTAGCTGAGTGGCTTAGTTAGAGCATCAAGTGCTAGATGTATGTAACTTTAAAAATTAGTAATTATGTGAAATCTTAAGGTGTATATACAGATACATATACATATCTTCTCTCTAGTAAATATCATGTGCACTTGTCATTTTAAAAGACATTTCTAGCAGTATAATATATTGATCCAAGTATATATAAACTTAAAGATATGCTAAAAACAAATAACCAATTGGCATCTTTAAAATTCACCCTTCGTTAAATGAAACCATGATGCTATTTTTAAAAAACGATAATATACGTATAATGAGAAATATTAAATGTCATGGCCTGGGCAAAATTTGAAGAAGAAAAAACATCAAGACAATTGCATTTAAGTTTCCAACAAGAGATTACATCACTAGGTTTATTGTATTTATACAAATATAGTAGCAATGTTTGCAAAATGCCCCTAAAATTCCTGAGTGAAAGCAGAAATGAAGAACATTTGCATGATTATAAATATCAGGATATCTGAAAGCATAAAGGTATTTGGTTGAGTTTTTCCATTGTCATCCAGATTTGATTACATAGAACAAATTGAAGGCCTCTTATTGTTTTGGTGTTTCAGAACTTAGCAAAGGGGCTGCCACTCATTTCGGCTTTTTTCTTAATTATTCCAGGGTTCCATGAACTGCTTCCTCTGACATGAGATCTAACAAGGCTAAAGACTAAAATGCAGCTGTTTACAGCGTAAGTAGGAGGCCGTCCCGTGCAGTGCAAAATCAACAGAGAGGAGACAGTCCTATGCCTTCGAGAGACAGTCTGCTGATACTGTCATGATGTCTAGTGACAGGCCAGAGATCAAAACCCAACACCCTCATTTACCTGACAGTGATTTGGCCAATCCCTTAACATCTCTAAGAGCTTCATTTTTCTACAAAATTGAGACAATAGTATTTGTTTCATAGTGTTACTGTCAGGGTTAAATGTTATACATTAAGCATTTAATATATGCTGCTTGTTTATCTAAATATTCATGGTCAGGCACTAACTTCTTATGTGACTCTGAGCAATGCATTCATCTCTGTACCTGTTTCCTCATCCATAAATTGGGAGTTGAACAAGGTGAGCCCTAAGTTTCGTTCCAACTTCAATATTCTATAATTCTTGCAACTTATATGGCCTCAGTTTTCTTATCTTTATAATGGGCATAAGAGTACCTACCTCACAGAATTTTTGAGAGGATAAAATGAATTAAGACAGGTAGAAAATTCTTAGAACAGTGCCTGCCACATTGGAAGTGCTTAATATGTATTAGCTGTGATGATGCTGCTAATGATGAAGATGATAATGACCCTATTTGCAGATAGTATGGCAGCCATAAAACATTCAGTATCAGATTGATTACATTCTCTTATTTTCTGAGTCAATGCCAGAGCTACCAAGATTTTATTCTTTAAAGGTTCTTCAAGACTAAATTCTTTTTACATGATATGATTATTACACATTGTATGTCCGTATCAGACCAGCCTGGCCAACAAGGTGAAACCCCATCTCTAAAAATACAAAAATTAGCAGGGCATGGTGGCACGCACCTGTAGTCCCAGCTACTCGGGAGGCTGAGGCAGGAGAATCACTTGAACCCGGGAGGCAGAGATTGCAGTGAGCTGAGATCGTGCCACTGCACTCCAGCCTGGCAGAGTGAGACTCCATCTTAAAAAATAAATAAATAAATAAATAAATAAATCTCATGTACTCCATAGATATGGGGTACCTACTATGTACTCACAAAAATTAATTTTTTTTTAGAAAAGCCTAAGCTCATTTGCTTCTTAGTAAGAATTATGTTAAGATTTCCCAGTGTAGATACCCTAGGCTGCTAATTTTTTTTCTTTTGTTATCAGTATCTTAAGAAATTAATTGGCCCGGGAGTGGTGGCTCATGCCTGTAATCCCTGCAGTTTGGAAGGCCAAGATGGGAGGATTGTTTGAGGCCAAGAGTTCAAAACCAGCCTGGGCAACATAGTGAGATACTATCTGTATATAAAATAAAAAAATTAGTGAGGCATGGTGTCATAAGCCTGTGGTCCCAGCTACTTGGGAGGCTGAGGTGAGAGGATTGCTTGAGCCCAGGAGGTCAAGGCTGCAGTGAGCTGTGATGGTGACACTGCACTCCAGCCTGGGCTATAGAGCAAGACCCTGTCACCCTCCTCAAAAAAAAAAAAAAAAAGCAATTAATTGATTTATTTATGGCCATTCTCTCTTTTTGTGAGCTGGATATGTGTTCACTTTCATTCTAAAAACGTACAGCCCCCAAAGCCCACACATGTTGTCAAAGCTCACTACATTTACCTAGAGAGTTTCCTGTAGTCTCCTCTTTCAAGTATTTTAAATAATGCGTAATTTCTTCATGTAACTGAAACATGTTAATGTTGAGTTGGCACAGGAAGAAAAGTTTTGATTTACTCAGAACTGGGATTTGTGTGGGTCATTTCCTAGTCCTCCTAAGTATTTAACAAATGTAAAATGTAACACACAATTAAATAAGCTACCCAAGCCAAATGAACTGGTGAGTGCATTATAAATAGCAACCAAAATTATTCTTCAGTTGTTAACTGGTATGTCCTGATTTAATAATGAATTACATCATTTGACAAATGAGATAAGACTTCCACCTTTAGCTTTCTGATCCAAACTTCTAATAGTTGAAATGTATTATTACCATCTGGTGTCTGGCCTCTGAAATGCCCTGGCGATATCTGCCTCATTTCAAGTAGTTGGGGCTTGCATATGCCAGCAAAGCACTCTCCGAAGTGTCTTGATTGGCAGGCCCAGAGAGAAGGCTAAGAACCGAATGAACCATGGAGATATAGCTCCAGCTCTGTAGAAGTTTCCTCTGGTTCAAGGCAGACTCATTTTCTTAGTTTGTGCAGCAAAAAAATTGTCATGATCGAAGTTGTTTTTATTTTGGATCTCAATCCTGAAGGATGCAATTCCTATACTTACCAAGAATGTTTCCATCTGTTTTAAATTATTTCACTCCTTTTACAAACTGGCAATAATTTTAACACCTTTTATTTTCAGTGAAAATAATTCGAGAATGAAGCTGAGAATGATACATAAGCCTAGAGTTTTAACTCAGTGAAGTAATATGATTCTGACAGTTCTTTATTTTTTCCACATTGTGTTAGATTCCTAGTAAAAAGGGAAGATGAATCTTATTGCTTTCAAAAACCTGACAATATGGTATGTAGGACAGAATGAACATACATAGAACAATATCCAATAACACAGATGAAGGTGTCAAAGCCATTGCCAGACAGAGTGGTGCAGATTGTGAGATCAGTTTTCTTGGTAAGTGTTATGGACTGAATGTTGGTATTCTCTAACATTCATAGATTATAATCTAATCCCCAATGTGATGGTAGCACTATCTGGGGGTGAGACCTTTGGGAAGTAAAGGTCTTTTTCTCTCCACACCTGACCAAAAGTAGGAGCTCAACAAATGTATGTGCACTGAAATGGAATGGGGGCAAACAGCCTGGTGGTATAGTACAAAGCAAAATTTGGTTATGGTAGGAGCAGTACAGATACATCTGGATCACAATCTAAATTCTCTCCAGGGACCAAATACATAGATTTACCCCTTGGGTTATTGGTCTGGTAGACTCTTAATTTTTAATAGGGTTTATATAATCTAGACTTCTTATAACCTCTGCCCCACTGGATATAGGTATTACTCAGTTGAAGTTAAAAATTGAATATAGGATTATATGCAATGCTTTATCTATAACTTTCTTGTAAGGATAAACTCAGTACATCTCTGGTTTTCTAATATTTTGGAGGAAATGTTACAAATAGGTAAGGAAAGTTTGAGCCTCATTTACGCATGAGGGTGGACCCCTCCTGAATGAGATTAATGTCCTTATAAGAAAAGGCCAGAGAGCTAGCTCACTCTCTTTCAGCATGTGAGGACACAAGAAGCCCAGAGTCTGCAACCTGAAAGAGGGCCCTCACTAGAACCCAATCATGCTGACGCTGTGATCTTGGACTTTCAGGCTCCAGAACTGTGAGAAATAAATTTCTGTTGTTTATAAGCCATCCATTTCATGACAATTTGTTATAGTGGCCTGAACAAAGACAATAGGTATAAAAGAGAATTGATAAAGATGAAATTTAGGAATACAATTAGAAGTGAAATGCAAATAACAAGAGGGTGACCCCGGAGTAGAAAAGTGTCTGTGTCTGGTAGATTTGAATAGTTTACAAATGCCAAGCCTGTGCAAAATAGGAGTTACCAATATTAATGGCTGCATCATTACAAGGTGTATCCAAAAGACACTTAAGATTAAGTCTGTGTTTGTCAGTGGGGAGGTGAGAGTAGGAAATGTTAAATAACCTGCCCTTTGTCACTCAGCCAACAAGTAAGAGAGCAGGGAATCAAGTTCAGATCTAAGTCCTCTAAAGTTATTCCCCAAACTCCTCACAGCTTCACTTAATAACCATTTCCTGCTTTGGTTGACTTTACAAAGATGACCATACATTTGAGAGCAAAAGGGGAAGCTATGAATCATTACATCTGGACAAATGGCATGAATCAAGATCATCCACTGCCAACTAGAGTGTATGTTCATCTTCTGTCTATATATCTTCATTCCCAGACATCTACCAGACATCCAGTGACTTATCTGAGAAGTACACTTGGAGGTCAGTTTCTTGGAGTAAATTGATCAAAGTGTTAAAATTCTGGAAAGTTATTGTATTTTAAAATAGTTCACACAAAAAAATAGTACAATGAAATGAATCACTATTAGTGGAATTTCAGGCCCTCAGGTACCTGATAATAAGAACTCTTTCAAAACAACATAACTTTCCTGGTACCTGTCAAATCACAATTTCTATATGAGATATGGCCAGCTGGGTATTCAAGGATAATTGGTCAGCTACTGTGATGATTAATATGGAGTGTCAACTTGTTTGCATTGAAGGATGCAAAGTATTGTTCCTGGGTTTGTCTGTGAGGGTTGTATTAGTCTGTTTTCATGACACTGATAAAGACATATCTGAGACTGGGCAATTTACAAAAGAAAGAGGTTTATTGGACTTTCAGTTCCACATGGCTGGGGAGGCCTCACAATCATGGTGGAAGGTGAAAAGCACATCTCACATGGCGGCAGACAAAAGCAGAGAGCTTGTGCAGGGAAACTCTCATTTTGAAAACCATCATATCTCATGACACTTATTCACTATCATGAGAACATCATGGGAAAGACCTGCTCCCATGATTCAATTACCTCCCACTGGGTCACTCCTACAACACGTGGGAATTCAAGATAACATTTGGGTGAGGATACAGCCAAATCATATCAAGGGTGCTGCCAAAGGAGATTAACATTTGAGTCAGTAGACTGGAAGAGGCAGACCCACCCTCAATCTGAGTGGTTACCATCTAAGCATCTGCCAATGCAGCTAGAATAAAGCAAGCAGAAGAAAGTGGAATGAGAAGACTTGCTGAGTCTTCTGGTCATCATCTTTTCCCCATGCTGGATGCTTCTTGCCCTTGAACATCAGACTCCAAGTTCTTCAGCTTTCAGACTCTTGGACTTAGAGCAGTGGTTTGCTAGGGGCCCTCAGGCCTTCAGCCACAGACTGAAGCCTGCACTGTCGACTTCCCTACTTTTGAGGTTTTGGTACTTGGATTGGCTTCCTTGCTCCTCAGCTTACAGCTGGCCTATTATGGGACTTCACCCTGTGATCGTGAGTCAATTATCCTAATAAACTCCCCTTCATATATACATATATATTATTAGTTCTTACCTCTAGCGAACCCTGACTAATACAGATTTCTAGATGTACAGATGGATTGAGAGGCAAACACTCTAAATTAACAAGGCAGAAATGAAAGAGCTGTTCTGCCCAAGATCTTCAGCACTGCTCAGACCTCTATAAGAATTTCTTATCCAGTTCAAAACTTATCAACTTAAGAAAAATATAGAAAATTTGTAAAGCATTCAGAAGAAACTAAAGACTAAAGCAAAATGATATGTTCAAATACTTAACACTGCCAAAATGTAATGCATTTCAATAAAGTGATATATGTCCTTAACTCACACAAATTAATAAATGTCTAATAGACATACATATGGGAAGTGAATATCAAATGCCTGTGTACTATTTGTATAAAATCTAAGTTAAAACTCATTTCCATCCCAAAGATGTGTGATATGTAAAATAATATTCTACGTATTTTGTTTAATTTTGGGGGGTCATTTAAGATTTTTTTATTTGCAGAAAAAAGATGCTACAAACAAAATTAATGGGAAAAAACAAAAATTAGTACCAAAAGAGGAAACGAGGACAAGGAAAAACACGAGCACATAGAAAAATGTAAAAATACTCAAGCCAGGCTCAGAGAACCAGCATCCCTGACAGCAAGTGTTGTTAAACATCCACGTGGGTTGCTAAGGAAGGTTAGGGAATCTCCCTTTCCCAGAAGTCTTTAAAAATAGGATAACATCTGTTTGGATGGGATAATGGTGGTACTGCTTGACTTGGCAGCTTCTTAAGCAAACCTATGGTTTGGTAATTCTACCATTTCTATTTCTGATTTGAAAAGTAACAAATAACTTCAGTTCACCTAGAAAATTGGGCCTTATAATGACTTGTAATATTGTCTTATAAAACTATTTTCATTGTCATTAATAGTGCAAAGGTAGATAATTGAGGTTTTCAGAGTATACTTGAATTTGCAGCCAAGGCTCAAACTTTCCTTATCTATTTGTAACATTTCCTCCAAAATATTAGAAAACCAGAGATGTACTGAGTTTATCCTTACAAGAAAGTTATAGATAAAGCATTGCACATAATCCTATATTCAATTTTTAACTTCAACTGAGTAATGCCTGTATTCAGTGGGGCAGAGCTTATAAGAAGTCTAGATTATATAAACCCTATTAAAAATTGGAGTCTGCCAGACCAATAACCCAAGGGGTAAAACATATATATTTGGTCCCTGGAGAGAATTTAGACTGTGATCCAGATGTATCTGTACTCCTCTTACCATAACCAAATTTTGCTTTCTACTATACTACCAGACTGTTTGCCCCCATTCCTTTTCACTGCACATATATTTGTTGAGCTCCTACTTTTGGTCAGGTGTGGAGAGAAAAAGCCCACAGTCCCTGCCCTTGAGGAACACATAATCCAAAAAAAAATGCATGGGTGGCTCCAGGTGTTGTAGGGTCTTAGGCAAGTATAATTTTGGACATGCATTTTAAGAAAAAGAATACAAAATTACAAATGCAGAATTACTAATAAAAGTGAATATTTATTGTATAGAGAAAATTAATCACAACAAATTACAAGTTTTAGCATTCTCACAAATGCCAGAAATACCACAAAATCTCAGAAAAAAACCTATATTTTGTATTAATTAGCTGACTGATCACATGTATAATTCTACGTGTTCTACTTTTGGTTGCATATTGTTGACCACATGAGAAAAATTTCTTTATTTACTTATTCAGATGGAGTTTCGCTCTGTCGCCCAGGCTGGAGTGCAGTGGCGCTATCTCATCTCACTGCAACCACTGCCTCCCAGGTTCAAGCGATTCTCCTGCCTCAGCCTCCCGAGTAGCTGGGACTACAGGGGCATGCCACCAGGCCCAGCTAATTTTTGTATTTTTAGTAGAGACGGGGTTTCACCATGTTGGCCAGGATGGTCTCAATCTCTTGACCGCATGATCCACCCGCCTCGGCCTACAAAAGTGCTGGGATTACAGGCGAGAGCCACCACGCCAGGCCAAGAATTGTTTATATTATTTTCTATACAGAGAAAACAGTGATAATTTATTCAGTCATTCCTTTGGCATGATTGAAATTTGTTTTCTTTCTGGCTCACAACTCTTTAATAATTATAAGTAAGTTTTCAGGATTGTTGTCAAGTACAGGAAAACTTCAGTCAAATTTCTTTCATATATGAACTGCAAGAGCTATAAGATTTCAGGGCATTGATAATTTTCTTGCATGTAAGTAATTTTAAATACTCTTTCAATTGATGTTACTCATTAACCAGCTTGTCACTGGTGTCCTTGTTGTAATGGTGTAGTGTGAGTTCAATTTTATCTCTGTCAATGTCAGGATTGTGTATCAAATTTGAAAGAAATTTAAGTATTTTCTCAAAGAGTTCATGTGATTCAGTCCTCTGGGTTAAATGTGTTATCAAAAACTAAAAAGCCCATTCAGTACTTCCCTCTTCCTGTTAATGAATTATTGCTCTTTGTATTATCTAAAAATATTTCTGTTACAATTTACTTCTTGATGTCAAAGTGATTTCTATTTGACTTTATCTCTCAATTGTTTTTTCATATCCTATCAAATTTCATCTGCATTTTCTCCCAGTTTCTTATTACATTAATTCATAGATGACAAAAGAGTTACTCTTCATATATGCCCATATTAGGAGTCATTGATTTCTGTGGGTTTTTAATTGAAAAGATCCAAAACATCTATGCAAATTCCAGTTAAAATGAAGTATTTATGTCTTATTAATTTTTTGAATAATCTGTTCACTTCTTGTTTTTGTTACTCTTCCATGACTTTAAAAATATATTTCAGGGTCATTAAATTGCACTGTACAATGTTTTAAGACTTGAGAAGCTTTAGTGTGGGCAAACCAAACCATGTTGTTACCTTTAGACTCTTAAAAGAAATACTCTTGTTGGCATTTTAAAAGTTGAGGTAAAATTACCATTCAATAAAATGTACATATCATAGTGTTCAGCTCAATGAGTTTTGAATAGGCCAGGCGCATTGACTCACTCCTGTAATCCCAGCACTTTGGGAAGCCAAGGCAGGTGGATCATGAGATCAGGAGTTCAAGACCAGCATGACCAACATGGTGAAACCCCGTCTCTGCTAAAGAATACAAAAATTAGCCAGGCGTGGTGGCACGTGCCTGTAGTCCCAGCTACTTGGGAGGCTGAGGCAGGAGAATCGCTTGAACCTGGGAGGCGGAGGCTGCAGTGAGCCGAGATAGCACCACTGCACTCCAGCCTGGGCGACAGAGCGAGACTCTGTCTCAAAAAGACAAAACAAATAGAGGGCATTTCCAGCATCCAGAAAGTTCCCTTTCTCATCCGTACCCCCTTCCTCATCCATCCTCACCCCCAGAGCAACCCTTTTCTAATTCTGTCACCATAATACATTTCGCCTACTCTCAGACTTCACATCAGTGGAATCACTCAGTATGTAATCTTTTGTGTCTTATTTTGCTCAGCATGATTTTGAGAATCAACCACATTGTTGCATGTATGGACAGTTTGTTCTGTCTTATTATGAAGTGTTATTTCACTATATAAATATACCATTATTTGTTTATTCATTCTCCTATCGATGGACATTTAGGTTCTTTCCAGCTGGGGCTGTTATTAATAAGGATGCTTTGAATGTTCTTATACAAGTCTTTGCATGGACATGTGTTTTCATTTCTCTTGGCTACCTATCTGAGAATACAATTGTTCAGTAATAGAGTAGATATATGTTTAACTTTATTAGAAACATGGCATATGTATTTTACGTACTCCCTCTATAAGAAAAACACAAAAACAAGACATGTAATTGTTGCACAATACTGAAGTGGCCCAAGAATTAGGGTTCCTTAAAGGAAGCCTTCTTCCACCTGTATTGATCATCCATGGTATTGATCATCCATGGCTCCTCACCAGGCATCATTCTTTGGGTCAGCTAGGCAGAATGACTTGCTGCTCCCTGAGTATGTGATGCAGTCTCTTCCCTATGAGTCTCCCTACTAGGTACTTCCTCTGACTGGCTGCTCTGCTCTCATCCTTTACCTGCCCTGTCTAATCTTAAAGACTGGATTTAATCATTTTCATCTCTGGGAGGCCTTTCATACCACCCTCCCCAAACCCCCATCATCACTGTCAAGGTTGAATTAAGTGTCTCTTCTCTGTGCTCCCATAGAAACTCAGGTTTTTCTCTATAACTGCTAGTCTATTTGTCTATCTCCACTGCTAGACTATAAGCTCCCTATGGGTGGAATCCTGTTCACTGTTATGATCTATTGCCTAGCAAAGTTCTTGACCCAGAATAGGTGCCTGACAAGTATCAATTGAATCCATGAATAAATAGTTGAGCAGGTTTGATGTTGTTGGCATTGGGTGAAGTTTATTTATACTTTATGATATTCAGGTAGAAATAGGTTGTTAGTTGTATAGGTCTGGAGTTCAAATATTGGGCTTACGGGCAGGAGGAGGACAAGAGGTATGGATATGGGAACTCCCCTTACTTTCAGTCACATTGTATACAGGTAAGAACTGAAAGTTTGGGATTCAATACAAATACTTGAGGAAAGTTTCCAGTTTTGAAGATAATTAAGAGAGAATGAGAGAAGGGGCCAAATTGCAGTAGATTATGGTGTAAATGAAAAGAGAAGGGGAGAAATGCAAACAGTATAGACAGATAATTCAAGAATTTTGGTGCTGAGATTCCAAGTAGAGCAATTACAATATGTCCCAACAAACAGATGAGATTGGATAATGTTGTTTCTTTCACTTTTATTTTTGTTAGTTTAAGAAGGAAAAGACAGCTAAGACTATCGAAGGACCAGTGTCATTGGACAGAGGAAATTCTGTGACAGGTATGAGAAGATACAAATGAGACAAATTTAGTTCATATAAAGTTTTTACTGAGGTCTCACACCATTAAGTCATGATATGAGTTGGTTGGTTTGTTTGTGTCATGAATAGGGACTGCCTGACACTGTATTTTCACTTCAAGGCATTGATTAAGTTGGGGGTCAAAAGTACTTAGGTGACTCAAAGCAGAAGCCTTTATCCATAATGAGTAGAACTCAGTGAAGGCTGTATGAGAAGTTTGAATTTCCAACAGGAACTTCATGTGTTTGTTCTACTTCTTGTATTACAGATCTCATAGTGCTAAGAGAGGCCATTTTATAATGGGTTTGAGGAAAATAATAACATTTGGAGCTGGAAATAAGCTTCGAGATGATCTTGTCCAGTAGCTAGGAGACTTTATTTCATGGTTGGGACACTGCTTAGGCATCATCTCTTCTGGGAATCCTTCCTTGGGATGTGAATAAACACTTTAAAAAAAGTCACAGGCAACTCTTCTGTCCTCCTGGAGTTTTCATAAGGCTTATGATAATTAAATGTACATGTTAAAGCCTCTTAGAAGTTCTACAGTAAATAAACCAATTTAATTCTGATTCACAAAATAGTTTTCCATCTTATTTGTACCTGGAAACCATCATACTCTTATTTTGTGGACACTTATATGCATCCAAGAAAGTCTTTTAAGAATCACTAATCTAATCTACTAATCCTTTCATTCAGACAGAGTCCAAGTCAGTATTTTTATCTCCTTATTTCACATATTTAAACTTAATAGCTGAAAACAATTTTATGATCTTGGTTGACTGGGATGATCTGGGATGACTGGGATGTTCCACATAATGTTAGCTGGGACTGCAGTTAGCTGTGGCTTGACTGATGCCTCTGCACAGATGCTGGGAGGCTGAGTGCAGCCCTGGATGCAGGCATGGCTGGCTTCTCCCTCCCCATCTAGTTTCAGGCCTCTAGCTCTTCACCTGTGCTCACCACACGTTATACCTCCTTATGGTGTCTTCATAAGGTAAGCAGACAATTTAGATAGTGGCTCAGGGTACCTGAAAGTACAAAATCAGAAACTTCTGACACTTTCTTCAGGTTTAGACTCAGAACTGGAATAACATCCCTTCTATCACATTATATTGGTTAAAGCAGTCACAGGGCCAGCCCAGATTCAAAAGGAGCAAAAACAAACTCTACCTTTCCATCAGGTGGTGTGCACGGAAGGAGAGATGACAAATAATTTACGGTCATATTTAATCCATCACACTTCTCATGGGCTTTTAGCATATTGTGAGATAAAGAACCTGTCCCCTGACACTGTAAAATTCCCCAGATAACTCTAAATACCTAAGCTTCTTGGCATCACAGAGATAGCTGGGTCCATTGATATCTTCCCTAATATCCAGGATCAGTATGTTAGGCAAATGGCCAATAGGACCCAGATCCAAACACATCAAATCAAGGAAATGGGCTTGGCATGGTGCCTCACACTTATAATCCTAGCACTTTGAGAAGCTGAAGTGGGCAGATTGTTTGAGCCCAGGAGTCTGAGACCAGCCTGGGCAACATGGCAGAAACTTGTCTCTACAGAAAAATACCAAAAAAAATTAGGCAGACATGGTGATATGTGCCTGTAGTCCCAGCTACTCAAGAAGTTGAGGTGAGAGGATCACTTGAGCCCACCAGGCCAAGGTTGTAGTGAGCCATAACTGCACTACTGCACTGCACTCTGAGTGACAGGGAAAGACCCTGTCTCGAAAAAAAACAAAACAAAAATGGGAAATATTGAAAGACTGACACTAGTTCTAATGGTCTGAACTAGAGGTGAGCAAACTACGTTCTGTAGGCCAAATCCACCTACTGCTGGTTTTTGTAAATAACATTTTGCTGGAACACTGCCACACCAATGCATTTGTCTATTGTCTATGGCTGCATTTGTGCTAAAAGTCAGAGTTGAATAGTTGCGACTAAGACCATCTGGCTTGCAAACCTAACATACTGATCATCTGGCCCTTTACATTAAAAGTTTGCCAGCCCCATTCTAGACTATATAAGCATTACAAAATGATGCCCACTTCATTGTGATTTGACTCTATCTATACATTAGGAAATGTGGAATATTAGCAAGCTATAAAACAGTTTCAATGGAGATAAAAATTATTGTACTGTTGCACGTATCAACAGAACACTCTTATTGCTGCTTGTATTCTATTTGATTATTGTAAATAAAGCTATTATGAACATTTATGTGCAGGTCTTTGAAGGAATATATGCTTTTATTTCTCTTGGGAAAATATGTAAGAGTTAAATGACTGGATCATGTGGTCAGGATATCTTTAACTTTTTAAAAAATTGCCAATATGTTTTCCAAATATTCTTATCAGCAGTTTAAGAGGGTTCCTGTTCCACCACATCCTTGTCTGCACTTGCTATAGTCAGTCCTTTAATTTTAGCCACTGTAATAGGTATGTAGTAGAATCACACTGTAGTTTTAACTTGCATTTTTCTAATGACTGATGATGTTTATCATCTTTTCATATGCTTATTTGACATCCACACACTTCTTTGATGAAGTGTCTGTTGAGATTTTTTGCCCATTTTCAAAAATTGAGGGTTTCTTATCGTTGAGTTTTGAGAACTCTTTATATATTTTGGGTAGAAATTCTTTATCAGATATGTAAATTATAAATATTTTTTCTAGTCTATGATTTGTCTTTCATTCTCTTTTGAAGAGAAGTTTTAAGGCCAGGCATGATGGCTCACACCTGTAATCCCAGCACTTTGGGAGGCTGAGGCAGGTGGATCATGAGGTCTGGAGTCTGAGACCAGCCTGGGCAACATAGTGAAACCCCATCTTTACTAAAAATACAAAAAAATTAGCCAGGTATGGTGGTGGGTGCCCATAATCCCAGCTACTTGGGAGGCTGAAGCAAGGAGAATCACTTGAACCTGGGAAGCGGAGGTTGCAATGAGCCAAGATCATGCCACTGTACTCCAGCCTGGGCAAGAGTGCGAGACTCTGTCTCAAAAACAAAAAAAAACAAAAAAAGATAAATAAAGAGAAGTTTTACATTTTTATGAAGTTCAGTATATCCATTTCTTTTCTTTTTTTTTTTTTCTTCTTTTTTTTGAGATGGAGTTTTGCTCTTGCTGCCCAGACTGAGTGCAATGGCATGATCTCGGCCCACTGCAACCTCCACCTCCCAGGTTCAAGCAATTCTCCTGCATCAGCCTCCTGAGTAGCTGGGATTATAGGTGCCCTCCACCACACCCAGCTAATTTTTCCATTTTTGGTAGAGACAGAGTTTCACCATGTTGGCCAGGCTAGTTTCGAACTCCTGATCTCAGGTGATCTGCCCACCTCAGCCTCCTAAAGTGCTGGGATTACAGGAGTGGCCACCATGCCTGGCCCATTTTTTTCTCTTATGGATAATACTTTTGGTATCATATAAGAAATCTCTGCCGGGCAGGTGGATCACGAGGTCAGGGGTTCGAGACCAGCCTGGCCAATATGGTGAAACCCCATCTCTACTAAAAATACAAAAATTAGCCAGGCGTGAAGGTGCATGCCTGTAATCCCAGCTACTGGGGAGGCTGAGGCAGAAGAATCGCTTGAACCCAAGAGGTGGCAGTTGCAGTGAGCCGAGATTGCACCACTGCACTCCAGCCAGGGTGACAGAGCAAGACTCCATCACACACACACACACACACACGCACACACAGAAATCTTTGCCTAATCAAAGGTCACAAACATTTCTGCTTATATTTTCTTCTAGAGGTGTGATTGTTTTAGGTTTTACATTTAGGTCAATAATCCATTTTGAGTTAATTTCTTTAATAAGGCACAAGATACGGTTTCAAGTTTATTTTCTTTTTTGGCATATGGGCATCCAATGATTCTAATATCACTTATTGAAAACACTATCCTTCCTCCATTAAACTGCATTTGCCCCTTTGTCAAAGATCAGTTGTCATTATTTTTGTATCTGGACTCTCTGTTCTGTTCCACAGATTTGTGTGTCTTGATGCCAGTACTGCAGTATTCTGATTACTGTAAATCTTGACATCAGAAAATATTAGTTCTCTATTTTTTTCTTTTTCAAAGCTGTTGCAGGCATTTTATGTCCTTTGTATTTCCATACTAATTTTAGAGTCAGTTTGTCAATTTCTGCCTGTAGCTTTGTTGAACAAATCCCATACACTCCAATGACTTGCTACTTTATGTAGCTGCCCCTCTCTGACTGAGGTTGTTCTCGGCCTGTAGACACATGCGCAATCCAAATGCTGGCAGGCCAGAAGTGCCTAGGAATGAATACCCCCAGGAACAACTCTCAACCACTAAGAGGCGTGAGTTGGAAAACAAATATCTAAACTTTCTTGTCCCTTTGGAGCTATTCTGAGGTGTGACTTAGGGTCTCCGAGGTTTCTAGCAAAACCAAGCTTCAATTGCCCACTCATTAACATATTAACATATCTTTTATTTACATATCTACCTTGATTTTCTCACCTCTCCACTACCTATTTATCTATTATTTCATTTTCACGTGGCTGATAAAGACATACCCAAAACTGGGAACAAAAAGAGGTTTAATTGGACTTACAGTTCCACATGGCTGGGGAGGCCTCAGAATCATGGCAGGAGGCGAAAGGCTCTTCTTACATGGTGACAGCAAGAGAAAAATGAGGAAGAAGCAAAAGTGGAAACCCCTGATTGACCCATTAGATTTCATGAGACTTAATCACTATCCTGAGAGTAGAATGGGAAAGACCAGCCCCCATGATTCAGTTACATCCTCGTGGGTCCCTCCCACAACACATGGGAATTCTAGGAGATACAATTCAAGTTGAGATTTAGGTGGGGACACAGCCAAACTATATCACTCACTGGGCTGCGTAGAACCATTTGAACTCAAATTCTTATCTCAGGGTCTGCTTTTGGTACCTGATCCAAGATTGTTGGTACCAGGAATGGTTCTAGAAGGGAGAACCTAGGAATGAAACTCTACAATGAAATAATGAACCTGAACTCCTTCTAATACCAGAAGACTCAAGGTACTCTCATAGCTCCCCAGTTACATTGTGGACAAAACAGAAGACAGGCAATAAATGGAATCCTGGACCAAATCCATCTCACAGTGGGTTCACAGACTCAACCTGTTCATGTTATCCCAGTCTCTGAGTGTCTCACCAAGATGGACAGACTTAAGTGCTTGCAGAAGCCCCCTTTTGGTTTCTGACTTGTGAGATAAGTGATATACTAGTAGGAAAAGCTAAGTGGAAGCACATGAAACTACTGCTTTCTCTCCAACCAGCCAAGACAGCAAATTGGAAGGAATACCACAAATTAGGCAGCAGGCAGTCATTAACAATACTCTCAGAGACTTACAGGATGCACAGGTAATGTTTTCCATCATGTCCCTATTTAACTCATCATTATGGCTTCTATTAAAAAAAAAGAGAATGGAGGTGGAACATGGTGGATTATAGTGGACTACTGTGAATGTAACCAAGGGAGGCCTCAGCCACAACTGCCATGCTATATATATGTGGCATCTTCCTAAAACAGATTAATACAGCCTCTGACACTTAATATGCAGATATTGATCTGACCAATGCCTTTCATATCCCCATTAGAAAGGATGATCCATAGCAAGTTGCATTCACCTGGAGTGGTGGCCCGAATACTTATTTTATTTTATTATTTGATTTTTTAGGTTTCCTTTTTTTTTCTAGTTTCATTTTCTCAGTTCCTCTACTCCTGTGATCACCTCCCAAATGCATAACTTGTAACCAAATCCTTATTTCAGAGTTTGCTTAAGGGGGAATCCAAACTAAAATAGTAATTAATTACCTTAGTGAAATCTTTTGGTGAATATAAATATATAAAAATATCAACAATTTCAATAAATCTAAATGAATTAAACTCATCAAACTTTCTGATTAAATTTTAAAGAAGATATACAAACCGCCAACAAACATATGAAAAAATGCTCAACATCACTAATCATCAGGGAAATGCAAATCAAAACCACAGTGAGATGCCACTTTACTCCTGCAAGAATGGCCATAATTAAAAAGTCAAGAAACAATAGATGTTGGCATGAGTGTGGTAAAAAGGGAACACTTTCACACTGCTGGTGGAATGTAAATTAGTACAACTACTACGGAAAACAGTATGGGGATTCCTTGAAGAACTAAAAGTCAATCTACCATTCAATCCAGCAATCCCACTAGTGGGTATCTACCCAAAGGAAAAAAGTTATTATATGTAAATGATATATGCATACACATGTTTATGGCAGCACAATTCGCAATTGCAAAGATATGGAACTAACCCACCTAAGTGCTCATTGACCAATGAGTGGATAAAGAAAATGTGGTATATTTACACCTTGGAATACTACTCAGCCATAAAAAGGAATGAAATAATGTCTTTTGCAACAACTCGGATGGAGCTGGAGGCCATTATTCTAAGTGAAGTAACTCAGAAATAGAAAACCAAATACCCTATGTTCTCACTTATAAGTGGGAGCTAAGCTATGAGAATGCAAAAACATATAGAGTGATATAAAGGACTATGGGAACTTGTGGTGGGGAGGTTGGGAGGAAGGTGAGAGATAAGAGACTGCATATTGGATACAGTGTACACCGTTAGGGTGATGGGTGCACTAAAATCTCAGAATATACTACTATAGAACTTATTTGAGTAACCAAAACCACCTGTACCCCAAAAGCTATTGAAATAAAAAAAATTCCAGATATGTGGCTTTTATAAGAGACATACTAAAGCATAGGATATGTTATGTCAGCCAGCTTTGGCTGTGTAGCAGCTGCATAATCTCAGTCTCATGCAATAACAGTTTCCTACTCATGCATCTGTGGATCAGCTTGGGTACAGCTGATTTTGCCCACCTGGGGTTTGCTCTAAAATATAGGTTCAGCCTTAGTCTGTTCCAAATATTTCTTACCTTCCTTGGACCAGTGGCTACCCAAGGCAGGGTCTTATCATGGCAAAAGTCAGGAATACAAGAGAATTTGTCCAACCTTTCAAGCATGTTTAAAGCCACTAACTGTATCATCCCACCAATATTCTGTTGGCTAAGGCAAGTCACATAACAAGGGTTCATAAGGTACCGAGAAGAGACAACAAACTGGGAATAACAATGCAATCTGTGTTAAAAATAATAGAATGGCAAAAATTAGAAAAATGGTAGCCAAAAGAAAGCTTGTGTGGCTGTATTACTGTCGGATCAAATGGATTTTAAGACAAAAACACGATTAGAGTCAGAGAAGATCTCTATTTATCTATCTATACACATCAATAAAGTATAAATATTCTAAACACCATGCACCTAATAGCCTCAAAATATATAAAGGGAGTAAACAAAGCTCCACCAAATAGTGAGAAATTTCATTAAATTTCCCTCATTGTTTGAAGTGTTAATCCATTGATTCTAAGCAAGAACATAGAAGATCTCAACAACACAATTTAAAAACTTGACCTAACGAACATAGATGGAATTCTGCACCCAACAATTAGATAATGTAAACTGCATTATTCTCAAGCACACATAGAACACTTACAAATATTGATCATGTATTTAGACAAAATATAAGCCTCAAAAATATCTTAAAATATATATAATATAGACCACATTTTCTGACATCAACTCAATTAAGTTAATAGATAATAAGAAAAAATAAGAAAAATATGAATTGCCCACTTATTTAAAACTTAAAAACATGCTCTTTTTTATTATTATACTTTAAGTTTTAGGGTACATGTGCACAACGTGCAGGTTTATTACATATGTATACATGTGCCATGTTGGTGTGCTGCACCCATTAACTCGTCATTTAACATTAGGTATATCCCCTAATGCTATCCCTCCCCCTCCCCCCACCCCACAACAGGCCCCGGTGTGTGATGTTCCCCTTCCTGTGTCCATGTCTTCTCATTGTTCAATTCCCACCTATGAGTGAGAACATGCGGTGTTTGGTTTTTTATCCTTGCGATAGTTTGCTGAGAATGATGGTTTCTAGCTTCATCCATGTCCGTACAAAGGACATGAACTCATCTCAATATCGTGAAAATGGCCATACTGCCCAAGGTAATTTATAGATTCAATGCCATCCCCATCAAGCTACCAATGACTTTCTTCACAGAATTGGAAAAAACTACTTTTTTTTTTTTTTTGAGACGGAGTCTCGCTCTGTCGCCCAGGCTGGAGTGCAGTGGCGGGATCTCGGCTCACTGCAAGCTCCGCCTCCCGGGTTCACGCCATTCTCCCGCCTCAGCCTCCCAAGTAGCTGGGACTACAGGCGCCCGCCACTACGCCCGGCTAATTTTTTGTATTTTTAGTAGAGACGGGGTTTCACCGTTTTAGCCGGGATGGTCTCGATCTCCTGACCTCGTGATCCGCCCGCCTCGGCCTCCCAAAGTGCTGGGATTACAGGCGTGAGCCACCGCGCCCGGCCGGAAAAAACTACTTTAAAGTTCATAAGGAACATGCTCTTTAAATGACTCATGAGGTAAAGAAATCCTAATGGAAATTTTAAAGTGAATGATAATGACAACATTACATATCAGAACTTGTGAGATCCAACCAGAGCTAAGACCCAGCAATTCACTCCTACATAAGCACCAAAGAGGAACTCTTGCACGTGTGCACCAGGGATCAGATGAAGATCTTTATAGCAATATTATTTTAAAAATAGCAAAGACCTAGGAACAACCTACATGCCTGTTGTCAGCAGAATGTATAAAATAACTGGTGACCATCAAATGATGAAATATTATATAGCATTCAAAATGAATGACCTTCAGCTTCACATCACAATATGAATGAATATTAACAATATTGAGTGTAAAAAATAAATAAATAAATTGATGATATCTAGATAGACAGATGTATAAAATAAATTCCCAAAGATACATACAGAAAACATTTTTATAAACTTTGAAACACTAAAACTAAAAGCAATACTTCTAGACTATATAGATATGAAATAGAACTATGTAAATAAAAAAGGAAGGAAATGATCAGCATGATTCAGGGTAGTGGTTACCTCAGGTGGAGACAAACAGGAAGAAACACTGCCCTTAGATCCAGGCAAGAGGACCTCTGGACTCTTCTCTACAGGCCCAAATCTGGTCATCTTCTAACTATGCCTCTCCCCTTAAGGCAAGGAGTCTGTAGCACAAAAGGGATGTTCACACTCAAAGCCTACAGCGCCCTCTTATAGATCATGCTCTGAATACCCGGAAGCCAGGACTTCCCTGTCCCTACAGTGAGGGCCTCTCTCAGTGACTCCGTGGACCTCTGGCCTAAGTCTATTCTTCCAAGTGCAGATCATGATGTCTTTGTGCTCTGAGGCCTATGGAGTGGCCAAGGGGTGCTATTTACCAGTATGTGGACTGATCTTTGGGCCGAGTATCCATGCGTGTGCTCAAAGGACAGGCTGCCTAAGACCATCTCTCCTCACACTACTGCCACGCTCCAATGTAGCTAGAAACCTAAGAATTCAAAATTCCAGCCTGGCCTTACATGTTGGTATGAATATATTTAGTGAGATGGAAGGATAGAATACATTTTATTTAACAGTCTTAGCTAGATTGATAACTTTTAAATATTTAAATATATAGTACATGGGCCTTTTTCTCCAGGCTCCATAAATGTTTAAAAGCCTAGCAGAGGGATAGAACTGGGGAGCACCAAATGGGCAGATATAACTTGCTTTCAAAGTTCTAGTACCTATGAATTTAGCAAAATGGCATCTTGACTGGATCAGACACATATGGATTTTTCATGGTAATGATTGGTTTGAGTGTATGTGTTGGGAGCAACAGCAAAAGATAAGCTAGAGAGGGAAGCAAGGCCCAGATCATACAAGGTCTTGTAAGTTATACTGTAGAGCTTGGACTATCCTTAGAGTAACAAGGAGATACTGGATGATTAAGAGTGAGGCTGACATAATCAGGCTTGCATTTTAGAAAGATTAATGTAGCTCCAAAGTGAATGTTGGTTAAGGGACAGGACTGGAAGAAGGAGAACAAGTAATGAGTCTATTTCAGTAATCCTTGGGTAGGAGATGCAGATGATTTGGAGTAGAATGAAGGTAATAAGAGTAAGGTCCACAGGATCAACTTACAGAGAAATAGAAATTAAGGCTGATTCCTAGGTTTTCGGCTGGTGAAGTTGGGTGAGTGTTGTCTTTCAACGGGATATAGAATTGAAGTGGAAGTTTGTGAAATGTATAGGGAAAGATATTGGATTTAATTTGGATATACTGTGCTTAAGGGCCTGTAGGCAGCTAGTAAGCTTTTGGCACAAACTAGGCACATAGTAATTGTGCAATGTAAGTAAAAATGAAAAAATGAAGTAAAACTTGTTAATTTTTTTTTATTATTTTTTCCCTGAGGTTGGAAAAGATGAGGAGAGCTTCCTTGACGGTCTAAGGGACATTGAATCAATTGCTGCTCTTGTCAATTAGCATACTCTATGTAGATGTGTCAAGATATGAAGCAATGCTATTATTAGAGAAATTTTATTTTGTTCTAGACTTGCTCATTGTATTCAACAGGTTATAACTCCAAAATTAGAGACCTATTCTAAAACTGATCACATAATTGGAAGTAAAACACTCCTCAGCAAATGCAAAAGAATGGAAATAATAACAGTCTCTCAGACCACAGCAAAATCAAATTAGAACTCAGGATGAAGAAACTCACTCAAAATTGCACAGCTACATGGAAACTGAACAACCTGCTCCTGAATGACTAGTGGGTAAATAAAGAAATCAAGGCAGAAATAAATAAGTTCCTTAAAACCAATGATAACGAAGACACGCATACCAGAATCTCTGGCACACAGATAAAGTAGTGTTTAGAGGGAAATTTATAGCACTAAATGCCCACAGGAGAAAGCCGGAAAGATCCAAAATGAACACCCTAACATCACAATTAAAAGAACTAGAGAAGCAAGAGCAAACAAATTCAAAAGCTAGCAGAAGACAAGAAATAACTAAGATCAGAGCAGAACTGAAGGAGATAGTGGCACGAAAAACCCTTCAAAAAATCAACGAATCCAGGAGCTGGTTTTGTGAAAGGATTAACAAAATTGATAGACCGCTAGCAAGACTAACAAAGAAGAAAAGAGAAGAATCAAATAGACACAATAAAAAGTGATAAAGGGGATATCACCACAGATCCCACAGAAATACAAACTACCATCAGAGAATACTATAAACACCTCTATGCAAATAAACTAGAAAATCTAGAAGAAATGGATAAATTCCTGGAGACACACACCCTCCCAAGACTAAACCAGGAAGAAGTCTAATCCCTGAATAGACCAATAACAAGTTCTGAAATTGAGGCAGTGATTAACAGCCTACCAACCTAAAAAAGCCCAGGACCAGATGGATTCACAGCCGAAAGCTACCAGAGTTACAAAGAGGAGCTGGTACCATTCCTTCTGTAACTCTTCCAAACAATAGAAAAAGAGGCACTCCTTCCTAACTCATTTTATGAGGCCAGCATCCTCCTGATACCAAAACCTGGCAGAGACGCAACAAAAAAAGAAAATTTCAGGCCAATATCCCTGAAGAACATAAACCGGAAAATCCTCAATAAAATACTGGCAAACCAAATCCAGCAGTACATCAAAAAGCTTATCCACCAAGATCAAGTCGGCCACATCCCTGGGATGCAAGGCTTGTTCAACATACACAAATCAATAAACGTAATCCATCGCATAAAGAGAACCAATGACAAAAACCACATGATTATCTCAGTAGATGCAGAAAAGGCATCCAATAAAATTCAACACCGCTTGATACTAAAAACTCTCAATAAACTAGATATTGATGGAATGTATCTCAAAGTAATAAGAGCTAGTTATGACAAACCCATAGCCAATATCATAATGAATGGGCAAAAGCTGTAAGCATTCCCTTTGAAAATCGCCACAAGACAAGGATACCCTCTCTCACCACTCCTATTTAACATAGTATTGGAAGTTCTGGCCAGGGCAACCAGGCAAAGGAAAGAAAGAAAGCATATTCAAATAGAAAGAGAGGAAGTCAAATTGTCTGTGTTTGCTGATGACATGATCATTTATTTAGAAAACCCCATCGTCTCAGCCCAGAATCTCCTTAAGCTGATAAGCAACTTCAGCAAAGTCTCAGGAAACAAAATCAATATGCAAAAATCACAAGCATTCCTACATACCAGTAACAGACAAATAGAGAGCCAAATCTTGAGTGAACTTCCATTCACAATTGCTACAAAGAGACAAACCTGACAAAAACAAGCAATGGGGAAAGGATTCCCTATTTAATAAATGGTGTTGGGAAAACTGGCTAGCCATATGCAGAAAACTGAAACTGGAACCCTTCCTTACACCTTACACAAAAATTAACATGAGATAGATTAAAGACTTAAATGTAAAACCTGAAACCACAAAAACCCTAGAAAACCTAGGCAACACCATTCAGGACATAGTCATGGGTAAAAACTTCATAACTAAAACACCAAAAGCAATGGCAACAGAAGCCAAAATTGACAAATGGGATCTAATTAAACTAAAGAGCTTCTGCACAGCAAAAGAAACTATCATCAGAGTGAACAGGCAACCTACAGAATGGGAGAAATTTTTTGCAATCTATCCATCTGACAAAGTGCTAATATCCAGAATCTACAAAGAACTTCACCATTTTACAATAAAAAAAAACAACCCCATCAAAAACTGGGTGAAGGATATGAACAGACACTTGTCAAAAGAAGACATTTATGTGGCCAACAAATGTATGAAAAAAAGCTCATCATCAATGGTCATTAAAGAAATGCAAATCAAAACCACAATGAGATACCATCTCAAGCCAGTTAAAATAGTGATCAAGCGTTCCTATTTCTCCACATCCTCTCCAGCACCTGTTGTTTCCTGACTTTTTAATGATCGCCATTCTAACTGATGAGAGATGGTATCTCATTGTGGTTTTGATTTGCATTTCTATGTTGAATAGGAGTGGTGAGAGAGGGCATCCTTGTGCTGGTTTTCAAAGGGAATTCTTCCAATTTTTGCCCATTCAGTATGATATTGGCTGTGGGTTTGCCATAAATAGCTCTTATTATTTTGAGATACATTCTATCAATACCTAGTATATTGAGAGTTTTTAGCATGAAGTGCTGTTTAATTTTGTCAAAGGCCTTTTCTGCATCTGTTGAGATAATCATGTGGGTTTTGTTGTTGGTTCTGTTTATGTGATGGATTACGTTTATTGATTTGCATATGTTGAACCAGCCTTGCATCCCAGGGATGAAGCCAACTTGATCCTGGTGGATAAGGTTTTTGATGTGCTGCTGGATTTGGTTTGCCAGTATTTTATTGAGGATTTTTGCATCAATGTTCATCAAGGATATTGACCGAAAATTCTCTTTTTTTGTTGTGTCTCTACCAGGCTTTGATATCAGGATGATGCTAGCCTCCTAAAATGAATTAGGGAGGATTCCCTCTTTTTCTATTGATTGGGATAGTTTCAGAAGGAATGGTACCAGCTCCTCTTTTTACCTCTGGTAGATTTCGGCTGTGAATCCATCTGATCCTGAACTTTTTTTGGTTGGTAGGCTCTTAATTATTGCCTCAACTTCAGAGCCTGTTATTGGTCAATTCAGGGATTCAATTTCTTCCTGGTTTAGTCTTGGGAGGGTGTATGTGTCCAGGAATTTATCCATTTCTTCTAGATTTTCTAGTTTATTTGCATAGAGGTGTTTATAATATTCTCTGATGGTAGTTTGTATCTCTGTGGGATTGGTGGTGATATCCCGTTTATCATTTTTTATTGAGCATATTTGATTCTTCTCTCTTTTCTTCTTTATAAGTCTTGCTAGCGGTCTATCAATTTTGTTGATCTTTTCAAAAAACCAGCTCCTGGATTCATTGATTTTTTGAAGGGCTTTTTTGTCTCTATCTCCTTCAGTTCTGCTCTGATCTTAGTTATTTCTTGCCTTCTGCTAGCTTTTCAATGTGTTTGCTCTTGCTTCTCTAGTTCTTTTAATTGTGATGTTAGCGTGTCAATTTTAGATCTTTCCTGCTTTCTCTTGTGGGCATTTAATGCTATAAATTTCCCTATACACACTGCTTTAAATGTGTCCCAGAGATTCTGGTATATTGTGTCTTTGTTCTCATTGGTTTGAAAGAACATCTTTCTTTCTGCCTTCATTTTGTTATGTATCCAGTAGTCATTCAGGAGCAGCTTGTTCAGTTTCCATATAGTTGAGTGGTTTTGAGTGAGTTTCTTACCCTGAGTCCTAGTTTGATTGCACTGTGGTCTGTTATAGTTTATTATAATTATAAATTTATATATATAAATTTATAAAATTATAGTTTGTTATAATTTCTGTTCTTTTACATTTGCTGAGGAGTGCTTTACTTCCAACTATGTGGTCAATTTTGGAATAAGTGTGATGTGGTGCTGAGAAGAATGTATATTCTGTTGATTTGGGGTGGAGAGTTCTGTAGATGTCTATTAGGATTGCTTAGTGCAGAGCTGAGTTCAATTCCTGGATATCCTTGTTAACTTTCTGTCTTGTGGATCTGTCTAATGTGGACAGTGGGGTGTTAAAGTCTCCCATTATTATTGTGTGGGAGTCTAAGTCTCTTTGTAGGTCTCTAAGGACTTGCTTTATGAATCTGGATGCTCCTGTATTGTGTGCATATATATTTAGGATAGTTAGCTCTTCTTGTTGAATTGATCCCTTTACCATTATGTCACGGCCTTCGTTGTCTCATTTCATCTTTGTTGGTTTAAAGTCTGTTTTATCAGCGAGTAGGATTGCAACCCCTGCTTTTTTTTTGTTTTCCATTTGCTTGGTAGGTCTTCCTCTATCCCTTTATTTTGAGACTATGTGTGTCTCTGCACGTGAGATGGGTCTCCTGAATACAGCACACTGATGGGTCTTGACTCTTTATCCAATTTGCCAGTCTGTGTCTTTTAATTGGAGCATTTAGCCCATGTACATTTAAGTTAATATTGTTATGTGTGAATTTGATCCTGTCATTATGATGTTAGCTGGTTATTTTGCTCATTAGTTGATGCAGTTTCTTCCTAGCATCGATGGTCTTTACAATTTGGCATGTTTTTGCAGTGGCTGGTACCCTTTCCATGTTTAGTCCTTCCTTCAGGAGCTCTTGTAAGGCAGGCCTGGTGGTGACAAAATCTCTCAGCATTTGCTTGTCTGTAAAGGATTTTATTTCTCCTTCACTTATGAAGCTTAGTTTGGCTGGGTATGAAATTCTGGGTTGAAAATTCTTTTCTTTAAGAATGTTGAATATTGGCCCCCACACTCTACTGGCTTGTAGAGTTTCTGCTGAGAGATCTGCTGTTAGTCTGATGGGTTTCCCTTTGTAGGTAATCTGACCTTTCTCTCTGGCTGCCCTTAACATTTTTTCCTTCATTTCAACTTTGGCGAATTTGACAATTATGTGTCTTGGAGTTGCTCTTCTCCAGGAGTATCTTTGCGGCATTCTCTGTATTTCCTGAATTTGAATGTTGGCCTCTCTTGCTAGGTTGGGGAAGTTCTCCTGGATAATATCCTGAAGAGTGTTTTCCAGCTTGGTTCTATTATCCCCGTCACTTTCAGGTACACCAGTGAGACGTAGATTTGGTCTTTTCACATAGTCCCATATTTCTTGGAGGCTTTGTTCATTTCTTTTTACTCTTTTTTTCTCTAAACTTCTCTTCTCACTTCATTTATTTGATCTTCCATCACTGATACCCTTTCTTCCAATTGATCGAATCAGCTACTGAAGCTTGTGCATGTGTCACGCAGTTCTCATGCCATGGTTTTCAGCTCCATCAGGTCATTTAAGGTCTTCTCTATGCTGGTTATTCTAGTTAGCCATTCGTCTAATCTGTTTTCAAGGTTTTTACCTTCTTTGTTATGGGTTTGAACATCCTCCTTTAGCTCAGAGAAGTTTGTTATTACTGATTGCCTGAAGCCTTCTTCTCTCAACTCATCAAAGTCATTCTCTGTCTAGCTTTGTTCCGTGGCTGGTGAGGAGCTGCTTTCCTTTAAGGGAGAAGAGGAGCTCTGAGTTTTAGAATTTTCAGCTTTTCTGCTCTGGTTTCTCCCCACCTTTGTGGTTTTATCTACCTTTGGTCTTTGATGATGGTGACGTACAGATGGAGTTTTGGTGTGGATGCCATTTCTGTTTGTTAGTTTTCCTTCTAACAGTCAGGACCCTCAGCTGCAGGTCTGTTGGAGTTTGCTGGAGGTCCACTCCAGACCCTGTTTGCCTTGGTATCACCAGCGGAGGCTGCAGGACCGCAAATATTGCAGAACGGCAAATGTTGCTGCCTGATCATTCCTCTGGAAGCTTCGTCTCAGAGGGGCACCAGGCCGTATGAGGTGTCAGTTGGCCCCTACTGGGAGGTGCCTCCCAGTTAGACTACTCAGGGGTCAGGGACCCATTTGAGGAGGCAGTCTGTCCGTTCTCAGATCTCAAACTCCATGCTGGGACACCCACTACTCTCTTCAAAGCTGTCAGACAGGGACATTTAAGTCTGCAGAACTTTCTGCTGCCTTTTGTTCAGCTACACCCTGCCCCCAGAGATGGAGTCTACAGAGGCAGGCAGGCCTCCTTGTGCTGAGGTGGTGGGCTCCACCCAGTTCGAGCTTCCTGGCTGCTTTGTTTACCTATTAAAGCCTCAGCAATGGCGGGTGCCCCTTCCCCAGCCTCGCTGCCACCTTGTAAATGGATCTCAGACTGCTGTGCTAGCTGTGAGCAAGGCTCTGTGGGCGTGGGACCCTCTGAGCCAGGCGTGGGATATAATCTCCTGGCATGCTATTTGCTAGACCATTGGAAAAGCGCAGTATTATGGTTGGAGTGAACCAATTTTCTAGGAGCCTTCTCTCACGGCTTCCCTTGGTTAGCAAAGGGAATTCCCTGACCCCTTGCACTTCCCAGGTGAAGTGATGCCTCGCCCTGCTTCGGCTCATGGTCCATGGGCTGCACCCACTGTCCTGCACCCACGTCTGACAAGCCCCAGTGAGATGAACCCATTACCTCAGTTGGAAATGCAGAAATCACCCATCTTCTGCATCGCTCACACTGGGAGCTGTAGACTGGAGCTATTCCTATTCAGCCATCTTGGAGCCTCCAGTTCCTACAATCTTATGAATCTTTGAGGTGTGGTTTGCAAGGGTGTCACACTGGACAATAGGACTGAAGAACTGCCAGATCTAGAAGTGGCTTACATCACCTCTGCCATACTCCATCTACCCAACAGAGTCACCTGGTCTCAATCCAATGCAAAGGGGCTGATTCATCCAGACCTTATGTGTGCCCAGGAATAGGAACTAGGGCTGGTGACCATTTAACCAGTATCTAGAACACTTGAAAATCAAGAAAGCCAGTTTTCAGGTAAGTGCTCAAATAACAAATGTGCAATTCAAATGTCAAAATGCCTGCTTCCATGCAGATTTGTTCTAAGAATGACATACTGCATAATTGCAAAATAAGATCACACCACTATCTTCAACTCATTTAAAGTGCTTTGTTATTTGCTTGTCACAAGTTTGCTTAATTCTTTTAGAAGAATTTGAACTATTTTGCTGAAGATAATACTTTGTGGTCTTTTCTTCTGCAGTCAGCACCATGAGAGTTAGCCACCATGACTACAGAGGAGAACTTGGCAAAATGAAATGGAGATCCCTAAGAGATGTTTAACTCAGATGTTTCAAGTTATAAAATGCCTAATGGCATTATTGAAAACATAAACTCTTTTTAGATATATTTTAATTAACATCTGGCATAACACAAAATAATCCCTTATAGTCATGATATCTTACATATTTTATCTTATTTGATTATCATGACTACATATTATATGTATAATATTTTATACCTAATATATTCTCTTTGTCATAATAGCACCTAGATTTTCTATGGGGAGCTACTATTCCTCACCTACTCTCAAATTCCCACTGTTTGGCTGGGGCTGGCTCTCCACCCAAATTACGGGATAGGCATATGAACTAGACCTGACCAATCAACTCTCACATCTGCCTGATTACAAAGAGTGATTCAGAGATAAACACAACATCCAAGTCATGCTAATTGGGGTCATTGCCAATCAATTATTGGACTACCATTGTAACAGTTGAGAAACAGACCTCTTTCTGAAGCCAGTTGGATATAAGCCTGGAGTTATTGGAGGCCGTCTTGCCCCATGAGGAGAGCCTACCAGAGACTTGGGTCTAACAGAGAAAACAGGGCCAAGGCATAGAGAGTGACTCAGTTCTAATGACATTGTTTGAGCCAGGATCCAACCACAGTGATGCCAAGGTACTCCTGGACTTTCATCTACAGGAGTCAACGCATTCTTTTTCTTTCCTTTTGCCATTTCGATTTGGGTATCTTTCATTAGCAGCTGAAAGAGTCCTAAGCTTTTGGTTGGTTGGGTTGTTTCTATTTTCTGTAGTTTATAGGAAAATAAACTGGGTTTAGATAGTTTAAGTAACTTACTATATATGTAGTTTACTTCAAATGTAGTTGGGCAAAACAGAAAGGAAAATTGACTTAAACTGCAGTGCTTTAATTATATTTTACTTAGTTAAGATTATTTTTCAGTTTCAAAGCAATGCTCCTTTTTTCTCAAGACTTATGAAAAGTTTTGTCAGGATAGAATAATTACCACATTGTGTCTGGATTGTTCAGCTTTTCCAATATTTATTGGCAGTAGTTGTGTAGCATTTTAGTATAATAAATATGAATGGCTGAGTCATTCTCAAGAAATAAATAGCAAAATTTAAGTACTTTATGAGCCATATGATAGATAATTCAGCTTCTGTTCTGTACTTGAAATGAAATTTTTTTCTATAGTCAAGCCCCAGATCTGATTTAAAAGCAGTAGAGAGATTTTGAAATACTCAAATGTGTGCTACTTATGAAATCCAGTGGTTTTATAAAAAAGCATGTATGTACTGTATACTTCAAAATAACTAAATAACAGTATTCTTAATGGGAAAAAAATCCCATTTTTTCCTGGAACTGTGAATGGAAAACTCAACTGCATACCATTCCAATTCCAAGATCTGTAATCTTAGACGATTGAAGAGTTCCCCTTTCCAAGCAATGTTTCTCTGTGTGGTTTCTAAACCTCCTGACTTTCTGCAAAAATGTAGCATACCCTGGGAAGCATAAGAGGAATAACAATGTAAGAATATCATAGCTCTTCTTAAAAATTCACGTCTGACATACAGTTTTTCCATTTTTATCTATCCTCTTTAGTCATAATCTCTACTTCATTTGACTTTTGTCTTTAGAATAAAACAGAGAGCTGTAAGGGAGTGAGAAGGATTTCCTCCTTTAAATCAAATGTGAAGATAAAGTTGCTTAGACTCAGACTTAGGTACCACAAAGACATGTAAACAGCCAAGTCGTTAGGAATCTGATGTTCTACTTTATTCTTTTAAAAGTAAGTGGTTGTCATTTTAATGAAACTCTGTATCATTCTTAATAAGATTATCTACTATTAATAGTTGGTACAACAGTAATTGCCTGCCTCCTCTTGATGCACCGTTGACAATAGCTCATATGAATAAATAGCCCAACCAGAGTAACAGACTGGGTGTAGAAGGAAGCCGTTCTCACCTTTATGCAGTGATAAGAGTGATCCTGAAGCACAGCAGAGGGGCTTTCTGATGTTGCTGCCCAGATGTTTGGCCCAGATGTTAACACTGTAGTGAGGATTAGGAAACATAATCATTTATCTCTGAGCCTCAGTTTCTTCAGCTGTAAATGGAAATACTAATGCTTCCCTCATGAGGATGTGTGAAGATTGAAAGGTTAAATGTTCTTTTATTGTTTACTTATTCTTTTTAAAAAAAGCACTGTAAATTCTTGTGGATGTAAGATATTATAGACAATTGAGCATCAATTTTAGCCCTCCCCTTCATGCAAATTATGAAAAGTATAGTCAAAATCCAAGAATTACACAACTACAGTTACAAAAAAACCTGTAACAAATTAAAATCTAGTTGCCATAAAGTAAAAGTAATTGTACAATTAAATTGTATTACTGACTACAGTTATATATATGTCTACAGACACATACACACACACACAGAGTTTTAGGTTTAGACCTGACCAATCAAATCTCATGTCTGCCTGATTACAAAGAGTGATTCAGTGATAAACACAACATCCAAGTCATGCTAATTGGGGTCAATTAGACTACAATTATATATATGTTATTATATATGTCTGCAGACACATACACACACACTCACACACACAGAGTTTTAATTTAAGTTTGGCCAAATGGAGAAATTGGGTCTGAAAAAAAGTCCTCTTTAGTAGCTGAAGACATTGGATGTGATTTCCATGGCAGTAGCATGATAATTCATCTCTCTACTACCATGGTTTCTTAATTAAGTTGAGACATTATAATTAGACCCTTTCTCATTTTTTTCATTTTCACTTCCTCCCAGCATCTTTGGGTGGGATTAATCCCTCCCCTGCCCCACCCTCAGTGCACTCCAGCCCAGCCCTGGCAGCTGCCAGCCAAATTGCCGCTAGCTAGGAAAAGCCTTTCATCAGCCATCTACAAGGAGAATCAAGTGGCAATAGGATGGAAATAAAATTTGTCTTTGCTATCCACCATTTCACCTCAGTTTCTTGGCTCTCACTGTCTTCTTTCTCCTAACCCTTTCCTTATGCTGATGGAGATCCCACTCCCACCCCACAGCTCCACTCCCTAGGAATCTGATGTCTTCCAGCTCAGCTGACTACTTTTGTCTGCCTTCTCTAAAGGGTCTCCAGTTTCCGAATGATTACCATTTTTCTCCCCCAGCTTCTCTTTCAATCAAACTCACATTCGTTTAAGCTTGCTGGTCTCAGCACAGTATAAACAGGCAAACCAACTAAGCAATCCTAACGTGTAAATAACCGCTTTTTTTTTTCTTTCTGGGATTTTGCATTTTAAGCATGTAAGTCAATATTCATCTACAATTAGTGAAATCCCATGGAATGTAAAAGGAGTCCTAGGCTACTGAGTGGTAATACCTATGGGCAACAGACTTTTCTTTGTTTCAACTCATAAGTTTTCTCCCCTTTGGTTAGGGCCACTCTCTAGAGGTTCTACAATTATTTCTTGAGAAGAATCATTGCTTAGGAATTAGCAATCACTTCTGGCTGCCATCTTGGATTTGACACCAAGGATGCAGCTTTGTTTATGGAGCATGCAAATGGCTTGCAGAGTCCTGCTGATTGGCATGAACTCATGAGGAAATAAAGTTTGTCATTCATGTGTGCATGCACACACCCTTTATGAGGCACTACTTCTTCCTTATTCACAGACAAACACAATTTAAACTGCATTAGGCACTTGTCATCTTTCTAGTTTTGGAACATAGAAAGAATACAGGTGTTACTGGGACCTGATTAAATCCTGAAGTGTCCATTAACAAGTGCAGATGCTAAAAATATCTACAGATCAAGTTCCTTGGTCTTTGATTAATTGTTGCTCTTTAGAGGACTCAGAGTCTTGAGAAGAATGAGTATTGTGTTTAAATTTTATTATTTTTGCTGAATATGTGAAGTTGCAGTGATTCTTTCCAGGGCAATATTCACAAATTATTGTGATGTCTTCTTTTTAATTGTTTTATATAAGCTTACATACAATTTGTTGGTAGAAATAAATTGCATTTATGGCTTATTTGCTATTTTTCATTTGTATCCTTTAAGCCCCAAGAACCAGGAAGATCAGAATGTTCTAGGAGCACAGAATCACATATTCCCTTAATCTGAGCACATACCCATGAATGGAATGAAAAATGTACATTGTATTCTAAGAAGCAAAAATAAAGATAGGGCTACCAACCTGCTCAGGTGGAAAAAAATTACCTGTGTGACAGATCTTGAAAAAATTGTCTCAACTTTCTTCACATGTAGAATCTATTTTCTACCTCCACCATACTTACTAAAATAATTCACAGACTGATTACCAATTAATTCCCAATTTTCATATTTTAAGGCATCATTTTAGTCCTTATATTATGCTGTTGATGCATTCTTTCATTGGCCCTTAAAGATTGGGGTTCCCAGGATTCCATGCCTCTTTTTTATTCTCACTCTTTTTCAAAGTTTTGTTTGTTTGTTTGTTTGTTTTTTGAGGTATAGTCCCCCTCTGTTGCCCAGGCTGGAGTGCAGTGGCAAAATCTCGGCTCACCGCAACCTCCACCTCTCTGGTATAAGCAATTCTCCTGCCTCAGCCTCCCGAGTAGCACCCGCCACTACGCCCAGCTGGTTTAGTTTTGGCACCTGCCACTACGCCCAGCTAATTTTTGTATTTTTAGTAGAGACGAGATTTCACTATGTTGGCCAGGCTGGTCTCAAACTCCTGGCCTCAAATGATCCCCCCATCTTGGCCTCCCAAAGTGCTGGGATTACAGGAGTGAGCTACCACACCAGGCTACAAAGTTCTTAACATGGAGGCCCACAAAAACTGGATAGAGCCCATAAACGAATTCAATTTTGGTTAGACAATATTTCAGACAAATTTAAAACCAGAGATGTTCATTTATTCATTTAGATTTCCCACGTTCTTTTAAACATGGGAAAAGACGTTCAAAAATGGAAAGATCTGACAACACTACACCAATACTTATGCATAGGAATCATTAATTGGAACTAAATAGAGATTGTTCTTTAGAGATTGGACATCCCTCTCCATTTACTCTAGTCCTCACCACCGCCTGTCACATTAAATCCCTGGCCCATTCACTTTATCATTCCCACAATGAGCATTTGTAATACTCCTTGCATATTCACCCCGTGTAATTTCATCCTTGCTGTGATTTGATCTACCTCACCGTAAAATTCTAATCCAGAGCACGTTCTTAAACACTATCCATATTATTTTCTTTCTTCTTTTCTTTTTTCTTTTTTTTTTTTTTGAGACAGGGTCTCTTTCTGTCATCCAGGCTGGAGTGTAGTGGCGTGATCTCAGCTCACTGCAGCCTCTGCCTCTCAGGATCAAATGATTCTCATACCTCAGCCTCCAGAGTAGCTGGGATTACAGATGTATGCCACCACATCCAGCTAATATTTTGCATGTTTTCAGTAGAAATGGGGTTTTCCCATGTTGACCAGACTGGTTTCGAACTCCTGGCCTCAAGTGGTCCACCTGCCTCGGCCTCTCAAAGTGCTGGGATTATAGGAAATGGGCCACCATGCCCGGCCAAGCACATTATTTTCTCTCATTAGCTACTAACTTTGTGTTTCCAGTATTCTCTACAGAGTTAGTAGTGTCACCATCTGTGATGATCAGTTTCATGTGTCAATTTGGATAGTCTGTAATACCCAGTTATTCACATAAACACTAATCAAAGTTTTGCTGTGAAAGTATTTTATAGATGTGGTTAACATCTACAATCAGTTGACTTTAAGTAATTATCTTTGATAATCTAAATGGGCTTCATCCAATCAGTTGCAAAGCCATAAGAGCAAAACAGTCTTCCTTGAAGAAGAAGAAATTCAGTTTCAAGACAGCAGCATCAGCTCCTTCCTGAGAGTTCCAGCCTGCGGGCCTATCCTGCATTCTTCCAACTTGCCAGGACCCACAGTCCTACAAGTTCTGTTTCTGTGGAAAACCCTGACTGATATCTCATTAATGTAGACCTCCATGCTAAAAATCTAAGAGACTACCTAAACACTTCCTCCTGCCGCTGGCTTTTATACAGTTGTAGACCTTTCAAATTATTCTTCAAAATAAATATCAGATCTAATCTTGTAATTCTAGCATTCAAGTCTGATGTCTATTACCTAGAGATCAAAGTCCAGACTCTTAAGTAGGGCAAACATGGTTGCTCATTTCTGGTCTCTGCTTACTAGTCCATTTACTGCTGTACTACTCACTTCCCTTGCACTTATCACCCAGAGGGAGATGCTTCCATATTTTTGAAGGCACCACCATATTTTATTCCTCTATGATTATGCTGCTCCTACAACCTCAAATATTTTTCCTTACAGAGCACCTGGCAAAAATATACTCAATGTTCAAGACTTAGTTGAAATGTCTTTTCTTCTAGGAAACTTCCAGATCTTTTTCTTTCCCAGTAGAACTGATCAAGTCTTCCTTTGTACTCCAGCCCCCTATTGTATACTTCACTCAAGCACAGTCATAAAATAGAAATTTGTTTCATTTGTTCATCCATATACCTGTCTTTCTCTGTTAAACTGTGAAGCCTAATTCATTTCCTAATTTAGTAGACCCTTGTGGCAATAATTGTTAATTACCTCTCAATATCTATTCTCCCCTTCTTGCAAATTAATAGAATTTCTAGCTAAGCACACAGCCAACTGGAGCAAAACCTACACTTTCAACCTCCCTTACAACTTGGTATGGCCATGTCACTAAGTTCCAACCAATGGAATTTAAGTGAAAGTGTCCTGTACCAGCATACAATGACCTTCCATCAGAGGCAATTGTCACAGGCTCTTTGCCTCTTCTTTTTTCCTTCTTCTAGCCTGCTGTTCAGAACATGAAGGTATGACTGAAATTCCATCTTTGTTCTTGAGCACAAGTTTGCTCTTAGCATGGTCAAATGGAAAGCCACAGGGAACCTCGGTCCCAGGGGACTTGGGAGAGCAAAAACCTATACCGGCTCTAGACTTGTTATGGGTCCGAGTCAGAGGGGAGCTGACAGTCTCAGGAGTGAGCTGGCTATGTTTGGGTTTTTAAGCTTGGATCCTATGTTTGCATATGGTCTTCTCTTGTTTGTACCGGTTATCTTCTGTGGTTCAACCTGGAGACTTTGACTTAGTTCCACCTCCAGTCCCTCAAGAACCCAATCCTTGACATGGTCTTCTCCACTTGGCCAGAATCTGACTGACTAGGCCAATTCCATCTCCTACAAGAGAGGGTGAGTTAGTGAAGCAAACAAAGAAGAGGAATGGCTAGGTTAGAGCCAAGATGGAGGCTAGATAGGAGGCTGTGAGCTGAGTGGAGAAAATGGCAACACATAGCGAAGAATTTGAGCCCATAGTTGGTGCACAAGGACAGTAAAACTAAGCAATGGGAGAGAAATATGTCAAATTATTGCTGGGGTGATTTGATTTACTCTTTCAAAAATCATTTTCATGACAGATAAATGGACACATTACGACCTTTCCCAACATGAGTGTAAGTAAATGCAAACTCTTATAGGAGTATAAATTGCTAAAAATTGGGGGAGGCCAACTTGACACTTCTCATAAATATTTTAACTGTGTATTCACTAGGAACCAAAGATGTTCTAAAAGGTGAAGAAGAAGCTCAGCAGAAACACTGAAAACATGTGTCTTCATTATTTAATACTGTTAACAAGGTTCTAGTTATGCATTATGACAGACTGACTCACACTCACGTGTCTACTCTATTCCCAACATAACAAGAATTAAGAAGCATTTATTATATACTTAACAAGAAATATGTAAAATCAATATAGAAAACAGTAAATTTTCTCTGATATTTACTTGAGGGCTAAAACTGTCTTTCTTAGATGATGCTATCTATTATTCTCATATACAGAAAACCAAGAGAAATAGTTGATTTATTAACATCAGAGTTCAGTAAGATGGCTAGAAATAAAGGAAATACATAGGATTAATATGTAGGTAGAATTAATACACCAGTAACAGTAATTTGAAAACATAATGGAGGAAAAAGGCAAAAATTCAAACTGGCAGAAAACTGATGAATTGATCAATAAATAGTTTTGGGAAATTTGATAACCAAAATAGAAAAAAAATTAACAGTCTTTCCTTACACAGCACACATATGCACACACACAAACAATCCAGATGGTTTGAATATGCAAATAAGAATACAAAGAATAAAGTAGGATAGCACTGAAACAAAACTTGGGGGATGATTTCTAGGGGTAAAAAAGGTATACTGTGACCCTCCGTAAAAGTCCAAAACCAGAAAGGAAAATATTGACAATTGATTACATAAAATTAGAAACTTAGAGACCATAGAAAACTTGGCCAGCAAATAACAAACTAGGAGAAAATATTTGTGATGCCTTTGAGGAGTTGAATATCTTTGTTATAAAGGGCACCTACATAATAAGAAAAAGTGAAATACTCATTAGAAAATGGGCAAAGACCCCCACTTCAAGGAGAACCACAAACCACAGCTCCGTAAGCTGATAAGCAACTTCAGCAAAGTCTCAGGATACAAAATCAATGTGCAAAAATCACAAGCATTCTTATACACCAATAACAGACAAACAGCCAAATCATGAGTGAACTCCCATTCACAATTGCTTCGAAGAGAATAAAATACCTAGGAATCCAACTTACAAGGGATGTGAAGGACCTCTTCAAGGAGAACTACAAACCACTGCTCAATGAAATAAAAGAGGACACAAACAAATGGAAAAACATTCTATGCTCATGGATAGGAAGAATCAATATCGTGAAAATGGCCATAGTGCCCAGAGTAATTTACAGATTTAATGCTATCCTCATCAAGCTACCATTGACTTTCTTCACAGAACTAGAAAAAAACTACTTTAAATTTCATATGGAATCAAAAAAAGAACCTGTATAGCCCAGACAATCCTAAGCAAAAAGAACAAAGCTGGAGGCATCATGCTGCCTGACTTCAAAATATACTACAAGTCTACAGTAACCAAAACAGTATGGTGCTGGTATCAAAACAGATATATAGACCAATGGAACAGAACAGAGGCCTCAGAAATAACACCACACATCTACAACCATCTGATCTTTGACAAACCTGACAAAAACAAGCAATGGGGAAAGCATTCCCTATTTAATAAATGGTGCTAGGAAAACAGGCTAGCCATATGCAGAAAACTGAAACTGAAACCCTTCCTTACACCTTATACAAAAATTAACACAAGATGGATTATAGACTTAAATGTAAAACCTGAAACCATAAAAACCCTACGAGAAAACCTAGGCAATACCACTCAGGACATAGACATGGGCAAAGACTTCATGACTAAAACAGCAAAACCAATTGCAACAAAAGCCAAAATTGACAAACAGGATCTAATTATACTAAAGAGCTTCTGCACAGCAAAAGAAACTATCATCAGAGTGAACAGGCAGCCTACAGAAAGGGAGAAAATGTTTACAATCTATCCATCTGATAAAGGGCTAATATCCAGAATCTACAAAGAACTTAAACAAATTTACAAAAAAAAATACAAACAACCTCATCAAAATGTGGGTGAAGAATATGAACAGACATTCCTCAAAAGAAGATATTTATGTGGCCAGCAAACATATGAAAAAAAGCTCACCATCACTGGTCATTAGAGAAATGCAAATCAAGAGTCTCTTCCAAGATGGCCTAATAGGAACAGCTCTGGTCTGCAGATCTCAGCGAGATCGACGCAGAAGATGGGTGATTTCTGCATTTCCAACTGAGGTACCTGGTTCATCTCACTGGGACTGGTTGGACAGTGGGTGCAGCCCCACAGAGGGTGAGCTGAAGCAGGGTGGGGTGTCGCCTTACCCGGGAAGGGCAAGGGGTCAGGGGATTTCCCTTTCCTAGCCAAGGGAAGCCATGAGAGACTGTACCTGGAGAAATGCTGCACTCTTGACCAAATATTGTGCTTTTCCCACAGTCTTAGCAACCAGTAGACCAGGAGATACCCTCCTATGACTGGTTCAGTGGGTCCCACACCTCGCTCAGTGGGTCCCACGCCAACGGAGCTTTGCTCACTGCTAGCGCAGCAGTTTGAGATTGACCTGCAATGCTAAGCAGCTTGACGGGGGGAGGGGCGTCCGCCATTACTGAGGCTTGAGTAGGTCACAGTGTAAAAAAAGAGGCTGGGAAGCATGAACTGGGCAGAGCCCACCACAGCTCAGCAAGGCCTACTGCCTCTATAGATTCCACCTCTGGGGACAGGGCATAGTAGAACAAAGGGCAGCAGACAGCTTCTGCCAACTTAAATGTCCCTGTCTGACATCTCTGAAGAGAGCAGTGGTTCTCTCAGCACAGCGTTTGAGCTCCAAGAATAGACAGACTGCTTCCTCAAGCAGGTCCCTGACCCCTGTGTACCCTGACTGGGAAACACCTCCCAGTAGCGGCCGACAGACACCACAGATGCCCCTCTGGGAAGAAGCTTCCAGAGGAAGGATCAGGCAGCAATATTTGCTGTTCTGCAGCCTCTGCTGGTGATACCCAGGCAAAGAGGGTCTGGAGTGAACTTCCAGCAAACTCCAACACACCTGCAGCTGAGAGGCCTGTTAGAAGGAAAACTAACAAACAGAAAGAGTAGCATCAACATCAACAAAAACGACATCCACACTAAAACCCCATCTGTAGGTCACCAACATTAAAGAACAAAGGTAGATAAAACCACAAAGATAGGGAGAAACCAGAGCAGAAAAGCTGAAAATTCCAAAAACCAGAGTGCCTCTTCTCCTCTAAAGGATTGCAGCTCCTTGTCAGCAAGGGAACAAAACTGGACAGAGAATGAGTTTGATGAGTTGACAGAAGTAGGCTTCAGAGGGTTGGTAACAACGAACTTCTCCAAACGGAAGAAGCATGTTCTAACCCATCACAAGGAAGCTAAAAACCTTGAAAAACTGTTAGACGAATGGGTAACTACAATAAACAGTGTAGAGAAGACCTTAAATGGCCTGATGGAGCTGAAAACCACGGCATAACTTCATGACACATGCACAAGCTTCAATAGCCAATTCAATCAAGTGGAAGAAACGCTATCAGTGATTCAAGATCAAATTAATGAAATAAAGTGAGAAGACAAGATTAGAGAAAAAAGAGTGACAAGAAACGAACAAAGCCTCCAAGAAATATGGGACTATGTGAAAAGACCAAATCTACATTTGAATGGTGTACTGGAAAGTGACGGGGAGAATGAAAACAAGTTAGAAAACATCTCTTCAGGATATTATCCAGGAGAATTTCCCTAACCTAGCAAGGCAGGCCAACATTCAAATTCAGGAAATACAGAGAACACTGCAAAGATACTCCTCAAGAAGAGTAGCTCCAAGACACATAATTGTCAGATTCAACAAGGTTGAAAGGAAGGAAAAAGTGTTAAGGGCAGCCAAAGAGAAAGGTTGGGTTGCCCACAAAGGGAAGCTCATCAGACTAACAGCAGATCTCTCAGCAGAAACCCTACAAGACAGAAGAGACTGGGGGCCAATATTCAACATTCTTAAAGAAAAGAATTTTCAAAGCAGAATTTCATATCCAGCCAAACTAAGCTTCAGAAGTGAAGGAGAAATAAAATCCTTTACAGACAAGCAAATGCTGAGAGATTTTGTCACCACCAGGCCTGCCTTACAAGAGCTCCTGAAGGAAGTACTAAACATGGAAAGGAACAACGGGTACCAGCCACTGCAAAAACATGCCAAATTGTAAAGACCATCAATGCTATGAAGAAACTGCATGAACGAACGGGCAAAATAACCAGCTAGCATCATAATGACAGGATCAAATTCACACATAACAATATTAACCTTAAATGTAAATGGGCTAAATGTCCCAATTAAAAGACACAGAATGGCAAATTGGATAAAGAGTCAAGACCCATCGGTGTGCTGTATTCAGGAGACACATCTCAGGTGCAAAGATGCATATGGGTTCAAAATAAAGGGATGCAGAAATATTTACCAAGCAAATGGAAAACAAAAAATGCAGGAGTTGCAGTCCTTGTCTCTGATAAAACAGACTTTAAACCAACAAAGATCAGAAGAGACAAAGAAGGCCACTACATAATGGTAAAGGGATCAATCCAACAAGAAGAGCTAACTATCCTAAATATATATGCACCCAATACAGGAGCATCCAGATTCATAAAGCAAGTCCTTAGAGACCTACAAAGAGACTTATTCTACCACATAATAATAATGGGAGAGTTTAACACCCCACTGTCAATATTAGACAGATCCACGAGACAGAAGGATAACAAGAATATCCAGGACTTGAACTCAGCTCTGGCCCAAGTGGAACTAATAGACATCTACAGAACTCTACAACCCAAATCAATAGAATATACATTCTTCTCAGCAGCACATTGCACTTATTCTAAAATTGACCACATAATTGCTAGTAAAACACTCCTCAGCAAATGTAAAAGAACAGAAATCACAACAAACTCTCCCTCACAACACAGTGCAATCACGACAGAACCCAGGATTAAGAAACTCACTCAAAACTGCACAACTACTTGGAAACTGAACTACCTGCTCCTGAATGACTACTGGGTAAATAACGAAATGAAGGCAGAAATAAAGATGTTCTTTCAAACCAATGAGAACAAAGACACAATGTACCAGAATATCTGGGACACATTTAAAGCAGTGTGTAGAGGGAAATTTATAGCACTCAATTCCCATAAGAGAAAGCAGGAAAGATCTAAAATCGACACCCTAACATCACAATTAAAAGAACTAGAGAAGCAAGAGCAAACAAATTCAAAAGCTAGCAGAAGGCAAGAAATAACCAAGATCAGAGCAGAACTGAAGGAGATAGAACCACAAAAAAACCTTCAAAAAATAGATGAATCAAGGAGCTGGTTTTTTGAAAAGATAAACAAAATAGACCACTAGCAAGACAAATAAAGAAGAAAAGAGAGAAGAATCAAATAGACACAACAAAAAATGATAAAGGGGATATCACCACTGATCCCACAGAAATACAAGCTACCATCAGAGAATATTATAAACGCCTCTATGCAAATAAACTAGAAAATCTAGAAGAAATGGATAAATTCCTGGACACATACACCCTCCCAAGACTAAACCAGGAAGAGGTTGAATCTCTGAATAGGCCAATAACAGGCTCTGAAATTAAGGCAATAATTAAGAGCCTACCCACCAAAAAAAGTCCAGGACCAGATGGATTCACAGCCGAAATCTACCAGAGGTAAAAAGAGGAGCTGGTACCATTCCTTCTGAAACTATCCCAATCAATAGAAAAAGAGGGAATCCTCCCTAACTCATTTTAGGAGGCTAGCATCATCCTGATATCAAAGCCTGGTAGAGACACAACAAAAAAAGAGAATTTTCGGCCAATATCCTTGATGAACATCGATGCAAAAATCCTCAATAAAATACTGGCAAACCAAATCCAGCAGCACATCAAAAACCTTATCCACCAGGATCAAGTTGGCTTCATCCCTGGGATGCAAGGCTGGTTCAACATACGCAAACCAATAAACTTAATCCATCACATACACAGAACCAACAACAAAACCCACATGATTATCTCAACAGATGAAGAAAAGGCCTTTGACAAAATTAAACGCACTTCATGCTAAAAACTCTCAATACACTAGGTATTGATAGAATGTATCTCAAAATAATAAGAGCTATTTATGACAAACCCACAGCCAATATCATACTGAATGGGCAAAAATTGGAAGAATTCCCTTTGAAAACCAGCACAAGGATGCCCTCTCTCACCACTCCTATTCAACACAGAAATGCAAATCAAAACCACAATGAGATACCATCTCTCGCCAGTTAGAATGGCGATCATTAAAAAGTCAGGAAACAACAGGTGCTGGAGAGGATGTGGAGAAGTAGGAAAACTTTTACACTGTTGGTGGGAGTGTAAATTAGTTCAACTGTTGTGGAAGACAGTGTGGCGATTCCTCAAGGATCTAGAACCAGAAATACCATTTGGCCCAGCAATTCTATTACTGGGTATATACCCATAGGATTTTAAATCATTCTACTATAAAGACACATGCACACATATGGTTATTGCAACACTATTCACAATAGCAAAGACTTGGAACCAACCCAAATGCCCATCAATGATAGACTGGATAAAGAAAATGTGGCACATATACACCATAGAATACTGTGCAGCTATGAAAAAGAATGAGTTCATGTCCTTTGCAGGGACATGGATGAAGCTGAAAACCATCATTCTCAGCAAACACACACAGGAACAGAAAACCAAACACCACATGTTCTCATTCATAAGTGGCAGCTGAACAATGAGAACACATGGACACAGGGAGGGGAACATCACACACAAGGGCCTGTTGGGGTGTGTAGGGAGAGTATTAGGACAAATACCTAATGCATGCAGGGCTTAAAACGTAGATGATGGGTTGACGGGTACAGCAAACCACCATGGCATATGTATACCTATGTTACAAACCTGCACGTTCTGCATATAAATCCCAGAACTTAACGTATAATAAATAAAATTTATTTTATTTTAATTATTTATTTATTATACTTTAAGTTCCAGGGTACATGTGCACAATGTGCAGGTTTGTTACATATGTATACATGTGCCATGTTGGTGTGCTGCACCCATTAACTCATCATTTACATTAGGTATATCTCCTAATGCTATCCATCCTCCCTCCCCCCACACCACTACAGGCCCCAGTGTGTGATGTTCCCCACCCTATGTCCAAGTGTTCTCATTGTTCAACTCCCACCTACGAGTGAGAACATGCAGTGTTTGGTTTTCTGTCCTTGTGATAGTTTGCTCAGAATGATGGTTTCCAGCTTCATCCACATCCCTACAAAAGACATGAACTCATCCTTTTTTATGGCTGCATAGTATTCCATGGTGTATATGTGCCACATTTTCTTAATCCAGTCTATCATTGATGGACATTCGGGTTGGTTCCAAGTCTTTGCTATTGTGAATAGTGCTGCAATAAACATACGTGTGCATGTGTCTTTATAGCAGCATGATTTATAATCCTTTAGGTATATACACAGTAATGGGATGGCTGGGTCAAATGGTATTTCTAGTTCTAGATCCTTGAGGAAACACCACACTGTCTTCCACAATAGTTGAACTAATTTACACTCCCACCAACAGTGTAAAAGCGTTCCTATTTCTCCACATCCTCTCCAGCATCTGTTGTTTCCTGACTTTTTAATGATCAGCATTCTAAGTGGTGAGAAATGGTATCTCATTGTGGTTTTGATTTGCATGTCTCTAATGACCAGGGATGATGAGCTTTTTTTCACATGTTTGTTGGCTGCATAAATGTTTTCTTTTGAAAAGTGTCTGTTCATATCCTTCGCCCACTTTTTGATGTGGTTTTTTTTTTCTCATAAATTTGTTTAAGTTCTTTGTAGCTTCTGCATATTAGCCCTTTGTCAAATGGATAGATTGCAAAAATTTTCTCCCATTCTGTAGGTTGCCTGAGTGATCAGGCACCTCTCCTAGCTTCTGACAGCTGCTGGTCAATCTCAGCATTCCTTGGCTTGTGGATGCATCTCTCCAATCTCTGCTTTATCATCATGTCACCTCTTTCCTTTTCTCTTATAATGACATTTGTCATTGGATTTAGGGCCCATTATAATTGAGTATGACCTCATCTAGAGATCTTTAACTTTACATGTGCAAAGACACTTTTTGCAAGTAAGTCACATTCACAGGTTCCCAGTGGGCATATCTTTTGTAGGGCACCACTCATCATGGGACAGATATGTAGTAAAATGTTCCAATGGAAAAATATTTGAAGGATGTTATTTTGGAAGATAATTTTTTTGATGTACTTTAAAAACAAATTAGCGGCCAGGTGCTGTGGCTTATGCCTATAATCCCAGCACTCTGAGAGGCCGAGGCGGGCTGTTCACAAGGTCAGGAGATTGAGACCATCCTGAATAACACGGTGAAATCCCGTCTCTACTAAAAATACAAAAAAATTAGCCGGGCATGGTGGCAGGCACCTGTAGTCCCAGCTACTCAGGAGGCTGAGGCAGGAGAATGGCGTGAACTCAGGAGGCGGAGCTTGCAGTGAGCCGAGATCATGCCACTGCACTCCAGCCTGGGTGACAGAGTGAGACTCCATCTCAAAAAAATGACACAAAATAAAATAAAATAAAATAAAATAAAATAAAATAAAATAAAATAAATTAGCATGCATTATTTCCCCAAAACCAATCGGAAAAATAGACTTGTTAGTTTGCTGAGGTGTAAGGAATTGGCATTTTTAAGTGCCATTGATAGAACTGTAGATTGGTAGAGCCTTTCAGATAGCAATTTGGCAGTTCTGTTTCTAGGAATTTATACTACAGAAGTATGTGCGTCTTTACCCAAAGATATATGCCCAATCATGCTCATTATAGCATTGTTTGTGATAGCAAAAATATTTTTTAAAAAAGTATTTTTTGTGTCTTTTTCTCCTAGGAGAAGTTTCCTTATGGACCTGGTGCAAAAGTAGACATACAATTCTAAATTATGTGATCATTAAAAATTAGGAGAGAGAAAGTTTTTTGTATATTGACAAGGATAAAAAGCCATAATATGCTGCTAAATAAAAATAGCAAGTTAAAAAACATTATTTATAGTGTGATCTCATTTTACAATCAGTATTTTTATACACTGAGGAAAAAAAATGAAAAGGATGTACGCAGCAATTATCTTTGAGTGATGGGACTACAGAACTTTCATTCTTGCTTTATACATTTCTAGATTGAGTAGGAACATTTCACAATGAGCATCTATCATTTCTATTATAAGGGAGAAAACAATGAAGATTTTTTTTAAAAAAAAAAAAGAAAGACAAATTCTACAGAGAGTGGCATTGTTCCAGGGCTGGGTCTCGGGCCAAGCTTTAGACTCCGCTGCAAAGCAGTGGACAGGACCTCCCTCAGCGGGGCTTGTGAATAGCATGATTGACACTTTCTGCCTGGCCTGGGCTTTCATGCATCTGGCCTGGGTCAGCTGGGAACTCCCTCAAAATTTCCACCAAGGGGCCTCTCCACCTTTTGTACAGTGTTGACCATTTCTTCATTTTCTGTAAAGCCAGAGAGCCAAGAATGCTATTAGCTATGGAGGACTTCAAGCTCCAATCAGCTCATACTTCTCAGCTGTACGACTTTGAGTAAGTTATTTAACTGCCCTAGCCTGCCTACCTCAAGGGTTGATTTTGGAGATGAAGTTTAAAAAATACATAAAATTATTTCATGGACATCGCAACATAGTAAGTACACATAAATGTCAATTCACACCCACCACCTCTTCTACCACTTCTTTCTTCTTGTCCACATTCCTGGGCAGGTAGTGGGTAATTTTCAACAGTGGTTCTCAATGAGAGCTCTATCATCCCCTTGGTGGCAGTTTTAAAATGGGGAAGAGCACATGTTTTGGTTGTCGCCATGATAAAGAAGCTACTGGCTTTGTCTAGATCTTTGGCAGGTTCCAGGAATGCCAGATGTCCTACAATACATGAGACAGTTCCAGAGAATAAAGAATTGCTTTGTATCCCACGTAACTTTTCACTGACCCACAAGATATCTGTATAAGTTAAAAACCTGTTTATGCGGGGCCAGGCGCAATGGCTCACGCCTGTAATCCCAGCACTTTGGTAGGCCGAGGTGAGTGGATCACAAGGTCAAGAGATCGAGACCAGCCTGGCCAACATGGTGAAACCCCATCTCTACTAAAAACACAAAAATTAGCTGGGCGTGGTGGCAGGCACCTGTAATCCCAGTTACTGGAGAGGGTGAGGCAGAAGAATCGCTTCAACCTGGGAGGTGGAAGCTGCAGTGAGCTGAGATGGTGCCACTGCACTCCAGCCTGGCGATAGAGCGAGACTCTATATCAAAAAAAAAACAAAACAAAACCTGTTTATGTGATTTGAACCTGGAAGCTAATTTCATTTCATATAACAACATTGCATTTCCCAAGGAGAATATTGTATTTGTTTTGTTTTGATTTTACCACATTTTTTGAAAATCATATTTTTTATTATTATTATACTTTGAGTTTTAGGGTACACGTGCACAACATGCAAGTTTGTTACATATGTATACATGTGCCATGTTGGTGTGCTGCACCCATTAACTTGTCATTTAACATTAGGTATATCTCCTAATGCTATCTCTCCCCCCTCCCCCCACCCCGAAAATCATATTCTGATAGCAACACTACTTATGCAATTTTTGCCTCGAAATAAAACACACTTCTTGTATCAAAACATCCCATTGTATCCCATAAATATGTACAATTATTATGTGTCAATTAAAAATAAAAATTAAAAAATTTCCACCTCTAACCATCTGCCTCTGCAGCTGTCACAAGTTGGTTTGGTGCATAGGTGCAATCACCTGACAATATTCTTATTCCTCTGGAATACTCATTCTTAAACATTTATATAATGAAATCCATACTAATCTATTATAAATTACTTTTCTCTTATTTCTCTTTATACTAGTTTGTGCATTATATTGATTTTTTTGAAGTGATGTGTAGGTAGATCATATTATCCATCATTTTTATTTCAGAATCATAAAAGAAGTATTACAAACTATTTATTACCAAAAGAGAACATGATAAGATCAAGGACTGGTCTAGAAGATCATAAAGTTTTTCAATTGCAGCAAAAACCCAGAGGGGAATGTATTAGTTCGTTTTCATGCTGCTGATAAAGACGTACCCAAAATTGGGAACAAAAAGAGGTTTCATTGGACTTACAGTTCCACATGGCTGGCGAGGCCTCAGAATCATGGCAGGAGGCCAAAGGCACTTCTTCTATGATGGCAGCAAGTGAAGAATGAGAGAAGCAAAAGCGGAAATCCTTCAGATCCCGTGAGACTTATTCACTATCACGATAATAGCACAGGAAAGACCGGCCCCCATGAATCAATTACCTCCCCCTGGGTCCCTCCCACAACACTTGAGAATTCTGGGAGATACAATTCAAGTCAAGATTTGGTGGTGACACAGCCAAACCATATCAAGAATCATTTCTCCTGTGAAGTAGGGTGGGTTCAACAATTGCATGTTTTCAATTGTAGAATAGTGACATTGGCAAAAATTCCAGCATTTCCGGATCCTAGGTTCAAGATAACAGCCAACATCTGTCCATCTGGAGCCAGAACCAAGGAGGCAACAGGGCCCAGAATGAATCTTATGAGAAAAGGTCCTTAGCTCAGAAGGAGAGATCAAGTAATTAGTTTGTCCTTTCTAGTTTGCCAGACCAGAAGGCAGGAGATATATCATGAGCCTGTAGAAGAAGCGAAGGTCAAGAAGCCAGAGAGGCAAGTCCACTGAGGAGGGGCAGGGGTGGGGACAATTGTTGCTGGTGGTTAACAAAGTAGTTAGTTGGACAAGGGGTAAGGTAAAGAATGCGGAACAGGTTTAGCCTCAGCATCATTTTAATATGTGGGTTGGGACTCCTAGATCTGTGTCCTTCTACCAAACACTGAATATTTGTTGCATGATTTCTTAAAGGTGCCATCCAGCATCTGAAAAATAAGGAATGAAGTCATCTGATTTCCTCAAGTTTCTTTGCTAGTGGGCCAAAAGGTGGATAAAAAATATTGAAAATTGCCAACGAATAAATCATTATTTGTAGTTTGGAATACTTCGTGTTACTTTTATTTTAGTTTATATCTACTAGTGATGGAAAATCTGTTTTCACGATTCACAGAGAACACCAACGCAGAATGAGCTATGGTAACGGTGGTCTAGTTTCCACAGTTTTCCAAATTATGAGGAAGTGAATGATTGCCAAGACCTCCTAACAGGCTCCAGACTACAGAGAGTTTGCAGAAGTAAAATGACAACAACAGCGGCAAAAATAAAAGACAGAGTGGATAATTTGAAAACATTACGTCCATAGTCTAGTTTATTTTAAATCCAAACAAAATTGAAAGCAAGATTTGCTTAGGATAATGTGCAAAATGGATGCACTGTATCCAAAGAATAAAGCACTATTCTATTAGAGTGAGGAACTATATTTGGAAAAGAGTAGTGTTAAAAATAACCCTAAAGGAGGAAGTCAGAAAGGAATCAGAAAGACATTTTACACAGATCAGAAGTGAAGGGTTATCAAAGATAGAAGTCCTAAGACAGCGTATAAGTGTTCTAAAATATTTAGTCTAAGACACATTTAGACAACCTCCTACATCAGGAGTACCCACCTTGTCACTCACCAGACCTATCATCTTAAGAATTATATTATATGCGGTTCGTGCAAAAGTAATTGCTGTTTTGCCATTACTTTTAATATAATATATGTAACATTATATTTATCTATATTTATTATGTATTCATACATACATATTCATAATGATAGATATAGATAAAGGTAGAAAAAGAGATATATTCACTTATAAAAGTAAATCTTGCTACATGTTATTTTTTTTAAATAAATAAATAAAATTAAATCTTTCCAACCTAGGCTATGTTGGGGTGTAACTGGTGTACAGGACAGGCACAGCCCTGCCCTCACAAAGATAGCCAAGTCAGGGAGTCAGGCTGCTAAATGGGCAATAATAACACAGACCCATGCTGGAGCAGTGCATGAGCTGTCAGAGAATCTTGGAAGGGCACTTGTTTGAGTCCTGGATAGTCAGAGGGAGATTCCCAGAGGAAATGATGTCTAAGCAGAGATCCAAAGGATGAGTTGGAATTTGCTGAGGAATGAGGGTGGCAGAGGGGCAGGAAGATTATATCCCATAGAGGTAACAACATTTAGAAAGGCCCGGAGAGGGTAAGGACTCATCAGAGAGACAAGTTCAATGTGACAAGATCAGTGGCATGGAGTGGAGTGGAAGCTACTGAGGTAAATAGGAACCAGATCATAATGAGGTGTCTTAAGGGTTTCTGCATCCTAAAAGCAATGGTGAGATTTTAAAGGGCTTGAGCAGGGAAGCAACGTAAGCAGGTGGAACATCATTCTGGCTACAGTGTGGAGAACGAATTAAAAGAAAGAAAACATATATATTGTTTGTATAGTAATGTATCTATTCAATCATTATATGTTGCTCACCTGCCTTTTCCTATTTTCTAAATCCTATGTCTTAACTGGCCAAGGTGAACCCAACATATCACTGTCTCATAAGCATTTTTAAAAGATATGCCAGTATTTCCTGATTAACATATTAGGAAAGAATGAAACAAGAACTATAGATAATAAGGCAAGATTTTAATTGATAGAGACTCTTGAAGCAATCAGAAAATAATTATAAATGCAAGATAAAGTGTCAGCTCACCTGATAGAGCTAGAGCCTTAAATAATCTTGTATCTATAATATGGGTAACAAAAATTGTAATTCATAAGAGCCCATTTTTAAAGGAATCCTGGGAAGGCCTCACGGAGGAGGTAGAATTTTTGTCTGGGTTGTTTTTAAAGGATAAGTAAGTTTAAGAAACTGAGAATGGGAAGTAGGGTGGAAGGATCTTCCTGAAAAAGGGTCAGGAGAAGACACTATACATACAAAGTGTAAGTTTTCTTTGCATCTGGGGTCACGATGCTGGACAAGTGCAGGACCCTGACTGCCACAACTCATGGCCTCCGGAATGGAGAACAATCAAGTTTTGAAGGAGGAAGGACTTCCAACTCTGCCCTAGGAAATCTAAGCTCCCTGTGACAGGTGGCATAGATTAAAGTCTGAGGACTAGTGGCAGGGAGACCAACCTAGCTTTAACTGTGCAAACACAATGTGAAAAAGGCATCAACTTGGTGGCTCAATGAATATTGGAAGGAAAGGATTTAGAGAGAATGTGAAGTGAGGGAAACTACAAGGAGGGTGAGAGAGAAGAAGCCCTTCTGAATACTTGGGAATGCTAGTTGAAAATGGGCCAGTCAGCCTTGTTCTCATGCAGAAACTATGGGGATCATGCCAAACCAACGCAAATGTCAGCATAAGTATTTGCGTCTACTAGGAATGTGAGTACTAAGTTACCAGCCCTTGTAATAAACACAATTAACAGCATGGAAGCCATTAGACTGGTTCTTGGAAAAGGGCTCATGAGAAACATTTGCTTTGAATACTTGGCTTTAGTGCTGTTAAAAAGCAGAGCAAGAGCCGGGCGTGGTGGCTCATGCCTGTAATCCTAGCACTTTGGGAGGCCAAGGCAGGCAGATCACTTGAGGTCAGGAGTTCAAGACCAGTCTGGCCAACATGGTGAGACCCCATCTCTACTAAAAATACAAAAATTAGCCAGGTGTGGTGGCATGCGCCTGTAATCCTAGCTACTTGGGAGGCTGAGACAGGAGAATCACTTGAACCCAGGAGGCGGAGGTTGCAGTGAGCCGAGATCGTACCACTGCACTCCAGCCTAGGAGATAGGAGACAGAGTGAGACTCCATCTCAAGAAAAAAAAAAAAAAAGCAGAGCTAGAAAGCTAAGTTATTGTTATTTGGCCAGGGGCTTGTTTGTATGAAGTAATAGCAAACAATCTTAATGGTTTTAAATAGCCCTGAACAATTCTCTGATTTTGAGAAAAGCTAGTGAGTACATTGTTGTCTTGATGTAAATTAGCACATGGAGCCACAGACAAAGTTGTTTTCTCCACTTTCTCCTCTGTGGTTTCTGATAATTCTGCACGTGCTTCCCTACCTGTTACCACTGGCCAAGGAAAAGCCAAAGTAATGTGTCCGTTACAGGATTCTCTTCTACATACCTAGAAGCCTTTCTGGAAAAGAGTATTCAGAGAAAAATAAGGACGAAGCAAATCACAGGGCATTACTGGCTGGGAAGCCTTGAAACTTAGTTTCCATACTAACCTTAAGAAACTGTCAATTGAGAGGCAAGTTTCTGAACAAGGTAGTAATAATGAAAATCGCATTTTAATATTTCAGTATAGTTGCTAATACAAGGTAAATGACGGGAGGGAAAGACCACAAGGATTTACAGGAGGTTCTAAGAGGAAGATGTCATTGTGAATAAAATAGAAAATGAGTGGAGTTTGAGGTTTTTTTGGCGCCTAGAAAAAGAGAAAAGAAATGGTTACAAAAGGTGTCTTAGGTAAAGAGACACCATTAGTTGAAGCTGGGCCATGTATGGGAATGCAGGGCAGGGATGAGAGGTGTGAAGACACAGGAGCTACCACAGAACAGAGTAGTGTTAATCCTGGTAATTCTCATCCACACCAGTACAGGTAGATAAAATTTAGAGATGAAAGGCCACCGTATTTAACCAGAAGAAATCACTGTTACTTTCAAATGGATAGCCAATTTGAGGAGAGTCTAAAGGGGGGTGGGGGGAAATGTTAATAGAAAGCAAAAGGATAATGAGATTACAAATAAAGATATGATGAAGGTGTGGGATTTGAAGGAAGAAAGCAACAAAATATGGCTGGACCTCAGAAGATAGTGAGGTATGTAGATGAAGGATAAATCTGATTTCAAAACCATGAGCAAAGGCCAGAATAGCTCTGGTGGTTTAACGCCCAGTGCTTTTTATTGCTTTATGAAATACAAATTGTGAAGCCTTAAAATTGTATTGCGCATAGCGAAACGTAGGGGGAGTCACCTCGGCCCACAGCCCCTCTGTCTTGTTAGTTGTTGTTGTCCCATCCATGAGAAGGACAAAGCGGTGCCATGAACACAGGGGAAGAGGAGAGACCCAGGGATGAAAGCCAGGACAGGAAAGATGAACTCAGTAATAGGAACAATGAGGAAACAGTGTGGGGAGGGAATAAACATTTATTTCCTAATACAAACCAGATGCTCTAAATATATTATCTCATTCAACCTTCACCACAGCCACGAGGAGCAGATAGATGATTGAAGAAACACGAGGTTGAGGAACTTGCCCAAGAACACAGAACTGCATTGAAGTTGAGACTCCATTCAGAACCTAATAACACAACATTCTTCTCCTCGAGATGGGAAAAATAGCACTTGTAGGATAGAAGAAACAAGAAGTTGAAAACTGAAGATGAAAGTTATTACACAGAAAAAAAAATCATAGAAACAGAATGTTGAAAACATATTAAGCCACTAGTATTCAACGTCAAGGGTGTTATTGGACTGTTATGGAAACGCCCTGGACTATTAAGATAACTATTTAAGAAAAGCTAATTTTCACACATGGAATGATCGGAAGAAACTTGTACAATCAACTGAGACATCCGATGAAAACCGTAAATAACGAGGAGAATGTCCTCTTTCCTCTGGCATAAAAATATTGCCAGATTGTGGCGACAGTTCAAAAATTTTATGAAGGAGACCCCCCCCAACCCAGCCCTGGAGAAAAGTCATCCTTCCTTTTCTTTCCCCCAGCTCCTTCTCTCAGCCAGCCCTTTCTCAGCCACTCTGATTTTGGGAAATAAAAACGGCAGGAAATTCAGTATTTGCTCTCGGCATCACTTCCTCTCTTTCCAAGCCGCCCCCCACATTTCCCATTCAATCTATGAATTATAATGTGTATCCCCATCTCATGTCCTTGAGAAAGGCTTTCAAATAAAACAAGTACTACCTGTTTTGATAAAAGTATCTCCTTCAAAAGTTATTTTCTTAAATGTCATTACCTTAAGTCTACATAGGATAAATAAATCAATAAAACACAAAATGTCTCTTCCCTGGACAAAAAAATTCTGAAAATTGTTTATTTCATGAGAAATGCATGACAGATGGTATGAGTAGTGGTGAGGCGTTCAAAACAGAACAAAGTTTCCTACTGTTCTGTCAGATGTTTCCACTCTCTGTTCCATCCATTAAACGCTGACTTATTTTTCTTCCACAAATTCAGTTTGGCTTCTAAAAAAAAAATAAATAATGCTTTGGGTATTCATTTAAGATTTTCTTATACCTTTACTGGAAACCTCAATCTGAAATGTAACCTTCACACCGCAGGGATTAAGTGGCTGGAAGCATCTGTGATAACTATCGCAGCACATAAAAAATGATGCTTATTGTTCAAGGGAGCACTCAATTACCTATGATCACTCAGATTATTAAACTGGATGCGTAGAGTGGTACATAAGTAATATTTAAATGTTTCATGGGCTGGGCATGGTGGCTCACACCTGTAATCCTAATACTTTGGGAGGCCTAGGTGGGTGGATCACTTGAGGTCAGGAGTTCCAGACCAGCCTGGCCAACATGGTAAAATCCTGTCTCTACAAAAAATACAAAAATTAGCCAGGCATGGTGGCAGGCGCCTGTAATCCCAGCTATTCGGGAGGCTGAGGCTCGAGAATTGGTTGAACATGGGAGGCGGAGGTTTCAGTGAGCAGAAATGGAGCCCCTGCACTCCAGCCTGGGGGACAGAGCAAGATGCTGACTCAAATAAATAAATAAATAAATAAGTTTCAGGAAAGAAGGTTACTGTTAAAATCCCAAATGTTCAATTTGTTAGTAATGGGTTTGCTAAAACAATACCCATATTGCCTCAAGGATGGTTCTACGAAGCTTGTCTAACCCACAGTCCACGGGCCTCATGTGGCCCAAGACAGCTTTAAATACAGCCCAACACAAACATTTCATAAACTTTCTTAAAACATTTTGAGGTTTTTTTGCAATTATTATTTTTTTTTAGCTCATAAGCTATTGTTAGTCTTAGTGTATTTTATGTGTGGCCCAAGACAATTCTTCTTCTTCCAATGTGGCTCAGAGAAGCTAAAAGATTGGACACCCCTGTTTAGGCTATATTTTGGTAAACAATGAAAGGTATTCTCATAGACGTCCACTGTACCTTATGACTGAGATAAATGATGATAAATCATTTATAATAAATCAGTCATAAATGCATGAAATGGAAGCATTTGCATGACTTTATGCCCAATGTGCATGCACACACACGCACACACACAACTTTCAACAAGACATGATTAAATATGGTCATGTATGAACTTTGCCAACTCCTACATGACCCAGATGATCCATGCCTACTACATACTTCTCTCTCATGCAGTTTGTTTTGTTTACTTCCCCTTTTTTATTCTTTTGAATAAAATTTTTGGATGTAAAGGAACAATGAGCTTGTAGAAGAAAACTTGTAGAGATGTGGATGATAAAGTTTTCAACGGGCATTCTAGATGACAAGTGGATCATATTTTTATTCTTCCTGCTGAGTCAGATCCTTTATAGAATTGAGTGACTCCGCTCAGAATATGCTGATTTATGATAGGAACTGAGATTTATATCACTCTATTAAAAAGACTGTAATCTCTAAAAAGAAAATAATTAGGCAAGACGTTAAAAGATCCTAATTAAAAGCAAAAAACTTCTCAGCAAAACCATATCTGCTAAAAATCAGAGAAACATTTTCAAGGTTATTCTGGAAACAAATTGACTCTACTTGGCAATCTTCACAAAATGGAAAGTACTGCAGTCTGTCCTGCCAGTTTTCTTGTGTGTAACTGACCACTGCTAAATAAGAAACGAACCCAAAACTCCATTGCTTTAATTATTCGTCTGATTGACCAGCAAACCAACATTAAATATTATTTTATTTTTACAGAGGAGATTTGCAAAGTGGGTTGCCATCTGTAATTGTTTTTTTAAAAACACAGCATTCAGTAGTATAATTGGCTAAAATATTGTTGTTGATAGAATCCTAATGGTAATTACAAACTGAAAAGAAACAAGAATATTGAAATCTGAATAATTTAAAGCAGAATTTTTAAAGTGACGGCAAAATTATTGTGCTACTTTCAAGGCAAAGACTTGCCCTCTGGGTTTCTTTTCTTCAGAATTCAAATCTGTGACATGCACAGGTTAGTACTTAAGCCTTAATAGATTTAACTGTTAACTTTTACAGGGGATTACCAGGGAGTGGGTTGAGAAAAGTGGACATACAGGGATTATCTGTAAATGTCCTTGCAACTTCTCTGAAAATCTAAAATAACTGTTTTTAATGTAAGGATTATGGTTATTTAGAGAAGGAAATCTGGGAGAGGAAAAGAGCTTAGGGAGAGCTCCATGGAGCAAGCCCTGTTTGTATTGGACGGGCAGAATTAATACACAAATTAATGTGTAATAGTTACTCATTAATTGCCCTAAAGAGGAAGGGCATTCTAAAGAGAGGTAAAAACATTGAAAAGTACAAAGAGGTACGGTCCTGGCTAACCAGGAAATGTCAAACAGCTTTCACTCCTTCATTAAGTAAGGTTTAGAAGCATTCCTCTGTGAGATCTAAGATTTAGTGGCCGATCACCACAGCTAGGATTTTGTATCAAGTCCCCAAACTTCTTGTCAATTATACACTCAACCCTGTTCTCCCAGGGACTATCTCTCCCTGTCTAGTGGATCAAATTTTCTTCCTTGACCCATGATGGCAGACACATCACACATTGATACAGCTACTTTGACCTTGCCATTTTGACATGGGAGTATTTTGGCATACCGTTGCCCATGTTACAATTCTAATTCACATGACATTTAAACGAGGAAGTCTCCCTTCCTTTCTCATGGATTCCTGAGCATTTTGCTGGAGGAGTCTTAGTACTCATCACTTTTTGCCTTGAAATGTTACCCATGCCTGAAAAAAAGACACAGGGCTACAATGGAGAAGCACTCAGGGTCTGGAGTTACTGCTTACACCTGCCAGTGGTATAAGGCATGACCATAGCCATCTCAATCAGCCTTTCTGAACTGTTTCTTCATCCTTGTGATGATAGCACTTTAAGCGCCAGGTTGCAGTAAGGAAGTAATGAAGTCCAGTGCCTGGAATAAAATAAGTACTTAATAAATGCTTGCTGTTCTCAAGAAGTTTCTTCTTAGGAAGAAAGAGTCTGTCCTATTCATCTCGGAATCCCCCATAACCCAGTGCCTTATGCCTATTATGCTGCATTCTCTTATGAAAAGATAAACAACCCTTAGAGATACCTTTCAATCATACTTGAGAATTGTACTGTATTTCTTGTCTTTCATGTACAGAAATTATAATGTTTTGTATTGTAGCTATATTATCATTAAAGGGCTCTCATTGTATACGTTTTGCACAAAGAAACTGAAAATCCAAGGGGGTCATTTGCTCAAGGGTATGCAAGCTAGTTATTGGGCATATTACTCCTATGAGCTACTTCCTATTTCATAACAGGTCAGCCTCCCGTCCTTAGCATAGCTTTTTCCTTCACTCATATCTGTTTTCTCTGTTGCCCTATGACCAACAAACTCGCCATAAGAAAACTCCAGTCACATTTGCTGAATAGAAGTAACACTGTCTAATGCTTTCATTAAGGACAAAACACATCTGCTTCTTCACTCTATGTGAAAATTGTACCTAGTTCTAAGAAGATATGATGTCACAATATGTGAAAAGCATAACAGTTCATGGTAAAGGAACATCAACATTCCCTAGTGCTTTTAATGCAAAATTGTGTGCTGCTGTGTTCCATTTCTGTGATTATACATATGCAAGCTTAATGTAACTGATTTTCTTATTTGTAAACACTAGAAAATGTAAACAAAACTTGACATGTTAGTCACAATATTGAGGTGGTTGGAATGAATGCCTTAATTTTTCTATCATATTTTTAAATTAATAATATTTTATAGCAACCTATATTGCTCTTTAGACTTAATATGAAATAGCCCTTAGAGTTGAAACAGAGTAAAAACCTGAATATGGTGGAAAGCTATATTAAGATATTTTAAAAATTATTTCTAATAAAGTTTTATAGACTTTAGGGCATGTAGCATTTGTCAAATTAACTATTAATACATAGTAATTTCATTATTATGGATTCCCTTTTTATATTTTAAGAAATATATGAATGGCTTGGTGTAAAAGATGTAGAATGCAAATCTCATTCCTATGTAAGCAAAGCACTGATACACGCCTAAGTTCTTCCATTTGTTTTTTGTGTTTTGTTTTTGTTTTTGGTTTTGAGACAGAGTCTCATTCTGTTGCCGAGGCTGGAGTGCAGTGGCACTGTGTCGGCTCACTGCAACCTCCGTCTCCTGGGTTCAAGCAATTCTCCTGCCTCAGCCTCCCAAGTAGCTGGGATTACAGGCGTCCACCACCATGCCCGGCTAGTTTTTATATTTTTAGTAGAGACGGGGTTTCACCATGTTGGCCAGGCTGGTCTTGAACTCCTGACCTCAGGTGATCCACCCGCCTCGGCCTCCCAAAGTGCTGGGATTACAGGCATGAGCCAACGTGCTCGGCCAAGTTCTTCCATTTGACCAAGGTAAATCTGTTTACATCCTCCTCTTTCTTCCTGAAAAATTACTTTCTGCCAATGTATTTATTACAAATGTTTGTTTTATGCTTGTTAATTCTCCATTTGTCAGGTACCATGCCTTTTTGTTTGACCTGCTGGGTCCTCATGTAGACATTAGGGTGGATGGGTACATAAAGATTTTTCTTAAATTTTGAGTCATTCTTTGTTTCCTGAGGATAATATCTTTTATTAGTCTTCTGCATAAAAATTTTATCCTTTGAGCTGTGGGCAGCTTACAGAAAAAATGCCTAGGACTATGACTAAAATATTTAAAAACCATTATATTTTAAAAGCCAGTATTTTTATTTTTTATTTACATATTTATTTAATTGTAAGTTGATGGATTATAGCTATATATATTTATGGAGAATAAAGTGATATCATGATTTATGAGTACAATGTGTAATAATTAATAAAGCTAATATTTTAAAATTTATGAATGTCTTCTATTGAAACATGACATGCATAATTGGTGTCCTGAAATATTATAATTTCAAAAGAATTGCTTTACTATAACTTCTTTCATAATTTGCCTACACATGCACTCCTCTGCTTGATCTTTTGTTTCTGTTATGACAAGGGAGAAGTTTTTTAAATTACGTGTCATTCACAAAGAGTCCTTTCACACAATTGACTCTTGAAAAGCAGATACCTTCAATAAGTCAGCCAAGTAAATTCCCATGAAGTCAAAAGACAGAAGTAAATGCTCCCTACTCTAGTCCTTTCTTCACATACTTTTTTTTTTTTTTTTTTGGTTCCAAAACCTCTTTCTAAAAATATGCAGGGTTTCCAGGACAATACTTGATTCTGTTATTTCTAGTACAAATTTACAGGTCTAAAATTCCTTCTAGTTTTATTCCAAAAATGAAATTCCAGGTCTCTTTAATAAGTTGTTTTATATGAATTCCCTCATTCATTGATTTTCCTAACAAATTTTTATTATCTGACTAAAATGCATCAACTACAATATTGTAATCTGAAGATAAAAATATGAATAAGAAAGTTTCCCACCTTCATAAACTAATGGTGATACAGGTTTAGAATCATCAGAATGCAATATGATAAAGTGCTAACTGATGAAGAAGCACTAAGGAGAAAGAAAGAGATGATATTTGAACGAACCAAGAAAAGCCTCCCAGAAGTGTTGGGTCATAAAAATTGGGTAGGTGCTCATCAGATGAAAAGGAAGAGGATGGGCCTTCTAAGTGGCAGGAGATAAATGATAGGGCAGGCAGGTCAAAAGAAGAGTCAAGGAAAAATAGGATGTTGCCAGACACTAAAGGGTCTATATACCAATTACCTTGAGGACATGGAGGATTCATAACAGGTTTTCAAATACCGATCGAAATAAACACATTTAAGGTCATAACTATCTGTATGCAATGTATATTATTATCCTTTTTTCTGGCACATAATATTAATAGGTTGTTTAATGTGACTGTTATCTTTAGATATGACTTTATTGATGTTCCAACTTTTACACAGCCAAAAATGGTCCAGAACCATTTCTTGTTTGTTTAATTAATTATTCTCTCCAAGTGCCTAGTGAGTACTCATAAAATACTACACGACTACAGGAAAGCACTCTCTTCTGTAAAGAGTTTGGTTATTGGACAATCAAGATATAGCACATCTTTATGTTTATTTAATACTTCTTTGAGCGTAAGCATGCCTCAATGTTTTACTTATTATTCATTTCACTAGCCTGATGTGGTCTCAGTTCCTGTTTAGGTTTCTGCTCTAAGGAATTGAATCATAAAAGTGAAGGAGAAAGCCCTGCACAGGCTATGAAACATAGGTCAATCTTTGGGAAAATAGGTGTAGGGAACAGTGGCTTTCTGAGACATAACTTAGCAAATCAAAAGAAAAATAGACTTTTGCATTCAGCCTTGATGGGGTAACAGGACACAGATTTACCTTCCCACCACAAACAACTGGAGCATTGGACAAAATATATGAACAACTGTCTTTAGATGTTTGGCAATGAACTCTGCATGTTTGTGATCCCTAATAAAACAGTACAAAATAAAAAGAATGGTGCATTAGTGACCTGTAGCAAGCTAATCTAACATGTGTGTTGTATTAGTCTATTTTCATGCTGCTGATAAAACCATACCTGAGACTGGGTGATTCATAAAGAAAAAGTGGTTTAATGGACTCACAGTTCCACATGGCTGGGGAGGCCTCACAATCATGGTGGAAGGCGAAAGGCACTTCTTACATAGCATCAAGCAAGACAGAATGAGAACCAAATGAAAGGGGTTTCCCGTTATAAAATCATCAGATCTTGTGAGACTTATTCACTGCCATGAGAACAGAATGGGGGAAATCACTCCCATGATTCAATTATCTCTCACTGGCTCCCTCCCGTGACACATGAGGATTGTGAAAACTACAATTCAAGATGAGATTCGGGTGGGGACACAGCCAAATCATATCATGTGTAATTTTGGTTATGGGGAAATACTTGAATAATGGAATTTTTTTTCGTAAATTTGGTGAAAACTGTAAATGCAAAGGTTCAAGAAATGCAACAAATCCCAAGACAGATAAACATATACACAAGAAGACACAAACATGCCAAAGCCCATCATAATTAAAAGGCTGATAATAAGTGATGATGAGAAAAAAACTTTTCTTGTTGTTGTTTTTGTTTTGTTTTTTTGTTTTTTGTTTTGAGACAGGGTCTCACTCTGTCCCCCAGGCTGGAGTGCAGTGGCGTGATCTCAGCTCAGAAATTCTGTGAGTCAAAAGACATCTATAAAGTACTAAATGAAAAACACTCATGACCTAGACATATCCAGCAGAAATATCCTTTACTAGATCCTTTAAAAATAAAGAAAAAATATAAAGTTATTTTAGACAAGCAAAAGTTGAAAAATATTTGTCACTAGCAAATCTGTACTACAGAAATGTTAAAGGTTGTTCTTCAGGAAAATTATGTAATAAACTTAAATCTTTGCAAAGTATTGAAATTGAAAAGTACAGAAATAGTAAATGTGAATAAACAAATATTTTTCTCATTTTTTGATTCCTTAAGAGATAATTGTCAGTAAAAAAAAAATCAATATATTATATGTTTTGTAATACATGTAGAAGTAAAGTCTATGCAAAAATACAGGTTGAATATCTGTTGGCCAAAATGCTGGGGACCAGAAGGGTTTTGAATTTTGGATTTTTTTGAATATTGGAATATTTGAATACACATAATGAGGTATCTTGGGAATGGGACCCAAGTCTAAACACAAAATTAATCCATGTTTTATATACACCTTATACACATATCCTGAAGGTAATTTTATGTAAAATATTTAATATTTTCGTGCATGAAACAAAGTTTGTATGCATTGAGTTGTAGAAGGCAAAGATGTCAGGTATGGAATTTTCCACTTGAAGCATCAATTTGGTGCTCAAAATGTTTTGAATTTTGGAGCATTTCAAATTTCAGACAGAAAAGATGAAAAAGATGTATCCTGTTGTACAGTTCTTACTTTTCATAGGAAGAGGCATAATATTAATTGAAGGTAGACTGTGAAAAGTTAATGATGCATATTGTAAATCTTAAAGCAAACATTTTTAAAAATGGAGAGAGTAAGTCATAGTGCCAATGAAACAGACTAATATAAAATACTTGATTTATATAATAGAAGGCAGGAAAAGAGAAAAAAGAACTCAGAACAAGTGGGTCAAAGAGAACACAAATAGTAAGACGATGAATTTCAACATAACTGTATTGATAATTACATTAAACCCAAACGGTATAAACAGTCTAATTAAAAGGCAGAGATTGTAAGACCGAATAAAAAAATATGACCTGCTACTTACATACTGTCTACAAGAAATTCACTTTAAATATCAAAAAAGGATAAAAGTAAAAGGATGATAAAAGATGTAACATGCAAACACTGATCATAATAAAGCTGAACTGTGTCTTTTAAGATTACATGGGAATTCAAAACAAGAAATATCACCAGGGATAAAGAGGGCATTTCATGAGACTAAAGTGTTCAATTTATCAAAATATCGTATCTGTTATCAGCCATAACAGACCTGAAGTCAACATTCACTAATTCTGTGATCTTAAAGCATGTGACTTCAGCTTTCTTAGTCTAAGTTCCTTAATTTTATAAAATGGGGTTACTGCTTGACAGGACCGTTGCTACTAAAAGTACTCTGAGTTCTATGTGAAATATGAAATTATTTCTCTGCCCATTTTCATATGTTTATTTTTAATTTTTTAACTCTTCATTTTTAAATCATTTCAGGTTTATAAAGCAGCTACAAAAAATCTTTGTACATTTTCACCAAAATTTCCCAGAAGTTAACATCTTATGTAACTAAATTATCAAAATCAGGAGATTAAACATTGATTCAGTACAATTATTAAACCTTCTTTAAAGTTTTACCAATTGTCTCTGTAATGTCATTTTTATTGTCCAGGATCCAATCCATGATCACATGCTGGTTTTGGCTGCCATGTATATCTACTCTCCTTTATTCTAGAACTGATTCTCAGTGCTTCTTCGTCTTTCATGTTCTTGTCACTTTTGAAGGGCACTGGTCAGTTATGTTTAGAAATATTTCTAAATTTAGGGTTATTATGTTTTTTTATTTGAGACAGTCTCACTCTGTCACCCAGGCTGGAGTGCAGTGGCACAATCTCGACTCACTGAAACCTCCTCCTCCCAGGTTCAAAAGATTTCCCTGCCTCAGCCTCCTGAGTAGCTGGGATTAGAGGCTTGTGCCACCTTGTCAGACTAAGTTTTGTATTTTTAGTGGAGAGGGTGTTTCACCACGTTGACCAGGCTGGTCTCGAACTCCTGACCTCAAGTGATACCCCCACCTTGGCCTCCCAAAGTGCTGGGATTACAGGCGTGAGCCATTGTGCCTGGCCAAATTTAGGGCTATCTGATAGATTCCACAATTAAATATACATTAATTATTTTGAGTAAAAAAATCACAGGAATTATGCCATGTCCTTTTGAGTGCAGCATATCGGGAGACATAGGCCGTTGATTTGTCTCTTACTGATGATGTTAACTTTGATTAGTAGGTTAAGGTGGTGTCTTCCAGGCTTCTTTACCTTAAAGTTACTATTTTTCTTTTTGAAACCCTCAGAAAGTGTACCCTGTCACGTTTTCCCATTCAGCTTGGCATAAACAGAGAGAGGGAGGGAGGAAGGGGGGTGGAGAGAGAGAGAGAGAGAGAAAGAGAGGGGAGAGAGAGAACGTGAGAGGGAGTGTATTCCTGACATCTTTTTAGAGTACATTGTATCCATTTCTGCATTTCCATATCTTTTCTTAAACTACTTTAATTTAAAAAAAGAGATAGAAGGAATCTACTCTATCCTCATCCCAATCAAGTTGGAGCTAACTTAAGACTTGCCAAAGATAAAGAACCCCGCAGGAGCTGGGTGTGGTGGGTTATGCCTATAATTCCAGAGTTTTGGGGAGCCAAGGCAAGAGAATCCCTTGAGACCAGGAGTTCGAGGCTCCTGTGAGCTATGATTGCTCCATGGCACTCCACCCTGGGCAACAGACAGAGAGAGAGAGAGAGACCCTGCCTCTGAAAAAAAAGGAACTCCTCGGGCACCTGAATTGTGCTGATGTTAACTCCTGTTTCAGTGGGAAAGTGTAAGACCTGTAAGGGGAACAAGAGGAATATTGGTCTCTCCTTGGGTTTTTCTCCAGGTGGCATGTCATTTTCCCCTCCATCAGCTGAAGTCTCTCATTCCACCCTAGGAAGTTGTTCTTGAACTCGGGCACAGGAGGAGTTTCCTTTCTGGGATGTTGAGCAAGTCCATTTTTACCTAATAACTTCATCCAATATTCATTCTTGGCTCTGAAAGCTGGTCCTCCCACGTGGTCTGCAAAACAACACACCCTCATCCTACTCTGCCTGTTTATGTCACTGCTTCATCTGACGAGTGTTTGTAATGGTCACATCTGTTGCTTATCTGCCTTGTAGGAGGCAGTGGAGATGACCAAGGTAATATGCATTCAAAGGAAAGGAAAACATGTCCCGCTCTGAGCCACACTCTTTTTCGGGGGCACAACATCACTGAAGTCATCATCTGCCCAGGATACCTCATGATTTAATCATAAGAGATATCTTTTTACATGTAGGAAACTATAATTCCCGAAGAGTGAAGGGACTTAGTGAAAACACAATTGAAGATGTAAATAATCCAAACTTAGAACTCAAATTTCCAGATTGTAAGGACTCTGTTTAAAACACTACTGGCTCTCTGATGCCATGAGCACCTAAGAAAGTTGTATGAAGATGAGCAAGACCCAATTTCATATTTACACAAAATTGCAGTATTCTAGACACTAAAGTAAAGACAGAAATAATTCTTCTCATGGGGAAATGCATTTACTTAGGAGTAAGTCCATGTGTAACAATTTAAAAAATAATTTTATAGCCATTGACTTTACATTCATATCAGCTGAGTTCTAACCATGGTTTTAATTAAAAAAATAATATTTATTCTTTTTTGGTTGAAAAAGCAATACAAGAACAATGTAAAATTTGAAATTGTAGAAAAAATGTATTATACAAAATGTAAGATGTAATGTAAAAAAATAAAAAGCACTGTTAAAGATAATCACTACTATAGTTTTGGTTAGTAAAATCCTCCAACTTTTCTGCCTATGTAATATAAAAATATTTATATGTTTTATATTATTTTCTATATTTAATTATATAAGTATATTGATAATTTATAATCATATATTATATAATTATATGTAAGTAATCATTATAAATATGTAATTATCATTATATTAAAATGAGATTATTCCTACTTCTTTGAGAAAGCTCCTTTTTACACTTATTATGAAGCTTTTCCTGTGAAGTTATACAACCTGAGTTTTAATGAGTGTAAAGTATTCTATTGGATGGTTGAACCATAATTTATGTAAATATTATATAATATTTATGTAAATAATATATTGTTGGGATATAAAGTAGTTTTTTTTAATGCTACTAACAATGACCATGACCAGCTTGGGCAACATGGCAAAACCCCATCTCCACAAAAACATTTTAAAAAATTAGCCAGGCATGGTAGCATGTACCTACAGTCCCAGCTACCCACTAGGCTGAGGTGGAAGGATCAGTTGAGCCTGGGAGATGAAGGCTACAGTGAGCCGTGATCATATCACTGCACTCCAGCCTGAATGACAGAGTGAGACTCAAATAAAACCCCAAACCCAAAATGATTAAATTAATATTCAAATATTTGAATCTTTATGTACATTCACAATAGGTAAAATATGTACAAATTAAAGTTTAAACTTATTTACTAATAAGTTACCAAAATCAGGAGATTTTTGTTACATATTTCTGTATTTCCTCTAGAAAGATTTACCCCAATTTACAATCTTCAAGCACTGTCTGTTTACTTCTTTGTTGTGACTATGAGGAGTGCATTGGCCACAGACAACAGAAAACCTGACCACAGCAGTAAAAGTAAGAAGTCTGTTTTTCTCAGACCACAAGAAGGCCAGAGGTTATCAATCTTTTCATATTTTTCATTCAGTAGTGCTTCACATGCATTTGCCTATATACCACCTGTATTAGCCCATTCTCACACTGCTATAAAGAACTGCCAGAGACTGGGTAATTTATGAAGAGGTTTAATTGACTCACAGTTCCACGTGGCTGGGGAGGCCTCAGGAAACTTACAATCATGATGGAAGGGAAAGCAAACACACCCTTCTTCACATGATGGCAGGAAGGAGAAGTGCCTAGCAAATGGGGGAAAGCCCCTTATAAAACCATCAGATATCGTGAGAACTCACTACCATGAGAAGAGCAGCATGGGGGTAACCAACCCCATGATTCAATTACCTCCCACTAGGTCCCTCCCATGACACATGGGGATTATGGAAACTACAATTCAATATGAGATTTGGGTAAGGACATAGCCAAACCATACACATCACACCATGCTTTTTAAAAGTTGACATCATCAAATGGCTATAATTATACAATAATTTTATTCTAATCATTCCCTAATTTTCCTTTTTATGTTATTTTAATTAATCCTGTTTTGAACAGCTTTATGTATAATTTTTAGTTTACATCTTGGATTATAAGAGTCCTATGACTAAGGATTTCTACCTATTTTGATACCGTGGTCTAGTATTCTAAATATTTTAAAAATTTATTTTAAAATGAACTTTGTATTCTAGAATGGTCTTAGATTTATAGGGAAGTTGCAAAGATAGTACACAGGGTTCCCACAACCCTGCACCCAGTTTCTCTAATTGTTAACATCTTCCGTTACTATGGTACATTTGTCAAAACTAATGAATCAATATTGATACATCATTATTAATTAAAGTTCACACTTTATTCGTATGTTCTTAGATTTTACCTGTTGTCCTTTTGCTGTTCCAGAAACCCACCCCGAATACCACTGAGTCATCACGTTTCCCTGGATTGTCTTTAGGCTGTGGCAGTTTCTCAGACTTTCCTTGCTTTTGATGACCTTGACAGTTTCGATGAATATTAATCAGGCATTTTGTAGAATCTTCCTCAATTTGGACTTGTATGATGTTTTCCTCATGATTAGATGGTGGTTACAAATTTTGGGGAGGAAGAACACAGAGGTAGAATGCCATTTTCCTCACATCACATCGAAGGTTCATGCTGTCAACGTGACCTGTCATGGATGATGTCAAATGCGATTATGTGGCTGAAGCAGAGTTATTTTCCAATAAGAGTTACTCTTTCCCTTCCCTCCATGCTGTGTTCTTTAGAAGGAAGTCACTATGTGCAGCCCATACTTATGGGGGTTGTTGCAGGGGGAGTTATTCTCCATATCTTTGAGGGAATAGCTATACAAATTATTTGGAATTCTTTTGTACATGTTATTTATTCAATAACTCATGAATATTTGTTTTATACATTGGGATATAATGTAATACTGCACTATTTATTTTCTTGCTCCAATTATCCCAGCTGGGGCCATTGGAATATCTTTCTGTTGGCTTCTATATTCCTTTAACATACTCCGTTTTTGTTTTGTTTTTAGCATTTCCTTATTTGATGACACTACACGATGCTGCAGACTTGTCTTGTATATTTTCTGCCCCATTCCTAGAATCGGCCGTTTCTCCACAGAACCTGATGCTTTTTATTGGAGAATAGTATTACAAATCAAGATCTAGAAACTGAGTATGCTTAATACTTTATAACCTGTAATCAGCGATATTTTTTTCTAATTTTAATCCCATTCTCATTGCAATTAAAAATTCATATACAGACATGTAAAATATCTGCAATTAAGCCTATTCTTTGTGTCTTGTTCTCGACAGAGATAAAGCAAGGATGTTCTCAGGTATATGCTGGATTTCTTTTAATATTAATATGACTAAGGGTGATGCATGGATAGTTGCCTGCTGGGCAGAATGCCTTTTCACCCTTTCAGAGGTTCACCTGAAATCTCAGCCTCGGCCTCAGGGTCACCTCCTATAAGCTCTGTGAATTGCACAGGAGGAGGAACAAGGTCCACTCTGTCATTCTGCCTCACCTCAGTAAACACAGCCATGAAAAGCTACTTCTATTCTCATTTCTCTGACTTCACACCTTCCATTAAACAAACCCAAGATTCCACCTCTGAAAAATAAATTGTATATAGCAAGGCAGTACAACAGCAAAACAGATCCTGATTTGAAGCTCCATTTTGTACCATTCCATTCGTAACACAATTTTTATGAAACGACAAGACCAAAAGAACAAATTTAAGAAATATGAAGAACCACGTTCATTTTCATGCAGTCATTATAGGCATTGTCCAATGATCAAGACCGTTGGCATTGGAGCTAAAATAAGAATGGAGAAGTATTACAGTGGAGAATCGAATCCATCAATCACATTAACAGTAAATTGCACACTAATCCTTTATCTATTATTTACAGTATCAATAAGTGTATCCTGTCTAGACTACAGAGTACTTAAACTCAAAGGTGTCAATAATAACAAAGAATAACATTATTAAATAATAAGCATCAATTAAAAATTAAAATGAATAGAATATAAGAAAAAGCACCCTATAGATTGTGTTTATAAACCTAGCCTATTTTGTGAAACTGTTATAGGAATTATGATTTATGCTAGCTGATAAATCTGATTTTGACAATTGGGTAAACAAAAAAACTAAGATTTTTAAAATTAAATTTTTTTTGCTGGAAGAAGGATCCCTATATGAATAAAATTTTAAATTTACATAATCAATGTTTTAGTATTTCCAAATGTTTTATGTGGTTTTCAAATTTGTATCTTATCAGGGTCATGTCAAATAAAAAGAGCTAAAGTAAATGGTTTATCTTGACCAAATTTAACAATCATGACTTCTATAGCTGCAAACAAAGCTTATCCGTTACCAAATGCAGTGTAGAATTTAACTTATATTTAGATAAAGTCAGGAAATGGCCTCTAAATGGTCCTCAATTTTCTTTCATTTAGACAAAAACTGAGTTTCCCCCTTTTGCTGAGTTGTTCAGTTAAAAGACTGTTTCATTTGGAGAGTGTGACTGATGGCTCCCTGTGAGAATGGGCAGGGCAGAGCCAGGCCTGACCGGAGAGGGAGCCACTCTGTCCCCTAGGAAGCTGACTCAGGTTCCAAGGCTTATGACCTGGGCTTTGGCCCATGGGCATTTACTCAGAGAAAATTTGTAGAGTACAATCACAGTTGTTGAGTATAATCATGATGGCCCCTGACCAGTCATTCATTTCATATAGGAACTACTTGGCATGTGTTTCAGAGGACTGGGCTGAGAGTGGAGATCCATGACATGATACCAGTGATCATGTGGGTCCTAAGGACAGGTGGTGCAGGTGTCCATGGCGAAACAAGGCCTTAGCTGGTAGACTGGATTTCCAGGACAGGATCCTAATACCCACCAGGAAATCTGTCTGGAAGAAAAACAAGCTCCTAGGTTTCTGAGAGGAAAACCAGATAGGTTATTTAACAAAGATCTTAAATTAGATTACTGCAGAAGCTCAACTTTAGAATCAGTGGCACATAGCAAGGTTGAGCTTATAGACAAGACCACCTTCTTTTAAGAGCCTGACACTGAAGGATGCGTGACTAGGGTGTGAGCATAGGAGTCAAATTCAGCAGGAGACATTGATCCTAGATCAGATTAAAAGCAAAGGGGTCTTAGCCTCAGAAAAGTAGCTGCTGGAACAGAGTACATGGAAGGCCTGTAATTTGGGACTGACTGGCTAACTTGGTAGCTTTTAGTATGGGGTCAAACCTAATGGGACTTGATATTAAGAATGGGACTTGATACTGAGGCTTCTGCCTGGGGGATTAGCACAGTTTAAATATGGCCTGACACAGGGGTGGAGTTGCTCTTGTATATGGGATGTCAGGAGTCCCAGCTGTGAGGAACTGGGAATTATACAGACTGAAATCAGAAGACATGATGACTAAATGTAATGTCACACACCCTGAATTGGATCCTGGGGCAGAAAGAGGTTATTAGGTAAAAAGTAAAAATATTTGAATAACGTTTGGTCTTTAGTTAATTAAAATATGTCAATAACCATTCACTAGTTGTTAAAAATGAATCATAGAGATGTGGTATGTTAACAATAACAGAAACTGGGTACAGGTTATATAGCCACCTTCTGTACTATCATCACGACTTTTTTTTGTAAATCTGAAACTATTCAAAAGTAAAAGTTTTTTTTTTTTTTTTAAATCAGGCACCTTATTATCTTCCTCTTCTTTTTTGTTTTCTCATGGAGAAAATAGCATTTCCATTTCATTTTATCTGAGTGCTTTAGTATCTTTCCAGTAATATGTTTTATGTTTTTTTGTCTCTGTCATATATAAAAATGAGCCCATTTTGCTTACATACTACAATGTCTTAGTCTAGTCAGGCTGCTATAACAAAAATGCCATAAACTGAGTGATTTCTATGCAATAGGAATTTATTTCTCATAGTTCAGAAGGCCAGGAAGCTCAAGAACAAGGTGCCAGCAGATTTGCTACCAGGTGAGGGCCCACTCTGGTTCACAGAAGGCATCTTTTCCACCCTCACTTGGTGGAAGGGGTAAGGGGTCTTTCTTGGACCTCTTGTAAAAGGCACAACCTATTCATGAGGGTTCCATCTTCATGATCTAATCATTTCCCAAAGGTCTCACCTCCTAATACTGTCACATAAGAGAAGTTTTCAACTATTGAATTTCGAGGCACAAACACTCAGATCATAGCATAACAAAAATTGTTCAATAACAAAAAATAACATGTACTATGACTTCAGGTATGATATTAATTGAAGAAATGATTTCATAAATGTGAATAAAGCATATTTTTAAAATAGTGTTTAAAAACAGAATAAATTTACTTTCAAGTCAATAAAGGTTACTTTTTAAATTAATGCTTGACATCATTTTAAATTTAATTTATCCCCTTACTTCCTTCTTTCATCTCTCTCTCTCTACCTGTTGCATTTTGTTAAAAATCTACAATTATATTTGATAGTTATAAAAAGCTTAGAGTTGTCATACCTTTGACACCATCTACTTCAATTCTATCTTTTGATAAGGAAATGGAGGTTCAGGATTTTGATAAGCTACCCAAAATGAGCTATGCAATTCTATTTATTAATAAATAGCAAAACTGGGCCTAGATCCAGTAGTCTACCAGTATTAGTCGGTTTTCATGCTGCTGATAAAGACATACCCAAGACTGGGCAATTTACTAAAGAAAGAGGTTTATTGGACTTAACAGTTCCATGTGACTGGGGAGGTCTCACATCATGGTGGAAAGCAAGGAGGAGTAAGTCACATTTTATGTGGATGGCAGCAGACAAAGAGACCTTGTGCAGGGAAACTCCCAGTTTTAAAACCATCAGATCTCGTGGGACCCATTCACTATCACAAGAAAAGCACGGGAAAGACCAGCCCCCATGATTCCATCATCTTCCACTGGGTCCCTCACACAACACATGGGAATTATGGGAGCTACAAGATGAGATTTGGGTGGGGACACAGAGCCAATCCACATGACTACCTCCTAACAAAAAGCACATTTTAATGCACAGTCTTGCCTTCACTCTATAAAAATTACTTTGTTTCTAGAGTTATTCTTGAAATTTCCCTTCCTATAAAGACAAAGACAAGTTTGTGTCAATGGCTATTTGCTTGGACTTTATCATCCATTGTTTCAGCAGGACTGATGTGAATCCTTTTACAGCTTAACTTTATAACCTCTTTAAAAGGAAATGCTGAAAAAAATTCATGATTCTCATACTTAGATAAAAATGCCAGCCAGTTAATAATTTATAAAATAATTTTGCTACTATATGGATTTTCTCCCATCTAGTCCAATTTTCTGAGTTGCATATATGTGCTAAAATTTTAAGAGTGTAAACAGCAAAGTTGTTTTTAAAATTAGCTCTCCAAAGAATTATAAAGCAGTAAAGGAAATGAAATATGTTAGCCTTGAAGGTGATGCTATAAAGATATACAGTTAGTGTAGGAAGAAACATGTTCATTTGTATATTCTGGGCTGTTCTTTATTTTGTGGCTGCAGTCTACTTGCTATGATTTTCCCTGAGGGAATTTCTGTTTCCATTCCAAGTGGTCTGTGTTCCAAAACAGCTACCAAAGTTTATTGCTAATGTTCTTTCCATTCCCTACAATTCAGTGTCTTGCCACATTAAAGAGGTGTTTTCATGTCTTCAGAGCATCTCTTCTGTACCCATCCCATCCCCAAACTACAGCTACCAGGGGCAGTTTCCCTGACAGCAGCTGCTGTCATCTTACGTGGCCTCCAGGGGTGGTTCAAGGAACAATGGAAAGGCATTTAGAAGTGAAAGAAAATAGGGCTTGACAGGTCAGATTACTGTTATGATAGGCCTGGGTTCCTGGATTTGTTGGTTGGGGGCCCTACCTTGCCATAGCTCCTAAGTTTAATTTGGGGCTTGGTGACTCTCTGGCGCCACACTCTGGCATCCTCATCATCGGCAAAACCCTTTGGACTCCATCAAGCAGTGCAGCGCAGATCATCACAGAGAAATGTGTGGAGAAAACAACGTAAAAATCTCTGTGAAATTTATCATATTCCAGAGATATAGGACTAACTTGAGGAATTTTCTTTCAAAATTTGTTTTCTTCAGGTATTTAAAGTCAGAGTTAGGCACAAGTTTGGCTTTGAGTTCCCCAGTTGTACCATATACTTCTTCATTTTCATTTTTTTCTATATACAAACAACATAGGCATCATTGAACAAACTTATTCAAAAGGAATAATGAAATCTCCACCCCATCCTTACACCATGCCTGAGAGAAAACCACTGATCGCAATTGGTCTATATCCTTCCAGTTTTTGGACTATGTTTATGCAAATATGTACACAAATATACTACAAAAAATATATCATACTGTGCGTGTATGTGTAACTTGCACTTGCCTTTTTACTAAACAATATACACTGGGTATCTTTCCATATCAATATACACAGAGTCATTTCATTCTTTTTAATAGCCACATAGTATTCCACTCTATTATACAGAGTTATTATAATCTATTTAACCAGTCCCGCAATGATAGGCATTTGGATTAGTTTCACACTTGTAATAAAAGTGGCATCATTATACATATATAATGATGTATATAATGATACATATATCTGTGATTACTTGGAGAAATATTTTTGCATAATAAATTTCTAGAAGAGAAAGACAAAATATATCAATGTATGCTTCCATCAAGAATGATTAAAGTCCATATTTTTTCCTATTATCATACCTAACAATGTAAATTTGTAATACATTTTGGTCTTTGTTAGTCTAATTTTTTTTTACTTAATTATAAGTGAGTTTGTGTATTTTTTAAGAGCTATCTTTAATGATCATCTGTGTTCTTTGTGAATTCTGTGTTCATATTTGTTGTTTATTTTCTGTAGTGGTGTTTTCCTTTATCTTACAGATTTGTGAAAGATAATTTTAACACATTGGGTATCATTGCAATTTCCCTCATTTTGTCATCTGTCTTTTATCTTGTTTATATAGTCATTTCATTCATTTTTTTCTTTATGGTTTCTACTTATCTGATGTGTTTAGAAAGGTGTTCCTTACATAAAAATTATTTTCCACTGGTACACTTATTATTTTTGTTATTTTTAAAACATTAACCAATCTAGAGACCTTTTAGGATATGGTTCTGAAGTAGGAATACAGATTCATTTCTTCCCAATTGGGTAGGAAAATTTTGTAGCCCATTTATTGAACAATATGTCTTTTCTCCACTAATATGAAATATCACTTTTATTATATAGTAAAGCTCATATATATCAAGGTCTATTTTTTATTATGAATAACTCCTTGACCTATTGATTTTTATCTCTATTAGTGTCAGAGTATTTTAATTGCTGTATTTTATAATATGTTTTAATAAATTACAGATGAGGACTTAATCATTTTCACATTGCTCATAGCATTATAACTTATTTATTACATTCCAAATGAAATTTTAAACTTATTTTTCAAGGTTCTGAAAATGCTTAATTTGGTTTTTAATTGTAATTGCAATAATTTTATTATAACTTACTACTTTATACTCTTCCCTCAATGTAGTTATGTTTCCTCATTTATTTTAGTCTTTCTTTTGTGTTTAACTGAAAATCTTGCATCTTTCTTATTGGATTTATTTCTAGGTATGTTTATTAGCATTACTAATGAGTCTTGTTTCCCACTTCATTTTCTAACTTTTATTGATTTTTGGTATATTAATCTTGTATTAACTGCTTTCTCGTACTTTCTGTTGCTGTAGCAGACAGTTTTCTTGATTTTACTCCAAGGTAGTTATATAATTTTTGGTAAATAATCATACATTTTACAACCAATATATACTTTTTTCCTTTCCTTATATTCTTTTATTGTCCATAAGTTCCAGAATCTTGTTGAATAATAGAAGTATTAATAGAAAGCATTCTCTATTTTTTTTATATTATACTTTAAGTTCTGGGGTACATGTGCACCAAGTGCAGGTTTGTTACGTAGGTATACATGTGCCATGTTGGTGTGCTGCACCCATCAACCCGTCATTTATATTAGGTATTTTTCCTAATGCTATCCCTCCCCCAGTCCCCCACCCACCTACAGGCCCCAGTGTGTGATGAGCCCCTCCCTGTGTCCATGTGTTCTCATTGTTCAATTCCCACTTATGAGTGAGAACATGTGGTGCTTGGTTTTCTGTCCTTGTGATAGTTTGCTGAGAATGATGGTTTCCACTTTCATTCATGTCCCTGTAAAGAACATGAACTCATCTTTTTTATGGCTGCATAGTATTCCATGGTGTATATGTGCCACATTTTCTTTATCCAGTCTATTACTGATGGGCATTTGGGTTGGTTCCAAGTCTTTGCTATTGTGAATAGTGTCACAATAAACATACATGTGCTTGTGTCTCTATAGCAGCATAATTTATAATCCTTTGGGTATATACCCACTAATGGGATTGCTGGGTTAAATGGTATTTCTAGTTCTAGATCCTTGAGGAATCACCACACTGTCTTCCACAACGGTTGAACTAATTTACACTCCCACCAACAGTGTAAAAGCATTCCTATTTCTCCACATCCTCTCCAGCACCTGTTTTTTCCTGACTTTTTAATGATCACTATTCTAACTGGTGAGAGATTGTATCTCATTGTAGTTTTGATTTGCATTTCTCTAATGACCAGTGATGATGAGCATTTTTTCATAAGTCTGTTGGCTGCATAAATGTCTTCTTTTGAGAAGTGTCTGTTCATATCCTTTGCCCACTTTTCGATGGGGTTGTTTTTTTCTTATAAATTTGTTGAAGTTCTTTGCAGATTCTGGATATTAGCCCTTTGTCAGATGGATAGATTGCAAAAATTTTCTCCAATTCTGTAGGTTGCCTGTTCACTCTGCTAAGAGTTTCTTTTGCTGTGCAGAAGCTCTTTAGTATAATTAGATCCCATTTGTCAATTTTGGCTTTTGTTGCCATTGCTTTTGGTGTTTTAGTCATGAAGTCTTTGCCCATGCCTATGTCCTGAATGGTAATGCTTAGGTTTTCTTCTAGGGTTTTTATGGTTTTAGATCTTACATTTAAGTCTTTAATCCACCTTGAGTTAATTTTTGTATATGGTGTAAGGAAGGAATCCAGTTTCAGCTTTCTACATATGGCTAGCCAGTTTTCCCAGCACCATTTATTAAATAGGGAATCCTTTCCCCATTGCTTGTTTTCGTCAGGTTTGTCAAATATCAGATGGTTGTAGATGTGTGGCATTATTTCTGAGGCCTCTGATCTGTTCCATTGGTCTATATAACTGTTTTGGTACCAGTAACACGCTGTTTTGGTTACTGTAGACTTGTAGTACAGTTTGAAGTCAGGTAGTGTGATGCCTCCAGCTTTGTTCTTTTTGCTTAGAATTGTCTTGGCTATGCGGGCCCTTTTTTTTCCCATATGAAATTTAAAGTAGTTTTTTCCAATTCTGTGAAGGAAGTCAGTGGTAGCTTGATGGGGATAGCATTGAAGGTATAAATTACCTTGGGCAGTATGGCCATTTTCACAATATTGATTCTTCCTATCCATAAGCATGAAATGTTCTTGTATTTGTTTGTGTCCTCTTTTATTTCATTGAGCAGTGGTTTGTAGTTCTCCTTCACATCCCTTGTAAGTTGCATTCCTAGGTATTTTATTCTCTTTGTAGCAATTGTGAATGGGAGTTCATTCATTATTTCACTCTCTATTTGCTTGTAATTGGTGTATAGATATACTTGTGATTTTTGCACACTGATTTTGTATCCTGAGACACTGCTGAAGTTGCTTATCAGCTTAAGGAAATTTGGGATGAGATGATGGGGTTTTCTAAATATATAATCATGTCATCTGCAAACAGAGACAATTTGACTTCCTCTTTTCATAATTGAATACCCTTTATTTCTTTCTCTTGTCTGATTGCCCTGGCCAGAACTTCCAATACTATGCTGAATAGGAGTGGTGAGAGAGGGTATACTTGTCTTGTGCCAGCTTTCAAAGGGAATGCTTCCAGTTTTTGCCCATTCAGTATGATATTGGCTGTGGGTTTGTCATAAATAGCTCTTATTATTTTGAGGTATGTCCCATCAATACCTAGTTTATTGAGAGTTTTTATCATGAAGGGCTGTTGAATTTTGTCAAAGGTCTTTTCTGCATCTATTAAGATAAGCATGTGGGTTTTGTCGTTGGTTCTGTTTATGTGATGGATTACGTTTATTGATTTGCATGTGTTGAACCAGCCTTGCATCCCAGGGATGAAGCCAACTTGATCATGGTGGATAAGTTTTTGATGTGCTGCTGGATTCGGCTTGCCACTATTTTATTGAGGATTTTTGCATCGATGTTTATCAGGGATACTGACCTAAAATTCTTTTTTTGTTGTGTCTCTGCCAGTCTTTGGTATCAGGATGATGCTGGCCTCCTAAAATGAGTTAGGGAGGATTCCCTCTTTTTCTATTGATTGGGATAGTTTCAGAAGGAACGGTACCAGCTCCTCTTTGTACCTCTGGTACAATTTGGCTGTGAATCCATCTGGTCCTGGACTTTTTTTGGTTGGTAGGCTATTAATTATTGCCTCATTTCAGAACTTGCTATTGGTCTATTCAGAGATACGACTTCTTCCTGGTTTAGTCTTGGGAGGGTGTATGTGTCCATGAATGTATCCATTTCTTCTAGATTTTCTAGTTTATTTGCATAGAGGTGTTTATAGTATTTTCTGATAGTAGTTTGTATTTCTGTGGGATTGGTGGTGATATCCCCTTTATCATTTTTTATTACGTCTATTTGATTCTTCTCTTTCTTCCTTATTAGTCTTTCTAGCAGTCCATGAATTTTGTTGATCTTCTCAAAAAACCAGATCCTGGGTTCATTGATTTTTTTGAAGGTTTTTTTTTTTGAGTCTCTATCTCCTTCGGTTCTGCTCTGATCTTAGTTATTTCTTGTCTTCTGCTAGCTTTTCAATTTGTTTGCTCTTGCTTCTCTAGTTCTTTTAATTGTGATGTTAGAGTGTTGATTTTAGATATTTCCTACTTTCTCTTGTTGGCATTTAGTGCTATAAATTTCCCTCTAACCACTGCTTTAAATGTGTCTAGAGAATCTGGTACGTTGTGTCTTCATTCTCAATGGTTTCAAAGAACATCTTTATTTCTGCCATCATTTCATTAGTTACCCAGTAGTCATTCAGGAGCAAGTTGTTCAGTTTCCATGTAGTTGAGTGGTTTTGAGTGAGTTTCTTAATCCTGAATTCTAATTTGATTGCACTGTGGTCTGAGAGACAGTTTGTTGTGATTTCTGTTATTTCCATTTGCTGAGGAGTGTTTTACTTCCAAACACTTCTCCTGGTCCATTTTAGAATAAGTGCGATGTGGTGCTGAGAAGAATGTATATTTTGTTGATTTGGGGTGGAGTGTTCTGTAGAAGTCTATTAGGTCTGCTTGGTCCAGAGCTGAGTTCAAGTCCTGGATATCCTTGTTAATTTTCTGTCTTGTTGATCTGTCTAATATTAACAATGGGGTGTTAAAGTCTCCCACTATTATTGTGTGGGAGTCACAGTCTCTTTGTAGGTCTCTAAGTACTTGCTTTATGAATCTGGGTGCTCCTGTATTGGGTGCATATATATTTAGGATAGTTAGCTCTTCTTGTTGAATTGATCCCTTTACCATTATGTAATGGCCTTCTTTGTCTCTTTTGATCTTTGTTGGTTTAAAGTCTGTTTTATCTTTGTTATTGTGAATAGTGCCACAAGTTGATGTGTGCAGCAAACCAAAATGGCACATGTATACTTATGTATCAAACCTGCATTTTGTGCACATGTACCGTAGAACTTAAAGTATAATAATACAAAAAAGTCTGTTTTATCACAGACAAGGATTGCAACCCCTGCTTTTTTTTGCTTTCCATTTACTTGGTAGATCTTCCTCCATCCCTTTATTTTGAGCCTATTTGTGTCTTTGCACACGAGATGGGTCTCCTGAATACAGCACACTGATGGGTCTTGACTCTTTATCCAATTTGCCAGTCTGTGTCTTTTAATTGGGGCATTTAGCACATTTACATTTAAGGTCAATATTATTATGTGTGAATTTGATCCTGTCATTATGATGCTAGCTGGTTATTTTGCCCGTTCGTTCATGCAGTTTCTTCATAGCATCAGTGGACTTCACTATTTGGCATGTTTTTGCAGTGGCTGGTACCCGTTGTTCCTTTCCACATTTAGTGCTTCCTTCAGGAGCTCTTGTAAGGCAGGCCTGGTGGTGACAAAATCTCTCAGCATTTGCTTGTCTATAAAGGATTTTATTTCTCCTTCCCTTGTGAAGCTTAGTTTGGCTGGATATGAAATTCTGCGCTGAAAATTCTTTCCTTTAAGAATGTTGAATATTGGCCCCCACTCTCTTCTGGCTTGTAGGGTGTCTGCCAAGAGATCCACTGTTAGTCTGATGGGCTTCCCTTTGTGGGTAACCTAACCTTTCTCTTTGGCTGCCCTTAACATTTTTTCCTTCATTTCAACCTTGGTGAATCTGATGATTATATGACTTGGGGTTGCTTTTCTCAAGGAATATCTTTGTGGTATTCTTTGTATTTCCTGAATTTGAATCTTGGCCTGTCTTGCTAGGTTGGGAAAGTTTTCCTAGATAATATCCTGAAGAGTGTTTTCTAACTTGGTTCCATTCTCCCCGTCACTTTCCGGTACACCAATCAAATGTAGATTTGGTCTTTTCACATAGTCCCATATTTCTTGGGGGCTTTATTCATTTCTTTTCATTCTTTTTTCTCTAATCTTGTCTTCTCACTTTATTTCATTAATTTGATCTTCAATCACTGATATCCTTTCTTCCATTTGATCTAATCAGCTATTGAAGCTTGTGTATGCTTCATGAAGTTCTCGTGCTGTTTTTTTCAGCTCCCTCAGGTAATTTATGTTTTTCTCTACACTAGTTATTCTTATTCTAGTTAGCCATGCCTCTAACCTTTTTTCAAGGTTCTTAGCTTCCTTGCAATGGGTCAGAACATGCTCCTTTCGCTCGGAGAAGTTTGTTATTACCCACCTTCTGAACCCTACTTCTGTCAATGCATCAAACTCATTCTCCGTCCAGTTTTGTTCCCTTACTGGCGAGGAGTTGTGATCCTTTGGAGGAGAAGAGGCTTTCTGGTTCTTGGAATTTTTAGCCTTTCTGCTCTGGTTTCTCCCCATCTTTGTGGTTTTATCTACCTTTGGTCTTTTATCTACCTTTGGTCTTGATGTTGGTTTTGGTGTGGATGTCCTTTTTGTTGATGTTGATGCTATTCCTTTCTGTTTCTTGGTTTTCCTTCTAACAGTCAGGTCCCTCAGTTTCAGATCTGTTGGAGTTTGCTGGAGGTCCACTCCAGACCCTGTTCGCCTGGGTATCACCAGTGGAGGCTGCAGAACAGCAAATATTGCTGCCTGATCCTTCCTCTGGAAGCTTTGTCCCAGAGGGGCACCCACCAGATGCCAGCAAGAGCTCTCCTTAATGAGGTGTCTCTCAGCCCCTACTGGGAAGTGTCTCCCAGGCAGGCTACATGAGGGTCAGGGACCCACTTAAGGAGGCAGTCCATCCATTATCAGAGCTCGACCACCATGCTGGGTGAGCCACTGCTCTTTTCAGAGGTGTCAGCCAGGGACATTTAAGTCTGGAGAAGCTGTGCCCACAGTTGCCCCTTCCCCCACGTGCTCTGTCCCAGAGGGACGAGGGTTTTATCTGTAACTCCCTGACTGGGGCTGCTGCCTTTTGTTCAGATATGCCGTGCCCACAGAGGTGAAATCTAGAGAGGCAGTCAGCCTTGCTGAGCTTCAGTGGGCTCCGCCCAGTTCCAGTTTCCCGACAGCTTTGTTTACTCTATGAGCATAAAACCACCTACTCAAGCCTCAGCAATGGTGGATGCCCCTCCCCCTGCCAAACTCCAGCGTCCCAGGTCAATTTCAGACTGCTGCCCTTGCAGTGAGAATTTCAAGCCAATGGATCTTAGCTTGCTGGACTCCATGGGCATGGGACCCACTGAGCGAGCCACTGGAGGGAATCTCCTGGTCTGCCAGTTGTGAAGACCATGGGAAAAGCGCAGTATTTGGGCAGAAGCGTACTGTTCCTCCTGGCACAGTCTCTCATGGCTTCCCTTGGCTAGGGAAGGGAAATCCCCTGACACCTTGTGCTTCCCAGGTGAGGCGACGCCCCACCCTCCTTCGGCTAGCCCTCTGTGGGATGCACCCACTGTCCAACCAGTCTCAATGAGATGAACCAGATACCTCAGTTGGAAATGAAGAAATCACCCATCTTCTGCATCGATCTCACTGGGAGCTGCAGACCGGAGTTCCTACTAGGCCATCTTGGAAGAGTCCCTGGTTTTTCTTCTTGTGCTCCCATGTCCTCTTATTTATCACTTTAATGTGATTATTTTTGGTATTTCATTATTAAGTATTATATTGGCTTTGGATTTCTAAAAAATACTTGTTACCAAGTTAAGAAAGTCTGCTTTTCCCTTGGCACACCAGGAATTTTAATCAAAAGTAACGTTAACATTTATAAAATGTCCTTTAGCATCTACCAAGATTACATTAGCATATTTCCTAAATTTGAACAATTTTTGTACTCTTGAATAAATTTGATCAGGTAAAGTGTATTGCTCTTTTAGTATACTGTTGGATTTGATATTTCATAACAGACTTTTTATTTGTGCTTATTAGATAGATTGGCCCATGGTTTTGTGACATATTTATCAGGTTTATTGTATCAAAGTTATGATTTCTATAGCTTTGTAACAATTAAGTACTACAGAACTTAACTATTCGTCAGTATTTGGTAAAAATTTCTGAGAAAATGAACATGGCCCAGAGCCATTTTACAGTATTTTTTTTACAAAAGTTTCAACTTTTCTATGGATATTGATCTATTTTGGCTTCCTATATTTTATTCAGGCAAATTGGTTGTTTGTAGTTTCCTTAAAAATATCTATTTTAAAATTTTATACTCAGAAAAGTACAAAAATTTTATTTAAAAATTATAATTTCCTTTGGTTATACCTTTTCTGTTTTCTAATATTGTATTTGTGTTCTCTTAGGTTTCCTTTGGCTAGACTTGCTAGGGATTGATTGGTTTGTTTTGTTTTTATAACTTTTCAAATACAAGATCACTGTTTTTATCAATAAATTGTAATGTTTGGCTTTCTCATGTTTAAGTCATTGCTTTTACATTCTTTTACTTTCTTTTGATTTATTTTCTTCTTTTTAATTTCCTGAGTTATACATTTATGTTATTTTAAACAAAATTTTTCATAAGGTAAGATTTGGTTACAATTCACAAGATTATATTATGTTATCAGGATTCTTTTTTCCTCTTTGATACAAGAGTTATCTAGAAGACTATTTTTATTTCCAGGTGATTTTTAGAAATGCTTTATTTTGATGCTGATGTCAGTATTTATTGCATGGAGTCAAACATATATTTCCTATACAAAATTATTCATTTTCAAATATATTTCTAATTATACAAGTAGCACATGAATACATTTTTATTGTGAAAGATTTATATAATGTAGACAAAACTATTTCCTCTAACCCCATCTCTAGTGGCAACATTAGTTACTGGCTTATTGTATATCATTTCAGTCTCTTTTCTATTCATCTGTGTCCTCTCACCAGGAACTGGTACCATCCTGTACTTACTGTATGTAGCACACTGATCCATACATGCATAGGCATTGCTCCCACCTGCAGGCTGCTGCCTAGCTTGTGGCTAATACGGGGATATAGAGAAGCCAATTCATCTGGTTGCTCCTGCTGAAGTACACCAACTAATCACCTTCTTGATTACTTCTGATGCACTCCTGCTCATTGTATCTGCCAACCCAGAGCATGAAGTAACTCTTTTATAGAAGTTTTTCCTGCATGCAGTTTGACCATACATTTCTCCTTCAAGTGATTGTGTTTTCATCTTTCAGTTATTCAACATAATTTTGTGTAGTCAGTATTCATTTACAGTTACCAACACATTTACCCATCCAGTATTCTTCATTCCCTCCTTGAATTTCCATCTTTTCAAATGAGATCATTTTTACTTTTGCTAGTAGAAATCCCTTCAGCATTTCAGTGTAAAACTCCTAGCAATAAATTATGTGAATTTTTGTTTTTTGTTTACTTTTTGCTTCTTTTTGTTGCTTGTTTGTTTGAAAATGTCATCATTTAACGTTCATTTCTGAAGATTGTTTTTCACACGTTGGCCTTTAGTTTCTTTCAGTACTCTAGAGATAGCATTCCATTATCTTCTGGCTTCTATTGTTGCTATTAGAGACAGCTGCCAGTCTCATTGTTGCTCTTTTGTAGATAATGTGTCTTTTTTCTTCTGGCTGGTTTTTCCATCTTCTCTGTCTTTGGTTCAGCAGTTTTATTGTGAGTTGCATAATTGTGGTTTTCTCTATACTTATCCTGCTTGAGGGTTTGCTGAGCTTCTTAACCAGTGGGTTAAATGTATTTTATCTGCTTTAGAAAATTCCCAACCATTATCCCTTTGAATATTGCTTCTGCTCTATTTCTTTCTCCTTGCCCTCTGAAACTTCAGTTTTACATGGTAGACCTTTCATACTTGTCCTGTATGTCTCTTACATTTGTTTCTTATTTTTTCTCTTTCTTTTTTTCTTCCATGCTTCACTTTGTATATTTTTCATTGATATGTTTCCAGTTCACAAGTCTTGTATTCAATAGTGTCCAACCTATTGTTAAACTCATATATTGAGTTTTTAAATTTAATTTTGAAATAATTTACTTTGAAATATTTTTATCAGAAAAGTTGCAAGAACAGTAGAATGAACTCCCACATTCTCTTCATCCAGATTCCTCAGTTAATAGTTTCATATTTTCTCCATCTCTTTTTGTAAAGATGATAGATAGATAGATAGATAGATAGATAGATAGATAGATAGATAGATGTGTATTTTCAAGGATATGATACCTTTTTTGAATATTTTGAGAGCAAGTTAAGCAAGTTGAAACCTTTATGTCCTATCATCTGTAAATATTCCTATTACTACTTCTCCCAAAGACACTCTCCTACAGAGTAATTGCCAAGCCTTTCAAATCAGAAAATGGACAGCGATAAATACCAGCATTCAAACCACAGTTCATTATTATCCAACGTTCCAGGCTTATCTTGAAATTTCTCTACCTCCATCCTTGAATCATCCACTTTTACAAGGAGTCCTTGTTGTTTGTTATGGAAATTGGAACCTACATACTTGTTATTAATTGCTACTGGGGTGTCATTGCACCTAGGTCCTCTCCATGGTCAGAATTTTGAAATATATGTATGTATTCATGGATATGTACACAGACATATTCACTTGCATTGATAATTTTTTTTGTTTCTTTCCTCCCTTCCCTTTCACTCTTTCCTTCTTTCCTTCCTTTTGCTCTTTCCTTCCTTCCTTCTTCCTTCTTACCATAACAATAGCAATGAGTTATTTTTTTCGCTTCCCCTTTTCATATTTGTAAATTTGTTTTCCCACAGAGAGAAATCCAGCTTCCATTAGCTTCAATATAGATACTTTCTTGATCAATCCTCCTTTACATAATTAATTTCCTAAAAATGCTAGGTACTGCCATGGCCAACTCATCACTCCTGATTTCATCTCCAGGCAAGTTGTCACTTTTGAACTCTTCTCCCCACCAAACCCTGGTCTGTTTGATATGCCACTGCCTCCATGCCCCTGTCTCCACCTTCTGGCTGTTAGACACATTGTTAACTGTGCACCCCAACTTACTCTTACCTTCACCTCCCTGGTGCTTCTTCTGCTGAGCATACAACTGCCACCATATGTACCCCCTATACATGCTTCCTTGGACACCAGGCACTCTGCTGCCTCCACATGGCTTTCCCATTATGACTTCTTTTGCCCCTATGCACATCACTATCTGTATGCCCGCCACCCTACTTTCTTGGCTGTTGGACACACTGCTATCTCTACTGATCCTTTCCACTGCAGTTTTCTCCATATATTGATTTCTTAACTGACGATAGTATATTTTTTCAAATTTAGAATGCCTAAAGAAATCTTTTTTATAGGTTAGTTTTACTGAAAATTGTCCATTTCCTCATCAATTTTGCACTTTATTTTCTTAAACATATTCATAAAAATTATTTGTAAATTCTCATTTGCTGATTACAATATCTTGATCATCTATAATTGTGTTTCTATTGTGTGTGTTTTTTTCTCTTGATTATTGGGCAAATGAACTTGATCTTCCACATCTAGTAATTTAAAAAATGTTAGACATTATGTATAATAAAACCATAAAGGGTCCAGATGATATTGCCTTCCACCGAAAGTGTTCCCTTTTTCTTCTGTTGGGCAGGTAGAATAGCCTTTGATCACCTCAATCGAGTCAGAGATTATTCTGAATCAGAAGCTGGTTTCAGTTTTGCTAAGTGTACCTCCGATTCACTTCTGTTCTTAGGGTGTAGCCCTCCAGGGCTTTCAATTGAGAGCCTGGTGGATCTCTGTCTTCCAGCCCTAAAAGATAACAGCAAGTTTTCAGTTTAGCTCTTTAACCTCCTGCTCCATAAAGCTTCAAAATTCAGCAACTCGCTTGAAAGGAAGACTGGCAATGTGTTTGGGACACTCTATAGTCTTCTGTGAAGAATAGAGATCTCTTTTGTTGTTTTCTTTGAGGGACAGCCTGTAGCTTTGCTCAGAATCTGTAAATATTCCCATCAAAAAACCACCTGTAAATTACCAATGTCAATTCCCTACTCCCTCTTATGTTTTTATATTTTACTTCTTTTGTTTTGGGGCTCCTCTTTTCCATAGCAGTTCGTTGATTCTCTAGCACCATGACACTGTGGGGGACTTCACTTTGCATTTCAGAAGTTTGGGGACTACTGTTTTAGCCTCCATACAGTCTCAGAATTCAGTTAATGTCTTAATCATGTATTTAGGGTTTCTCACACCTTCAGTGAGTCACCAAAGCCCCATATAACTGCTAAAAGTTTTGTTAGTTTAACTTTTTTCCGCAGCTGCATCTTTCTGCCTGGACTCAGCCTCATCCTTAGCCTGCACTCCAACCTGGCAATTTTGCCAAGAGGAAAAAATTGTGGACATCATCAAGTCATTACTGGAAAGTTCTCACTTCTCTGGAATTTTAATCCATTTAGTTCTTGTTTTTAAAACCCTCTGATTCCTTTATAAATATATAATTTACCTAGGTTTTTCTCGTTGTTAGTCCAAGTGTTGGCCTGCCACACTGACTATATCCTTTCTGGAAATAGAAATTCTCTCTGTTGCCCTTAATGAATTTAAAAAAATATTTTATACCACTTTATTGTTTATTCTTAGTCCAAAACATGTTTTCTACCATTGTTGGAAGCAGAAGTTCTGGAATTGGTTTCTATATATTTTCAGATCCCGTAAAAATGAATTAAGGTGAATTTGATTAATGTAAATTAGATTTATGTGAATAAAGGATAAATAGTTAAGTTCATCATTGTTGCAATTAGAGAAGTGGTACAGGTTCCCCATTCTAGCACTGAGTATTTGAAATCATACCTCTGCTAAGATCCTGCAAATATTTCAGCTCACTCCCTGTGTGCATTGACACATATTATCAGCCCTCTCTTTTCTTATATTAAACAGGGCCACAAGATGCAACACACGCTTTCTCATTGCTTCACAATTTTTTCTTCTTTCACTTTCATTCAGTCACTTCATATCAGCTATGTGTTAAGCATAGGAGATTTGTCAGTGAAAAAAGTATCAAACTCCTCATCTTTATGGAGATTACATTGTAGTAGGAAGAGACAAACAATAAACAAGAGCAATAACACGCTTCATAGTAGACATATAATTCCAAGCATGTGTACCTATTAGTCTTAAATACAGGAGAGACACTCAAGACAGAAATAAAATGTAATAAAATCCAAACCCTACAGTCTGCAGGGGACTTGGACAAGACCCCAAGATTCTTCAAGGATAGGATAGGGGGGGACAACCTGTAACAATTAATGAAGGTGTAGTATTCAGCTCTTCTATTTCTACTGATAAAGTTCTTTCTCCATACATTATAAAACTTAGATTGTTATTGTTTTAAATTGGGAAGGTTGAAAATGTTGTGATGTACAGGAATAAGGAAAATGAATTCTTACGGTCTGTATATCTTGGTTTAAAAAATGTATGCCCTGGAGTTAAGTTTCAGGTGCCATTTTCCCCTCTCCTATGAGTCTATCCCATACAAATGTTGTAACATCTCCCCAGTTTCTACTGGTTAGATCAGTATTTGTTTTTGTTTCCAGAATTTTCTGATTTCTTGCTGATCCATGAAATAGGAACTTCTTCTTACCTTCTGAAAATATTAAAAGGAGACTTACACCCTTCTTCCTATGCTCACTACTCTTGGTGAAGAGTGATTAAGTGGTGAAAATGGGGAAAAAAAAGCCTATTTTAAAATTCTCTTTCAGATGAACATTCTCACAAAATACATTTTTCTCTTCTGCCCAGGGTAAACTTACTGGGTCAAGCTGCGCCCTTATAAGAGAGGTCAATAGCTTTACATACATATATTCATTTTTGCCAGAGGTCCAAGTCACACTCTCTAAATCATCTTAACCAACAACAGAACTGATATTGGGTTCCAAGCTGGCTCCCTTCTCCACTGATTAAGAACCTATAGACAAAAGGAGCAATTAGTCTCTCCAAGACACTCAATGAATTTTTTGAGTTACTCCAGAACTCCTAAGGGCCACATCTTCCCCCAGATTTCTGCTATTTGTATTATTTAAGCATCGCCCTTTCTCTTGAAGACCCATAGTGTGTACGTTTTAGGAGGCAAAAGTTCATAAACGATAAATAGAATAAGAAGGTTATACTTATACAGAGGAGGCAGATTGGTTGGGGTGGCAGTAGTGATGAAGCGATGAGGATAATGCTGGGGTAAATGTCGATGACAATGTGAGAGAAGCAAAGATGATTGACTTGGACCTGGAGTTCAGTACCTTTTCTATTCTTTCCTTTCTCCTGTATGATTAAGGGAGAAGGAAAAATGACTACAAAGAAATAGTATTTTCTGACTTCAAAGAGGTTATACATTACTATAATGAGACCTTTTGAAAGGAAATGAAATTTAAAAAATACTAAATCATTGCACTGAAAGTTGTTCATGAAAATTAGGACTTAGTGGAATCAAAATTACCCTGAAGTCACAATCCATACAAGCAAGATGAACACGGAGTGAAATATTTAAGGTGTTGAAAGAAAAAACCACCAACCTAGGATTCTGTCCTGGGTCATCCTTCAGAAGTTAGAAGTAATACTTTTAGACAAGTAAAAATCATGGAAATTTGTTATCAGTAGACGTGCTTTGCAAGAAATGTTAAAAAAAAAAAAGTCCTTCAAAGAGAAGAAAAACATATAGGCTAGGATATAATTCAGGAAAGGGAGAATGTTACAGAAAGAATAAATAAGGGTAAAATAAAACATTTTTTTCTTTTCTTTTTTCTTTCTTTCTCTTTCTTTTTTTTTTTCTTTTTTTTTTTTTTTAGACAGAGTCTCACTCTGTTGCCCCGGGCTGGAGTGGTGGAGTGGAGTGGCACAATCTTGGCTCACTGCAACCTCCGCCTCCCAGGTTCAAGCGATTCTCCAGCCTCAGCCTCCCAAATAGCTTGGATTACAGGCATGCACCACCATGCCTGGCTGATTTTTGTATTTTTTGTAGAGATGGGGTTTCACCATGTTGGCCAGGATGGTCTCGATCTCTTGGCCTCTTGATCAACCTGCCTTGGCCTCCCAAAGTGCTGGGATTACAGGCATGAGCCACCGAGCCTGGCTGACAGAAATGTTACAAGGCATGAAAGTAAAAAATTGAAATACTCAAGGATAAGATACTTCCACTACCCTTGAAGTGATATAGTGTTACTTAAAAGTAGAATTGGATTATTTGTAAGTGAGTATTTTAAACTCTAGGATAACCTCTGACAAAAATTTTAAAAAGAAGTATAGTTGATATGGTAAGAGATGAGAAAAAAATGGCATAATATAAAATGCTCAATCAAAATCAGAAGGTCAGAAAAACAGTGGAAAACAAAAATAAAAGGAACAAAGCACAAGGGCAATGAATAGATACTATTCACAAATAAGACAGATATAAATCCAACTATATAAATAATAACTTTAAACATAGTCTAAATATACTAATTAAAAGACAGAGACTGTCAAAGTAGATAAAAAACAAGAACCAACAATATATTGTATACGAGAAACCCACTTTAGACATAATGATACAGATAAATTAATATGAAGGAATAGAGAAAGGCATATCAAGCTAACACTAATCAAGAGGAAGCTGAAGTAGCTATATTAATCTCGACAAAGCAGACTTCAGAACCATAAAAATGATCAGGAATAAGGAGGTGTACTACATAATGGTAAAGGGGTCAATTCTCCAAGAAGACATAACAGCCCTTAATGTACAGGCACCTAACAAAAAAGCATTAAAATACATGAGGCAAAAATTTACAGAATTTCTAGGAGAAATAAATAAATCTACTATTTTAGTTGGGGAAGTCAACAACCTTCTATCACTAATTGACAGATCCAGCAGGCAGGAAATAAGTAATGACATAATTGAACCAAACAGCACCATCAATCACCTAGATCTTATTGACATTTATAGAATACTTCCTCCAACAACAGCAGAATATATATTCTTCTTAAGCTCATACAGAATAGTCACCAAGATAGAACAAATTCTGGATTATCAAACACCCCTTAACAAATTTAAAAGAATAGAACTCATATGAAGTATGCTCTAAGACCACAATGGAATTAAACTAGAAATTGATAACAGAAAAATAGCTAGGAAAATCGCAAGATATTTGAAGATTAAACAACATACTTCTTTCTTTTTATTTTTGTAATCTTTTTCTTCAGCGTTTAAGTTCCAGGGTACATGTGCAGGATGTGCAGGTTTGTTATACAGGTAAACATGTGCCATTGTGATTTGCTGTGCAGATCAACCCCTCACCTAGGTATTAAGCCCAGACTCCATTAGCTATTCTTCCTGATGCTCTCCCTCTCCCTGCCCCCTCAACAAGCTCCTGTGTGTGTTGTTCCTCCCCATGTGTCCATGTATTCTCATCGTTCTGCTCCCACTTATAAGTGAGAACATACGGTGTTTGGTTTTCTGTTCCTGTGTTAGTTTGTTGAGGATAATGGCTCCCAACTTCATCCGTGTCCCTGCAAAGGACGTGATCTCATTCCTTTTTATGGCTGCATAGTATTCCATAATGTATATGTACCACATTTTCTTTATCTAGTCTATCACTGATGGACATGTGGGTTGATTTTGTGTCTTTGCCATTGTGAATAGTGCTGCAATGAACATATGCATGCAAGTATCTTTATATTAGAATGATTTATAATCTTTTGGGTATATACCCAATAATGGGATTGCTGGGTCAAATGATATTTCTACTTCTAGATCTTTGAGGAATCGTCACACTTCCACAATGATTGAACATTCACATTCCCACCAACAGTGTAAAAGGGTTCCTTTTCTTCCACAACCTTGCTGGCATCTGTTGTTTCTTGACTTTTTAAATAATCACCATTCTGACTGGCATGAGATGGTATCTCATTGTGGTTTTGATTTGCATTTCTCTCTCTCTCTCTATTTTTTTTAAGACCAAGTCTCATTCTGTCACCCAGGCTGGAGAGCATTGGCGTGATCTCAGTTCACTGTAACCTCTGCCTCCCGGGTTCAAGTGATCCTCCTGCTTCAGCCTCCCAAGTAGCTAGGATTATAAGCATATGCCACCATGCCCAGCTAATTTTCAGTAGACACAGGGTTTTGCCATGTTTGCCAGGCTAGTCTTGAACTCCTGATCTCAAGTGATCCGCCTGCCTTGGCCTTCCAAAGTTCTGGGATTACAGGCGAGAGACATTGCACCCAGTGTGCGTTTTTCTAATCATCAGTGATGTTGAGCTTTTCTTCATATGTTTGCTGGCTGCATGAATGTCGTCTTTTGAGAAGTGTCTGTTTGTGTCCTTTGCCCACTTTTTAATGTTGTTTTTTTTTTGTAAATTTGTGTAAGCTCCTTGTAGACTCTGGAAATTAGACCTTTGTCAGATGGATAGATTGCAAAATTTTTCTCCCATTCTGTAGGTTGTCTGTTCACTCTGATGATAATTTCTTTTGCTGTGCAGAAGTTCTTTAGTTTAATTAGATCCCATTTGACAATTTTTGCTTTTGTTGCAAAGGCTTTTGGTGTTTTTGTCATGAAATCTTTATCTGTGCCTATGTCCTGAATGGTATTGCCTAGATTTTCTTCTAGAGTTTTTATAGTTTTCATAAACAACACAATTCTAAACAACAAATGAGTCAAAGAAGAAGTCTTAAGAGAAATTGAAAAATATTTTGAACTAAATAAAAAATGAAAGTACAACTTATCCAAATTTATGGAATGTAGGGAAAGCAGTGCTTAGGGGGACATTTATGGCATTAAATGCATATTTAGGGAAGAAGAGACACTTAAAATCAGTCAGTAATCTAAGCCCTCAAATTAGAAAATTAGAAAAAGAAGAGCAAATTAAATACTAAGTAAGCAGAAGAAATAATAAAAATTAGAGTAGAAATCAATGAAATGGAAAACAATAAAGAAAATCAGCAAACCAAAAGCTAGTTCTTTCACAAGACAATAGATTCGGTAAGTCTGCAGTCCCACTAGTCAAGAAAAAAGAGAGAAGACACAAGTTCCTAATATCACAAATGAGAGAGAAGTCATCACTACTGATCCCACAGACATTAAAATAATAATAAAGGAATATTATTAACAACTCTATGCCCACAGATTTGATAACCCAGGTGAAATAAACAAACTCCTTGAAAGACACAGTATCAAAATTCACAGAACCAGAAATAGACAATTTAAAGAGACCTATATCTATTAAAGAAATTGAATAAATAATTAATGTCTTCTAAAACAGAGGGAACCAGGCCAGGAGGAATCACTAGTACATCCTATGAAACATTTAAGGAATTAATGACACAAATTCCATACAATCTCTTCCATAAAATAGATGCAGAGAGACTACTTCTTAAGTCATTCTATCAGGGCAATATTACTCTGATACCAAAACCAGAAAAAGACATTATAAGGAAAAAAAAAAAAAAAAACTACAGAGCAATATCTCTCATGAATACAAGCAACATTCCTCAACAAATTATTAGCAAATCGAACCCAACAATGTAGAAAAAGAATTATACAACATGATCAAGTGTGATTTATTTGAGGTGTGCCATGCTTCTTCAACATTAAAAAATCAATTAATGTAATCTACCACATCAACAGGTAAAAGAAGAGAAATCATATAATTATATAAATAGATGCAGAAAAAGCATTTCACAAAATCCAACACGCATTCATAATAAAGACTTAGCAAACTGGGAATAGAGGGGAATGTCTTCAATTTGACAAAGAATAGCTTTAAAAAACATATAGCTAACATCATACTTAATGGTGAGAAACTAAATACTCTCTCCCTAAGATCAAGAATATGACAATAATGTCCCCTCCCACCACTCCTATTCTACATTGTACTGGAAGTCCTAGCTAATTCAATAAGGTAAGAAAGGAAATAAAAGGTATACAGATCAGGAAGGAAGAAATAAAGCTGTTTTTGTTCACAGATATCATGATTGTGTAAACAGAAAATCCCAAAGAATAAACCAAAAATCTTCTGGAACTTATGAATGATTAAAAAAACTACAGGATAAAAGATTAATAGACAAAAGTCTACTTTTTTCTATAAAACATCAATAAACGAATGGAATTGGAAAGCAAAAACAAAACACCATTTACATTAGCACCAAAAAAATAAGCTATTTAGGTACAAGTCTAATAAAATATGCATAAAATCTACACGAGGAAAACTACAAAATTTTGATGAAAGAAATCAGAGATCTAAATAAATTGTGAGATATTCATGCTTATGGGTAAGAAGACTCAGTATTGTTAAAATGTCAGTTCTTTCTATTGTGCATATAGATTCAATGCAATCCCAGTTAAATATCAGCAAGTTATTTTGGAAAGCTATTTCAAAAGTTGATATGAAAAGGCAAAAGAACCAGAAAGCTAACACAAACAAAATTTGGAGGACTGATACTACTTGATTTCAAAATGTACTGTATAGTCCTTAAAACAGCTGTGGTATTAGAGAAAAAAATAAATACATCAATATCACAGAACAGAGAGCCCATAAATTGACATAAATATAGTCAACTGACCTTTGACAAAGAAGAAGAGGCAATATAATGGAGCAAAAATAGTCTTTTAAACAAATGATGCTGGAACAGCTGGACATCCACGTGGTAACGAAAATTAATCTGGACACAGAACTTATACCTTCACAAAAATTAACTCAAAATGGATCATAGACATAAATTTAAAATGAAAAAATATAAAGCTTCTAGAAGATAACAATATCAAAGTGAGAAAATCAAGGTGACCTTGGGTTTGAAAATGAGTTTTTAGAAAAGACACCAAACGCATGATCCATGAAAAAAAAATTTTAAGTGAGACTTCCATAAACTTAACACTTCTGCTCTGCAAAAGACACTGTTAAGAAAATGATAAGCAAGCCATAGACTGGGAGAAAATATTTGCAAAACATATCTGTTGAAGAATTCGTATAGGAAATATGCAACAAACTCTTAAAATAACAGTAAGAAAGCAAACCTAAGTTTAAAATAGGCAAAAGATCTGAACAGACACCTCACCAAAAAAGGCATTCAGATGGCAAATAAGCATACAAGGTACTCTACATTGTATCTCAGCATGGAATTTCAAATTAAAATAACAATGAGATACTACTATATACTAATTACGGCAGCTAAAATTCAACATTGACAACACCAAATGCTGATAAGGATGTGGAGCAATAGGAACTCTCATTTTTTTTCTCATGGGAATCCAAAATAGTACAGCCACTTTGGAAGATAGTTTGGCAGTCTCTTACAAAGCTGAAAATAATCTTACCACATGATCTTGCAATTGTGTTCCCTGGTGTTTATCCAAATGAATCGAAAGTTTATGTTCACACAAAAACCTGCAAATAAATATTTATTAATAAGCGCCAAGACTTGGAAACAACCAAGATGCTCTTAAGTGAAGGTATAAAGACACTGTGATACATCCATAGAATGGAATTTAACTCAACTATGAAAACTAATTAGTTAATTATCAAGCCATAAAGAGACATGCAGGAACCTTAAATGCAGGAACCTATTAAATGTTGCTAAGTGAAAGAAGCTAGTAGGAAAAGGCTATATACAATATGATTCCAACTATATGACACCTGGAAAAGACAACACAATAGGACAGTCATAAGATCAGTGGTTTCCAGGGTCCCAGGGAAAGGGAGGGAGGGATGCAGAGCATAGTGGACTTTTAGGGCATTCTGTATCATACACTAATAGTAAATATATGACATTATATATTTGTCCAAACCCTTAGAACTATACAACACAAACAGTGAACTCTAATGTAAACTATGGACTTTAGTTAGTGATGATAATTCAATATGGTTCATTGGTTATAATAAATGTACCACACTAATGCAACAAATTGATATTAGGGTAAACTATGCAAGGTGGGGCAGTTGGTGGGGATGGAATATACGGGAATACAGGAACTCTACTTTTTGCTCAATTTTTCTGTAAACCTAAAACTGCTCTAAAAATAGTTTATTATTTCAAACAAAAAGAAAAGAAAAGCTACCCTAATAAAAGTTTAGACCCAGCTCTGCTACTGTTGTTGCAGGATCTTTGGGGTGTTGTTTTTCTGGCCAGAAACCTCTGTGGCCAGTGGAGCCTTTGCCTGAGTTCTTGTCCTGCATCTGGGAAGAATGAGGTACCAGATAAGTGGAAGGTGAACAAGATGAATAGAAGCTTTATTGAGTGTTACAACAGCTCGGAGGAAACCCACAGTGGGTAATTCCTCTCCATAGACAGGTCATCTTGCGGAATGTTCAGCTCTCAGCAGAGAGGAGGCCCTGAGAGGGTAGCTCCTCTATGCTGCTGGTCCTCCCATCCTCTCTCCATCCTCTGCCCTGCTCTTGCTGAGCTGGGGCTTTTATGGACCTCAGAGGGGAGTAAGTGCGTGCTGATTGGTCCATGGGTGGCCATGGGTGGGCCTGGAGGAGGCACCACAAGTCCCTACTCCAGTCTGCAGGACTGGCAGCCTGGCCCTCAGCCTTCAGGCCCTCCTTGGCTTGAAGGTGGGGCCTTACTGGGGACCCATCCCCTTCCGCCCAGGAATCTGTCTGTCTCTCCTGCCATTCATAGTCCTGGGGCTCAGTCCCAACCCGGCTCTGAGATTAGAGCAAGCACAAGGAGAGGAGAGAGGCCAGGCAGTGGGAGTGGACATCCCCGAGCCAGCAGAAATTGAATGGGTGGGGCTTTCCCAGGCCCCTGGGGATGCAGGCTACAGAGACGCCTAGGTCCTGCACCTGGGAGGGCAGTCACAGCTGCACCCAGCGAGCTCCTGCTCCACCAACTCGGAAGGGGCAGGTCTCCAACTTGTCCCCGGCTCCTGCCTGCTCTGTGGATGGAGTGGGACAACCAGGTCTGCAGCTGCAGGTCGGGCAGCTGCAGCGGCACCCAGGAGGGCAGACCCTGCCTGCTTCTGGCTCCCCCGCTGTCATCACTACCAACTGACTGTGATGTTAGGAAAGTAATTTAACTCTTCTGAGCCTCAGTTTCATCATTTATAAAATGAAAGACCTGAGCTAGATGATCTCTAAGTTTTTCTCCATAGAAGATTCTGTCATTCTGCATCTATCAATATAAAGATGTCTGGCCTCTGACATATATTAAGGTAGAAAGAAAGAGGATTTTGAACAAAAATAATTAATCAATTTAAGTAAAACCTAAAGGGACATCTGGCAAATTAAAATTTGCTTAAAATTCCAGCAAATAAATGAAAATGAATATAATTCTTGGATGAATCTAATGATGGAATGTAATTTACGTGAAAGAAATAATGGGGAAATGGAGCATACATAGGAATTTGATGAAGCATTCATTTCAAGAAGAAAGGTAACACCAGATGGCTCAGATATCATAAAATAAAATGGCATTGCCAAATGATAACAAAAAGCTTGTCAATACATGGAAAGTCTACAAAAATTATGAAATGATGTGTGACTCTTGGAATTATTATCTAGAATTTTCTCATCCTTATGAATCAGACAATTATGTCTACAGAGATGCTGAAATATAGGCATTGTTTCTGCCCGATATGAATGTGAATCAGAACCTAGGATAGGATATGCACTGACTACCTATCAAGCAGCTCAGTGTAATGTTTAAGAACCAAAATGCATGGGTTTCCTATCTTAGCTCTGCCATTGACAGGTTGTGTGACTTTGGGCAGTTTATCTAATTTACTCTGTTCTTCCATTTCCTCTTTTGTAAAATGGAGATAATAGTAACCATCCTCAAAGAGGATAAAATGAGTTAAAATTTGTAAAGTGTAAAGCTCAGAGCCTGACCCATAGTATTAGATGCGTGTTTGTTATTTTTTAAAAAATGCATAAAATTTGAATCCTGGTCTCCTTAAGACTAGCCCACTATCTTATAATTCAGCACTTTTTATTTTATTTTATTTATTTATTTTTTGAGACAGAGATTGGCTCTGTCACCCAGACTGGAGTGCAGTGGTGTGATCTCAGCTCACTGCAACATCTGCCTCTCAGGTTCAAGCAATTCTCCTGCCTCAGCCTCCCAAGTAGCTGGGATCTGGGATTATAGGTATGTGTCAGTACGCCCGGCTAATTTTTTGTATTTTTAGTAGGGATGAGGTTTCACCATGTTGGCCAGGCTGGTCTCGAACTCCTGACCTCAAGTGATCCACCCACCTTGGCCTCCCAAAGTGCTGGGATTACAGACGTGAGTCACCACACCCAGTCAGTTCAGCACTTTTTAAAAGGATAATCATAAAGGCGGGGCACGGTATCTCATGCCTGTAATCCCAGAACTTTGGGAGGCCGAAGCAGGTGGATCACCTGAGGTCAGGAGTTCAAGACCAGCCTGGGCAACATGGAGAAACCCCCATCTTTACTAAAAATACAAAAATTAGCTTGGCGAGGTGGTGCATGCCTGTAATCCCAGCTACTCAAGAGGGTGAGGCAGGAGAATTGCTTAAGCCCAGGAGGCAGAGGTTGCAGTGAGCTGAGATTGCACCATTGTACTCCAGCCTGGGCAAGAGAGCCAGACTCCATCACATAAAAAAAAAAAAAAAAAAAAAAAGGCTGGGGTTCAGTGGCTCATGCCTGTAATCCCAGCACTTTGGGAGGCCAAGGCAGGCAGATCACAAGGTCAAGAGATTGAGACCATCCTGGCCAACATGGTGAAACCCTGTCACTACTGAAAGTACAAAAATCAGCTGGGCGTGGTGGCGGGCACCTGTAGTCCCAGCTATTCAGGAGGCTGATGCAGAAGAATTGTTTGAACCTGTAAGGTGGAGGTTGCAGTGAGCCGAGATCACGCCACTGCACTCACTCCAGTCCGGCAACAGAGCGAGACTCCGTCTCATTAAAAAAAAAAAAAAAAATTGAATACCAGGAAATAACCCCACATATCTCTTTGTACCACCATTTTGCTGCACATAAGAGAACACTGTACTCCATTGGCTTAAACAAATAGGGGGTTGTTTTTCTTAAATCACAAGAAGTCTGGAAGGTGGTAACTGCCCACTTGGTTCAGCAGGTTATTGATATCAGGGCAAATATCTATGAAATTCTCTGTTCTTTCTCTCACGCTTACAAGATGGCAACTGCACCTCCAGCCATGATACGCACAGTGAATTCAAAAAACAGGGAAAGAAAAGGACTACACTAATAAAATATTTCTCAGCAGTCCTTCCAGCAGATTCTGACTTGACTCAGAATCATGGCTTGGCCCAGCCACCTCACTGTATTCCAGGTAATCTTCTAAACGTCCTTGTGGGTCTGATCATCTTCTACAGCCACAGCCTAGACATCAGTGATGTGAGCCATTCATCTGCTTTTTTTTGACAGGTGAAGTTTTGAGGGGAATGGAAACCGGATGCTGAGCTCCTGGGGGAACAAGGTGTCAGAACAAGCTTTGGTTCTGACAGGCCTGCTAAGGTCTTCTCTCGGGCGAGGGAAGCTGGAGTCCTCTGGGCTCTCAGTTGGCTAGCGTCACAGATAATTTAAACTGGCTTTTGGCACTTGGCAGGGCAGCTTGGTGCTAACATCTCTCATGGCAAATCCCATGTCTCTTGAAAACTAAATAATGGTGCTTAGTTTAATTTTGTTGCACTCCTCTTTTGTGCTGGATGTTTATTATGCTAGTTTCTAAAACTGACTTTCAACTACCTCTGTGGATGACTAACACAGGGGCCCAATAAATGGACTGCAGGCATTTTAGCTGCCTTTAATTCAAGGGAAAAAGTTACTTAATATGGTAAGAAGTATCAACCCATCCTATCATCCCTGCATTCCACATTTCTGTAATACTGCTTTGTGCAGAGGCTATCAATTTCCCCAAAGCCTTGCCTTCTATGGACAGAGTCTGGGTACAAAGAGGATAGTTTAATTAGCTGCTTCACATATCTCAAACTATTGGGAAATAAGATTTCCATCTTACACAAGAGAGGGAATGCCTGCTGATAACTGCCTCACCTATGGATTGGCTACTTGGATGTGAAGAGCATCCCAGGGCAATTCCTATTATATGGGGGATGGTCATTGTGCAGGAATGCCCAAGGGTTGAGATGCCACAGACATCTTGAGAAGATGCCATGATTGCATTTAGTATAATGTGAAAGTGCTTTCTAGATGGCACAGTACTATGCAAATGCAGGCATTATTATAGAATTTCAACCAGAGCTGGCCCTTGGAAGATGAGTAGAATTTCAGCAGATGGAGAAGGTAATATGAATCATTAGTGCTTGAAGGGTGTGGAAAAGTAAAAGTAAATGCTGAGTTTTGGGAGAAAATATGTATTCCTATAATAACGGAATACATAATTATTTAGAAAGATGCAGTTACAGAAGTTCAAAAACGGGGTTAAGGTCAGCCAAACCACAGAGGATGTTGAATGCCATGCTAAGGGAGTGAGATTTCCTGCAGGTCATGAGAAATCACTGACAATTTTTTAGGAGAGAAGTAATCTAATCTGATCTATATTTTCAGGAAGATAATCCTAGTGGCAGTGATAAGGATGACATGGAAATGCAAACGTGGAGGCAGTAAGACCACTTACAGAGCTTACTCAGTAAGGCAACAGCAGGAAAAATAGACTTGAAGGTTCAAATTGGAGAAACGTTGCAGAGAACAAATTACTAGAATTATACTATTGATGGGAAATTGTGGTAACAACTGTTAGTGGTCTCCTAATATCTCCTTTCTCTCTTGGATTAGTCTGCTTGGGCTGCCACAACAAAGTAACACAAACTGGGTGGCTGAAGTGACAGAAACATATTGTCTCTCAGTTCTGGAGGATATACCTCTGAAATCAAAGTTTCAGTGGGGTTAGTTACTTGTGGGGGCTGTGCGGGAGAATCTGTTGCACGCCTCTCTCCTTGTTCCTAGTGACAGCAGGCAGTCCTTGATGTTTCTCCCGTGTGTTTCTGTCTTTTCTTCTCTTTTTCTTTTTTCTTTTCTTTTCTTTCTTTTCTTTTCTGTTCCTCCTCTCCTGTCTTCATTCTTCTTCTTCTTCCTCTTCTTCCTCTTCCTCCTCTTCTTCTTCTTCTTCCTTTTCTCTCTCTCTCTCTCTGTCTCTTTCTTCTTCTTTCAACAGAGTCTCACTTTGTCACCCAGTCTGGAGTGCAGTAGTGCAAAACCAACTCACTGCAGCTTCCACCTTCTGGGCTCAAACAATCCTCTGACTTCAGGACTCCTACTTCAGTCCCAAGTAGCTGGGACTGCAGGCAGATGCCACCACACTCGCTTAATTTTGGTATTTTTTGCAGAGATAGGGTTTTGTCATATTGCCCAGGCTGGTCTCCAACTCCTGAGATCAGGCAATCCCCACCTATCTCAGCCCCCCAAAGTGCTGGGATTACAGGTGTGAACTATCGCACCTGGCCTTTTCTGTTTCTTTATAAGGACACCAGTCATATTAGATAAGGGACTCACCTTACTCCAGTATGATGTCATCTTGACTAATTATATCTGCAATATCCCTGTTTCCAAATAATGCCACATTCTGAGGTACTGGGAATTAGAACTTCAACATATCTTGTTAGGGGACACAATTCAATCCAGGACATCTCATTTCCATGCTAATGGAGTTCTGATTTCCGGCTGGCACATTTCTACCCAGAAAGGAGGCTACTTTTCCCAGCTGTGGCCACATGGATAAATGTGGGCCAAAGAAGTGAAGGTGGAAGTGTTGTGTGACAGTATCTTCTGCAAACTTTTCTTAAGGGTCAGTGTACATGCCCCTTTTGACTCATCTTCATGTTTTCCTCCACCCTGCTTTAAGAAATAGAGTCGTAAATTCCAGCCAAAGTAGCCTTAACTCTTACAGATGAGGAGGAGGGCTTGAGTAGGATTCCAAACTGGGCCTGCCAGGGTCCTGCAGACACTGTGGGTAAGACATTCACAGGGCACTCTTTCAAACAAAAAATCCAGAAATCCCAACTGCAGTCCACTATGAGCTGACTCTAGCACAAAGGTGGGCATTTTTTAATTTTAATTTTTGGCTGACACAATTTTTAAATATTTGAATGGAAATGTCTTTACTAAAGAGTAAATGGCATTTGCTCCACTTTTTCAGAGACTCAATCGTGCCCTATTACCTTACATCTAGATTTACTTATGATACATGCCTGATCTTTAAAGAATTTGACTATTATATCCTTTAAATATTCAACACTTATTTAGAATAGAGGCTGAAGGCTTCTATTCTAGAATGATCTAGAAGGATTGGAGAAGGAAGGTCCTCTGGTAGGATGTCCACCTCTTCTCTACTACTCAGAGCAATTTAGCTCTGCTCCAACTCCTAAATACTTCATTCAGCAAAACAAAACCTGTGCAATTACTCGAATGACAGCAGCAGTCCTTGGGATTCCTGGGATCCTCATCATTCCAATCTCTGTCTCTGCCTTCACATCTCATTTTCCCTGTGTATCTCTGTCTTCTAATAAGGATGCCAGTCAAATTGCATAAGGGACCCATCCTACTCTAGCATTATGTCATCTTGACTAATTACATCTGCAATGTATACCCATCGGGGGTGGAGATTTTATAATCATTTACTGTCACTCTAGAATGCTTTAGAAAGTCTCTCTCACCAGTCACCACCATCCATCCAACCAAGTAGCTTGTGATAACATTTCTTTTAACATCATACAGTAGTCTCCCTGAGAAGAATTTGGGTGAGTATATTACTTTCAACTTGCTAGCTTCCAGGGACATTTTAGCACCATTAAGAGACTGGCACCTCCAGGCCATCTGGCTCTGTCCTGACTTTTCTAATTGCAGTGGGTCAGTTTTTGAGGAGGAAATAATGAGTATAATGAATGCATGTAGGATTTGTGTCACCAGTAAGCCATCCAGGTAGACCATTCAGAGCAGGGTGGCTACAACATATGTCCCAAAGAGGGACTGTCAGATGAAGTGGACTTAATTGAGTCTTGCTGGATGTGTTGGGTTTGGATACATGCACACGAAGAGAGAGCATTCCAAGCTTGATGAGGAGCACTGGTAAATGCACTTCTAGTACTAGAGAGTGACGGAGATGTTTTGCATCTGTATGAGATCATGCAAGACTCACGACTCATCTAGACCCTAATTTTTCTAACACTTTTCAATGACCCTCCATAGAATCCTCGGTGTTTAGAAATCTTATAGAGTTCTCTGTAGCAAAAACAGTCCATTTTAAAATCAGTGAAAACTTGCAGCATCAACACAACCACTAGTAGCTGCTGCTCATTTGGCCTGTAAAGAACAATTTTTACTGGTTAATAGCAAAAAAAAGACAAACAAACAAACCAAATCCAAAACAAAAAAACAACAACCCCCAAAACAAACACAAAAAACACCTGGCTAATTAAATGCATTGGTACTGCATTTTGTGTCTATGGCAATTTGAAAAAGCTGTAATAAGCATCAATTGTAAGGAAAAAAAAGAGTAATTTTTACCTACTTCTTTCTCTTAATCTTTCCCAACTGCCCTCCAGGGTAAAAGAACTCTGTCACCTCAGTTCATATAAACAAACATGAACAACACACAGTAGGTTCTAGAAGTGTAGTTTCTTAATTGGTTTTGAGTTCCATATAATCCTAAAAAGTAGCTTTCTCAATTCAAAATACAGACATTACTGTGTATTTAGTGGTGAAAACTTTAAAAGAACATAAATATCCAAAAAGAAAAAAAGTTTAAGCAAAATATATGTCCATATGATGTTGTGCTATGCAATCATTAAACATGAGTTTTACAATGTTTTAAATAGGAGAAAATTGCTATTAAACTTGAGGCAGAAGAAATCTCTGTGATGCAAGTTGTTATATAGTATGTCACAATCAGCTAACTCTATATTGTAAAAGACTTGCAGGAATATGCTAAAATGTTCATTGTTTTCTCTGGGTGGAGAGAGTGGGGAAAATGTTTTTTTAAAAGTAGCGTTTCCATTTTAGTATCATAAATACGCTACATTTATAATGAATAAAAATAATTCAGAGGTATCTTTTCTGTAATACTGAAGACTTTTTCCATGCCCAGGCCTCTGAGGGGGACATGTCCTAACTTTCACCCTTGAAGTACAGATAAATGGGGAGAAAAAATTTGTTCCAAATATATTGATATTGTTAGAAAATGCTTATCTCATGTAAATGCAGAACCAAAGGAAATGTGTAAATATCGAATACTGCAAGGATATGTATAAACACAATTCTTCCTCCTGAACTTTTAAGCAACGACCAATAGTTACATAAAGTTGGCTTCTTGGAATACAATTTAAGGGTGACATAGGAGTCCCAGTCATTTCCCAAATTAACAGGTATTATCATCAGTATGTCAGACAGACATCCTCCCTGATACGGTTTGGCTGTGTCCCCACCCAAATTTCATCTTGAATTGTAGCTCCCTTAATCTCCACGCATTGTAGGGGGGGAACTGGTGGGAGGTAATTGAATCATGGGGGCAGGTTTTCCTGTGCTGTTCTTGTGATAGTGAATAAGTCTCAGGAGATCTGATGGTTTTATAAAGGGCAGTTTCCTGCACACACTCTTTTGCCTGCCACCACGTAAGATGTGACTTTGCTCTTCCTTTATCTTCTGCCATGAGGGTGAAGCCTCCCCAGCCATGTGGAACTGTGAGTCCATTAAGACTCTTTTTCTCTATGAATTATCCAATCACAGGTATTTCTTCATAGCAGTATGAAAATGGACTAATACACCCCCCCTCCAAAAGAAAAAAAAGGAATGAACAGTCTGTCTCAATTATTAGAAGTACTTAAGAAAGGGTATCTTCAGCCCCATATATAGTCTAAGAAATATTACAACAATCAAAGAATATAGCTTGAAGCTAAAACGGGTTCTTGAAATCTTCCCTTGGTGTTTCTTATGTTTACTGCTATTGATGAAATTCAACTGGATGAGGCTTTTCTCCTCCAGTCTCACTAACTGTGTAGTAGAATGAAAAAGATAAAAAAAAAGACATGCAAATATTTCTTCTATACATAGAAAACAGTATTATCTAAATCAAATATGGAATCATCATAAGAATACTTAGAAGTGAATAATGTATTATAGTTCATAAAAAGTAATAACTTACCTAATGAAGTTTTAAAAGCAATTGTTTACGCTGTAAAAACACAATGTGTGTAGATTAATATTTTCCACAAAAGTTATCTGTAAAACATGACTAAGATTGTTAGATATGGTCTGAAAAGCACAGAAAGCAAGCCTGGACATGTTAATAGTTATCAAGAAGTTCCAAAAATTGTGAACTGACATTCTCATAAAATAGTATTTGAGTCAAGTTTTATACAAACGCTTCATTTTTTTAAAGCACAAAACTATCTGATCATGGTTGGCAAATCATGAAAAAACAAAAGCAAACCCAGCAGAATAGGTTCTAAATACTTAATTAAGAGTTATAGTTATTTATTTAAAAGAAACTGGTCGGGCGCAGTGACTCACACCTGTAATCCCAGCACTTTGGGAGGCCGAGGCAGGTGGATCATTTGAAGTCAGGAGTTCAAGACCAACCTGGCCAACATGGTGAAACCCCATCTCTACTAAAGATACAAAAAAAATTAGCCAGGTGTGGTGGCATGCGCCTGTAGTCCCAGCTACTTGGGAGGCTGAGGCAGGAGAATAGTTGAACCCAGGAGGCAGAGGTTGCAGTGAGCTGAGATCATGCCACTGCACTTCCGCCTGGGTGACAGAGCTAGACTCTGTCTCACAAAAAAACAAAAAGAAAAACAAAACAAAAAACCTGACCATTAAAAATGGCTTTATGAAAATATTATTTCATTTTGTAACAATGGGGTTGGGGAGTCTTAATAATTGTCTAACATGTAAAGTAGGAAGGGTATATCAAACTTTGCAAATATCACATTAACTCATAAAACTTTATTAAGGCTCTATTGAGAGGTGAGGCCAGCTGGACCTCCTGAGACAAGTGGGGACTTGGGGAACTTGCCTGTCTTACAAGAGGAGTGTAAAATGCACCAATCAGCGCTCTGTAAAAAGCACCAATCAGCACTCTGTAAAACACACTAATCAGCACTCTGTAAAACGCACCAATCAGCAAGATTTTAAAAGTAGCCAATCGCAGGGAGGACTGAAAAAAGGGCACTCTCATAGGACAGAAACAGAACACTGGAGAGGACAATAAGGGAATAAAAGCTGGCCACCCCAGCCAGCAGCAGCAACCCGCTCCAGTCCCCTTTCATGCTGTGGAAGCTTTGTCCTTTCACTCTTCACAATAAACCTTGCTATCGCTCACTCTGGGTCTGTGCCATCTTTAAGAGCTGTAACACTTACCACCAAGGTCTGCCGCTTCATTCTTGAAGTCACTGAGACCACTAATCTACCGGCAGGAACCAATTCCAGACACATTATTAAGGTAGGTAGATCTTCAATAGATCTACTCTTTTTTATTTTTATTTTTTTGGCAGTTTATAACCATGTACCAAGGATGCACAATTAAAAAAATAAAGCCAACTTTTACATTAAGATTTAACCAAAAATCATCAATAATACATCGTTTTAATGCTAGTAGAATCTTCTTCTGACATCAGTTCTATTAGCATAATTATAATGCCAATTAAAAAAATCTAGTGGGTCTCTTCATTTTAGTTTAGAGCTTGATTGGAAACATTCAGGAAAACATCCATGGCTTGCTTGCTACTTTCTCTTTACCTCTAGCACTATGCTTCTCCCCACCAGCCCTCCCTCCACATCCTCTGACTCAGAGACTATTTGAAGAGGACACCTGTTTTAAATGGATCCACAGGAAATACCTATGTTGCCTTTTCATAATCCGAACCTGCAACTGGTTGGCTGAAATGAAAATGTTGCCCACAGACTGATGCAACTTCAGTGTGACAACATTTACTGGAAGGCAGGAGGGACTCCAGTTTATATTTATTTTCCTTCCATTAAGCCCTGGTAGTGTAGTGTAAGAAAAAAGTAAGGGCAAAACCAGTTTAACAACCAGATGATTAGTATTAAATTACACGCAGGGGTTTTACATCCAAAATTGGAATTTTTTAAAGCTGAATGCAATCTTGTGGCAGAAAGTTATTTGAAAATCCTTTCTTTATAGCTTTTTATCTATAAACCTCTTGTCCAAAGTTCATATTCTAGCTGATGTTATATACTGATATGACATTATTCAATCTGTCATGGAAAAGTGCTGCGTAGCCTACCCATTGAAAGCAGAATTGAGAGAGTTTCCTAGTGATTGACAGTCGTTTGTCAACACTGAAAACCTTATTGCCCCAAAATACTGAAAGTCACTCGCGGCTGCCTGTGCTCGGGTTTACACCCCACGTTCACACCCCCACCGGATCCCTCCGCACGGGGCACCAGCTCTCGGCCAACTGCAACTACCCCAGGAAGCGTCACCGCGATTCCGGGGCGGGAACATTTGTGGACACTGGGGTCCACTCCTTCAGTCTAGGTTCCCCGCCCCCTCGCCCGGCCCGGCGCCCACTAGCCACAGGGCCCGCTTCCCCCTGGAGATCAGCGCGCACTTCCCGAGCCCTCGTAGCACTCAGAGGTCGCATCCACACCTGGGATGCCTAGGGGGCGCCTCCTGGCCGGGTGTCCCGGGACCCTGCGAACGCAGGAGCAGAATGACGAAGGTGACGAAAGAGATGACGACACGCCGCCTGCCAGGCCGCGGCCGGCAGTGGAGAGCGTCCGCAAACCGCGCCCGGCCAGTACAGGTCACCCGGGCGCTCGCGGCCGCGCCAGTCCCCGGGGGCGCGCGCCCCGCCCCCGCCCCCGCCCCCGCCCCGCCCCGCCCCGCGCCCGCGCCCGCGCCCGGGTTCCCACGGCGCCCGCCCCCGCGCGCCCGGCGCCTCCCTCACGCCCGCCCTCCTTGCCGCCCAGCCGGTCCAGGCCTCTGGCGAACATGGCGCTTGTCCCCTGCCAGGTGCTGCGGATGGCAATCCTGCTGTCTTACTGCTCTATCCTGTGTAACTACAAGGCCATCGAAATGCCCTCACACCAGACCTACGGAGGGAGCTGGAAATTCCTGACGTTCATTGATCTGGTAAGGCCGTCCCCTCCCCCTGCTCGCCCCGCACCCCGTGCCTGTGTGTGCGTGTGTGTGTGTGTGTGTGTGTGTGTGTGTGGATGCGCGAGCACCTGCGCACGTGCGCGCCTCCAGCATCCACCCGTGTCCTCGCCTCTTCCCCAGTGATTGCGTGTGAAGGCCTGGCTGCCCCCGCAGCGGCACCTTCTGAACCACTCACCGTTACCTGGTAGCTGGGTACCCTTACCTGGCAACTGGGGGACAAATGGAGGTGGGGCGCAGCCAGGTGGTGGGCTCTTTGGAGGGGGACACCGAACTGCTTCTAAGAGGTGACACGGGAAGAATCTTCAACAAAAGCATCGGACCTGATCCTGAATGGCCTGAGACCCATTCGCCCTCAAGGTGCTTTTCAGAGCACCCACCGTGGGATGAACTTGTTGCAACTGAAGGAAACTGGGTATTGTCTAGTGATTTGGAACTTCACCTGAAAGAACCAAATCCTTCTCATAAGGGAGAGAAAGCACCTAATAAAGTTGTCTTCTTTGCATCTGTTTTTTTCCCCCATTGTCAATAATTTACTTTCAACCTTTACCCCGTACATATTAGGAGACAGAGATGTTCAAAGTGCATTTCCAAGGTGACTGTACACACTTCTCTGTCTTCCCATGTACAAATTTACAGTAGTTTGCATAAGCAGCTCCTCTGTTGGCACAATATGATAATCTTGACAGGTGCAGGTTATTATTAGTATATCATTTTGAAAGTTTTTCTATTTCTGGCACTAAAAGGCCCTCTTCAACCTCCCTGGAGAACAGAACATGGGCATAAGGCCCAATAATGAACTCATGGATGGACCTAGGAATTTCAGGGTAAAGGTGACTAAGACACACGCTAAAAGATTATTAGGAAGAGGCTTAAAACAAAAGCAATGAAGTTCTAAAGCACTCAGAGAAATTGTAGAACCAATTCCTGGGACTCCCTGAACTGTTTATCCAAGACTATACAGTTGGTTGGCTACACCAGCAAGATTATAATCTCTTGTTGACCCTCCATTCTGATGAAGAGAACATGATACCTGTTTTAAAAATTTCCAAAGGCTTAGGATGCCTCAAAGAAATGCAGAGAGGCTTTTGGTTTAAAAATAACACCTTATATTTGCATTATATTAGATACTTTCAGAGTGGAATTTCAATTCTGTTGCCCAGCAGTCTCCAAACTGTGCACATACCCTTAGGCCCACAAGACTTCACAGGGTATAGAATGTTGCAAGGGTTTTAATTTTCAGATCCTCATCTTCCAACTCTGCTTGAAACTAATTTCCCTCTGAACATGCGTGATGCCTGCCAGTTCTCCTTTCATTCTCCCCATTCATCCAAGTGAGGAGCCCGTGACAAGACTCTGAGGTGTGCTTTTCTGTCTGTTCCTTTTAGCTTCCAGAAGATAGATGGTTGTCACCAGGGCTATCTTTATATTTGATTGAACAACAATGTCGGAGTTGCCTTGACAGAAAGTCTTATTGGGTTGATTGGCTTGTCAATGAGGATTGGCTTTGCCAATTATGTTGTGTAGCAGACATTTTCTGTATACTGAATGAGCTAAATCTGCAACCCTGAGGTTCTGATGCATATGTATATGAAGCAAGCATACCACCCATAGAGCGCCAGAAAGATGTCCCTTTTTCAAGTGTTTACACTTAACTATGTTAAGGATGTTGAGATGTTATTTAAAAATATGTGCATAGATTTTCAGAATTCTTTGAGGGGCTATGTGAGCAAAACTCCTTTTGGGACACTGCCTTATCCCATTCCTAAGTCAGATCTTACTTAGAGCTGGCCTATTTGAATGTTGCTAAAGAGCAGTGCTGGGCAAGAATACAGAGATGCTGTGGGAGCCATAGGTTCTAGAAACAGCCCTCAGCATCACTCTTGCAGTAGATGCTGTGTTGTGGGAGCAAGGCAGGGGTCAGCAGGTGAACAGAGGTAGAAATTGAGGGTGTTGGTTAACCCAAGAGATGCCTGCTTTTCATAATTAGCATTGCTTACTGTGCATTGAAAAACAAGGCTCAGAAGAAATGATATACCTCTCATAACCTTTGTGTGACATGAAACCATAGTAGAGTCAGCTTGATATGCTGTCATATAATTTATCTTTTAGCATTCAATGATTGGACTTGCCTGTTTTAAATACTAATCACCATACAGGACTTTTTCTATCCCAGAAGTCAGACAGTAGATTCAAATGTGAAACATTTACTTTGCTTCATATTTAGCTTCAGATTGTATAGGACCTTTAGCCAGCGTTGTAATTTTTTACTCTGTGGCTCCTGATTGAAACATAATAATTATCTTTAACAAAGAGTGCCTGTGAGAAAGTATGTCTGAGATATATTCATAAAAACATTCATGCAAAGTGTTATTCTTTTTATTATTTGAGATTTAGAATCCTTAGAGCTTAAGCATTGTACAGCTGTTAAAACAACCAACCTGTCAATCCTCAGTAATGGCATGAAATGATTAGGCTACTATAATTTAGCCATTTTACTTTTCACTTTTAATGTTAAAAAGACCGTAAACTTTATTACCTAGTGCCTTGTACAATATTAATGAGTCTAAGTTTATTGGAGTAATTTTGCAAGAGTTTAACTTTTTAAAATTGTAATGTGAAGGCCCTTTTTTCTAGCCAACTTGGATTGCAGGAATCATTTATCCTGATAGCCACAGTTGGATTCCATATTCCATGGCTTCAGTTTACCAGGATCTGAGTCAGGAATCTCAGGCTCTATGCATCCAGGAGCAGATGATTATGTGGCAGTGGCCATTCTGGCTGTATTCATTTCTCTCCTTGGGTATGAGGGTCATTCCAGTAGATTCAGAGCTTATGGTCAAAAACTGAAATACACATTGTTGCTACCAGTAATCTTATACTGTTATTCTCCAATGGTTTCTTTTCCTAGTATTGAGAAACTGTAAGAGAACTAAGGTGTTTTTGGAAAATTGAAGTTAGTAAATGGAAAAAGAACACTGTCTTGGTGTGGTAGGCAGAATAATGGGCCTCCAAAGATGTTTACATTCTCATGCCAGGAACCTGTGAATACATTAGGTTACATGGCAAAGGGAAATTAAAGTTGCAGATGGAATTAAGATTGCAAATCAATTGACCTTAAAATAGGGTAATTATCCTGAGTTATCCCATTGGGCCCAATGTAATTACAAGGGTCCTTAAAAGGAATAGGGAAACAGAAGACAAGAGCTTGTTGGAGGAAGATGTGACTGGAAGAAAGTCAGAGAGAGATACGACAATGCTGGGTTTGAAGATGGAGGATGGAGCCAGGAGACAAGGGGTGTGAGAGGTGTCTAGAAGCTGGAGAGGACAAAAAAATGGTTTTCCTCCTAGAGTTTCCAGGAACACATACCTGCTGACAGCTTAATGGTAGTGTATTTTGGACTTCTGACCTCCAGAATTGTAAAATAATAAATTTGTGTCATTTAAGCCATTCAATTGATAGTAATTGGTTACCACAGTAATAGAAAACTAGTATACTTGGCTTTAAAGCCTCTGACTTAGAAAAAAAACTTAACTCTTTTTGTACTTATATGAAATAAATGCAGTGACTCAGCTAGCCCTTTATGTATAGTAGATAACTGGTTAATTTTAGCTTTAACAAAAATGCAAGTTTTTTCCTACTTCATCCATGAAATTATGTGGAGGAGACATACATATGTGTAACAGTGGGCAATATGAGGATTTGTAAAGACTGGACTGTCAAGCGTGTCTGTGTGAAGAGACCACCAAACAGGCTTTGTGTGAGCAATAAAGCTTTTAATTCACCTGGGTGCAGGCGGACTGAGTCTGAGAAAGGAGTCAGCGAAGGGAGATGGGGAAGGGGTTGCTTTATAGAAGTTGGGTAGCTAATGGAAAATTACAGTAAAAGGTGGTTATTTATTGTTAGCAGAGAAGGGGGTGACAAGGTACATGGTGGGGAGATCATAAGACTTATTGTCCAGAAGAAGAATGTCACAAGGTCGGTTGATCAGTTAAGGTAGGGCAGGGACAAGTCACAACGGTGGAATGTTGTAATGTTGGTTAATCAGTTAAGGCAGGAATTGGCTGTTTTACTTCTTTTGTGGTTTTTCGGTTGCCCCAGACTTCTTGGCTCCTGCAGGCCATCTGGATGTATATGTGTAGGTCACAGGGGTTACAATGGCTGAGCTTCGGCTTAGAGGCCTGACATGGACAACTTTGGAAAAACTAGGTCTTTACTATGAAGTATTTCAGAGACTATCATTAAGTAACATGTCAGGCCAGGAGAAGAAATACACTTAATTGGAAATAAGCTGGAAAGAAAGAAAATTTAAACTAGCTGTTACTCAAATATTAACACTTTCTTAGTCAATATCACAGCTGATGAATTTTCTTCAAGTGATGTGGATTCATTCACTAGCAAAATGATTATGCTGTGTGTTACATGATAATTGCCCCAAAAGATAATAAAGAAGAATTAGGATAAAACCAACATAAATAAATGAAAAGAAAAAGGCAAATGTATTTTGAGGTCTTAAAGTAGTATTTGGGGTATAATAGGTGTTTAGTAAATGTTTAAGTAAATGGAAGCTTTCTCTTCCCAAATTTTCATTGAGTATTCTTTTCTTGTCCTGTCTCCTCCCAAAAACATTCAAAATGATAGGAATTTAAAAATGTATCAACCAGAACATTATTCATATGTATATGGTAGAGTCTAACAGATGAGTCAGAATCAACTTCTTTGAAAACCATGAACTGGATTTTTTAGAAAACTTAAAATATTGATGATGGATGTAAGACATCTTGATTTTTAAAGATTGAAACATATCTGGGAATCCCATTGGCTCTAGTTTGTAGTACTGGCCATTTTGAGAGTCATCCTCTCTTAGGGCCGTATCATACCCATTATTCCTCCTAGACTGGCTTTTCATTCATGTCATGGCAGAATATTGTTCAGGCCCTGCCTACTCAAAGTGCGGGCTGAGGACCAGCAGGATCAACTTTGTCTGGGAGCCTGTAAGAAATGTGGCATCTCCAGCTCCACCCCAGAGCTTCTGAATCAGAGTCTGCATTTTAATAAGATCATCAGGTGATTTCTATGCACATTCAAGGTTGATAAATGCTGCTCTAAGTTGCATTGTTTTTTCATTTACATGGATTAATTGTAGGACCCTGTAGAGCAGTCTTAATATATGAATTCTGCCTATTTTCTTTGTTTTTTTTTTGAGACAGAGTTTCACTCTGTCACCCAGGCGAGTGCAGTGGTGATCTTGGCTCACTTCAACCTCCGCCTCCCAGGTTCAAGAAATTCTCCTGTCTCAGCCTCCCGAGTAGCTGGGATTACAGGCACCTGCCACCACACCTGGCTAATTTTTGTATTTTTAGTAGAGACAGGGTTTTACTATGTTGGCCACACTGGTCTCAAACTCTTGACCTCAAGTGATCTGTCTGCATTGGCCTCCCAAAGTGCTGGGATTACAGGTGTGAGCCACCGCGCCTGGCCTGAATTCTGCCTATTTTCAAAACATATTACAGATTGACTTTCACTGTGATATAACAAAAAAATGTAAGAAATTACAATTTGAAAATAAAAGAAAGATATGTTTCAGATACGAGAGATGGGTTAGTTATTGCTATTGAGAAACAAATTTAAATAATCTTCAGGGCAACTAAGGTGAAAAACAATACACATTTGATTGTATTGTCCTTATGTTGAAAGAAAGGAGGTATAACAATTTATTGGGAAAAATACAGTTCTTTCCAGGCACTGACTTTTCAAGGTAATTTATCACTCAGATATTTATTTAAAGAACATTAAGGGTGGGTATGGTGGCTCACACCTGTAATCCCAGCACTGTGGGAGGCCATGGTAGGAGGCTTGCTTAAACCCAGGAGTTCGAGACCAGCCTGGGCATCACAGCAAGGCTCCCACTACAAAAAATTAAACATTATTTGGGGGTGCTTGCATGTGCCTGTAGTCCCAGCTATGTGGGGGCTGGGGCAGGAGGATGACTTGAGCCCAGGAGTTCGAGTTTGCAATGAGCTATGATAGTGCCACTGCACTCCAGCCTGAGTGACAGAGCCAAATCCTGTCTGTAAATAAAAATAAAAAAAAAACATTGGTTAGCATAGTAGATAATGTCTTTGATTGGTTTTTAGTGTAATATATAGAAAAATTTTTATGGTTAATGTTTCTTATTTGATGGTTTTATGAAAGCCAAAGGCATGGTCTTATATTTTGGCTAGGTGAAGGCATTTTTGTAGAAGTTTAAGGTAATATAATCTAGGTACTTTTTTTGTTATCTAAATCTGTATTGCAAAGGAATTTCAGAAAACCAGAGAGAGATGAGGATAAATAAAGTCTCAGATGTGGAAAAGCTTGGGGTGCTCAAAGAATAGGAAATAGTCAAGTGTACCTGGACGATACCATTTTTGCTTTTAGACATGCTGAGAATTTTTGACATTTAAAAAATGTTAAAGAGGGAAAATAAGCTGCTTAAGTATACTACATTTTGCATTTGAGTTAGTCTTATATTTATTTACATACTTATCATAAAACATATTCTTGTCTCTAGTTCATGACTTAATTTTAAATAGGAAATAAAATACCTTGAGAAGAGATTCTGCATGTCATTATGTAACTATGGTACTTAGTTTTGCCAGTCAAAACCACACATTGCCACGTGAAGGCCAGTAGTTTATTGAGTACTCAGGGAACAAAATTAGGTGGATTTTTTTCTGTTTTTTGTTTTTTGGGGTTTTGGATATTATACAGAGAGTGTAAAATTGCAATTTTTTTCTTCAGGAGACTCAGACTTGACCCTAAAATATGCATATAAACTTGAAGGCTCAAATAATGTTTTTTCCTAACCTGGAGGAAGAATTGTGAGAATAATGCTTTGCATAGAATCCTCTTCACCTTCTTTGCATGTTTCTTTTGGATCAGGCATAAAATAGGGGCCTGGTTTTGTTAGAGTGGGGGAAATAGTTGATGATATAATCACCCATTCCCTCTTAGTTGCAAATGGTATTGAAATTACAGAAAGTCATCTGACCACTAGTTGAGGTCACTTCTTTTCCCATTCCTGCCATTCCCCCATGTCTGGTATAACATTTGGCAAAATTGGTAACTGCTCTTGAGGGTTTTCATTTGTTTCTGTGTGTTCCTCTGAAATGTCATGTTTCTGGGGGAAGCAAGAACAACAGTACAATTTTCCACATTGAATCAGATGTTCATGTGATCCAAGCGTGCTTGGAAAAATCTTACTGCTTAGGATTCTATACAACATAGCTCTCTTGTGCAGTCTGTAGTTAGACAGTTAAAGGGCCCATGCCTCACCTGCAGGGTAGCCCTTCTGAGTGCGGTGGAAGCAGAGCTTTCTTGGAAAGTGAGACACCACTTGATCAGATCCATTGTGGAATTGAACAAGATGTAAGACAGAAGCATGGAATTCTGAAAAGTCAGACAATGCATTAGTGCACTCACATTGTCTTATATTTAGGTCTGTCAGGTTGTGTTATAATTTTAAAAATTAATTTCAAAAGCGATACATACTTATTATAGAAAATTTGTGCAAATACAGGAAACAATAGAAATACAGGGAAGAAAATATAGTCCATCTTAATTCTCCCTAATTTTCCTTGCATCTTAGCATTTTAGTGCTTCAGGATGGTATTTATTTTGGAACTTTAGTACATACAGGAACATAGAGAGACTACAGTATATATGTATATGTGTGTTCATACGTATGTAGTCAGATATCAGAAAAAATCATATTCTTTAAAACTTATTTTAAAATTACGGATATCACTTAGAGATACTGATGTTAGTATTTTGATATTTGACTTTTCAGTCATATATATACTTCTGTTAAAAAAACAAAAAATTCAATATGAACATATGGTTTTTATAAATTCTTCATCCACATACACTAAAATTTATTCCTTTTTTTTTTTTTCTCTTGAAATGGAGTCTCACTCTGTCGCCCAGGTTAGAGTGCACTGGCGTGATCTCGGCTCACTGCAACCTCCATCTCCTAGGTTCAAGTGACTCTCCCGCCTCAGCCTCCCGAGTAGCTGGGATTACAGGTGCATGCCGCCACTCCTGGCTAATTTTTTTGTATTTTTAGTAGAGACGGGGTTTCGCCATGTTGCCCAGGTTGGGCTCGAACTCCTGGGCTCAAGCGATCCACCTGCCTTGGCCTCCCGAAGTATTGGGATTACAGGCATGAGCCACCGCGCGCGGCCAATTTATTCTTTTTAGTATACAATACTGTAAGTTTTGACAGATGCATAGTTTTGATAGATGCACAGTTTTGATAGATGCACAATTTTCCAGAGTGGATGTGCCATGTTGCATTACCACCAGCAATGTGTGAGAGCTCCACAGATGGGAACTCATATTGTATCTTCAGAGTGTGGCGTTGTCAATTTTTCTTTTATTTCAGCCATTCTAATAGGTGTGTAGCACTATCTCATTGTGGTTTTGAGTTCCCCTCATGACTGAAGTTGTTAATTATCTTTTCCTGTGCCTTTTAATAATATATTCATGTTCTTTGTGAAGTTTGCCCATTTAAAAAATACTGGGTTGTTTTATTATTATTAAGCTTTGAGAGGTTTTATGTTTGCCAAATGAAAGCTCTTTGGCAAATATGTGATTTGCAAATGTTTTCTTCCTGTCTGTAGTTTATTTTATCAATAGTGTCTTAAACAGAGCAAAAGTTCATTTTGATGATACAAAATTTACCATTTTTCTTCTTTTTATGGAACCTCCTAGAAGTTTTAAAGTTTTAGGTTTTACATTTTTATCTATAATCCTTTTTTTCTGGTATATGTTGTGCAATTTTCCCTGCACCGTGTCTTGAAAAGATTGTCATTTTGCCATTGAATTACGTTTGCACCTTTGTCAAAAATCAATTGACTACATTTGTGTGTCTGTTTCTGGATTCTGTTCTGCTCCACTGATGTGTGTGTCCCTTCACAGGTACCACACATTGTTGATTGCAGCTTTATAGTAAATCTTCGAAGCAGGTAGTGAGAATCATCTAACTTTGTTCTTTTTCAAAATTTGTTTATGCTATTCTAATTACTTTTCCTTTTTGTTTAAATTTAGAATAATCTTGTTAATATCTACAGATAATTGTACTTGGATTTTTTAGTAGAATTTAATTGAATCTATAAAACGATTTGGGGAAAGTTGGACATCTTAACAATATTTACTTTTCCAACCCATGAACATGACATATCTCTTCATTTATTTAGATTTTTAAATTTCTTTCATTGATGTTTTGTAGTTTTCAGCATATAGTTTGTGCGTGTATTTTGTTAGGTTTATACCTATTTTATTTTTGATTAGTGCTATTGTGAATGGTATTTTTAATTTTTTTTTAGAAATTTTTATTTTCTTAGTCCATTTTGTGTTGCTATCACAGAATACCACAGACTGGGTAATTTATAAAGAAAAGAAACTTATGTCTTACAGTTCTGGAGGCTCAAAAGTACAAAAGCATGGTGCTGGCATCTGGTGAGAGCCTTCTTGATGCACCATAGCATGGTGGAAGGCATCACAGGACAAGAGAGGCATAAGAGAAAGAGCCAAACTAGCTTTTATGACAGACCCACTCTTGTGATAACTAACTCTCCTGTGATAATCTGTTAACACATTAATCCATTAATGGCAGAATCCTCATGACTCAATCACCTCTTAAAAGGCCTTACTTCTTAATACTGTTAGATTGGGGATTAAGCTTCCACATGAATTTTAGAGACAAAAACATTCAACGGCAGTGACCCTTTTATATTTAATTGACATTTTAATTGAGGTAATTGTAGATTCACTTCAGTTGTAAGAAATACAGAGAGATACTGTGTAGGCTTCACCCACTTTCTCCCAGTGGTTACACCTTGCAAAACTGTATTATAATATCACAACCAAGATATTGATATTAAAACAGTAAAGTTATAGAACCTTTCCATTATCACGAAGATACCTCATGTAGCCCTTTTATGGCCACAACTACCTTCTCCCTTTGACCCATCCCTAACCTTTGACAGCCATTAATTTGTTCTTTCTATGATTTTTGTCATTTCAAGAATATTGTGTATCCATAACCATACATATGTGACTTCTGGGGATTGCTTTTTTTAAAAATCAGAATAATTACCTAGAAAGTCACCCAAGGTGTTACATGTATCAGTAGTTCGTTCCTTTTTAATTGCTAGTAGTATTACATAGTATGCATACACCACAGTTTAGCCATTTATCCGTTAAGGGATATCTGGATTGTTTCCAGTTTTGGCTATTATAAATAAAGCTGCTGTGGACATTCATGCAGAGGTTTTTGTGTGACCATAAGTTTTTATTTCTCTGATATAAACATCCAAGAAGAAAAATGCTGTATTCTGTGATAGTTGCAATTTTTAGTTTTACCGGAAGCTACCAAATGGTTGTCCAGAGTGGCTGTACCATTTTATATCTCCACCAGAAATATGTGACAGATAAAATTTAGCCCCATTCTTGCCAGTTATTTGATGTTGTCAATATTTTTAATTTTAGCCATTTTAATTGGTGTATAGTGATATCTCATCGTGGTGGTGGTGGTAGTGGTGGTTCTTTTTTTGTTGTTGTTGTTGTTGTTCTTCTTCTTCCTCCTTCTCCCTCTTTCTCCTCCCCCTCTTCCTCCTTCTTCTCTTCTTTTTTTTTCTTTTCTTGTGTGTGTGTGTGTATGTGTGTGTGACTGAGTCTCGCTCTGTCACCCAGGCTGGAGTGCAGTGGCATGATCATAGCTCACTGTCATCTCAAACTTCTGGGCTCAGTTGATCCTCCTACCTCAGCCTCCCGAGTAGCTGGGACTATAGGCATGTGCCACCGTGCCCAGATTGTTTTTTTTTAAATTTTTTTTTTGTGCAGACAGGGCTTTGCTGCATTACCCAGGCTGGTCTCAAACTCTTGGCCTCAAGTGATCCTCCCATTTCAGTCACCGAAAGTGCTAGGATTACAGGTGTGAGCCACTATGCCTGGCTCATTGTGGTTTTAATTTTCATTTTTCAAATGGCTAACGACGTTGAATATATTTTCATGTGCTTACTTGCCATCTGTATATCCTCTTTAGTGAAACAAATAGTACTGTTTTGTTAAATTTTGCTTTCTGGTTGTTTATTGTTAGTGTATAGACATATTTAATGTGTATATTTTGACCTTATGTCCTGGTGATTTAACTAAACTTATTTATTAATTCAAGGAGCTTTGCTTTAGATTCTATGGGAGTTTCTTTTTTTTATTTAGACTATCATGTCACCTGTTAATAGAGACATTTTATTTCTTCCTTTTCAATATGGATAGCTTTTATTTCCTTTTTATGGTTTATTGCCTTGGTTAAGACTTCTAGTAGGTTTTAGGTAGATGAGGAGAGAGCAGATATCCTTAGAAGGATCCTTTCTTGTTTCTTGTTCCTATCTTAGGAGGAAAACATGTAGTCTTTTGCAATTAAGTATGATGTTAGATATAGATTTTTTTTTTGTATATGCCCCTTATCAGTTGATCAGTTGAGTAAGTTTCTTTCTATTCCAAGTTTGCCGAGAGATTTAAAAAAACTACAAATGGATGTTGAATTTCGTCTTATGCTTTGATTTGTTCATATGGTTTTTCTTGACTTTTTTCCAAATTTTTAAAAAATAAATTTCATTGTGTGTATTTAAGGTATACAACATGATGTTATGGGATATATTTAGATGGTAAAAAGATTACTGTATTGAGGCAAATTAGCATATCCATTATTTCACAGATTTGCCCATTTTTTGATTTTGTGGCAAGAGCCACTAAAAGCCACTTGTTTAGCATGAATCCCAGATACAGTACAATTTTATTACATAGAGTCCTCATTTTGTACATTAGATGTCTGGACTTGGTCATCCTACATATCTGCTACTTTATGTCCTCTGACCTACTTCTCCCCATTTCCTCCCCACTTCCCACTCCCGTGCCTGGTAACCACTGTTTTGTTTTCTATCTCTGTATATTTGAATTTTTTTTGGATTTCACGTATAAATGAGACCATGCAATATTTTTCTTTCTCTGTCTGGCTTATTTTACTTAGCATCATGTCCTCTAGGCTCATTCATGTTGTGACAAATGGATCTCATTCTTCTTTAGGGCTGAATTGTATGTATATATACACTGCAGTTTCATTGTCCATTTGTCTATCAACAGAGAGTTAGGTTGTTTCCATATCTTGGCTATTGTGAATGATGCTGCAATGAACATGGGAGTGCAGATATCTTTGTGAGATGGTGATTTCATTTCCTTTGGTTATATGCCCAGAAGAGGGGTTGCTGGGTATATGGTGGTTCTATTTTTTATTTAATTTTATTTTTTAGAAACCTCCATACTCTTTTTCGTATGGCTCTACCAACCTACATTCCTGCCAACAGTGTACAAGAGTTCTCTTTTATCCACACCTTTGCCAACATTTCTTCTTTTTTGACGTTTTGATAATAGCCATTCTAATGGGTGTGAGATGGTATCTCATAGTGGTTTTGGTTTTCATTTCCATACCTGAGACTGGGTAATTTATAAGAAAAGAGGTTTAATTGGCTCATGGTTCTGCAGGCTGTGTAGGAAACATAACACTAGCATCTACTTCTGGGGAGGCCTCTGGAAGTTTACAGTCATGGCAGAAAGTGAAGTGGAAGCTTGTATGTTATATGGCAAAAGCAGGAGTGAGAGAATTAAGTGCTAAACACTTGTAAACAGCCAGATCTCACGAGAGGTCACTCACTATCACAAGGACAGCAACAGGGATGGTGCTAAACCATTCATGAGAAATCACCATGATCCAATAACTTCGCACCAGGCCTCACCTCCAACATTGGGGATTACATTTCAATATGAGATTTAGGCAGGAAAACACATTCGAACTATATCAGTGATATTGAGCACCTTTTCATAGACCTGTTGGTGATTTTTATGTCTTATTTGGACAAATGTCTATTCAAGTCTTTTGCCTGTTTTTAATTGGGTCATTTGTTTTTCTATGATTGAGTTGCATCAGTTCTTTATGAATTTTAGATGTTAAACCCTTATCAAATGTTGGTTTGCAAATATTTTTCCCAATTTGTAAGTTGCCATTTGATTTCATTGTTTCCTTTGCTGTGCAAAAGACTTTTAGTTTGATGTAGTCTCATTTATTTACTTTTGATTTGTGGCCTGAGCTTTTGGTATGATATCCAAATAAATAAGTAAATCATTGCCAAGACCATTTTCTGGGAACTATTCCCGTGTATTCTCTTCTAGGAGTTTTATAGTTTCTGGCCTTACATTGATGTCGATTATGCATTTCATGTTGAATTTTGTATATGGCGCAAGAGAATGGTCTAATTTTATTCTTCTGCCTGTGAAAATCTAGTTTTTCCAGCACCATTTATTGAAGAGATTATCCTTTCCCCATTGTGTTCTTTTGGTGGCTTTGTCAAAAATTAGTTGACTATATATCTTTGAATTCATTTCTGAGCTCTTGATTCTGTTGCACTGGTCCATGTTTATATCAGCAACTTACTGTTTTGATTACCATAGCTTTGTAGTGTAATTTAAAATAATGATGTGCGATGATTTTTGACTCGAACCAAGCTTGCATTTGTGGGGTGAATGCTACTTGGTTATGAGGTATTGCTCATTTTAGATATAGCTGGATTTAATTTGCTAATATTTTGTTGAGTTTTTTTGCCTCTCAGTTCATGAGGAACATTTGTCAATAGTGTGTTTTTCTTTTATTGTTTTTGGCTTTGATATTAGGATATGTTGGCCTCATTCCTCTTAAGTGTTCTGGAAGAGATTAAGCAAAATTAGTGTTACTTCTGTCCAGAATGTTTGGTAGAATTTACCAGTGAAAACCACTGGGCTTGTGCTTTTCTTTATTGGAAAATTTTATTCACAAATTCTATTTGATTTCAAAATGTAGGACTATTAATGTCAATTTTTAAAACAGATTTGGTATCTTTCAAATAATTGGTCAATTTCATCTTTCAGCATTTCCTTTTTATCTTTCTCTTATTGTCTGTAGGGTCTGTAGTGATAATCATACTTCATTGCTGATATGGGTAATTTGTGCCTTATCTCCTTTTTCTTTATCAGTCTGGGTAGGAGTTAAACAAATTTTTATTGATTTGTTTCAAAGATCAGCTTTTGATTTTTTTCGTCTATTTTTATTGTTCTCAATTTCATTGATTTCTCTCTTTTTTTGTTGCTGTTTTTTGTTTTGTTTTGTTTTTTGAGAAAAGGTCTCACTCTGTCACCCAGGCTGGAGTGCAGCTCACTGCAGCCTCAACCTCCCAGGTTTAGGTGATCTTCCCACCTCAGCCCCCCAAGTAGCAGGGACTACTGGCACACACCACCATGCCCAGACAATTTTTTGTACTTTTTGGTAGGGACGGGGTTTTGCCATGTTGCCCAGGTTGGTCTTGAACTCCTAGGCTCAAGCAATCCACCCCACTCAGCCTCCTAAAGTGCTAAGACCACAGGCATAAGCCACTGTGCGAGGCTGATTTCTGTTTTTAACTTTTATTATTTTCTTCCTTTTGTTTGTTTTGGGTTTGTTTTGTTCTTCTTTAACTAATTTCTTAATGGGGAAGCTTACATGATTAATATGAACCCTTTATTCTTTCCTATATAAGCATTCGATGCTAAAAATTTTACCCTAGGCACCACTTTAAATGTATCTCATGCTTTAATACATCTTATTTTCATTCAATTAAAAATATTTTTAAAAATTTCCTTTGATTCTATTTTACAGTGAGTTGTACACTATATTTTTTTACAGATAGCTTTTCATGGTTTACTTCTAATTTAATTACATTACAATCAGAGATCATTGTTTGCATGATTTCAGTTCTTTTAAATTTGTTAAGTTTGGTTTTATGGCTGAGAATATGGGCCATCATGTTACATATTCAGTGTGCACTTGAAATATGTATTTTGCTTTTAGTAAGTGGAGTGTTTCTTAAATGTCAACTAGGAGAAGTTTGTTGATGGTGTTATTCAGGTCTTGTATATTCTTGCTTGTTTTCTGGGTCTCTCATTAACTGAGAAAGGAGAATCGAAGTCTCTAAGTATAATTGTGGGTTTGTCTATTTCCTAATTCAGTTTTATTAGTTCTTGCATCATATATTTTGGAATGTACACCTTGTTAAAAGTACATACACATTTGGAAATGCTATGTAGCTTGGTGGATTGACCCTTTATCACTATAAAATGTTCTTATTCCTAGGTAAATATTTTCCTTGCTCTAAAGTCTGCTTTGTCTGATATTAGTATAGCTTCTCCAGCTTTCTTTGTATTAGTGTTTGCATGGTATGTCTTTTTCCATATTTTTACTTTTAACTTATCTTTATAAACACATTTAAAGTGAATTTTTTTGTAGATAACATATAGTTGCATCTTATTTTTAAAGTTTAATTTGATAATCTCTATTCTTTAATAGGTACAGTTTATGTTTAATGTAATTATTAAAATAGTTGGACTTAGGGCTACCATTTTATTATTAGGTTTTTATTTATTATCCTTTTTTTGTTCCCCCACCTCCATTTCCTGCCTTCTTCTGGGTTATTTGAATTTTTTTTTTTTTTTTTGAGATGGAGTCTTGCTTTGTTGCCCAGGGTGTAGTGCAGTGGCACGATCTCAGCTCACTGCAAGCTCCGCTTCCTGGTTCAAGCGATTCTCCTGCCTCAGCCTCCCGAGTAGCTGAGACTGCAGGCACCTACCACCACGCCCGGCTAATTTCTTGTATTTTTGGTAGAGACAGGGTTTCACCATGTTAGCCAGGATGGTCTTGATCTCCTGACCTCATGATCCACCTGCCTCAGCCTCCCAAAGTGCTGGGATTACAGGTGTGAGCGACCGTGCCCGGCCTTGAATATTTTTTAATATTTAACTTTATCTGTCGGCTGTTTGTATATATCTCTTTGAATTATTTTAGTTGTTTTTCTAGTGATTACCATATACAAACTTAGCTTTACACAATCTACTTAGAGGGAATAGTTTATCACTTCAAGTGAAATATATAAACCTTGTCACTTTACCCTCCTTGATTTGTGTCATAGTTGTCATTTTCATTATATCTACATGACTTGAGAACCCTATAGATAAGGTTATAATTTTTGCTATTAACAATAAATATGTTAAAGAACTTAGTATAGTAAAATATTATGTTACCCAGATATTTACCATTTCTGTTGCTCTCTTTAGTTCTTATGTTGATATTTCCCTCTGATATCATTTCCCTTCAGCTTTAGAATTTATTTCAGCATTTCATTAAGAAATCTGCTGGCAAGAAGTCTCTTGGTTTTTCTTCATTGAGTATGCTTTGTTTTGCCTTCATTCCTGAAGGATATTTTTGCTGGATATAAAGTTCTGGTTAGCAGTTCTTTTCTTTCATCACTTAAAAGATGTGTCACTGTCATCTAGCCTGTGTGATTTCTGAAGAGAAATTTGCAATTATTTAAGCCATTGTGCTCTTAAAGGCATATGTTGTTTTCCTCTGGTTGCCTTTATATTTTTTTCCTCATCTTTGGTTTTCAGCAGTCTGCATATGATGTTTCTGGGTATGGTTTTATAAGTTTACTTTGGTAGGAGTGTGCTGAGCTTCTTGAATCTCCAATTATGTCTTTCACTCAGTTTGAGAAGTTTTCAGCCATTATTTCTTCAAATATTTTTTCTATGATTACCTCTTTCTTTCATTTCTTCTTCTGCCAATTAAAATTCCACTTTACATCCAACCATCACTTTGGCTTTGAAGCCGCCACTTAATATTAACACTTGGTAGATGTAGTATGACTATTCTTATATGTCTCTATCTACTGATGAGGATCCTACTCCTTTAATACTACTGAAGAGTACTCTTTTTAGATCCTGCTCTTCCAGGACTCCATTGATATGCATGTCAGATCTTTTTATTATCATTCCATAGGTTGCTGAGGACTTGTTCATTTTTTTCTGTCTCTCTTTTTCTCTGTTTTTTAGATTGTTTAATTTCTATTGATCAATCTTCAAATTCACTGACTCTTTCCACTGTCATCTACATATTGCTATTGCATCCATCTAGTGGATTTTTAAATTTCCAATATTGTGTATTTCAGTTCTAAAATGTCCACCGGGTTCCATTTTATGGTTACTGTTTCTCAGCAATTAATTTCTATCTTTCATTCATTTTAACAGTGTTCATCTTTACCTCATGGAGGATTATTGAAGAGCTGCCCTAAAGTCCTTGCCTGATAATTCCACCATTGGTGTCCTTTTGGGGTTGACATCTGTTGATTGTGGGTTTCCCTTAATATTGATCCATTTTTCCTGGCTCTTTGTATGTCAAATTGTTTTGGATTATACCATGAACATTTTGAATATTGTATTAGTCTGTTTTCACACTGCTGATAAAGACATATTCGAGACTCGGTAATTTATAAAGAAAAAGAGGTTTAATGGACTCACAGTTCTACATGGCTGGGGAGGCCTCACAATCGTGGTGGAAGGCAAAAGGCATGTCTTACATGGTGGCAGGAAAGACAGAATGAGAGCCAAGCAAAAGGGAAAACCCCTTATAAAACCATCAGACCTCATGACACTTATTCACTACCTTGAGAACAGTATGGAGGAAACCACCCCCATGATTCAATTATCTCCCACTGGGTCCCTCCCACAACATGTGGGAATTATGAGAGCTACAATTCAAGATGAGATTTGGGTGGGGACACAGCCAAACCATATCAAACATTATGTGGTGAGGCTCAAGGTCCTGTTAAAATTCTGTGGAGAAATGTTGATTTTGTTTATCTGTTTAAGCAGGCAACCAACCAAGTTTCCTTTTTCCAGCTCTTCTTTTTGTGATTTCTTTTATACTCTCCAGCTCTCAAGATGTCCCTTTTTATGGTTTCTGCAGCCAGAAAGAGTCTTCTCAAAATTTTAGCCTCTTATGATGTCATGCGGTTCACACAATTGGTGACGCCTTCACAGTGAGGCAGCAGGAGAAAAGAGAGAGAGAGAGAGGAAAAACAAAACAAAACAAAACGTATTTTCTCTCCACTATTTACACAGCAGGACTTCCTCTTGCTTGGTTCCTCTGGTCATTGAGTTGGATTTTTCTTGGGGTTTTAGGTACTCATGCTAAAGGAAAAAAAAAGAGGGAATCATAATCTCTAGCAGAGATTATGATAGAGGACTTTTCCTCTATCCTCAGACTGGAAAGAAGGGGCTTCTCCTGGAGTTTTTGCTGTCAGTGTTTGCTTCCCAGTTCTAGAATGCAGTCTGCACTCAGGTCAAATAAGGGGAAGAAAGGAGAGTAAAAATCCACAAACTGTACCCTTATGGGTCCTTATTTATTTTTGCTTTAGTTCCCAATGCACCTGTCATTGTGTAATTTTCAAAGTCCTCAGGCAGTTGATTTTTGTACTCTGTTCAGAGTTCTTAGTTGTAATCAATGGGATTGATAGGCTGTAGTCAGCTTACTCCATTTGGGCTGGCACCAGAAGCCTACATATGTTTTCAATATCTACTTTTTTACACTTAAAATATTTTATAAACATTTTTCCGTGCCATTATACATTCTCCCATAACATAATTTTTAAGACTGCATATTCATTCGAGTGTTTATATTGATTGTCTTAGTGAATATATGAATAAATAAATCTTTACACACATCTGTGATTATTTTCTTAGGATAGATTCCTTTTTTTTTTTTTTTTTTTTTTGCAGTTGCAAGATTTAATAGAGTGAAAACAGAGCTCCTATACAATGGGAGGGGACCCAAAGGGGGTTGCCACTCCGTGCTCAAATGCCTGTGTTTATATCCCGATCATTATCCCTGCCCCATGCTCTCTGGCGATATATGATTTGACTATTTCTTTACCTCCTCTTTTTAGCCTAATTTGTATTTTAGTGAGCCCTCTTTATACCTGATTGGCTGAGTGTGAGCTGAGTTACAAGCCCTGTGTTTAAAGGTAGGTGTGGTCACCTTTCCCAGCTAGGCCTAGGAATTCTTAGTCAGCCTAGGAAATCCAGCTAGTCCTGTCTCTCAGTCCCACCTCTCAACAGGAAAACCCAAGTGCTGTTGGGGAGGTTGGCTGACAACCGCTCTTAACTGCTTCATGCTGAATTGGGGCATAGTAGGGGTCGTGCAGTTGAGATTTCCTTGGGAGGGGTGCCTTCAATGTCATCAACATTGGAGCATGGGCTAGCAGGCCAGTCCAGGGGTCCGCGGTAGATCTTAGTCATGGACTGCATCTGGGGCTCCATTTGAAGAACCATTTGTAGTTTTACAGCTTCGATTCTGGAAGAGACAAACGTAACAAGGAGGTTAAAGATACAAGGATTGAAATGTACGGCCTGAAGTGCAGGGGCATATGAGTGTGGGCGGTGCAAGTGGGGTTTCCTTTAGAAAAACTCCGATACAATAGGGCATCAATATTTCTAGGAAGCCACATTCTCCATAGAAGCTCTCGGTAAGGGGAGCTACTGGTAGTACAGCAGCATACAGGGGGTGCAGTGAGAGTGAAAGGGGGTAAGAGAACAGTAAAAAGAAAAATATGACAAGGGAGGGCCAAGAGGATCTACGATTCTAGTTACTTTCCTCACGGTTGTCGCCTGAAGAGCAGGCGCAGATCCTCTAGAGGTTCACAGGAATAGCTAGCATTGTCTGCTGGATTTTCGGGTTCCTTTGGCAGTATCCAGGGTTTGGCTCGAGTGTGACTTATCCAAGACTCCACTCCAGCCACTTAACTGCGGTTAGGGTAGATAAAATGACTGGGTAGGGTCCTTCCCAGGATGTGTGTAGGGATGGGGAATTAAAGGGGAAGGGACTTGACTAATACCATGTCACCAGGGTGGAATAATTCCTTTCCCTCCTCTCAGGGACAGGTTCCCTGTAATGTTTTAAGAACTCGTTGATATTTGGCTAAGGAGGTGATGTCTGCAACTAAGTTGGCCGTCTCTCAGTCAAGCACAAGGTCATTGGTTAGGAAGGGCTGTCCATACAGCATCTCATATGGACTAAGTCCTGCTTTTTGGGGACAGTTTCGGATTCTTAGTAAGGCTATAGGCAACAGAGCAGGCCATGCAAGGTGGGTTTCTTGGGTTAGCTTTTTTAGATGTCGTTTGAGTGTTTCATTCATTTTCTCAACTTTTCCTGAGGATCGTGGCCTCCAGGCACAGTGTAAGTGATATTGTATACCTAACGCCTGGGATACTCCCTGCGTTACTGCAGCCTTGAAATTGGGGCCATTGTCACTCTGTAAACCTCAGGGAAGTCCGAATCTGGGAATTATTTCATGAATTAGTACTTTTATTACCTCTTGGGCCTTTTCTGTCCTACAAGGGAAGGCCTCCACCCAACCAGTGAAAGTACCCAGATTAGTAGATACTGAAATCTCTGAGATTTGGGCATGTGGGTAAAATCTAGTTGCTAGTCTTCTCCTGGGTAATGGCCTGTTCTTTGTTCTCCTGAAGGAGCTTGGCAATAAGGCAGGGGATTATTTCTTTGGCACACTTCACAGGCCCTGACTATCTGCTTGACAGTTTTGAAAAGGCCTGGTCCAGTAAATAATGATTTGGCCATCTGATGGGTGCTGTCAATGCCTAAGTGAAAGGTCTGGTGAAGGGTTTTAAGTAATTTCCATTGGTTAGCTGCAGGCAAAAGTATTTTTTCTTTGGTGGCTGGCCATCCTGAGGAGAGGAAACTATGTCCTCGTGAGTTTCCCCATTCCATTTCTTCTGCTGAGTACTGGAGCTTGGTTTCCCAGAGGGGATTACCCCATACTAGGGGTCCTTCTGTAAGCATTTCTAATGGAGAGTCCTGCCTTGTGGCTCTTTTGGCTTCAATATCTGCTTGGCGATTCCCTATATTTCCCTTTCCTTTCCTTTCCTTTCTGATGACCCCAGCAGTGTAAGACTGCCATCTCTTTAGGTTTCTGTACAGCCAATAATAATGTCCTAATGGTTTCCTGATGTTTGATACGTGTTCCCTCGGAAGTTAGGAATTCCCTTTCTCTCCATATTGCTGCATGGGCATGGAGGACTAGGTAAGCATACTTAGTCTGTATATATTTACCCTTTTTCCTTCTAATTCTAGTGCCTGAGTGACGGCTATTAGTTCTGCCAGCTGAGTGCTAGTTCCTGGAGTGAGGGGATTACTTTCAAGTATTCCATTATCACTGAACACTGCGTAAGCCGCCTTTCGAAGTCCTTTTTCTACAAAGGAGCTTCCATCAGTATACAAGTTGAGGTCGGGATCAGTCAAGGGAACCTCTAAAAGGTCCCCTTGAGCGGCATAGGTTTGAGCAATTACTTGTTGCCAGTTATGTTCTATTTTTTCTTCATTGTCTGGAAGAAATGTGGCTGGATTAAGAGTTGCGCAAGTGTGCAGTCACAGCACTGGTCCTTCAAGTAATAGAGCCCGATATTTAAGCAAACGGTTGTCTGACAGCCACAAGTCCCCTTTAGCAGTGAGTATGCTGTTCACATCATGAGATGTCCACACAGTAAGAGCTCTTCCTTGTATCATTTTAACTGCTTTAGATACTAAGACTGCTATTGCTGCCACTACCCGTAAACAGTGAGGCCAACGCTTTGCCACTACATCAATTTCCTTACTCAGGTATGCCACGGGTTGCAAGCTGGTCCCAGTTTCCTTACTCAGGTATGCCACGGGTTGCAAGCTGGTCCTTCGGACCTGTGTAAGGACTCTTAGAGCTGTTCATGTTTTTTCTGTGACATATAAAGAAAAGTCTTGCCTCGTTGGTAAGCTTAACACTGGGGCTTGGGTTAGGCCCTACTTTAGGACCTGAAAAGCCACTTCTGCTTCAGGTGTCTATCTTACTAAATGGGTATTGGCTTTCTGAGTTTCCTTAATTAGTGTGTATAATGGCCTGGCTATTTTGCCATACCTGTTAATCCATATTTGGCAGAAGCCTGTTATGCCAAGGAACATTCTTAATTGCTTCAGGGTTTTGGGATGAGGATAAGCCGATATAGGCTGGATACGTTCCTCACTGAGGGCCCTGGTGCCTTTGGATAATTTTAGCCGTAAGTGTTTAACCTGCTGTAAGCAGAGCTGAGCCTTTGGTTTGGAAACCTTGTAGCCACAAGTGGCGAGGAAGTTTAAAAGCGCTTGGGTGGCTTGATGGCACAAGGTTTCTGAACGGGCAGCTAGAAGTAAATCATCCATGTACCAAAGGACATGAGTGTCCAAGTATGAGAACTGGCTCAAGTCTTGGGCTAATGCCTGGCCAAACAGATAGGGGCTATCCCTGAACCCTTGGGGTAAAACAGTCCAGGTGAGTTGAGACATTGGGTTCAAAGGATCTTCAAAGGCAAATAAGAATTGAGAGTCAGGATGTACAGGGATGCAGAAAAAAGCATCCCTAAGGTCCAGGACTGTAAACCACTCTGCTTCCTCTAGTATTTGGGAAAGTGGAGTATAAGGGTTAGGTACAGCTGGGTATAGAGGGACAATGGCCTCATTGATAATCCTGAGATCTTGCACTAACCTCCATTGTCCATTGGGTTTCTGTACTCCTAAAATTGGAGTATTGCAGGGGCTACTGCATGGTTTTACTAGGCCTTGGGCTTTTAGGTCCTTAACAATCTTTTGGAGTCCTTGCTGGGCCTCGGGTCTAAGTGGGTACTGCCTTTGGTAGGGAAAGGAGGCAGAATCCTTTAGTTTAACTTGAATGGGATGAGCATTCTTTGCTCGTCCATATTTTCCTTCTGTTGCCCAGACTTCAGGATTAATTCCTTCCTCAAGTAGGGGACAACAAACGTGTGTTCCTTCTCCTATGTTCAGGTGTCTAATGGCCCCTGCTTTTGCTAGAATGTCCTCTCTAACAAAGGAGTGGGGCTTTCAGGCATAATTAGAAAGGCATGTGAAAAGAGTAAAGTTCCCCAGTTACAACTTATTGGCTGGGAGAAGTATCTAGTGACTGGCTGTCATAGGACCCCTCAGATAGTGACAGATCTGGAGGACAGTTGTCCGGGACAGGAGAGTAAGACTGAGAAGGCCGCACCAGTGTCCAGGAGACAGTTAACCTTCTGGCCCTCAATGGTCAAGCATACCCGAGGCTCTGTGACGGTGATGGTATGGGCTGGTGCTTGCCCCGGGCACCCTCAGTCCTGCTACCGGCTCATGTGGTTAGTGGCTTCTGACTCAGAGGACCTTCATCCCCTGGGGCAGTGGGCCTTCCAGTGACTCCCTTGACATAAGGGGCATGGACGAGGGGGTGGCTTATTTCTATTCGGACAATCTTTTTTACAGTGTCCTTGTAGACTGCACTGGAAGCAAGCCCTATTAGGCATTTGATTTGCCCAGCCTTTCCCTGTTCCAGAGCCTCCAAAGTCTGCTTGCCTGAGGGCCATGACTAAAGCGGTGGCCTTTTTCTTATCCCGTTTGTCCCATTCCACCTGCTCCTCCTGATCTCTATTATAAAAAACCGAGGTTGCCAAGTTCAGTAGCATTTCTAAGCTTTGCTCCAGGCCTAAGGCGGACTTTTGAAGTTTTTTTCTAATGTCTGCAGCTGACTGAGTGATAAACTTATCCTTTAAGATTAGTTGGCCTTCAATAGAGTCGGGTGACAGGGAGGTTTGCTTCCTCAATGCCTTCCTTAGTCTCTCCAGAAAGGCAGTAGGATTTTCTTCCTTTCCCTGTGTTATAGTGGACATCATTGAATAATTTATAGGCTTTCTCCTAGTTTCCCTTAGTCCTTCTAGCACACAAGTTAGTAAATGTCTGCAGCACCAATCTCCATGTTCTGATTCTGCATCCTAATGAGGGTCTACACTGGGAAGTGCTTGCTGGCCAGTGGGGAATTGTTCTTTTCTCTGTTGTCATCCTATCATTGACTTAACTGTAACTGAGATATCAGAGATCGCCAAACTCTCGGGCTGCAGTTACGGTGGCACTTCTCTCATTTGGGGTTAGTGTCTGATCTAGCAGTAACATTACATCTCTCCATGTCAGATCAAAGTATTGTCCTAACCCTTGTAAAACATCAATATAGCCATCAGGGTCATCTGAGAATTTACCTAGGTCTATTTTAATTTGCTTCAAGTCTGAGAGGGAAAAAGGTACATGCACTCTGACTGGGCTGAATTCTCCAGAATACATCTTAGGGGTGTTTTTGCCTTGTGGAGAACGTTTCCCATCTGAAAATAGAACATAGGGATGCCAGCACCCCTAGTCATTTTCTGATGAGCATTAGTCATAGGTGTCCTCTGTGGTCCTAATGCTTATTCCTTTCCAGGACGTATAACAACCCATGGACCTCTGCTTATTGGATTCGTTACGCTCACCGATGTAGCAGTCCTGCACCCCTTTTCCCACCTTTCTTGACCACAAAGAAAGGGGTCCAGGCTGCTGGATTCTAGTGGTCCTTTTCCAGCGTGCCCAACATTGCCTTTGTGCTCAGGGGTGAGTCCTAGAGCTGGGCTGGGTTCCTGAGTATTTCATAGCAACCCAGCTGCTCCATCAAGATGCATTCCCATAAACAACAGTCCTTATGCAAATTCATTTCAGAGAGGGTGTAGGTAACCTTTTGAGTCAGGATTGAGATAGAGTTTTTTTGATTCCGTAAGTACTTTGAGGCTTGGCTAAGTGCAAACAGCTCAGACATTTGAGCAGACCAATTATTAGGCAATTCTCCTAACTCTGCTTCCACAAGAGTCTCCCTATCAATTACTGAATACCCATTGTGGTTTTTCTCTCAATCACCCGGGAGGTGCCATCTGTCCTCCTGTCCTGAAGGGAGTTCCTCCTAGGTCTGGTCGGACCTTTGTATGGTAATTAAGATTTAAATCCCCTGTTAGGAAATCTGCTGGGTTAAGGGAATTTTCAGTGATTAATGTTAAATCAACTTTTTCTAACAGAATAGCCCCATACTTTAAGATTTTTGAGTTAGTAAGCTACCTTTTTGCTTTTTTGACTTAGAATAGTTCTGAACTGGTGAGGTGTGCTCACAATGAGGTTTCCTCTAAAGGTTATTTTTCTATTTTATTCTGTTAGCAAAGCAGTTGCTGCTACAGATTGAATGCATTTGGGCCATCCATGGCTGAGATAAGGATTTTTGATAGGAAGGCTACGGGTTGTCAGTGGTTTCACTGTTTTCAGGCTACACCCTTGTTTACACTGACAACAAGGTAGTATTGGAGTGTTATAGGGTCATGGAGAAGACCTTCAATTATCAATTATAGGTTTTAAATTTACCCTGGCTTTTAAAGGAATAGGGCACACTTTTTTTCTTTACTACTTCTATCTCTCTTTTTCTCTCTTTCTGCCTCTCTTTCCCCACCCCCTGCCTCTCTTTCCCCTCTCTCTCTCTGCCTTGACTTACTCAATTCACTTTCATCCTGATCTGTTATGTTGTTGTAGACCCAGTTCCAGTTGTTAAAGTACTGGGTCATCAGTTCTAAGGCCCTGGCAAGGATGGTGGGGAACAGGTGTCACATAACTGCCCATGTTGAGAGCTGTATGCCTAAATTGGGAGGGACACGAGGGACAAGACACCCTGGGTTCATAGCCTAGGGCCCTAAGGACACAGTGTAGAGCTTCCTTAGATCCCTTTGGAGATACAACTTGCTCTAATACTTGGGAGAGGAAGTGAAAGTCTGAAGCATTAGTACCTAGGAGGCAGGGATCAGAGGAAGTAGATTCAAAGGTAAGGAGAATTTTGGGGCTATACTTTCAAGAAAGTTGTGGTCGGGACCTAGGAGGTATAGGTCAGAAGGAAAGATGGGGCGCACGCATGGGCAACTGTTGAAGAGAGACTTCTGGCTGTGCCATGATCTCAGCTGGCTTATGCCGGGAGTTCAGGACGACAGCTCTCTGCCTCTAGTTGGCCCTCGGCTTCCCCCAGAAAAATTGTGAAAGCGGAAGCTGGTTCCAGGCAGACCAACGCTCCCAACCCAGAGGGTTGGGGGTTGTTAGAAAGCGTTTTCCCAGGAAGCCTCACACCTGAGTCTTAAGTCAGGCAGCCATGCTCATTGTTTTTAACTGGCCAACAGGTGCCTAGTATTTTCCTTCAATTCTAAGGAAGGATAGGACAGAATAGCAAGTGAAAGTGGTCTCATATTACTCACCTCTTTGGAGAATCCCAGTACGGTCTACCAAATGTTACCGGCGGGTCTTTGTTCTTAGAGCTCCCAAGATGGTGGCGGGCTGCTCCCAAGGTGGTGGCAAGCCTTTTGTTCTCTCACCTGGGGTTCTTGGCCTCACACATTCCAAGGAATGGAACCTTGGGCCATGTGGTGACTGTTGTAGCTCTATTAGAAGCTGTGGGTCATGGAAGAGAACCATGGAACCCAGTGACTAGTGTTCAGCTCAATTAGGATGAACCCAGGTGCTTAGCCGTGCCCGAACATTGGTGAGACTTTAGTCTGATCAGAGCAGCAATGGACGCCTCACTCGATCAGGAGTGCAGTGGACACCTTGCCAGATCCAGAGGGATGGAAGTCAGCGGCGGGTCTGCGACGGCGGCAAACAACAGTGGTGGACAGCGAGCGAAAGCTCAGCTCAAGCTGTGAAAAGCACAGACCAGAAGAGTGTGCAGTTGCAAGATTTAATAGAGTGAAAACAGAGCTCCCATACAATGGGAGGGGACCCAAAAGGGGTTGCCCTTAGGATAAATTCTTAAAGGCAGAATTGCTATACTGACATCTTTAAGAGAATATCTTAACTTTAAATCAATTTAGACACCCTCCAATACTTGGAGTACTGATTTCTCTATATTCTCGCTATAGAATGGGATAGAATAGATAGAAAAATAATGGCAATGATCACTCAGGGTGTGTAAACCTGACAATTTCCTGTTTAGTAGATTAACTGCAGATCTTTCGCCACATATCTCATAAATATAAGTGACTAGCTGTCTTTGGCTTGATGTTTATAAAATTCAGTGATATCAGGCACATTTGGTTTGGGCTCATAAAACCTTGAGCCAGACATAAATCTTCAGTTTCATAGAGCATCCTAATTAGGATAGAATCGGCATGGCTGAAGAGAGCAGGAATGGCTTTCTGTGTGCAGTAATCATGGGGTCTGCCTTATGCATTCCATTCATCTTGCATTAAAATTGTGCTTTAGTCATGAGTGATTTATTAGGTCCAATTTGAAGAGTTGGCTTCTCAACTTTAGGAGTCTGAGGAAAGGGTATTTTCTATAACACTGCACATCTTTTTTTTTTTGTAATTACATATGTATACCTTTGCTGTTTTAAAATAGACATATGAACATTAAAAATCCCTATAGAATAGGAAAATATACTCTTCTAAACTATTATGACATATACTATGCCAGAGAAGATTACTTCTGTATCAGCCCAAGCCCTGGCAGAGAAGAGAACTGGTGCACTCAAAGTGGGTAATTTGAATGAGTTTAGTGAAAGAACCATTTACAATTGAGGGCAGGATGTAGAGATCACAAAATATAGCACGAAACGTGTAGGTTAGTAACTGGGGACTGGAGAGTATCACTTCTAGGCCTGGAGCTTTGACCTTTGGTGCTCATCCAGTGTGCAGGCTGCCTTCAGAGGGTGTGTGAACAGAACAAAGACCTCATGTTTCCTGTTCTTTCTTTGTCCAATACTCATTGGACAGTACTCATTGATTAAACCTATCAGAAGTCAGAGGGTCAGCATGCCTTTCAATGCAATGAACACAGATCTACCAAAGTGAATACAGGAAACATGGGATTGAAATCTCCTTCCACAAATGTGTTCCACAAATGTTGCTGGCTAATTTGCAACTAATTGTAAATGATGGAAGAACATTTCTATTTCACCAGGTATTTATAGTAGAATATAAAATGATAATTCGTAACATAAGACTTCTTAGCAGTGCCAGGCATGGTGCCTCATGCCTGTAATCCCAGCACTTTGGGAGGCTGAGACAGGTGGATCACTGGAGGTCAGGAGTTCGAAACTAGCCTGGCCAACATGGTGAAACCCCATCTCTACTAAAAATACAAAATTAGCCACAGGTGGTGGTGGGTGCCTGTAATCCCAGCTACTCAAGAGGCAGAGGCAGGAGAATCGCTTGAACCTGGGTGGCAGAGGTGCAGTGAGCCAAGATCATGCCATTGCACTCCAGCCTGGGCAACAGAGTGAGACTATGTCTCAAAAAAAGAAAAAAAAAAAGACTGCTTAGCAAAATATACTACCAATTTATTAGAGAATTATATATAGCATATTATACATCTATTAATACCTATGATATGAGGAATATATTAGACTTTATAATATAAGGGATAAGCACTTGGGCTTGGGAGTTACACTTAGTTTGAATCCCCTCTTTTCCATCTATGAGCTCTCTGACTTGGGGTGAGCTTATTACCTTCTGTAAGTCATAAAGCTTCTATTTTGTTTGTTTCATACGTTACACAGGAATATAATAGTACCTACCATATAGGATTGTTGTGAGGATTAAATGAGATAATGTATTTTTCTTAGTCCATTTGTATTGCTATAAAGGAATACCTGAGATGGGGTAATTTATAGAGGAAAAAGATTTATTTGGCTCATGATTCTGCTGGCTGGAAGACTGGGCATCTGGTGAAAGTCTCAGGCTACATAAACTCATGGTGAAATGTAACGGGGAGCCTGAGTATGAAGAGATCACGTGGCAAGGGAGGAAGCAAGAGAGAGAGGAGAGGTGCCACACTCTTTTTAGCAACCAGCTCTTGTGGGAACTAATAGAGATATAACCCATTTACTGCCCCCCAGAGAGGGGATTTACCTATTCCTGAGTGATCCACCCCCATAACTCAATCAATTCCCATTAGGCCCCACCTCCAGCACTGGGAATTAAATTTCAACATGAGTTTTGGAAGGATCAAACTTTCAAACTACAGTAGTATGGAAATTGCATAAGCCAATGTCTGGCACATATTAAGTATTGTACTTAATAAATGTCTATTATTCTAATTGTTACACATGTGTGACCAGGGACAAGAATGAAGAGTTGAGTTGGTTCATCCTCTCCTCATTTTAGGATGAAACTAATTGCTTAACTTAGTGTTTAGAAAGGATAGAGAGTTTAGTAATTAAGGGCACAGGTTCTGGAGAAAAATCTTTTGAGTTTGCAGCCTAGTTCTGCCTCTAGCTGTTTCTTTGACAAATACTTATCTGCTCATCTTCTCAGTGCTTTAATTTCTTCATCTGAAAATTGGGTTTGATATCTCTATCATCTATCTATCTATCTGTCTTTCTATCTATCTATCCATCCATCCATCCATAGATATAGTTATATTTTTAAAAGTTTATATACTGTATATATAAAAAGATAAGTATGAAAATTCATTATAATATCAAAAACTTAGAATTTATAGTCGATCTGTTTTCAGGATGTGAGAACATAGTCCCACAGAAGCCAGATCTGGTGAAATTGTTTTCCAATATAGGCATACCTTGGTGAGATTGTGGGTTTGGGTTCAGACCACAGCAGTAAAGTGAATATTGCAATAAAGTGACGCACATGAATTTTTTGGTTTCACAGTACATATAAAAGTTATGTTTACACTTTACTGTAATCTACCAAGTGTGCAATGCCATTATGTCTAAAAAATGTACATGCCTTAATTTAAAAATACTTTATTGCTAAAATATCTTAATGATCATCTGAGCCCTCATTGAGTAATTGTCTTTTACTAGTGGAGGCTCTTGCCTTGATGTTGATGGCTGCTGATTGATCTGGGTGGTGGTTGCTGAAGGTTGGGGTGACTGGCAGTTTCCTAAAATAGGACACCTGTGAAGTTTGCTGCATTGATTGACTTGTCCTTTCATGAAAGATTGTTCTGTACCGTGCAATGCTTGGTAGCATTTTACCCACAATAGAACTTCTTTCACAATTGTTGTCAATCCTCTCAGATCCTGCTGCTGCTTTATCAACTAAGTGTATGTAATGTTCTAAATCCTTTGTTGTCATTTCAACAGTGTTCACAGTATCTTCAACAGGTGTAGATTCCATTTCAAGAAAGCATTTTCTTTGCTCGTCTATAAGAAGCAATACCTGATCTGTTCAAGTGTGTCATGACGTTGCAGCAATTCAATCATATCTTCAGACTCCACTTTTAATTCCATTTCTCTTGTAATTTCTACCACATCTGCAGTTAACTTTCTCCTCTGATGTCTTGAACTCCTCAAAATCATCCATGAGGGTTGGAATTGACTTCTTCCAAACTCCTGTTAATGTTGACATTTTGACTTCCTCCCATAAATTACAAATATTCTTAATAGCTTGTAGAATGGTGAATCCTCTGGTGTTTAGCTATGTATAGAATGGCTCACATTAACCAGGGTCTCTGCTCTGCTTTCAAAGAAGTTTCGATCTGACAGTGCAACTGCAGATTATAATGAGCTTAACACCAGAGAAATCTTTTAATATATGTTTTAAAATAAATGAATAATGACTGTATTAATAAATGCTAAAAATCACAATCCTTGCTGACAACGAAGAGAAAAAAAGCTGTGTCTCTATCTTTGAAAGCACTAGTCTATTCCAAGGCACAGTTACGATGGTAAAACAAAATATTGTTAGTCTCATAGATGCACATCAATGAAAGACAGTAGGTTGGCATCTTAATAGCCATAGCTATAGAAATGGCTCTGCGAAACTGTAATTAACAAAACAATATAAACTGGAGAGAAACATATTTTAGTATGAGAGTACTAAAGTTAAAGGTTCCAAATATTATCAATTAATTAATCCCTAATTCATTCCAGGAAGGAAAGCTATACACATGCATAAGATGAAATGTACTATTGCTTCTCTTTGTTTAATTTTGTTACTTTTTTCCTCTATAAAATAGTAAATTCCAAGATAGTCATAAAATTAGGTGAGAGGAAACACCATCTGTAAGCAACGTCTGGTGCTTTTTAGGTGTATTAGTAATATTAATAAAATAATATTTTACCTAAAAAAAAATGGTGAATCCTTTCCAGAAAGTTTTCCATTTATTTTGCCCAGATCCATCAGAGGAATCACTGCCTGTGGCAGCTACAGCCTTATGAAATACATTTATTTATTTATTTTTTGAGATAGGATATATCTCTCTCACCCATGCTGGAATGCAGTGGCATGAACATGGCTCACTGCAGCCTTGACCTCCTGGGCTCAAGAGATCCTCCTGCCTCAGCCTCTCATGTAGCTGGGACTACAGGTGTGCATCACCATGCTGGGCTAATTTTTTGATTTTTTTTTTTTTTTTTTTTGTAGAGACAGGGTCTCACTTTGTTGCCCAGACTGATCTCAAACTCCTGGGCTCAGGCAGTCCTCCTGCCTCAGCCTCTCAAAGTGTTGGTGTTACAGGGATCAGCTACCATCCCCAACCTATATTTCTTAAATAATAAGACTTGAAAGTCAAAATTCCCTCTTGATCCATGGGCTGCAGAATGGGTGTTGTGTCAGAAGGCATGAAAACATTAATTTTCCTTTACATCTGCATCAAAGCTCTTGGGTGACTAGGTGCATTGTCAATGAGCAGTTATATTTTGAAAGAAGTCCTTTTGTTTTCTGAGCAGTAGATCTCAGTAGTGGGCTTAAAATATTCAGTAAACCATGCTGTAAACAGAACCCTTAGATTTTCGAAATGGTAAATGAGCATTGGCCTCAACTTCAAGTCACCAGTCTCATTAGCCCCTAACAAGAGAGTAAGCCTGTCCATCAAAGCTTTGAGGTCAGGTCAGGTGCAGTGGCTTGTGGCTGTAATCCCAGCGTTTTGAGAGTCTGAGGCGGGAGGATTGCTTGAGGCCAGGAGATTGAGACTAGCCTGGGCAACATAGCATGAGTCTATCTCTACTTAAAATTTAAAAATTAGCTATGTGTGGTGTCATATGGCTATAGTCCCAGGTACTCAGGAGGCTGAGGTGGGAGCATTGCTTGAGCCCAGGAATTCAAGGCTGCAGTGAGCTGTGATTGCACCACTGCACTCTAGCCTGGGTGACACAGTGAGACTCTTGTCTCTGAAAAAAACAAAACAATCATCCCTCCCCTCACAAAAAAATCACTTTGAAGCCAGGCATTGACTTCTCATTTCTAGCTGTGAGAGTCCTAGATGGCATCTTCTTCTAATAGAAGGTTGTTTTGTCTACATTGAAAATCTGTTGTTTATTGCAGTCATCTTCAGCAATGATCTTAGTTGGATCTTCTGTATAACTTGCTGCAACTTCTACTTCAGCACTTGCTGCTTCACCTTGCAGTTTATGTTATGAAGACAGCTTTTTTCCTTAAACCTCATGAATCGACCTCTGCTAGCTTCCAACTTTTCTTCTTCAGCTTCCTCATCCCTCTCAGCCCTCATAGAATTGAAGAGAGTTAGGACCTTGCTCTGGATTAGGTTTTGGCTTAAGGGAATGTTGTGTCTGGTTTGATCTTCTCTCCAGATCACTCAAACTTTCTCCGTGTCAGCAATAAGGCTGTTTTCTTTTTTATCATTTCAGTGTTCACTGGAGTAGTACTTTTAATTTCTTTCAATAACTTTTCCTTTGCATTCACAACTTGGGTAACTGTTTAGCACAAGAGGCCTAGTTTTTGGCCTGTCTAGGTTTCTGACATGTCTGGTTTCCTCACCAGGCTTAATCATTTCTAGCTTTTGCTTTAAAGTGAGAGATGTGCAACTCTTCTTTTCCCTTGATCACTTAGAGGCCATTGTAGGGATATTAATAGGCCCAATTTCAATATTATTTAATCTTGGGAAATAGGGAGGCCTGAAGAGAAGGAGAAAAATGGGGGAATAGCCGGTTGGTGGAGCAGTCAAAACACACACAACATGTATGGATTGCACTTGCCATCTTCTATGGGTGAGGTTTGAGGTGCCCCAAAACAATTATAATAGTAAGATCAAGGATTGCTGATCATAGATCACCATAACAGATATAATAATAATGAAAAATTTGAAATATTGCAAGGATTACCAAAATGGGACAGAGAGACAGGAAGTAAGCATATGCTGTTGGAAAAATGGCACTGATACCCTTGCTTGATGCAGGGTTGCCACAAAACCTTTAATTTGTTAAAAACAAAACAAAACTACCCATCTGTGAGTTGAGTGCGGTAAAATGAGGTGTGCCTCTATGTGATTGATGTCCCCCCATATCTGCTGGTCTAAAATCTGAGGTGGCGTCCATAAGATTCTTTTCCGTTTGACTCAGAGATAATAAGCATCTCGAAAGGCTTCTTTTCATTTCAGGGTGGTAGATCTGGGAGGCAGCCAATGTGTTGCCAAATTGGTGGCAGAAACCTAGAAAATGGGTAGGAAGAAGTAGTAAAAGCACTAACAGAAGTACGTTACATCCTGGGAGATGTAATATACACAAATAAAGTGTTGTAGGTTGTTGCTAATGGTAAGAGTTAGCAGCAGTGTACACTGAGGCCTGTAGTTTCTATTTTATGTACTCCATTGCTTCGGAGTGAGAGAACCAGCCGGTGAGTAGGGGAAAATACCTTCTCAATAGAGCTGAGGTTTGTTGCATGGAGGCCTACAAAGCACTATTTTACTAAATTGAGCTAGAATTGTACATACAAACATTTTCAACCATAGATCTGGGACTAGAATAGCACCCAAGTAAAAAAGTGACCCCTAGATAAGTCTCCGTATCCTATCTATTGAAAAATATTAATACTAGCATTAGACAAATATTTCCTTGCTCCAGGTTGATCAAATAGAAAAAAAAAACAACTTTATGCAACCATTGAAAATTATTGTAGAACAAAGGAAATATATATCATCCTGAAAACTCGAAAGAACACCAGTGAAAATTATTTACAATAGGAAACAAAAAAGTTTAGAAAACTGTTCAGAATCCTCACTATATTGAAAAAGGTGTAGTCTCAGTGAAACAGAGCACAATGCCATGAGTTGAGAATTGAGAAATGAAAAGGCAACAGGATGAGTTGAAAAGGGGAGTGGATGAAATGAGGTTAGTTGCAAGACTCTAAAAATGCAATGGCAAAAACAAAAAAGGAAATGCAATAGCAAAATTAACATCCACAATGGGGGCAGTAAAAGGTAAAATTGATACTGTGGGAAACCAGATCAGTGTGATGGAGAATAAGCTAAAGAAATGTTTTCAGAATTTAGAAGAAAAGGAAAAAGAAAATAATGAAAGAGAAACCGTGAGGTAAAGAGAATGGAACTTCAGTAACAATTATTGATTATTCCTGAATAATAAACTATAGTAATTAGAAAAAAATAATAAAACAAAATTGAAGAAAATTACTAGTGCAGGAAGCAAAAAAAATTAAAAGACTACTGTATGAATTGAAAGGTTAATTGTCTTTCAGGCAAAACACATAAGAAATGACATTTAGCTGGACTCATCCTGGCAAAGTTTGAGGTTTAAAATAATGATCAGCTATCATATAAGTAGCCATGCAAGAAAAACCAAATAAAACATACACAAAGAGCACTCCAGAAAATTACCTAGTAAGGAGCAAAAATTACAGTTTTTTGAATCATCTAAATTTATTATGTATTATTTAGACTCTGAGTCAAAGAGAGTAACAGAGCAACACCTAAAGAATTTTGAGGCAAAAATTGTCTTCTAAAAATTTTATACCTGACCAAGTTATCTTCCTAAGATAATTAAAATATATTATCAGTTATGTAAGTTTTCAGAACATACTATGCATATACCTCATCTTGTTTTTTCATCCCTTTATTACTGCATTTTAATTGAACAAGCCAAGAAAGGAATTAAAATAAAAAATTCAACAATGAAGTAGAAATGATATAAAACTAAAATGTCACTAATTTGCAGACTATTGGTCAAAAATTGAGCTGAGTTAGTGTGGTTTTAATTACAGCTACTTTATCTTTTTTTTTTTTTTTTTTTTTTTTGAGATGGAGTCTCACTCTGTCACCAGGCTGGAGTGCAGTGGCACGATCTCGGCTCACTGCAACCTCTGCCTCCTGTGTTCAAGCTATTCTCCTGCCTCAGCCTCCCGAGTAGCTGGGACTACAGGCGTGTGCCACCATGCCCGGGTAATTTTTTGTATTTTTAGTAGAGACAGGGTTTCACCATATTAGCCAGGGTGGTCTCGATCTCCTGACCTTGGAATTTGCCTGCTTTGGCCTGCCAAAGTGCTGGGATTACAGGCGTGAGCCACCACGCCCGGCCCTAGATACTTTTTAATGCTGTTTTCCTGGTTAAAGTTACAGAGAAATAATCTGGCCAGATATTTCCTACAGAAATGCTACTTTAATGAGTACTTAAGAATTATTTGTTAATTAGCACCTGAAAGTACTGATCTGAATATGGGCTTTTCCTGCCTTCATTGCTGTTTACATGAATGAATATAAATTGATAAGCTGGCTAAGGTATCTCTTCTGAAATTTTAATATGCTTTATCATTGGTCAGTTTCAAAGGTAAATTGCAGTCTAATTTAGGCCTATCTAGCATGAGAGTGACTAAGTTATTTTAAAGACCTCACCCAGTCAGATGGCTTCTCTTCTTGCTCTTAAATTGCGGTTTTAAATAGCAGAATCAAAAAGAGAAGATGAAGAGTGTTGTATTATTGTCACTGTAAATAGACTTATGCTTAATAGCTCACTGTGGGAATTCCCCTGAGATTTCATTTATGGGTACAGTATCAGAATGTCATGCTGATATGGATGGCCAATAGATAAGTATATATTAATAATTGATAGTTTCTTAATGACGCTTCTGTCTTTGAAAAAATGATTTTAAAAGAAGGAATATCTTTCAATCCAGTTATGGATCTCTATCAAATATAAGTCAGAGGTTAATAGGACTGTGTCATTGATACTGTAATACAATTGCAATTGCCTTATTCCTACTTTACATTTTTATTGAAAGTCAACCTAGCATATAATTTTAAAATGATTTTTTCCATCTTATACATTTAATTTTTCTATATATTAGCACAAATTAAACTCATAGCTTGACTGTAATCAACATATGTGAACCAATATCTGGTTACCACAGAAAACCATTATTATATGACCTAATTTGATATTTAAAAAATTGCCATTAGTGACCTTAGGCACAAATAGAAAGGGAATAGCCCTGTAACAGCAGACTTAAATTGTAAAGGAAAAGTGAAGTTTTTTGTTTTTTTTTTTCCTAAGAGAATGCCTATCAGATAGAATCTCCCTTGCTTTTTGATGAAGTGGGGCTTGCTCTGTTACTTTGTAGTGGGAGAATTTCTCAGACATTCTGCTGTAGCAAAAAATTTAGACCTTATCACCTTTCCCAATCCTATACCCCCTCATTTCCTCATTATTTTTCTTAGTGGCTTAGAGTGCATGGCCCAACCTTATAAGCACACCCCCAGCATACCCTCATCATATCCTGTTTACCTTCAATCTTACTCATTTGAAAAATCTATAATCCGGATTAAACTCAACTACTTGTCTACTCATGCCTGTACACTAGCAGCTAAGAATGATTGAAGAAAATCACAGAAGCCTCCCGTGTGATCTTGCTTGATGTTTATAACCACAAATATCCAATGAGCGCTCCGTACTGTGCTGACCAACCAGCTACTACACTTACCTAGGCAGTTTCATCTTCGATTCTCACAGTGCCTCTTTCACCTGTTTTCCTCTATCCTCAAATCTTGGGCATCCCTCTCTAATCCTCTCACTCAGCTGTCTCTTTCACTCAGAGAGCAATCTTCATATTAGCCAAAGGGCATGGTGACCTTGCTGCTTGTTTCAGTATAAGACAACAAAAGCAATCGGAAGAAGCTTCTACATTCTCCCATCATCAAATTTCTCAAACCACCTCCACTTGAAACTCTACTATACTTTCTCTCCTATTGCAGTAGAAGAAGTGTCTGTGCTTCTAAGGACAACTCTTCCATGTATACCTTGGAATCTATAACCTCATACCTACTCGAGCATTTTATTACTCAGAGTATCTCTCCTCCCTCCTGTGTTACAGTTTTCCATTTCAATTGCTTCATTTCCATCAGTCCACAAACATAGTGTGCTATCATCTCTCATCTTACACGAAACAAGACAAAATAAAATTTGTCTTTGTCTTAAATCTCCTAGTGTCACTCTATTTTTCTGGTTCTATTTTCAGCAAAACTCCTTGGAAGAAGTCTACACTTCTGGTTTTCACTTCCTCTTCCTCCATTCTCTCTGAAACACACTCTGCCCCAGTGAAGGAAGTCTAATCAAGGTCATCAGTAACCACTGCGTCAACACATACAGTGGCTAATTCTGATTTTTTACTTACATAACTCACAGGAATGACTAGCCTAGTAAATAACCTTCTTTTTCTTGAAGGATTTTCTTAAAACTTGGATTCTGGGAAGTGACACTCTTACCTTTCTTCTGACCATTCTGGCTATTTTCTGTTTCTTCTTAGCCTCCCTTACTGGTTCCTCTTCCTCTTCTTAACCTCTCAATGTTGAATTCCTGAGAAATCAGTTCTAGACCATCTTCCCCTTATAGTCTACATTCACTACCTTGGGGAACTCAACTAGCATTATGGTGGCTTTAAATACATTCTATCTGATGTTGGTCCCCCAAATTTATATTTTGAGCCCCAGTCTCTCTTGAGCTCTATATTCTTGTATCTAACCACCTGCTTTTCAAACTTATGTTAAAAAACTTTTCTTGATTTTACCTCCCAAACCTGCTTCTACTCCCTTATTCTCTATCTAAATAAATGGCACCCCATCATCCAAGACTTTTGTGTTGTACAACTCCGGGGTATGTTGTTCTTATGGATTAATTGGACCTTTGTTAGCATCTTCTGTGCATTTTTTTCCCATGGGTATCTCATTTATTTGAATTGGACTAAAAAATGTAAACCGTTTGGTAGCTGTATTTAGCTCTTGAAAGTTTCAGTCTATCTGGGTAGCTGCTATACTAATTACATGATGAAAATGAACAGCTAATATTCTTTTGTTTGAGAAATTGCCAAAGATCAGAGAACCATCTTCATATTGACTAAAGTGCATAACTCAAAAAATAATAATTTTAACTTTAACTTCAGATCTTGGAAACATTTCAGTGAAGAGTTTTTGATTTAAAAAGACCATCAGTTTTCACTTACCATTTAGGATAATAACCATATAATATTTTTCGATTCCACCAAAAATGGCCACATTTCTCTTTGACTAAAAAGTAGTAAATATCAGCAGCTCTTTTTATTTGCTGCTACTACTGCAGAAAGCTTCATAAACTTTTCAGCCAGAAATATTGTAAAGATCAAAGAGCTTTCAAATGAGTTTCTAACTAACAATGTAGATACTCTGTCTGCATTAGCCAAACTTGCTATGCTCTGTTCCCTAGAGCACACCATATTCTAAGCAAGACAGGGATTATTAAAAAGTTAACCGTGGAATAAATAATCAACATAAAATAGTATGCATGATATGTGCATAAGTTTTTAAAGCTAATTATAAAGATAATTTTACCTCTACTGCTGTTTTCCATATCATGTTATTTTCCCAGACTGTAATTTTGCCTCCTGCCCTGAAGTAGCTGCCATCCTGAATTTTGTGTTTATATCCTCCTCCTTTTTTAGTAGTATATACTCCTAAACAAAATATTGTGTTGGTTAGTTTTGCTTGATTAGGGGCTTCATAAAAGTGGTTTCATTATGAAAGCTTTCTTTATCCAAATAGAAATAGTGTGTTTAAGTGGGGTAAGCTTGGCAGAACAATGGACCATTGTGATATCATTTACATGCTTATGTTTTTTATTGCCTTCAGTACTATGTAATTTGGTCTTGTCACTGATTAGCCAATTAGGAATTGGAAGGATGATATGTAAATGTTACTGTCTAACTGACAGAATGATTTATTAGAAGTGTGTATTTGTAGAATTTCACCTGCTTTGTTGTTTGGGAGGCTCAGTGCCAAACCTAAACACAAGGGTCAATGGCAGACCTGTGGCCAGCGGTTTATAAGAAAATTCAGCCACAGTTGAATTTCATTCAAGTACGGTTTTGTTTGCTTGCCAGTGGTGCCATGCTGACTTTAGAATATATTTACCTTTTCTATAGTTTCCATCAGCATTGTTGATTTCAGCATGTATGGATATAACCCGTGGGTCCTGATGCCACCCACTGACAGCACTGGCTTGGTTTTTGGCCCTGCTTGTGCTGGTACTTTCTATTCTTCCAATGTCAGTGTTTCTACTCTATTCTTACTGCCAAATGGATCCTCTGAACCGTAAGATTTACATGAAGAGGGCTTCCCTTTGCTCTTGGAAAACTGTGTGGCTCATTGACCTAGGTTGTTTCCTTTGATTTCAGAGATGGGAGAGGTTTTGTTCTCATTAAAAATATTCTTTTGATTTCACGATTTTGTCTTAATGTGTTTTGGATAGAAAAATGCTAAAAATAATACTCTTACAAAGAAAGCAGAAAAAAAGAAGGAACTGATATTTGTCCATAGCTTTAATCCACAAAATTAAAAAGCATTCACTTATTTTAAGAAATAATAGGAGTCATTTTTATGAAAATGTGTTAGTTAGAGCTTACTAAGTTTAATCTTCTGATGTCCTTATTCTCTTTATTTTAAAAAGCAAGCAATATATACATTGCAAGCCTCTGTAAAGATTGCGTAAGATGCTAATGGAGAGAAGATAGTAATATAGTCATACTTAAAGTTTATTCTCTTTTTTTTTTTTTGAGATGAAGTCTTGCTCTGTTGCCCAGGCTAGAGTGCAGTGGTGCTATCTCCACTCACTGCAACCTATGCCTCCAGGTTCAAGCGATTCTCCTGCCTCAGCCTCCTGAGGAGCTGGGATTACAGCCACTCACCACTACACCCGGCTAATTTTTGTATTTTTAGGAGAGATGGGGTTTCACCATGTTGGCCAGGCTGGTCTCAAACTCCTGACCTCAAGTGATCCACCCGCCTCGGCCTCCCAAAGTGCTGGGATTACAGGCCTGAGCCACCGTGCCCAGCCTATTCTCTTATATAATTAATTTAAGCTCACTCTTATAAAATTTTCAAGTTTTATTTCATGTCATCTTTTTATGCATGCCTGAGAGGTTATTTTTCATATAATTTTTTTTGCTTACTGATGCTTTAAATAACCAGTGTAGGTAATGTTTATTAAAGTGAGATGTCAGGTTGCTGGCTTTCATTGTTGAAGAGTCTGTTTTAGGTGAATAAGGAGAGAAAATGAGGTAATGAGGTGGCGCATATAGTAGCATCTCGGAGACCACTGAGACCAATGCAGGAAAATATCCTGGAGTGCACAGTCCATCAATTCCAGTATGAGTAGCCTGCAAGGATGATCCACATCAACATTCACAACATTGTGTAAATTACACTAATTAAGTAATCACTTTGTTTTTCTTCCACCATTTTAGAAGAATTTCCAAGGAATTATTGGTTGGGGGAAAGAGGGATAAGTTGGAATAGACAAGGAGAGGAAGATAGGATTAAGGGTCTAGATTCCTTCAGTGAATGGTGGCTCTGAGCAGGTAGAGATGAAGGGGAGGAGACTGGAGACTCTTAGAGGACTGTATGAGGGATAGAGCTCTGAAAACTGGGAAGACGGAATCCAGAGTGGTTTGTCAGGTGTGACACCGTAGAAACTGCCTATTGTGTTGGACTTTGGAGACTTAGGGGGAAAGGGTAGGAAGTGGGTGAGGGATAAAAGACTAGAAATTGGGTTCAGTATATACTGCTCAGGTTATGGGTGCACCAAAATCTCACAAATCACCATTAAAGAACTTATTCATGTAACGAAATGCCACCTGTTCCCCCAAAACCAATGGAAATAAGAAATTAATAATAATAATAAAAACTTCTACTCTAAAAAACAAGAAAACAAACAAAAACAATCACTTGGGGAGTTTTTACAATTTCTAATGCCCAAGTTTCCCTTTATATCAATTAAATAAGAATCTCTAGTGGTAGACATTGGCATCAGTATTTTTCAAAGATTTCCCAGGTTATTCCAATGTGTTAGCAAAGTTTGGGAAACAGACCTAGCCTATGCTATTCAGTCTCCTACAGTATTAATATATTCCTGAAAATGTGTAAGAGTAAAGTGATGTTTTTTGCTGTTGTAGAATATGTTCATCCCTAGAGAACTTAAAATATAAATATTTTATAGCTTGCTTTATGACATATTATTCACTATATTGATAATATTTTATATGACTTTATTCTTTGTTTACATTTGAACACAATCTTGTGGATATGTGGTGCTAATATTTTCCTCTTTTGGCACATCTAATTAGTTCCATGTTTTCTCACAATTAAGTTTATAAGACTGAAGGTTTTTATTCTTAAAAAACAAACAAAAAAAACACCTATTGTGACTCCTCAATTAATGTCCGAGAAAATATTTTCAGCCGGAAGGGAAGGACTTAAAACGTTTCATGAGATATTAAATGGAAATGCATTGTTCAGGGCCTCTTAGGATATATATATATATATAAAATATAATATATATAAAAATATATAATATGATACATAATATATAATATAATATGTAAAATATATAATATAGTATATAAAAGATAATGTTATATAAATATATATAATATAATATATATAGGGTCATAGAACATATCCCAGGGGAGATTATGTTAATTGTCTATCATTGCATTTAACATGTAACAGTATTCTAGATAAAATAATAGTGGTTGATATTGTTTTTTCATCCCCTCTCTACTCCTTTACATTTTGTTTTGGTTAACAGATAACTGACTTAATAAAATTAAAAAGTTAGTTATGAGCAGAGACACATGTAGACATGTCAAAATAGTCATGCATTTCCATGTCAAGCCAAATAGTCATGTATTTCCATGTCAAGCCAAAGGCAAACTAAAAGAAGCAAATAAAACTCCATACAATGGATTTTTACTTTATTTTTTTGTTTGTTTTATCCCAGAATCCTGAAGATTTACATTAGGTGAAAATCTAGTGTACATATATATCTTAGGAAATGGATATTAGAGTACAATCATTACTAGAGAATCTGTTCTTCCAGAAAGTACCACTAAATTACACATTTAAAACCAGAACAAAGGCAATGAAGGAACAGTCATTTTTATTAGTTGACTTATTTATTTGATAAACACTTTCTGGATACCAGTGTGCCACTCTGCTAGTTTTAGTAATACAATGACAAGTAACACACAGCTCCTGCCTTCAAAAATATTGTGATGTAATGGGGGTGTCAGGCCCAATCAACAGCATAGAAGTATAGTGAAAGAGGCATGTACAGGATATTACAAATGATTAAAAACTCTACCCCTTCCAATTATTGTTGGATTCTAAGGTAACATTGATTAGCTAAATTAAGTCCACCCACATTAGGAGCCACACTGCTTTGTGGAATGTATATATACATTCTGCCTTTGCCCTGGGGAAGTCAATGGCTGTATTTAGAAGTACAAAGTTTTAGCACTTTGAGGTCATTTATAGCATTGACAAAGTAGATGTGATAAATACAGAAGTTTTCTTTTTTTTTTTTTTTTTTTTTTTTGAGACGGAGTCTCGCTCTGTCGCCCAGGCTGGAGTGCAGTGGCGGGATCTCGGCTCACTGCAAGCTCCGCCTCCCGGGTTCACGCCATTCTCCTGCCTCAGCCTCCCGAGTAGCTGGGACTACAGGCGCCCGCCACTACGCCCGGCTAATTTTTTGTATTTTTAGTAGAGACGGGGTTTCACCATTTTAGCCGGGATGGTCTCGATCTCCTGACCTCGTGATCCGCCCGCCTCGGCCTCCCAAAGTGCTGGGATAGAAGTTTTCTAAAATGAGCTACTGAACATCCTTCTTCCTGATAAGTTCTAACACAAAATTGTTCACTTAAAGGAGCATTACCTGGGCCTTTGAAGAGGTTTGGTCACTGGCCAGGATTCATATTAGTAAGTGAATGAAAAGTACTCTACTCAAAATGATTTGCCTTCATTTTCTGCCCTAAATGGAAGGAATTGACAATGTTTCTGATTGCTGTTGCTGCTGGTGGTGACAATAGTGGTGGGGATGATGGGAAGAGATTTCTGTTTTTATTTTAATCAACCACAGACTTGTTCCCCAGAAGCCATGTGATCAGCAAATTTAGAGGTGAGGGTTGGTCTATACTGGTTTCTGAGAAAGTCCCCTTTGTTGCCTTACTAGTCCCTCTTTGGGACCTTTTTAATTTAAGAGTGAATCTTGCAGCCAACCATTCTGTGGAAATAGAAATGATGCTACAATTAAAAATAGAAACATTGAAAAGTTACCGTGCTTAGAGCCTATTACATAAAAGTCTTTACCTAATATTCCTCTCATCCCTTCACAGAAGTAAATGAAAGACTCTGCCTCTCTTTTAATTATGAGGGTGAAGCTTCCTTCTGACCTTGCTATAGTGAAGGGATTCCTTTCTCCATGGGAGTCCCTCATTCCAGGCTAAAGATGCCATCTGTGCAGAAATATAGTGGTTGTTTGTCCCAAGTGGGCATTTTGTAGTTCCAAAGACCTTTGAGTATGTGACATTTGTTCACCAAAGACCTCTTAGCCTTTCCCAGGTGTGAGCTCTTCTGTTTGTGTTTTTATGTTTTAGTGCTGGATCAGAGAAAACATAGAAACTATAGAATACCCTGAGTGTAGGGCTTATGGCTATAATCCCAGTACTTTGGGAGGCCGAGGCAGGGAGGACTGCTTGAGGCCAGGAGTTCAAGACCTGCCTGAGCAACACAGAAAGCTTCATCTCTACAAAAATAAAAAATAAAAAATTAGCTGAGCATGGTGATGTGCGCCTGATATCCTAGCTACTTGGGAGGCTGAGGCAGGAGGATTGCTTGAGCCTAGGAGTTCAAGACTTTGATGTGATGCTGCCACTGCACTCCAGCCTGGGTTACAGAGCAAGACCGTGTCTCAAAAAAAGAAAAAAAAAAAAAGAACATTCTGAATGTGTGCAAGAGATATAGCTAGTAGGCCTCGAATTGAACTCCAAAGGTGAGGCTTGTCTATGCTGGGCATAAAATGGCATATTAACAGTTAAGCTCAGGTAAGGTAAGATCTCATGATTCCTCCCAGCTCATTGCTGCATTTCTACATTTTGATAAAATTTTGAATAAAAATAAGGGCAACATGGCACAGACCAGTGAGATCATAGCATAGTAGTGAGGGTGTGGTCAAGCCAGGGTAAGACAGATGGTTAATGGAGCATCCCATGCCACAAGAGCCAGATAAATCAAAGACTGAGAGAACGTACATTACACCACCACGGCCAGATACACTGAAACAGCCTTGTGAGAGCAAAAGGAAGACCCTGCATGGCCCTCAGAAGCGGGTGTGAGTAGTGTTCAAGATGAGGTTGCTGAGGAACCCATGAGAGTGAGCCAGTAGGGCACAGGCCTTCACACACCAGGAAGCGCAGAAATCTGTTGTGCATTGTAATGATAATATTGCTCACATCCTTAAGTCCAAAATATTTGTCCAGGAGTATCATAGCTGGAATGCTTTTCTCAAGCTGACTATAAACACTATGGAGAGTGGGTTTTACTGAGAAAAAACTGCCGAATGATACCAATATTTCTCCCACAGCTCCAGAAAAATGTGTCCACAAGCACAGTCCTATCCTTGAATTGGCAATATAAGCGAAGGATCGTTTTAGGTTAGGGGATGTATTGCTGAGTTCTCTAACTTGTCTTTTGGACACTTTTGAGTAGTCTGGGTTCTGCCATGGGGCTTTGCTTTGAAAGTTAAGAACAAGGTCAGGCCCCTCACACAGCTGTCATATGCATTCAGTGGTAGTAGTACATGTTCCTTGAGGTTTTAGCTGTGCAGGCAGCCAACTTCCACAATGGGCAGATGGCAGAATCAGGGGACTGACTTTTGGAAATGGATGGTAGGAATGGAGGCCATTATGGAAATGGTGGCTTTTCCACGAGGATGCCCAAAGGTCTGGTGAATGGTTCTAGTGAGCTCGTGTGCTTTTCCCCTCTGTTCTCATTGCCTTTCTGAATTGTTAAAGATTGAATTGTGTCCCTCTAAAATTCATGTTGAGTTCCTAACCTCAGTACTTTGGAATGCAACCTTATTTGGAAATCAGCTCATTTCGATGTAATTAATGAAGTTTAGGTGAGGTCATCCTGGAGTAGGGCAGGCCCTGAATCTGATGTGACTGGTATTCTTATAAAAAGGGGAAATATGGAAACAGGCATGCACACAGGGAGAACACCATGTGAGCATGACGGCAGAGATGGGAGTGATGCTTCTACAAGCCAAGGAACACGGAAGGTTGCCAGCAAACCACCAGAGAAAAGATATGGAACAGGTTCTCCCTCACAGCCCATCCTGCCGACATCTTGATTTCAGACTTCTGGCCCCCAAAACTGTGAGACAGTAATTTCTGTTGTTTAAATCATCCAGTGTATGATGCTTTGTTATGGCGGCCCTAGCAGACAAATGCATGGTTATCTGTTACTTGGCTGTCTCTTCTAGGGCACTCTACATTCATTGAGGTCAGGGACTGTGTCCTGATCATTTCCAAATCCTCATCACATACAGCAGTCCTGGTACACTTAGGCCTCCCCAAAATATTTACCAAATACAAAAAGTAGATATGTTGATTTCTGCCAATAAACATTTAGCTATCTCTCAAGTAGGAAAGCATATATACTGTTTTCCCAATTCTCAAACTCATTTCAGTTTAGCAACCTTGACCTTGGGTTAGGTTTGGGGTGACTTCCCTGTGTCTTAGTCTATTTGGGCTGCTATAAGGAAATATCATAGACTAGACGGCTTATCAGCAACAGATTTATTTCTCATAGTTCCCTCAGGTGGGAAGTCCAAGATAAAGGTACTTACAGATTCCTTGTCTGATGAGGACAAGGAATGATGGCTTCCTAGTTCATAGACAGTGGAAGGGAGGAAGGCTCTCTCTCGGGCCTCTTTTATAAGGACACTAATACCATTTATGAGAGCTCTACCCTCATGACTAATCACTTCCCAAAGCTCCATCTTCAAATACCCTCACATTGGGTGTGGAGTTGCAACATATGAAAGTTAGAGAGACACACACATTCAAACCATAGCACCTTGATCAGTTCTTCGTCTCCCTAAGTCCCATCAATTACCCTCATTATACTGTATTTAAAAAGTTAAGCCTAACAACTTTCATAGTATCCACAGGTAAATGAAGTTTTTATAACGTAGCACTGTTTTAGGAAAGCCTTCATTAAAAGAATGTGTATAGGCAGTATCAAGAATTTGATTAAGATTTTCTTGAGAAGAAAAGAAATTACTTAATTTTCACACAAATGAAGGATATTTTAATATAAAGATACCTACTCATTGTGAAGACATGTCCTGAATAAATATGGAATATAAGTGGACAATTTATTTAGACAGATAAAAGTCTCCAAAACATATTACCATAGATGCAGACATCTGTCTTCTAGATTGTAGAAGCTAGCTGTATAAAATTATGGTGATATACGAGTGAACTGAGATATTTTTAAACTATAAGTGAAAATGTAGGTCCTTAAAAGTAAACTAGAATAAAGCTTCCTTCATAACTGCAAGCAAAAAAAAAATATGCCAACTGGCTATATCTGGAAACCTCAGTATCTATTTACTTGAATTTTAACCTTTGTGCTAAAGGTCTGGGAAGCAGAGGGAAAAGAGGCTGACTGGAATGAGATGACACAGGACAGGAAAGAGGGGAAGAATTCTAGGTCAGAGGTGGAAGGGACATATTCTGTAATAGTTTTCTGGGCCCTCGAGTTATAAGTCATTTCTGAAAGCTTAGAGATCAACTAAAATATCCTTCCACTGTGATAAGGTGGAAACATTTTTAACTTCATTTATCTTTTGTGTGTTCCATTTTCTGTGGTTTCTTGTGTTTCTTCTAACAGAGGGAAAAAAAGAATTCTTTATTAAATTCCTGATCTAGTTAAATATATGACAGACAGCATGATTTTACATAAGACTTTCTCTGGAAACTGATTTGCTTGATTTACTGTTGTTTTAAGTTGGCTTATATGTTTTGCTTAAACGTTTAGACCTGTCAAAATGGCCACCCAAAGCTTTGATGCCAGATTGCATCTCTCAACTGACAGTTAAGTAAAACATAGTTTTAGAATATAGGCAAGGTCTTACCCTATGTAACAGAAGCGACTCTGCAGCACTTTTCTCTACTGTTTGTTTACTGCATAAGCACATTGTAACGGGTGTGATTTAGAAGCACTAGACTCAAATCTGTTTAAAAATCATTCCAGATTTACTCTACTAAAAATACTAAGAGAAAATTTTTCTTTAAGATTTCTTACTTGCAACATAGCATTTAAGAAAAATTACTCAATGTAAGACAATATCTTGAGAAACCTAAAACCAAGTGAAAAGACTTGGAAAACATCTCCTGACCACGATGGTCAAATGTTTGTGGTGTCTATTTGATAGCACAACAAGCGAAATAGAATGCCTTAACTTTTCCTTTTCCCTGATCTAACCTCTGTTTCTAGGAATAAAAAACAGAAGGGCAGTTTGCAGCTCAGAGATTTCTCACTTAACAACTTCAGCTGGGATGGGGCCCAGAATCTGGCTCTGGTGTATAAAATTACACTTTTAACTGTATGTGAGGATATTAACACTTGCCTTCGCCAGTTTTCAACAGACACATATATGTGGGATGCATGTAGGTATTTAACTTTCTAAGATGTTTATAGTTAGAAATGCCTTTAAAACCCCTGGACTATGGGTGTTTTCCTGTGGAATGCCATTATCCTGTTTATTTGTTTATATTCAAAGCAGTGCACACATCTTACATGAATTGACTACAGCTTACAGTGTTCTGTTTATTTGTATATTTTTATTTTCAAAGCAAACCAGGTATACGGAGAAGTCTTATATGAACAGCTCAATGAGTTTTTAGGAAACACATCTGTGTAACCACCACCCACATCAACATATCAAACATCACCAATACCCCAGAAGCTACTCTATCCCTTCCGTGTCATTAGCCCCTTAAAGGTAACCACCATTCTGACCTCTGTCACTGTAGATTATAGCTGCTCATTCTTCAATTCTACAGATTTCCATAGAAATTCCTATGGTATTCTGTAGGAATCATGCAGCTTACGTTGCTGTTTTTTTTTCCCCTAGATTCTTTTCTTCAGTGTGCGTCTGTGAGGTTCATTCTTGTGGTTGTGTGTTCTTTTTCATTACTATACAGGACTGCATTTGTTCTTTTTCATTACTATACAAGATTCCATTTTGTATGTTTTAAAATTTATACTCCATTCTATTGCTGATGCATTTCTGTGTTGTTTCCAACTTTCAGCTATCAAGAATAATGCTTCTATGAACGTGCTTATACATGTAACATTGGTACACAGGGATATGCATTTCTGGCGAGGAAGAGACTTACTGGGTTATAGAGTCCACATATGTTCAGCTTCGTGGAGACTGCCAGTTTTCCAAAGTGGTTTTAACAATTTACATTCCCTGCAGCAGTGTTTAAAAGTTCCAGTTATCCTGTGTCCTCACCAATGCTTTGTAGTGTCAACGTTTTTTTCTGATTTATTATTTTTTTTAATTTTAGCTATTCTATTGGCTATGCAGTAATCTTTTGTTGTGATTTTAATTTGGATTTCTCTGATCACTAGTATTGTTAATCATTTTTATTTCCTTACCTGCCATTTGAAATTGGTCTTTTTAATGACGTGTGTGTTAAAGTCCTTTGCCGTTTAAAAATACTGGGTAGTCTTTCTTTTACTCTGGCTTGTAGAAGGCAAGTTTTAAAAAAAATTTGTTCATTTTCAGTTATATACATGACAAATATATTTTCTTTCTTTATGGCTTATCTTCCCTCTTTATGACATCTTTTGATCAACTGAAGTTCTTACTTTCAATGAAGTTTAACTTATTAATCCATTCTATTATTGCATTGTTGTTTTTTGTCCTTTTCAGAAATATTTACCCAATCCAAGGTCATGAAGATATTCTCCTCTGCTATCTTCTAGAAGCTCTGTCATTTTGCCTTTCGCATTTCTGGTCTGTCTGGGAGTAATTTTTTTGTATAATGTGAGGTAGGAGGCAAGGATCATTTTTTCTCACATGGGTATCCATTCTTTTTCCCAGTGGCAGCTTTGCCCTATAGCAGTTGACCGTTTATGTGTGGGTCTGTGTCTGGACTCTGTGCTGCCCCACTGGTCTATTTACCTATCCTTGCACTGATACCATACCATTCCGATGACTATAACTGTAAATTAAATCTTGATATCTGGTAATATAAGTTCTCCAACTTTGTTCTTCAATATAATTTTTTTTATTCTTGAGCTTTTGCATTTCCATGTAATTTTAGAATCAGCTTGCCAAATTTCACACACAAAGATTTAGATTATTAATTGGGATAATAATGAATCAATTTAAGTAGAATTGACATTTTTCAATATTGTACCTTCCAGGAACCTAGTAGATGCCTCCATTTCTTAAGTCTTCTTTCACCTTGTCAGTAAAGTTTTGGGTTTTCTTTGTGGAGGACTGCACATCGTTCACTGGCTTTATTCCTAGTTATGTGTCCTCTTTTCAGTAGAGAGCTGCTTCCAGTTTGTATAAAAGCAAAATCTTCCTTTACGGTCACACCCTTAAACAAAACATTATAGAGGAACTATTTTGAAGCTGAAGAGAGGAAGTGCCCTTGAACCTTGAGGAGGAGGTGCGGAGTTTTTTTTGGTTGTTGGTTTGAGGTAGGTGAGATGCAGTATGTCTTGTCCAGATGGAATCTTTGGAATATCCTTAAAGGCAGCAGATGTGTGTGGGAAGAATGACAGAGTATATCGAGAAGCAGACTTAATGCATTGAGTAATCGCATAGTTGAATGAATAAACCAATGCATATTTTAAGTATCTGAAGTACATTCATTGATGCAAAGCAAATGACCATTCTAAACATAGGTTATATCCTGGATTTACCTTCTTAAATCTTTGATTTACCATCCCCAGTTGCCAGAGATGAAGTTATAAATTAAATGATTAAAATATTATCAAGGTAATTGATGGTTTAGATTTACCACCAATTATATTTCCCATTAAATAAGAAACATTTTGAAATTTAATAACTCATGTGTGAGTCAGTGACAGCATACTGTTTTAGAGTTAAAGTCTCTTGGAGTTCCTGCTGGTTACTACTCTGTTTTTCTTTTCTTTCCCAATCATGCTTTGGGAAAGAATATTCCTTCTTGCTGACACCAGTGTCTCAGCTCCAATTCACTTCTCATACCAGCCCCTGACTCCTGACATCCATCAAAACTGTTTTCATCCTTAAGACCCAAAGACCTCATAATTGCCAGATTCAGTAAAGAAGTTTTCTTCAAGTTCTTTCGACATTTGAGATTATTGAACTATTCCTTCTCCTTAAAACTCTTCTTTTGCGGCTTTCTTGATATTTATTCTCCTTTCCTGGTCTCCTTCCTACCTCTCTGACTCTTTCTCAGGCTGTCTTCATTCCACAAATGTTGTTATTGCACATGGCCTGCTTCAGACTCATTGCTTCTTCATTGTGAATTCTCAATCTGGTGGAACTCGTTCACTCTGTGGCTTCCTGACAATCAGTCTTCTGACGTTTTTGAAAGCTTATCCTGAAATATCCTACACTACAAACACGTATATCCAACTACCTGTTGGACCTCTCCATTTGAGTGCCCCAGAGACACTTAAAACTTAACATGTCAGAACAGGAAACATCTTAACATGTTCTGCACCTTGGTGAATGCCACCCTTTCTCCTGGGCCAGCAGCCTGGAAGTGGTTATTGACTATTCTCTCTTTTTTGTTTCCCCATGTCTAGTGAAAACATCCAACTCGTCTTCCTCCTTAATAGCCTTAATATGTCTGCAGTCTTGACCCTCTTCTCTATATCTCTCTCTTTTTTCTGTTCCCAAATAGCCTTACACCTGGCTTTTTAAAACAGGCTCCTAACTGGTCTCTCTGCCCATTCAATATGGTCATCCTCCAATCTCATATCTGCTTTCAAGATGATCTTTCCAAAATGTACTACTTCTCTATTTAAAACTCTACAGTGGTTCTATTTTTCCTTCAGCACAAAAGCCAAGACCTTCAATATGGCTTTACAAACCTAGCCATAAGGGAGCTCCTTCTGCTTCTCTAGTCTCCTCTTGACACTACCCCTTTTCACCTGCCTGACCTGTTATCCAGAGCCCCTGCAGTTCCTTCCATCACTCTGTGCCTTCCCTTCATAAATACTCTGCTTCTGCCCAGAACAGTCACATCTCTATCCACAACTTCTTCTGTGGGTGGTTTCTTACTCATTCTCCAAAACTTACCTTGGTTATGTCATGCTCTAGGGGGAACCTTTTCTCATTCCCCTGCACACACCAGTCTGGAATATATTATATTGCATTATATGTGTTTCTTTATCTCACTCTGAACTTTTCAAAGGCGAAAAACACATTTTTTCACGTTTGTATCCTCCCTCTGCAGGTACTTTTAGAAATAGGCACTATGTTAGGCTCTAGAGATGCAAAGATGAATAAGACATTATCCCTGCCTATGAGGCTCTCATAGTATAGAAAGTAAAACAGAAACATCAAAAGATAGTTACCGTGCAGTTTGACAAGTACCAGATGACAGGTATTTTTAAAACATGGAAGATAGAGCACCTGATTCTGGGTCTGAGTGAGTTCTATTTAAGTGTATACAAGGATTGTTTGAGAAATATGGACGGACAAATAATCCTCAGAGTAAATATCCTCTCCAGGAAAACTCCTGGCAACCCCATCACCCATTTCACCAGTTGATCTCCAGAGACTGTGCATTTTTGATCCTCACATGTAGAGAACTGCATGGGAGATAAAATATTAACAAATAGGACCCAAACATGTAAATAAACATGATATGGCTTGGTGGGAGAGGTAAACGTATTAAGCCATATTTTAGGACTTAGTTGAGACTTGAAAAAATAAGCATCTTATTTTGTGTGCTCAGGAGCTGTCTGACAAAATCCTAAGCCTGACTGAGATCATAGTCCACCCTGACTTTGTCTAAAAATGTTGCTGACTGGGCATGGTGGCTCACGTCTGAGATCCTAGCACTTTGGGAGACTGAGGTGGGAAGATGGCTTGAGCCTAGGAGGTTGAGGCTGCAGTGAGCTGGGATCACGCCACTACTGCACTCCAGCCTGGGCGAAAGAGCAAGACCCTGAAAGACCCTGTCTCAAAAAAGAAAAAAAAAAAGAGAAAAAAGGCGTTTGCCTTTATGGTAATAAGAACAGCCTAAAGCCTTGAAAGATTCATTCTACTTTTTCAGATACAATGTTAAAAAATTATTAAAGATTTCTGGCGGGGCGTGGGGGCTCACACCTGAAATCCTGGCACTTTGGGAGGCTGAGGTGGGCGGATCACGAGGTCAGGAGTTCGAGACCAGCCTGGCCAACATAGTGAAACCCCATCTCTACTAAAAATACAAAAATTAGCCGGGCATGGTGGCATGCGCCTGTAGTCCCAGCTACTTGGTAGGCTGAGGCAGGTGAATCGCTTGAACTCAGGAGGCGGAGGTTGTGGTCAGCCGAGATCACGCCACTGCACTCCAGCCTAGGCAACAGAGAGAGACTCCATCTCAAAAAAAAAAAACAAAAAAAAAGTTACAGATTTCTTTTTTCCAAAGCAGATTCATAAGCTGTCCCTTACGCTATGAAACTTACTGGAACGACTTTTAGGTTTGGTGAGTTTTCTTAGGACAGACAAACACTGTAAATGTTTTCTTAACCTAGTCCATGTTTATCTTATGTAAATGTTTTCTTTTTTTTTTGAGACGGAGTCTCCCTCCGTCACCCAGGCTAGAGTGCAGTGGCGTGATCTCGGCTCACTGCAAGCTCTGCCTCCCGGGTTCATGGCATTCTCCTGCCTCAGCTTCCGGAGTAGCTGGGACTACAGGCACCCACCACCACGCCCGGCTAACTTTTTGTATTTTTAGTAGAGATGGGGTTTCACCGTGTTAGGCAGGATGGTCTTGATCTTCTGACCTCGTGATCCGCCTGCCTCGACCTCCCAAAGTGCTAGGATTACAGGTGTGAGCCACCGCGCCTGGCCGGAAATGTTTTCTTAACCTGTTAAACAAACAGAATTTCAAACCTAACAAATAACCCAAATACATAGGTAACTGCTTTCATTTCATGGCCCTGAATGGCTGGAAAGTTAGTAGAAAAGTATATCTTCAAGCTGAGCTTTCAAAACACATATCTGTTTTCAAAAATCTTGTACAGGTGAAATATGTAATGCTTGGTTTTGTTTTGGTTTTGTTTTTCTCCTAAAAAACCAGTGTGACTAGTTTAAAACAATGCTAAATAATTCCTAAGGGAAAATGCTGCGAGAACCTTTCACCTAATGAGTTTACTGCCTTAGCTTGCTGTTTTAGTTACATGTTTTCAAGAAGTTCTCAGACGTATGAATGGAAGAACATCTCTGATTCCACTTTAAAATAGATGGGAAAAAAATGCACCAAGGTGGAAGTGGTTGGCAGGCAAAGAAGAAGAATATGAACAATATGAGGGCAGCACTATTTTTATTTTATTAAGGATTAGACATAGTGCATTACAATTGGAATAAAACGTTCAGGTTGTAAGTATGTATTTTTCCACTTGAATAAGTCAGTTAAACTTAGAAACTATTCAATGGGTGTCAGCTTGCAGGTTCTGGATCAATAGAACATAGTATCATGGCATACTGTCTACCATTATAGTATCATGATTGTCAGTTATTTGGAGTATTCTGGCTAAATGCTTTATTTCTAAATCATTATTTCTTCTTATGTGTTTTAATAAATTTGAGGTTATGTTATATGTAATATGCTTTTCTGTGCCTCTACTTCTTCATTTGTGAGATAGAGATAGCTGGAGTCCTGGCTCGTGGAGTTGTTACGAAGAGTAGATGAGAGGGGTGACTAAAGTGCCCAGCACAGAGCCTGGTGCCCAGTCAGCATCCAAGTAGGGTTTGTTGTTGCCTTACTTGTTTTTTATACTTTATTATACATCGTGAGCATTTTCTCAAGTTGCTAACCATTATTCAAAACCATGATGTCTCATGGATATGTAACAACCCACTTTTCTCTTAAGATTTAAATAATGTCATTTTGGTCAGTTTTGCAATTTCCAGATTGGCAATAACATAAATTCCACTGAACTAAACATTCTTATGCAGAAGTCTTTGTGACCAAGTAAGATACATTTCTAAAATAGAATGATTGGTCAAAATGTATACATATTTTAAAGGCTTTCATTTTCATTCATATGTCCAAATTCCATCCCTGAAAGATTGTAGCCATTTGAAAGTACCCCTTTCTCTTGCCATGTTTAAAGAAGAACTAAGGAAATGTAAAAGCATGTGGCAAAAATAATAGAAGGCTGGAAGTTTTAGAGCCAGAATATTTGCATTTATTTATTACTTATACCATGGTATTTATTTATACCAGGGAGGGAAGATAAATAAATTCCTATAATTTCTCATATTTAAAAGGAGCTTTTGTGTGATAAAGTAAAAGCACTGCATTGACTTTAAGCAGCCTGTTTCTTATATTGACTGATACAGGATTAAACACCAGCTTGAGGAAGTCACTCTACCTCTCATAGTTACAGACTCACAATTTGCAAAACGGTGATATCATACGTATACTATAGGACTTTTGTGGCAGTTAAATAATATTCTGCATGAGAAGCACCAAGCAAAGGTCTTGGCACATAGTAAGCACCTGTAGTTGATCACAGGCTTATTGACCATGAGTATCATTTTTGCTGCAGAGCCAGCCTTCAGCTTTCCTCGCTTTATTGCATCTGTAGATTCATAAAGTAGTAGAGTTCCCGACAGGTGTACTGGCTGTGTCCTGAATGAGGAGAGGGCAGAAATCCATGACATTTTTCAGCTGTAATGTCAACACACTTGATGGTCCTGGTTAGCATTAACATGACATAGTTTTATGACTTGACTTAGTGCACATCTAGCCCCTGCTTTGTGTCAGACACTGAATCAAGAGTTGGTGATACAGGAATGAATAAAAGGTAATCTTTGTCCTCGAAGGGCTCATAATCTAGACAGGAAGTGTTTACCATCTTTTCTGGGTGAAATTCTTCTTCTGTTTATACTTATTGAACATTCATTTGTGCTGTTCCCGTAAGACATGCACTGGTAGGTATTTGGAGGTGAAAGTAAGTAATGATAAAGCCAGACTGTGCCCCTAAGATGTTTAGAATGTGGTGGGTAGTTCAGTTAATTGGCATGCTGTGGTAGGAAAATAATGGGCTTTCAGTCAGAAGACCTTAGTTCATATTCAGGCCTCAAAACATACTTGTGGAATGATGGGTTGGGCAGGGAAGGCCCTTGTGTTCTAAGCAAGAAAATGAAAAGAGTTAAAATCCAGTTATTCATTCATCCATTTGGCAAGTATTTATTGAGTACCTGGGATTCAGCAGGGAATAAAATATACAAAAATCCCTGCCCTCATGGAGCATAGATTCAGTGGGGGTGACGAAGGATGTAAAAACTGCTGCCATGAAATTTTTAAAAGGCAGTGAAGGAAGCTATGGAGAATTGGGGAGGAGAGGTGGCATGTTTACAGAGAGTGGCAGGAGAGGCCTATTTTGCCAAATCCCTTTTTAAGCCAATGGGGATGGCACCAGGTTCAAGAGGCAGAAGAGACCCAGAGCCAGCACACGAGATGGGGTTTTATTGGGGAACTTTCATACTGGGGAGAGAGTCTAGTAGTGGTGGGATGGACAGGAGAACCACCTTACATACAGTCCAGGGGCGGCAAGTGGGCTGGACAGGAAAACCACAATGGCTTGTGAAAGGCATCCAGTTTATATAGCATTTTCACTTAACACCCTCTCCATAATGACCTCCACCTGGCAACCTTCATGCAATCCCAAATCGGGGCCTTGATTCCATGGGCAGCCTGTGTTGCATAGGACAGTATGGGGGCTCAGATGTTCCTCATCGACAAGGAACGAATCTCTGTTTCGCCATTCCCGGATTCCCTAGCTCAGAACACACATTCAGTGTGTCTGCCGTACAGGGTCTTTCTCAGGGTGTGCTTAAGTTATTGCTGTCAGGTGCCTTTAACATACAGGGCCTCATTACAAACTAACATTTGAATGAAGAGCTGGAGGAAGTGAGGGTGCAGTTCAAAGAGACAGCCCCAAACCCAGGAGACCAGTGGCACTGGAGCAGAGCGTGTATGGGGTGCAGTTAGGGGGAAGTGGCAGTGGCAGGAGGCAGGGAAGGGCCTGTGGGACATGTTGATAAGGACTTTGGCTTTTACTGGGCATAAGATAGGAAGCCTTTGAAGGAGTGTGAACAGAGTGATGGAAGGATGTTCCCACAACCCAGGGAGATGTGGACCAATGAGATAGCAGTAGATGTGGTGCACAGGGTCAGATTATGGAGGTTATTTTTAAAGATAGAGCCAACAGGATTTGCTAAAGAATGGCATTAGCAGGGTTTAGAGCTGAGTTACTATGAAGCCTGAGTGGCCATCCATTGAGATGAGGATGACGGTGGAAGAAGCAGATTGTCGGGGAGAGCTCAAGGAGTTCAGATTTGCACCAGTTAAGTTTGAGATGCCTGTCTGACTTTCAAATGCAGAAGTCTGGCTAACTGGAGTTCAAGGGAGAGGTCCTGGCTGAGGACGAAAATACCAGGATCATTAACATAGAGGCAGTATCTAAAGTCAAGAGTCGATCAGATCTCTAAGGTAGTGATTGCAGCTGCAAAAGAGAAGAGCTCCAACGACTGAGCATTGTGGTAAACTATCATGTAGATAGTAGTTATAACTATTATGCACTTCTGGGAAAATGTGGTACCTCATGAGGTACCTTCACTCTGTTCACTGTGGCCGCCTCCAAAAACATTGTGTTTGTTTACTAAATGCTGTCTTCATGACATGAAAAATTGAAGGTTTTTTCCTATCAGGGATTGGATTGATTCAGGCACAAAGATAATTTGGGCACCACTGGAGTTGGGCATAGGCAGTTCTGTGCAGGATGCTTCACAATAGTATTTCAACAGATATAGTGATCTCGGCTTCTGATTTTGTTACATAAAAACACATTGATTCAGAAAAGGACAAAAGCAATGTAGGTCCACAAAGATTAAAACATCACTAGGCCGGGTGCAGTGGCTCACGCCCGGTGAGCACATCATGCCCGGTGAGCACATCATGCCCGGTGATGTAATCCCAGCACTTTGGGAGGCCAAGGCAGTCAGATCATGAGGTCAGGAGATCGAGAGCATCCTGGCCAACATGGTGAAACCCTGTCTCTACCAAAATACAAAAAATTAGCCGAGTCTGGTGGCAGGTGCCTGTAGTCCCAGCTACTCGAGAGGCTGAGGCAGGGGTATTGCTTGAACCCAGGAGGCAGAGGTTGCAGTGAGCTGAGATCGTGCCACTGCACTCCAGCCTGGCAACAGAGCGAGACTCCGTCTCAAAAAAAAAAAAAAAATCACTAAAATGGATGTGTACATTATGTACAGCATGCTTTCAACATTAAGGTAAAAAAAAATACCGAAAGATTGGACTTAAGACGGGCCAGTTTTTCTAGGTTAAAGATGCCTTTCAGAAAAATGTTTGTTCAGCCATGCTTTAGCAATCACTTATGTGTAGAGAACTTTTCCACGTCTCCTGTATTTATTCAATCAACAGGAATTAGCTTAGCAGCATAACCCAAAGACTTATCATTTATGTTGCCTTATGACTGATAGTGCTAATAAGTAACTAAGTCCTATGATCCTATTAAGAATTTTACAACAAAGAGGGGCTTGAGTGACCTAAATAAAAATCAGTGCCAAAAAATTCCTATATGGAACTTCTGGAGAGTGTCCCAAAGAAAGAATTTTCTTTTTTTTTTTTTTTGTCTTTTTGAGACAGGGTCTTATTCTGTCACCCAGGCTGGAGTACAGTGGTATGATCATGGCTCACTGCAACCTCGACCTCCTGGGCTCAATTGATCCTCCTGCTTCAGGCTCCTGAGTAGCTGGTACTACAAGTGTGCACCATTGCATCCAACTAGTTTTTCTATTTTTTGTAGAGACAGAATTTCATCATGTTGCCCAGGCTGGTCTCGAACTTCTAGGCCCAAGGGATCCACCCTCCTTGGCCTCCCAAAGAGCAAAAGAATTTTCAAAGTACATAGCGTGCTTATCACCTGCTGACAAATTTCTCAGATCATGTCTGGGAGCACGCTGGCTATGTGGGGATTGTAGATTTTTGCCTATAAATGCTCAATTTAAGTATCAAACACTCCATAAACCTTGCGGTGCATCTCTTTAGAGATTTTTAAAGGCTCTACAATTCAAAAGTATTGTAATAATTTTCAAAGTATGCCACATTCTCAAGAGGTGTCCATCTATGGGGTGATACTTGGGTAGGGGGAATAAAGTCCACTTCTGAATTGTGGGTAATAAACACAAGTCCAAAAGTGCACAGGCAGGCAGCTTGTACTTACCTTAACAGATGCATACTTTGGAAGTGAACAGCATTGAAGCATTAGGGCTTTCTACACTCCAGTGGCAGCGTGGGCCTTACAAAACTGTAGGGCCTTCACCTAAGACAAAGATAACACTTTTGTGTTTGCAGTAACTCATGGACACTTTGGACTTAGTTTCTAAGGGGCTTATCCCTTCTCCACTCAGTGTTTCTGGACTTCTTCCTGGAGTAAGGACCTTGGGAAGAAGCCTTCGTTCCTGTCTGTAACCCCTATTTAGTGCACTGATTGGGGTGCTTAGCACAATCACACATAACAAAGGAAAATAATGCCACTAAAAAGAAAGATTGTTCTGACTCAATATTTGAGAAAATTTCATTCAAGATATTTTGAAGTCACAGAAGAGAAGTTGGACTTTGTATATTTACCAAAACAATTTGTCCTGGGCTCAGTGTTGGTAATATTAATATGTCCTTTTTTATTTTTATTTTTGAGATGGAGTTTCGCTCTTGTTGCCCAGGTTGGAGTGCAATGGCATGATCTTGGCTCACCACAACCTCTGCCTCCTGGGTTCAAGCAATTCTCCTGCCTCAGCCTCCCGAGTAGCTGGGATTGCAGGCATGTGCCAGCAATGCCTGGCTAATTTTTTTTGTATTTTTAGCAGAGATGGGGTCTCTCCATATTGGTCAGGCTGATCTCGAACTCCCGATCTCAGGTGATCTGCCTGCCTTGGCCTCCCAAAGTGCTGGGATTACAGGTGTGAGCCACCACACCCAGCCCAATATTTCCTTTTTTAAAATAACTGAGGCAGATGTTGTGGGTATTACATATAAACTTCCTCATAGACAATCTGTAAGTTGGCAGAATTTGATGAACACCTTTGGATAATGTATTAGTCCATTCTCACGCTGCTAATAAAGACATACCTGAGACTGGGTAATTTATAAAGAAAAAGAGGTTTAATGGACTCACAGATTCACATGGCTGGGGAGGCCTCACATTCATGATGGAAGGTGAAGGAGGAGCAAAGGCATGTCTTACATAGAGGCAGGGAAGAGAGTGTGTGCAGGGGAACTCCCCTTTATAAAACCATCCGATCTCATGAGACTTATTCACTATCACGAGAACAGCATGGGAAAACCTGCCTCCATGATTCAATTACGTTCCACCAGGTCCCTGTCATAACACGCGGGGATTATGGGAACTAAAATTCAAGATGAGGTTTGGGTGGGGACACACAGCCAAACCATATTAGATAATATTTTCAGTTCAGCTCTGGGATTCACTGTCAATTATGGCAGAAAAGATGGATAGAGTTGTGTTGGGAGCAGGCCCTCCATAAACTGGCCCCAAAACTGGCCATAAACAAAATCTCTGCAGCACTGTGACATGTTCGTGATGGCCGTGATGCCCATGCTGGAAGGTTGTGGGTTTACTGGAATGAGGGCAAGGAACACCTGGCCCACCCAGGGCGGAAAACCGCTTAAAGGCATTCTTAATCCACAAACAATAGCATGAGCAATCTGTGCCTTAAGGACATGCTCCTGCTGCAGATAACTAGCCCAACCCATCCTTTTATTTCGGCCCATCCCTTTGTTTCCCATAAGGAATACTTTTAGTTAATCTATAATTGATTAAAACAATGCTTATCACTGGCTTGCTGTCAATAAATACATGGGTAAATCTCTGTTTGAGGCTCTCTGCTTTGAAGGCTGTGAGACCCCTGATTTCCCATTCCACACCTCTGTATTTCTGTGTGTGTGTCTTTAATTCCTCTAGCGCTGCTGGGTTAGGGTCTTCCCGACCAAGCTGGTCTCAGCAGAGTTGCTCTTGTTTGCCCAGTATGTCTTCAAGTATGTGATTTCTTCCAGCATTTACCAGTTTGAATCATCATCTCTCAGGTGCTGCTCTCTGATCAAGTTGAACATATCATGTAATATACATATATTTTTCAAAGTGCCTGAGCATACCACAACTTTACATTACATAATCCTTTTTTCCCAAAGATCATTTATCTTCCTTTCCCTTACTTCCCTTCCTCCTTTCCTTCCATCTATCCTTTCTTGTTTATCTACAGACAGAATTGCCACAAAGATGTCACTGTTAGCTATTTGGAGAAGCTATTAAAACCATTTGCTAGGAGCAATTCCAGTGTGTGTCTGGTTAGCAACCAGGGCTTTCTCTGACAACTGGTAGAAGGGTCCAGTTGTGCATGTCTTAACCATTCATAAACCATAGGTATTTTATTTTCACTAGTAAAACTGTGTGATAATTATTTCAAATAATGTTATTGTTAATGACTGATTTTTAAAACACTTCTCAGGAAAATATTACTTGGATTCACTTAGAAATTTATAAACATCTTTTCACTAAATGTAATATATCATACCAAGTTTTATGTCAACTTGTTTTTCCTCGCTATCTTTAAAAGTTAGTATAAATTTAGTAAGCTTCCTAATGTAAAATTTAATATACTTCCTGATTTCTAACAAAGCACAGTTTAGTTTTGTTTATGGTATTCTGGTGAAAAAATTATTGATAGTTTTAAAATTAGTGTACCTTATAAAGCAGCATAAATTATGTATTTTCTTTGTTCTGAGTTCTTAGAGCTCTTAGTGCTATTTCTTCCTGATTTTAGATTTGTAAATTTTGTTTGACTTTTTGATGTGTGGGCATTGAATTAGTTTCTCTTAGGAGAAGTTTCCAGATGAGTACTGCTTTTAGAAAAAGAAACATATATTTTTATTAATACCTGTTGGAACTTCTCTGGAAGGTTTTGGATTTGTTTTCTTTCTTCTGTCTACTACAAAAGTGATGAGACTAGCCTTATCCTTTCATGGAGTGCTTTCATCAAAAAAATGTTTGTTGTTCTGTCCATGTACAACTTTGACTATTGATGGTTCTATTTATTAGAATTTAAACATATACTTTGTATGTTTGTAAGAATAGAAAGGTAAAAAAAAATCAAAAGGATATGCATCACTTTAATGTAACTCAACAGAAAAAATGCCATTGTTTATATTTCTGTTGATGCAAGATACTCCATTACTATTCACTGTTTTATAAACATACAGTTTATATTAATAATTGTGTACATAGTTGATAGATTTATAAAATCTCTAATTTTTAGAACATATGTTTCTTTCTATTCGATTCTAATTTCTCTTAACTATTTTCTTGCCCTACAATTTACAGTAACATAATGGGTACATGAGATTAGTTCTTCATAGTGTTTTTTTATCTCCTCAAATCCACTGAGTTTTATCTCATCCACCTGGGAGCTTACTACCATGGCCACCCCTGGATTTCACTGTCATTGAGAACAGCTTGACCTTTAAAACCCCCTACTGGCACCACAGATTCCCATCTTTTAGTTTGTTCCCTCCCACCATACCTGTGATCTACCCAAGCACCCTTGTTTTCTCTCCCTCCTGACTCCATGTTTTTCTTTAATCATTCTAAGCCCTATGATCTATCTCTAATTATTCATCTCCTGATACCCTCAGTGCCCCAGTGTCTTGTTGAGCTTCCTTACAAACCCTCAGACCCATTAATTCCCATTGGCATGTCCTATAACTATGGCACTGGGCACTGTTGAAAAAACAATCCTGTAACAGGTGGAAATATACTATTATGGCATCCTTCCTTATGGGGCCCTCCGCATTTCCTGGCTGTCCTTCTACCAGTCCCAAGTCAGGTCCCCTCCCACTCCACTCAGCTGCCTTCACTGCTATATTAATTCTGTAATTGGTAAATATGCATTAATACTACATCCCAGATGTGTGCTAAGCTCTAGGGATATGATGTTGAAATAAAAACTCTACCCACATAGTCTGCAAGAGAGTCAGACACTTATAAAGTAGCAACACTAATGATGATTTCATTACACTTGAATCAAGCAGTGAAAAACAAAATGTTGCCTGAGAATAGATTGAGATAGAGTCAGGCAGACTCTAACTTGGCTATGTGCAGGCTTTTCTTACTATTATTGCCTTACTTTTCCTTATTGTTTACTATATGTGGATTCCTGGGTTAATATTGTTGTTTCTTTCATTTCTTTTCAAAATTTATTTAAATGACATTATACTTTTTCAGTCATTTATATCTTGCTTTTATTTTTCAACATTATGCCCGTGCAGTTCATCCATGTTGATACATGTTACTTTAGGCAGTTTGTTTTCCCTGCTGTATATATATTTTTTAATATTTCTATTTATTTATCTATGGTTGAGTCTGTACATATTTGGGCTACTTTCTATTTTTTGTTATTCTTTATAGAATTCTGATATGAGCAGGAAAGATGTGATAAAGATTGGTTAATTTTCAATATACAGTTTAAAGTTACCTTCAGCCATTCACTGTAGCCTTCTTTATCTAACATAAGCATCACACATTACTAATAAATTAGCCCACTTTGAATGTTCTACCATATTTAAAACAATAAGATAATGTCTTCATAGGTTTTCCTGATCTACTTTCTTTGGAAGAGGATTGAAAATAATTAAATGTCCAAAGTCAGAAAGACAGAACTCAGACTGCCAGTCTGAATAATTTAAAAGCAAATGTTTTAAAATGATTCTTCTGCAGTTCATAAGAAGAACTGAAATAGTGTCAGCAATGCTACTAAAAATCAACAAAGTCATGGTGAATTACATGCTATCATATATAACATCTTTCAGTTCCAAATCACCCTTCAACACCTTCTGTTCCTTAGCAGACTGGATTTTATGAGCATTTCTCCTTCACAGAAAGGCCGATGTTGAGCTTTCTCAGTAAAGAGCGCTGAAGGGCCATTGCAGGAGGAAGGGCCTCTCTTACTGTTTTCAGCTGCTGCCCCACTCATCAGTGGTGTAGGTGTAAGGACATCCAGTGTTGCTCTGCCCCAGCCACAGGCAAGGGAATGTGCAGTCCCTCAGTGACTTCACAGCCCCAGCCTGTTCCGGTGACCACTTTCCTGCAGCCCTCCCAACGAGGACACTACATGCTCCAGGTCTCCTGCCCACGGTGGACCGTGAACTCCTTCTGTGCACCTGCTCATCGGTGGTGGCTCACTTGCCCCTGGGAAGGCTGCTTCCTGCTTGCCCAGCTGCTGTGGCTCTTCCAGCAGGCTGCAAACACACCTTTTCCAGTGAGGTCTTGTATTAGTCTGTTCTCACACTGCTATGAAGAAATACCCGAGGGTAATTTACAAAGGATAGAGGTTTAATTGACTCACAGTTCCATGTTGCTGGGGAGGTCTCAGGAAACTTACAATCATGGTGGAAGGCAAAGGAGAAGCAGGTACCTTCTTTACAGGGTGGCAGGACAGGAGTGGGTGCAAGTGGGGGAATGCCAGATGCTTATAAAACCATCAGATCTCATGAGACTCACTCACTATCACAAGAACAGCATGTAGAAACCACCCCCATGATCCAATTACCTCCACCTGGTCCTGCCCTTGACATATGGGGATTATGGGGATTACAATTCAAGGTGAGATTTTGGGTGGGGACACAGCCAAACCATATCAGGTCTGAAGCCCATCTTTGGGGAGGACGTCCTTTTCCAAGTTTTGTTTTTTTGGGGTACTCTTCCTGAGCTCCAGGGTACCTTTTATACTTTATATTTCATTTAGGTTTCAGAGTTATCTAGCTCTTTAATGATATTTTTAGCAGTTAAATTATCTTCTGTTGAAGAAAATTGTTACCATGAATAAAAATTTAGTGGGACAAAATATTTTACAAAGTTAGAAAATTTACTGCACTTCAGAACATGATCAAAGATGCAACATCTTTTTTCCCCCAGTAATTGCTTATCACTATTATTGTGCTTAAATCTAAATGTCATATACTTAGCAAAAGGAGATACTGCTAAGTTAGAGGTTAGGCACTTAAAAGCATATTCACCTTTGTAGCAGAGTGCATACTGGTTTCATAGTGTGCCTTTCTGCATTAGTAGTTTACTAAGTGCTTTGTACATAGCAATCAATAATTATTTGTTAAAAAAATCAATGGTATATTTAATTCAGTGTTCAAAAAGTTCATGCTAATATTAACTATGTAAAAATCTTTAAGCTTGTAAGATTTTTGAGTAGCTCATAGAGTCAGCATCTGCTCCACCCGGGTAGCTGAGGAAGCTCAGTCAGAACACCCTGGGGGGGAATTTTCTATCATAATTTGCAGATTAGAATGGAGTCTCTGGGGAGGTCCCTGCTGTGTGTTTATCCAGCAATTGAGGGAACATGGCGTGACTGTACCCATTACTGTGTGAAGAATATCCAAATGCCTTCTTTAGACGGTTGTTGTTCTTGCTACTTATATATTAAAAGCAATTATGTGATATTGTAATGAATTATGTTGACAAGCTTTCATTCCCAAAGCTGCTTATCTATGTACATTATTTCTGACTGGAAAACTTATGTTTTTTCCTGCCCGTTTGAATGAATTGCTTGCCACTGGTGACTTATGGCCTGTTTCATCGATTTTCAGTAATGAGATGGAGCAGTATGAGGTAAATATCTATGCACAAAAGCAGGGATTCTAAATCACATTCTGCAAACCACACATTTGATGGTGCAGTTAGCCCATCTCCTCAAAAATGTTTGTGGTGAAGTTTCCTTGAAAAAGCTTGGGCTTAAAGCATGTCACTTAGATGACAGATTTAGAAAGAATTTCGGTCATTACAGTGAGAAGTCCTCTTTGGCTCAGTCAGGCTAACCCGCTCCAAGGGTAGGAGAGGATAATTCACCAGGCGGTGCATCTAATGGACATCGTCTCTGGATGAGGGAGGTAGAGAGAGCCTGTGGTTCTTTTAAATGCATTGATTTCTCTACGGAGTAGCATTCAAATATGTAACTGATCATGGACTCCAGGTAAGTGATGATGGACTCCCCTGGTTGTAGAATTGCTACCGGGTGTTCAGATGTCTCAGGCAAGGAAAGCAGTGAAAACAGAGGCAAAGGAAACCCTTGTGGGATTCACTCATCTGGTTTCATACTGAGTCACTGTCTCACGGGGATGAAGTACCGTTGGAGTTCACTCTTGATAACAGGGAGAAAGAATTATGCGCTGTTAAAAAGAAAGATGTCTGTGGAAAGCGGGGGATCCCTTGAAGATGGTGTTTTATAGAACTGCTATTTTATGGCTCTTATATCCTTTCCATGCATTATTTAACTTCTTTTAGTCTTTGCTGAACATGGATACTGCCTAGGTTGGTTTCCAGCAAGAACTGCATTGAAAGTTTGATGAACTGAAAACAAAATAACTTTTTATGCTATAAAGTACCTCATGATATGTGACTGTAGGTGAAATACAGGAAGGTCTCAAGCTCACACCATTTCTCTGAATGTGCTACTTTCATTTCTGCATATGACAAACTACTCTCTCTTTTATGTGTATATAACTATGTATGTTTTATATGTACATATCATATATATCATATATATCTAGATAGATATATATAGTCCCTACTTGTGCTCCCCTACTCGGGACTATAGTACCTATATAGTTGGTACTATATATTCGGTACTATATAGATACTATAGTCCCAAGTAGGGGAGAAGAAGTAGGGAGATCTACAGAGTAATATCTATCTATCTAGACATATGTGACTTTTATAGAGAGATTTTATATGTAGATAGACTATTCCTCTCTGGATTACATATAAATTTATTAAATGTCACATAATACTTTATGTTCTCTAGTTAGAAAAGAGACCAGGTCGATTTTTCATTTCTTCCTTATCATTTCCCCTTTAATTAATGGTTTTATCCTCATATGGGGACTCTTCCAGGCCTTTCTTTATGACACCAATAAATCTCACTGCCTCTTTCCCATTTGTTCTCTCCACAGTTTTCCTTCATTCCATGATCCATGTCATTCCAGTTTCCATTGCTGCCCTTCTCAGCATTCCGTCTTCTTGTTTCTTCTGTCTGCTGTGCCTAAAATTAACTTGAAAACATGAACCATCTTCAAGACAAATCTATGGTGTTCTTTACATTAATTTTATAAAAGTACACCATAATCAAAATGTGGAACACCTTGACTACCAGTCACTGGGGATATGGCCAAAGGTCAAGACAAATATACTCTGGCCTTTTAAAATTCATACAAATAATGATTCCATTTTTATTTAAAATGCTGCTTTTCTTATTTGATTAATTCTTGTGTTTTGCCTGAGTTTAGTCAATTATGTAGAAATGTACAAATTAGCAACTAATTAAGGACATAACTTGATATTGTTTTTTGGTGCTGACCTTTCTTGTTTTTTTTTTGAGACAGAGTCTTGCTGTATCATCAAGGCTGGAGTGCAGTGGTACAATCTTGGCTCACTACAGCCTTCACCTCCCATGTTCAAGTGATTCTTATGCCTCAGCCTCCCAAGTAGCTGAGATTACAGGCATGCACCACCACGCCCAGCTACCTTTTGTATTTTTAGTAGAGATGGAGTTTTACCATGTTGGCCAGGCTGGTCTGGAACTCCTGACCTCAAGTGATCCACCTGCCTTGGCCTCCAAAAATGCTGGGATTACAGGCATGAGCCACCACATCCAGCCATAATTAAATTTAGTTGAGGATATTGAAGATGATGTAATGGGATGAAATAAAAGCAATTCTGGATAAATTATATATGTTTTAGGAATAAATGGTAGAAGTCTAATGAATTTGTCCTATATTACAAACAGGAGTGTAATAGTTTAGTGCATTCCAGAGAAGAAAAATAATAGACTATTACATTAATTTAATCAAAACCAATTGTGCATTTCAAAAAAGATAAAGACATGAATGGAATTTGAGTATACTTCCATACTTGCGAAAATGAATTTAAAATCTAACATGACTCAGTAAATCAGCTATGATTTCCTGACAGGGAGAGTTGGGGAGGTGTAGAAAAAAGATGGAGAAGGAATTAAACAGTAGAGAAGATTTTAGAGAAATGAATACTGAGTGACTCCAAAGTAATCCTGGGATTTTTGTTGTTGTTGTTCTGATCTATTCCTATTTATATTTCTTGGAGAGACATGATACATTTGACCACTTCATTTCAGCATGCAACGTAAAATAATAAGAGCAACTAGCCTGCTAAGAACCCAAAGCCAGATGGTGTATATGTGTGTCATGCTGAGTTGATGGTTTGGAAGTGCCAGCTCTGCAGAATGGCTGGAGTCGAATAATACTTCAAGGTAATCCTGCTTAAGATCCACTTGTGCATCTCCATATAACTTTTACATTTTTAACAGTTAAGTTAATGAATTTTAAGTTGCAGTGGTCAGCAGGATTCATGTAGGCAACAGAAAAACACACATAAAATGTCTGTAATGGGATTTGTTAACTGTCAGTTCAAATCAAACTCTTATAAACTGACAGAAACCTCAAGTGTTTTAATAGTATTGGCAAACTGCTTCTTAAATAAGCAAATAGCCAAAAGTGAGTTTATGCTTCTTTCCTGAGAAGGATAGACTGTTTCATCATTTTTAGAGATTATCTTTTGAGGACTAACCAGTGTGAGTTAAAGAAATAGTAGCATAACCCAAACATGTCCTCTTTGTCTCCTTGTGTTTAGAAAATAGGAAAAAATGGCTGGGCGCGGTGGCTCATGCCTGTAATCCCAGCATTTTGGGAGGCCGAGGCAGGCAGATCACGAGGTCAAGAGATTGAGACCATCCTGGCTGACATGGTGAAACCCCATTTCTACTAAAAATACAAAAAATTAGGCGGGTGTGGGGGCAGGCACCTGTAGTCCCAGCTATTTGGGAGGCCGAGGCAGGCGAATGGCATGAACCTGGGAGGCGGAGCTTGCAGTGAGCCGAGATCGCACCACTGCACTCCAGCCTGGGCAACATAGTGAGACTCCGTCTCAAAAAAAATAAAAAAAGAAAAAAGAAAATAGGAAAAAATCATTTTGTAGTACCTCCTTTCCCTGACCTCCACGTACACTCTTTGGGGAAGTCTTCTTAGCAGTTCAGGTGAGGTGGGGGCTGTACTATAGTCCCAAGTAGGGGAGAACCAGTAGGGAGGTCTACAAAGAGTGACAGGTAATAGTGAGGGGACTGCTGTGTTAGATGACACCATTGGGTAAGAAGATGAATCAACTGTAGAAAAGTATAAGACTTCATTTGTACATACTGTTAATTATATAAATCTGAGAAAGTGTTGCTTAGACTATTACATTTAGATTTGCAGAAATTATTTTGTTTTTTCGCTCTCCTAGAATTCGAGATTCTGTTTTTCCCTTTTTTTCATGTTAAGCTTCCTTCCTATTCCTATTTCTTTTCTTTTAAGTCTTTATAAAAGCAACTGTTTCACAAGAATTAGTAAATTACTTATTTATACAAAAAATTGTTGAGTAATTTAGTTAAATTAGTTTCTTTTTCCTCTATTTTGAAGGTCTGATATTAGGTACATCTATATTTAAGATCATTATTTCTTCCTGATTAATTGATTTTTTATCATTATGAAATGTTCCTCTATTTTTGGTAATATTCCTTATGTAAATAGACACTTTTTTTTTTTTTTTTTGGACGATGTCTCCCTTGGTCACCAGGCTGGAGTGCAGTGGCATGATCCTGGCTCACTGCGACCTCTGCCTCCTGGGTTCAAGTGATTCTCCTGCCTCAGCCTCCTGAGTAGCTGGGACCACAGGTGTGCACCACCATGCCCAGCTAATTTTTGCACTTTTAATAGAGATGGGGGTTCACCATGTTGGCCAGGATAGTCTTGATCTCTTGACCTCGTGATCCACCCATCTCAGTCTCCCAAAGTGCTGGGATTATAGGTGTGAGCCACCGCGCCCTGCTGATAGATACTTTAAAAAAAATTAAAGTTATCTTTTTATTGAGATGCTGGCTATCCTGAAGTTTGTGAAGTAGGAAAATCTAAGGTCTCACAAAGAAAAATATATCTCTACAGTGTTGCTGACTATGAAGGCTCAAAAGAGAAAAAAGTGTTCCCTACTGTATGCTTAGCTTGCTCTGGAAACCTATTTAATAAAAAGAACTTTTGGGGCCAGGTGTGGTGGCTCACACCTGCAATCCCAGCACTTTGGGAGGCTGAGGCGGGTAGATCACGAGGTCAGGAGTTCGAAACCTGCCAGTCTGGTCAACGTGGTGAGACCCCATCTCTACTAAAAATACAAAAATTAGCTGGGTGTGGTGGTGCGTGCCTGTAATCCTAGCTACTGGGGAGGCTGAGACAGGAGAATCGATTTAACCCAGGGGGCAGAAGTTGCAGTGAACTGAGATCTCACAACTGCACTCCAGCTTGGGAGACAGAGCAAGACTCTGTCTCAAGAAAAATAAAAGAAGTTTTAAATTCAGGGGTACATGTGCAAATTTGTTACACAGGTAAATGTGCATCATTGGGGTTTGTTGTACAGATTGTTTCATCACCCAGGTATTAGCTTGGTACCCATTAGTTATTATTCCTAATCCTCTCCCTCTTCCCACCTCCACCCCTCAATAGACCCCACTGTGTGTTGTTCCCCTCTCTGTGTCCATGTGTTCTCATCATTTAGCTGTCTCAGTTATAAGTGAGAACATGCTGGAAACCTACTTTAATGTTAGTGTAGTTACTTCAGCCTTCTTATGGTTAGCATTTGCATTCATTTACTTTTAACCAACGTTACATTTATACTTACATGCTTTTTTTTGTTTTGGTTTGGTTTTTAAAATCCAGTCTGATAATCCCTGCCTTTGCATTGGAGAGCTTAAACCATTTATATTTAGTGTAATTACAGACATTGTTGGGTTAAGTCTGATATCCTATTTTAGTTTTCTTTTTGTTCCATTTATTCTTTCTTCCTTTCCCCCAATTTTTGACTTTCCTGAATTAATTTAATATTGCTAATATTTCATTTTATTTCCACTATTGGCTTACTAGCTATGGGAGACAAAATTTTTTAAATGGCCCCCAGAGATGTTTCACACTAATGTCAGGAACCTGTGAATATGATGAGATATAATTCCTTTCATTGTGTTATGATATATGGCCTTAAGAAATGAACACTATCCAGGTGGGCTTGATTATATCACATGAGTCTTAAAGGCAGAGAGCTTTTTCAAGCCAATGAGAGATGAGGAAAGCAGAAAGGAAAGTCAGAGATCTGAAGCATAAGAAGGATTCAACATTCTCTTGCTGGCTTTGAAGATGGAAGGGACCATGTACAAGGACTGGAGAACAGACACAAGGAGCCGAGAGTGACCCTAGCCAACAGCCAATAAAGAAACACGAATCTTAGTCTCACAATGTCAAGGGACTGGATTCTACCAACCTGAATGAGCTTGGAAGTAGATCTTTTCTTTTGGCCTCCACGTAAGGGCCTAGCTTGGCCAACACATTAATTTTGGTGTTGTGGTACCCTAACCATAAAACCTAGAGTAACCTTCCTGGGCACCTGACCTACAAGCTGAGGAGTAATATATTGGTGGTGTTTTAGCTGCTAAGTTTGTGGTAACTTGTTATGCAGCAATGGACAACTAATACATTAGCTGATCCCCTCTATTCTTTTGATGGTTGCTCTGTGGTTTACAATATGCATATTTAACTTATCACAGTCTGCTGTCAACTAATATTATACAACTTTATGTGTAATGTAAGAACCTTACAACTATATACCTTCCATTCTTTCTTGTCCTTGGTGCTGTTGTTATTATAAATTTTACTTCTAAATATTCTTAAAACCTCACAAAATAGTTATATTTTTGCTGTAGTTAATTATCGTTAATAAATGTAGAAATTAGAAAAGTAAAAATCTTTTATATTTATTTTCATATCTATATTATCCACATCTATTTTTCAGCAATTGTCATTGATCTGTATAGATTTCCATATGTGATATCATTTCTTCATTCCTCTAATATATCCTTTAGTGAAAGTCTAATGATATTTAATTCTCTCAGTTTCTGTTTATCTGAAAAAGTCTTTCACCTTTGAGAGTTTTTTCTCCATTATAAGACTTAAAAGATATTGTTTCATTGTTTCTTGGCTTGGATCGTTTTACACAAGAAATATGTGTTAATTCTTTTTGTTCTGTATGGTGATATGTTTTTTTTCCCTCCAGTGGCTTTAAAATTTCCATCTTTGTCAAAATTTTATGAAATTTGATTACACTGGGGATTGATACGGTTTTCTTTGTGTGTACTCCACTGTTGAGCTTCTTGGATCTGTGGGTTTATAGTTTTCAGAAAACTTCGAAAAACTTCAGCCATTATTTCTTCAGTTTTTTTTTTTCTACCTGACCTTTGGGTCTCCAATACACATATATTAGACTGCTTGATATTTTCTCACAGTTCACTTAGATTGTTAATATTTAAAGTCTTTCTTCTTTCAGTGATTAATTTTGGAAAGTTTCTTTTCATGTATTCATGTTTTCTATGTATTCAATTTTTAATCTTTTCTTTTTTGGTGTCTAATCTGCTATTATTTCCATACAGTGACTTTTTGATTTCAGATTTTTTTTAACTTTTGAATATTAACTTTGATTCTTTTTAATGTCTTATTTCTCTCGCTATTTTTATGTCTTCCTTTAACTTTTTGAACTGATTTAATTTAGTTATTTAATGCACTTGTCTACCAATTCCAATATTTCTGTTATTTCTACATCTGTTTTTATTGAATGGCTTTTATTTTGGTTAAGGATATTTTTCTACTGCTTGACATGTTCAGTAATTTTTATTGGATGATGGACATTGTGCGCTATGTTGTTGAATGTCTGGAATTTGTTGTCTTCCTTTAAATAAAGTAGAATTTTGTTTTTAATAGGCATTTAAACTACTTGTAGATCAGCTTTTTTTTGTTTGTTTGAGGGCTATTTTTAAGTATTGTTTGGGTGGATCTATGTTAGCCTTTATTCCAGGGCTATGTTAGTGCCACTATTTAGGCATGAGACTTCTTGGGTCTCTACTGAATGCCTGTTGTAGACAATAAGGCCTCTTCTATGTGATTAGTCAGAACTGGAATACATCTCTATCCTGAATGAGCTTTGAGAATTGTTTAGCCTATTGCTTGTAGTAGGTAGACTTCTAAAATGACCCCCAAAGACATTCACCTTTGTGTATTCCCCTCCAATTGAGTTTGGGCAGGATGTGAATATGATTATTCTTGTAACTACATTACTTTATGTGGGAAAAAGGAAAATTTTCTAAGATGGGCTTGATTTCATCTGGTAAGCCCTTTAAAAAGAGATTTATCTGACTGATTGCTGAGTAAAAAGTCCATTATCTGAAAAGCCTGGTTCATATATTTAGTCCAAATGTCTAGTTGTTTATGGTGTGAAGGCAAACCTGGTCCAGTTACTATATCATGGAGTTTTTAGGTGAACAGTTGTAGTGAATTAACTTGTCCTTGGAGGGTATCGCAATAGCTTTAACCAGAACTTTCTTTCTTGGACTTATCCTCCATCATGTTTCCTTGCTTTCCAGGCTGCATAAAACAATTAAGTGGTCTCCAGGTATTTACACTTTATCAGTACCAAGGCAATATTCTACTTCCTCTGCCTATAAACAAAAATCCCACAGAAATTTTACATATAATGCAGTAACTAGGCTTTTTGAGCTTACCAAACCCTATTTTTTAGTCAATCTTTAAAACTAAGGGATATTGAATTAGAAGGGAAGGATTTGAAAGAGGCTAGCCAACTATATTTCAAAAGAATAAAAACCACTCTCTTTAAACTTTTAAGTTATTTGAAAATATTTTACACCAGTGAAATATAGAGAGAATAATACAATCAATTTCAGTATGCCAAATAACCAACTTAAGAAATAAAATATTATTTGTACAGTTGAAGCCCTGTGCAGATAATATTTCCTCCAATCTTATCCTTCTCTCTCTAGAGGTACCTTAATGCAATGTTATTAATTCCCATGCATTTCTTCATGTATTACTTCATATCCCTGCATCCTTAAATTTATCTTTGCATTTTTTTTTGAAATTGATTTTAATTGTCAGAATTCTTTCCTGGTTTCCTTTTTTTTTTTTTTTTTGGTTTAACATTTTGTTGTGAAAATAAAATGTTTATATTGGTTTAGATTTCCATTGTATGAATATAACACCATTATTTATCCAGTCAACTATTAAGAAACATAGTTATTTCAACTTTTTTGAAGCAATGAACACTCAAATTAACCTTTGGTAGATATGACTAGTACACATATATGAGAGTTTCTGCAGGAAATGCCCTTTATAATTATATCACGAAATAAATAGAGTATATGCATCTTTAAGTTACTATAGATGGTCCACAACTCAGAATTTTTGACTTATTATATTTCGACTTTATGCTGGTGTGAAAGTGATCGCATTCAATAGAAACCATACTTTGAGTACTCATGAAGCCATTCTGTTTTTCATGTTCAGCACAATATTTAATAAGTTACATGATATTTTCAACATTTTATCATAAAACAGGCTTTGTGTTAGATGATTTCTCCCAACTGCAGGCTAATGTGTGTGTTCTGAGCACATTTTAGATAGGCTAAGCTAAGCTATGCTATTCTATAGGTCGGGTGTATTAAATGCATTTCCAACTTAAGATATTTTCAGTTTACTATGAGTTTATAGGGACGTAGCTGCATCATAAGTTGAGGAGCATCTGTAGATATTGTCAGTTGTTTTTCAAAGCGGTTGTCCAGATTTGCATTCCTACCATAAGCTTTCTGGTTGTTCTACATCTTTGTAACACTTGGTATTGTAAGAATTAAATTGTAAATAATTACACTGGTGAGAAATGCTACCTCATTGTGGTCTTAGTTTGCATTTCCCTGGTTGTTAGTTACCTTTTTATGTTTACTAGCCAGATTAGCTAGTAATGAAGAATAATGAAGATTATTCTCCTCTGGTAGGGTCACTCCAGTTTAATCAAACTCCATTAGGGCCAACATAGAGATTCAAACATCTAAAGTCCTAGGATATGAAAAATAGAAAGATATGAATAGGAATATATGAAAAATAGAAAATAGAACATTTTTCTAAGTATGAAATTATTCCCTGAGTCATTTAAGTTATTTCTAGTTATCAAAACATGACTCTTGCCAACACTTTTATTGTGTCGTTCTCAATTGTGGCAGTCTTAGCTTCTTTTACTCTGGCTTTTCTGGCTGCAGAAAGAATGACAGTAAACCTTAAGTCACTGAAGCTAAAGACAGGCTACGTTATGAGGAAACAGAACATTACTCTGCCTAAGACTGACTAATAATAGTAAGATTTGATGAACTCCAAAAAGCCTAGGTTAACAATTTCTGTGTTCTAGTGCTATGCTAAGTGATGGAACTAAATACTTTTTAGGATCCTTCTTCCCTTGTGAGGACCCTATCCACAGAGCTTTCACAGACTCTTTCTACTGCCAATGAGGAAATTTACCAAAAAAGGTCCTTGCTATCTTTTCTAAAGAGGCAATGAGTAAAATTGTGTCTTTTACAAAGATATCATCTGTAAACTATTTTCAGTAGGAAAAAAGCCAGAAAAATTTTCCTGAATCTATCCTTGGTGCTAATTGGGTATGACTTTGTGTGCAGGGGATACATTTTCTGCCCTTTCCATAATTTGAATGATCATCTATCTAGCTGCATTACAGTATGCTGCCTGCAGTGTTCTCCTTTGCAATAGTCCAAGTAAATAAAACATAGCTGATCTAAATGCTTCCATTCATAATTGATTTGAGGAATGTATAACCTGTAGTTTTTTTGGGGGGGCGGTTAGAGAAATTGTATGGGTATCTCTGTTTATATTACTTTGGAAATATTTTATTTCATAAATACTAAAAACCTGAGTAGAAGGTCATTTAGTTCAAGTTTGACAACAGAAACTTGTTTCATATCAGCCTTAATTATTACATTCAGTCGATTTTTTTATGACTCAAGGACCCACTTCCTACCACTTCCTTTGATAGAAAAAATATCTAAATGTAAGAGATGAAAGCATAGGAAAGTTTTTCACATTTAGACTGAATTGTCTTGTTATTCAGACAGTCCTCACCCTTTTGTTTTCACTTCTTAGATATTTGTTAAAACTCACTAGTTATATTGACTAGTAGAAACCATAGATGTGATTTAGACATGACATAGAAGAAACCATGACAAACCATAGACATGATGCTTTAAAATAATGGCCCTGCTGGTTTGATCGTTGATACTTCTTTCTGATGGGCCCTATTTAGATGTGTGTGTGCATGCATGTTTTGCACTTGTCCCGAGGTGAGTGAAAATGGAAGTGGTGTTTTAAAGATGAACTTTCTGTATAAAAGCAAGTTGTAAATGTCTGTTCTCTATTTCTAGGAGCAGCTCTTTAAAATATGCTTCTGATCCTTTCTTATTAGATGTCATGTTGTACACCAGCAGCTCATTTGCTGTTCCACAGCTTGGGTCTCCAGATCTTAATGACTCATACCGGCTGTTGTCCCCCTACAGGTTATCCAGGCTGTCTTTTTTGGCATCTGTGTGCTGACTGATCTTTCCAGTCTTCTGACTCGAGGAAGTGGGAACCAGGAGCAAGAGAGGCAGCTCAAGAAGCTCATCTCTCTCCGGGACTGGATGTTAGCTGTGTTGGCCTTTCCTGTTGGGGTTGTGAGTATGATGGAGGATGCATTTAGCCACAAAAGAAACTTGGCTCTTATTTCAGACTTCTAAGAGAAAAAAAAAGAGTTCATTATAAGAGGTTTCTGTATTATTAGTTTGCTGGAGCTGTCAGTACCACAGATGCGGTGGCTTAAACAACAAACATTTATTTTCTCGTAGTTCTGGAGGCTGAAGTCTGAGATGCAGTTGTCCACAGGGTTCGTTTCTTCTGAGGCCTCTCTCCCCTTGGCTTGCAGACAGCGCCTTCTGACTGTGTCTTCACACACTCATCCCTCTGTGCCTGTCTTTGCCTAAACTTCCTATTTTTATAAGGTATAGCAGTCATATTAGATTAGGGCCCCCTAATGACCTCATTCAACCATATATAATCACCTCTTGAGAAACCCAGTCTCCAAATACAGTCACATTGTGAGATTCTGGGGGTTAGGGCTTCCACATATGAATTTTGCAGAGGACACAATTCAGTCTATCAGTTTCTTAAGCAGCCCAAACTTGAAAGGTAGGGTCCTTGGGTCAACCAGGCTTTTGAACTTGGGAGAGGAGATCAGTATTAGCTCATACTTCTTCAGTTACCCAGCTGTGCCATTAGCTACTATCACTGAAGTAAATGCCTCTTAATGTTTGGGTCTGTTTTGACTTCATTGATTTTCATTGTTTTCAGTTAGATTCTCTTCATAACTCAACTTCCTTCACAAGTCTGTTAATTTTCCATTGTCTGCACATAAACCATGTTTTTTTAAAGGCCCTCAGAGACCCTACAGATTTTAACCTCTGTGTAGCCAGGAGAAGAGAACTCATATATATCACAAACTGTAAAGATGAGTAAGAAGTTGTTATTTAATTCAAATTCAGACCTTTCATTTGCCAGCTGATTTCGGGGGAAAACAGAAGTCTCAGTGATGTGGTCTAGCACATGCACCAAGTCCATTGTAGGAAGAATCAGAAAGTTGATCATAAGTCCTTCCAGTGGATTACTCATATTTGTCAGGTTTGTAGCTGGTAGAAGGCCCTACATGCTTGCTTTAAGACCAATTAGTAGACACTCAGATGGTCACTGAATTGCTTTTTCTGTGTGCCAAATTATATTTTCTTGGATGAAATAAATAGCCCTTAACCCTGAGAAAAACACAATGGCCAGAGAGCATTATAATTTGTTGACACTCCTCATTCCCTCATCCTTGTCCTCTGAAAACTTAAATAAATGAGTACTCAGATTGAAGCTAACCAGCAAATCTCTCAGATTCCATTGTTTAGCATAGCAGAGTTTAATGCTTTCCATATTACTTAATATTTCCTTCTTTGGACTTTCCATATAAAATTCAAATACTTTCTATCAGAATAGTCATCTAAGAGAAAATTTCCATTAGCATAAAGCACAAAGATACATACTTTCTGCATAAAAGAATTATCTAGAAAATCTCAGTCTCTCTGTGTGTACATGTATATGCATCTATATCTAATATCTAATATATGCATGTATATTATATATATCATGTATACATTTTTTCTTTTTTAACGTCTACTCCCTTGGAATTTCTATAGCCATGTCATTGCCTGTGGAAGCCTTCGTTGGCTAGAAGGATTACAATAGTAATACAATAAAAAAGTAGGCCAGGCGCAGTGGCTCACGCCTGTAATCCCAGCACTTTGGGAGGCCGAGGCGGGCAGATCATGAGGCCAGGAGATCAAGACCATCCTGGCTAACACAGTGAAACCCCATCTCTACTAAAAATACAAAAAATGAGCCGGGCGTGGTGGTGGGCTCCTTTAGTCCCAGCTACTCAGGAGGCTGATGCAGGAGAATAGCTTGAACCTGGGAGGTGGAGGTTGCAGTGAGCTGAGATCTCACCACTGCATTCCAGCCTGGGCAACAGAGCAAGACTCTGTCTCAAAAAAAAAAAAAAAAAAAGTAAACATGAGTATAGTGTTAACATGTTTTCTCTTAGCTCCCTTCTGTATGTGATATCAAATTATGTCTCTACAGGGAAAATTTTGACTTATGTTGTAAATTTTGCTACTCTCCTCAAAAGCTCATGGCATATGCCCTTTAGACATTTTTGACCTTCCTTTGGGGGAAACTTTTGCACCTGCCTGAAGCTTGAAGTATATGTCAACTCTTGGTGTCTTTCCTAAAGTTATCCCATGTATGTTTCATGGTTTATAAAACAAGTGGTGGCCTTTTTGTTTAGTTATTTGTTTTAGTACATCTGATATTTTCCTCCATCTATCACTGTCTTTGTTGTTTTGCCTATGTTTTAGAAAAAAGAGGAATAAAAGTGCCTTTCATCCCCACCCACCCCATCCCTCTTAAACCAGAAGTCCCAGCATCACACTTTCATGGCGTGTGGGTGCAGCTGTCCTAGTGGCTCTCTGACAGCCCAGCCAGTCCTCATCACTGCGCCAGGGCCTCCCGTGTCACCCAGCACATGGAGGGGATCAGTGCTCTTGAGAATCACAAAAGAAATCAAAGAATAGATAAGGAATCAGAGATGTGTAACTCACTGATGTTTTTAACTCATTTTTTTTTTGCCCATTGATATTTTGTAGTCACTATTTCCATCTTTCATAATCATCCCTGTTACTGTGAGTCACTGTTCCCTTCATAGTTACTAGTCTATTATTTTCCTAAACTTTTAAATGTTCCTTTCAAAGAAAGTGACATTTCTTTCTCTCTTTTCCCCCCTCCTTTCTCTCTCTCCTCTCCTCTGTTTTAAGAAGAATCTAGGTCAGTATTCTCTAGAAATCATCATATGTTTTCTACTGTTTCTGTCTTGCTATGCTATTTGATGTTTTGTATCTATTTATGCAATTTCCACCAGACTTCTCACTCTAATACACAGAAATTCATTTTGAGGCCAAAAAAAGCCTGATAAATTGTTCATTCCCAAATCCCATTAATTTTATTGCAAAGTCATATTTATACAATATATGAATGTGCCTCTTTACAAGTATTTGTATTTGTCTGTTCTCAGACTGCTAATGAAGACATACCCGAGACTTGAGTAATTTATAAAGGAAAGAGGTTTAATTGACTCACAGTTTCACATGGCTGTGGAGGCCTCACAATCATGGGGGAAGCCAAAGGAGGAGCAAAGTCACGTCTTACATGGTGGCAAGAGAGTGTGTTCAGGGGAACTCCCCTTTATAAAGCCATCAGATCTTGTGAGACTTATTCACTATCACGAGAACAGCATGGGAAAAACTCGCCCCCATGATTCAATTACCTCCCACTGGGTCCCTCCCACGACACACAGAGATTATGGGAGCTACAATTCAAGATGAGATTTGCGTGGGGACACAGCCAAACTATATCAGTATTTTAACACAAAATTTTTTTTTCACTAAAACATTTAATTTTGTGATTTTTCGTCTTTCTGTCTCTAATGTTATTTCCCACCTTTCCTTTCCAAGGTGCTCTGTCTTCACCGTGGCTTCAGAGCTTCCCCTGTCCTTTCTGTACCTTTTTCCCTGTTCCCGCAACTGCTCAAAAGGGTCTAGAATCCTGCTGTAGTTTCATTCTTATGACTTAGGACTTTCTTCCTTATTAAAATGCAAACTCTCCCTGGAGCAATGCCACAAGGAATCACATGAAGAAGCATCATTTTTACTTTTTCTGTGCCTCCTGGCCTGGAATGGAAGTGCCAACCTGGACGGTTCATTACATCAGAAGGATGGAAGAGCATTAATGGCCAGGAACTGATGGAAGCAGAATTATGCCTGTAGGAATCTGTAGCATAAAAATGCTTATCATGTGTGCAGATGATTAGTGATAACATTTAGAAGTAAACATCTTCATCACTTTGGTGGACACAGTCAAAATCCTAAGGGGCAGAATTCTTAAGCACCCTCTCTGTGCCAGGGGAGTACCAGACATCCTATAGCTACAGGCGCAGAGCCTCAGCTTTGAGTCCTCCTGCAGTCCCCAGAGGCCTCCCCTGCTCTACCACCCTGACTGCTGGGGCACTGCCAACCTTGCAGAGTGCTTCCCTGGCTATTATCTACTGTCTTTCTTTGCCTACTGCCTTTCTACTTTTTGTCAGTCAGAAGTTGAAAGGGAAAGCAAAGTTATTTTTGCTTCATGGTGCAGGCAAATGGCATCGGGCATAAAAAGAAAGTAAAGAGTGAATGCATTACCTCTGTACAGCTGGATTTATCAACTTTGCACAAGTTTTCCTGAAGAGACCTATTGGCCCCTGAGCTTTTCCTGATGCTCCCATTATCAGTCTCTTTCTTTCTCTCTCACCTCAGCTGAAACCATGGCAGCAAGAAAGACATGGGTGGTTTATCTGGGATTTGTATTTTCTACATTAATGCTTCCTCCAGTAACGAGGTTAATTGAGAGTTGACAGTAATTGCTGTATGTGAGCATGAAGCCCTAAATATGATTTTGTGACCCATGCACCTAGTGCATCCACTTCATGGTCTCTGTTCATCTCAAGGATACATAAAAATCATGAAACATTCCAATCAAAGATAATTGGAGGAAAGTTTTATTTCAGCATAACCTAGAAGAAATCAGGCAGGGTTGCTTGGATGAACATGGCATGTATCATCCTGATTTGTGTAGATTCCCATAAATACGAAGCTGGCCTTGATTAGTAATGCTAATGGCCGGAAACCACCACCACTCCCAAAGCCTTGCAACTAATTTTGCAGGGATAACCCATGGGAGGCTCTTCTTACCATGTGCAGTTTATTTCTGAACCCTGTCACCCTTTTAAAGAAGCATTACAAATAATTCTATGACATTATGTGGTCTGGAAGCACTGAAGTTTATTAGCAGCAATCAGACCAAGAATGTCTTTTGTCTCCTGTGAGTTTGTTGACTTTTGTGTTGGCAGATACCATTATGGCTAAGAGACTAGGCTTAGGCTTTTAACCAAAAAGGGGAGGGGAGGCATGAGAGAAGAGCAGAAACAGCAAATAAATAAATAAATAAAATATATATATATATGAGTTTAATGACTATGAAAGTGCCCCTCTCAGGAATCTTAAATGTGTCTCCAACTGCCTACCAAAGCAGCCGTTTAATGAAAAAGAACAATTATTTATATATTTTATACATTTTAAACTTTCTGTCTTTGTTTTATAGAGGCAGGGTTTCGCCCTGTTGCCCAGGCTGGAATGTAGTGCAATGATATTTCACTGCAGCCTAAACCCCCTGGGTTTAGGGGTCCTCTCACCTCAGTCTCCCAAGTAGCTAGGACTACAGGCATGCACCACTATGCCCTGCTAAGTTAAAAAAATTATTTTGGAGACAGGGGTCCCACTAAATTTCCCAGGCTGGTCTTGAACTCCTGGCCTCAAATGATTCTCCTGCCTCAGCCTCCTGAGTATCCAGATTACAGGGACAAGCTACCATACCCAGCTAATTATACATTTTTTATTCATTCTAGATTGTGCATCCTATTCATTTGTAGCTGCTTAACTTGAATAATGCATGTAATCTAACCTCATAACCTCACCAGTACACTTTTGCCCTGGTGTTGGTTTGGTTGCTCTAGCCCCAGTGCTGGTCTGCTGCATCGCGGTATGAAGATGATAGCCCTTTCTGAGTGGGCCTGAGGAGATCTTGGAGGTTTTGATCAGTTCTAACCTGGGATGGGTGTCCAGGTTATTAGGAGCAAACTGGCATGTGCCTGTATTAACTTTTCGGAAATTTGACCTTCTTATCTGAGTTTAGACTCAAAGCTGTTTGTTAAGTAACTATTTTTAGTGTTATAATCATGTCTTGTAAAGACTTAGTGAAGATTTTATAGGTATCAACCTATTCTAGAATCCTTTAAAACTTGATTTTACTTGTAATGGGACTGTATGGTATCTGCTTCCTTAGGAAACATGGAAAATGGATTTAAAATCTCAAATGCAAACTCAAAGAAAAAGTATATTGCTATTGTTTTAAACAAGTAATTCCCAAAAGTCTTCGTTTGTTGACATAGTAGCTAATTCTAAGCTATCTTTAAGAGGTTTTGAGATGCATATAAATTTAGATAGTCATAAACCTACAACTTAAAAATCGCAGTTTCATTACTGATTTTTAAATGAAAGAGATTGGCTTAAATGGGAAACCAGAAAATTAATATTGATGACTAATATTAAGGTCTGTTAATATAACACATAAAGGAAGAGAATTTGATTCTATTTGAGATTATAAATAAAAGCAAATGTCTTTCCTTCTGTTTTGATATTAAGGGGGAAATTAAAAAAAATAAATTGTTTACCTTATTCCACAAACTCTGGATTCAACTTAAAAATACACATTTTAAAAATGATCATGAGGTCAGGAGATCGAGACCATCCTGGCTAACACAGTGAAACCCCATCTCTACTAAAAAAAAAATACAAAAAATTAGCCGGGCTTGGTGGCGGGTGCCTGTAGTCCTAGCTACTTGGGAAGCTGAGGCAGGAGAATGGCGTGAACCCAGGAGGCGGAGCTTGCAGTGAGCCGAGATCATGCCACCACACTCCAGCCTGGGTGACAGAGCGAGACTTCATCTCAAAAAAAAAAAAAAAAAAAAAAAAAAAAATATATATATATATATATATATATATACACACACACTTAATATCTTCTGATCCTCTCTTTATTAAATTTTCACACAGGTACCTAAAGTCAAGACTTTTCTATTTTCTTTAAGCCTTAACTGATGTTTTAAGTTTCTTTAAATGTCCTTTTCCTTTCTTTTCACCTCTGAAGTTAAAAGTACATCAGCTAGGTCATGTTTTATGGTAGAACCCAGTACACTGCAGGTGGAGTTAATCAAATGCTTGCCCCCTGCACTGAAATAAGAAATGTGAATTGAGTTACCTAAGAAGGAAGGTTTATAGATGAGGATTTATTCAAGATCAATAAGGAAAATGAGCCATGTTTTCCCAATACCAGGAGAAAGACTCAGAAAACTGTAATTACCAAAACTAGGTGAGTGGTCTTACAATTATTTTTTAATAGCTTTTCAAAAGACCAAGGACATCATATGTTTAAATGTATGTACCTGATAAGAAACCAGGTTGCTTCTCAATCATCTCATATATTCTTTTCTCCTAAATGAGAACCAAAGATTTTCTGCTTAGGTGACCTATTTAATTTGCACACATTTATGCTAGCTCAGAGTGGTCAGCTTTTTTGATGCTTCCAAGACAAATTTCTTAAACACAATAGTCACACATTAACAAAATTTCACATAGATGCCCACTTTAAAATATATGACAGGGAAAACCGTGCATTTATATGTAGACTGTTCAAAGGACAGAAGTTCTTGTTAAATCAGTGATTATTTGTGGGACCATGGAGCCTACTGTGTAGCAAGTACTGAGTGCTAAGAGTCAGGATAGTGTTGGCTGAGAATCGATCTGTCCTTCAAAGGTTTCACAGCCTAGGGAGGGTGGCTTTATAAGCTATATCAATAAGTAAATTAAAATAGGGTGTCATGAGTATAATAATACATGTGTTTAAGGTGCAGAGAAGTATCCCCAAAGAGAGAGGGGTTAATTTAAGTGGGTGGGAGGTCCTGAAAGACTTCTCAGAAATAATGACATCTAAGCTCTGTTTGAAGAATGACTAAGAACTTATTGGATGTATAAGTTAATGAGGTATTCAGTTGCAAGTAAGAGAATACCCTCAGAAATCCACCTGGCTCACTCTTTCACTTCATTCAAGTCTGCTCAAATAAGCTCAGCAAAGCTGCTTTGAATGATCTATATGAATTAGCCTCTCATTATTCTCTGTTCCCTTACCTTGCTTTATTTTATCCATGATGATTACCACTACCTGGCATATTATGTTTATTCTTTTATTTGTGTAGTGTCTATCTTCTCTGACTTAGTTCAGACTCTGTGAGACCAGGGAAGTTGTGTGTTTCATTTACTGCTTTATCCCAGCATTAGGAGCAGTGTCTAAATAATTCAATATTAGTTGAGTGTAATCCAGCCAACTATGGTTTAAGTAATAAAGATATTTAATATCTCACAAGACGTGGAGCTTGTTGACAGGCAGTTTCAGGGTGGTATTGCTCAGTATTTTCATATTTTGTAGTTTTTATTGAGATAGGGTCTCACTGTGTTGCCTAGACTGGAGTGCAGTGGCATGATCTCAGCTCACTGCAAACTCCACCTCTCAGGCTCAAGTGATCCTCGCACCTCAGCATCCCGAGTAGCTGGGACCACAGGTGTGTGCCACCATGCGTGGCTAATTTTTGTATTTTTTGTAGACATGGGGTTTCACCATGTTGCCCAGGCTGGTCTCAAACTCCTGAGCTCAAGCGATCCACCACCTTGGCATCCCAAAGTGCTGGGATTCTAAGCATCAACCACCATGCCCAGCCAGTATTTTCATTTGAGACTTGTACATTTTCTATTATCCACGTCTGTCTTCAGAGTATTACCTTTTTGTACTTGGAGTTGCCACCTAAATCCTAAAGAGGGTTATTAAAGCACCAAGCATCACATCCTTCACAACCATGTTCAAGGACAGAAAAGGAAGAAACTCTAGGGAGCCCTCCCCCAGTGTATGTCTCTTCATCAGGTGAAGAGATTATTCCCAGAAGCTCCACCTGCAGATTTCACCATAGGTCTCATTGGTCAGAACCATCACATAGCTAGAACCAGCAGTGTGGGAGCCTGGGAAGGCAAGAAGAGGCAGAAGGAAATGAAGTTACCATGAGGGCTTAAACTAATTATGGTTTATCCTTAGGGGCTGGGCATATTGCTACCCAAACAAAATCAGGAGTTTTAAAAAATGTAATAAGTAACAAATTTAGGGAATAACAATATGTAAAATAAGTAAAAACTAGTAGGATTCTAGGTAATTTATTTTTTATGTTAGTATGAAAAATATATACAGTAAAGTTGATAAGACTAATCATGGACATTTTCTGTTGTAACCAAAAAGATATATTTTTCCCATTCATTCTCTACCAATATCATTTTTAGTACATTCTTACCAGTAGTATCATAAACAACAACTGAAATCTGATATTTGAAGAAGTCCTTCTCAAAGAAAGATTTCTTACACATTTGATGAAATGGTTTAATTTCTAAAGCTCCATATAAAATTTGTCAGAGGTGTCCCTTGCTTTAGACCACAAACTCAAGAGATTCAGACAACGGGTTCAATAAGTAAAATCTTCCTTGAACACCCTTCCCCCTAGAAATTATCATGTCCTATAGATCATTTCACAGAGTTCCTACTCTCTCTGGGGAAAAAAAAATCACAGAAATATCTCACAAAATGAAGATATTTTCTTCCCATAATCATAGTCATAAGTAAAATATGTATTTGAAATTTGAGATCAAAAAAAGGTAGAATTGATTTTCATGAACACTAGACATGTGATTCCTGTCCTCAACAATGTGACCCGCAAAACCAGGATCTTATATATGCCCTTGTTTTGGGGACCAGGGACAAGATGCAATATTCTTGATTTTAAAAGAAAAGAAAAAAAGGATTCACACTTCTTCCTTCCCTGCATATCTCACTCCCCCCTCTTTCCCTCTATCTCCCCAACACCCCCATCTTTCTCTCTCTCTCTCTGCCTCACCCTCTTCTCTCTTTCTCTCTCTACCTTTCTCCTTTCACCTCATCCCTCCGCCCTAAACATTGCTTTCTATGTAGAAAAGGAAACTAACTTATTGGCTGTGTGGGTGATCCTGAAATTACTACTGTCCCTGTGGGTTTTTTGAGGTAACTCTTAACTCCTTTAGCTGGACCAAAGTGTACTGTTACATCAGCTGATAAAAAAGTAATTTCCCTTTAAGGAAGGAACTAGTGGACCTTCCACCTACACAAAATTTACTAACTTAATCGTGCCCATGTGATTACCATTCCAATGATTTGCTTATTTTACCACAAATAGCCAGTCTGGGATAGGACTTTCATTCATTGTACCTTTTTCTAATCCTCTTAGGGAACAAAAGTTAAGGCATAATTCTGGCTATTGGGAAGGTGACGCAGAAAATCAGGTGGGAAGGTGGGAAGATGAGGAGAGGGCAGATGGTGAGGAGAGAGAGTGTAGCCCTGCCAGCCAGCTCACAGTCTCCTAAGCACCCCTGAAGAGCACATTTTCCAGAAGTTTCCCACCAGAGAATGTCCTTTTAGGTTAGGTCTGTACATAGGTAGGCTACGTTGGTACTTGATTTACCCATAGCAACAAATGTATACTAGGAGTTTGAATTGTGTTGGTGAAGCTGTTGCCACGTGAGGAAATTGAAGGAAGCTATGCCGCAGAGGGAGTGAAAGGAGCCCTTAAGCCTTGGTCTGCTTTTGTGCTTTTCTGGATTCTCTGCGACTTTGTTCATTTTTGACCAGAAAAGATTGGAGAGGAATGTGAAATAAGAAAAAATCCTAGACACAAAGGAGTGGCATGCCCAAGTTTACAGGCATGATGGGAGAGGAATTTTGTCACCTTGCCACTTGATCCTAAGGACATCTCCCCTCCCCTTTGTTTCCTTAAAAATCAACTATGAAATAAGAAGACTGCATTGATACACGCACACATAACTCAAAAGAAAGAAGACTCCGCACTCCCTTGGCCAGAGGGTACTGTGAGTATGCCCTGGCCCAGGGGGCGGCTATTACACTAGATAATAAAATTAGCATTGAGTCAACAAAGGAAAATGGCCCCCAGATTCATTAATAAAGCAACGTTTTGGTCTGAATATTCAGAAATGCTACCTGCACCCACCCCATTAGCTCAGAGTTCTGAAGAAGACACCACATACGGAAGCCTCTGCTGTCACCTCTGTTTTAGTTCCTGCCTGTGAATGAGCAGTTCCACTTGCACTTTCTGAGGCTTCTCACCGTAGCCCTTCCCAAGGTGGCAAAACCTACAAACAACCCAAGAGCCTGAAAAATGGAATAATGAGAGTTGACTTTCACTTACATGCTTGCTGTGGGCCAGGCACTGTGCTAAGGGCTATACTGGAACGATTTATTTAATCTTCACATCCCCAGAAGGTAGGAATTTCCATCATTTTACTTCGCAGAAGACTCTTCTGTTTTGCAGTTTTACAGATGGGATTCCCATTTTATAGCTTGCCTGCTTGAGGTCACACAGCAAGTAAATGATGCTGGTAAATCAACCAGGCTTTGAACCCTAACACTCCAACTAACGGAGTGCTTGCTCTTAGCAACCACAGTTATGTGCTGTATAATGACGTTTTCATCAGTGACAGATGACATATACAGCAGTGGTCCCATAAGATTATAAACCTATATTATGGACTGGACATGGCGGCTCACACCTGTAATCCCAGCACTTTGAGAGGCCGAGGCAGGCAGATCACTAGAGCCCAGGAGTTTGACACCAGCCTGGGGAACATAGTGAGATCCCATCTCTACAAAAAAAAAAAAAAAAAAAAAATTAGCTAAGTGTGGTGGCACACGCCTGTAGTCCCAGCTACTTGGGAGGCTGAGCTGGGAGGATCCCTTGAGCCCAGGAGGTGGAGGTTTTAGTGAGCTGAGATGGTGCCACTGCACTCCAGGCTGGGCGATGGAGTGAGACCTTGTCTCAAAAACAGAACAAAAAGCAAAACAACTGTATTAGGGGCCAGATGTGGTGGCTCATGCTTGTAATCTCAGTGCTTTGGGAGGCTGAGATGGGAGGATTGCTTGAAGCCAGGAGTTCAAGACCAGCCTGGGGAACAACCAAACCCTGTTTTTACAAAACATTTAAAAAGTAACCTGCTTGGTAGCATGCTCCTGTAGTCCCTGCTACATGGGAGACTGCAGTAAGACTGATTGCTTGAGCCTAGAGATTCGAGCTGCAGTGAGCTGTGATCACTGCATTCCAGCCTGGGCAACAAGAGCATGACTATGTCTCCAAAAAAAAAAAGAGAGAGAGAGAAAAGAGAAAACCACCAACAACCTGCCTTTACTATGTTTAGGTGTGTTTAAATACACAAATAGTTACAATTGTGTTGCCGTTGCCTGTGGTATTCAGTAGTCTGTAGCTTAGGAGCAATAGGCTACACCATCTATAGAGCCTAGGTATGCAGTAGGCTATACCACCTAGGTTTGTGTAAGTACACTCTATGATGTTTACAGGATGGTAAAATAGCCTAATGACACATTTCTCAGAACCTGTCTCTGTTGTTGAATGATGCGTTACTGTACTCCAAACTTTTTGACAAACCTAACCTAATTTTGCTCTTCATTATATGCCTGATAGACATTTTTATCTATGTACATGAGGCCTGAGCTGACCAAAATTTCTAACTTTGGAGAATGTATCAGAATAAGAGTAGGAGGCTGGGTGCGGTGGCTTACACCTGTAATCCCAGCACTTTGGGAGGCTGAGGCAGGCGGATCACAAGGTCAGGAGATCGAGACCATCCTGGCTAACATGGTGAAACCCCGTCCCTACTAAAAAATACAAAAAATTAGCCAGGCGTGGTGGCGGGTGCCTGTAGTCCCAGCTACTAGGGAGGCTGAGGCAGGAGAATGGTGTGAACCCTGAAGGCGGGGCTTGCAGTGAGCCGAGATCGCGCCACTGCACTCGCACTCTAGGCTGGGAGAGAGAGTGAGACTCTGTCTCAAAAAAAAAAAAAAAAAAAAAAAAAGAAAGAAAATAGGAGTTGTGTAGAATCTGGATCAAAAATAACTGCTTTATCTTTTTCCTTGAGGTGGCTTAACAAAAGACTATATTCATTTGAGCTTCTGTTGTTTCCCTTTGATACACTGTTTCACACTGTAGAGCCAATGGTTTTATACAGTTTTACGGAACAGCTTGCAAAGTGCAAGTTTTGACAAGAAAAGAAAATCTTTCCTGCTTTGTCTTCTCATTTCAAATATTGCATGCAGATTTAAGCTACCACATGTTTACCCAACGTGCTTGTTTCTAATATGTGAAAATAAGGTTGTATCAGTAGAATTAGCTACCTTTAAAAAATTGGTTGCAAAATGTATCCAGTATATCATCTGTGAATCATCCCTGGGCTTCCAAGAAGGCATGGTTTGTAGCTACACAACTGCAAAAAACTTTTTGGCAAGAAGTGATCCAATGCATTCCATAGAAGTAGCAGCATCCTAAAAACTGAATGACACCTACACCGTGAAATATTTTAAAAGAATTCCCAAAACTCTGCTTCATCAAGAGTGAATTTTCAGTCAAATCTGCTTTTCTTTTTAAATTTATAATTGATTCCTCCACCCATTTTAAACAAGGATTTGAGGTGGTGTAAGTCAAATCTGTCACTCAGGCAAACACTCTAGCATCCTGAGCCCTATTGTTCATCAAAGTCCTTCTGTAATTAATCTTGGCTGTTTGGGTAAGTGCCTTCTATATTTTGGTGTAAGAAAGGCAGAGCAACTTTCTTATGCCTTTTATCTTAAAAAGGGATGAAAGTAAGGAAAATGGAAAGAAGCCTTCAATAGACCTTCTGGCAAGTTCTGTTATATATTGAGTGCTAAGTGCCAGTCACTAAGCTAACCACTATCATATGATTTCACTGACTCTGGAAGAGGATCTTACCTAATAAATAAGAGACACTGAGCAACAGGAAGCCACTCATCCCTACAGATTGTGATGTCAGGAAGAAGACTGGGGCCCATTAGGGTGGGAAAACTACTGCCATTGTGGCTGTGGCAGCTGGTTCTTTCTCTGCCTCTGTCCTATCGCAAGAAAATGCCTGCCCTATTAGATCTGGTCAGTAATGTTTGATGAACCACATTTGTGCTTGAAGAGTCTCAAGCAAAAAAAGGGTAGTAAGAGAGGAGAAAGAAAGAAAAGCTCATGGGGGAAAAAAATCACCCACATGAAGTAGATTTACATTGGATCCCCAGGTTCCCTTCACAGATCAGCGTCAAAGCAGATGTTTCTCCCCAATCTTGGCACCTTCCTCAACTGCTGATACTCAAAGTTAATTAGTTTAGTATAACTTTGTGTCTCTTAATTGATGAAAAGTGTTTTTCAACAACAAAAATATCTATAATTGGTCCACAATTCTAGATGGGGCCTAGGCAGTTGACAGGGAATTCAGGTAGACCAAATGCCAAGAAAAAACGCTCTGAAGTGCTCTCAAACAGAAAGATTGCAGACTCGTGGACAGTATATGTCTATCTTTGAGTCATATTGGTTCCAAAGATGACCAATTTTTTTTGCTAACTCCTCCCACTTTATTTATACAGCATAGATCATCATAGGAAAATTTTAAAGGCAAAATACAAAAATCCACACCAATTTCCACAATAAGCACTTATTACCCTTATAATAAGAAAGCCCCACAGAAAGGTATTAGAAAAGCCCTCATACAACTACTCATGTTTGGGAAATAAATCACAATTGTGTTTGTAAGTGTGCTCCCATTTAGAGACATTCATGTTCTAAATGTAAATGGCAAATGGTTCATAGAGAAAAACAAAAAATATTGATATGTTATTGATACAATACCAAGAAACAAATATGCCAGCCTCTCCAAAAGTTCTTTTCCCATTGCAAATTATGTGTATAACTTGCTATATATTTTCCTAGTTTTTAATGTATATAATCTAAAATAAACAAAACACAGAAAGCCATAGCCTTCGTCCTCTCCTAGCCCCATAGCAATTCCAGAGCAGTGAGATAGTCATTTGTGGGTGTCCTAGTGTGCTAGGAAGTCCCGAAATATTCTTGTAGCCCAGGACACTCTGTTTTGTTAGTCTATTTTGAGATAATCCTTCTCTCAGTAAGTGAACTTATGCTAACGAAATGATTATAGACTAAAGATTAAATCAGACAGATAAATAATTTATGTTGTGAAAAAATTATCAGGTGGACTAAAAAATTGTCAGATTGTCCACACTCTCCCTAGAGGCAATAACTGAAGAAGCCAGAAGGGAAGCCGAATTCTGGGTGAACTTGAATTGGATGATACTAGTGGCTAGTAGTCAAATTACTATAATCTGATGAATTCGGTTGCACAGTAGGGATTGACTGGCTTGGTAGACCAGAATGCTTTCTTGGGTGGCCAGAGAACCCTGTCCTGTCTACAAAGCTGGTGATGCATTATTGCTCTTTAATGCCCATACACCTACTCACTATTAAGATCATTTTTCTTCTGTTAACATATCTTTCTTGGGTAGGCTGTATTTCATTTGATTAGCCTTCAGTTTCCACTGTTACAGTAGTATTCTGGTCATAGTATTCTGTTACTCTGCTACTACACCCAAGGCATCAAATAGAGGCATTGACACATAGTCATCTAACATAGGATGCTTCTAAAAAAAGCACGGTTGATTTATTAATTAACTTTTACTAGATTGGATTAAATTAGATTTTTCTTACTTTTATCCTCAGGTAACTGAGATGTGTTTAGCTGGATGTCTCTCCTGTGTACTTATAGCTACCCTTTGAATATTCATATTAATGTAATTTTATCGAATAACTATAGTCCCCTTTTATTTAAAAAATGAGAAAGAAAGACAGCAAGAGTTTGATTATTCAGTGATTTTATGGTGGAGAAAAGGCCCAAATAGTTTTTTTTTTCCAAAAGAAACTTAAATCAATCCTAATTGATAGTGGTTCCCTAACATATTAAAAGGTCTTATGTGAGGTTTATGGATATCTGTTTAATTATTTTATTTATTGTCACTTGACAGAGCGTGAAAGAAGCCTTGCTTTGTTTGTTTGGAGTGGAGTTCAATTCTAAATGGATCTAACTCTGGGCCCATAACAGGAGGGTTAGTTATTAGAATGGTAAAATGTTCACCTTATGGGATGATCTCACCTGTGTGAGGCATAAGACCACCAGATATACAAAAGTTTCCTCCCTCCAGGCCTTATTTTCGCCACACCCTACCCTCTCACAATGCACACCACCTTGCCAACCAGACCCTTCAGACATCACTCTTCACAAAATAAGACTGCCACCACTGGAAGCCAAGCCCAGGCAATTTGGGTTCTGTAGGTGGGAAAGAAAATCAAACCTAATAGCCATCATTCTCATGTTTTGGTCAGTGGCAAAACTGGCCAGATAGAGATGCTGAGGCTGTGAGAAGAGACAGAACTGCAGGCGTATGGCAAGATTGGTGTGGTTTCAGCCTAAAGTCACGGGATGACACAGGGTACAACCTCAGAGACCCCATCTGCAAATCCAGAGCGACAACTGGTCACAGGGATCCATCCATGCAAGCTGGCATTCTGGGGAAGGATTTCCACCTCAAAGATGAAGTGAGAATATGATAGGAGCCTATTAACTAAAATTTGAGTAGGGAAGGAAATGTGCGAGGTACAAGGCAAGACCCAGGTATCAGTTAGGACCAGCAAGTATTCTAAGTCACTGCTACTTCTCTTTCTTATGGATATGAATTTCCTAGAGGGAAGATGTACCTGGTCAAATAATCCTGGTTGAAATGCTTGAGATTTTATTAATGCTTTTTATTTTTATTTTTGAGATGGAGTCTCGCTCTGTCACCCAGGCTGGAGTGCAGTGGTGTGATCTCAGCTCACTGCAAGCTCCACCTCCCGGGTTCAAGTGATTCTCCTGCCTCAGCCTCCCGAGTAGCTGGGACTACAGGTGCCTGCCAGCATGCCTGGCTAATTTTTTTGTATTTTAGTACAGACGGGATTTCACCATATTGGCCAGGCTGGTCTCGAACTCCGTACCTCGTGATCCACCTGCCTCGGCCTCCCAAAGTGCTGGGATTACAGGCGTGAGCCACCGTGCCCAGCTGAGATTTTTTAAATGCATTTATTACTATAAAAGACAAGAATGCTGCTACCCTGTGGCCTTGTGAGGCATGTTCAATCCAGAGGACCAGCTTGATGATTTTTCACCATTCATGACCATTTTCCTTTGCCTTTAGTTTCTTCTAGAATGATTAACCACATTTACTCGCCAAAACTTGAGTTCTGACTATATGCAGGTTCTTCTAGGGGACCCAGAACTAGCTATGAAATAATAGTCTCTGACATTTAATTTATTTATTCAACCAATTATTAATAGATTCAAAAGTATCTAGTATGTACAAAAAATGTTTAGAGAGGTTGAAAGTGGCCAGGTGTGGTGGTTCATGCCTATAATCCCAGCACTTTGGGAGGCCAAGGCTGGAGGATCACTTGAAACCAGGAGTTCGTGACCAGACTGGAAACAAAGTGAAACTCTGTCTCTACTCCCCTCGCAAAAAAGTTAAAAGCATAGGGGTCTCACTGCCTGACCTCACATTCTGGTTTGGACATTATTAACTTTTTGACTCTGGGAAACTTACTAAAATTAAAATTTTCTAAAGATATGTTTTTTTTCATCTATAAGGCTGGATAAAATAATAGTAGCTACCTTAAAGTAGTTATGATTCTTAAAGAACATGTTGCTTGTGAAATCTCTGGCCCATACATTGTTAAGACTAAACGAAGTCAAGCCAGCCTTAATAAAGCACTGAGAAAGATTGCATGCATATAATAGTCTCAAAATGATGAAACTGTAGTGATGAAGAACAAATCAACAGTTGCCAGGAGCTAGTTAAGGTTGTGGGGAGGGTGTGACTATCAGGAGTTAGTACCAGGCCTCCCTGGGCGATAGAGTGAGACTCTGTGTAAAAAGAAAGAAAGAAAGAAAAAAAAAGTTAGTACCAGGGAGTTTCTTTGTAATAACAGAATACTTCTGTATCTCGAGCAGGCAGTCGTGATACAAATATATATGTGTGATACCGCTCCCACCTCCACCAAAAATGAGTGCGTGTCAAAGCTGGTGAAACCCGAATTTGGTCTATAGTTTATAGTATCGTATCAATGTTAATTTTCTGGTTTTGAGGATGTACCATGGCTATGTAAGATGATATCGCTGGGGGAAGGATACACAGGAACACTGTGTTATCTTCCAATTTATGAGTCTTAGATTATTTCAAAATTGAGGGCTTTTTTGTTTTGTTTTGTTGTTGTTCTGTTTTGTTTTTGAGACAGTGTCTCACTCTGTAGCCCAGGCTGGAGTGCAGCGGTGTGATCTCGGTGCACTGCAGCCTCTACCTTCCAGATTCAAGTGATTCTCCTGCCTCAGCCTCCTGAATAGCTGAGATTTCAGACATACACCACCACATCTGGCTATTTTTTTTTTTTTTTTTGTATTTTTAGTAGTGATGTGGTTTCGCCATGTTGGCCAAGCTGGTCTCGAACTTCTGGCCTCAAATGATCCACCCACCTCAGCCTCCCAAAGTGCTGGGATTACAGGCGGGAGCCACTCAAAATAGTTTAAAAATATAAGGCACGAAAAGAGATGTGACAGTGTAACAGAGAAGAGATAGACTTGTCTCTGCCCTTATGGAGTTTACATTCTACTGGGAAGAGAAACCAGTAATTACACAGTCAGTTATTTCATGGTAACTGTGCTCAGTGTTACGAAGGAAAAATGTAATGTGCTATGACAGCATGTGCAAAGACAAGGGGGCCCAAAGCTGGGGCAGCTCAGGAGAGGCTTCTTCTTGTGGGGGGGATATCTAAGCTCCCATTTCTATGGTCGGGTGAGCTGGGTGGGATGGTGGGAGGCGTTCTAGGGAAGGGAGCAACATTGATGGGGACCTGGAGGGTGAAAGAGCCTTTGGCAGCTTAGAGGAACTGGCCGCCGTGCAGGAATCAGAGTTAAGTAGGCCGGTGTTACAAGCACAGTGTTGTGGGGGTCAAGGAGAGAAGTATGTCTGACAAGAAACTGGGGGGAGAAAACAAGTGCACCATGATGGTAGCAATGGATAAAGCTTAGATTTTGAAATGGGTTGTTTTTTAATGAATTTAAAGCTGCAATTATAAAACGCACAAAGGAATGGATACTTCAAGTGTGTGATGAGTTTGGGAAGCCACACATAGTCTGGTGAAGAGGGTCCCTGGAAGAAACTGGAAGGGGACTGGGAAGAGCATTTGGGGCTTGACCACAAAGGAAGTTTGATTTTTTGTCCTGCAGGCATGGAGGAGCCATTGGGACTTCTGAGCTGGCAAGTTCTTCAAAGTTTACTCAGAGGCCAAGATAAAGCATAGATGGAGTTAAAGAGAACTGAAACCAGTGAGCCTGGCCAAGAGGCTACTGCAGGAGTCCAGGATAGGGACATTAGAGCCTGAAGCTGGGGTGAAGGGAGTGGTACTGGGACAGGGAGTGACAAAGGAGCCTCATGTCAGCAGGCCCAGCCAACAATAGGGACCTCAGATCCTGGAGCATCTCTCCTAGTATTTAGGTTGGTGCAAACGTAATTGTGCTTTTTGCAATTTATCCCTCTGAGGTCTCTTGTAGGTATATAAAAACATACATGTAACACATCTACTGTGGCCTTGTTGGAAATTGGGAAATTGGAAAGAATGCATGTATCCGTTAGTGAGTACTTGAGTAAACTATGGTACATAATCCTACAATGGGGTTCTATGGAGCACTTAAGAACCATGGAGTATCTTCTTAAAATATTAAGTCAGAAGAATTGCAGAAGACTAGGTATAGTATGACCTAATTTCATAGAATAATGTGTAGAGTGCATTTTACATGCATAGAAAAAGATCTTGAAAGATATACCTCTTCCTTTGGCAATAAAGATCTTTGCAGGTGGAGATTGTAAAGAATGTTTACTTTTTATACATTTCCTTATAGTGATTTATTTATTACAAATATGTTCATGCTTCAGTATATCTGTCTGTTGCACTTCTACGTGAATGGTGTTGTCTTAGATTGGACTCCTGTGACCAGGCTTTGAGATGGAGACCACATGCAGAAGGAGGCAGCCCTTGGGAGGTTCCCCTGTTAGGAAGTAAGGAAGACAGCATTGGGCAGAGAGGGAAGCTCACCCATATTGCAGTTGTAACTGAGACATACTAGGAGCTTTTGAGCTGGGATGACCCTTCAGAGTCATCCTAAATTGGGGCAGGGTCTTTATATCCTTGCGTTAGCCAGTCATTGGGTTTGGACTGCCTTGAGGAGGGAGCATGACCTTGGGCTAGTCCATTCCCTGTAGCTGAGGGCAACTCCTGTTGAAGGATGCAGCTAAGAATGGCCAGCAACTGATAGTCCTATGCACTGGCCAATGGATGCCCTGACTCTGAAGAGGGAATCTGGGAAAGCACTACAGTATCCATTACAGTTATTTGGTGTAAGTTTAAAATTTATTTTTAGACCTTGCAGACCTTGCTTAATTATCTTAACTTTGCTTTCACTAATACAAAGGTAAAAGAGGAAAAAATGATTATCTCAATGTGAAAAAAATTAAATGAAATTAAAAAACCTTTTTGATTAAAAAAGTCTTGGCAATTAGGAGTAAAAAGCAATTTATTTGCCCTGATAAAGAGTACTTTCTCCAGGCTCCCCTTTCTCTGAAGGTGTAGGCCCTCTGCGGGCCAGGCTCCTCTGGCTTAATTTCCTCCACCACATTGTGTGGCCTCAGGCCTTGCCTTCCTTCTCCTTGACCACAATCCGCAGAGTGCTCTGATTCTCATATTGGTATTTGCCTCCAGGCAGTCCCAGTTTCTGAATTTCCTTCTGTTTTCATTTTTCCTCTCTTCTTTTTTTTTTTTCCTTTTTTTTTTTTGTGGCTCCTAGTGATTTCCCTTCCTTTCTTGTGTGCTCAGCAATACATTTAAAAGTATATTTGTTGTAATTTATTTAGCACCTAGTGTTTCACAGCAGGAAGGTTTTTCAGTGTATCTGGTCCACAGTTCTGCAGAAAGCTAAACCCCGACTGTCTTCACCAAAGGCAATTTTTCCTTTTGCTGCCTCTAATGTGACTTTCAGTTTTATTTTTTATATTTTATTTATTTCATAAGTTCATTCACCTTTATCCTCTTCTCCTCTTGCTCTATCTTCTATCGAATCTCAGTTTTTCTTCTTTGACCTCTTTTCTTTAATGGAGAATTATTTGATCATGAATTATACCTATTGGGGCAAACTTTTCTGGTTTGTATCATTCAGCTGACTTTTTAAAATCATATTCCTCTCTATGTTTTTTGTGTTATCTATGACTACATTCCATACTGTTTCATTTCTTGTGATTATGCATTCTTAAATTGGTTTGTTCTTACCAAGCCAGCTATTTGTGAAAGGATAGAACTGGAGACAGACTAGGGAATGGAGCTAGGGCAGCTTGAATTTCCATCTATTTTCCACTACTGCCTTTCCTGGAGAACGGCCTCTGTGTGGGCTCAACTCATTTCTCTCTCCTCAGCTCATTTTTATCACAGCTCTTTTGGATGGTGACATAAAGCTTGGTCTCCATCAGCTGAGCATGAGCCATATATTCAGGCACCACTCTTTTCTTGTTGACCTTAGTACACCCACATCCTGCTCTGGCAGAGATGACACACTAGCCTGTTTCCACGTTTAGCATCATCACCTCTGACCCCTAATGCCAAACAGGGGTCAGAGCATTTCCCCAGTGCTCCCATGCATCGAGACCTCATGTTCCCAGCAAGGGTCATTTAATGTCCTTCAGGGTTTGCCACCTGTAAAGACCTCTCTGTTCTGCTCACTAAACTAGAGAGCTGCAGGATCTTGTTTCTTCCATCAGTCTCCCCATGTCCTTATTTAATTTTCCTAACACTTGGCAGCCTTTTAAAGAGTGATGTTTGGATTATGGGTGTTTCCTAGTGTTTCATCAGTTTCACTTCTGTTTGTCGTTCTCTTAATTTTTGGTTGACTTAAGGAAAGAGAGCTTTCAGTCTTGCACTTGATCTTGAAGTCCAGAGGATTATTATAGGATGATAGAAGACTTAAGCAGGTGAGGGACGAGCTATCTCATAGATGATCTGAGAAGGGCTGGGCCATAAGAGTAGCCTGGAAAGAAGGAGATTTCTTCCTTACACACAGAAGGACAAAAATCCACAGGGAACATACAGGAGGAATTTTAGGTCGATAGGAAGAAAAGGAGTAAAAAGGTACTTGCTCCTGTGGGAGATGTGGAGTCTGGCATGTACAAGGAACAGCAATAGACTTTATTCATTTATTCAGCAAATTTTTATCACATCCATGCTATATGCCAGGCAGTGGGGAACCAGTAATGAACAGGGCAAACCAATTCCTGTTCTCTGATACTTCACTTTCTCATAGAAGAGCCACAGAACAAAGAAGAACTGAGCAGCAGCAACAATAGCAAGAGCCTGTTTTCTGCCAGGTTCTAAAATAGACAACAGAGCCCTGGAGGGTCTAGTGGTGGCTTCCATGTGGAGGTGCTATTTAAGCTAGATGTGAAAGAACAGAGAATCCAGCCATGTGAAAGGAGGGGAAGAGCATTCCTGGCACAGAGTAGAAAATGCTATGGCCCTGAATCAGGAAAGAGCTTAATAATTTTCAGGAACAAACAAATTACTGGTTGGACTTGAAGGAGCAAGACAGAACATGGCACAGGCCGAGGTTGGAGAGAAAGGAAGGAACCAAATCATGTAGGCATTTGTAGGAGCTGGGTTTGTATTCTATCATTACTTCCTCAGTCAGTAGAGATAATGAAGAACAGAAATCTAGGCAAATATGGATAAATTATAAATGTACCAAAATGATGATAGTTAAAACCCACGAAAAAAAGAGCATAACATCAACAAGTGCTTTGGCAATTTTCTATGTGGAGATTCTGGTTTTAAGATAATTTGGGCAGAATTCATAGCATAAAAAATTAACATTACTCACAGACTTACATTCTAAGGAGAGGAATTCCATGTCATGCTTTTAGGAATGAATCCTAGAAACTGATTGTCCTCTGGAACAAAGGAGACTGTGGCATTTTAGAGAGCCCTAAGCTTCACTATGCGTTTCTGAATTTGAGGATATGGTTGAGGAAAATTAGTCAGAAGGAAAGGACTTGGACACTCAGGATTCCATAGATCTGGAAAGTAGGAAGGCAAGGGCTGTGCTGAAGGAGACATTCACTCTTTGCATGGGGGCCATCAGAGACGAAGCCAGATAGCATGCACAACACCCAGCTTATTCTCACACCCATACTTTCTCTGTTTGCAAAGAGAAATCACAATGGAAATATTTCTAAAGATTACCCTTCTGCAACAGAAAGAATTGACTGGAAAGTAAGTTATGAAAAAGAAATCTGGAAGCAAGGTAATAGAGCCCCAAACAGAATTTAAATCTTTTCCTATCAGTATTTGGTAGAGTCTGAGTACTGACTTATCAGAATATATATAGGATTTTATCCAGTTGAAGCTGCAGACTTTAAGGATGTATCCATTTCCTCCCCTCTTCCCTCTGTCCTTCCCTCCCTCAACAGTGAATGTTTGAGATGATGCTATCCAGCCTTTATAGACCAATCTATAGATAAGTGACTCTTCTTTTTAGCCTTCTTCATGGCGAATTTCTCTCCAACATTCTTTGCATTCTAATTGGTCTTACTCAATTCCAAAGAATTTCCCATTAATCAATAAAGCTTCTTCTTAGAAGTGGACTAAAGCTGAAGTTTCAGCTTCTGTCAGACTCCATGTGAGAGACTCCTTTCAAAAAGAGGCAAACTGTAAATCCAGTTTTCTTTTGGCATTAATTTCCTAGTAGTTCTGGGGGTTCAAATGAGACATCAGTGACTAGCTGTCACTCAAGTATTTTATCTCAAAGCTTAAAGGACTGGAAAGTGACTGTGCTCCTTCCACTCTCAGTTTAAGTACAGTATTCTGTTCCTGGCAGCCAAGAAGCAGCAGGTGTAGGATGAGGAATAGCTGGCCATTGCTCCTGGCCAGAGAAGGTGCTTCTTCACAACAGTGGAAGGTTTCAGTATCGCTTAGCCTGTCCAAGAGAAACTATTTTTGTTCCATATCCATGCCCTGGTAGGAGAGTTCAAATTTATTTTGGGTTTGCTGATGGCTATACTATCAGGAGGATATCAGTGCAGGAAGCCAAGAAGCTACCATCTGTGCTGTGTTTATATCTAAAGAATTATTTAGAAGACTGATTACTCAGTTAGCTGGGCCTCCTGACCTTCTAGTATTACACTTAGAAAGGTAACTAACACTTTCTTGAAAGTCACTTCACTTTTAATAACCCATATAATTCCCTCAATATAAGGTAGGGATCAAAGTATTGACCAAAGCTTCACACTGAGTCTCATGTGTTGTGGATGCTATGAATGATCACTTGTGGTTAACAGATAGTGACTCCTAACAGTGATATGTTAGTAAATATTTAACAATGGGCTCTCTAGGGAAAAATAACTGATTCATAGCATTTGCCAGTTTCCATGATGGAATAGTAAGAACAATTTTATAAATTCAAAAACATAGATGAAATATAGAAATTCCTCAAAAGACAATAATGACCAAAATCAACTCAAGCAAAGTAGGAAGCCCAAATAGCCCTATATTTATTAAAGAAAATGAATTCACAAATCTGCCCACCAGAAAAATTGCAAGTCCAGATGGCTTTACTAGGGAAGTATATCAATTGCATAAGGAATAAATTACACTAATCTTGCACAAAACCCTTCAGAAAATAGAGAGGAAACACTTCCCAACTCACCTTTTGATTCCAGAATTTATACTGTTACCAGAATTAGGTGAAGACATTATGAGAAAAGAAAATTATAGATCAGAAATCAGTATACTTCATGAATAGAGATGAAAAGAAAATTCTTTGCAAAGTATCAGCAGATTGAATCCAGTAAAAACATATATTATATATATATGTGTGTATATATATGTGTGTGTGTGTGTACATATATATATATATATAAATTATCATATATGATGACCAGGAATGTAAGGTTGGTTTGACTTTCAAAATCAACTGATATAATTCACCATATTAACAGAATAAAGAGGGAAAACTGTATGATTGTCTCAAGTATGAAACAAAACCATCTGAAAAAATGGAAAAATTCAGCACTTATTCTTTGTGTATGTATATAACTCCCAAATAAAGTAAGAATAGAAGAGATTTTTCTCAACTTGATAAAAGACAACTAAAAGAAGCCTGCAGCTAATATCAGACTTAAGTGTGGAAAGACTGACCACTTTCCCTAAGATAGAGATGAAGGCAAGGATGCTCACTCTCCATCACTTCTATTCAACATATTGCTGCAGATCACAGGCAGTGCAATAAAAAAAAAGAAGTAAAATGCATAAAATTGTAAGGGAAAAACACTGTCTTTATTTGCAGATCGTGTAAGTATAAAATGCAAAACTATTTCTAAAATAGCTACTAGAACTACTACATGAATTTAGCAAAGGTATAAGCTACATTGTCAATATTCAAAAATCAGTTCATTCTTATAAACTAACAAAAAAGAATGTAAAAAATGTAATACTCTCCACAGTAGCATCACAAAACATGAAATATTTATGGACAGGTTCAGCAAAATATGTGCAGTATCTGTGCATTGAAAACCACAAACATTGCTGAGAGAAATTAAAGAAGACCCAAGTTAGGGGATACAAATGATCTTCATGGATTGGAAAATTCAATATTGTTAAAATGTTAGCTCTCCCCAAACAGTCACCATGAGAATTCTAGCAGGATATTTGTGTAAATTAATAATTGGAGATTCTAACATTTAAATGGAAATGCAAAGGACTTAAAGCAGTCATAACAATTTGGAAAGGAAGAACACAGTGGGAGCCTATGATAAGCAGAATTCCAACATGATGCCAAGATTCCATCCCCTGCTGCACCAGTGTGTACAATCCCCTTCTGTAGAGTATGAGAGAGACCTGTGAATATGATGGGTTGTCACTCTCTTGATTAGGTTATGTTATATGGCAAAGGTGAAGAGATTTGCATCAGTGGCTCCATCCAAGACTGAAGTGGCTTGGTGCCTGTGTTTGGACACCCAGACCAAATGTAAACCTTTGGTCCTCACCCTCCAGAAACACATGTGCCTTTACCACCCCTCAGGTTAAGGCAAACACACATTTATCGCACAGTCTACCTTCGGGGTCAGACTGGGGGAGGAGGTCCACAAATGCCCTGAGGCATACTCATGACTATGTGGGCAGGGAATTCCAGGCTCACAGTTACTCCAGGTGTGATCTCGAAAGGAAGAGGTGCATGCTCCGCATAGGCAAGCCACTTGGCCACGGGATGTCTTCACTCCATGGGAAGGGAGGAGGCTCAAGGTGGCTGAAGTAGAGCCTCCCCAAGCAGAACATCTCAAACTTATATGTGCATAAGATCTTATTGAAATGCAGGATCAGAGCAGATCAGAGTGAGACCTGGGATCCTGCATATTTAAAAGCTTTCAGGTGACATGAGTGCTGCCGACCCACTTTGAATAGCAAGGCTGGAATCATGGGGCGGGGTAGTACTGCTGTGATGCCTGGCAGTGCATCCCTGGCATTGGAGCACATGATCAGCCCTAATTGGTTTGGTGTCACTTGTGAAATCTATCCAGCAAAAGAAGTGAAAACAGAATGGCTATCTTTAATTAAGTGTTTACTATCTGTCACTAATATCTTTAGGTGTGATAAGTCATGTAATTCATTGGTAACCACTCCTTGCCAAGTACCAGCTTAGAAACGCTAGCCAGTTGCTTAAAGACGTTCTTCTGATCTCATAGCATCCCTTATTTTCAACCTTTTATCTGTCCCAGTTACCCAAGCCATTGTGCTACAAAATTCCTAGGATCCTCAAGTTTTCCTAAACCCTCTTTTTCCTAAATCCTCATTTTCACGGACCTCAGGACAGCCTGGGAAAACATCCTGGTTGGTTCTACTACAAAATCTTGTTATTAGATCTCTGTGGGGTCCTCCTGATTCATGGCAGTCTTCCTTTTAAATATTTTATGGACTTCCTAGTACGTTATCCACAGCAGTGCCCCAAATCCACTCTTTGTGCTCAGCTCTATTTCCAACTGTCAGCAAAAGTGCTTGCATTTCACTTTAAAGGGAAGAATGCTTAATCTGTGTTTATAATCCTAATCCCTTTCTTTTCCTTGGCTTTGCTTATCAGTTGTTCCCTGTCTTTCTATCTCCTTTTACTCTGACTTTTAGCCAATCAAAATACTGCCTGGATCTCCTGTTTTGTAAGATCATATACACCCTCCTAATCCCTGTTACATGTCTCAGGCAGCCAGCCTCCTTTGCCTTCCCTCACTGCCCACTGCCATGAAACAGGAGTCACCTTTTACTGCCTCTACCTGCCACCTACAACCACTTTAATCTCTTGCATTCTGGCCTTTTCTTCCACCGACCTACGAAACCACCAATTTGAAGTGGTATTAAACTATTTATTATTTTTATTAATAAAATATGGGAGCATGAATGAGATATAAAATGAAGTCAAAATTGTTTCTAATATTTATGCTGTATTTTTCCATTTTGTAGCATTTTTTATTTTGAGGCATCACTCTACAGAGACTTTTATCTCTTCCTGTGGGATGGTTCCCTTTCTAGGCCACATTTTTTGACATTTACAAAAACACACACTTTTTCTTTTAAATTCAGTGCTGAAGGTTAAGACCTTGGGCCATTCATTATTTTATCTGAACTTCTTTTCTCACTATTATTTGGAAGAAGGGTAAAATAATACATTGAGTACTCTACTCTCTTTTGATGATTATGTTGCTCTTGGGCCAAAACAAACCTTTGGAACCTAGATGAACTTCTAAGTTATTCCAAGAGAATTAGGAATCTTCCTTTACCCTCCATGGACCCAGCTTCTCAGTGCAGCTAAAGCCCTTGCTTAGTCTGTATAAATTAATACATTTGCTGGAAATGTGACTTTAGGAGATTTTATAGCAGTGGTTTCAATGCTGCTAGTGGTGAAGTGGAAATTTGAGAATGTGAAGATTAGTTTAAACCACATGATGGGTTCAAGGAAAAGGGACATAGCTGGCAGTTTCCTGAATGTGTGCTAACTCTAGATAGTGGGTAATGGGATCCGAAAAAACCACCAGTGAACTTTTAAACCCTCTTGAGAGGAATCAAACCAGCACAATTAGCCCTGAAACGGAGCTGTACACGAAAACAGGCCTCTTCTCTCTCCCTCAGAAACCAATCCCTTTGCCTGAAAGAACACCATTCGGAGATCAGAGAGAGAGGAGGCACCTTACCTTTTACTGCTAATGGAATGAAGCTAGACCTGTGTTTCCAATCATTAGCTGGTTTACTGAGCTGTCTTTCATCATAGATTCCAAATTCTGTTGGATTCTTTCAACTATTGTTAACCAATAAATTGTATGTTGTGGATAGTCGATGAACTTGAAATAAAAGATTTCTTTTTCCTTCCAGTTTGTTGTAGCAGTGTTCTGGATCATTTATGCCTATGACAGAGAGATGATATACCCGAAGCTGCTGGATAATTTTATCCCAGGGTGGCTGAATCACGGAATGGTGAGTGGATTAAAACAAACGGCTTTCTTTTATTTTAAAAAATCTATTAAATAGCTATGATCTGCTATTTAGACCTTCCATAGAATTTGCCTAAAAAGCCATGAAATCTTGGAAGGTTATAATGGGAGATTAAAATTAGAGAATACTGTAATATTTACTGAATATAAATAGAAACTTCTTCCCATGGAATGGAGTCATTATTCAAACGATGTAGTAGATGAATCCACAGATTATTAAGGTTGGTGTGTCAGTGGTGTTAAATAATATAATTAGCCAATTCTGGGATGAATTTAATTTCTGTGCCATTAGAAGGCTTGTCCTCAGAGCCCAAGGATGGATTCCCATCTACACAGCCACCACCAGCCCTCCGCTCCACCTGCGCCTCACATCGTCTGGATTTTGTTTGAAGTAACTATTGCAGCTGGACAGTTTCCCTCAGATGGGCAGCAAGGCTGTGACTTTCTTTCAGAGATCTGCTGCAGGCATTTGGAAGTGTCTTTTGCAATGGAATTGTTTGCCTCGTAGGGTTCTTCCCAAGTTAGGGTGTTCGCCTGTGGCTTTGAGGCCTTTTCCTTCTTCTCAGTCTAATTCTTTCTGGTGCTTTAGCCATGATGTTGCCCTCACTAGTTTCAAATCCAGTGCTTTGGATGGTTTCCACATCATTTTACAACATTTGAGGATATATTTTCTGCAGTGAAATTTTGTTTCATCTTCCCTTTCAGTTTTTGGAATTGAGCACTACTTTGTTATTAACTAAGAAGCATGCATTTTGGTTACAGCAGTTTTTAGAATATGTCCCAGGGTGTTCCTGGTGAAAAGGGCAGCCCATCACAAGAAATTATAGGGGAAGGAAGAGCTGGAAATCATGAGTCTTGAGTACAAAATAACAGTTTCCCTTCTGCCCCCAATTTTGGTATATTTGAAGAAAAGTGGTGTGTCTAACAAACAAACATCACTGTACTGAAGGGTTTTGATCAATTCTTTCTTAAGCCAATTCATCAAAAGTGGCACATCTCAGAGAATTGGATTTTTTTTTAGTTCAATTAGAGCCACACTCTTGAAGGATTAACATGGCACCTCTGGTCTATTTCCAAACATATCAGCTGGGTCTTGTCAGTTCAATTTAGCCATCCACGGGGCCTGGCATGGTTACTATGGCCTTCTCCAACTTTTTCCTTTTCTTGAATGTGAAAAGCATGTCGTAACTCCATGGCTTTGCAATCTCCTGCCCCAAATGCCCTTCTCAGTCTTTCCTGACAAATTCCTGCTAGCTTAGTTCCTATCTTCTTTAAGAAGCCATTCCTAACTCCCCAAGCAAAGTTAGCTATTCCGTTACTTGTGCTTGCACAGCACTTTCATATCTCTATTATGCATGTCTGTATCCCCACAAAAATGTTAAGCTCCTAGTGCAAAACAGCCTTTGAATTCCAAGCACTTCGCCCAGTTGTCTGGCATACAGTAGGATCAATACATATTTATTAAATTGATGAATGAATTCGCTATAGCCAATTTCCATAATTCTTTGCCAGTTACATAGCTACTATTATTTTTTTTGTGCCAGGCACTCTACAGTGATTGTATCATTAAATTTTCACAGTGGCGCTACAAATAAGGAATGATCGCAATTACAAATGAAGAAACTGAATCTCAGAAACCTTATATAATTTGCCCAAATGACGTAGCTCAGGATGGTAGAAGTGGGATTTGAACCCAGGCCTATCTGGCCTCAAATGTGTGGCCACATTTTATCTGAACAAGCAAAACATTAATTGATTCTTGATAAAAACAGTTACATTGTATAGCTTTTATAACAGTAAGTTAACAAAATGTAAGAGGAACATCTTCAGGGTATTTTGAAGCTTAGTTTCAAACTGTTTAGCGTATTTCAGCTGTCTAAGATAAACCAGTCAATAATTAGGTACGTATTTTTAAGAAAAAGACATTATGAAATTCCTGATCTCCAAGAGCTGAGTTGTAAATGGAGATAGGCTTTGTAAATCATCACTTCAAACATTACACCAAAAAACATTGTCATGTGCTCAATCAGGAGCAGGCTCTGGCCAAAAGGCAAGCATATTCTTGTGCAAATAGTATCCTTTGTGATATCTCCAAATATGAGGAAGAGTAATATCACCTAGATAACTCTAATTAGAGTGTCCAAATTGTGAGTATTAAAGGGAGACTCTTGAAGTTGCTGCCTCCAGTTGAATGTGAAATGATGTCAGTTACCTTGTTCTGACATTACGAGAGACTTTGCTGACAACAAATAATTGCATCATGTGCTATAGAATTAAAGTCTCGGCCACTTTGGCTTATTGTTAACAGGCCTGAACTGCACAATATTACCTTCATGCCAGAGAATGAATCACAGCCTTTGTGGATCCTGGTTCTAAATTTTTAATGTTTTGAACAAATGGCTTATGAAGCATGTATCCAGCCATTAGAACTTTGACTTGCCTCTCTTAATTTTACCTTGATTCACTTTGATGTCTTAAAACTCTTACTCCTGGAGACAGATACTACTTAGAAACACAAGGAGGAATTGAATGACACAAATATTTAGGAAAGAGAAAAGATAAATTAGTTAATATGTCAAATCCTCTGAGAGATAATATGAGTTCAATAGATTCTTTCACAATGAATTTTGTGTCCTAATAGTGATAAATGACCAGTTCTTTGGTTTTCCTCATGTTCCAATTGATAGTTCCAGAATTACTGAGAAAAAAGAAGTTGCGCATGGTGGCTGATGTGTATTTTGCAATATTAAACAATTTACATTACTTGAATTCTGTATCTGTGCAACTATAGATACAAAATGGATAAACCATGATGCTGATCCTTTAGACTAGCAATTAAAATATGAACATTAAATGCTGGAATTATGAATAATTTTCATAAAATGTGTAATAAAATGACATTTCAAATAAATGAGCATTTTCTTGTTTAAATAATATTTAAAGTTTTAATAACTATTAATTTGTACTTGCTTTTAATTCTAATTGGTTTTTAATATTTAATTTAAAAATAGCATTTTTAAATATATGGAAATAAGTCCATTCCAAATTTCTTTTTTTTTAATTTTTTAAATTATACTTTAAGTTTTAGGGTATATGTGCACAACGTGCAGGTTTGTTACATATGTATACATGTGCCATGTTGGTGTGCTGCACCCATTAACTCTTCATTTAACATTAGGTATATCTCCTAATGCTATCCCTCTCCCCTCCCCCCACCCCACAACAGGCCCCAGTGTGTGATGTTCTCCTTCCTGTGTCCACGTGTTCTCATCGTTCAATTCCCACCTATGAGTGAGAACATGCGGTGTTTGGTTTTTTGTCCTTGCGATAGTTTGCTGAGAATGATAGTTTCCAGCTTCATCCATATTCCTACAAAGGACATGAACTCAATCCATTCCAAATTTCTTACCAGCCTGGATAACTTGGTGAAACCCTGTCTCTTAAAAAAAAAAATTAGCTGGATGTGGTGGTATGAACATGTAGTCCTAGCTACTCAGGTGGCTGAGGTGGGGGGATTGCTTGAGCCCATGAGATCAAGGCTATAGTGAACCATGATCATGCTACTGCACTCCAGCCTGAGTGACAGGAGTGAGACCCTGTCTCAAGAACAAAAAAATTCTCACATGTATTTTAATGTATGTATTTTATTGAAAATTCAAATTGCATAAATTTTGATTATTTTATTTTCAATTGATCTTTTAGATTATTACTATCAGTAGAGCGAACATTTTGTGAAACTTTCCATTATAATAGCATATTTAGTAATTTTGCTGACATGAAGGCAAGAAAAATATAGTTTTAGAATATTTATATTCATATATTAAATATTTTAATATTTATATTTATGGCTTAAAAATATATATGTTTTACTACTTATCCAATCACATATTTTCTATTTTGTTTTATAAAACTACATGTGACAATGTAGGAGGATAAAACATTTTATTTAGCACTTCATTAGCTTTATTTGTAGCTTTTTAAAAAAATGTATATACTTATTTTAATTTTCAATGGGTAACACATACATATGCATGAAATTTAAATGTTTCCCTGCCTCCTTTGTATACCAGCTACTTAATTCTTTTTTCCTTTACTTGTACCTTTGAAAATTAATTTTAACATACATGTAATTAACATAGTTACAGGGTACAGAGTGATATTTCAAAATATGTATATAATGTGTAATGGCCAAATCAGGGTAATTAGCATATATATTTTCTCAAACATTTATTATTTCTCTATGTTGAGAACATTCAAAATCCTCTCTTCTAGCTTTTTGAAAATAACAGTAAATTATTGTTAACCTATATTCATTCTGTATTGCTATAGAACACTGGAATTTATTCCTCCTATCTAGCTATAATTGTGTCTCTGCTAACCAGCCTCTCCATACTCTCCCCTCCTGGCTACCCTTCCCAACCTCTAATAACCACAATTCTACTCACTACTTCTATGAGCTCATCATTTTTAGCTCCATCTTATTCCAGATCTTAGAGGAAAAGCTTTCAGCTTTTGTCTCTTTAGTATGTTAGCTGTGGGTTTGTCATATATGGCCTTTATTGTATTAAGGTATATTCCATCTATACCTAATTTGTTGAGAGTTGTTATTGTAAATGATATTTAATTTTATCAAATACTTTTTCTGTGTCTATTGAGATAATCATTTGGGTTTTGTTCTTCATTTTGTTTATGAGATGTATCAAATTTATTCATTTGTGTATGTTGAATCATCCTTTCATCTCTGGGATAAATATAAACTTTTGGATGTGCTGTTGGATTTGGTTTGGTAGTATTTTGTTGAGGATTTTTGCATCTATGCTCATCAGAGATATTGGCCTATAGTTTAAATTTTTTGGTTCTGTCCTTGTCTGATTTTGGCATCATGGTAATGCTGGCATCATAGAATGAGTTAGGAATAATGCCCTCCCCTTTAATTTTTTGGAATATTTTCAGAAGTATTTGTGTTAGTTCTTCTTTGTAAGTTTGGTACAATCTAGCAGTAAACTGTTCTGTCCTGGGCTTTACATTGTTCGGATACTTTTTATTACTTATTCAATCTCATTGCTTGTTATTGGTCTATTCAGGTTTTCTGTTTTCTCCTGGCTCAATGTTGATAGGTTATATGTGTCCAGGAATTTATCCACTTCCTCTAGGTTTTTCAATTTGTTGGTACACAGTTGTTCATAATAATCTGTTATGATCCTTTGTATTTCTTGATCTGCAGTCAAGTGCTGTACCCCGGAGCTGTACCCCTCCTGATCCTTCGTATTTCTATGGTATCAGTTGTAATGTCTCCTTTTCTGATTTTATTTATTTGAGTCTTCTCTCTTTTTTCTTAGTCTACCTAATGGTATGTCAGTTTTGCTTATCTTTTCCAAAAAAACAAGTTTTTTTTTTTTTGTTGATCTTTTGAAATTTTTTGTCTCTATTTCAATTCTGTTCTGGTATTTATTATTTCTTTCCTTCTATTAATTTTAGGTTTTGTTTGTTCTTGCTTTTCTAGTTCCTTGAGGTGCATCTTTAGATTGTCTATTTGCCATCTTTTCTTTTTAGTACTTCATTAACTTTAATTGTAAATTTTCTTTGTTTATTTGAAATCTGATTTCTCAGAAATCACCACTAAAGAATTTATTCATGTAACTAGACACCACCTGTTCCCCAAAAACCTATTGAAATAAAAAAAAATCCATTCAGATGAAAAAGGAAGAAAAAGAAATAAAGAACAAAAAAACAATGAAGGAAGCCTGCAGGACAAATGGGACAACATTAAGGAAACAAATATTCCCATTATAGAAATTTCAGATGAATAAGAGATGGGAAAAGGCATAGGAAACCTATTCAATGAAATAATAGCTGAAAACTTTCCAAGTGTTGGGAGAGATATGAACATCCAGATACAGAAAGCTGAAAAATCAACAAGTAGATAAACCAAAAAAGGTTCTCTCTGAAGCAAATTATAGTCAAATTGTAGTCTTTTATCCCTCATCCACCTCCCACCCTTTCCCTTGAGTCCCCAAAGTCCATTTTATCATTCTTATGCCTTTGCATCCTCATAGCTTAGCTCCCACTCATGATTGAGAACATAATGATGTTTGATTTTCCATTCTCGAGTTACTTCACTTAGAATGATGGTTTCCAATTCCATCCAGGTTGCTGCAAATGCCAGTATTTTATTCCTTTTTATGGCTGCGTAGTATTCAATAGTGTGTGTATATATATATAATATATATAATATATATATAATATATATATTTAATATATATATTTAATATATATAATATATATTAAATATATAATATATATTTAATATATATAATATATATATTTAATATATATATTATATATATATAAAATCACATTTTCTTTATCCACTCGTTGATTGATGGGCATTTGGAAAGGTTCTATATTTTTGAAATTGCAAATTTTGCTGCTGTAAACATGCATGTGCAAGTATCTTTTTCATATAACAACTTCTTTTCCTCTGAGTAGATACCCGGGAGTGGGATTTCTGTATCAAATGGTAGATCTACTTTTTGTTATTTTAGGAAACTCCACACTGTTTTCCATAGTGGTTGTACTAGTTTACATTACCACCAACAGTGTAAAAGTGTTCCCTTTTCACCACATCCCTGCCAACATCTATTATTATTTGATTTTTCGATTATAGCCACCTTCACAGGAGTCAGATGGTATTGCATTGTGGTTTTGATTTGCATTTCCCGGATTATTAGTAATGTTGAGCATTTTTTCCTATGTTTGTTGGCCATTTGTATATCCTCCTTTGAGAATTGTCCATTCATATCCTTAGCCCACTTTTTGATGGGATTGTTTGATTTTTTTTTCTTGCTGATTTGTTTGAGATCCTTGTACATTCTGGATATTGGTCCTTTGTCAGAAGTATAGATTGTGAAGATTTTCTCCCATTCTGTGCATTGTCTGTTTACTCTGTTGATTGTTTCTTTTGCTGTGCAGAAGCTTTTTAGTTTGATTAAGTCCCATCTATTTATCTTTGTTTTTGTTGCATTTGCTTTTGGGTTCTTGGTCACGAAGCCTTTGCCTAAGCCAATGTCTAGAAGGGTTTTGCTGATGAGCCAACCTCTAGAATGGCTCCAATGAGATGATCATGTAATTATTTATTTTTAATTCTGTTCACATGGTGCATCACATTTATTGACTTGCAAATGTTAAACCATCCCTTCATCCCTGGTATAAATCCCACTTGATCATGGTGGATTATCTTTTTCACACGTTGTTGGATTCAGTTAGCTAGTATTTTATTGAGGATTTTTGCATCTATGTTCATCAGGAATATTGGTCTGTAGTTTTCTTTTGTTGTTATGCCCTTTCCTGGTTTTGGTATTAGGGTGATACTGGCTTCATAGAATGATTTAGGGAGGATTCCCTCTTTCTCTATCTTTTGGAATAGTGTATAATAGAATTGGTACCAATTCTTCTTTGAATGGCTGATAGAATTTAGCTGTAAGTCTGTCTGGCCCTGGACTTTTTTTGTTGGTAGCTTTTTATTACCATTTCAATCTCGCTTCTTGTTATTGGTCCATTTAGAGTTTCTATTTCTTCCTGGTTTAATCTAGGGAGGTTGTATATTTCCAGGAATTTATCCATCTCCTCTAGGTTTTCTAGTTTATGTGCATAAAGGTGTTCACCGTAGCCTTGAATGATCGTTTGTGTTTCTGTGGTATCAGTTGTAATGTCTCCCATTTCATTTCTAATTGAGCTTATTTGGATCTTCTCTCTTCTTTCTTGGTTAATCTCGCTAATGGTCTATCAATTTTTTTATCTTTATAAAGAGTCAACTTTTTGTTTCATTTATCTTTTGTATTTTTTTTTTACTTCAACTTCATTTAGTTTTTTTTTGACAGAGTTTCACCCTGTTGCCCAGGCTAGAGTGCAGTGGTACAATCTTGGTTCACTGCAACCTCCGCCTCCTGGGTTCAAGCAGTTCTCATGCCTCAGCCTCCTGAGTAGCTAGGATTACAGGCGTGCACCACCACACCTGTCTAATTTGTGTATTGTGTATTTTTAGTAGAGACAGTGTTTTGCCATGTTGGCCAGACTGGTCTTGAACTCCTGACCTCAAGTGATCCACCCACCTTGGCCTCCCAAAGTGCTGGGATTAAAGACGTGAGCTGCTGCGCCTAGACAGCCACCATGGCCTACCTCATTTAATTCTGCTGAGATCTTGGTTATTTCTTTTCTTCGGTTGGGTTTGGATTTGGTTTGTTCTTGTTTCTCTAGTTCCTAGAGATGTGACCTTAGATTGTCTATTTGCACTCTTTCAGACTTTTTGATGTAGGCATTTAATGCTATGAACTTTCCTCTTAGCACTGCTTTTGCTGTATCCCAGAGGTTTGGATAGGTTGTGTCACTATTATTGTTCAGTTCAAAGAATTTTTTGATTTCCACCTTGATTTCATTGTTGAGCCAATGATCATTCAGGAGCAACTTCTTTAATTTTCATATATTTGCATGGTTTTGAGGGTTCCTTTTGGAGTTGATTTCCAATTTTATTCCACTGTGGCCTGAGAGAGTACTTGATATAATTTAGATTTTCTTAAATTTGTTGAGACTTGTTTTGTGGCCTATCACATGGTCTATCTTGGAGAATATTTCATGTACTGATGAATAAAATGAATATTCTGCAATTGTTGGGTAGAATGTTCTGTAAATATCTGTGAAGTCCATTTGTTCTAGGGTATAGGTTAAGTCCATTGTTTCTCTGTTGACTTTCTGTGTTGATGACCAGTCTAGTGCTGTCAGTGGAGTATTGAAGTCCCGCACTATTATTGTGTTGTTGTCTATCTCACTTCTTAGGTCTAGTAGTAATTGTTTTATAAATTTGGGAACTCCAGTGTTAGATACATATATATTTAGGATTTTGATATTTCCCTGTTGAACTAGTCCTTTTATCGTTATATAATTTCCCTCTTTAAAGCAACTGCTGTTGCTTTAAAGTCTGTTTTGTCTGATATAAGAAAAGCTACTCCTGGCCAGGCATGGTGGCTCACGCCTGTAATCCCAGCACTTTGGGAGGCCAAGGCGGGTGGATCACGTGGTCAGGAGTTTGAGACCAGCCTGGCCAAGATAGTGAAACCCCATCTCTATTAAAAATGCAAAAATTAGCCAGGCGTGGTGGCAGGCACCTGTAATCCCGGCTACTTGGGAGGCTGAGGCAGGAGAATCACTTGAACCCAGGAGGTGGAAGTTGCAGTGAGCAGAGACCATACCATTGCACTCCAGCCTGGGTGACAGAGTGAGACTCCGTCTCAAAAAAAAAAAAAAAAAAAAAAGAAAAGCTACTCCTGCTCACTTTTAGTGTCCATTTGCATGGAATGTCTTTTCCTACCCCTTTACCTTAAGTTTATGTGAGTCTTTGTGTGTCAGGTGAGTCTCCTGAAGACACCAGATACTTGGTTGGTTAATTCTTATCCATTCTGCCATTTTGTGTCTGTCTTTTAAGTAGAGGATTTAGGCCATTTACATTCAATGTTATTATTGAGATGTGAGGTACTATTCACTTGGTTGGTTAATTCTTATCCATTCTGCCATTTTGTGTCTTTTAAGTAGAGGATTTAGGTCATTTACCTTCAATGTTATTATTGAGATATGAGCTATTATGCTATTCATCATGCTATTTGTTGCCTGAATACCTTGTTTTTTTCATTGTGTTATTGTTTTATAGGTACTGTAAGATTTATGCTTTAATGAAATTCTAATTTAGTGTATTTCGAGGATTTATTTCAAGATTTAGAGCTCCTTTTAGCAGTTCTTATAGTGCTGGCTTGGTATTGGCAGATTCTCTCAGCATTTGTTTGTCTGAGAAAGACTATATTTCCTTCATTTATGAAGCTTAGTTTTGCTGGATACAAAATTCTTGGCTGATAATTGTGTTAAGGAGGCTAAAGATAGGACCCCACTACCTTCTAGCTTGCAGGGTTTCTGCTGAGAAATCTGCGGTTAATCTGATAAGTTTTCCTTTGTAGGTTACCTGATGCTTTTGCCTCACAGCTCTTAAGATTCTTTCCTTTGTGTTGATTTTAGATAACCTGATGACTATATGCCTAGACTGTGATCTTTTTGTGATGAATTTCCCAGATGTTCTTTGAGCTACTTGTATTTGGATGTCCAGATCTCTAGCAAGGCCAGGGAAGTTTTGCTCGATTATTTCCTCAAACATGTTTTCCAGATATTTGGATTTCCCTTCTTCTTCAGGAACACCAATTATTCTTAGGTCTGGTCATTTAACACAATCCCAAACTTCTTGGAGCCTTTATTCATTTTTTTAAATTCTTTTTTTATTTGTCTTTGTTGAGTTGGGTTTATTCAAATGCCTTGTCTTTGAGCTCTGAAGTTGTTTCTTCTACTTGTTCAGTTCTATTACTGAGACTTTCCAGTGCATTTTGCATTTCTCTAAGTGTGATTTCTTCATTTCTAGAAGTTGTGATTATTTTTTATTTATGCTATTTCACTGGAGATTTTTCCATTCATATCCTGTATCAATTTTTGATTTCTTTTAAGTTGGATTCCACCTTTCTCTGGTGTGTCCTTGATTAGCTTAATAATTGACCTTCTGAATTCTTTTTCTGGCAATTCGGGGATTTCATCTTGGCTTGGATCCATTGCTGGTGAGCTACTGTGATCTTTTGGTGGTGCTAAATAACCTTGTTTTGTCATGTTACCAGAATTGTTTTTCTGGTTCCTTCTCATTTGAGTAAACTATGTCAGACGGAAGATCTGGGATTCAAGGCTGCTGTTCAGATTCTTTGGTCCCTCAGGGTGCTCCCGTGATGTGGTGCTGTACCCCTTCCCCTAAGGAGGGGGCTTCCTGAGAATCGAACTGCAGTGATTGTTATTTATCTTCTGGATCTAGCCACCCAGTGGAGCTGCCAGGCTCTGGCTTGGTACTGGGAAGTGTCTGCAGAGTCCTGTGATGTTATCTGTCTCCAGGTCCCTCAGCCGTGGATCCCAGCACCTGCTCTGGTGGAGGTAGCAGGGAAGAGAAGTGGACTCCATGAGGGTTCTTGGCTGTATTTTTGTGCACTGGTTTTGTGTTGGTTGGCCTCCAGCCAGGAGGTGGCGCTATGAAGAGTGCATCAGCTGCGGGAGTATAGGGAGGATATAAACTTACCCTAGGGTCGCCTTTGGGTAAGTATTCAAGTTTCTCAGGTGGTGGGGCCGGGCTATAGATCTCTCAAGAGATTGTTTTTTGTCTTGGGCTTCCAGGACGGGTAGAGAAAGACTATCAGGCTGGGACAGAGTTCAGCATGTCTGAGCTCAGACTCTTCTTCGGCAGGGCTTGCTCCAGCTGCTGTGGGAGATTGGGGGTGTAGTTCCCAGGCCAAGGGGGTTATGTTCCCGGGGGGGTTATAGCTGTCTCTGCTGTGTGACACAGGTCACCAGGGAAGTGAGGGAAAGCCATCAGCCACAGGCCTCACTTAGCTCCCATGCAGCCTGCTGCATGAAAAGCTGGTCTCGCTCCCACCTCCCACCATGCCACCCCCAACAGCACACAGTTTATTTCCAGGCAGCTGGTGAGCAGTGCTGAGAACTTGCCCCAGGCTACAAGCCTCCCAGCTGAGAAAGCAAGCCAACTCACAGTTCCTCAGCTGTCCCACAGGGCCTGCAGCGGCAATCCGCCTCCTTCAAAGGGTCTGTGGTTTCTCTTGGCTTTCCTGGTATGTTCCTGCAGTAGTTCTTGGAGCAAGTTCATGATGTGAGTCTCCACACATGGCTTTGTCTGAGTGGGAGCTGCAGGTTAGTCCTGCCTCTTATCTGCCATTTTTTCCCCCGCATTCTCCCTAAATGGATTATTTTAAAAGAACTGCCTTCAAGTTCAGAAACTCTTCTGCCTGATCTAGTCTATTATTGAAGTTCTCAATTTTATTTTTATTTCACTCACTGAGTTATTCAGTTCTAACATTTCTGTTTCGTTCTTTTTAATGATATCTATTTTTAAAAATTTCTCATTCAGATTATGAATTGTTTTTCTGATTTCATTGAATCTATTTGTGTTCTCTCGTATCTTCCCAGGTTTCCTTAAGATTGTTATTTTGCATTTTTTCAGGTGATTTTAGATTGGTTTTCCTTTGGGGTCTGTTACTTAGAGAATTGTTGTGTTCTTTTGAAGGTATCACGTTTCCTTACTTTTCCATATTTCTTGTTTCCCTATGTTGATATCCATGCGTCTGGTGACACATTGCCTCTTCTGATTTTATGGAGTAGCTTTCATAGGGAAAAATGTTTTTCTGTATATGTATACGTATCATAAATATACAGTTGGGTAAGGTGCTTTGGCTTTGGTTCAGTATGGGGGCAGTAATGTAGTCTCTGATTTCTTCAGCTATAATCAGCATCATTGGTGTCTGTGAGTACCTCAGTGGCCTGTGCTGTGGTTGCTTGTAGAGGCTATTGCACGGCTTTGCTGAGAGCAGGGACACCAGGCAGATCAGTTTGGGGGCTCCGGCAGTAGGGAGCATGGGTGTATGGCAGGTCTACCACTGGAGTGGGCAGGTTCTCTGACAACAGTGGGCCTGGGTGGCTTCATCACTGGAGGGGTCAGGGTCACTGGTGATGGCAGCAGCCCTGGACAGCTGGTCCTTGGGTCCCTGAGGGATGCACTTGAGCATGAAACCGATCTGCTGCTGGAGGGGCTGGGGTCGCCAGTGGTGGCATATCTTGGCCAGGCTGGTTCTTTGGCACCTGGAGGGCATGTGTGGGTGTGCAGCAGTTTTGCTCTGGAGGGAGCAGGTTGCCATCAGTGGTGGGCCTGGTCAGGCGGATCCACAGTCCTATGGGAGGGGCGTCTGCTCTGCTACTGCAAATGTTGGGGTTGCTGGTGGCAGCAGCAGCAGGCTTCAGGCAGGTAGCTCTTGGATTCTGAGGAGTGCGTGCATTGCCTCCCTCTTTTCCGTGGGCAGCCTTCCCACTGTATTAGACTGCCTGTTTTCTAGGGTGTGGAAATACTGTGTGTGCTCAGATTCTGGGGTCTTGGCTGCACAGCTGCTATCATGACTCTGCATCCCTCTGGGTGGATGTGGTGGGATGTCCCAGGGACCCCAAGGATGTGGAGATTTAGGGGTTTTTGGGCCCCAGGGCAAGATGCACACTGGTGGTGGCTCTGCTCTCAACATGATGATGTGCTGTGGCAGCCTGTGTCCTGCGGGCATGGGACCCAGCTTGATTTCCTCTATGGAACAATGCAATCACATGGTTTCCAGGTAGCTCCCTATACTGAGCTCAGGGCCTGTCAGGGCTGGGGGCTCTCCTCTTATTAGGACTACAGGCATCCAGCATGGAAATGTGGACTGCTGGGGATCTTCACCTTACCTTTTTCCTGTGCTTGAGGTCTCTCTGGGCTCTGAGCCGATCCTAGCCAGATGCTTTGCTTCCGTGTCTATGCTGCTGTCCCAAGTCTCCATCCCCAGAGGGGCTTTGTCACTTCTTTGCTGAATTCCAGTGTTCTCCCCTAGACTCTCTGTTCAACATGTGACTGGAGGAGGTGAATGCTGAGTACCTCTAGTCAGCCATCTTGATGATGTCTTCTGTAACTTTTCACTATTTCTGCAAATGGTTATGATACTGTAGGCCTGGCTGCCTGTGCTATAAATGGGGGAGTAGGTCTCTTTGTTGGAGTTTGTAAGGATCACTCCGTTATGGCCCCAGAAATCACACTGGGAGAGACATAAGAAATTAAAGGATCTGTTATATATACTCACAGGACTTAGGGACAAGAGGCATGGCAATCCCCACCACATAGGGCCCATATAGGAGCTCTGGGGAGTGGGCTCAACCAGGTAGATGGGGAGGGGAGAGAGAGAGAAAACCCATGGATAAGTGCCTTTATTGGGGGCTTGAGTAGAGTACACAAACAAAAGGTGTGAGGGGATTTCACTGATGTGTTTGAATGTCACTAGACCACTGTCAGGAGAGGGCTAATGGGAACTTGTGACAAGTACCAGCATTATCACACTGGTGCACCTGGTCACCTGGTTGGAGTGCTTGTAACCTGCTGGTGGGGGATGTTGAGGGATTGGGAAAATATGAATTTTTAAACATTTACAGTATACAGTCATTGCCTGTTGAGATCTGTATAATTAAAAGAATTCCAAGAAAGAATGCACACTTTTCTTGTGTGCAGAATCACATTCATTATTTGAAGAGTCTCTACATAGTTTCTAGGAATCTACAGCCCAGGACCACAGAACTGAGATATAGTTAAGTGTATCACGACACCATTTCAGAACACGTCATCAACTCGGTCTTGAATTTGCAGCATTCAACTGCCCAGCACAAAATTAGTGAGAAAACAGGCATAAGAAAGCTTACAGGATCTGAAATCCACAGGGCTTTCGTTTTTGATTTACACTAAAGTTTTAGAAGTTAGACATGATTATCATGAAAGGAGAATGTCATATCCCTTCCTTTCTATTGTCTACTTTTTTTTTCTCAGCAACCAATCCTAGAATTTATTTGAAGAGGAGAAGAAATGAGTAAATCGATGAATTAGAAAAGTAACGCAATCTTTTTGTATAAATACTAAGTTATCTCCAGGATCTATGAAAATATCAAAAGAGAGAATTATTGTTTTAATTTATTGTAATTAAAAATATAAGCATATACAATATAGCACATTTAAATGGAGCTGGCTCAATATCTAAAATCAAAAATCGTTCTCTCCTTATAGCCTATTTAACTTTATATTCTCAGCAACTTGCAGCACATGACAAACATTAGGCATTCAATAAATGTTGGTGATTGAAAGAATGTTTATGCATGTGCTTTTGAAACTTGGAAGAATGTCACATTTACATTTCTATCCTTCCACCGTCTTTCTGTCCTCAGTCCACTGATGATCAGATGAAAGAAAAGCACAGGTGGTGTTAGCAAATGAATCAGAATTTCCAAACTGTAATGCAGGTGGCCATGGACAGTTGTAGGAGAGAGTTCTCCATGGCCTGCAACATGTGGACCTGGACTTTGATATAATTCAATCTAACAAACATGTATTGTAAATCTATGATCTGCAAATCACCCTGATAGATATTGTGAGGCTGCAGGATGAGAAAAACACAAAACAGATGCAGTTTTAAAGGTTGGAAATGGCATATTTGAGATAGAAGAAGGCAAGTAGGAAAACAGCTCCGCAAGCCAACAGCATAGTCCCCAAAGGGCCATTTTCAGTTTGACAAGGAGAAGCACTGTCGTTATTCTGGCCTGTTTCCTCATTGCAAAAATAGAACCATGAACCTTTCTCTTCTGCTGATAATAATTTTAAAGCATTGTCAGTGAAGTAAATATATACTGAAAGCAATAAATAAATAAATATTTAAACTCCAGAAAGATTGCTGAGCTTCAGTGATGCTATAACAGGAAATAACAACAATCAGATAGTGCCTCGGCTTACTGAAGAACTAATTCATGTTTATAAAGTGCTTTCAGAATGCAAAGCACTGAAGAAGGTTAGGATATTATTATTATTACCAAAGATCTTTAAGCAGACAAGATCTTGGTATTCTTATAATCACAGCAGGAGTTGTTCATTTCCCATGTAATTTATGAGGAGAAAAAAATAATAAACCCCACCCCTCTTCACACTTGATTTGTCAGTTGTTCTTGTTATATGAAACTGATCCTCAAGGGAACCTTAATTTAGGCAACGATTTATTCTCTTCAATATTATTTTGACATTTGGTAATTACTACAGATTTTGTGCATCTGTCTTTCCCAGAAGAGAAGGCATTAAATGCCACTTGGATGATCATTGGTTTTGCAGGAACTCAGATTTGATGTTATTCTTTTGGTAGATAGCATGACTTATGGTAAGTTTCCAGCTCTGGGATACACAGATTGTGCCTTTCATTACTCATGGAGTCTGTGCCACACTGATATTAGATATTTCATAAAAATAAGCTATTGGTTGAAAGAAGAATATCTTAAATATTTCATATGAAAAAAAACTGGCCTTTTCCAATTTTCCACACGTATTCTAAAGTAACTAAGATATCTGGAAATTTTCAAAAATGAAAGTAAGAAACTGGAACAGAGATCAGAAATTCCTTAGGAACCTCTCTCTAGGACTCTCAAATGGACCTCCCAAAGAAAACAAATAAGACCCCCAAAAACCAGGAACAAGGAGAGTTACATCAACAATGAGTCAGATGCTTTCAGAACTGCTTCATGCTATTCCTGTACATAAGCTTTTTTCTTATCAAATTTTATGGATGATGATAGCTTCTTCCATTGTAAATTTTCATCTGTGATCATTAGTTCTAACAAGTCCAGTCCTCCCATGTTAGATTTTGCAGATTTAAATTTTAATATGAAGATTTGATTATTTTGTTTATTCAGATCAGTAATAAATTTCAAGGCATTTACTTTTGGCTATTGCCAATGATATTTTTTATTTGTTATTTTAACCAGAATATTATAAACTGGAAAAAATGTATTATTTTTAAGATGATGTCTGAATGAATTGTGAACTACTTTGTGAGATAGAAAGACAAGGAAAACTGGAGGGAGAAAGGGGAGACAGGGAGAGACCAGGATGGAGAAGGAAGAAAGATAGAGGAAAAGAGAAAAAGAAGGATAGTATCATGAATGAGAAGATGTGAGACGGCCATAGAAAAGAGGAAGACAGGATAAGAAGTTGGAAAAGGGGGAGACCAGAGGAGAAAGAGGGTTAAAAATGTTCTAGCATAAAGAAAGCAGAATGGCAGAGTCAAATCATACACTTCTCCATGGCTACTTAAGGTTTAGGGATTAATTTTTTCTCTCTTTCTCTCACTCTCTCTCTCTCTTTTTTTTTCTTTTTTTTCTTTTTAAAGACAGAGTCTCACTTTGTTGCACAGCCCAGGCTGAAGTGCATTGGTGCAGTCATAGCTCACTTTAACCTCAAACTCTTAGTCTTAAGGGATCCTCCTACCCCAGCCTCCTGAGAAGCTCAAACTACAGGCACACCCCACCATGCATGGCTAATTTTTAATGTTTAAAATTTTTTGTAGAGCCAGGTTCTCACTATGTTGCCTAGGCTGATCTCAAATTTCTGGACTCAAGCAATCCTCCTGCCTCAGCCTCCCAAAGTGCTGAGATTACAGGCATAAGCCACTGCACCTGGCCTTTTTTCTCTTTAGTGCCTGGTATAGTGCCTGGTATATTATAGGTACTCAATAATCATTTGATGAATCAGTAGATGTTAATGGATCAAGCTAGCCTCCTTCTGGTTCCTTGAGCACCCCAGGTACACTTCTCTTCTTGGACTGTGTCCCCAGAGATTTGCTTAGTTCACTTCTCTACCTCCTCCTCACCTTTTTAGTAATACCTACCCCGAGCAGCCAATTAGGAACTGCAGCTAACCCCATACTCCCCACTCACTGAAATCCCCTAACCCTGCTCCCCCTTCCCATGGCACTAATCATCCTTGATATATAATGTGGTTTTGCTTATATGTTATATTTATGGTTTATTGTCTATCTTCCCTTGCTAGAATGGAATTTCCATAGGGTAGGGGTCTTTATTTCAGTTGCTGATTTATCCCAAATACCTAGAACAATGCCTGTACAAAATGGACAATGAATATTTGTTGCATGAGTGAATCATCCTTATCAATATATGTCCATGTTTTCTCTTGTTCTCTTTTTCTCTCATTCATTCTCTCCTCCCCTTCATAATAGTTGACAGAGAATACAACCTCAAAGCATTTACTTATTTTCTAACTTGTATTTAACGTCACTCTTCAATTTCAGCTGCACTGCAGCAAAATCCTGCACACATGACCTGCTGTTCCCAGAAAGGGTCTTTTTGTGCATATTATATTGCCATTTTTGCCTGAGAAGGCCTGGACTGATGTCCAAAGAACATTCCAGAACACTGCAGAGCTACAGGTCAGCCTGGCTCAAATTTGTTGAAAAGCTCTTCTACATATTAATTGTTTTATCTGGGTATTAGTTATTCTCTCTCTAAGGAAATAATCGGACAATGGCTTTTTTTTTTTTTTTTTGGAGACGGAGTCTCGCTCTGTCGCCAGGCTGGAGTGCGATGGCGCAATCTTGGCTCACTGAAACCTCCAACTCCCTGGTTCAAGTGATTCCCCTGCCTCAGCCTCCCAAGTAGCTGGGATTACAGGCATGCACCACCACACACAGCTAATTTTTGTATTTTTAGTAGAGAGGGGGTTTCACCATGTTGGCCAGGATGGCCTCAATCTCCTGACCTCATGATCCGCTTGACTTGGCCTCCCAAAGTGCTGGGGTTACAGGCGTGAGACACCACGCCCGGTCAGACAATGGCTTTTTAAGGCAATTTCATGCCATCACAAATCCCTCTGGAGAACTAATTTGCCATGCTAGGGTAGAATTCAAGGCTAATGCTATTATTTGGCTTGTACTCTGCCCTTGTTGTTGCTTTGTTTAAATGATGAGTAGGCCCAGCAATAGTATTAGTTCATCAAAAAGTCTATAAGTTATATTCAGATAGTTTGAGGTCAGCAAAACCCAGAGTGTGGTTTACACAAGTGCTTTCTCCCCTAATCCTTAAATCCATAGATATTTCAAAGTAAACTTAATTCATATGTTTTCCATTCATTTGCCCTTAGGTCTTTATGTTTAGGGGAGGGGGTGGTGGAAGGCAGGAAGGTACTGTTCTAGGAACTGGCTTCCTTCTTCACTGCCACAGACAGATCATTCATTAGCCACAGACCTGGTTTCTTGGCAGAAGTCCATACCTGTATCCTTTCCAGTTCCCTGTTAATTGAAGCTCCAACCTCAGCACACATCATTGTTGCTGCCAAAGAAAGTAAAGTGGAAAGAGGCTGCATTTTCTATCATAGAACCACAGAATCCTAGAATCCTAAACTTGTGATTCTAAAGATCATCTGGTTCATCTACCATGTGAACCTTAAATCACCTCGACAGTATCCTGGCTAATTACCTTTCACCCTCTGATTAAGCATCTCCAGTGATGGAGCTTCAATAGCCAATAGCTTTAGGAAAGACTCTCAGAAGGAACTGAGTCTTGTTTTCTGCAGCCCAAATTTCTCCAGTCCCTTCATCCATTCAGCAAGATTTAAAACCAGTCCCCTGTGTTCCCCTCATGTTCTCTTTCCACGAAGATTTCACTCTCTCCCATGATTTCAGGTTCTGCACTACGTGTGTCCTTCCCTGGTCTGTGCTTCCTGATCCAGCTACCCCGTGGGCATCACATTCTGCCTCTGATACAAGGACCTTGAGATAAACCAAACTGACTGCTTAAGCTAACCCCTCCTTTAAATCTTGTTATTTGTCTTGTGTTGCCATTTCAAAAATGGCAAGATGCATCTCAAAGCTCCTCTTCCTATCACATCCCCCACAGTTAGGTGACAGATCCTATCAGCTGCACCTCCAAAATAGGTCCCGGATCGGCCCCAGCTTCCTCATGTCCACCATGTCTGCTTTAGTTTAAGATTTGGTCGTCTCTCAGCTGAACTGAGGCAGCAGCCTCGTCTCTCATCTCCTGGCCTCTGCCCTCTTTCTTCACCAGTCCCTTTTCCATGTTGCTTCCAAGTTTACCTTTCTCCAGATCATGGAGATAGCAAGAATGTGTTTATGGCCTCCCATCCTCATCTTATCTTTATGCTTCTTTATCCGGGTCTTGTGGAAAGATGGTCAGCTAAAGAGAAGCTAGGACAAGAGTGTGGCAACCCCCAATAGAAAATATTCAATCTCGGCTGAGTGCAATGGCTCACGCCTGTAGTCCCAGTACTTTGGGAGGCCGAGGTGGGCGGATCACAAGGTCAAGAGATGGAGACCATTCTGGCCGACATGGTGAAACCCGGTCTCTACTAAAAATACAAAAATTCGCTGGGTGTGGTGGTGCACGCCTGTAGTCCCACCTACTTGGGAGGCTGAGGCAGGATGCTAACTTGAATCTGGGAGGTGGAGGTTGCAGTGAGCTGAGATTGTGCCACTGCACTCCAGCCTGGCGACAGAGCGAGACTCCATCTCAAAAAAAAAAAAAAAATTCAATCTCATATATTTTTCATGACCCTTTGATTCTGAATCTGATCTACTGAATTTGTCCCCAAACTACCTGGTCCTTGAGGGATACTGAGGTGCTGGCTGACTTCCCTGAGCCCATTTATGCCTCTTCTTAAGGTGCAGCTTGTCCAGGAGGTCCTCAGCATCCTCCCTGCCCCCTTTAAGCTGTGGCTAACACAGCACTCCAGCCACACTGTACAGCCCCTGCACACTGCGCTCCTGAGCTGAGTGGTTGCAGAGCCCTTGTCTCCCATTCAGAACTCTGCTTATCAACTCCGAGTGTGCTCATGCATGCATCACCTCTCCAATGACATCACTTGCTCATGCATGCATTGCTTCTCCCCTGCCTATCCCTTATTTATGAGCCTCTTTATCCAGCAGGTACCTCTCCTGTAGCATCTGTTGTGCTGTATTTGTAGTTTGTTGCTACATTTTTTGGAAGTGGTTGTCCTTTGTGGGCAGGCACATGGTCTTAGCATCCTCTGCATATTCCATTATCTGGCTCGGTGGCACATAATAGGTCTCAAAAATGTTCTTTGAAAGAATGCATGAATGAATGGTTGAGGGAATGAACTTCTATCACATTTCCTTATTCTCCAAGTCTAGTAACACTTTCTGGAAAGGAAATACAATTATTTTCTCTAAGTGAACCTAAGCCGGTACCTATGATCATTTAATTTTCTACATCCTTCAGTGAGCCATTCTAGTCTTTCAGTGATTCATCATAGAACCTTATAGAACCCTTGTCAAGCTGATTGATTTATAATTTTCAGGATCCATATTCTTCTTTCAAACAAACAGCACAGCTATATCTGATGGCCTCCAAGTGCCCAGCCTAATAACTTGCCCAAGCGCTCACAGCCCATGAGAGCCAGGCTGGGAGTGGACCATTCAGGGGCTGCCCTATCTGTACCTGTGTGCCGTGGTACCTGCCCTCTCTGTACCTGTCTCCATGGAGCCTTGTAAACATCTAGTTAGAGATGCTGCTAAATTTAAATTGTCATTATATTTCACCAAACATATTTCATTAAGTCACTGATAAACATTCCTGGCATTTTTGATTATTTTCCTTTTCATTCAAGCAAGGATGTTTTTCTCCTATTGTTTTTACCATCTCTATATCTGTATCCAGGAACTGAGCTTACAGCTAATGATCTAATTCAGATATGTGTAAACCTGGGTATAATAATTAGCCCAGATTGGTGGAAACGTTTCCCCTTTACGCAACCCATTTCATCCTTATCAAGTACATTAATTCATTGGCTCTGGTAATATAGCTAATTACCCTGTATATTCAGGTGCTGCTGCTGATATTGCTGCTATCTCCATGTGCTGGGATAAACAGACTGTTGTTAGTAAACATTCCTTCTGATACCTACCTTCCGCCATCACTACGCACGTACTAATATGTCTTTTTTGCTCTGTTCTTTTTCCCACAACAGTTTAACCTAAAAAGGGCCACTTCATTTCCTTAGGCTGCACTTCTAATGAATGCAGACATTTGAAAGGGTCCTGAACCGGATAACCTTTCGAGTTTTCTCCAGTTTTATTATTCTGTGAAGACAGTTTGGTGTAAATGATTTAAGAGGTTAGTCAGAATGGAGTTCTCTGTTCAAATGATCTTCTTAAATTTCTGTACTGAGCTCTACTCATAGGAAACGTGGAGCTTGTTGTGGGATTCACAAGGTTGCCCTTGCAAGTACAGAATACCGTGCCTGCCACACAGTAGGTCCAATAAATAAAACAAAATTAAACAAAGTTAATTTAAACAAAATTAAAGCCTCCCTAGAGCTAATGATTTTAACTTATTACCATATAATAACTAGCAAGTTAGTGTCAATCTCAATCTAAATTTTCAAGGAAAACTGCCCCGGTAGAAATATTGTATTTTTATTAGCACTGAATTTGTACTCCTAACAAAAAATTAATGAAATTCCTTAAAAGCTGATATAAAATGTAAATTACTTATCCTTGGACAAAGAATTCAGATCTTCCTTATTTATTGTTAAGAATTCCCCCTTCATCATACCTATTTGAAAGATCTTGGCTTAAACTGAGAATTTGACTGCTAATATTCACACATATGGCAAATATGAACTAATCAGACCACAGATATTTTGCTGCATTCCATGGTGTCTCATTTATTTGTTTAATTTGCAGCTATAGCAACTAGATTCCACCACTTTGGGCTTTTACACAGAACTACAGTATGATCAGCTTGGTTGAAGTTTGGCACTCGACACTCTGCTCAATTGAAGACATATGCACAAAATCACTTACCACATTTTTTAACCTGTTTTTCACACTGGGTAGGCCTGTAATATTTGCATAAAAATATGAAAAGCAACCTTCTGCAGGGAGAGAAGGCAATTAAAAGATGTTGCGACCTTTCTTTCTGCAGCATTTCAAAGCTTAAAGTTTTCTTGGCACGCTTTTCAAACGCCCATCTGACTTTGAAGCAGGCTGCCTCTCCACAGAAAGCTTGCTCCAGCAATGACTAAAGGATTGACCTGGTGCCATGCATGCTGCTCTGCACAAGAAGGACATTTGGAAATGACCTTGAAGCGAAGTTTTGCCAAGTTGATGAAATACGGGCCTTCAAGAAGTGCCATTTCTCAAGCGATGTACAGAAGGGTATCCGCAGCATTGTCAAAAATTACCCCTTAATTTGGTGTTGGATGAACATGAATTTTTAACCTCCATAAGGAATGATACTTGCTCTTGATTTTATTAGTTGCATTTTGTAACAGGTTGGAAAAATTAGGTAATGGAGAACTTTGGCATACCACTTTTGTTTCTTTTAGGTGATTTTTAAAAAACATTTGCTGAAGGAGAGGTTGATGCTCAAAGGGTACAGTGATAAATGGAGAGACGGGAGTTTAAAATGAAGGATAAGCCGCAAATGAGGATGAAGTTAATGGATAGAGAAAAGATGGGAGGAAGAGGTATCTCTCTTTACTCGTAAGCTGCCCATCGATATGATTTAGACTCTAGGAGAGGGGCGTTTCTTTCCTCAGTAGGCACACTCATAGAGTAAACTGTTGCCGCTGTTTAAACATGTTAATTGATGTTGACACCAGTTGTTGCTATACAGTTTTCCATTTTACTGAGCGATGTATTTATGTTGCTGCATAATGTCGCCTGATTGCACTTCTCATGCTGGTGAAGTTGGCTGACATTTCAGGCTCTGGATAACATGAAGCTGTGCTTTAACCTTATTTGGAAGTCAGGGTTAGAGTGGCACTGGAAGGTCTCCTTCAGCTTCCCTTCCTGTGACCTGCCTACTATAACCCTGGCAAGGCTGAGACAGTCCAAGTTTGGGGCAGTCAAGGTGGGACAGCAGAAGATTTCAGGGTACAAGTCATCTATTCTCTTATGCCAGCTCTCAGATTTGTATATAAAATCTGATTCTACACTTCTTTTAACAAATAATAAATAAATAAATAGGACCATCCAACCCCTCTAGAGCTCTCTAAGGAGACTGTAGAAGACTTGTGGCCACTCTCATTTTAAAGATTCTAATAATCTCCACAAAGTAATCCTGGGAAACATACATCTGTAAGACCAGGGAAACATACTGGCAATAGCAACTTCCCAGAACATTCCTTTTTACACTGCCTGGGATTTTTCAATAAGAAATTTGGCATTTCTGTAAATTTAAAGTGTATTCAGTAAAATTAATGCGTTTTTTTCTTAAAAGCTCAAGCCTTCCAGACTCATCATTTTGTAGTTAAAAAAGTAAGCCATGCAACTGAGATAAAAGTCAAAGTTATAGATTATAACTGTTTGCACAACTGTTCACATTTTTAACTTTTTTTATTTTTTGGAGACTTTTTAAGAGTCTCACTGTGTCATCCAGGCTGGAATACACAGTGGCACTATCATGGCTCACCACACCCTTAAACTGCAGGGCTCAAGCAATCCTCCTGCCTCAGCCCCCCAAGTAGCTGGGACCACAGATGTGGACCACCACCCCTGGCTACTTTTTTAAAAATTTTTTTGTAGAGACAATGGGCTCACTATGTTTCCCAAGCTAGAGACAATGGCCTCATTATGTTTCCCAGGCTGGTCTCGAACTCCTGGCCTCAAGCGATCCTCCTGCCTCAGCCTTCCTGAAGTCCTAGGATTACATGCATGAGCTACCACACCCAGCCCCTGCTCACATTTTATATAGTAACTTATTTTAAGAATAGTAAAGTATTTGCAAAATAGTTTTTTAATACAGTAATTTATTATATATTGAAATCAAGCTTGATGATATTTCATTAGGTTTTGCTGAGTGTCATATGCTAAGTTATTTGCTTATGAATTTTTCTCCAATTGCCTGTATTTGGTAAGTTTGCATGGAAAGTTCTGACAGGAAACTCAGAAATATTTCATTGTTTTACCCTACTATCTTTTTTGATGTGTCTTAAAGTTGATTTGCTTTAAATTGCAGTATCATCCTTTTTTTCTGTACCTAAATGTTTTTAACTGAAGAACACAATTTCCCTCAAAACCCTCATCCCTAATTTAGAGCCCTCTTATATTAATATGAGTCATTTTAAATGTATTTCCTGAAACACTTCTCAACTTCGTAAATAAAAAAGAGATATATCTTAGTCCATTCAGGCTACTATAACAAAATAGCACAATTGGGTGGCTTATAAACAACATAAATTTATTTATCATAGTTCTAGAGCCTGGGAAGTCCAAGAGCTGGGTGCCAGCATGGTTGGGTTCTGATGAGGATCCTCTTCCAGATTACAGACTTCCAGCTTCTTGCTGTGTCCTCACATGGTGGAAGGAACAAGTAATCTCTCTGGAGCCTCTTTTAAAAGCCCACCAATCCCATTCATTGAGGATTCCACCCCAGTGACCTAATCACTTCCCAAAGGGCCATCTCCTAATGCTATAACCTTAGAGGTTAGGGTTTCAACATATGAATTTTGAGGGGACAGAAACATTCAGCCCATAGCAGGATGAGAAAAAGAAAGGAAAGTACAACAAAGAACATCAACCATAAGGAACACCATGACTTCTGATATTTAATATCATGGATCACAGATTGTAGGAGTCGAGAAACAGAATAAAAAGACAAGGCCCAGGCCCAGTGAGCTTTTGATGCTTGAGGCTCCTCATGCCCTTGCTCTCCCACTGACCTCAGTGCTCAGCACTGGCTTTCTTCTCCTGGTGATATTTTCCATTTATCTTTTGGTGTAAACATTTTAGAGATGAGAGAAGTAGGGAGCTTATCATTATTTAGTCTGATCAGACAATATCTTCACTTTTAAGTTATGTTCAGAATTTCATTGTCCTGTTCTTTTTAAGAATCATATGAGATTATTTTTGTGTATGTGAATAAACTATGAAGCATTTTCTTACAAAAAACTTCATTCAGTGTCCTGGCACAGATCCTCCAGTTGAACAGGGGCCTTCTTTCCAAAGCCCCAGGTAAGGACTTTCTCAACCTGTATTCTAACATGATGGGATGTTGTCTTCTTTGCTTTCCTATCTTATCATTGCAAACTCTCAAACATTTTCTACATTATCATCATTTATATTTATACTAGCACACATGTTTGAAAGCGATATGATCCCCATTGAAAACTCTTTTCCTTTAAAAGTCAATCCCATTTCTAGAGGTCTTGACAATGCTTTCTTCTTTCCATGCCATTGAAGTTGCATTAATGTTGGTCAACCCTGGATGGCTCGGGTCTCATACTCAGAGGTTCTGATGGATTCAGTCTGGGATAAGACTGAGACACTATCTATTTTTTTTTAATGCTCCCTTACATAGCTCCCTTACACGTTTGAAGATCTTTGAATTTGTTGGTCTCACAAGCATCCCTGGGGTTCAAAAAATGTGGGTATTGGAAGAACACAAAGTGAGGGAAGCTGTCCTGGTGATATCTAGATGTGAGCTGAATGGAGCTTATGGCAAAGAGACAAACCTGAGTTAATCTGCATAATCACGCACACTTAACTCTAATGGGTTAGTTATAGGGTGGTATCTCTGCCTCAGTTTCTATTGCAATAAAATACTGGCATCATCTCAAGATTCTCAGAAAATTTAATTAATATTAATATTTAATATAAGATTAAAAGCATACTACAAGTTTCAATTAGCATTAATCCTTTAAAATATGGAGTTAAATGATCTGTAACTAATTAAAGACTGCAGTTAACAGGGGACATGAGTTTTTTCTGGGTTATATGAAACAAAATATAAATCTTTTATATAACTCAATTTCCTACAGAAAAAAAACTTACTTGTCAGTGGGATTTTAAAGTTTTATTTTATTTTCTTGGATCTCATTACTTTTCCATGAATCCTATAAGCAGAATTACAATGAGGTGAGTCATAGACTTAACACTTTTTTGGAGTTTCTTCTGCCAAAGCAGCTTGAAATATAGAGGATTTTCAAAAACTGTGTTTGGGGAACATGGGAAGGTATGGGAAAGAAAGGAAGGGTGGGAGTCTAGGAGGAAAGGAGGAAGAAGGGAAAGAAAGGGAAAGGGAGAGGAAGGAAGGACACAAAACATTTTACTTTAGATTACATTTAAAAAATTTTAATGACATTTATAAAGGTAAAACTTTCCTGGTATCTCATTTGCATGTTTCAGACAACCCTGAGGTGCAAATGAATTTGGGTTTCAAAAGTTCATTCATGAGCCAGTTATTTGGAACTGGAAACATGTTTCCCCACGAAAGTTTTGTTATATAAGTGGTAGTTCATTTTTGAGGCTAGTTCCCAAACTCTCCTCATTCTGTTTTGAAGCTGAATTATCATGCATTTACAATGATAAACAGTAGATTATACAGTTGAAAACTTGTAGATGTAAAAAACATAAAAGTGATAAAATCAATTGTTTAATTGCTTTAAACTTTTAACTTCAGTGCTGGTGCTGGAGGGAAAACAGATTTAATTTGAGGAGTCTGAGGATGTTCAAGACATCTAAGGTTGATATTTGAGAGCATCTGTCAGAGAAGCAGCAGCCATTCTCTCGGGAGGGCCTCTGCCGCCATGCATGTGCTTCAATCTGGTCACTAAAAAGCCACATCCTTAGACTGAAGGAATAAGTCCTCAACAAAAATGCCTTCTTTTCTTCCTAGGCCAGGCATGGTGGCTCACGCCTGCAATCCCAGCACTTTGGGAGGCCAAGACAGGTGCATCACTTAAGGTCAGGAGTTCAAGCCCAGCCTGGCCAACATGGTGAAACCCCATCTCTACTAAGAATACAAAAATTAGCCGGGTGTGGTGGCACATGCCTGTAGTCCCAGCTTCTCGGGAGGCTGATGCAGGGGAATCGCTTAAACCCAGGAGGTGGAGGTTGCAATGAGCCAAGATCGTACTACTTGCACTCCAGCCTGGGCAACAGAGCGAGACTCCATCTCAAGAAAAAAAAAAAAAAGCCTTATTTTTTTCCTGTAACCAGTATCAATGGAGCACATATTATGGCTAGTGCTCCTCACTATTTATGCTAGCAGGCAAAACAGAAAGAACTCCTGTCCTTGTGAGTTTATAATCTAGTGAAGGAGACAAATATCCAAATAACTGCACAAGTAGATGACCTATGATCCATCCATTTTTATAAAAAGTTGTTGTATGAACATTCAAGTCCAAACAAATTTACAAGGAATAATGATGACACACAGAGGGTGGATCTGGAGAGTGGAGTACATAAATCTTTAAGTAACTGCTAGGGGCCAGCCACTTCCATATGCTGTCACATTTGTTCCCTAAGTAGCCCTGAGGGGGAGGAATCATCACCACCATTCCACAGGTGAGGAGCTGAGACTCAAAGGAGTTGAGGAATCTGTCCATGATGGTGCAACCAAGAGCCTGAGTTCAAATCAAGTGTGTCCAGCTCCAGGCACTTTCTGCCCATCTAAACTGCCTGCTCTGCAAAACCACTCTGAAGAGATTTTCTATTATTTTACTCAATATGAGTGTATCCATGCAATAATCTCTTTCTAAAATTTAGTGATAGAAGCCATATTGCCTCACCTGATACTGATATGTTCCTTTCTGTTAATAAGAGCTGTTTCCACTTCTCCTCTGACACGGTTAGTGCCTTTAAGCCGTAGCCAGCCTATCTGTGGCTTCCAATACAGTTTTCTGTCTTTCATTCCTACCATATATTTTGTCTGATTCTTCATTTTGTCTTGACTTTCACCACCCTGAGCCTTTTATTGCAAGCTACCTTGACCTTTTGAGAAGTAGTGAGAATATATAGAAAAGAAATAGACTTCTGTGGTGTAAATTCCACAAAGCTCTCTTTTTATATCCTCCACATGACCTAGAACAGGGCCTTGCACTTAGAAGTGAACAATAACTATTGGTTGTTAAATGATCATAGCAATAGCAATTCTGAAGGACAGTTCTGCTTATTTTAAGGACAACCAAGAAGTTGATGGCTCTGGCTTTATATGTGAACTTCATCATAAAATGTACTTACTGCTTTCCTATTCCTTAATAGAGATTTGTCTCTTGTATTTTCTTCTGTTTACCACTCATAAATGGAATGTGAAGGACAATGATCACAGCTCACTTGCGTCACATTCCTCCCTCTTGCTGTGCTAAGCCCTTTTAGATAGTATTTATTGAATCCTCACAACCTGATTATTATCCCATTTCATGGAAGGGCATACTGAAGGTTAGAGAATTTCAGGGGTTTAGGAGGAAAGTGAGGAAATAAGCTTTCTCCTGATGATTCAGCAAGAAATAGGAAAAAAATAGGGGAAGAAAAAGGATATATATTTCAGTATAGATGAGAGATACAAATTGCTTTAAGTATAATCAGTAAAATGTAGGAGAGGCTGGAGAAAGTCACAAATGATTTATGAGGGCATGATTCTTCCTGCTTATCCCCTGTATATTAGTCCACTCTCACACTGCTATAAAAATACTACTGGAGACTAGATAATTTATAAAGGAAAGAGATTTAATTGACTTACAGTTCTGTATGGCTGGGTAGGTCTCAGGAAACTTACAATCATGGCAGAAAAGGAAGCAGGCGTGTCTTACATGGCGGCAGGTGAGAAAGAGCAAGCATGTGAAGGAAGAACTGTCAAACACTCACAAAACCATTAGATCTCATGAGAACTCACTCACTATCACGAGAATAGCATGGGGCAAACTGCCCCCATGATCCCATCACCACCCACGAGTTCCCTCCCTCGACACGTAGGGGTTATGGGGATTACAATTCCAGATGAGATTTGGGTGGGGACACAGAGCCAAACCAAATCGCCCTATTATGTTGATGAGCACGGAAAAGTCCTCTGCAAACTGCTGTTTTTAAATATGAGACATTCTCTTGTCAGGTGATCATAACTTGGGTTGACTTATACATTTCTCGAATCCATCTATTTATTTGGATAATTTCAAGTTGAGTAGTTTATGTGTGGATAAAAACCTAAAGGTCTTCTCTATGGTTTCTCTGGCCTGGCTTGTGTTTTTGGGAGTCCCCCAAGATGCTGTAACCCCAGTACCCCTGGAGAACCTGAACGTGTGCTTGATGTCTCCACGTCACGGCAGGTGGCCCCCAGCATGCTGCCTGTCATCACTGTCCCCGATGCTGTCCCGCAGCAGCACCCCAAGGCTCTCTGGGCACATCTGCAGCTCTCTAGACCAGAACCATAAAGAAACAAGGTTCTCTCTGTCTAGTCCCACTGGAAAGAGGGAGAAGCCCCATTGTGAGCAGTACTACGGGGGAGTCCCTAGAAAGTGGGCCTCACCCAAAGAATGAAGAGGAGTCATAGTAAGAGATTTACCCATTCATGGAGATTGGCCCAACACATATTTATTTAACCCCTTGTTTGTGGGATTGTTCTGGATACTGACTGTGTTCCTCTTGAGAAAGAACAGCCAATAAAAGAGGGGAAATTAAAGCTCCTTGGAAGGGTGGAGAAGTGAAGAACTCTGGGACCACTCTAAAGGCTGACGGTGGGAGTTTAGGGTGGCTATGGTGATTTAGGGAGCAATTTCTGTTTCATGCTGAGTCTAGGGAACTTGGAATATTTACATATAGCTGGAAGAGGAGGTAAAGGTGGAGTATAGCTGGAGGTGTGGTTAGAGAAATAAGCAGGAGTTCAGATCCTGGAGACTCCTCCATACCAAAAACTAGTTTAGGTTTTACCCTCTAGGAAATAAGAAGCAAGGCTAAGTTGTGTGAGTACAATGATTAGTTTACACACTGGAGAAATGGGAAACAAAGGAAACGTGACTCAGTGTTATCCTGATAGCTTTGGGGAGTTGTTGAAGAGTTTTAAACAAGGGGAAGATGGGGTCAGATGAACATTTTAGAAGGCTTCCTTCTCCAGGGCTGCGGGGAAACGTTGACAAGCACAGGCTGGATTTAGGAAGGAATAGAAGAAGGCTGAGAGTGGAACCTTGGCGACTGGCCACCCTGAGGGAGCACGGGGGAGGACACAACACAGGGAAGCTGGGAGGGAGCCCTCGCCAGGGAGGGAGAATATCTTAGGGAGGAGGAGTGCAGGGTAGCTGAGGAGAGCACTTCCAGAAGGAGGCAGGGCTGGCAACGTCCTGGGCACACGGAGGTCTGACCAGACAAGGACAGTGGCTGGCACAGGTGCTCCCGAGTGCCAAAGTGACCACAAGAAAAGCCGCCAGAAGAAAAGAGGAGCCTTGCCTGGAAAACAAAAAGCAATTAAACATCTTGTCATGTGGCATGTTTTTAGGGGAAAGATGATGGATGGCTTCATCTTTTACTTGATCCCGAAGCAAGGGCAGATTGAGAAGCAGAGTCTGAGGGACAGATGATTTTCCCCTCTGGCCTTGGCTCCTTCTGACCTTCTATTTTCTCCCAGTGAAAGAGGTGCTGTTTCTGGCCTGTGGCCTTATTTAGCAGGCTCAGAACTTTTTCCCAGCTTCATGATAATGGCCTTTGGTGCTCTTTCTACTGCTTAATGTACTGTCATCCAGAATAATCCTTTTCTATATTGATCTGAATGGTAATCTGTAAATAAAAAGGAGAAATCATAGGAGAACTTGCAGAAAAATGGGAAAAAGTAGTTACTTGTTTTGCACATTTCTGGAGGGGAGGAGAGAGAATCTTTAAAATAATCTCCCATTTGTGCCTTCTCATTTGTCAGCACATCAAAAGCAACAAAAGCAACACACACACACACACACACACACACACACACACACACACACACACCCCAATTTGATAAGTTGGAAAACTGGCTGCACGACTTAGAGTATATGTCTTTCTTTAAAATTTTCTGAAATCTGATGTGGATATTTAAGAGCTTTCAGAAATTTCCATAGGCATGCCATTAGAGATAAGCCATTTGATTCTGAGGGGATTCAAAAAGGGAAATGTACTTTATCTAAAGAGATGAAATTGGACTCAACTTGGAGAAATGGTTCTCTGACCAGATGTCATTTAAAGGCATTGGACTTTGGGCTCCAGGCGTTGACTGTTTCTCAAGATAAATATGCATCTAGGAACCAAGAAGGGCATTTTCAAGGATTGCTGTGAGTTGGTATTATAATGTGCTAAGCACACCCCTGACGTCTTTGGAGGTCTGAGCATACAAATCAGACATAAATGCTTCTCAGTTCCTTCTCATAATTTCTCTGATCTTACTGGCAATAAAAAAAAGAAAAAAAAACTCTTCAGGAGCATAAAATGTTATTGAATTTGCAGCAGTCGTCATGGTTACCTGCATAGTTTCATTGCTTTATTAATGTGTAATTCCTCTTATTTCTGGAAATATCATTATAGTGAAACATAATAGTCTGCAGCCTCTTAGCAAGTTTCTCTGTGTATCTCAGAGATCCTGACAATGGCTGTGATGAATGTGTGTGTGGTTTCCGGGTCACTTGCATGCTGATGATCCAGCAACTGGGACATCATTGTTTAGGAAAAGACAACTTGAAGCTAATGACTCTTGAGAATCCCTTGAAAGTTCAAATGTTTCTCGACACAAAAGTGCTTTTTTTTTTTTTCCTGTAGGACAGTAATCCAAGGCTTTACTCTTTTTCTAACTAAAATAATTTATGTTTTTGTACATCAAAACTTTTTAAAGCAATTATTTTTACTTACTAAAGTCACTTTGAAGTGCTCAGGAAACTTTTTCTGATCAATTCTTTTTAAAATGATCTTTATTAAATTTGTTTCTTGTATCATAGAAGGGCTTTTGGGAGACACTGTTAGTAGAGGTTTTGAGCAAGTTTTTCTAAGTGTATTCTCCCACTACTCAAGAAGAAGCTAAATAAAATAGTTCATTAACTTATCTCTCAGGCCAACTGCTTAGGGCATACTGATCCTTATACTCATTTCTCTTTTTCTTGGGCACTCAACCAGAATATATTTTTCAGCATCCCCTGCAGTTGGTTCTGGCCATGAAAATCATGAGACAATGGAATGTGAGTGGACATTATGTAATAATTTGCAGATCTGTCCCATAAACACCTCCCACAGATCCTCTAGTCCCTTATTTCCAGGTTGGTTGGTAAGTCTGCCAGCCTAGATCCTTGAATAATTGGGTAGAACAGAGCCTCACTGTAGGTCAGGAACATCTGTTGTTAGAGAAAGGAGACAAACCCTCTGAGATGTGAGGGTTGTGTATTACATCAGCTGGTATTGCCCTAACTGTTGCATTGCTTGTCAAGCATTTCTTCTAAGTGGGCCATATGATCTTTGGGAGATAGATCATATTTTTCATCCACGAGTATCTCCCATAACTTCTTTCATAGCCTTTAAAAAAGAAGTTGGTGTTGTATACCCCAGGACTTTCCTATCAATGTCCTGTGATAATGTTGCTGTTTTGGAAGAGTCCTGGAGACTTGAATGGCTACAGCAATAGTGGATATTTTGAAAATTATCAGACCCTGTGACCTATGTGCAAAGAGAGCCAAAGGAAAGGAAATTAATCTTTTCTGGATACTTCTGTGTACCAAGTACTATGTTCAGTCCTCTATTTACTCTCTATAATTGATCTTCTATGAACAGCTATCATTCCATTTTACAGATTTTTAAGGTGTCATATACTTTAAATAACTTCTTCATAGCTAGGAGGTGGCGAGGGAAAATGCAAACAAAAGTTTGCCTAGAACCAAACCCAGCCAGCCTTTCTACTTTGCTGTTTTCCATGGCGTATGCTCAGTTAATGTCTGCTGATCACCATCTCCAGGACAGAATCTGACAGCTAGTAATAATTGGAAACATATGCAGACAACGTTTGATTATCTGTGGTGTTGGGAATAGATGCTCTCATTAGTTGTTAGAAAAATTATAAAACTGACATTGTTGAGTTTTACATTCTATCTTAAGATATCAGAACAGCTGTTTTAACAGATACCAAAATAACAGTCGTTTAAAATCGATGGTCTGGAGGTTGGCAGGCCAGTTCTTCCTCATGAGGTCATCTAGGGCCTGAGGCTCTTTCATCTGGTGGCTTGTGGATCTTCTGAGGTTGTTCCTCATCTGCATAGTGGCAGATGGCCTACCACACCACGTCTGCATTTAAGCCATTAGGAAAGAGGGGATGAGAGGGAAGGGCACATTTCTTTCCAGTTGAGGGCATGACCCAAAAATTGCACACATCACTTTTGCTCCCAAAAGTTGCAGGGTTGCACGGACATCTAACTGCAAGTGAGTCTAAGAAACGTCGTCTGTAAGTGCCAGTATGTCTATTCTTGTGGAAAAAGGAGAAAAGAGAGATTGTGGGACAAATAGCAGCCTTTGCCATACCTTCTTTCCTGTCCCAATCTTTGATAAACCTACAAATAAGAAAGATCCAAAACTGCAGTAGCAGAAAAGGGAAGGAAATGAATCATGGAAACTAGGTAATTCAGAAATTGAAGGTCTCCTTTCTCCTTAACCTCTTCCAGTGCATATGCTAAAAGAATCAACAGTTCGTTTCTTGCATTAAATTGCTTTAAAATAAGCTATAACTATTAAATCAGTATTCGTTGAATAAAATGATTGCAATGAATTGAGAATATTTGAACAAAGACTAGATGTTAAATCATATTAAATGATTAGAATTAATTTTGTTAGGTTTGACATGTGATTAAATTACAAAGCAAAACCTCATCTGGTAGAGACATTTACTAAGATATACATAAGTGAAATGATATGATGTCTGAATTTGCTTTAAAATACTCAAGCAAAAGATGGGGGGGTGATGAATAGTTGAAATTAAATCGGGAAAAATGTTAGTTGTTGAAGCTGGATGATGGGTTCATGGGGGTTTATTATGCTATTCTTTCTACTTTTATGTGTATTTGAAATATTCCATAATAAAAAGTTAAATAAATACTTGTTCCAAGAAACAAAAATAATTTTTGGCTGTGCCCTGATTTTCATATGAGCTCATTTCTGTACTCCAGTTAAGTGCTTTCTTAAGTTTCCAGTGTATTATTTATTCTGCATGCATATACCCAGAAAACTTATTTTCATCTAAATAATTCATTAACAATTTGCTTTTGAGTCAACTAAGCAAGATTTTGGTGAGTGGCCGCTTCATCCAGTGATAGAAGGGATGTAAAAAGCAAGTAAGATAAGGCCCCTCTCAACAAGTTTAAAGTCGACTCAGGCAAATAAGACAGTGCCTTAGATAAATCTAATTTAAGAGAAGTATACAAGAAGGCTTAAATGTTAGGAGATCACATCAAATTAGAAGGATCAGGAAGAGTTTCCTGGATTAGATATTATAAGCTTTAAAGGAAGGGTAGGCTTTTGACAGATGGAAGTGGTGGGGAGAGTAGGACCACCAGGAGAAAGGCTCCAAGCCAAAGAACATGTGATAGTTTCCTGGTGACAGGAAAGAATGATATGGTTTTGAGTGTGGGTATCTGGATGTCTCATTAGAGTAAATCAGGAAGTAAAGAGGATCTGACTGAGAAAATTGATACTTTTTATAAGGATGTATAGTTTTGAGACACTGGTGCATCTCAAGATGAGATGTTCATCTCAAAATACAGTATTGGAGCACAGAGAAAGGTTAGCGTGGATAGTCAGCTGCTGAATTTGAAAGTTGAAGCTGTAGGTAGAGTATGAGTTTACTACTGAAGAGAATAGAGAAAATATTTTTAAGCCAGTTTTATTGGAGTAGAAAATGGAAATTATGACAACATCATTGTGAAAATGACATAATGATTTCAGTTCACATTAAAGATACTATGAGTCACTGGTGTAACAACAGCTGTATTCCCTGCCCACCCCCACTACTGAATTCTCAGTACTTCCTTATCCACACAGTGCCCCCATATCTCTACTTTATTTCTCCTTTCTCCCTCACTCTAAGCTTCTCCAGAGTTGTCAACCCAGAATGTTTCCACTGCTTGACTTCCATTCATCTTTCAACCGACTCTGAATCAGAATTCCTTTACCACGCCACTGTAACTGTTAGTTATCAGTGACCGCCGTGTTGACCAATTCCATGAACACTTTTTACTCCTCAGTTCCCTTGACTCTCTGAGTAATGCTTGACCTATCAGGCAAGTCCCACTTTCTTGGAACTCTCTCTTCCTGGCCTCTGGTTTTGCTTTTCCGTTTCTTTGTAGGCTCCTCCTCTCCTGGACATTTACGTATTGTGTTGCCTCAGGACCATTGCTGGACTCTGCCTCTCTTCCTACAATCTCTTCTGGAGGGATTTCTTCCTACTCCACAGTTTCATCCCACAAAAGTCAACAAAGCACCCACATTTATATCTCATTTGAGTTCTAAACCTACCGAGTATCTCGTGGATTTCCCATAGACATTTCCTATGTAATACATCCATACTGAAATTTGGACTCCCACATCCCTCCCAAACCTATTTCCCGTCTCAGTAAATATCAGTCATCGCCATCTACCTTGCTGCTCAAGACAGTAAAGTAAATCATTTAGTTTGCAGAGAGTCCATGGGACAATTCTATCAGGAAGCCCAAGCAGATACTACTTTATTATGAAATATTCTTTGAACCCCAGACTGTTCCCAAAGTGGCTGAAGTTTGTAGTCCTTAAAAAGAAAAGTTCCCAAACTGAGTACAGTGGCTTGTGCCTGTAGTCCCAGCTATTTGGGAGGCTGAGGTGGGAGGATTGCTTGAGCCCTGGAGTTCGAGACTGTAGTGAGCTATGATCATACCACTGCACTCCAGCCTAGGTGACAAAGTGAGACTGTTTCAAAAAAAAAAAAATCTTAAAAATTAAAAAGGTAAATCTTTCTGATGTAACTTCATTGCTTCATAGCTGTTTGATTTAGGCACCAGTGCTAGCTTTAAATTTAAATCTGTGGTTGCCTTTGCGCTATATATTTTTAAAGGATATTGTGGGCTACTTATACTAAGAAGTTAAGCTCTTTGAGTCTGACCACACTTGGTTACAGACAGGACTATCCTCCGTGGGTCCCACAAGTAGAAGGGACCCTACGAATAATCTGAGAGATGCAGATGTTGCTCTTCTATCCATCAGATTAGAAATCCACCAGTGTGGACATCTCCAAAACCTTTACTATGCCCAACCTTTATTAACGCTTAATTCTCCTCTTTGTTACGGACCTGGGGATCCTTTCCTTCCTATCCTACTAGGTCTTGAGAAAATGAAATTAAAGTAGGCTTGCATTTTATTCAATCTGGAAAGGCACAATGATTTGGTGGAAAGATAGCCTGCTTCTAGTTCCACCTCAGGAACTAGCAAGTTAGTTGTAAACCTGATGAGTAGAGCCATCCTTACGTTTTTTCTGTACCTTCTTCCACATCAAACACATCAGAACAACGAACTCTGCTTGAGTATTTGCTTTGTGCCAGACACTGCCCTAAATAACAGATGAGGGAACTGAGGCTTAGAAAGTTAGTAAATGGCACAAAGATACCCAGTTAATGCAAACCCACAATTTAAATCCAGGCTATTCAAGTCTACTCTTACCAACTCTCTTATATCGTGTTGCCGAGAAACGACTTCTGGATTTCTTCTTCCTCTCATTCCTACTGTGCCATTGATGTAAGAGGTACCATCAATTTAATTTAATAACAGTTTTCAGGAAATAAAGTAAGCACTACCAAATCAAGTGTAGTTATAGTGGGCCTGCCTTTTAAAATTCTAACCAAGTTTTTTTCCTTCTTGGTAATTCCTTTTTTACTTCATGTCCCTGAAGCTAAAATCCTCAGGGACAGCTAATCACAAAAAAACAGGCAGATTCTTGGCTATTGACTTCTAAAATTGGGTCATGCAACTCATAAAAGATAGCCAGGAGCCAGGGTTGGTTTTTGATTTGGTTTGGTTTGAATTATAAGACAGAATTTGTTAAAGATAAACTTAAAAAAATTCTTTAATGTTTCCTTTGCATATCAAGGACTAAAGCCTGACAATTCTCACATCAACAGTAGAGTTTGGGGAGAATTAAGGATGATGTCAGAGAAGCTTCTTGTCCCAAAAGAGATTATGTTTTAGCTGCTGGCGGGAGGAGAATCTGCAGTTTAGGTGCTGAAGGACCCTGAGAAGGTTCTGCATTCCCTCGTGCCCCTGGAATGGGAGATCACTGAAACCCCAGAAGTGTTTTGAGAAATCCCAGCATATGGGGAACCTGGATTTGATTTCTAGAGCTTCACTTCCCGGGAGAGGAAGCAAGCAGCATCACAGAGGAGTGGAAGGCCGCAATCACTAGCGGAGGTGTCCCAGCAACATGGAAAATATTTTAAGATTCATGTCCCAAGAGGCTGCCCTGAGAGAGTCAGAAGGGCCTTGATAACCTGATGAGGGAACATCATTAGTAAATTTGATGTGCATTCTCTGTGCTGGAGGCTGTGGAAACAGAAACAATGTCTGCAGCAAAAGCAGTGTGGGTAGAAGTCTCCATCAAAGATGAGAAGGTAATGAACCAGATACCTCCCCTATGATGCCATGATACATATGGGCCTTCTTAGAATTACTATCCCAGGAAAAGATAAGGAAAGTTAGAACTCTAATTTGATCATGTTTAAATTCTGAATATGACTGCAAAATAACTGAACAAGATTTAATCTCTTGGAAATGGCTGTAGTTTCAGCAGCTGAATTACTGAAGGTCACATAGCTAGACAGTCCTGTGGCCAGGATTCTAGTCCAGGCAGTCTGACTTCACAGTCCATTCTCTAAACCTCCACACTGTTTTGTACTGTTCTATACTCTACTATCTCCATGTTTCCCACAGCCAGATGGAATAGTGGCTCGAGACCTTAAGTTAAATTACATTCAAGAAAGATAAAGGGTGATTACAAAATTCACCTTTTGACTTTCCACATTAATTTCAAGATGCATGTAAATTTCAGTAAAATGTTTTAGACTGGAAGAAGTTGAAGATATATTCACCTCTCTCCATCTCTACTACCAGTGCCTAATCTATGTCTTACCTAGACTGTGCCCTCTAAACTGGGGAGATTAGGCTTCTCTATGTACTTAGGAGCAAGAAAACTAGGACCAATGGATGGAAGCTTTAAAAACAGAATTCTGTATAGAATCAGAGAGAGTTTCTCACAGTCTCAGATATCCAGAGATAAAATGAATATCCTTGGTTGGATCCATGAGCCATATCCCTTGAGATGCTGTATCATGGATGAGACACCTACAACAAAGAAGGGACCTTATGAAGAAGAATTCGACAGAAGACATGGCTGGATGATTTTAGCCTTTTACGTCTCTTCCAATTTTGAAATTCTGCCACTTTAGAATGGAGGTTGTGAAAACCAAATTGCCTTGTGTTTGCAGAGTGGGAAGTGAGAAAATAAAAACAGTAGGTATAAAGTACTCTTTTAGAGATGGCTACCACTGAGGGAAGCAGAGTTTTATTGTATAACATGGTGGGACTGAGGGAAAATTTTAACACTGGGAAAAATTGAGCAGATTTGTAGATAGAAGAAGGAAGGGAATTAGTTTAAAAATGCAAAACTAAAGGTTAGAGAGGGCCCTGTTCCAGTATCCACTGTTGTATAATGTACTTCCTCAAAACTTACTGGCTTTAAACAATAATCACTTTGTTATAGCTTAGGATTGTGTTGGTCTGGAATTGAGGCAATGCTCAGCAGGATGATTCTTCTGTTCCACATGTGGATGACAGAGGTGACTCTGTGGTCTTTGGCTGACATTGTCTTGTGCCCTTGGTGGGAATGGCTGGAAGTCTGTGCTCAGCTAGAACTGTTGACCAGAGTGCCTACATGTGGCCTCCACAGCCTCTTAGGGTACTCTGACTTTTTTTGGCAGCTTGTAGTTCCCAGAGCAGTACTCCAGGAGGTGAATTCCACCAGCCTCTTAGGGTAGTCTGACTTTTTATTGGCAGCTTATAGTTCCCAGAGCAGTATTCCAGGTGAAACTACCAGGCTTCATAAGCCCTAGCCTCAGAAGGCCAGAGCATCACTTCTGCTGCTTCTTATTGGTCATCAGTCAAGTCCCTAAGGCCAGCTCAGATTCAAGCATAAGAACTAGATGCACCTCTCAGTGGAAGGAGTAGCAAAGAATGTATAGCCATCTTTCATCACCCATACAGACAATTGATAGAACGAGGTCCTGAACAATGTGCGGAGTCCAAATTGAGAGCAAAGGTAGAGTGATTATCTTTAGAATGGGGGAGGGACATGTCCACCTCAGAGATAAGGACAAAGAAAAGGAGTTCCAGAAGGTGGAAACAGAAATTTTGAGATGAAGATGAGGGAAAGGAGAAGGAGTCATTTCTACAGTTAAGTAATCCAAGCCTATCTAGTAGAAGAGGAGTTTCGCAAAATAAAAATTATGCTACCCACCATCCATGTCTTTTACCTCGGGGTTGTTTCCTCATTCTGATAATTTTGTTGTCACTGATTTTACCAGACATGTCTTCCACAGACTTCTGTCTGAAGACACTGTCTGCAAGATTTTTGGCTGACTTGTTCAATGCTCTTTGTGTACCAAACACATGTAGCACACCAAACTCTGGTGTAGTCCAGGGCAGTGGGGCAGGTAAATTGGCTTCCCTGGAAAATATGTCCATCTATGTGCCTTATTCCCAGTTCGTGCTTTTAAGGGATGGAGCACACCAGCCATGAACTAAGGCTGGAGTAGCAAAACATGAAATCTGCTTTCTACAAATTATCCAGATAATCTCTTCCAATCCCCTTCTGGAGGAAAAACAGAGCTGTATGAGGGTGACAGTCTGGCAGGTATTCAAAGCTGCAGTGACCATGGCTTGGCTCCTGTTGTATCCACAGAGCTGTTTGATTGGGTTAATTTATACAGTTTTTCCTGTATGAATCCTTTTGATAAGTATCTTTAGAAGCTTCTAATTCATTTTAAAGGAATGTTTCTCTTTGGCTTCATGTCTCATTCTTTTCACATTATATATTCTGGTGATAAATGATGGATCCATAAATACATTACCTTTGCTCAGTCAGTGTTTTCTGTTGTTGATGTAAAGTACACAAATTGGATTTGTTTCAGGATAGCTGAATTTGGAATATGACATTTTGCCAAGTCAGCATCACACTTGCCCATACAACACAGATGTGGATTTTGCAGTTGTTTTGTTTTTAAAATTGTATATGTCTGTGGTGCTATTGATTAATGTAATATTGCATTAATGTGCTATTACAACACTCTAGGGCATTCATGAGGTCTTTCAGCCAGCAGCAAAGAATTCCCCAAACAAAAGCTTTTAATAAAATACAGATTGCAGGGCAAAGAAAAGTATCAACCGTGAGAATTTATGGATAGCAGAAGTGCTTGAGGAATCAACTTTTGATGGCCTTGCCAATGGAAATACCGTGTAATTGTTATATTATTTCATTTCCCTCCAAATCATTAAAGATCATCTATATATCTATTCATTTGTTGAATCTGTGTTTTTAAATGACCAAGGTATTATGACTGTGTTGATCCATGACTTCTCTTTTTCTTATTAAGTTTCCACTTGCTCCAGTGCTTGTATAGACACACTGTCAGATCCAAAAGGTCAGCGAAGGCTGACACAACCACATGTGTGACATGGCATAAACTGCAGAAATTAAAATTGAATCCGTCACTGTCCATTGTAATAGCTGGCAGGCAACTTTCCACAATGCAGTGTTGATGTAATTCTGGCATGGAGTCATTCTGGATCTATTTTAAGTAACAACTACTTTTTTCCTTCTCAAGGTAGTTCTTAATCTTTAACCATTACATTTTCTCTATCACAAAAATCTGGAATAATATTTTTCTAAATCAATTAACTGATGTAAAATTTAAGTGAATAAAAATATCATTGGTATAATATACTCACCTTTGTAAATATAGGTGCCACTGCCAGCCTGCTAACAGAAAGACAAATCCAACTCCACTCATTTTCAGATTTCAGAGGTTGGTGGTAGTATTTTCAAATATCCATTTGATAAGAGAAGCAGAGGCAGATCTTTGCTTTTTTGGCATATGTCTACCATAGCCTTACAGTGGATTTAAAGTACAGAAAGTAATAGTTCTTTTAACCCTCTACAACTTGTGAGATCAGAAAGAAAGTAAAAAGATACAAAAACAAAACAAAAAAGCATAGAGGTCTTTAATTTAAAGAAAGTTTTTCTGTAACCAAATTTTATGAGTCAGCATTTTTATATCAATAATTTACGGCAATAATTATGAGATCATTAAGTTCAAGCATGCAGAAACCCATTTCATGGTCTTTGGTAATAGGGCTGATGGAGGCCAACTTAAATGAGCTAGGCCAGTGATTATAATAATATGCCTTCAGAAGTCCAACTAGTGTTGATGTTTAGAGTGGAGATAAAATAGAAGGCATTTCTCTTATATTTCAGTGCCTTTAGATCTGGACATTTTTTAATGGGCCCTGCAAAGTAAATGCCAATTAAGATGTCATAAGTAATATAAATTCAAGAGATATTAAGGTGCTGTCCCTGTATCTATAAGAGTGGTACATGGAGCATGTTGAGGAACAAGTGAGGGGAGTTGTATCACACCCTCCAGATATCTTCTTTTTGTGAATGCAGTTCTTTTCCCCTCCTTTGCCCCAGTTGCAATGACTTAAGACTTAGATTCCATTCCATGAGTGTCTTGCTAAAACCACCAGATAGAATACCTTCCATGTCCCAACTATACAGTCCTCTTGTGTTTTTCTGGTGTTTGTATTCCCATAGTTGCAAATAAAAAGTATATTTTTAGTTTTAGAATTTTCCTTTCCATTAAAAAAAAATCCCTGAAGATTTGTGGCACCACTGTTATTTCTGTTAATGTCATTGCTTCCATAGCAGCAAGCTAAGACTTTGTAAGAAACTGTGTTTACAGAAAGCAATTATCTAAGTGAACATTATAGCTACATGCAGCAAACTTTCAATTTAGATTTCCCGTAACCATTACAATACACACACACACACACACACACACACCCCTACTCCTTCCCATTTGTGTCATAAATACAGTGTCATCAGCTATATCCTCATATCCAGGAGCAAGGTGGAACTAGTTCTTTGGGCTTCCATAGCAGAATGAAAACTCAGGCAACTCACATTCTTGGTCATAGAAGGTGAGTTCTTCCCTGATCTCAGAATCCAAATGGTAGTAGAATATAAAATCAATGAGTTTGTGCTGGTCCTTAGGGTAGATTTCAGGAAAAATTAGAAAGGAAATGAAGAAAATAAATTGTTGGGTTTTTTTCACAGTACATTTTGCCAAGCATAAAACATAACATTGACAGACATAATTCATTTTGCCTAAAAGGTTTGTTGCCCTCAGAATTTCAGTCAGTAGAGTCATGTCTTTAATTTAGGATATTTCAGAGTTGCTTTACCATCTTCTAGGTGAGAGATTTTAGTGGCCATTCTATGAAGAGATGAAAAGAGATAAAGGGTAATTTCTAATTGGCTGTAACTCAGTATGAAATGAGACCAGAATGCCATCTAAAGCGTGCTAAGGAATGCACTGTAGAGGCTTTTGCTTCATGTGAGTAAGACTGGCCTCCTTGAATGTTCCAGTGTGCCTTGGTGTTACTAATTTTCTCTGACAAAAATGAATTCTGAAATCTTTCTGATGAACACTGCCCATGTCCTATTGCACGGGTAAAAGGTAAATAGGAAATAAAATTATCTTTCTATAGTATTTTCAAGCAACACTCTTTATTAAATAATCTAACTTAGCAACTTGTGGCCACAGAACTCTGTAGCCATTGGGTAGAAGTACAAGCAAAATAAGAGCCATGGGCCACTTTCTCCCTTCCTGCTGAGAGCTTACATTTGCATGGAGAACACAGCCATGAATTCAGAATAAAATAAATACATACAAATAAAAGAAGGAAAGTGACACATATGCAGCCAACTCTGTTATATAATCAGGGGCAGGAAGGGTCAGTGATGCTAGGTCTTGTTAGACTGTCAAGGCTCAATTCTTATGAGACATTTTAAGGAATGGAAGGCTGTAATTTAGTGAGGAGGAAGAATAGCATTTGTCAGATACATCCAGCAAAATAGTGGCATCATAAAATCAAGCAACGCTGCAGAAATTAAAAATTAAACTTACCATATTCATACTGCATAAAAGCAACCCCATAAAACTGTCTAATCTCACACTTCATCCATCAAAAGCCTTTCTAAACCATTTTAGATATTTTCCCCCCAGCTATTCTAAAATTCACTTTCCTTATCTGGAAAATGATCTCCTAGGATCCTTAAAAAAAATCTCCATTTATAATTCAGGAAAATTGCCACAGCCGACAGAAATGAAGGTGGTGGAGTGCTCAGGGAAGCTGCAGAGAGAAGCGATTGCTGAGAGGAGATGAAGAAAGATCACCACCCTGGGTCCTGCAGTAGCCAAATGGCAGCATCTAGACATAGAGGACAAGCAGGAGAAAGGCTGAGGGGTTTTGCCTCTGGAGCCTGATGTATTACTAGCAGGGACCCCTGAGTGTCTCTCTGCACTGGGAAAACTGTTAGTTAACCTAGAAGGTTGGCTGAAGCCACCTCACCCCTGCAGTTCCTGCAATAAAGAAAACACAGCCCTTGCTCTGATCCTTTAACAAGAAGCAAATGTATATCGTTGTGATCCATTTACCACGTACTGAATTTACCAAACATCTATTCTATATAGGTATTGAACAGGATACTAAAATCATGGTCACCCATTATATCATTGTGGTAGGCAGACTCATGTCCCCCAAAGGAGTCCTAATCCCCGGAACTTGTGAATACGTTATGTTACATGGCAAAGGGGAATTAAGGTTGTAGATGAGATGCAAATTGCTAATGAGCTAACTTTAAGATAAGGAGATTATCCTGGATTATCTCAGGGGGCCTATTGTAATCACGAGGGTCCTTTAAATGTGTAAAAGGGAGGCAGAAGAGTCAATGTCAGAGTAATATGATGTAAAAAAAACTTCACTGGCCATTGCTGGTTCTGAAGATGGAGGAGGGGGCAATGAACCAAGGAATGTGGACCCACTCTAGATCTGGGAAGTGCAAGAAAATGGATTCTCCCTTAGAGCTTCCAGAAGGAGCAGAGCCCTGACGGCTCCCTTGTTTTAGCCCAGTGAGACCCATGTCAGACTCCTGACCTTGGAATTGTGAGATAATAAATATGTATTGTTGTAGGCCCCCAAGTTCATGGTAATTGGTAATAGCAGCCATAGAAAACTAGTACAATCATACTGTTGATTTCTTTTGTAAGAATGTCAGAAATTGCCTTGTTCATTAGCTTGCTTATTTCTTACCATCTCCCTTCACACTCAAGAACGTCTCTTCTAGGAGGGCAAGGCCTTCCTTGCCTGTCGTGTTCACTGCTGTATCCCACAAGCCAGGAGCAGAGCGTCAAATACACTAGTTGATACAGTTTGGCTGTGTCCCCACCCAAATCTCACCTTGAATTGTAGTTCCCATAATCCCCACGTGTCATGGGAGGGACCTGGTGGGAGGTAATTTAATCATGGGGGCAGTTACCCTCATGCTGTTCTTGTGATAGTGAGTGAGTTCTTTTGAGATCTGACGAGTTTATAAGGGGCTTTTCCCCCTTCTGCTCATTCTTCTCCTCCTGCCACCATGTGAAGAAGGACATGTTTGCTTCCACTTCTGCCATGATTGTAAGTTTATTTAGGCCAACCCAGCCATGCTGAATTATGAGTCAAACCTTTTTCCTTTATAAGTTACCCAGTCTTGAGTATGTCTTTATTAGCAGCATGAGAATGGACTAATACACTGGTCTTAGTAAATGCTTCTTGAGTGTCAAGTGAATAATTGTATACCTAAGGGAATGACCAGAAATCATGATTCTCTCCCCAGAGCTTCCACAAGGTAGAAACATAGGAAATAGCAAAGGAAAGATGAAAAGTAGCAAGAGGTCAGGAACCTGAAGGAGTAGTAGATGTACAGAACACAGTAAAGTTTCAGAAAATTTGAATTAGAAAACAAAGTGTAAACCCTCTGTGTACTTGAAAGAGCCCTGTGATGCTGAAGAAGGTAACATTGTAGAAAGGCTGCTTGTATACAGGAAGGAGACTAGTGGGGTCAACCACAGAATACTCAGTTCCTTTCTTAGGTAGACTTACTAAAGTGCCGTAAATCAGTTTTTGTCAGGAGACAATAAAAAATGAAATTAACCTAGAGAAAATACGTAGAGAGAAACCAACATGGCAGAGAAACTGGGTGGAACATTTATTAAGTCAAATCAATATGGCAAAATTGTGTCTTCTGCTATGACTTTCAAGGCCTTTTGACTAAAAATATTAACATACAGCCTTCCACATAGATCACAAAGAAGAAAAGTCTTAAATTTTTTGAACACCAAAAAGGTAGAAGCCAATGTGTTTTATGAAGTTTTTTCCTCCTAATTTTTTAGGGGGCAGACAGATTTTTAACCCTATCTTTGCTTGCTTTTGGATGCTTCCCTCATCAACAAAATTTAGTAAGCATTTTGCACATATTAACTTATTTAGTTTTATCTGTGAGGTAGGCACCAGATATCCCTCTCTATATTGATGGGGAAACTGAGCCTTTGTTAAAGCTAAGTGACTTACCTAAGGTGACAGAGTGAGTGAGTGGTGAAGTATGGATTGAAACCCAGGCAGTTTGACTCAAGAGTTTACTCTCTTAGCTGCTCTTCCACCACCAGACACTGGTGGGCTCTGAGATAAACCAGAAGCACACCAGATCCAGTCGTTTGCTGTGGGAGATTTATATTCTAGTAGAGGAGGCATATAATAAATAAGAATTGCATTGATGTGTATTGCGGCTGGTGCTATGAAGGAGACATGGACCACAGGATCCTGAGAGTGAATTCTAGTGTGGGCTAACCCATTTGCAGGAACCACAGAGCCCCACCACATTGCAAATTTCCTAGTTTATACTCTGTACCAAGAGCAAATGAATATTTAATGTGAAAATATCCCATAAGTCCTTCATATGTGAACATTAGGTTAAGTGGAGATTGATGAGAAGGAGTCTAAACAATTTTTAAAAGTTCCAACAATTGGCCAGGTGTGGTGGCTCATGCCTGTAATCCCAGCACTTTGGGAGGCTGAGACGGATGGATCACTCGAGGTCAGGAGTTCGAGACCAGTCTGGCCAAGATGGTGAAATCCTGTCTCTACTAAAAATGCAAAAATTAGCTGGATGTGGTGGCACACGCTTGTAAGCCCAGTTATTCGGGAGGCTGAGGCAGGGGAATTGCTTGAACCCAGGATGTGGAGGTTGCAGTGCGCTGAGATCACACCACTGCACTCCTGTGTGGGCAACAGAGCGAGACCCTGTCTCAAAAAAAAAAAAAAATTCCAACGTAAGTTTATTTCTAAATTTTTCCTTTCCTGTGGTATCCTACTTGTTCTGAATGTCCTTTGTGTAACCCAGGGTTTCTCAGCCTCAGCATTATTGACTATTTGGGACCGGATAATTCTTGTTGGGTGGGGCCTGGGGGCTGTTCTGTGCATTGTAGAATGTTTAGCAACATCCCTGGCCTCTTCTTACCAGTAACAACCCCTCTTTCTACAATTTGTGACAGGCAAAAATGTCTCAAGACATTGCTGAATGTCCCCCAGAGAGCAAAATTGCCCTAGGTTGAAAAATGCTTGCAACCCACCAACAATTCAAATTCCACCTATTCTTGAAGACCAGTTTTAATTGCCTCATGCTTCGAGCCCATTCTTCTCTCCACCTTCTCAAAAACCCACAACTACACTATATAGACAGTCTTTAAAGCTCAGCAGATAGCATTTTCTGAAATCAGCCAACCCTTCTTTACCCCAGCCTCCCTGCAGGATGGGAAGGAGCACACAATGTGAGGAAATTAATCAGGACTTCAAGCTCCCTCTGCATCACCTGTGGTAGTACAAGATTTGTTTGGGGTTTTCTACCTCACTCTTAGAACAGGGTCTAAGGCAATGACTTCCAGACACGTTTTAAGCAAGTGACTGACCAGACCATGAATTCCTGAATAGGAATTCCTGTTGGTGAAAATGTCTCATTAATTTATAGTAGCACTTCATTCAGGCCTTCAAACTGAATCATAAAATGAAAACTCGGTGCCTCAGGGTGCCACACTCTTCAGGAGAGAGGTAAAACGTATGAGTGTAGAAGAGCTTCGAGTGTGTGTGTCTGTGGGCAGTGAGTCCCTTGAATTTGGCTCCTATTCAGACCAAAACATAGGAGCCTTTTCCTCCTATCAAGTAGCAGCATGGTGGGCTGACAAACAGAAAGCAGAGTGAATTTGAAAGGCATATATGCCCAGCATAACATCTCGTCTTCTAAGACAGCAACATAAGATTTCTGATTTTAAACCAAGGCAGAGTTAATCTGCAAAGCCTGTGCTTATTGTGAGAGATATGACAGAGGGAGAAAAAAATGGAACCACAATGCAGACATCTCTGGATCAACTTCTGAAAAAGCATTGTGATCCTCAATCTTAACAAATATCAAAATGGACCCCTAAATAGCCCCTTGAATACTCTGAAGTTGTTCTTAGCGCTTGTGTTTTCTTTTTGGCAGTAAAATTACAGAGAAAGTGGAAATCGTTTTAATGTGCTAAGGATTTTGATGCAGTATCATTTAAAATATAATTGTATGTGTTTAGTTACATTGTTGCTTCATTTTATTAATCTACAAATAATTATTGTTAGCTATTAAATGGCAATCACTGTGCCAGATGCTGGATATATAAAGATAAATAAATATCCTGTTGCTGACTTCAAGGATCTTACCATCGTTGAAGTGAGAAACAGGCAAGGAAGCTGACAATCATGAAGCAGGTTTCTAAGTGCTTTGACTGCACATTGGATAGTATAATAAATGAGGGGCAGCATCTAACTCAAACATGAAGGTTGGGAGAGGAGCACAAGTGCACAAGTGTCTGGAAAGTTCTTTCTTTTTCTTTCTTCTTTTTTTTTTTTTTTTTTTTTTTTTTGAGATGGAGTCTTGCTCTGTCACCCAGGCTGGAGTGCAGTGGCACAATCTCAGCTCACTGCAACCTCTGCCTCCTGGGTTCAAGCGATCGTCCTCCCTCAGCCTCCCAAGTAGCTGAGATTACAGGCACCCACCACCACGCCTGACTAATTTTTACATTTTTAGTAGAGACAGGGTTTCACCTTGTTGTCCAGGCTGGTCCCAAACTCCTGACCTCAGGTGACCCACCTGCCTCAGGCTCCCAAAGTGCTGGGATTACAGGGGTGAGCCACTATGCCTGGCCTGGGAAGTTCTTTCTGAGAAGACAACAATCTATGAGAACAAGTTAAAAAATTAAAATTTATTAAATATAGTTCACTTGAGACTTTAATATGTCTATTTTGATAATTCTTATGGCTCTCCATATAAATAATGCAAGATGGACTATAATCAAATAGAAAGCTGGAATGCTAGAGAAACAGATCTTTCATGAGTTTCTGAATAATTGCCACAACACTGAACAAAAGTATAATAAAACATATGCTTGATTTTTCCTATTAAGAGACTTTGCCAAAGCCTAGTAAAATACTCTTGATAACTTGCCTCATAAAGTAACAGAAGGGAAATGCCTCCGTGTTTTCCTACATTTAATGCCATCAAGATATGTTACTGCCAAAACATGCAGATAGTCCTGCCTGGACTGAATTTAGGGTGACCAGTCGAGTCTGGAATGCTCATTGCTCTCAACGTGCAGCAGAAAGAGAACTGGACTTGAGATCAGAAAACCTTAATGCAAGTCCCACTCTGTCATTCACTCACTGTGACATTTTACACAAGTCATTTAACCTTTCTGAACCTCAGTTACCTCTTCTGTAAGATGGAGCTTCCCAGGATGGCTATGAGGATTAAATGAAATCTAGGTTATTATTATTAGGCCTCTTTGCTAATTAGCTGTTGGGTGAGTGGATCTTCTTGTGCAACAATACAAGGTCATACTTTAACCTAAGCACCATTGCAGAATATGTGATGGGGTAAATAGAGGTTTTCTCCCTTGTCTTCCTGCCTTCCCATGCCATCCAAATCCTCCTCATTGTGGCCAGAATTTGATCCTTATGAAACACAGATTAGTCCTATCACTTCTCAGGGAACTCTTCAGTGCCTACTCATCACTGTCTGGATGAAACCCAACATCTTGGTGCCATGGTCCCTTCTGTTCTGGGTGTGATTTTTACTCACCTTCCTCCCCCTGCACACCTATGCTTCACCAGCCTCTCCATGCCTGTTCTCTCCCTTTCCCCTCCATGTCTTGGCACCTGCTGCTCCCTCATATTGGAATAGCTGTGCTCCTGTTTCTCCCTACAAACTCATCCCAACTGGTTCTTCAGCATGCACCTCAAATTGTAAGCCTTTCCTATGTGCTTTCCATGGTGTACAAATATACCGTGGTGTGGGAAATTTCCCACCCTCAATGGCCATTGTCCATTTACTTGTCTTTCTCCTTCATTGACCTGGGACTTCTTGGGGGCAGAGATTGGGTTCATTGCACTTCATATCCCTTTGCTTCACTCTCAGCCTGGAACATTGTAGGTGCTCCGTAGGTCTTGTTGAATTAATGAATTGATCAATCACTGACTGATTCATAATTGGCTAATATGCACACCAACTGATTAAACATAAGATAAAATAAATAGTATTTATGATGTCAGAATGCAAATTCTTCATTCTTTAAACATTTCCACCCCAAAAGTGGAAAAAGGTATGGATGAGCTGTGAATCCTGATACTCATGAGGTCACTAAATAATAGTGTTTTTTGGCAAAGACTGGTGCTAGCCTAACTCAGCATCCACTTTCTCCTTTCTCCAGAACAATAGACTCTTATTTTTATCTGGGTATGTGGCCACCAACAATAAAACACACAAACAAAAAACAGTATTTTCCAGTGCACCTTGCAGATAGATATTGCAAACCACTAAGTTCTGGCAAATAAAATAGAAGTGGAAGTGTTTTGTGGAACTATCAAGAGGACTGTTTAACGAGAGCTGACTCATCAAGGAGGAGCCCTCCTTCACCAGTGTCTACTTTTTCTCTTTCTTCGGGCCTGGATTTGAGATATTTAGATATGGCTGCTGAGTCCCAGCAGCACTTTGGACCATGAGATGACCTAGAAGATCCTAGCACCCATGTGCTAGGATATCAAAGCAAAAAGATGCAATGGGTTGGTTCTCTGATGGCACTATTAATCCTGTAGTCCCAGCCTCTAGACTTCTTTACATAAGAGAGTAATGAATGAACACTCTAAGGCAGTGGTTAGTAAACCTTTTTTTGTAAAAGGCCAGAAAATAAACATTTTAGGCTTTTTAGTCCATACAGTCTCAGACACAACTCCTCAGCTCTGCTGTCATAATTCAAAAGCAGCCACAGACAATACATAAACGAATGAGTGACTATGTTAGAATAAAATTTTAATTACAAAAACAGGTGGCTGGCTGGATTTGATTCATAGACTGTAGCCTACTGATCCCTGCTCTGAGGCACTGTGATTTTGAGTCCTTGTGATATATATAGCTAAATCTCACCCTAATGAACACATCTTATTGGTGAGATGAAACTTTTGATTTGAAGGAGAGAAACTGTCAAGACTCTTGTTTCATTTTAAAAAGGGTTTCCTTCAGTAGACCCTTTCTCCCTTAATTGATCCTTATTTTATTATACAAAGTTCTGACATTTCTGTTTCCAGACTCTTGATTATTAAGACCGGATGATCGAGGGCTTTTCTAAGTTTCTCAGTTCCATTATGTTCAGTTTGGAGGATTCCAGCAGAATATAAATGGGACAGTCATCAGGTATATGGACAGGGAGGATGGAGGACAAAAGGCAAGGCCTGTAGGAACTGAATGAAGAACACCATGCTGAGAACTCCTAAAATGTGTTTGAATTATATGACAAAACTTTCAGGCTGCCTGGATGATAGCTTACTGTACTCTGTTACCAGGGAGATTGTACAAGCTGAATTGATGTTTAGCAGCAGGACAAGAGCTACTCTTGGAGATTCTTTTCAGCAGAGACTTTACTTGTTGCTGCTAGGATGTCTTGGCTTTTCTGGTTTAACTTATCCTGTGAATGCAGAACAACATAGTACAGATCAGGAATGGCAAATTGATTTCTCCTTCCATGCAAACTCCAACTGATGGTTAGTACATAGCTGGAACTTTGTATTGAGAGAGATTATGTGGCTGCGTCCAGGTTTTAACTGAAGTGGTCTACGCTTCCCTACAGTGTCTTCCCCAGCTGCGTGAGGACAGTGAGGGGAGAGGAGGAATCTCAAACAGGTTGCCTCTCTTGATATAGACTCAAGTGACAAGGAAGCTATTAGGGCACCATCATTTAAATAATCTCTAATCTGGTTCTTCATTTTACACATGGCTGTAATATTAAGGCTGGGAAATGTAAAATAAGTCACACAGGGTTCTATGACTAGTTAGCAGCAAAACCACTGTTAGAAAGTCAACAGTAGTATTCTTCATTACACAATACTTGACATATTCAATTGAGAAGTTTTTATACTTTTCATTAATTTTTCATAATTTATTTCTAACATAGAATAGAACCAGCTTGTTGGTGTTCCAACAACCAAACTTCTAGAGCTCTTGTTGCTGGCATTTTACCAGCCTGATCCTTCAGACTCCATTTAATTTTGTGAGCCCCAGTCACCTTCCAATCACTGTGTTTTTTTGTTGTTGTGTTAATGATGTTCAGGGTCAGTTTCTATAGCCTACAATCAAAAACTTGGATTGATATGATGGTTGCATAATATTCCAAAGAGTACAGTCATTAAATTGTGATTATAAATTATTGAGGGATGGAAGTCTGCCTTAGTACACCCCACTCATGGTAAGATATTCAATTATCATTTGTTGAATTGAATTGAAATTTCTCACCTATTCTAAATATGTATTCTTTTAAACATTATTTAACAAACGTCTTTATGGTTATATCTTTCCACATTTTTTTTTGAGACAGAGTCTCGCTCTGTCGCCCAGGCTGGAGTGGAGTGGTGTGATCTCTGCTCCCTGCAGCCTCCACCTCCCAGGTCCAATCAATTCTCTTCCCTTAGCCTCCCAGGTAGCTGGGATTACAGGCACCTGCCACCACACCTGGCTAAGTTTTGTATTTTTAGTAGAGACAGGGTCTCACCATGTTGGCCAGGCTCATCTGGAACTTCTCATCTCAAGTGATCTGCCCACCTTGGCCTCCCAAAGTGCGGGGATTACAGGCGTAAGCCACCACACCCGACCACTTTCCACATAGTTTTGATTACTTAGGATAAATTCTCAAGGGTGGGATTACTGATCACGTGGTAGGATAATGTTTATGGCTCAATATGTATTACCAACCTACTTTCCAGAAGGGCTATATTGATTTACAATGCCCCATGCCATGCTTGAGATCACCAGTTTCCCTATAACCCTGTCAGCACTCATGCAATAGAAGGAAGTACAACAGCTCATTGTTATTTTAGCGTGAATGTTTTCTCATTTGCGTGTTGCTAATTGCATCGTCTCATTTGCGAATTCACTTACTTGTCTTTTGCAACCTAAATGAACTCCATAAAGAATGAAGATATTAACTTATACTGACTGTTAATATTGTCCTCACTTGGGGTTTGTTCTTTTATTTAGTTGTGGGATATTTGGGGAACATCTTTACTCTCGTTTGAAGAGAATCCTGTTTAACTTCTTCCAAAACCTTGAACTCTGAAAATTTCCAACGTTGTGAAAATGCTTGGGTCACCTGCCCTAGCTGCCAGCATTAATTAACCAAAGGAAGGCATCTTACCCACTACTGTCAGCTAATCTGGGAAACACTTTAGATACCTTTCCCTACATGCCAGGATCGCTTTCCATGGTCAAAAATAGAATAAAATATCATATGTTTCCCATCGTTACTGTTCTTTTCCAAATAGGAAATTCGTTGCTATTTAAGCCAAATCTCCAGCCCAACTTGCTGTCCCTGAAGCAAGGGTTTGACATATCCCTTTACAAATCTTTAGATTTCTTGCTTCCACTAAACCAGCTTCTAATGGTTTAAAGTATCCGGGTGGTATCCTCCACCACAAAAACTTGAGTGTAGATAGAACATAAACCATTCTTATGATACAAGATGGCGATTCTTAAAAATGGGCGTCACAGCACAAAGGAAGCCCTTGGCAAAAAGGTAAAAATGAAGGACGCTTCATTCATTCTCAACATTTTGAAAATTGTGTCTTTTATTATCTTCCTGAACCTCTGCTACTTTCTGACCCCTGATTCCATAGTTTTCTCTTTAACCAATTTTCAGCTTTAGTTTTCCCTCAGGTAACGCAGAGCAATTCAACATTTTTATAATCCTTTCAGAAATTGTTGCTTTAATCCTCTTCTCTCAAACCTCACTCCTAGACCCTGGCTGAAACATCTTTTGGTTCTGAGGAAACCTCTGTGAACTGAAAATATACTGAAAACTGGTCCTGTATTCGTTGTTCAAAATTAATTAAATAGAAGAGTTACTTTCCAAAATAGCAGAACTCATTAGAGCATCAGAACTCAGATACACACTTATATGAAAGGGAACACATACTGGTTGACATAGAGCTGAAGAGTAGCAAATGCCATATCTGTAAAGATCAGAATAAGTGTTCTAATGTAATAAAGCAGATGGGAAACATTAAATCAGAAGTCAAGAGATGGACCCTAGCCCCAGGTTGCTGCTAATTAGCTAATGACCTTCAGGCTCAGTTTGAGGCTCAGGTTCCTTATCTATAAAACTGCAGTCAGGCCAGGTGTGGTGGTGCATGCCTGTGGTCCCAGCTACTTGGGAGGCTGAGGTGGGAGGATCACTTGAGCCTAAGAGGTCGAGGCTGCCGTGATCTATGATTGTGCCACTGCACTCTTGCCCGGGTGACAGATTGAGCTCCTATCTCTAAAAACAAAACAAAACAAAACAAAACAAAACTGGAGTCAATTGGTGATTTTCAAGCCTTGGAGTTGTTTTTAGCAACGCAACTCAGTTTTCAAATGAAAAATATAACAAAAGAACAGATGCCTGTAGAACTCCTCTGATTGGAATAAGGGCCAGTGGCCTAGAATCCCACCCTCTTAACTCTCTCTTCCACTACTCAGGGCTTCAAGAAAGCCTCAGATTATTCATTATCATGATTGTTGATACATGAACAGGCCCAGTTTTTTTCCTGTTCTAAAATTCTCTACTCTCCCATGGTTAAAATATAGATTATGCTTTTAGATTGAGTAGGTTAGATTAGCAGAGTAGCATGGAAAACTTGTCCCTGTGCCCAGGCCTGGGCATTTTGGGGTGTCACCAGACAGGGAAGCCATGACCTCTGTCTGCCTTCACTACACAACGGCATTGCTATGTCATGGCGTTTTCAGAATGTGAATAATGACCCAACTGTTCTTTTTGCCAGATGCTTCCTTTGTCCTGTGAACTGTGCTGCAGATCCTCCCACCTTACCTCGAATTCTCACCACCAACCTCATCTTGAGCTGCTCATGCCAACCCACTTGAGACACACCAATCTAGCTTAGGGGGCAGGGGGCAGGGGGCAGGTCACAGGACCTTTGCTGCTTCCTCTGCTGGAGCTTGTCAAAGCTGGCCCCTTCTCTTATTTCAGGTTCCAGCTTGTATGTCACCTTCTGAGAGAAGTCTTCTTTGACCATCCTAACTAAAGATACCCTGGACGTCCTGTTTTATTGAATTCATAACATTTATTACTATGTACATATGTATTTAGTCAGTTTGTTATATTTATGTTTACTTGAATCCCTCTACACGCACTGAAATGTGAACCCATAGAGAAGAGAGATCTTATCTGTCTTGTCCCTCCCCCAGCATCCAGAAAAGTGCCTGGTCCAGAGTAGATGCTTTGTGAGTAACTTGTGAATGAAAGAATGAACACGAGACGTTGATATTATAATCTCTATCATACAGATGCAGAAACCGAGACTCAGAGTGGTTTAATTGCCAACTCTGAAGCTTCATCACGGGTAAGCAACTGATTCTAGATTCAAACTCAAGTTTGACCTAAGAGCAAATCTTGACTCTGCTATTTGGCCTCTCTAAGTGGAACCATTTTCAACTGTCATCAATGTTTACATCTACCTGAGAGGATGCTAATAAGATAATGATTACAATGACAATGAAAATTGTGATACCAATAACTGCTTACACTTCGAGTGTTTATTGGGCCTCTCCTTGATCACATGCAGAGCACACACCACCTCAGCTGGCAGCACATTTATTACTGGTTACCTCTAATTTTTTAAAAGTTCTTTCTTATCTTGAGCTAAAATCTACCACTATGCATCTTTCACCCACTGATCTCAGTGTATCCCTCTATAACAAACACAGTGAATCTCTTCTAGCTGCCAAGTAGAGAAAGTACGTGGCCTAAGAATGGACTTGGGGTCTGGATATCACTAGTTTTTATTGTTGTTGTTGTTGTTGTTGTTGTTTAACCGATTTGCAAATACCTAGTAAGTCAAGCATTCCCAGGTGGGTAATTTACAAGACAATTTACCTGCCACGGGTGCTTTAATGAGTATTATTATTGTAGTTTCATCTTAATTAATAGTGATATTCTTTTTCTTAGCTAGTAGATAAGCACACTCTTATTAAGGAAATTGGGTTGTCACCACTGGCTTTGAGTAATTCGTTTTGTCTATGCAAGCTGTCTTCATACGAAAAAGGTTTTCATACTATATCCAGTCCCCCCTCCAACTTGAATGTGATAAGGATTGATCAGGAGGAACCAGGTAAAACCTCTGAGCTCCTTAAAACCAAGGCCCAATACAAACCTGTTCAATTTTGTGGTCTCTGGCTTCAACTTTTGGCTTTTGAGAGCATTTTAGTCCAAACTACACTGTGGTCTCTGTGGTCTTTGCTGGTGGCAACTGGGGATCTTGTATGGCTCATAACTTTTATCTAGGTCCAAATTTTCTGTTCTGTTCCACACAAAGAAATAGAGAAAAATATGATACAGCAGCTAATATTTAGTATGTACTGTGAGCCAAGAATTGTTCTAAATCTTTTACTTGGATTATTGCATTTAATAGCTATATTATATTCTGGGAAAATAGCATAGGCCCTCTTTTCTTGTAATACATTTCATGCATTTTCTTCATTTCATCCTTAATTTCAATTTCCTACTTTATGATATTCTATCTTCCTCAGTGATATGACTGATTCAATGCAATAATTCATGTAACGTGCTTACAGCAGTGCCTCGGAGAGACTTAACACTCAAGAAATCCTAGCTGTTGTGATTACTGTATTTCTTTCTTGATGCTGAACAGATCAGTATTTTTGGATCTAGATTCACAGTGGAGCATGCAGTTTTCTGGCTTAAATCAACACACTGTACTACAGTCGACAGGATGATAAGGTAGAAATAGCAACATGCTGCAGGGCAAGAGATCTGGGGTCAGGCTTTAGCTCTGCACTTTAATAGGCTGCGAACACCCCAGCAGTTCCTCGACTCCTGAGAGCTTTGATTCCTCATTTATACATGAGATATATGAACCTGGTGATCTCTGAGATCCCTTACCTCATGTGAACCTTCCTTGACAGAATGTGAATTTCACCATAATGAGGATTATGTTTCTGTAGTCTCAGCTCACGTAGTACGTTAAAGAGACCCCAAAGCACCATAGTGGAAGATTCTTCAGGAAATGCTTGGTTAGTAAGGAACATCAGGAAAGGACCCTCCAGGACTCCCTTCTGTCTGTTCCCCCATAGCACTCACTAGTAGGTGAAGCCATCAGTAACTAATGGGGTTAGGAATTATCGGGAACGGCAGTGTGAAATGCACCATTGGTAGTATCTGGTTTTTTTTTTGTTGTTGTTGTTGTTTTATGTCAATTCGTTCTGATTCTTATTGCAAGGGAAGTAGTGTGGCGTGATAAGAAAAGTGCTGGCCCCAGAGTCCAGAGCCTGTGAATTTCATTTCAGCTCTGCCACTGTCTGGTTTTCTAGCAAATGACATTGACCTTCCCTGGGCCTTAGTTTTCGCAGTTGACAAACTAGAGGATTGCTAAAAATTTCTGGCAGTTTAAAAACTCTCTGCTACCAATTTCTTTATAGAAGGACAATACTCATATGAAATCCTATTGACAGAAAAGCATTTTGTCTCCCCTTTCTCTTTTTTTTTGCCAAGTGTAAAGAGAGTTGGTGTGGAAAAATATATTCTCCTGTGAAAAGGTTCATTCAGCCTTTTCTTAATAGATCAAGTGGTTGGTATTTCGGCTGGCTTCTGAAATACATTACAAATCACAATCTGGAAAAAGTTCCAAAGCAGCTCCAAGCCTTCCTGCTGAATTTGGATACATCTTTAAGTCTTACTCTGCAGCTCATCCTTAACAACTGACAAAATATTTACTTTGCTCAGTACAGAAAAGGGTAACATTTTCCAAAATATTAAACTAGGTTGGATTCAGAACACAGACAATGAGGCAAAAAGCTGGACCTCTGTTCGAAGCAGTATCATTGAATCATTTTCCAGAGTGCCATGAGAAACAGCCTTGGTGGATGTTTGTGCTCCACAGTAATTCTGAAAAAGGCAGAAGCCAGCCAGCCTCTGTCTAGCAGACCCACTGGTGTGCTGAGCAGTGATTCTCAAAGTGTAGTCCCTGTGCCAGCAGCATCAGCATCTACTGGCAACTGGTTAGAGATGCAGATTCTCACAATCCATCCCAGACCTACAAAATCAGAACGTTCCAAAATGTGGCCTCCCAATCTGTGCTGTAACGAGTCCTCCAGGTAAACAAGGAAAGTTTGTTTCCTTGTTTCCTGGTACTGAGGAAAGTTTGCAAACCATTGGTTTAGGCCTGTGAAGGCTACAGGTGTTTATTACCTTGCAATTGGAAGTTTGAAAAAAGGACAAGACTAGTAACTCAAGTTTTTGTTAATGAATTAATTTTTTTTCAAATGTAAATAATTTGAAATTTGGAGGTGTTGCTTTTTGAAATGCTGTCCCCTCTAAGTCTTTGTCCCTCTCTTCCCATCTCCCTCCCCAGCCCCACTTCATGCTTACGGCAACAGGGTCTGAATTATATTTGTCTGTTTTTAAGACAGTGAAAATGCACTGCAATTTGGTTTAATGTACTTGAATGTAGCTAGTAATTTTGATAAAAATTTAATTGCATTTTTTTAAACAGACTCTCACTTGAAGTTCCTCTATGATGAAAAGGTGGACAAAAATTGAATAACTACAATTTATAATGTTCTGTTCTATCAATGAGCCTTCTTTTTAACAGAATAACTATTTTTTATAAATAAATTGTGATTTATTTTAAATTAAATTACTGGAAATCAGTCTAGTCACCAGCTTTAATTAAGAAATAGACTACCATCATAAGGGCTGTAGTGTTGATTTTAAAATTGCAAATAATTTTTAGGGGAAATTATGATAGCCCTCATAAGACCTCCTCCTCCTCCCGAACGTCTCCTGCCTGCCCTGCCTCTTCTGTGTTACGTGCCTGGCCACTGCAGGAATCTGAGCTGTGACCTTTGTCCTGCAGTCTCGTGCTTGGTGATGTCATCCGGTCCCAGGGTTTCAACTCCTGCATCTGTTGATTTGGAAGGCACACAAATCTGTAACTAGAGGGTGATTTCGCTCCTGAGTTGTAGCCAATGTCACCAACTGCTTCAATGTCTTTCCAGCGCCTTAAGACCACACATCCAAACCGGAACTCCTCATCTTTTACCCTCCCTTTCCTCTTCCCAACATCCCTATTTCCTTTAATGGGCATTTCCCACCCATGACCTGCCATTAAGTTGAGGGCAGGAAACCAGGAATAGTAGGAGGTTCTGGGGTTTGGAACTATGTGGGTCTGGATTCAAATCCAGGTTGGCCACCTCTTGGTCAAGTGCCATTAGGCAACTCACTTCTCAGATCTTCAGCTTCTTCATTTGTAAACAGAGAATTGTTTGGAGAAATAAGAGAAGAAAAGTATATTAAAATTTGGTTGTGTAATGTATTATCCAAACCAGAGCATATTGACAGTGAATGTGGCTATTGTTAATAATTATTCCATGACCCTCCAAAAAAGACAAAATCTTAAGCTGCACCAAGCAAAACAGGATGTGTGTTCATTCTACGTGTTTAGTGCTATGAGTAATGTAGTAGGTCCTCAATAAATACATGTTCCCTTTCCCTTCCTTCCTGTTATAACAATGTTTGTCTTCAGTATTTTCTGAATCTGCCTGTGGTTTCCATCCCTCCTACCCCTACAGCTGTCCTCAGTCCCTGACATTAAGACCATTGTAATGTTCTCCCAACCAGGTTCCTTGCCTTCCATTTTTCCCGTCTAATAGATTCCATGTACGTTTGCCAGATTAATCTTCTGAAACCACATCTCTTAAACCATTCTCTGCCTCAAGACCCCTTAATGAGTGCCCATTGCCCGCTTAATAAAGTTAAAACTCTACAGCATGGTATTTAAAAGTCTTCCTGCTTGGAGTCCAGTAGCTTTCCTCCGACTTAATTCCAAGCACTGTCCTTTGTCTATACCAGGTTCTTGGCAAACTCTACCATTTCCCAACAGCCTTGCCTTCCCTGACTGCTGGAGTCTTCCCTCCTGTCTCTGCCTGTTCAAATCCACTGTCCTTTCTGCTGAAGTGTGGCCTCTTCCAGAAAGGCTTCCCTTGTCTGCCCAGTGAGAAGCTCTCCCCCACCCTAAATTATCTTAACAATGTTTTATTCATATCCCTCTCTTTTTTATATTGTAGTTGATCAGGTTCATGTCTTAGACATCCCACAAGGAAGGGGAATGGGAGGCAGTTCAAGCCTCTTTGCCTCAGATAATTCACACATGAGAGGAATTCAGAAAATGCTTGTTGAACAATGAATAAATGACTGACTGAAAGTCATTTTTGCCTTCAATAATTAAATACTGCCATTGCTTTATCTTTAAGTAAGCAAAACTTCGTAAAACATAAGGCAGGTATTCTTATTTATTTTGCTTCGTTTAAGAACTAGGAGATTGAAGTCTTTACTATTATTGACAGTAAAGATTCTAAAACTACAAATGACTTTTTCCTGCATCTTCATGTTGATGTTATTAGCTTTATTTGCCTAAAAGAGGCAGCTTATTTAATAATTAGAAAAAAAACCCTGTAGCTCCAAGAAGCGAATTTTACATATCATAAAGTAAAAGTCAGAACCTGCTTACAACTCAGGTATTGGAAAACACAGTTTGTCTCATTGACTGCCTGTCCCCAAACTCCAAACTGTATGGGGCAACTTTGTCTTGCTTTTCCCTTGTTTCTGTTTCAATTTTAGAGGCGAATTTGTATATATTTTAATGTAAGATGGCTCTACTCTCTCTTTTGGCATATTTGTTTTTATAATTGTTTTATAGTCAATAACACATATACTTTTTTTAAATAGCACATCTGTGACTAAGGGAATAGGTTTTAGCAAATTTAAAAAACAAAAAAAATTGCTCCAGATCTCTTTAAGAGAAAGCTGCTCATTTGCAAAGAGATCATTTGTAATTGCCGGTGAATCTTGTGTAATGATGATAGAGAAAACCAGTCATCATTGTTCTCTGACTTCTGTTTCAACATTTATCCACTTGTTTGTCTTACAAAAGTGCTCAGGTATAATGACAAGAGTCACATCTGTTCAGGCTTGCCTTAAAATGGCAGTTACACATTCCATTCTTCTTAACTATATATATATATTTTTTTTTTTTTGAGATGGAGTCTCACTCTGTCACCAGGCTGGAGTGCAGTGGGATGATCTCGGCTCACTGCAACTTCTGCCTCCAGGGTTCAAGCAATTGTCCTGCGTCAGCCTCCAAGTAGCTGCGACTACAGGCGTGCCCCACCGTGCCCAGCTAATTTTTGTATTTTTTTTTTTAGTAGAGATGGGGTTTCACCGTGTTGGCCAGGATGGTCTTGATCTCTTGACCTCGTGATCCACCCGCCTTGGCCTCCCAAAGTGCTGGGATTACAGACCTGAGCCACCACACCCGTCCTCTTCTTAACTTTTTAATTCAAGAGATCTTTTTCTTTGCATTACATAATTCCCCAAATAATTCTGTTAGCTGCTGCAAATATTTTTACCAGACTTTCATCTCAGTGTGTGTTTTTGGAAGTGAAAATATAGACAGTTAATTTTTATTGAATTTAAAATAGGTAGGCCTCAGAATTAGCATAATTTTGTGAAAATTGTGTAGAATCTACTTAGGTGGCCATTAAAAATGAATGGAGTTAGCAAGGGGTAGCTAATTCCCATCCTCTCTCAGGGAACTCTGGGATGTCAAGGCAGGCCACCAAGGATCTTATTTTTATGAAGAACCTAGTGCCCTAAAGCAAGCTTGTCCAACCTGTGGCCCGCAGCCGACATGCAGCCCAGGACAGCTTTGAATGCTACCCAACACAAATTTATAAACTTTCTTAAAACATTGAGTTTTTGTCTTTTTTTTTTTTTTTTTTTTTAGTTCATCAGCTATCGTTAGTGTTTAGTATAGTTTATGTGTGACCCAAGGCAATTCTTCTTCTTCCAATGTGGCCCAGAGAAGCCAAAAGATTGGACACCCATGTCCTAAAGAAGATAATTCACTGTCTGAACTTCTATCATCAAATTAAGTCTCTTGAACAAAGGTAAAAGACTTCTTGGAAGTCAGAAGGTTGTCCCAGAAAGCAAGAATTTTACCTGTAGCCAGTCAGTCACCCTGTCAACAAATGCTTAGTTATGTCCTGGGCCCTGGACAAAGTGTTGAGAATGGGATTGGAAACAGCCCAGCAGGGTCCTGTGTGGAGTATGCTGTCTGGTGGAGAGGAGCCATTACAGCTGCCCCGTGCCCCTGCCCCGTGCCCCTCCTTCATCCCCATTTGGCCCTATTGGCATCAGAGGAAGACTTCGGAAAGCACTAAGGAGAGATAATCTTAAAGTGTCCTCCAGCCTGGGGCCTGGAAAATTCTAAATTCTTGGATCTAAGAGATTGTAAAATTGAAAAAACAAAAGCACAAAAACAGGCTTTTAGGGCCTAAAATATTCCAATAACCTTGCAGAGTCTTATCCTCCAAATATAGGCCAAAAGAGCTTGATCTCTTTGGAGTAATTTTTTTTTTCAACATGGAAAGCCCTGACTGATATTTTAGGGTTCTTTCAACAGGGTTCTTTTGATGCAAAAACGAAGATTTAGTGGCCATAGGGGTTGGGTCTTGGAGGACCTAGGGGTGGGCTGGCAGCATCTACTATCAGGGTGCACATGCACAGGGACCCAGGACAGGCCAGGAGGAGCTGGGGCCATCGAAGGACCGAGCTGCAGGAAGAATGGAAGAGCATGGGTTGTCACCTCATGGTCCTTAATGTGACTCAGCAATTCCCCCAGAGCTTGCTGCATTCCTCTTTATCTGTTAGGTATCTATTATCTACCTCCCTTAACCTCCTCTCTTTCTATTTTATCTTTCTCTGTAGTGAGTTCAAACACTTTAAAGCCTGAAACTCTTTCTTCAAGTAACATCTTATATTTAAAGCTGATAAAAACTGAACTGCAAAGTGGCAGTAGGCTCAGCCCCTCCCACTCGGACCTCCCCTCATCCCTGCACCAGTCCCTGTGTTACCTCCAAAAGAACCCCAAAAGCAGCTTGGAATATGCTTTGAAAAATCTCTGCCCTGCCCTCTTAGATTTGGTTCTCTCATAGTTTACTGTTCTCCGTGACCTACAATGACCACTTTAGGCCCCCAAGGGGCTGTATTTTGTTTTTTTCGCATCAGGCCTCTTTACATACAGACTGGACTATTCTTGAATGAAGCGCCCACCTCTGACCAGTCAGTTGTGGCCAAGGCGAAGATGGAGTTAAGTTGTACAAAATGTGGCTAGGTAAGGCTACCTCTACAGCGGGGACTGAGAAAGACGGTGGCCCTCTGCAGGACTGTGTGTGGGACAGGCACCATGACTGCCATGTGTGGGTGGAGCAAGTGTCCCAACACCAAAACTAGGAGAGTCTACAGGCAGGCAACAGCATCAAACAGCCACAGACCCACATAAGGGAGAGAACAGCTGAGGAGCAGGAAAGAGGATTTGAGTCGCCATTAGAGGGTGGGACCACATTTACTTGGACAAACGAGAGGGACTCAGAGGGCTTCGACTCTGGGACTATTGAAAGCTCAAAACCAAATGAAGAAAAGATTGTCACAAAAGTGATGAATTGGCCCCAAGATGGGTGTGGTCTGGGGAACAGGGAAAATAAAAGTAACCTTCATCTGCTCCTTTGTGTAGGTGTGGAGCTCGCTTTTAAAAAATGTGTTCTTTTCATTTCCAAGATGTCAAGTATAAAACGCCAACTCACTTTAAATTTAAGAGTTCAATTCTTATTCTCTTAAAAGGCAAAGGTTGCTTTTGTGGCCACATGAGACACTGCTTTGAAGGATGCCTGGCTAAGATCTTTTTGGCAGTGCCGGATCATGCCATTGCCATGATAGAAACCCAGATTTGGGGCCAGTAGGAGGAACTGTGACTCTCCAAGCCAAAGGAGGCAGAATATGGCCCTAAGTGGGCCCTGTGCTTCAGTAGGGGCAAGGCCTGACTCCAGGAGTACCCTTGGACTTGGCCTTAAGGCAGTGTGAAGACAGCAGCTCTGTTTCTTGCAATTTGAACAAAGCACATGAAACAATTTGTACTTACTACTCATATATGAAGACTTTTGCCTCCAAAATGGAATTGGTTTGGAGACTTAAGTTGTAATTCTGGCTTTGACACTACCTTAGTGTGTAATTGTATTCCACTTTTTTAACCTTTTAGTTTCTTTTTTGGTGAAAGACATATTCACTTCTAATATATCCCAAATTGGGAATCCCAGCAAAGCATTCCTACAACCTGTTGTCCATTCCCTTCTAGCCTCTCTGGAGTTCTATCACAAACAGATAGGTGCAGCTTGTTGGGAAAAGTGTATTATTTTATCATGTAATGGACATTTTCACATTTGCAATTTAATGCTTTCCAACTCACCAGAACATGTAGACCATCATTAATGCTACCACACCCTCATTTACCAGGAGACTGCTATGATGTCATTGCTTGTGTCTCAAATGAGTTAAACCACCATGACAGTGACAACTCATCATTCTTCTTTCAGCAGATAATACCATCCCCACAGACCACACTCCACAGAAAAAGATGATCAAGGCAATGCCCTTTAGTTGTTTTTTTCTTAATCCTTTTGTAATAATTTCATTTTTAATGCCTCTCGTTTCTGGACTCTCAGAACAAAAAAAAAAAAAAAAAAAAGGATCTTTGACCAGAGTCAAGGAGGAAATCTGTGGGTTTCTGTGGTACTATTTCATATGCAACCTGTCCCATTTACAAGGCTTCATCATTCAGTGAGAGAAAATGACATTACATCAGATTCGATGGGACATTTCATGGTCTTATTGTCTTATTTTAAAAGTAATTAAAAATGTGATCCTGAGCTCATAGAACTTTCCTAACTTATAATTGACTAGCGCTAATATCTCATCTTCTTTCCATTTACCCTCAAACGTGGAGATTGGCTTCTATAAGTCTAAAATAGCAACCCGATTAGGTTTAAAATCTAATTAAATTCTAACCTGTGAAAGTTTAAGATCCTTTAATGGTTTGCTAATGTCCCTAGCAGTTTCCCAATGGAAGGTATGATATTGCTATTGATACATGAAATGATTTTAGGGGCATAGTGGGGAATGATTTTACTACTTATACAAACTTATGCTTATTTTACTATGTGTTAGTAAAAATTTAAATACATATTAAAGTAAAACTATAACATGTAAGATAGTTAAGTTATAACATACTATCTTATATGTTATAGTTTATATTATAGCTTACATATTATCATATTAGTATAATATATTATAATTTAAAAATACTGATTACCTGTTAAATGATAATATTTAGTGTTTGTTGAATTAAATAAGATATACTATTAAAGTTAACTTCACACTTTTCTTTTTTACACTCTTTTTTCTTTTATAATAATCATATTAGTATAATCATATTACAACTATAATATGATTAATATTAGTATAATATTAACTGTTATAAATTAAGAATATCCTATGCATTAATAAGACAAATATATCATTATATTTTTGCATTTTAATAATAATATATATGTATCAAACCATGGATATTATTACTTAGATGGTCAGTAAAATTAGTGAGTCAACCTAGAATTCATTTTCAAAATACTATAATAGCATAAGTTGTTCTTAGATATAGGAAAGCTCACGAAGACAGTAAGAGAATAACTAAAATTTGAGAACTATTAATCAACAGAGGAAAGTCTGACTCCTCAACTTGTCTCCAGTTTTACACCTTGCCCCTCTTTATTTCAGCCTTTCAGAACCATTTGTTGCTCCTTAAATGTACAATTAACTTTCACACCTCCCATTCTTGAATTAAAATGTTGGCTTAATCACATCACATGTGGATGACCTTGGGAAAGTCAGTTACACTCTTTGGCTTTAGTTTCCTCATCTAACAAATAGGCATAAAAATAAATGAACCGCCACCCAGCAAAACTTTCTTAAAGTTACTGGATATCATATAGTATTGTGTAAACTGTAGTAAATTATACAGATATAAGAGATTATAATACTTTATCTTAACATCTCTCACAGTGCATAGCAAGTGTTCATTACATAGGTGTTAGAGAATAAATGAATGCATACCACTGATGTTCAGGTTTGAAATGGCATTTATTTCATTAAGCAAGCATTCACAGAATGGCAGTACCTAATGCCGAAATAGTGGAGGAAGGATTTTTTCCTTCAAGATAGTGAAGGAGACTAACACCTAAAGAGGTAATTACAAATAAGGTATTATGCTAATTTTTAAAATAGACATAAGATGAGGCGCATTGACTTAGCTGGGAAAGCTTCCCAGAAGAGGTGATACTGAAGCTGCATCTTACAAGATGGGGAGGAACTATCTCGTGAACAGAGTGAAAAAGGGCTCTCTTGGCTGAGGGAGCATGGGCATAGCTATAGACCAGTAACGTCCAGCAGAAATATAATGCAAGCCACAAATGCAATGCAAACCAGATTAAACAGAAGTTCAAAGAAAGTGTGAAGTTAGCTGTAATAGTATATCTTATTTAATTCAACAAATACTAAATGTTACCATCTAACAGATAGCCAGTATTTTAAAATTATAAAGATATTTTACATGCTTTATTTTGTGCTCAAATAAATCTTCAAAATCTGGCATTTACACTTACAGCACATGTCAGTTTAGGCTAATCATATTTCAAGGGCTTAATAGCTACATGCATGTTGTAGCTACTGTGTTTGATAGCATACGTATAGATGATGGAGGAAAAGCCCAGAATACTAAATAAACCATGAGTTCTTTGATATGCCTCTGGCACAGATTCTAGGTGGAGACTGGTGGAAGATGAAAGGGAAATGTAGTCAGATATCAGAGCATGAAGGCCTCAGATACCAAGTCAGGGGATCTCTCCATTTAATCATAAAGGCATTGTGGAGCCTTTGCCACCTTTGAAAGATTTTATATAGATCAGATTTGAGGTTTTGAAAGATTCCTCTGGCAAATGTGTGAAGGATCAATTGTGGGGGCCACAGTGCAAAGAAAGTTGGAGGTATTTCTCAATCTGTTCTGTTTCTCTGTGTTTAATGGAATTTTCATATAAACCCCAGCAATTAGTAGACAGGCAGCCCTTCTGAATTAGCAGTGTTTCCTGAGTTTTTAATTCTACTCCAGAACTTCATGAGAATTAAGGGTATGGTGGAAGCAGAGCTAAGAATATCAGGTGTTAAGACAGAAAGTCTGGCATGTGGACACCCTGAGGCTCAGGCGGAGCAGCCCATGAAGTGCGGTTCTTAGTCAAATAGACTCTGTCCTCCACCAAACCATGGTGCACAGGCAGTACACCATCACCAAATGCATGTGTGCAGGCCAGCTGTCCCTGATTGTAAGGTATACATCAAAGGGAACTATCCACCATCCCCCAAACACCTTCTTTGCCAAGATGCTTCTTACCCCTAAACTCTAGATAATAATCCTTCCTTTGAGGTAAAAATTGATTTTTCTAGCCCATCTTTTCTAAAGAGGCAAATGTCTTGAGTAGGTTACATGTTTTTATCACCATAACCTGCTAATAACTGAGTTATTTGCTTCCCTTTCCCTTTATGGCAGAATACAAGCTTCCCAAATTCATTTTTCTCCCCAAAATTGCCTACTTCACAGGGTCCTTTCTTCTTCCTTTTATTTTGCCTTTCTGCCAATTTTGCTCCATGGCACCATATTAGCTCCATTGGCCTATAATCCAAAATTCTGCCTATCAGTACATGTTTATGTGTGGAAGGTGGTGCAAATGGACATAGACACTTAAAGCGATGTCCTTTCAGAGTCACACTGGCCATGCCTCCTGTTTCTTCTGTTCTGGGAGCTCCCAGGCCTATGCTAGTCCCCCTGAGCCAAATAATGACAACTGGCATGTGCATGAAGCAGTCAGCAAGCTTGGAGGCCACCACCAGAGGGAGGTATTGCCCTCTCTGGTGGAGTTGATATCCATGAGTCTCACTTCTGGACCCCTGGGATCTGCCCCCACTCCAGGCACCACCCAACCCTCTTGTCCCGGATGTCCAGAAAGGGGTTGAAGCATGAGGGGATTCTTATGGCCATCACCTTGGGGGCACGGACCATCAGGGTGGCTCTGCCTCGCACTGCAGACATTTTTTAAATCTGAAATTTAAAACCCAAATTTTTTAATCTAAAATTTTTTACATTTTAAAACCAAGTCCTGAGATTATATGACCTTGGGTGATTATTTTGCTCAAATTAGAACCCAGGAAATTTGGAAATATTTGGTGGTTTGACGAGATAAAGAAGAAGGGGGAAAATGAACCCTGCTTATGTATTGTTAAAAGGCAAACCATAGACAAGTTAAATTTAACAGACTTTGATTGAGTAAAGAATGATTTGTTAACCAGAGAGCCCCCAAACCAGAGTAGGTTCAGAGAGACTCTGGCCCTGCCACGTGGTCAAAGAAGATTTATGGACCAAAAAAAAAAAAGAAAAGAAAAGAAAAGAAAAAGAAAGCTGATGTGTAGAAAACAGAAGTGAGGTATAGAAATAGCCAGATTGGTTACACTTTAGCATTCATCTTATTTGAATGTGGTTTGAATAGTTGGCCACGTTTGATTGGCCTAAACTCAGTGATTGGTAGAAAAGTAGGTTACAATCTGTTTACACATTCAGATAGGTTACAGTTCACTATGTGCAGAAAACTCTTTAGGCTGAATTTCAAGTATGTAAGCAGTAGCTTTAGGCTAAACTTAATTTAACAGTATGAATGGGGAATTGCCTTCACTTTGCTGTGCCACATGTAAATAATTGTTATTTTTTTCTCTAGCATGCACATAGTTTGCCAAGTTAGTAAATTATTAGAAAGTCTTTTCTTCTTTCTTTTAAAAAAAGAACCTGTACTTTGGGTGAGATGCCGCTGGGAAGCCAGCTCCGTTGCCTCTCTGGCATCTGTCCATGGTGCTTGAACGGCAGGCAATGATACTCTGAAAACTACAAAGACCCCCCTAAACACACCTCTGCCCATCTAGGTCGGGGGTTGGTGGTCGGCGGGGGGACTATGTTGCTGTGAGGAGAGGAAGACTTGGACTTTGACAGTTTTTCCCACTGTTAAGTAAAACCTTAGGCAATTAGCCTTTTCAAAGGTAAAAGATTTCTTTTTATAATCTCTTGTTACACAAACACACACACACTTATAAAAGAAGAAAAAGTAATGTTGCTCAGGAAAATTGCAACAATGAGATTGACTCCTGTTGCTTTTGTCAATTGCCTTCTTTCAGAAATAGATTAGAGTGATGAGTGAGAATGCCATAAATATCCTAAGGGAGTTCCCCAAAGAAAAGAGAAAATCCTTCAGAGTTCCCCCACCTGGTTGGGAGCATCAGATGTCTTTCAGGAGCTTTGCTTCAAAAGAGAAGAAAACATTGATTGAGAGCTGACTAGGAATTGTCTTTCTTTGGGAAAAAGAAATAGTTCAGTTATTGGAGAAATAAGTAGGAAGGGGAAAAAAGTACCCATCCATCCAGTGTTGTCTCGCTGGGGCTTCCCTTTTTTTAACTGAGATTTTCAAGTGTTCTTTCTGGAATCGGGTGAGTGAGGATTCCTCACACAGATGCTGATTAGGATATTTCTGTCAGAAAAGAATGGATCAGAATTAGACTCAGGAACCTAAACCAACACCATTGATAATAAGATGGAACAAAAATGCTTGGACCTTTAATTTAGAAAGTGGCCTTTCATGACTCATGGTGGATATCCCATGATACATAACATGAGCAAACGCTACTTGGGAGATGAGGATGAAATGAACTCCAATCAGATTGTCTTGGAATGTGGCAAAGGGATTATTCCCTCTGAGTTAAATGCACTTCCCTTCCTGGGGCGGGGGTGGAGAGGCCTAATCATTACTACATAGCCCTGCATGCATGCATGTATTTATTCATTCATTCATCTGTCATTCATTGAAGGCCCACTGAAAGTTAGATGATGTGGTAGGAGGTAGGGATTTAAAGATGAACAACAGATGACAAGCTGAAATTCTAGTGGCAGAGTGGAAAATGGTGACATACAACCTAAGGTGGTAGGCTATGCCCCGGGTGCTGTGGAAACTCAGAAGACAGGATTTTTCATCAAATGAGATGCTTTGAGGACTTTATTCCATGCAAGTTTTTTTTTTCCTAAATAGAATTTAGTATTTCCTTTCATCATTGCTGGTCTCTGTGAGGACATACGTGTTTCTGTAACACTGGAAGAAGGAAAAACATCTGAAATTTGTATAGATACCTTTTCGCTTTGTGGCATGTGGTCATATTTTATAGAATAATGGCAGGGAAGGTATGTGGGAAATGTACATATCTACAGGACTTTTCTGACCTGAAGCTAAACCTGTGCATGAGAAGGGGAGTACATCAAAGAAGCTTCTGGAATGGAAAATGGTGGCCTTTTTCTGCTAAATGCCTCCCTGGCATGCCATGTTCCCAGGCTCCCCATCTCACTCTCTTCTCCCCTGATTCATTTGTAGGGGAAGAAGAAAAGTCTAGGTTCCTGGCTGAGGCCCCTATAACAAAGATAAATAAACAACAGAAAAGGATACCGTTGTATTTAGGTTTTACGTGACATGGATGCCTTCCTAAGGTAAAGGAAGACCTGAAGAAACAGGGAAACCATGTATTTTTTATGCTAGGTTTAACACAGAAGTGGATAGTTATGAAGTATAATTGGACTAAAAAGTGTGATCTACTGATAATAAACTGGAGGAAATCCTGTTTTTTCCAATTCTTCTCTTCAAAGATAAAGATGCTTCTTTCCTCTGGATCTAGGGAGGGCACCTCTCCAATGAGGGTCTCCCAAGCTTTGCTTCAAAGAAGGTAGGGCAGGGAAGGGAGGAGATGAGAAGACCTTCCTACTTCTGCCATTTTCCCAAATTCCTTCAGCTTAAAATATTTTCGGGTATATATACTGAACCCCATCACATTTTTATTTTCTTGTATTTAATAAGCCCCAAAAATGTGAGGTTTTATTTGACCAGGATATCTGGTTTCTGTTTCCTTTAATCCTGGGAAGCCTTCTTGGGCCTTACGAGTTGTGCCAGTTCTCATGAGTTGAGCGCATACGGCTGGTGTCCCTCCTGGTGACCTTCGCAGCCATCTGGGCTGGGGCCTGTGTCTGTCCGGCTCAGCCCAGCGGGGCAGGGCCTCTGCCGTGAGTTTGCAGATGCCTCATTCGGACTCCGAGTCTGTGACTCACGCCATCTGTTGGTAATTTGTCGTTGTTCTGGAGTCAGGAGTTTTCAAAGGATTCAGTCTTTGGTGTCCCTTCACAGGTGCACTGCCTGTGATTTTCTGACACCCTCTTGCCATCCGGCCTATGGCCAGAGCCCAGCACTGAGTCAAGCTACTGTGGATATAATGATGTTGTTCTTTGCACTTTAGAGAGCTTCACACCAAGTTCCTGCCCCCTTCTGAGCGAGTCACACTCTTTATGGGACTTGTTTGAAGTCCAGCCAAGCTGGCAACCGTGGGGTTCCACTTTTACAACCTCTAGCAACAGTAGGCTCCAGTCCTTTGTGTCACCGTGCCATCTGCTTAGCTTTTTTCCTCTTCAAACTGTAAGCAAAATGAGCTACCTAAACCAAAAAACGCCACCCCCCAACTAAAACACATTTGCATCAAGTCAACCTAAATGACACTGCTTTGTTTGCTCTAAACCACATGTATAAAAGAATTTCCATACTTCCTTAAGAAATTTTTTTCACCAAAAAAATAGACAACCATAGTAGCAATTATATTTTTTCTACACACCAGGCACTGTGCTACATGTTTTATGTTCATGATTCCATTTTATTCTCACAGAAACCCAGTGAAGGAGGTATTATCACTATCTTGGTTTTTTTGCATGTAAGGAAATTGGGGCTCAGACAAGTTAAATAACTTACAATGAGTATGCTACCGGTAAGCAAGGCATCTAAATCTAAACCCCACTGCCTGGCTCTACAGCACAAGAGTTTAACTGTTTTGTATACTGCACCCACTCCTTGATATTAATAATCTAATGCATTGAAGTTCAATGCCTTTAATTAATTTTTCAGTCCTTAAACATAGTGTCACACATCCATTAGCAATCCCCATCTATCTATCCAACAGATATTTTTGAGCATCTACTGTGTGCCATGTACCATGCTGGACCCTTGTCTCTTGAAGCTTATAATGTAGTTGAGGCTACAATTTATTCTATAATGTCTCATGAAGAAGTCTTGTCTCATGAAGCTTATAATGTAGTTGAGGCTACAATTTATTCATTTAATAAACCTTTATAAGGAACATACGGTATGCAGGCATTATGCTAGGGACTGGGGCTATGAAGTCAAGAAAGATACCATCTCTCTCAACTAATATATGATAAACTCACGATTAAACTTGAAATCAGAAAAGCAGGATATTTAGTATGTATTACCAATATTTAGTATGCATGTCCTGGCCAAATCATTGAACTTCTCTCTCCCCTAGTTTCTTCACCTATTCAGTAGATAACATGTAAGGTTACCACCAACTTTGGAAAAACAATTTCTACTCTAACCGAACCTAGCTTTGAAGTAACTTTTCTATTAGAAATGTAGGAGAAGAGAAAAGAGCTGAGTCTGGGTTCATGAGAGAAGCAGGAAAAAGAAATTATGAAGTATATCAGCCAGGAAGCTTTTGGCTACAAGTGAGAGAAAACATGACCAAAAGCTTGAAAACGTAGAAGTCTGTTTTCTCCCATAAAAAGAAGTCAAAGGGTAAGTGTTTCTGGTGTTACTTCCATTGCTCAACAGTGTCACCAAAGACCCATTTTATTTATTTATTTATTTTTTATTTTTTTGAGATGGAATCTCACTCTGTCACCTAGGCTGGAGTGCAGTGGCACGATCTCAGCTCACTGCAACCTTTGCCTCCTGGTTTCAAGCCATTCTCCTGCATCAGCCTCCCGAGTAACTGGGACTACAGGCGCCTACCACCATGCCTGGCTAATTTTTGTATTTTTAGTAGAGACGGGGTTTCACCATGTTGGCCAGGCTGGTCTCGAACTCCTGACCTCAGGTGGTCTGCCCACCTCGGGCTCCCAAAGTCCTGGGATTACAGGCGTGAGCCACCGCACCCGGCCCCATTTTGTTTTCAGGCTTCCTATCACCACCCTTAGTGTTGGCCTTTTGTGCTCAAAGTTATGGTCTCCTGTCCACAAAATGGCTCCTGTTGTGCCCAGAATTATTTTCTCATAACAACAACCCAGGCAGAAAGGAATCCATTATAGAGAAAGACTTTCTTCATACTATGGCATTTGTTTTTGTTTTAGTTTTCACTCTAGAAAGGGAGCCCTCCCCCAGCCAACTTTTCCTTTTATCTCATTGGCTACAACTGGGTCATATGTTGAGCCTAAGCCAATCATAACTTGTCCTTTGGGTCTGGGGGAGGGGTTCTGCATTCTCTGAGGTCATGGGATCTCTACCAGCTTAAAAAAAAATTATGTTTCATTTGAAAGGAAGAAAGTGAATAGACAATTAACAGTGTCTGTCATAGAGTTGGTTGGAAGCAGACACGCTAGCAATGGCCATTTGGCCCTAGAAAAGCTGGAATGTTTGAAGGAACTGTAATGAGTGGGAATGCCTAACAAGTAAATGCTAGAAAAGATAGATCCTGGAGCAAAACCTTTATTATCTAAAAAGATTTTGTCCCTAAAAGGGAAAAGTAGGGGATAAGATTGCCACTAAGAGACTCCTATAAAATCTGTATGACTAGCTTGTATTTGAAATGGAAGAGAACCAGTTACAACTTCCCTTTCATCTTGAATCCAGACACTGTAGACATAATTACCAGGATAGATTGACACTGGGGCAGCCTAAAAGAACCTCAGTCATCCAAAAGTCTTTATTGAACTGGCCACCATGAAACAAAGATGACTAAGACACAGTCCACTCATGGCAGAATTTTTAGGTATTGATGAATTTCCAGCTGTAATTGCAGCATAATACGTGCTTTGCCAAGGGTGTGCACAGAGTACAGTTGGAGCACTGGGGAGAGACTGGCAACACTGCTTGGAGTGGGGCAGGTGGTGATGAGGGGAGGATGTATAGCGGAAATGACATTTGGTGTGGCCCCTGAAGGAATAAAAGAGGCATTCAGAATTGAAATGTAAGAAAAGGGCAATCAAGTCCAGTGGAATCTCGTAACAGAAGTGAAAGTCCTCTGAATATTTCTGAGCAGATATTAATGGGAAAACCTTCACGACCCACAGAACCCATGCTAACACTGCCACTCAGAAATCTTGTGCTCACTTCCTTTGTTGGGTGAGACTGTGGCTGTGGCTTCAGAACGAGGAGATGGTGGATGCTTGTATCTGGCTGCTTGTTGATGAGCTGAGGCGCCACCACTGGCTGGAACAGCAGCCCCTGAAGAATGTAGGAAGGACCATGTGTTCTATCTCCCACCTCTTTCACCACACGATCTTGTTTCCCTCTCATCTTCCTGCTTCCACATCCATGTTTATAAGTCTACCTTACTCAGTAAACTTCTCCCCCTTCACATTAAGACATGTGTTATTGCATCTTGGTCTTTCCTGTGCCGTATCACAAGACCTGACCCATGGCCCGTGTTCAAAATGTGGATTTTGGACAATTGGATGATCAAATAAATGAAGTGAGAAGTTGGGCAGAGGGTGGCCTATGTGTTGGCCACATGGACAATTAGAACTCATCTCATATTCTCCTGGCTTCATTATATTAACCGTATCTGGCTCAGGATGTTTACCTGACTGGAACTTGTGAAATGTGGCAACAGGCAGAAAAGCAGAGGCCAAATAGCTCCCTGTAATTAGATGTATTTAACACTAGAGGTTCCAGGTAGAATTTCACTATTACCTAAAGCCCATCTAAAATGGACAAAGAGAATAAATGAACCAAGAGCAAACATTTATTGAAACCAATTATGAAAGAGAGTATGACATAGGCGATGAAGGAACAGACTCTTCAGCCAGACCTCCTGGGTTTAAATCTCAGCTGCATTGCTTCCTGGCTGTTTTACTTTGGGCAAGTCACTTAACCCCTCTATGCCTCAGTTTCCTCATCTACAGAATAGGAATGAAAATAGTGAATGCCTCTAAGGATTGTTGTAAGGGTGAAATGAGTATAGGTGGTGTAGTTTCATATTACAATAGGCCCTGGCGAATACAGAATACTGTACAAGTGCTGACTACTTGAGTTTCAGAACAACCCTAGAAATTAAGTATAACTTTTATATGTTACATATGATGAAAGTTTAGCTTGGAGAAGTTACATGTGGCAAGTCTATTGATCTTAACATGGCAAGATAATAGCTGGGATTTTCTATAAGGATTTTCTCAATTTCTACATAAAACATATAAACCACAGCCACCCTGTTCTGCCTAGGATAATGAAGTTATGACATCATAGACCGAGCACATCATCCAATCTTTGCTCCTTCCCTCTGGACCAATGGCTAGTGGAATTTTCCCAACAATTAAAGCTATCACTGGTAAGGGAGCATTTGTTTGGGTTTGGGGTTTTTGATTTTTAAAAAATTTCCAATCTGTCATGAACCAAAATCTGTACCAAATATAATAAAAAATTACTAGAAAAATAAATTTTTTAAAAAACCAGACAATATTCAGGGCCAACATTTTTTATTGGATTCAATGGGAAAGTGGCTTTAAAAATCCTTCAAGTGCTTACTCTCAATTCCCGTACTTATCTTTCTGTGAATTTATACCAATGGCCGGCCACCAGTCTGCAGACCATACTCTATGAGTATCTGACTTAAAGGACTTCCATGAAGAGTTAGTTACTCCTCAGATGGAAATGATACACATTCCCGTTTGCTCTTAGCTTGTGGAGAAGTTCTCAGATTTCTATAGATTTTCCTTTACAAACATTGACCTGATGTTTGTGAGGCTACCTGGAGAATCTCTATCCATCAGCAGAGGGTATTAGAAAAGTGGTCTGAAAAAAAAAAATCAACAACAACAAATAAAACCATAAAACACAGCCTTTACAGTTAATCCTGTGCTGGGCTCAAGGTAAATGTTAGTCACTTTTAACAAAGGCTCAAGACAGCCCTGGAAGTCCTTGACAAGGAAAGAAACAAGCCCTGGGAGTCCTTGAGAAACGCTGTTTCAGCGAACAACTATTCCAAACCCCTATGTGAAAACCCTGACCCTGGTGAGCAAGACTGAACCATTTTAGACTTGCGTGGAGCCCTTTTGCCCCTTGGCCTGTATCCCTGACTCAAACCAGACTTTCCTGACAACTTTTCCCTCAGGTCCAAACTCAGACTTGGCTGTCATCATCTTGCCACTTCTGGGATGAAGCATTAAGAGACAGAAAGAAAGTAGCTAGGGAAAGAGTTCATTTCCATGCCGCTCTACTGTTAAACTTCCTATCAAAAGCTTCACTTTGTACTTCATTTTATTTAACAAATACTTCCACTGTGCTCACTGTGTGTCAGGCACTGTTCTAAGGAATTTGCAAACATCAACTCATTATAATACTCAGGAAAACCCTGTGGGTGGGTTCTGTTTTTCTCCCTATTTTATAGGTGAGGGAACTGAAGCACAGAGCATTTAAGCAATGCAAGTCGAGCATCCCTAATCTGAAAACCTAAAATCTGAAATGCTCGCTCCCAAACCCAAAACTTTTTGAGAACTGATAAGACACCCCAAGTGGAAAACTTCACATGGAGATACCTAACACAAACTTTGTTTTATGCACAAAATTGTTTAAAATATCATGTAAAGTTACCTTCAGGCTGTGTGTATAAGGCATATGTAAAAAATAAATGAATTTCATGTTTAGATTTGGGTCCCATCGCCAAGATATTAGGTGTATGTAAATATTCCAAAATTCAAACTGCTTATGGTCCCAAGCATTTTGGATAAGGGATACTCAACCTGTGTATCCCTAAGTCACACAGCTGTGTTTTGATCTCTGTCGACACGTCTCCCCCTCCAGGATAAAGAGGAAAAGCAGTAGGGAGAAGGGCTTAGAATGAGCACGAGCAATAGCAATGTAAGGAGAAGTTATCCTCAGGCCAGGAGAAGCAAGAACGCAGCCAAATTTCAGAAACAACAAGGGATTCTAGTCACTGGCAAGAGAAAACAAACTGAAGACTGAGTGGCAGGGTTGCTGTGTAATATGAGGAAAATAGAACCCAAGCCACTATATTTCATGACCAAGCTCAAATTAGCGGACGTGATAACCCTTCTATAATAACAACCATAATAATAAAATAGCTATGCTTTTTGAAACTCTACTGTATGGCAGTTTTTATATGTAACTTTGTTTAATCCCCACAACTATATGGGGAAGGGGGCATTATCCCCATTTTTCAGATGAAAAAGTTAATCAAAGTACAAAGAGGTAAAATCACATGACCATAATCTCACAGCTAGTTATTGGCAGAGCCAGTATCGACATCCATTTCTGTCTAACTCTAAACCATGGGTTGTTTTGATGCAGCCACGTTGTTAGAGTTAGTGACCCAGTGCCATTATAGGGGTGCTTAGGAGAATCCTAAATCCATATGCTGAGTCACCACATGCCCAAGAAGTCTCAGAAAGATGGCACCTACAGATAAACCTAAATTAGTTTTTTTAAGCTTGGAAAATCCAAGAAAGATAAACTTAGCACCCATTAGCCTGACACAAAACACTTCCATTTTTTACAAATAGTAATGTTTCATGCATCTCTGCAGGAAGTGCATGCGACATCATGGCTGCGGATATGCCCCCATGGAGAGCCCTTGCTGGTCCTGGGGTATTTGTCTCTCTTATCCCAGGTTGCGTGTGGTTGTAGAAGGTGAAGTGCTGTTACTGAGACTAGCGCCTATCTGATGGCCTATATGAATGACCCACTAGAGTTATTGGGTTCTGCCAACATTATTTCCATCCTAGATCTACAAAATGTTTGTGGGCAGATAGAGCTGGTTCCTGAGATCAGGCTAGACGGTGTTTTTCATACTCCACAAGGCTTATATAAATTCACTATCTTCCTTTTAGAAAAAAATCCTTGGTCCAACTTCTTTTCAGTACTTGATAAATAATCAGTTGATGATGTGGGAACATTTGCAGCTGGGTATGTAGGTGCTAAAGCCTTATTACATGCAGAGTTGGAATTATAATAAGACATTCACCACTTATCTAAAACAATTCAAGAGGACAATAAAAGATAAATAATTCTAGAATGCATCATCAGGAGTGATATTCTTTCTATGCCAAATGAGATTATGAAAATAACACTAATAGAAGTTTCAAAAAAAGGAAGCCTGTACATTCTTGGAATTAGCAAGGTGCTTCCCATAATTATACACTTGCTTGGAACCCTAGCCTTTTATTTTTTTCATTGAATAGCCTCCCAGTTAAAAATAACCCAATAAAGTATCATAGACTACAAAATGCCCGGAATCTTTTTACCAGGTGACATCTCATCTTTCAAGATATCTGATCTTAAGTCACCCCAAATTAACTTGTACATTTTATTTGGCAGTAGACAGTGGTAACATAGGTATTGTTAAAGTATTGATATAGGACAGTGGAGGAAGGAGACTTTCGATGAATTGATCAAGAAGAAAAAGAACTCTGTGTTGCCACCTGGTTATGGTTCAGAAGTATTGCCCTGAACTGCCATACTACCACTGAGGGTGAAATAGGAAAACATATCCCAACATTATCAAGCACACACCTCTATGGGAAGACTGCATATGTGGCACTCATACCTCATCTCCCCTCCTGCTGCCAATACAGACATAGCTAATCCATCACAACACTCTTTCCTGCCAGGCCTAGATTTGCCATCAAAATCCTTCTCACCTCAGTGCTTCAGGCAGGTCCTTTCAAGCCATGACAGCTGGGTCATGAGTTGAAACCTGTTTACTTTCTATGATCAGCACTAGTAACGCAAAGATGAGTACACATGACACCTGCCCTCAAATAGCTGGCAGATTATTGAGGGAATCATACCCAGCAGCAGTTATAATATTGTGAGATAAAATGATAGAATGTATATGTTAAATGGTACTGGAAGACAGAAGGAGGAATAACTATTCCTGAAGGAGGTAAGGAGTGTTTCCCGGAGGAAATGAACACAGACGAGATTGGCAGGATGTGGGAGTTCCCTTATCAATCAAGGTAGACAAGGGGTGGAGGTAAATGGCATGGACTTTGCAGGTGCTTCCCCAGCCTAGGGGCTGAGTGGAGGAATAGCAAGAGGTTGGGGGGCAGCCTCAGGTCAAGACCTTGACCTCTTTGATTGCTAGGTAAGATGTTAAGGGTTTTTCTTGCAGAAAAAATCCCAGTCTAAGGTATGTAAACCCCTTGGGGGCCATGAGATTATTCCAAGGGCTGCATGAATTCACAGCACACTGAGTAGGCTCTGATAACGTACTAAATGGATCACATGGGTATGGGCTTTAATAATGTCACTGCTGAGAATGCACTATATACTTGTAGCAGATGATATAGCAAAGAGAAGGCTTTCACCTTCAATGGTTTGCTCTGAAGTTTCATAAACAAAACACTGTGAGCATCAAGGTATAGTCTGGAGAGCTGATTTAACTGCAAAGAGGTGCTGTCTGTGCAGGCTCTTTAGAGAAATCTTGGGATCTCAGTGTCTTATCAGGTGTTTTGTGATATGTTACAATATCAAGTTAATTCCTCTTTTTTTGAAAAATGTATAAATTCAGCTTGGGGTTCACAAGCTCCAAGCTATGTTACCACTAAAGCCTTTCTCACAACCCAAAGCACTTGAACTTACCTTCACTCTCTGAGAGGTCATTATATTTAAATAGCTACTCTAAGAAGGAAATATGCTCAGTCCTTCATTTGAACAACAGTTTAACCTTCAAAGTAGAAAAACAAAACAAATCTGTAATATCCCTGTCACTAAATCAGCATCATTAAGGATCAGCAGCCATTGTCTCTTTTAGTTGGAGAACGGTGGGTCACCCATCTCGAAGCCCAGTTAATGAACAAGGGTTTATTCAGTAAAACATTGAACATTACCCAAGTTAATATTATAATAATCTCTTATATTAGTAGAGTATAGTTGGCAAAACACTTTCTCTCACATACATTATATCATTTGATGCTTACAATAACCATTCAAGGTAGATGGAAGGTATTATTCAGTTTATTTCAGTGGAAAGTCCTACCACTATCCAAAGTCTGAATTTCTTTTTTAACAAATACAGAAGTATACAAAAAGAAAAAGCAACACAGCTTCCAGAGAAGATTTTGAGTGTGTAGAGTTTCATGGTGATTTGATTTTTTCCCCTGAGGCTCTGCACTAAATTTACTGCTTCTTTCATTTTATTGATACCATAATGGAATTTGATACACTCTAATTCAGAAACTGAAATGTTTATTCATTTCATATGTCAGTACAAAAATCCAATCAAGAATAAATATTGCCCCTCCCAAAGCTACAGTCATACAGAATGATAATTGCTTTGAAAAGAAATAAACAAGTTTGGGATGAGGGTGCTGAAGCAGTCCCAAAAGTGGGGCTCTTCATCCAGCTTTTTCCTACAGAATCATTTCAGTGTTTCTATCCTGTAAGGAAAAACACTGGAAACTTGATGTTTTTTGCTCTCATTTATTGAACACTTTCCTTGGGAGCCTGCAAACATCATCTGTAATCCTTACAGCAACGCATAGTTGGTGAATTCCTTCAGCAGAGGTATTTTATGAGGCGGTATAGCTTATCAGCTAAAAGCAGAGGCTTTCAAGACATATGGGTGTGTGTTCAGGTCACAAAGATCGGGGTTTAGGGCACGGTTGTCCCATCTTTTGGCTTCCCTGGGCCACATTGGAAGAAGAATTGTCTTGGGCCGCACATAAAATACACTAACACTAACAATAGCTGTTGAGCTTAAAAAAAAGTTGCAAAACAAATCTCCTCACGTTTTAAGAAAGTTTAGAAATTCGCTTTGGGTCACATTCAAAGCCATCCTGGGCTGCAGGTGGGACAAGCTTGGTTTAGGGCCTCACTTCTGCTCCTAATTGACTCAACTTAGGTAAACTACCGAAGCCCTCTAAGTTTCATTCAGTTTCCTCTTACAGTTAATTAGGAATTGTATTCATTTGTTTTCACACTGCTGATAAAGACATACCTGAGACTGGGCAATTTACAAAAAAAAAAAAGAGGTTTAATGGACTTACAGTTCCACGTGGCTAGGAAGGCCTCACAATCATCGTGGAAGGCAAGGAGGAGCAAGTCACATCTTACATGGGTGGCAGCAGGCAAAAAGAGAGCCTGTGCAGGGAAACTCCCCCTTATAAACCCATCAGATCTCATGAGACCCATTCACTATCACAAGAACAGCACAGGAAAGACCTGCCCCCATGATTCAATCACCTCCCACTGGGTCCCTCCCACAACACATGGCAATTTAAGATGAGATTTAGGTGGAGACACAGCCAAACCACATCAGGAATTAAATGAGACAATCTGCTTGAGCCATTCACCACAGAAATTTGCATTGAATGATAAGTAAATGTTTGTGTGTGGAGTTCATAAAATAATAGCCAACATTTACTGAGCACTTACATACCGTGTAATGTTCTGTGTGTTTTACATATAAAAACTCATGTAATCCTCTTGACAGCCAGTGAGAGAATGCAAAAGGTTTAGCCAACTATGAACAAAAGAACTAACTGTGAAATTAGAAGGAATAATGTCCTCATTTCACACCAATTGCTAGTTCAGGGGTTCCCAAAACACTCTCGGCTTCAAAAATAGAACAGAAAAAAAGGACTCACAGAACCCACTGGAAGCTGTTATATTCATGGCTATGGTTTATGACAGGAAAAGGATACAGAATAATGTCAGCCAAGGGAAGAGGCTCATACAGCAGAGCCTGGAAGGGGCTCAGATGTGCTTCCAGTTGTTCTGTCCCCATGGAGTTATAGGGCATTAACTCCTCTCTGTGATGCTGTGTGATAATATGGATGAAATATTGTCAACCAGGGAAGCTCACCTGGGCTTTGGTGTCCAAGATTTTTTTTTTTTAGACAGCATCTCACTCTGTCGCCAGGCTGGAGTGCAATGGCACAATCTTGGCTCACCACAACCTCCGCCTCCTGGGTTCAGGCGATTCCCCTGCTTCAGCCTCCCAAGTAACTGGGACTACAAGTGCACGCCACCATGCCCAGCTAATTTTTTGTATTTTAGTAGAGACGGGGCTTCCCCATGTTAGCCAGGATGGTCTTGATCTCCTAACCTCATAATCCACCCGCCTCAGCCTCCCAAAGTGTATCCAAGATTTTTAGGGGGACTTGATCACATACTTCCCATATTGCTGACTTTTAGTTTCCAGTTATTTCTGGAGGCAGAACTAATACCTCTTGGTTTAAAGACCCCGTCATAAATCACTGTTAGACTGTCTGGTGGCTAAAGCCCTAATAAACAAAGACACTTCTACCAGCCAGGACTTTCTAAGGGCCTAGTGGGTACCTTCCAGTAGCCAAGGGAAATGGCCAGACATCTCTTTGGGTAAGTTTATTCTTCACTGTTAATATTATTCCCATTTGATAGAGGAAGAAACTGAAGCACAGAAAGGTTAAGAAACTTGCCTAAGAACTCCTTGCTGGTACGTGAGAGAGCCAGGATTCTAAACCAGGCAGCCTTCCTCTGGGATCTCTAAACATTTCTCCTTGCTGCCTAAAAATAGGTTCATTGACTCTGCTGAAATCAGACTGACTGCTGGTAAATGTTAGGACCTGGTTTGAATCTGGGTGGATCTGATTCAGGAGGTCTTCATCTTTCCATTTTCCTCTGGTTTTTCCTTACAAAAACATGAGAGCCTCACTGAACACCGTCTAAAAGGCTCTTGCGTCTCATGGATGAAGTACTAATAACCCATATTGGGTTCTGCCTCTGGCAAACTGAGCCATGCTGAGCATCAGTATCTATCTCAAAAGTACTTGTTTGTGGTCTCCTGGGAGTGTCTTATGACTATTGAGAGTCAATGGAGTTTTTATGAGCCTCGAAAATAATATTATCCATGGGGCTAATAATTCTGCATTATTTCTGCAGGGAAAAAAACAGAAAACTCCTACCAGTACATACCAATATCTGCAAGTAAAGTTAAAAACAAGGGAGGATATTGATAGTCATGTGCCCTAAGTATGGAAATAGAGCTAGGGTTTGCCGCTGTTTGCATAGAGTACGTCACAATGGAACACATAAGGGCCTTCCTTCCTCCCATATTTTTGAAGGCACAGTTTTATGTTTCAGGAGGCTGTCTCCAGTACCCTCAAATATAGGGTGTAATTAGAGACACCAAGCTATAGCTTGTTGCTTTAAAGACTATGTCTCAGTTGCTCATCAGGGCTCGCTGGTTTTGCCAGTAGTGGGAGGAGATCAACACCTTCATCACCAGCACCCTCAGAGAACAGCTTTTCTGGGTAACCACTGCAAACAGAGAGGGATCACTGATGAAACCCAAAGGGGCGGGCATCTCCCACCCACAGATCAGCTTTGCTGATGTAAAAGGCCAGCTCATCCTGAGCCACGAGTCAAGCTCTATGAGTTCCGTTACCTGAATACTTGTTGAATCAAGGCAAAAAATAGGTGTGCTTCATCCTCCACTTCCTATCCAACCTCATCAGTTAGGTGAATTTCTCCTTCATCAGAATCTCAGAGTAAGGCATGAGCAACCATATTTTTAAAAGTCCCACAGGAGATCCTGAAGCACAGCAAATGTCAAGAATATAATAGATCAGAAATTATGCCATTTTAAACATTTTTCAAAAAAATTGAAACAAAACAACCCTGTCACCTAATACTAGTTTTCAGCATCGTGGGCAGGTTCATTCTTTAGAGGGAAATGAAATGACCAACCCCCACTTATATTTAATTTTGGTTTGTAAGAGGGGCTGTTTGTGTTAATTAAAAGTAAAGTATATAATTATATAGGATGAATATGTTAAAAATTAGGGTAAGTTTACCACAAAGTAATTTGATTGTCACTTGTAAATACATTGCAGTTTTTACAGTGTTTTCACCTGAGATGTTAATGACCACAGCAGAAGAAAATCCTAAAGCTACATCCAGGTATAGAGTTGTCCTTTGACTTGTACACCTTCTGTGGGGACAAAAGGTTGGTTTGAAGCTCTTTCCTCAATACACTGTCAGTAACATAGTGACGGAATGATCAGTTATTAAGTATTCCTCGACGACGACGATATTGGATATCCAGGCTGGGTTTTAAGTCCTTTCATGTTGTAGGAAAGAAACAAGCTTGGGTTACTGAAGTTATTATGAACCTAGTAGGGGGATGCATGGACATAAAACCAGCCAGGCACCTCACAGCCAGGCCTCGTGGAGGGGTGAACATTGTTCATTGTCGCAGCCAGGACAGGACAGTAGCTCCTTTCATCTGACAGTAGTTCTGGAAAGCCAATAACAACTTAGATAGCCTCCCAAGTTCAACACTTAGCTCTCCAATCTCTGCTCCTTTTTCTTCCAGAATGGACTTCCTACTGCACTACCAGTACATGGTTTCTCCACTGTTACAGACGACCCCTCTCCTGATAGTTTGCGTTACTCAGAGCCTCTACTGTCTTCTGGCTTCTGCCTACTTCCTTCTTGTGTCTTTTGCTTCAACCCCCCCTATGTTTGCTGATGCCCTATGTGTGTTTCATATGTAAAGCCTCTAAAAGAAAGAATGTGATTGGGGTCACCAGTCATAATTCCGTATTATGCACCTCCATTGGGCATGTAGTGAATCAAGGAGGTCACCCTAGGGGCCACTACCTGCCTGCAGAAGGCTGTCTTTGGATCAAGCCCTGGCTCCTTGTCCAGCTGGCTTTGACCAGGAAAGTGGAATACTGAGATGTACAGCCGTGGCAAGCAATGCACAAGAAATCTAGAAAAAGGAAACTGCATGTGTGGCAGGCACCATGGGGCCTCTAAGCATGGTGGCCTGCCCGGAGCAAGGCAGACCACTTTGGCATCCCTGCTGGTTGAGCCCAGGCGTGGTCCCCTGTCTTGGCCTAGCAGGTGCATGGGCCCTAGGGCTCAGTCACTCTTCTCCATGATTGTGATCACTTGTGTCTTCTTTCCTTCTCAAGGCTGGCCCTGGAATAGGAAGCAGCTCTTTATGTTATTCCACACCTTTCTTCTGTGGAATCTCCTGGAAGAATTACATGATTTTTACGTTTTAAATGTTTTCATGCCACTTACTCTGATCTGAGCATGGGATAACTAAAATGCCAATGGGCAAGTTATAAATTTCAAAGATTTCCTATGAGTAGTTTATATTGAAATCTAAACATTTTTAATAAAAAATATATCCACATGTAAATCTCCAGAACCTATGAAAATAACCTATTATGGCAAAAGAGTGATTATTAACATATGTGGCATAAAGGCACAATTAAGTTCAGGATCTTGAGAGGAGTTTATTCTGGATTACCTGGGTGGGCCCCAAATGCCATCACAGGTGTCCTTGTATAAGAAAGGCAGAGAGAAGTTAGACACACATTGAGCAGGGGCAGAGGCAGGATGACCACAGAGACAGAGATTGGAGTGACGCCGCTACAAGCCAAGGACTTCCAGCAGCCTCTAGATCAAGCTTGTCCAACCCACAGCCCATGGGCCACTTGCGGCCCAGGACAGCTTTGAATGCACCCCAACACAAATTTGTATGCTTTCTTAAAATATTATGACGGGTTGTTTTTTTGCGATTTATTTTTTATCATCAGCAATCATTAGTGTATTTTATGTGTGGCCTAAGACAATCATTTTTCCAATGTGGCCCAAGGAAGCCAAAAGATTAGACACCTCTGCTCTAGATGCTGGAAGAGGCAATCAAGAATTCTCCCCCTGGAGACTTCGGAGGGACTGCAGCCCTGCCACCACCTTAATTTCATGTTTTTATCTTCCAGAACTGTGACAGAATACATTGATTGTTGTTGTTGTTTTTGAGATGGAGTCTTGCTCTGTCACCCAGGCTGGAGTGCAGTGGCGCAATCTCGGCTCACTGAGACCTGTGCCTCCTGGGTGTAAGCAATTCTTTTGCCTCAGCCTCCTGAGAAGCTGGGATTACAGGCGTGCGCCACCACGCCCGGCTAATTTTGTATTTTTAGTAGAGATGGGGTTTCTCCATGTTGGCCAGGCTGGTCTCGAACTCCCGGCCTCAGGTGGTCCGCCTGCCTCAGCCTCCCAAAGTGCTGGGATTACAGGAGTGAGCCACCGTGCCCGGCCGATTGTTGTTTTAAATGACCCAAGCTGTAGTTATCTTTAGAACAGCCCTAAGAAATCAATTCACATACTTTCTTAACTGACCCATGGAAGTCTCCAGAGCTCTTATCTTGAAAACAAACACACCTGACACTGTTTGCAAACTAGATTGGACTCTTCAAATTTTGGCCTGGGGTAGAGGGTAACACCTTGACCAAGCCTTCTGAGGTCACTGGGCTGTAAGCTCTGGGAGAACAGCACTGTGCTGCCTATTATGGGTGCATAATACCTATTTGCTGAATGAATAAATAAATTCACTGGCCTGCTGTTTTTTTCAGGTTCTGTTTACCTAGATTCCTCTGGCCCCAGATGGTACTGCACTTTCAAGCTGCAACTTTTCTGGCCATTTTGGAGTCCCATCCTGGTCCTTGGCCTTTTACCATTCTTTCCACTGTTCTTCCTCCCACCATCTACATCTACACGCTGGATAAGAAAGACAATCTGCCCTCCCTTTTGTTTGCTTTAAATGAAGCAAACTATTGTTTCCCAGATAAATTCCATTACATCTTCTCTCCATTGATATGCTCCATTTCTTCATCTCCAAAGCTTAATCAAACTCCATCCCCCAGATAGTAAGTCTTCTTTTGGAATTTTCATGCCGCTTTGTCCCTTTCGCGTATCACTTATTTGTCTCTTGGAAAGCAGATATTTATGTGAGTACCATCCATTCTGCCAGACTTGAGGGTGGTCTTACCATTGGGTCCATTTTTCTCTTGCTTTTTCATCTTGTTTTGTTTTGTTTTTATTTTGAGGCAGTGTTTCACTCTTGTTGCCCAGGCTGGAGTGCAATGGCACGATCTCAGCTCACTGCAACCTCCACCTCCCATGTTCAAGCGATTCTCCCGCCTCAGTCTCCCGAGTAGCTGGGATTACAGATGTGTGCCACCACACCCAGCTAATTTTTTTAATTTTTAGTAGATATGGGGTTTCACCATGTTGGCCAGGCTGGTCTCAAACTCCTGACCTCAGGTGATCCACCCACCTTGGCCTCCCAAAGTGCTGGGATTACAGACGTGAGGGTCCATATTTCTCTTAACGCACAGTACAGAAACAGGCAGCAGTATAGGAATCCAAAATACTGGGTAATTGAATAAATGGAAAATGAGGATGGGGGGAGGCCAAGAGTGGGGAAATTTTTCATAAATTCCTTAATATACTATGAAGTTAAGAAGGTACATAAAATTCCTCTGAAACAACATTAGGGGCCCTGTTGAACTGGTTGTGGGCTAACCCGAACATGTATGAGTAAGGTCAGAATGGTTAGATGTCTACGTTTGGTTAGATCGTTTTCTGTTTTGCCCCATAACAAATCACCACAAATTTAGCAGCTTAAAACAACGCACATTTATCATTTCACGATTTCTGTAGATCAGGATTTCAGACAGGCCTAGCTAGGTCTTCTGTTTTAGAGGTTCTCAAAGTACAATCAAAATACCAGCCAGGATTGGCATCTTATCTGAGGGATTGACCGGGGAAAGATCTGCTTCCAAGTGCACATGGCTGTTGGCAGGTTTCAGCTCTTCAAAGGCTGTTGGATTGAGGGCCTCAGTTTCTAGCTGGCTTTTGGCCAGAGGATGCCCCTTCAGTTCTTGCTATGTCGGCCTCCCCACATGGCTGTTTGCTTCATCAAAGCCAAGGGAGGACACTCGCTAGCAAAACAGAAGCCACAATCATTTCTAGCCTAAATGTAGAAGCGACATCCTATCACTTTCACAATGTTCTGTAGGTTAGAAGCAAGTCACTAGGCCAGCCGCACTCGAGGGCATGAATACCGAGCACTTGGAATCATTGAAAAACATCTTACAATCTGGTCTGTCACACCTGGTAACAACCATAGGCATTTCCTAAGTATTGAATGGGTCATGTTCTAAAAATTTCTTGCTCAGTTGGAACTAAGAACTCAGTATGATTTTCTTTATACAAACAATGAAGTTAGGTTTCTGACCTTACCACCTAAATAAGACCCATTTTACCTAAAATATATCAAATATCATGCTAACCAAATCCCTCTAACCAACATTTATTTATTCCATTGTTATTCTGTGAAAAATGGTTTCCAAATTTCAAGTTGGAGTCCTGGCACAAATGTTTCAGTTAATTTGTCTTCAGCATAGCCATGCAGGGAAGTTAGGAGCTTTATACCTCCGCCATCAGTAACTCATTAACTGTTTCCCACAGTGCATATAAATAGATTATTCCTAAACAAAATATGTATCATGAGCTGATGGTCACCAAGGATGCATTTACTGTGTAGTTATTCTATGAAGTCCTCGGTTTTTGCACTGAAAATCTAAATGTTTAAACAAGGAGAGTAAATCATTTTCAGTTTTTCAGAATGTGTAATTCAAGGAAGCATTTCAAACCGTCTTCAAATTCTTAAAACTAAACAGAAACTTCCACTCCAACAACACTTAATCCCCTATCACGAAGTTACTGGTCTTGGTTTGTTTACATTGAATCTCATGGGTTAGTAAAAACGCCACCTCCTTTCCCTACAGCACAATATGAAAGAATCTCCCTATTAGGCTGGCAGTAGAAATTCTTTTGAATTTTTAGATTCATCAAAGACTGACCCTTTCTCTTTTTGAAGTCTTCTCTCGCTTCCTAGCTATCAGGGAGTGCTTTGAACTCAGCTCCCACGGACCGTTTCCTCTTCAAAGGCTTGCTCCCTTCTGTGCAGGGAGAAAGCGCCTTTTCAAAGTGGTGGGTTCCTGCCTTTTGTGGGTCTGTTGGAGTACACAGCAATAAACAAAAATAATAATAAGCAGCAGTAGCAGTTCTTGGTAATTACAGAGAGATCTGGGGAAAATGTGGAAAGCAAAGAAAGCCACTTTGCAACATGACTTAGAGGAAAGGGTGTTAAACATGCTTGATTCTCAGTTGTACTGAAGCTTTCTGTAACCTGCAAGAAGCAGGGAGGGGCATCTAAAGTGGTCCCTCCTCAGGTGGACATTTTGGCCCAGGTGGGCATCCTGGAGGCATCATGACAAATTTAAAACAACTTAAGTTATTTAAATGAGACTCTTCCCTGGACACTTGAACAGTTAGATCCCACCGCGAGGCAAAGTCCTAGACATCCTGGGGGTGTCTCTGCTTTGTTTTATCTGCAAACACAACCCGAAGCATGAACTTCTTTTTCTTCTTTTCCATCTTTTGTTTTGTTTTGTTTTTAGATATTGACTCATGGACTATTGAGTTGATTCTGTTCCCCCCTACCCCCGCAAGTCACTGACTTAGATAATATACAATTGTAGCTCTAATGAAGTGTTTATTATTTTGTTTCCTAAGGAAGATATTACTAGAGTTGTGATGCTTTGTGAGGCACTTAAAAATAGCCTCTTCTTGGCCAGGCACAGTGGTTCACGCTTGTATTCCTAGCAAGCGTGGTGGCCAAGACAGGCAGATTGCTTCAGCCCAGGAGTTTGAGACCAGCCTGGGCAACATGGCAAAACCCCGTCTCTACAAATAATAATAGTAGTAATAATTAGCCAGGCATGGTGGTGTGTGGTAGTGGGACTACTACAGCTGTAGTCCCAGCTGTCGGGAGGCTGAGGTGGGAGGATCACCTGAGCCCCAGGAGGTTAAGGCTGCAGTGAGCCCATGATCATTCTGCTGCACTCCAGCCTGAGTGACAGTGAGAACCTGTCTCAAAAGATTCTCCTCATTCTAGAAGTTTCTGATTCTGTAATCTTAGGTAAACTCTCACATAAGAACATCATCCAGCATGACTGCATAGAAGAGCCCCTTACTTTGCTTCGTAATACACAACAGTTCAGGTATGGAACAGCAGGGGCCTGCAGTTAGCAACAATAATTGAGCCACCCTCTTCTCTGTAACTGAAAATGGTTCTTTCAGTTATGAGGTATATTGTTCTGCTAAGGCTGCCATAACAAAAGACCACAGACTAGGTGGCTTAAACAACAGAAATTTGTTTTCCCACGTATCTGGAGGCTGGAAGCCCAAGATCAAGGTGTTGGCAGGTTTGGTTTCTCCTGAGGCCTCGATTCTTGGCTGGCGGATGGTGTTTTCTCCTCCTGTCCTCATGTGGCCTCTTCTTTGTGTAAGCATGCCCCTGGTGTCTCTGTCTTGTCCTATAAAGTTACCAGCCCTATTGCATTAGGGCCCCACTCTTATGACCTTGCCTAAGCTTAATTGCTTTTTTAAAGGTTCTAGCTCCAAATATAGTCACTGTGGGGGTTAATGCTTCACCATATGAATTTTGGGGAACACAATTCAGTTCATAATATGGGGTCACCCACATTATCCATGGGTGGATTGGAGGTCATAAATATTTTCTGAAAATGTGTATATGAGAGTATATGCCTATATGGATTTTTCTGGAGAGAGGGATCACACTCTATGGAAATTTGAGGGGATTCTAAAAGATAGGAAATATAAATTTATATTAACTTAATTATTTTTCTAGGTGTGATGTTATATGCTAATCCTTTCACAAAGAGTCTGTCATCCTATAACCCTGTTGCTCTTTTCTCTCTCAATTTTGAGATACTCTGTTTTGCAGAATATCTGTTTTACAAATCATTAATCTTTCAAAAGATTAAGGAGTGGTTGAAGAACATGTTTTCCTATCCTGAGTTGTCTAAAATTATGACATAGTTATTTTCATTATTGTACAGTTTTGGAGTCTTCCTTTACAAATGGTGGCTTAGGTGCTTGAGCAAATATATAAAACTTTATAAATCAAATTTCTGAGCTAGATAAACAGAATCCAAATTCAAAAGTAACTGAGATAAATTTTAGGGCAAAAATAAATTAGAATAAACAGAAGTAAACTTCCCAACATAGGCAGTGTTGTTTAAGTCTATGTAATGTGTAGAGGAAAGCAGTGAAAACAACTGGCTGGGAAATGGACACTATGATTAAAATCTAAGGAAAATTAGGATTTCTTAAGTGGAAAAAGAAAATCAATGATACTTTAAAAGTTCCTCCAACCTCTTGTTTTCTCTCCTTCCCTTCTAAGTCTACAGTTTTATTTATGTCATATCATAGGCTGGTTTCTGGGGCTACAACTTTTACTGTACATTATGCTACTGACTTCTTAAACTCGAACGTTGGCTGTTCATTTGCCATCAGTAAATTTTATTTTGTCAGGTTTAGACATTTTTCTTGCACAGTGATTTTCAAATGTTTCTTTAGTTATTGAACCCTAAATCCAAACAAAATCTTCCATGGACATCGAGCAGATAAAAATGGAACCGTTACAGCTGAAATAGGGTGGGAAAGGATCTTACTGAAATAAACATATACTATCAATATGGCATTTGCCTAATCCAGTGTATACTTTATATATATGATTCCCCACTTCATTGGCAGTTTGTAGCAAATTCTTATTTTCTTTGTTTGGCACTCTCTAGATTTTGACACATTAGAAGAAAAAATAAAGTTATATTATTTTAAAAACAGTCCAAATTAGCTGGAAGATACTTATTTTCTCTGACTCTTGTAAAAATGTCAGTAGGGTAAAAATGTCAATAGGGGATGCAAAAATTAAGACAACATACATGTCCTTTTCTTCATTTTATGACAATGGTGAGGAGGAGGCTAGAAATCTTAAATGATATAATTGGCTTTGGAAGCATTTTTAAGCTTTAGTCTCATTTGTCCATAAAGCATGCAGCTAGAGTCACAGAATCTACACATTTAAGATATCTTATGGCTTTCCAGTGAATGGCTATTTCTGAAGGAATCACGTCAAAGCTCCCATGTCATTTTTGCTGAAGTCACTGTGTCAATTGCAAAGGCAGCTGGCGCTCCCACTGCCTCCGTCCATGCCCGATGGCTTTCATGGAGCACTCCAAGATCCTGTGGTCTCATCCATTCCTGGAGTCAAGAACACCTGAATCACTAAAATAAAATGAGGTTTGAAATGTGGTGTTTACTATTTAGAGTGATCTTAAATATTTACAAGTAGCATAACTTTGTAAAAAAAACAAAAACAAAACAAAAACAAAAAAAAATTGTTATTCAGGGACCTTCTCGAACAAATGAGGAAATCTTTAAAAATCAAATTAAACTTCTGAAATTAGTACAAATAAACGCTTGTGAATCTTTAGGATTTTCAGTGGAAATACACAGTGAATTTTTGTATGTGTATATGTGTTTGAACGGTTATAGTTAAGCATTTATATTTTTACAGAAGGCTTTATGCCTGCTTTTTTTGGTTTCTTGTTTGTTTGGTTTGGTTTTGGTTCTTTGTTTTGTTTTATTTTAGTTCTCACAACATTTCCAACCCTAAATGGCTCAGCAAATAAAGTTGCCGTGTTTTATGTTATTTGCCTCAGGTCATGCAGAGGTTTTTAGCCAGGGTGTTTTTAATCTGCTGTTTTAACCTGTCAGCGCATCATTGTTGGGTCTTGGGTCATCTGTGAAGTTCTAGGTGCTGTGCTAAGGGCCTTGGAGACAGAAATATAAGTCATGAGTTCTAATTCTCACTTTTTTCAATACTATATGTGGAGGATGGAGACAGTTCTAAAAGTATGCACTTGAGTGAGAGGCTGAGACCCCCCTAAAGTTTGTCACTTCCTGCCACCCTCAGGCTCAGCATATCCCTGCACAGTGGCTAGTTCTTTTTCTAACTGGGATTTCAAAAGTTAAAGAGGAGGAAGGGAAAGGAACAGAAACTAATAACTACTGAATGCCTGTTATAAGCCAACCTGATGCCCAGAGTCCTCCAATTGAATCCATGGTATCAACAGTATTTGAATCTAGGTATCCCTACTGACAAAGGCCGGACATTTCTCACTAGAATTAACCATTTCTATAAAATGCTAAAGAAGGGCAGTCCCCAGTTTCCTCACCTGTAAAATGAAGACAAAAGCCTTCCACCCTGTCTCATCTGTCACTAAATGGGAGACTATTGATTGTGGCTGAACAAATTCAAATGAGCTCATGTTCATTCAGCCTCTTCATGAATTTTGTGAACAATCACCAGCATATTATAATTCAAATCATCAGTAGAATTGTTTGTACTGATTCAGCAATGCTGATTGTATGTGATTCCAATGCAAAAATTTCTTCTTAGCCACTGCTAACACTAAAGAGAGCAATATCTTCCATTCTTACCCATATCCTTTTGCAAAACTCACAAAATTTTTGTTTAAAGATTTTTCTTCTTGCAAATGCTTCTGACTGCAGCCTCTGCCAGCTAATGGAGGTATTTTATGGGCTTTATTGGCAGAGAGAGAATCAAGGAGGGGCATGAAGTAGAATAGAGAAAGAAACCAAGGAAGGAACTAGCACAGTTGAGGCAAAGAGACATTTTGAAGAGTATAAATGAAAGCTTAACTTGAAAATAATTTGAGGAACAATTGTGAAAAAAGTCTTATATTCTAGACCCACCCCCTGTCAAAACTGAGGTTGAAATTTGGTCCCCTCTGTGTTGGTGTTGGAAGATGTGGTCTAATGGGAGGTGTTTGGGTTATGGGGATGGACCCTCATGAATAGATGGATGTCCTCGTGCAGGAATGGATTAGTTACCATGAGAGCAGTCAGACTCTTTTTAACAATCTGCTCTCATGGGAACCACATCCAAACCATAGCAGAGGTCAACAGAGACCTTGGCAAAACCATTTCCAGCAGATGATGGGGGCAGAAGACAAAAGGGCAGTGGATCCTCTTAGCCCATATATCCAATCTAAACTCTTGGGTCTAGAATTTGACTTCCTCTCTCTTCATGTGATCTCTTTGCACACATCCACTTCCACTTCTGCTTTCTGCCATGAGTGAAGGCAGCATGAGGTCCTTATCAGATGCAGCTACCCAATTTTGGACTTTCCAGCCACCAGAATTGTGAGCCAAATAAACCTCTTTTCTTTATAAAATACTCAGCCTTGGGTATTATGTTATAGCAACACAAAACAGACTAAGACAACCTGCATTTGCCAGAACATCAATAGACATTTTTTAGTCCTAATTTTGCCTTTTCAGCAGCATTACATGCCATAGACCACTCTCTCCTTTTATTTTCTTCCCCTTGTCTTCCCTGATACTACACTTTCTGGTTTTCCTTTCATCTCTTTGGCTACTTTCTCTACTATGCATTGCGGGCTCATCTCTTCTGCCATCTAGCCATTAAACATGGAGTCCTTCAAGGTTTTTTCTTGGGCCCTGTTTTGGTCTTAATATATATGTATGCCTTTCTTTTAAATGAGCGTATTCACAATTATAGCTGCATTTATCACCTAGCTAAGAATTCTTTTACAAGCTCCAGACTCTCATTAAGTTGAACATCAAAAAGTTTTCTCATTCCTTGCGTGCTCATAACCAAAATTGGGAACGTACCCCCAAACTTAGTTCACTGCTAGTGTTCCCTGTTCAGTTTTACCAGCCAGAAACCCAAAGGGAAGTCAGGAATGACTCTCAATGTTTCATATGAGCAATTAGTTGGGCAGTGGATAGGGAGCACTAGGAGAGCAGTAGCGGGGCACAATAGCTGATCATAAATTTAGTTTTGGACTTACTGCATTTGAGTTGCCTAAAAGTTTTAGTATCATAAGATTTGAATGTAGTGACCTGGAAGCCAAGGGAAAAATTCTGTAGCGTATGTGGCCAAAGCTGCATTGGAGAAGGGAGTAATGAAGACAGTGAGGGTCTTGTGCTTCTTGTGCTTCTTTTTTTTTTTTTTTTTTTTTTTTGAGACGGAGTCTCACTCTGTCACCCAGGCTGAAGTGCAGTGGTGCGATCTCGGCTCACTGCAAGCTCCGCCTCCTGGATTCACAGCATTCTCCTCCTTCAGCCTCCCAAGTAGCTGGGACTACAGGTGCCCACCACCACGCCTGGTTAATTTTTTGTATTTTTAGTAGAGATGGAGTTTCACCATGGTCTTGATCTCTTGACCTCGTGATCCGCCCGCGTCGGCCTCCTGCCGACTGTAAAGGGCTGGGATTACAGGCATGAGCCACCGCATCTGGCGGGTCTTCTGCTTCTTAAAGACACCTCCCCCTATCCCATCCAACTTCTTCAGTTCAGTATATATTGTTGTGTTTGGTGTTTATTAAATAATTGGAATTTGAATCTATTCTCTGCTTTCCTTTGGAAACCAGTAAATTTTATTCATTCAGTTTTTCATTTATCCATGATAATAGATTCCCTGTTGGGTCCACTTAGTTCCAAGATAACTCAAAAACCTGTGGGGTGCTGTGGTCGCAAGAAAGAATCAGGAAAAGACCATAGCTCAAGCAATAAAATGATAACACAAACATTGACTGAGCACTTACCTTGTGCCAGGTACTGTAGTGACTGTTTTACATACATTGCCTGGTTTACTTCAGCACCACACCATTAGGTATTTATTCCTTTTTAAGCCCATTTTATAGCTGTGAGAATTGAGGCTTAAATAAGTTAAATGTCTTCCCCAAGGTCACAAAGCTAGTGAGTGCAAAGCTAGAATTCCAACCCAGGTGTAACTTCAGTAACCACTGGGCTTCCCATCCCACAACTGCAAAAGCCTGCAATTCATTGAACAGTATATTTTGCTTAAAGAAGCCCTAATTCCCCTTCACCCCCCCGCCATCCCTTTGCTCATTAAAATTAACAAACAAAAAGAATGTCTTTCTCTTTGGTTTCAGCTCTTTAGCTGGTGGGAAGAGGAGGAGAAATTAAAAGTAAGGAGACTCCCAGAGTTTCAAACCCACAAGCAAACAGCCTGGAGATGACTTGAGTCATCTTCCACAAACATCTGATGTTGCAGAGGAATGGGGAAGGAAGAAGGAAAGCATGAGTAGCTCTTTTTTTTTCTCTTTTGAGACAGAGTCTCCCTCTGTCACTCAGGCTGGAGTGCAGCGGCGCGATCTCAGCTCACTGCAATCTCCGCCTCCCGGGTTGAAGCGATTCTCCTGTCTCAGCCTCCCAACTAGCTGGGATTCCAGGCACACACCACCATGCACGGGTTATTTTTCTATTTTTAATAGAGACGAGGTTTCTCCATGTTGACCAAGCTGGTCTCGAACTCCTGACCTCAGGTGATCCACCCGCCTCGGCCTCTCAAAGTGCTGGGATTACAGATGTGAGCCAATGCGCCTGGCCACTGGTAGCTGTTAGGTGTTGGCATTTTCCAGCCCCTGCAAGGCTGAATTTGGGGGAGGTGTGTGAATACTGGTGGCCTTGGCCTAAGCAGGCAAAAGCTTCACCCTGAAAAGTAGCTTTGGTTAAATGTCAGAATTTATGTGGCAAAAAAATCTATTAAAAAGCATATATAAAGTATAGCCCTTACCTTTCCTCTATGCAATTTTTTTTAATGTTTGAGTCTAAAGCTTTTCAAACACACCTGGAGAAACTGAATCAACACCAGCCTATCCTCCACCAATGGGTTAAGTTCACAAAGATGGAAAGTTAGAGGAAACCTCATAAACTTAAAGAGTTACCATTGCTTCACAAGATAAAAAGAACTCTAGTTAAAGATACTCTAAACAAACAACTCTAGCTTTGCAGTGATTTAGGGAACGTCTTGATGTCTTTTTCCTCATTGATTTTGGTGCATTAAATTTAAGTTGGCTGATAATCCTTGCACTCTTGAAAAAGCTAATGGTTAGTTTACAGCAATTTCTCTTAATGATTATCTTTCAGAAAGCATTTGAGTTATGAGAGAGAGTATCTAACTTATCCTGCTGTTGATAAATAGAATTGGAAGACATATTCAAGGTGCTGCTGCAAAGACGCTTTCAGCAATTGCTGCAGCTCAGCCCATGGATGTTCAGTGAAATAAATAACAGAAAGCAGTCTAAGAATTTGCAAGAGGAAGTGTTTTTATATTGCTTAGCAAAATCATCTCTATATTAAAACCACTTGTAAATTTAAACTGTGCCAGGGGAGGGAAGGTAAATGGGCTTACATAATCCAAGTAGCATAGGAAATATTAAATACTTCATGTTGTTAAAACAGGGTGACATCATTTCCAAGGTACTTTTTTCTCCAGAAAATTGAAGGCTCCATCCGCAAGTAAGTAGTAGGAAGAATTATTTGCTGTGGGAGAAACTCTAACATACAGCTCTGCCTTACACTGATTCTGCAGCTGGAAAACGAGAACTCCCCTGTATTATTTCATTTTTTCAAGCTGCAAAGCAAATAGGGGAACAGAGGTAAAGAAACTAAGAAAATTCTGAGAAGCCATGCTCTTCAAATGATGGAAGGTGCTGCCAAGAATCACATTAACTTACTACTTGATAAATACAAATTTAAGAAATAGGGATTCTTACAGATTCCTACAATGACGAAAGGGATTTTACGCAGGATCAGAAAAAGGTAGAAGGAGGCAATATGCATCAAAACAGAACTAAAAATTGAAGACTCATTAGAAAAAAATAAAGGTTTATAGTCTAGCAAGGGAAGATCTTAAAAAGACTTATGTTATCTAGTAGAGTTTCCCAAAGGGCCAATCCAGGGATAGAAAATCATTAGGGGGACCACAGATGAATCATGCATTTTACACTTTTCTGCCAAAATGGTGGTCAGTTTTTCAAAAGTTCTCAAATGCGTTGTTATTGCAATGCTTTCTAATTTTCTCCCCTTTACATTCCTCCTCAAATAAATCTGCATAGCCATCCTGAAATATTATTCATAAAATTAACACCACAGATGAGCAGATTGACAGAAGAGAGCCACAAGTAGTATTTGTTAGGGCACTGATGTCCCAGAGGACTGACTTGAAAGCTTGAAATGACTCTTTTGGTCATGATTATGTATAAGGAAGATCCGATTAGTACATCACCTTTACTCCCCCCAGTTGTCTTTGGCCTTTCCCCAGTATTGCTTATGGTGACCAAGCATTTTTAAATGGTTCCCTAGCAAAGCAAAAGTCATCACTATTCAGCAATACCACTTTTATTTGATAGCTTCCCCTCTTTGTTTTCTATATCCTAGTCCTTTATTTGTTTTTTTTTTTCTTTCTTTCTTATAACTTACTTAAGCTTCTACTTCCTTCTCACTCTCTTATTTCTGATGTCAGGAACATGCCGATTTGCCCTTTCTCCTGCTCATCTGCTCAGCTTATTATAAGCCCTGCCCTGGTTCTTCATATTTCTGTGTTTTCTTGGAAACACTTTATTCAAATATTTTCCTGTACATACACCACATTTTCTTTAATGTATGCTTTAAAAAAATTTTATGAATGTAACTTTAATAACAAGGTAATACCCACAAATTAAAGAACATTCTAAAAAATATAAAAATGTAGAAACAAGAAAGATCACTCATGGTTCTTCAGACAAAGGAATCGGTGTTAACATTATGATGTGCTCCTTTTAGATTTTTCCATGTAATATTTATGAAACTAAATATGATAATATAAATATGTTTTGATGTTCTTTGATGTCTAAATGTGATGTATAAGTATTTTAGATGTTTTTAATGGTTGTATAATATTCCACCGAGTGGATATATCTTACTTGAAAAACCATTCCCCAATGGTAGATTATTAAGATTATTTTAAATTATTTTGCTACTGTAAGTAGGGCTAGGGAAAATATATTTGTTTACCAAGCTGAAGGAGAATGTGTTTTATCTTGTGTTTATTTCTTTTATTTAGGCTGGTTATTATTTCTTTAGCATAGATTCCTAGGAATCGAACTATAGTCCTTGTTAGTAGGGACAGTTTGCTTCCAAAACAGTGGTTGAGTTGTATTTTCTGTCCAGTATTCATGAGAGGTGCTTTTCACTTTATTCTTGCAACATGACAGATTCTTATAAGAAAAGTTTGCTAATTTAATATGTGTAAATGGTTTTTAACTTGATTATAACTGTTTATTTTATTCGTATGAGCGCGTATATGCTTGGGTATTTATTAGCCTTTATTCATTAATTTTTTCGCCCCTTTCATCTTTCCTTTATCTTGTGCCCACACTGCGGATTTCCAGTGCTTATCCTTATTCGCTCCTGCTCACTTTTCCTCCCTCAAAGTTATTTTTGCATTTTCTTTTGTCTGGTGTCCAGTAACTTGTGGGGCAGTGGGAACCAAATTGCATTTTAAGATCTTTTTTATGAGATGTTCTCAGCAGGCATCTTCAAGGCCCCAAATTCTCTTTTTGTCCCCCACTGTGAAAAACTGATTGGCATCTGGTGATGGGCAGGGCACGGGTGCCTGGCGCTTGCAGGAAGCCCCACAGGAGGTGCACAGAGCCATGGTGGATGAAGTGTGGCCAAGCCAGCACAAGGTGGGGGACCAGATGTCGCCCGATTATGTTCCATTGAAATCCAAACAAAGCCCCAGATTCAGGATCATTTCCTTGAGACTCCCCAGTTGGAAATTGGCACTGAGCCAGAATCTCACAACAGCTGGTCTCCCCATGCTAGGATTTATGTGCCTTACCAAAAACTTTACCTGCGTGTTATTGATTGGTTTCTGTAAAGCAATGAAACAATATTTTGAAGACCCAAAGCATACTGCTCTCTGCTGAAAATAAAAAGACCATATATCACTGAACACACCAGCAAGTCTTATTATAGGCTTGAGAACTCTGAGAAGGATGCGTTTTCCTTTTTATTTATGCCACCCATGTTAACCTTGAGGCTGTGTACTGACATTTGCAGCTTCGCAATGACAACACTCCACTCTTGTTAGGAGACCAAGTCCACCCTTTGGAAATAAATTATATTATAAAATAAGCTTTCAAGGGATACCAGCAGATGAGAAATCATGCTTATGTTTCTCATCATCTAGTTTGTGTTGAGAAATCGGAGAGTCTTCCCAAAATCTCATTACTTGTTATCATCCAGGTCATTTGCATTTATGTCCTTCTCCTTTCCTCCTGCAAAGGAAGATGAACTACAAGCCTGGCAGTTTCATTGTTGTGGATAACGAGGAGGAAAAACCTACAAACAAAAGCCACTCCATTCTGCCCCACCCTCAAAGATACTGAAGTTGGTTGTGCTGAGCCACAGGGGAAGATTGTAATTTAAAAACAAAAACTAGCATTTCTTTGTTAAATAATCGTCATGAAAGCATTTATATTCATATTATACTTGGCTAAATATGTATTCCTGATGTGAATCCAGGAACTCTGTTTTATGCATTGCCTTGATCCCTGGCTGCTGCTGCTATCTCAGTCACCTGATAATGTCTCAGTCTTTCTCTCATTCTCTTCCCTCTTCCCCTCTCTCTGCCCCTCTAGCTGCCTGGCGGTCCTCAACTCAGATTCTCAGACCTCACAGTGAGATTTTGGAGCTAACCCACTCCATTAGAAACAAACAAAATAAATTGTTTCCATTCCCCAAAGGAATGTGCTAAAGCCTTTTTCCTCTTTAACATGGATGCAATTTAAGTTTGGCAAGAGCTGAACACAATATACCTCACTAGGAGGAGAAAGATTTCTGAGACCCTGATAGAAAGAACTAAACACCCCCTCATCCTTCCTGTGAACTTAAAGTGACAAAAAGTAACCTGGTAATGCCTTCGGTATTCACAGTGTTTCTGCAAAATCCTCACTCATTCCCTCATTCCATAAACATGCATTAAGCACCTACTAACTGAAAACGCTGTGTGCACATTCCTTCCCAGCTGTTCCTTCAAGGTGCATTTCATTTCCTCAATCTCTAGCCCCTACCATGCCACAGGCATTCAAATGTCATTCAGTGGCATTTCTCTTCATTACTCTGATTTAGAATCCTGCTTATCTGTAGTGTTTCACAGGCGATGATTTGAAGGGCAATAAGAATAATATGGCCCATAAGCTGGGCGCCATGGCTCACGCCTGTAATCCCAGCACTGTGGGAGGCCGAGGCAGGTGGATCACGAGGTCAGGAGTTCAAGACCAGCCTGGCCAACATGGTGAAACCCCATCTCTACTAAAATACAAAAATTAGCCGAGCATGGTGGCGAGCGCCTGTAATCCCAGCTACTCGGGAGGCTGAGGTAAGAGAATCGCTTGAACCCAGGAGGCAGAGGTTGCAGTGAGTCGAGATCGTGCCATTGCACTCTGGCCTGGACAATAGAGTAAGAGTCCGTCTCAAAAAAAAAAAAAAAAAAAGAATAATAATATGGCCCATTCATTGCAGGTGTTAAATGGAAATCGCCTGAGATCAGCTGTCAAGAATTAATCAGGGATACTTACTGTATTATGTACTTGAAACTAAGAGGGTAGACCCTAAGTGTTAACACACACACACACAACTATGTGGGGTGTTGGATATATTAATTAGCTTGATTGTGGTAATCATTTAACAATGTATCCATATATCAGAACCCCAAGTTGTACACTTTAAATATATACAATTTCTGTTTGTCAATTATACCCCAGTACTGAAAAAAAAAATGGTCAAGAAGGGCTGGGCATGGTGGCTAACACCTACAATCCCAGTGCTTTGGGAGGCCAAGGCAAGAGGATCACTTGAGGGCAGGAGTTTGAGATCAGCTTGGGCAACATGATGAGACCTCATCTCTACAAAAAATAAATTAGCTGGGCATGGTGGAACACACCTGTAGTTTAGCCCTACGCAGGAGGCTGAAGTGGAAGGATTGCTTGAGACCAGGATTTCAAGGCTGCTGTGAACTATGATCACACCATGGCACTCCAGCCTGGGTAAGAATTCATTAAGGACAATAATATGATCTAGAACCAATTTAAGCAGAGCCAAAAGAAGGACCTGACCTCAAAGAATATGCACATGAATCAGAAAAGCGACCCAGTCCTTGTCAACGTCCTGCTTCTCTCTCTTTCTTTTCCCTTTCCTAATGCTCATCTCTTTGTAAAACATCTCCTCCTCATGGACTTAAAAGATTCAAACATCTTTGTTCAAATTCTGGAAGTCATGGTGCTTCCCCCAGACTGAGGTGATTGCCACTGAGGATCAGATCCCAGGTGAGTTGAGGGCAGAGGAAAGGGTCCTCTGAAGCCACGTTGGAGAAGGGCTTGTTAGACTTCCCTTTACTACAAGAACGCCTGCTATTCTTCATGCATCCTAGCTTTTCCTAGTCATTCTTTATTCCTTGATCATATTCACCCACTTACCAAAACACTTACTGGATTGATTTTTACTTTTAGTGTGTTCTACTTTCATAATCCATAAGCTGCCTATCCTCGTATAGCACAGCACACAGCTATTTTTATAATCCTCTACTCATTTGATTCCTAGCCCCAGTAATCCAGGAACTGGCCATTATATCTAGTTCATGCAACCCATAAAGTTGCACATTCTGTACCTTTTGAATAGTCTTTCTCTCATCTTTTTCCCCTTCATCCTTTCTGATTCTTGAAGCTGAAAAGATTCTCAAGGCTCCAAGTTAGCCCTGCCCTCATCTTGGTTCCTTCTTCAGTGGCTACCAGATATCATAGACTTATGACTATCAAAGCAAGAGGAATATGGAGTCAGGGAGATACATTGGCTGGAGCAAGGGGTGGGCCTGAAGACAAAAGTTGATGAGCAGTTTTTGAAGGTCCAGTCTCTGTTCATGAGGGAGGCTCCTGGTGAAGAGATAGAAATGCCACTCATCACTGTGTACACTGGGGACTTTTCCGTTTACCTGAGATAGTCACAGAATGGAGACCTGCCTCCTAGGGGTCAACCAAAGTAGGTACGAGGAAGGATCTGCAGCTGGTTTAAGCTTTAAAAATGTGCCTCTACCCAGGATTAGGCTGCAGAGGCTGATGAAAATGTCAGGTTTCTTTGATTTGGCTGAACTCTGTGAGCACAATGTTGTAATACTGTTGATCTCATGCTGATCTGAAGCTGGCCAAAATATATATCCATGATGAATTATAATAAAAATAGGGAGGATTATGACTTGATATATAAAGTTTGGGAAATAAAGCCATTTAAAATATTGGTCTGTGGGTGAAAATGACAAAACATAGGGCCATAAGGAGGAATAAAACCAAAGGTTGGTTGTGTGATCTACATGTGGAGCTCAGAGCATGTTTCTTCCTCCAGCCCCCTTCCCCGTTGCTCTGCCTCATGAGGGAATTAGCACTTGGTATTGTCTGTACGACTGGCATTGTTCCCTGAGCCTCGAGTCTACGGGGACCACAACTAGATGGTCTAACGTGTGCCTTATTCAGCTGAATAAGGTGTTGAATAGCTACAAATTGATAACAAGTTTTAAAGAGCATGAAGTGCCAACTATGCCCTGGCTAGTAAGAAAGCCAGTTATATGTCAAGGAGGCTTATTAGCTGTGCATGACCATATATAAAATTACAGGGGCTGACTATAGCACCAAAATTAGGTGGTGGTAAGGAATTTAATCATGTACTGACCAATTTCTTGTTTCATAAGAACACTAAGTCCCTGTAAGTGCCAATGTCAGCAGATTCATAACCCTGCAGCGCAATTTTGGATTGTCAGAATCTGTTAACTGTAGGTATGCCATCTATGGATTTTAAAATCAGAGGTTCAGACTAGCTGTATTACTTGGTGTAGTGTTAACCATGTTTGGTGGATGCCAGGATGTGCCACACAGGTCCCCTTTGGGGATTGGACTTACTTCCCCAGCAGGTGGGAGTGCCGTCAGTTTCAGCCCTCTGCTCTAAGCCCTCTCCAGAACTGCCCTTATGTGAAGACAGCAGCCTTACTAAGTTCAGACCCCCTTCCTGTGGCAGCCCTCATCCCATAACTGGTCCATGCTGGGGTATAAAGACCTGACCCACTTCCTCTATTAGGGGCAACTCTGAAGGGCAGGGCCTTCACAGCTTTGCAGCTCCTAGTAGGGTGGGCTCAGGCCCTTGTTCAGACTGCATTGCAAGGCCATACCTTCCTTACCTAGATCACACTTTCTTACTTTCCCTGGACAGGTGTTGGTCCTAGAACACTTCCCTAATAAACTTCTGCATGCTGATTTCCATCTCAGAATCTGCCACACAGGGAACCTGACCAGCAACAGTAGGACAATCTGGATGGCTTGAGTCAGAAGGTGATAAGTTAGAAATAAAGCACTGAAATTTAAAGGGCAAGCATGAGAATGACTCAAATGAAAAAGACAGTATCAAGTGCTGGCAAGGATTCAGAATAAGTGGAACTCTCATACACTGCTGACGGGAGGGTCTATTGGTACAATCATTTGGAAAACTCTTTGACTCTGTCTGTTAAAGTTGAATATCTGTGATCATGTCCTATGAGCTAGCAGTTTCTCTCCTCAGTATATATGCCTAAGAAAAATGCACGCATGCCCACCAAAAGAAGAATACACACAAATGGGCATAGCAGCACTCTTGCCAAATGCACCAAACTGGAGAGAACCACAGTGTCATCAATAACAGAATGAATAAATACATCATATTATAGTCACACAATGGAGTACTATGCAGCAATGAGAAGGAAAACTACAGCTCCACAAGGCAATACAGATGAATATCACAAATATAATATTGAACAAAAGCAGCCAGACACAAAAGAAGACATAACATATGATTCCATTTATACAAATGTAAACATCGGCAAAACTGATGTATGGTGTTTGAAGTCAGAGTGGTGGTTGCCTTTATGGAGATTCACTGTGACAAGAAGAAGTCTGAAGGGGATATTCTGGAAGGCTTTCGAAGCTGTTTTTGATCCAATTGCTGGTTACTGGAGTGAGTTCACTTTAGGAACATTTGTTGATTTTTCTGGACACTCACTATTTGTGCACTTTTCTGTGATATGGTATAGTATTTAAACTCAGAGTTTATATAGTGAAGGAAGAAGAAGGAAGGGCAGATGTAAACACTGGATACAAAAAATGTGACATCACGGATGTAGACAAAAATTCCCAAGATTCAAACAGGACCCCTACTGTCCAGTACTGCAGACTCCTATAGATGACAAGTCTGAGGTCCAGAAGGGCTCCAGTTGGCTCAAAGTTACATAGCCAGCTAATGGTGAAAGACTTCCTGGCCCCATCCTTTCCCCCTCTTCCCACACTTAGCAGAGCCAATGTGGTCACTAGAGTCTCCATTCATCTGAGCTCAGCATTGACCACAGAATCATCCAGGCAGCCTAAGCAAGATATGCAATGTACAGGGAAATAAAACATGAGCAAAGACCTGAAAAAGGCATAGGAATTTGATGTAACAGAAATGTTATCCATTTCTTAGAGGCCTTTCTCCACCTATTACCTACTGTCTTCCCACCCACGCTTCTATAACTACCCACAATGCTTTGTGTTGAAAGTGTGTCATTTTCTTTTTGCAAAGCCAAAGACTACGGAGAAAAGGTTTTGAGCTGTGAGCTAAATTGCCTTTTTCTCCCTTGGCTTTTTCCTATAATCTTTGGGAGAACTCTAGACTATACTGGGCTCTAAAGGCCCCTTTTGAGAGCATTGCCTTATGTCATGGAATCATTGTGAAAAACAGCTAAGTTATAACTACTTTATATGTCTTTAAATAAGTTAGTATTTCTCTAAGAGCTTTAATTTCATTTAATAGGTGATAGAGATGACCTTGAAGATTAAAGCTGAAATATTCTTCATTCTTTAAGTATGTTAATATGTGTGTGTGCACATTTGTGTGTGTGCACATGGGTATGTGTGCTTGTGTGTGTGTGCATGGATGAGTGTGTGTGTTTGCATGTGTGCAAATGCATGAATCTGTACTAGTATATAGGCTTGCATGTCGTGTGCTTGCGTATGTTTGCATGTGTGTGTGCATATGCACAGGCACATTCTCTGTTAATATAATGCCATTTGCAGGGTGCTTGCCAGTCTCTTGAGACTCATGGTTCTCTGCTTTCGATTACACTCAGACTAGTCCAAAACCCCTCTGAACTAATTCTAATCAACTTGGAAGCCACCACACTCAGGCATGAGGCCGTCAAATGTGAGTGTTTGCAGATGTCAGTGCAGAGATGGCAGTAATCCAGGAGGACAGATCAAGGCTTAGTCACTGAAAAATACATGCCAGTGCATCCCAGCTCCAGAGCACCATCTCAGCCCATAAGAAAAACATGTCATGACAGTAAATCAATAACCCCTTGGAGATGATTCGTTTCTGAAATATCCCTGATTAATTATGCCAGTCCATGCTTGGCAAGAGTACTTTGCTCCAGCATTAACCTAATGCTTTTTGCATGAAGCAGGATTATAACGGGTTCTCATAAGTCAAATTTGACATTTTAAATCAGGCTTTAAAGGTTTGGGTTATAGATTTTATAATGTCTCCATGTCAAACATAATTGCTCTTATTGCTGCTAGTAGACGTTTGCCAATCAATCAAAATAACATTTATTTTCATCATAAACAAGGGTAAATTAAAACCATTTGAAATCATTGTATTTGAAAACTTAGTGAAGAAGCATCTTTAGTACCATTGAAATTTGCTTCCTCACTGTGATACATGGGAGCGTGATGAAATTATAAAAGTCGATGGAAATGTGTTACTATTTTCACCTTGAAAAATTAATGCTTCTACATATTTTGTGAATACGCGGCTTAAATTTGGTGGCTTATTCCCATATGATTATGATTTGGGGCAAAATAGCTCCCTTTCTTTACATAATAGGAAATTATCATTTTTGTCCCTTAAAGATGAATATATCTTTCAGTTTGCTTATAAATTGCATTCAGAACTTATTTCTTATTCCTCTTAAATTGCAAGTGTTTTTTTCTCTAAGAAAAGTTAATGGAAAAAGAAGATTTGCTTAAGGGGAAGTCATACTAATAGGTTCCTTCAACAAAAGCTTAGCATACAATGGTCAACTGGTTTGTACATTCTCCCTAAAGTACTTCCAATGCATCAGGGTCACCTTCCCTTACGGTAATTATAGCATTATGTGGTATATTACTACTCTATTTCTATACTGTATGTGTATACTATTTCTATTTGATTATACTGAGATAGATCTCAGTATAGTCATTGAGTGCCATCATGTAGGTATGCAGTGGGAACACGAAAAAGAGGGATTAACTCCGCCCGAGACAGAGCTGACCTTATGGAATAGTGTATTAGTCAGAATAGGCTAACTTACCCGAAGATAGTAACTTCATTCTGAATTCTCTGTAGATTAACCCCACAAAGTTTCTCATTCACACAAAGTATGTTGTTATCCAGTTGACCCTCCAGAGCAGCTTTCTTCCAGGTGGTAATGCAGGGATCCAGAACCCTTCCATCTATGATCTTAACATGTGGCTCTCAGGTCACTATGGTAGAGAAGAGAGAGAGTGAACACACACCAGCTTTTAAATGCACTGGCCTAAGAGTGTCCACATCGCTTCTGTTAATAATAGGCCCATTGGCCAGGACTAGAGCTTACTGTGGCCCCGCCTAACTGAGGAAGCATAGAAATGTGAGGCTGATTCTTTGATGGGAGGAAAATGACTCTGCAATATGTATATACCAAGGATAAGATCCCAAATATTAAGGGATTGCAGTCAGAAAGAAGATGAACAAAGACGTGAAAGTTTGAGGTCTTTTAATGGAACAATAACAGTTGCCAGTCCAGAGTGGTATAAGATTAATCTAGAAAAGTAGGTTGAATCACATAGTAAGGGCCTTTGAAGGCAATGCCAAGAAACTTGGACTTCACCTGAAAATAGTGGGAAGATTTTGGCCAGGCGCGGTGGCTCATGCCTGTGATCCCAGCACTTTGGGAGGCCGAGGTGGGCGAATCACAAGGTCAGGAGTTCAAGACCAGCCTGGCCAACATGGTGAAACCCCATTTCTACTAAAAATACAAAAATTAGCTGGGCATCGTGATCGGCACCTGTTATCCCAGCTACTTGGGAGGCTGAGGCAGGAGAATTGCTTGAACCCGGGAGGCGGAGGTTGAAGTGAGCTGAGATCATGCCATTGCACTCCAGTCTGGGCGACAGAGTGAGACTTCGTCTCAAAAAAAAATATTGTGGGAATATTTTAAAGAAGAGAACCACATAGTCAGAATTATGTTTTTAAAGCCATACTCTGACATTGCAGGATGCTGATATCTACGAATAAGTGGATTCTACTGAGAAAATATCTGAAAAGCAGGTGAATAACATTAAAATCCTAGGTTATTGTTTTTCAAGCTTCCTTTTGTTAAATTTCAGAGTGCTGTGAATGATGTTTCATTTTTCTATAGTTGCTCCCCAAACTTGTCACTTTTCCGTGCTCTTTAAGAAAATACTTCAATGCTTTAAATTTTACTGAGTGCAGGAACACCTACTTGAGTTTCACTTTTCCCTTGCCATTCACCTCTGCTGTGTCCCCCATTGCTCTCTCTTCTTGCATTCTTCACCTCACTCCCCAGAATGTTTCTTTATTAGTCCATTTTCACGCTGCTGATAAAGACATACCTGAGACTGGGTAATTTATAAAGAATGAGAGGTTTAATGGACTCATAGTTCCACGTGACTGCGGAGGCCTCACAATCATGGTGGAAGGCGAAAGGCATGTCTTACATGGTGGCAGGCAAGAGAGCATGAGAGCCAAGCAAAAGGGGAAACCCCTTATAAAACCATCAGATCTTGTGAGACTTATTCACTACCATGAGAACAGTATGGGGGAAACTGCCCCCATGATTCAATTTTCTCCCACCAGGACCCTCCCAAACACATGGGAATTATGGGAGCTACAATTTAAGATGAGAATTGGGTGAGGACACAGCCAAACCATATCAGTTTCCAAAATACTATTAAGGAGAGTGGGCCACCAAAAACACAAGAAAGGTAGCACAAATCTCAGAAAGAGAATGCCTCTCCATGACAACAGCTTGGAGTTACTCTCCCTTCTTCCCCTCTACCTCCATGAGGCTCTTGCTACCTGTGGGATTTACCCTCTGACATGGGCATAAAGACTGACCTGTTGTCCCTCAGACCCTGGAATCTTAAGAAGCTGAATGGTGGGGCGATGAGAGACGATTTCAGGTTCCTTCTCCCAGGCACAGCCATGACACAGTCAGCTCCCCTTCCCTCATAGGAGATCTACCCCTGGCCATTCTTTTATCCTTCGGTTGTCCTGGTGCTCCATAGGCAGCAGAGCACTGGGAGTCAAACTGCCCAAGTCTGAGCACAAACTCACCACCTTCCAGTTGGATAAACTTGTGCAACTTTCTTAACTTCTTGTGCCTCAGTCTCTGTAAAATGGAATTGATGATGATAATAACATATACCTTGAGGCATTATCTTGAGAATTAAATGAGTTTTATTCCATGTAAAGCGATCAGTACAGTTCCTGGCATGCAATAAATAGATCTCATAGAATAACTTCAATTATTTGCATGTGTTGTGTGAGCCACTTCTACTCCAAGATCCTATACATGCAACCCCAGTGAATGAGATCTTTTCCAAGGTGAGAGACTTTAAATTTTTATTCACCTAATTGAGACATGTTTCCCAGAACAGCAGTCCGTTGGAGGCAAGGATGACTGGTGTATAGTAGGAATATAGTATTTATTGGATGAATGAATGAATGAATGAACAAACGAGCATGGGAAGCAGTGTGTGTCAGTAAAAGAGCATGTTTTAGAGTCAGGTAGATCTGGAATCAAATGTTGGCTACACCATTTATGAGTTCTACACTACCTTTGACAAGTGAACCCCTCTGTTCCTTCATTTCGTCATGTATAAAATGAAGAAGATAACTACTACATTAGGATTGCTGTGAGAATTAAATATGATAACAGTGGGAAATGTCTAGTATAAACTCAGCATATATTAGGAGCTCAGTAAATGGTAGCTATTATTATTGTTATTCCATATTTCTGCACATCCAGTTAATGATAGAGGAAGCAGCATAAACACAGAGGGATGAAATAAATATTTTCTTTGTTTACCTGTCAAATTGACATTTACAAAGTTAGACTAGCTTTCTTTTTGTTCTTTATCTTATGTTGTTGTCTGTATTGTGGAGCTTATTAAAGTAAAGGAGAAAAAGAAGAGTAGAAAGGGGGAAATTGTAGGTGACAAGGCTGCAGAGAGGTGAGGAAGAGGTGTGAGGCTGAGGAAGTGGCCTAGAAGAAAGTCATGGAAAGTCCCTTCCTTGAAAAGCCAGCAGGATAGGAACCAGGCAGGAGAGGGGAGCGACTTGACAGATAAATCTCTCCTCTCTTCACTCCCTTCTCCACTCTTTCTCCAGCTTAATCTTTCTACTATTAATATCCAAATTTGTTTCTCCTACTTCTCTAGATCTTAAACTCCATGGAAGATGTCTGAACCTATAGAGGAACGTCTGCTTCCTGCAGGGCAGACTCCAGCTCAAAGCCCTCTAGGGTTTGGCAGACACCTCCCTCACCCTCACCCGTGCAAACCCAGCTCTTCATCCTCTTTCATGTCTTGCAGTGGTAACAGTGCCCTTAGTGGACTGTGCTGTACCTTTACTTTTTCTTCTCCTTGGCCATGTGAATGAATGCTGTCCTTTACCCTTCTACTTATCAACCCCTAGTCACATTTAAAAACCCAGTTCTAATGTCCACCATGATATGAGATCTTTCCTTGACATAACCAAGCAGAGCAAATCACTCTGGCCTTTGTGCCATTGTTGGTCTGCAAGTCTGCATACAGCTCATCATAGTATAGTGGTTTGCCTGTCTGAGGGCATTCATTAGAGGTGCTATTCTGTGAGAACTACACATACTAATTGGGAAATCTTCGTGGAAGAAAGCAAACACTAAGTCACTTAAAAATGGATGTTATATTTTATGGTACAACATGGGTCATCTCTAGCATCCCAGTCACAAAAAGAATTCCTTAATTGGTGGCCCACAGGCTGCTGAGCTGAAAAGGAAAGAGAAAATACACACCGCACTGCAGCCTCCTGGTAATGCCATGGCCCCTTAGCACCTCCTGGGTGTCCTCATTAGGATTCAGCAAGAGATAGTTACTGCCTCAAGTCATATTTAAAATCTTTAAATGCAAAAGTAATAGCCCAGTAAAACGTGTCACTGTCCTAGTGTAATGGTTCCTATGACATATAGTTGCTCTTAATTGCAACGATATGCATGTCTTAATTAAGTGTGCAACACTATTTTATTTGGCGTAATTATTAAAACCATATCCTAAGAGTTGTTGGGGCTAATGTTAGAAGTGAGTAAATTCCAAATTTAGTCCTTAGCCTATAAAGAGTTTTGGAAGTGCCCAGAACATACTGGCACTCAGTAAGTATTGTTCTGTCTGAACCTGAGTTTTTCACCTTGGGTCACTGTTTCTAACCTCATTTTGAACATGAGGTTGTTCTGGTGTAAGAGCATCTCAGCCTGGTTTGACAGCCGGCAGGAACAGGTATCCAACATATGCCAAAAAGGCACAGTTAAAAAATGCCCTGGCAGTTTCTGGAGAGAGATTCTATGCCATGCTGATAGGTAGCACCAAACTAAAGCCAGCACTGGGCGCTGGGGAGAGGGAGACCCATGACAAGAGGAAGTTCTGTTTGACTTCTGGAGAAACAGAAACTATAGTGGCTGAGACTGGCAGTTCCTCATCATTCAAAACACTACAATGTCTCTACTAGGAAGGGAGGGAGGGAGGGTAGCAGATTTTGAGCTGACCAATTAGCGAAATTAATAATGATAGTTTCAAGATAAAACATTTTGTCAGATTTCCCGAGGTAAAAATTCAGGGGATTTTTTTGGAGCCTGCATCAGTTTTCTTTCCAAGCTACTTCGGATGTCATTTCTATCTCCCTTGAAGAGGAGAAACATCTCATCCAGCTAACACTGTTCAGTGGCCCCAAGGGCAGATCCACGTTGATTCTCTTCATGCCCTCACTAATGCTGCGTTTTCCTGTATTCTTCGAACATTTGACTTATTTGGGAAGCCTAGAAGCTTTGCCAAAGATTAGGATCAGCCAGAGATTGGTGATTTTTCTCAGTTTTTCTCATGTCCCCTTTCTATTGTTTTAGATCATGTTTTGCTAATGCAATGGGCTTTATTTCCAAACCTGGAAATTTCTTCTTGCTTTATTTCAAGATAAAAATGTTCTCATTTTTAATACCCTTTTGTTCTATGGGGGGGTGAGAGGAAACAGGAAAAAGTAAACAAAATATTCGAGTTACAATCTAGAGTGCACAATTTTTGTATCTTAGGATAGCTTTTCATACTATTCTTATTTACAATATAGCTATAAACTTATTGGACCTCCTAGGAACCCTTCCGTATCCCATCTTCGTAGGCAAGTCCAGTCACATCGCTGGCCCTGCCTGCAGTCCAGGTGCTTATAAGAATACAGGTGCACAGTAACACAAAGATATGCACGTTGCAAAGATATGCATGTCTTTATTAAGTGTGCAACACACACGCACATGCACACTGCCATCTTTTTATTTATGATCCAAAGTTGTCATTGGGTTATTAGAAAACATGAAGGCAAGAACAAGCTCCTCTAGTGATTTGATGCACACATAACTGTGCAAACACTTCCAGAGGCCTGCCTGTATCCTACAGGTGCCAGTAGCGGACAGGGGATTGCCAGGTCTCTTATGACCCAATGAGGTTGGCCACACCTCACATACAAAAGCTGGTTTTACTTCTGAGGAAAAAACGATTCTTGCCTGGTGTTCATATGATATGGGAGTAGTACCCTCCTATTAAAAAATATTTTGGAGAGAAGGAGAAAGACCAGAGAAATAGCAGTTGAACATAGTCTTCAAATATTGCCTATTAATTTTTGTGTTGTACACTCTGATTATAACTCTCAATTCTAGAGATCTAAAATAGTCTTGAGAGCTCCCCTAATTCATCCGTCTGACTTGCCTGGATTTATACCATCATGCAGCATAATTTTTGTCCTTCTATTAATCCACAGCGAAGATTATTCCAAAACTTCTCTGTAGTTTATAGGTCATTCATTGCCATCACAAATAGTCCAAAATTTTCCCCAGGAGCCAGTCCAGACCCTTCTTGTGTAGTGTGAACATTTTTCCTTTAATACCATTACATTCGTCTGTCAGAATCTAAACCTCCAACTCATCCATCTTTCCAGTTTCCTGGTGAAAGAACATCCATTCATAAATCAAATAATCTAGTAGTTAGAAGGTACAACTACAACTTATGAATAATCTATTCCAGTATACCCCAGTATGTAGGCTGTATAGCTCTTGTGTTTTGCAAGATAATTTATGTAGCACGGGGACGTGACATTAAATAATATTAAATTGCATAGTGAAAAGTTTATTCCCTCTGAATTATCTTTCAGTCCTTCTCATTCTGTTTAGGAGAGTCTCTCTTTCATGCCAGTATATCTTTTTTCTTTTCTTTTTTTTTTTTTTTTCTTTTTGAGACTGAGTCTCGCTCTGTCACCCAGGCTGCAGTGCGGTGGCGTGATCTCGGCTCACTGCAACCTCTGCCTCCCAGGTTCAAGTGATTCTCCTGCCTCAGCCTCCCAACTAGCTAGGATTACAGGCGCCTGCCACCAAGCCTGGCTAATTTTTGTTTTTTCAGTAGAGACGGGGTTTCGCCAAGTTGACCAGGCTGGTCTCGAACTCCTGACCTCAGGTGATCCGCCCGCCTCAGCCTCCCAAAGTGCTGGGATTACAGGCATGAGCCATTGTGTCCAGCTTCATGCCAGTATATCTTTAGTGCCCCTCTATACTTACTAATGTCCTTATTTAACACAGATAGGGGAGGCCTCAAAATAATCTAATAAGATTAATTCATTTTTATTGTATTTTGTTTTTGTGATTATCTTCTATTTATGACAAATGATATTCCATTTATGAGAGTTTACATACAGTTTTCCTTTAAGTACATTTATTTAAGAAAAATGTGAGTGAATTGGGTGAGAACTTTAAAAAAAAAATCAAGTAGCATGAACGGGGCCACAGTATGGCTTTTGTAGATTTTAAGCACTTTGTGTTAGTGAGTCCCTTCTTACATTAGTGTGTACGTGTGTATACGTATATGATGTTTTATGACAGCATTGGTATACAGATGAATATAATCTTCAACTCTGAAAGTTCATTTTTTTCTTCTGATTCTAAAAGAAACTAAGACATTTTCATGGGCCCTGGCACTGTGGCTACTGTCCCTAAAGCATAGGTGGGTCAGCCCTGGCATGTGTTATAGCAAAACTCATTAGCTCTTCAGGAGAAGCACTAATTTAATCCAACTGCCTCATTTTACAAAGAATAATACTAAGCTTCACACATGTGTGAGAACCTGCGGGTCTGAGAGTGAGGAAGGACAAAATCAGAACTAGATCTCAGATGCCAGCCTCCTAATCTTTCCACTTCATTACACTGCTGTCTTCCTTTGAGCCTCTTCTGCAAAAGCCCTTTTTCTTGTCCCATCTGCTTCCGAGTCTTCACATCAGAATTAATCATGGGTCCTTCCGTGAATCCAGCCCCACCTCAGGTGTGAGGACTGCTCTGTGTGGAGGTGACACCCCCTTGTGGATCTCTTCTGCAAATAGACCTTTGTCACGGGAGGCTGGTCAGTTCACAGCCTCCATGGCAGTGGAGTCAGTTCACTCCGCTCCATCACGGGGGACCCACCAAGACCCCATTAAGAAAAGCACAAATGATGCAATAAATCAGGATAGATTTAGGCTTCGTTTTTTGGACACAATCTTCCAAATGATAGCTCCTCATTAAAACTAGCTAAAATGGATGATAGAGCTTGGGATAGGTTCACCACTTATATCCTAGACCAGTACTTTCTAGGATGGACTTTATATGGAAGACCAAAGGTTTACTCCTTGGGCTGTCAACCTTCATTTTACTTAGCTCTTCAAACAAGTCAAGCCTTGTTTTTAGCTCAGCTCCTGGGGAATTGTTCTGTTGACAATGTACTGCAGAAAACAGTCCAAACAATTCTTAAGAGCTAAGAGCCACCTTTGGTGACTAGACTTTGTAACCATCTCATTTATCCAAGGTGGATCTACATCTACCTGAAAATACTGTAAGTTGTAAATGGTATTTGTGTTTGGGGAAACAGCAACAGATCATTCTTCAGCTCGCTTCCAGCCATCTGTAACTGTCATCATACCACTAGAAAGCTCTGACTTTCAAAAAGTAACAGATGCTGGTGAGGTTGCGAAGAAAAGGGAACACTTATACACTGTTGGTGGGAGTGTAATTCAACCCATTGTTGAAGGCAATATGACGATTCCTCAAAGAGCTAAAAGTAGAACTACCATTAGACCCAGCAATCCCATCACTGGGTACGTGCCCAGAAGAATAGAAATCATTCTACCATAAAGATATATGTGCACAAATGTTCATTGCAGCACCACTCACAATAGCGAAAACATGGAATCAACCTAAATGCCTATCAGTGACAGATTGGATAAGGAAAATGTGGTACCTGTACACCACAGAATACTATGCAGCCGTAAAAAAGAGTGAGATCACGTCTTTTGCAGGAGCATGGATGGAGATGGAGGCTGTAATCCTTAGCAAACTAATGCAGGAACAGAAAACCAAACACCGCATGTTCTCACTTATAAGTGGGAGCTAAATGATAAGAACTTATGAACACAAAGAAGGAAATAACAGACACTGGGGTCTACTTGAGGGGGAGGTTGGGAGGAGGGAGAGTAGCAGAAAAGATAACTATTGGGTACTGGGCTTAATACCTGGGTGATGAGATAATACGTACAATGAAACCCCATGACGTGTGTTTACCTATGTAACAAACCTTCACGTGTATCCCCAAATCTAAAATAAAAGTTAAAAAAAAGTTCTGACTTTATGCTAGCTAATGTTATTGTTTATTATTATTGATTGGATAATATATCACAGGAAAGACATATTTAGCAAAAATCATTTTTTACAGTGAAGACCTTTTTATTTGTTTTGAGGCCCAACCAAAAAATAATTCCAATCTGTTGGGAGATAATGTAAGTGATCTGCAATTATGCACTTCTACAGGTTTATTGATTCAAACATTATTCAACTGTGATATCTTTTAAAAATATAATACTAATGCAGAAAAAAGAGCATGAGATTTGGAGGCATACAGAACTAGTTTTGTATCCTACCTCCAGACCTACTAGCTCTGTGATCTTAGGCAAGATAATTAACCTTTCTGAGCCTTTTTTGCCCCATCTGCAGAATGGAGTTAATAATATCCATATAAGATGTTGTTTTGAAGATTAAATTATCTGGAAAAATATTGACTGAGTACCTCTCTTGTGCCAGGTTCTTTTCTAAGTGCTGCAGATACCACAGTGAGCAAAACACTAAGAGTGCTGTTCTTATGCAGTGATGATTTTAACTGGAGTTAAATATTTCCCTCCTGGTTCTTAAGTCATTGAAGCAGAGTATTGCCTGAGAATGGGTTGGAACTGGATTTCATGTAGCTGTAGTTCTAAAATAATTATCTCTCTTGCTGCTATAGATTTTAAGTTATAACTCAACTGCTAAAGGTTACTTATTCATCAGGACCATTCATAGTTTTTTACCATTCTTTTAGTTCACAAAACTTTAGTTATCTGTAAGGCAACATTTATATTTGCAGTAGGTATTTTCTGCTAATTTATGTTTGTTAATACGTACTATGTATAAATAAACATAATTTGCATTATAAATTTCTAGAGAGGGAGATACACAGTCTTTAGTGCATGAAAATTCCAAATGATAAGCTGTTATGACATAGAAAAACCTTCTACTAAGATTTGCCACTGGACAAACCTGCACATGCACAGCTAGCCACAAAAAGATCTTTTGTCTGTGGTTATGTCACTGATGGGACAAGTTGCTCCTGTTTAGTGGTGATGACACCAATGATGAAGTGATCTAGAAAGATATTCCTTTTTCAAATTGATTTTCTTCCTGGAATGGTTTAAAGTACATCCTGATTCTCCCAGATACATCTGATCATCAGCAAGTATCAGATGTCCTATCTGGAAGATATGCATACATTTTATCACTTTCCTTGATAAAATAATGACAACTGAATAAGCATATTCTGATTGGTTATTTATACAACCAATATATATTTATTTAAAAATGGAGGATTTTCTACTTCATTTGGAGCAATGAATGAAGGGTAGAACTTAAGAAATTTATTAATATCAGTGATCCAAAAGTAATGTCATTGTCATTTATGATCCACACAGGCCCTCAGGGTCAGCATTATCATCAGTGTAAAGGTTTGATCTGCAGGTATTTTTCTTTTATGTAAGATTTGATAAGACATAGCCTTATTGCTAGCTGTATATTTGAATTTTGCGTGAATGCACCATTGTAAAACTATTGTTGCCATCTCAAACTGTTGGCGACATTCCAGGCCGATGTCATCTGAGGTAACTAGATTATAATGAAAAACCAATAGATCTTTAAAATGCATACTGTCTCTGTACTAGCACACATGTACATTGGCTTGCATGACTTTCTTCAGAGCTAATTATACTGTTTTAAAAAAATAGTAATAAAGAAGATAAAAGATAAAGAAATATAAAGCTACCCAACTGTGGAATCACTCACCTGATTTTCTCAGAATGCCACACTCTAATTACTAATGTATTGGCAGTCAGCACAGTTATCTAGAGGAGAATGTTTAAGGCAAAGATCATCCACTGTCTTAATATTTCTTACAAAATCATGTCTTTCTATTTTTTTCTAGGAATATAAACAATAGGTTGCTCCTAAGATGTTCATTTAGATATCCCCAACATGCCTTTTGCCTGCCAAGGCCTACTTGCCACCTGGTTCTATTTTGCTAGAATGCTTATTAGACTTTGAAAATCATAATATTCAATTTCCTGCCTTTTCCTTGAATACACAAATAATACAGGAAGAGCAAGGCAACGATTCTTTCACGGCTGTTTAGGAAGTACTAAATAGAATTTAAACCTGCTGATGGGTCAGTTTTCAGTTCTGCCATCTTTATACTCTTGAGAAAGTCTCCAGTATTGGAAGGTAAATATATATCCTGGCCCAGTTTTATCTTAGAAACTCTTTGTTCCTTTTATCTGTCCACTAAATTTCAAAACCAAGGGCATTTGAATATCTGAAAGGTTTAAGAATTTTAGTTTCCTTTCTTCTTACCTATAGATGGGATAAATTTCATCTCCATCCTGTTCCAATAAACTTAGTGTCTAGAGTAATCACTGAATCAGAAAAACAAAAAGATGTTCTACTCAGCTTCTTGGGATTCTGCCTTCAGACATCATGTCTAAATTCATGCACTACTGGTCCAAACTGGCACACCATTTCTGGAAGCTGATTTGGCGTTGTTTGCTAACCTGCTGCTCGTGCACACATAATTTGGCATTATTTATCAACAGCCTTAAAATCATATAGCCTTTGACAATAAAAACATAATTTAACATTTGGACAAAGAGTTCTACGAAAGATGTTCATCATGATGTTTTTAATAAATGAAAGGTTGAAAATCTTTTGCATCTTGATATCCAAGAACAAGAATTGGTTAAATAAATCTTAGTATATCCATATAATGGAGTTCTCCAAAGCTATGGTCAAGACCGATGTTCTGGAAGAATTTCTAAACTACCATATCAAAAATTCTCATGCTGCAATATTATGATAAAAATCCAAAACAGAATTGCACACACAGTATGATATTAACTGTGTTTAAGTAATATGAACAGGGAGGGAAAAAATGGGACGTACACCAAAATGTTAACAGTGGTGATTGTTATTCCTCTCTTTGGTTCCAGTTTTTTCTTAGACATTTTTCTAGGTTATCAAAATTCTCTGTAATGGGCATAAAATACAATAAAATTTCAAAAATTAAGATACAGAAGAAAAATATTAATGGAGCAATCAACGCACTATGTGGTTTTACGTCCATTCTACTTCTTTGGCGAGCCATAGACTTCTTTCTGCCTGACACTTTCCTAGGAATTTATAGTGTGCATTCTCCTACTGGTGAAAAAACAACTATAGAGAGACAATGATAGCAATCTGTGTCACCTAGTCTCTGTTATTTTCCAGCACACGACGGTTCTGCCCTTTATATTAATCGAGATGAGGACATCGCACCATCAGTATCCCAGCAGGAGCAGCGGACTTACCGCCATATGTACCTTCTCTGTTGGCTATATATTATGGTAAGGACCATGCCTGCTGGGCTTTCTTATTGTATTAGATTTTGCACTGCTAAATTTGGGCACATATTTCATTATGGATATAATCACTAACAGATTCACGCTGTGTGCCGCATTTGGTCCAAGACCTGGGCTTTGTCTCGTTTCCCCAGATGCTTATATTTTTAGAAAGTATATGCCAAACCTCACACAACAGGAATTTGTTGAACAATCCCATGTAAGCAGTGGTTCTTCCAAGGCTACATTTTTCAACTCTTTTTCAAACTAAATGTTTTTGTTGGACACCGGTTTTATTGCTTAAGGGCTTTTTTGCTTGGGATTTTGTTGTTGTTGCTTTTGTTGGGGGGCAGGGGAGTTGCAGCAAACACAAATGAGAACAGAAGTGACCTCTTAGAGCAATGACTTAAAACTTACTAGGAAACAAGTGAAAATGTATGTTTTCCCTGGTCCATTTAAAACCTACTCCAGAATTAACTGTTACATGGAGAATGCATTAAACTGTTCTGTTTTTAAATATTGGGATAAATAAACCACAAGAAATCTTCATTTGATCTATTGTGCACAATTCAGATCCAAGTGTGAGGTGCCAAATTTATCTGATAAAAGAATTTTTGCCTGGCGAGTCTACTTCACATTAATTTCAGTTCTTATCAGGTTTTTAACACTTCAAAAATTATTTATCTTAACATAGAGAATTTCTTATTTCTCTTTATAATTCCAAGTCCTCTTTGACATATTAACACGCACAGAGGAGGTCCCTCCTGCCAGCATTTCTGCCTCTTGGGACTCTTTTGTCCTGAGTTCTGGTTCACCATCCCCTCCTTTAAGCCCAAAGGACTGGATAGTGTTCTTCCAAAAACCCCTCAATTGTACTTAATCCCCCCAAATCCTAGAGCTCTTTGGGAGGCCCTATCTCCATGGAGCATCTTGCTCCAGCTGGAGTTGAAAAATAAAATAAAGGTCACTACAGTACCTGACACACTTTGCATAAACAATCACATGATGCCCCAAATCTGAGCAGAAAGGAGATTTGCTTCAGGAAGTCACACCCTGTGGCTGGATATAAGGGGACATCCAGAGGATGTCCATGTGGACAAGCATGAGCCACCGCGTCCAGCTGGGAGGAGCTTTACGACCATGTGGTAAAGCTCCTCCCCAGCTGGGTGCTGTGGCTCACGCTTGTAATCCCAGCACTTTGGGACGCCCAGGCAGGCAGATCACTTGAGACCGGGAGTTCGAGACCAGTCTTGTCAACATGGTGAAACCCCATCTCTACTAAAAATACAAAAAATTAGCCAGGTGTGGTGGTGGGCGCCTGTAATCCCACCTACTCGGGAGGCTGAGGTGTTAAGAATCTCTTGAACCCGGGAGACAGAAGTTGCAGCGAGCCGAGATCACGCAACTGCACTCCACCCTGTCTCAAAAATAAACAAATAAATAAATAAGCTTCTCCCATTGGCCCCTCCATCAACTAGTAAAGACCACTTGCAAGGACTAGGGAAGTATTTGTTTTCCTAATTACTTTCTAAGTTTTTTGCCTCATCCAAAACCTTAAGTGTTGACTTTCTCTGATAAAAAATGTCCAAATGATCAGAACTCACACCTGCAATATGACTAAAGTTGTGTCTTAAAAATAGATTTATGTCCTTTATACATATGAACTTATATTCAAATGAGTGTTATCTTTCAGAATAGTCAAGTAGGGAGGCTGCACAATTATTCCAGGGATGCCACAGATGTTTAAAACATACCTGGAACTTCCTATAGCCATAGTTTAAAAATCAGTCTCGCATCCCACCCCCACCCCAAATACGGTCTTGTTACTTTGCACTCATATTTGCTTACCTGTGGAAAAGGCAAGTTCTTTACTCTGGGAACTCTAGGTATATTTCTGCAAATTCATTTATATGCTATTAAATTATCTGCATCTTGTAGAGCCCCAGAGATTTCAGGAACTATGTACTTTCTGATGGCCTGTCTTCCATTGTGGGTAGAATCAGTCCACGTTCCAAAGAGACACATGGGAAATACCACATAGTCCTCATTATAGACCCCCAAGATCCCTCATTAAAATGAAGCATTACTCATTCTCTGCATGCCAAGTGAGGCTTGCCAGCTCTGCGTACTCCCTAAGCAAACCAGTACTTGTTTGGACATGTATTTACATTAACCAGTGAATTCTCTCAGATTTGTTCTGAGAAAGCATTCAAAGTAGACTTTTTCCTTTGGTGTTCTGCCCTGGGCATTCATAACTGTGCCAAATGCTAAACAATGGCCCTCACGTCATGTCCCATTATGTAAATCCAAGATTTTAATTGTTATCAAAAAGGTACTGGCTTTTGCTTCCTTTCAGACTATGTTAGGGCCGACATACCCGTGACACAACAGCCAAAGGTTCGGGATATGAAATCTTTTGATAGCATACCAGGGTTGTAACTGGACATTCCAGAGCCCCATGCCAAGATGAAAGAAAGCATTCCTCTCATCACATGTAAATTATAAAAGAAATAGATGGCCTGTGCAATACTGAGTAAGGTTGAGCTAAATCTATACCTCAGGGGCTGACCAGGCTGCTGGCTGTTTTGCTGGGACTCTAACTTGCTATCCAGTGGCCCTCCGCATCTGAATCTATTCTCTTCCCAGGTTTGGGTAGTGAGAGTAGAGAAAGTAAGGGATACCTGGACTTTCCCCACTGACTGGTTCCCATTGAGCTCCCATTCTCGGTGGTTCTGTTTCCCAGCCCCGTTGCAGTCCTCCCCAAGCTTAGCATCTAAAGGCCATCCCGGTCTCCTTCCGTGATGACTTCTGCCTCCCTGCCATGTTTCTCTTTCCCCCAGCCCAAACATCACCTGTCCATTTGTGGGAAGCTCTTAACTCCTTTCCTGGACACCCCCCTCCATCATCAACCCTCCCACACACACATTTCTCTGCACCCCGTTTGTGAGATTTTCCCTAATCAATGAGAGGACCCTTAGCATTCCGGATACATACAGAGGTCTCCTTGGTGTCTGATATAAGAGTTTAAGTATCAGGAATCATAATGGGTACCATTCCTTTGAGCCAGACACTGTGCCAAGTTCAGTTCAAATATTATCTTATTTAGTTCCCCAAACAGTCCTTAGAGATAGGCATGATCTTGCCCATTTTACAGGGAAGTATGCTGAAGTTTAGAAAGAGTACATGACTTGCCCAGGGTGAGCCACTGGACTCTTGCCAGAACTACGGTGCAAGCCCCATTGTGTGGCTGCAGATTGTAGTCTGTTAACCGGACCCTCCACTGCCCTTGCTGTGTGAAGAGTAACTCTATGAATGAACATAGTGAGTTTTTTATTTTGTTTAGAAGAAATACATAAGAACCAGCCAAGCCTGGTAGCTGAGGCCACTTTCTGGGTTGGAAACATTTCTAGGCTTTAGCTTAATCAGAAGTAAAACAGAGAGGAGGACAGAATGTACCCCATAGTTGGAAAGACACTGTTATTGTATATAAAGCCCATAGAACAATGCCTGACTACAGTAAAAAAAAAAAAAAAAAAAAAAAAAAATCTATATTTGCTATTTATCAGTCCTGAGATGCTTCTCAACAAATAGTAGTATAAACAGTAATGTTTCCTTTTCAAGGCTTGAGAATTTTAGTTACCATAAGTGTTTTCTCTTCTTTTTACTCATTCTGGATCACTTGCACAAAATCAAAAACAATTTTAATAGTCATAAACAACTCTAAGGGATATGAAAATATCTTTTTTTTAATTATAAAAGAATGATTAGGAAATCTTACAGGGGTGCTGGGTAACACAGGGAGCTTTAAGATCATGGGCTCCTGTCTCTTGTCACCTTCTAGTTGACATGTATAAAAGAGAAGACATCTTTGCTCCACCTGGTGCAGCCGTCTGGGGCTGAATCTTTTCCCGGGCTGGCTCCACCCTCACTTCCAAGCACCTGGAATCCTTGTCTCTGCAGTTCTGCTTCTCATTGCTCTGCCTTTCAGTCTGCAAGATACAGAAAGAGGAAACCAACTCAGACCCTAGGAAATGTACACCCTCAAAGCTTCAAGAATGGTCTCTCTCCTAAGGAGTCTTCTTCCAGCCCCTGGCTATTCTCCCTCCTTCAGGGGTTTCTCATTCAATCAGAGCCCATGTGAGATCTCAGAAGCCATGTATAATACGTGCTGATCTCTCAACCCAGGACACATCAAGAGCAAGTAGGCCTTAGTGAAGGGGACAAAATGGATCCTGGGTGTTTCCACTTATGGATAAATATTCCTTGTCAACTGCTGTGAGTGTATTTAAAGCAAAATAGAGATGTCTGTTGTCTCTGCACCCTAGTGGTTTTAAACAAATTCCATATTCCAAATCTCATTTCCCCAAATGTGTTCACTGAATAACTTTCCAACACAGAAAATAAAACAAAGTCAAGTCAGAAGTGTTAATGGAAAAAGCAAACTCTGTAAAATATTTAAAGAGGTTTATTCTGAGGCAATACGAGTGACCATGGCCCAGGAAACAGTCTCAAGAGGTCCTGAGAAAGTGTGCCCAAGATGGTTGGGTTACAGTTTGGTTTTATACATTTTAAAGAGACAGAAGTTACAAGCAAAGACATAAATCTATACCTGTAAGGTATGCATTGATTTGACCTGAAAAGGTAGGATGTCTCAAAGAAGTAGTGGGTGGTTACAAGTCATAGGTGAATTCAAAGATTTCTGTGGTTGGGAGTTGTTTGAAAGAGTTAAGCTTTGTCTAAAGACTTTAAGTCAGTAGAAAGAAATGCTTGAGTTAAGATAAGGGAGGTTGTGGAGACCAAGGTTCTTGTTATGTAGATGAAGCCTCATACGTGGCAGCCTTCAGAGAGAATGGATGGTAAATGTCTCTTTTCAGACCCTAAATGGCATCAGGCTCTTTGTTAATCTCTCCTAGATCCAGGAAGGTCCTGGCTGTATTAATGGAGACTCTCTACAAATGCAAAGATCCCCCACAAAAGATGGCTCTGCAGAGCCATTTCAAAATATGTCAAAGAAATATATTTTGGGCTAAAATATGTTTGATTTCCTTCAGGACCTCCTATCTGTTATGTGATGCTACATCAAAATCAGGTTGAAATGTGGAATCTTATTGCCCCAAAGAGTTTGTTTTGTCAGTCTTATGATCTCTATTTTAATGTTAATCCTGGTCAGTTGTGCCTAAACTCCAAAAAGGAGAGGGTACAATTAGGCATGTCTAACCTGCCTTCCCCTAATGGCTGTGAGTTCCATTTTTCAGGTTTCTCTAGGGTCCCCTTGGCCCAGAGGGGGTCCATTCAGTTGGTTGAGAGGCTTAGAATTTTATTTTTGGTTTACAGAATGAAGTATGTTCATTCTTTTATGATCATTCCTAAATTATTTCATGTCAAAATTCTATCTCCCACAAAATTTGATTATCTCCTAACTGGGCAATTTTGGATGATTTTTTTGGCTTCTTGTTGAAATGGTTTTGTACCTCAAGTTTCTGCTGGAAACATACATTATTTTTTATTTACATACAGTATTTGTAAGCCAGAGAAAAAATTCTCAAACATAAAAATAAGAGTGTACTCAAATTTTAAAGTCTTAGAATTTTTAGCCATGAATGAGTAAAATTTTTAGGAAAAAATGTGTACCCTCTTTACTAAGAAAATGAAATTTTAGACCACATTCAATTCCTTCCATTTAATCAGATGTTTCTTCACCAGTTAAACAAATCTGGCCGACACGTGTTCTTTGACCAGCAGATGACATTTTTCTCTATTCAACTTGAATCTTTCACTCCACCATAGCTGTTGACTTTTACATCTGTAATGGTTTGTGTACATTTTTCTGATTTTCTGGCATTGGAGAACCGAGTCCAAGATGAATGAAGGTGATAATGTTACTGGCGGCATATATGTATGGGTCTGCAGCAACCTCAGTTCTTGCCGCCTCAGAAGAAATAATTTGACCAAGGGGCATAAGGCAGAGTGAGACTGAAGCAAGTTTTAGAACAGGAGTAAAAGTTTATTTAAAAGCTTTAGAGCAGGAATGAAAGGAAGTAAAGAACACTTGGAAGAGGGTCAAGTGGGCAACTTGGGAGATCAAGTGTGCAGTTTGACCCTTTGACCTGGTGTGTTATGTGTTGGCGTGCTTCCGGGGTCTTGTGTTCCTTTCTCCCTGATTCTTTCCTTGGAGTGGGCTGCCCACATGCACAGTGGCCTGCCAGCACTTGGCAGGGGCCGCATGCGCAGTGTGTTTACCGGAGTTGCGCGCATGCTCACTTGAGGCATCCCCCCTTACCAGTTGAATGCTCCTGGAAAGTCATATAACAATTAAACTCCACCATTTTTCCTCTTAGTGTGCATGACTGAGCCCACTCACCCAACTCCTGAGATCTTATCAGGAAGCTGTTGATCATGAGCTTTAGGTGTCTTTCTCTATTGGGAGACTGCCTTTCCCTGGTGCCAGCTGCAACCAATTATTATTTTAGAGAGGCAGTTTTAACAACAACCGACTGACCATCACCTGATGGTTGCCTGACATTCTTGTTTGTTGGGGGGTGGCAGGGGGATGCTCTCCTGCCCTTTCACGTCTGACTAGCTACCTGCTGTAACAATAAGTATCTCACATTCTGAAGAGAGCTACCTTTCTTGGGGCTTACAAGAGACAGCCGAAGGACTCTGCTCACTTACTATCACCAAGGCCATCCATGCTTCACTATGCCCGTCTTCCCCACCCTCTTCCCAAGATGGGGAAGAGGGACAGGGTCTTTGCAGTCTTGAGTTTTGGATCTAGGGGAGCTGTTGGGGGAAGGAAGGGCCTCTCCACACTGACCAAAGCCAAGTGTGAGGCTCTAAGAGAATCCCTGGTAAATAATAGCTATGAGGCAGGAATTTAGGAAGCTGACTCGTTAGCCTTCCTTATATCTCCTATTTAAGCAAGGAAAAGAGTCTTGGAAGGATATGGCAGGGCAGAGGGAGGGGGAGCTGTAAAGCCGCCTGTGATCCCATCATTGTACATGTCAAAGTTTCTTGTAGATCTGGTTTGACATAGAGGAAGGTTGCTGGAGTTGAGCTGTCTTGATGGTGGCCCACCCAAGAAAGAATGGCTCCTGGGCAAGAGTTTTCCAGCAGCAGGAAACCATGGGGTGTGCTGCCCTGGACAGGAGCCAGGGGGTGTTAAAGAGGTCTAGCTGGAGCCAGCCAGATCCCCCACATAAGGAAGCTCTTCATTTCAGAAACCCTTCAGAGACCCCTGCAAACCTCACACTTATGCACCCGACGCAGAGGTGAGCACCTGGACTTCAGCCTCACAGCACTAATCAGTGGGAAGCAGGGATTTGCCAATGACAGGGAAAGCCCCTTGCATAAGCACAGGCAGTGAAGTCAGAAGATATTCATCCTTCTTCCATTTCCCCCGCCAGAAAGGAAAGAGGCATCTCAGAACCAGTCCACGTCCTCCTCTTCTACTTCAGGGTCTTAGAGTGCATGGAATAAATAAGTAAACCCCCCTCCCATTCAGGGTTCCAGCAATAAGCCTGCTGTGTTCAAGGAAAGCAGAAGGCCACTGTGTGTTGAAGCAGAGTGAGGGAGAGTGCACAGAGCTCCTAGGGTGAGGGAAGGAGAGCATTAGAGGCCACTGGAAAGACTGTCCTTAATTCAGATTGGCAGTCATTGGAAGGTTTGGACAGAGACTTGACATGAACTGAGACATTTCTAAGGAATCACTTTGGCCAATGTGTTAAGAGTGGATTGAAGGCAAGGGTAGAACAAGGAGAAGAGAAGAGAAGGCTATAGAAGAAATCCTGATAAGAGATGAAGTGGCCTGGACCCTGGTGGTAGAAATGGCGTTAATAGGATTCTGGATATATTTTGAAGGTAGGGTCAATAGGATTTCCTGGCCAAATTTAAATTAAACCCTGGACTCAGCCCCTTTAATAATGTTTAACCTTGGTATGGAAGGCAAAATAATGCTCACCACAAGCCCCCAAAGATATCCACATCCTAAAATCCCCAGAACTTGTGGATATGTTCCCTGACATGGCATGTGGCAAAAGGGACTTTGCAGGTGTGATTAAGGTAAGGACCTTGTGATGGACAGGTTAGCCTGCTTTTGCAGGTGGACCCAGTCTAATCCCATGAATCCTTAAGAGTGGAGAGCCATTCACAACTGTGGTCAGAGAGAGACATGACTGCCGAAGGACAGTTAGAGAGATGCAGTGGAGAAAGGACTTGAACTGCCGTCACTGGCTTTGAAGACAGAGGAAGGGGCTGTGAGCACGGAACAAGGGCCCCCTCTAGAAGCCGAAAAAGGCAAGGAAAGGGATTCTCCCCTAGGGCTTCCAGAAAGGAACTCAGCCCTGCTGACACCTTAATTTTAGCTCAGTGACACCTATGTTATACTTCTAACCTGTAGAATTCTCCGATGAATATGTGTTGTTTTAAGCCACAAGTCTGTGGCAATGTGTCATAGTAGCAAGAAAAAAACGAATACTTGAACAAATCACTTAATCTCTATGGGCCTCAATTTCCTTATCCGAAACAAAAAAAGCATGATGATAGTGATCAGGCAGGATTGCCGTGAGCATCAGAAAAATGGGTATACAATGTCCAGCACCTAACTGGCACTCAGTTCCAGTGGCCATTGTTGTTCTGTTTATACGCTAGGAATACTCCATCCTAAGAGAGCCTCAGCTTAGTTCTTTCTGCAACTTTCTTCCCTCACGAACCTTACCCTGGAAGGCAGAAGTCTAGATCTTTGAAGTTAGATGCTCCTTGTTTAGTTCCCGTCTTCCTCGGGTCTTTGAGCAAATTACTTATCCTCTCTTAGCCTCATTGTTACCACCTTTAAAATGGGAAAGAATGCCTGCCTCACAGAGTTGTGAGGATTAATGAGCCCATAGGGATGCTCAGGAAATGAGAGCATCTTCCCTTCCTCTTAGGCGACAAAATTCCTGAATGCCTGCAGAGACCCTAGGAGAAAGGCTCATTTTCTTTTTTTCTCTCTCTCTCTTCCCCGCCACCCTTATTTTATTTTCATTTTATCCTCTGTTCTTCATACGGGCTTTGGTCCTACTTTACAGCATGTGTGGCTCTTCATAACCTATTGAGAAAGTTAAAGAGTTTTCTGAAATTTTCTTATGGTTCATATATTAAGTTATTTCCGGAGCTCTGCTTTTCCCATGAGATTCGAGAATGTCATTGCTTTCCCATTATTCCAATCTGCGTATTTTTACAAGCACTGTGCTGAGAATGCACTATTTTCTCATCTTCTAAGGAAAAGTCTATCTGGGCAGTTGAAAGCCTGACAACAGAGAGTATGTCTTGCCCTTGGTGCCTGAGAATGTCCACTTGGGTGTTGGTCAAATCAGCTTCTTAGACCTGCATCTGGACAGAAAAGGCTTGTGTATATAATCTGTCTCAATCCCCAGTATTTATTATTCTGAGTTTTTTGTTCTCCTACCCCCAACAGCTGGTTCTCAGACATTCTGGGAGTACATGAAGAACTAGAATTCCCCATGTGCTATTAACCTTGCCCCACCCTGAAGTCATGTTTTATGTGGTTATGATCCTTCCCCCACTCCCCAGCTTCCCTACAGCCATGCCTACACCACTGCTTCTTTTCCCCATAGTCTGCCCAAATCACCAGTGTGATGCTGCTTGTGCTCTTGATGCTACTTGGCAATTTTCCTGTGGATTTCTCCAGCCATCTCTATCCACTCCCCTCCACCTCCACCTCACTCTCCCAGTCCTCCCAGCAGATGGCCTGGCCTTTTATTTCACAGAGAAGATAAAAGACTCTAAACAGGGACTCCTTCGATCTCCCCCTACAAACATCATTTCTGCACCCATCCTCTCTTCACCTCCTGAGACAATAGGAAAAGGGCCTCTATGTTTTTCAGCAAGCAATCCTTCCTTCTGGACTCTGGCCTCATACCCTTCTACCTCTCCTGGGACCCCATTCATGCCCATCACTTCATTCTCCTGTAAGTTCAGTCTCACTGCTGGATCCTTTCAATCAGCATCTGAACACACTGTAGTCCTAGTCTCCACCTTACAACATTGCTCTTCTTGGACCAGCCCCTGTACATCTAGCTGCTTCCCTATTTCCCTACTCACAGCTGAGTGCCTTCAAAGAGTTGTCTGCATTGTCTCTACTCTCACACCGCAAAGGCTTAGAGACAAGGTGGTATAGTGGTTGAGATAGTGGATTCATGAGCCAGACTGCCTAAGCCTGTATTCTGCTTCTGCCATATGAACTGGGCCAAGTCACTTAACCTCTCTGTGCCTTGGTTTTCTCATCTGTAGAATGGGATAATAATAATAAGTCTCTCATCAGATTGGCATTACCATTAAACTAATACTACTCTTTAGTATATGTAAAATGCATAGGACAGTAACTCACACAGAGAATGTACTGTGGCTTCAGCTGTCATTACTTTAGCAAAATTTTGGCTGATGTCACCAGTGACTTCTCCTTTGCTGAATTTATGGAATGCTCTGTAGACCTCTTCTCAATTGACATTTCAGCAATTTGATACTAAAACAAACCCCCCCTCTTCCTGATACACTCTGTTCCTCTGATTTAGGTGTTGTAACCATTTATTTTCCCTCCATTCTGAAGATGATCCCTCTCAGCCTCATTTGCTGGCTCTTTCAACTCCCCCCAAACCTCAGTGTTGGAATTCTTCAGAGCTCACTTCCAGGTCCTCTTGTTTTACTACCCACTCTCCCTAGGTAAACCCATCCACATGTGTTTGCAATGCCTCCATTTCGGAACTCCATCCCATACCTCTCTCCTGAACCTACTCCATATCTACTCACTTAGCAACTGCAAACCAACCTCATGCCATGCCAGATGTCTGCATCCCACCCCAAACCTGCATCCCCTTGTCATCATCCCAAAACTAGTTGTTTATGCTGGAAATCTATGAGACATCCTCAACCCATCTCTCTTGGGCCCACTCCAGGCAGTTGTTCACCAGTTTCTGAGTTCTGTACCTCCAGTGTACTTGTAGAATCTTTATGCTTTGCTCCATCTCCACTGCCAACACTATGGTCCAAGCCTCAGTTATCTCTCCTCTCAACCACTGCTAGAACTGTCTATCCAAAGGATCCCAGAGTAATCTTTTATAAACAAATGTCATCATGCTACTCCCTTGCTCCAAGACTGTGGATGACTTCTCATTGCTCCTCAAGATAAGAACCAAAATTCCTTTACATGTTTTAGGGGGCCCTGCATTACCGGACCCCTGCTGACCTCTGGCCTCATCATATTCCTCCTTCCCTTTTGCTTGCTAGCTCCAGACACAGTGATCTTCTCTGATTGTCAAAAGCAATAAGCTTCATCCACCTTCAAAGCTTTCACTTTCTTTGTGCCACAAACAAATCCCACCTCTCCCCCAGTCATGTCTCGCACCAGTGTTAGTTTCAAATCCTGCTCCTCTTTCAGGCCTCAACTTAACTCTTTTTCTCGGGGAAGCCCTCTCTGATTCTCCAGACTTGGTTCAGCTTCTCTGTGCTACACTACTATAATCTGTTGATTTCTGCCAGGGGATTTAAAAAATAGTTGAAGTTTTGTGGTTATTTGATTAACTCTTTCTCCAAAGTCTGCCCCCAAAGTCCCCTCCCTTCACTATCTAGAGCAAGAAAGAGAATTAGCACTTCAAATTATCTTAAAGAAAATAAAGAGGGCTTCCTTGTCTCCAGTATTCTAAGAGTTAATCCAAGCACATTTTCTTTAGACATTACATCAATAAAATGCCACAGAAAATATTTCTAAGATAGACTTTAATAAGAGAAATTGCAACAGTGGGTTTTAGATGCAAGCAAATAGAGAAAATGAATATATATTACACATACACACACACCCACACACGCACACACATACACACACACCCCTACCTCTCTTACACTTAGTTCAATGGTAACCATATAAAGGGTTTACGACACCCCTGCCATCCATTTCTCCAATATTGAATTTCAGCTTTATTGTCTCTTCTCCCACCTGCCTGATTCATTTAAATTGCCAACTGAAGCTGATAAAGTTGTAGCAGAAACCTCACAGACTGCGCTCCTTGCCAGAGTGACTGACATCCTATAGGAGAGATGACCTAGTTCAGGCAATAAAAACATTCCACATAGAGGAAATATTCATTAATTAGCAAAATCATAACCTCTTCATTTCCCCGAGGGGTGCCTTCTTGGTGTCTTTGAGAGTATGAGAGCATTTTGAAGACTCAGAACATATTCTCTTGTGGGCTGCATGGGAGGGTACATGTATGTGAGCATCTTCACAGGGACCCCTATCCTGCCCAGTCCCACCTTTAGCAGATGGTTCCCACAGCTGACAGTAACTGAGAGGAAACCAGTCCCCAGGCATTTGTATCTCCCACAGCACCCAACAGAGGCACACATTAAAATCTGGTTAAAAGTAAACAATTCAGATGAAGAGTTATCTGTGCCAGAGATGAGCTTATACCCCAAGAGTCAACAGAAATTTATAGCCTAAAAGACCATTTGCTTGTTATGGGATGGAAATGGCAAGAGAAACTTGATCTAAAATAGCCATATAAAACATTGACTTTGTACATGTAAGTAGACCCATTTCCCTAATAATTTTCAAAGTAAGAGAAGCAACTGGCTTATTGTTATTGTAATATTTTAATTCTCCAATATTCTGAAAGATCTGGGTACATCTTGACTGGTGACAAAGTTCATTAACTCTCTCAAACAAGCACTTATTGAGTGCCTACCAGGTGTCAGGCATTATGCCAGGTGCAGGAGGTAGACTATGGAAGAAGCTTCAGCTCTGTCCTCAAGGAGCTTACAGTCTATTGAAGGATACAGGGAACTAAAAAGCAATAGTCATCCAGTTGATAACTGCTATTTGCAAGAGGAAAATAGAGTCTACGGAAGGTTCTCTAACCCAGACTTAGAGAGTTCTGAAAGGCTTCCCGGAGGAAATGACATGTAAGCTGCCTCTTGGAGGGTGAATAAGAGTTAGCTTTGTGAAGGTCCAGGATAAAAGTGTCCCAGGCAGAAAAAGCAGATGGCCTAGAAGCAACGGAGAGGAAACCATAGTCAGGGAGCCAAAGCAGTTCAGTGCACCTGGACCCATTGACATTTTGCCCTCCTCCTGTCACTGCAATATATATTCCACCTCAACTCTCCCCACCAAAACTGTTTTCATTTTTCCTTTCTACAGCATCCTTCTTTGACTGGTTATTTCATGATTGGGTGGGTGGTTATTTAGATGATTGGTTGGTTGGTTGGTTGGTTGGATGGTTTCTTGGGTGGTTGGATGGATGGTTGGGTGGTTGGATGGATGGTTGGGTGGTTGGATGGCTGGGTGATTGGATGGTTGGGTGGTTGGTTGGGTGGGTGGTTGCTTAGTTGGGTGATTGGTTGATTGGTAGAGTGGTTGGCCCATTTCCTGTAACACTGCTCCTACTCAGCCTCCTTGGGAGGCCCCATTCTTCATACTCTCTGATGCTCTAGCCCTCCTGGCAAGCTTTCATACACTGCCTCTCCTCCAATTTTCATGTCTCAGCCAGATAGTTTTTTTAAAATGCAAATTTTATCCTGTCAATCCTCCTACTTAAAAGTCTTCAATAGTTTATTTTTTCCAGTTTGGGTATTTTTTTTTCTTTCTGGTAGCACTTTTATTCTTCCTTGCACAATGACGTATCCTTGGGCTGTGATATTCTCACGCAACAGTAGAAAAACAAGATGTGTAAGTCACCCATAAAGCTGAGAATTACGTACAAAACTCTTACATAAATTAAAATGATGCATAAATTTACAGGTAAAAATACAAATCATTTTGCAACTAGAATGAGTAATTTAGCCCTGTGACATTCTGCTGCAAAAAAAAAAAACATTGGATAAGAAAGAAAATGGAGTCCTAGAGCCTGGGTTATGTACGTTTTCTACCTCTGCTGGAAGACTGCAACAAAGAAGTGACAATTCATTCATAAATTCTTGCCAGCCTCTGGAGAAATCCAGGAATTGTCATTTGTACTCTGTGGAGATCTGATCAGGCCCTAGAGGAGTGAACAGCTTGAAAGAAATTGTCAGTCAGCCAAAGACCCATCACATCAGGCCAAGTGCCTTCTATAAACATGTTCCCCTTATTCTCCCTTTGCCACACAAAGTGTCTAGCCACACATGCTAAACTTAAGCCAAAGATATGTAAAGAATGTTAGAAAATGTATTATAAAGAAATAGTTAATATGAATACAAGGTGAAACAGTGCTATTTGCCTATCAGACAAAGACAGGTATCTTTTTAAAAAGGCATCTTCCAAGTAGATAAGTCTAATATAAGATGCTATCCATTTAAAAGTAGCCAGGTGTGGTGGCTCATGTCTGTAACCCTAGTCAGGAGGCTCACCTAGGCCCAGGAGTTCAAAACCCAGCCTGGACAACATAGCAAGCTAATAGTCCCAGCTAATCAGGGGGCTGAGGTGGGAGGATTGCTTGAGCCCAGGAATTTGAGGCTGTAGTATAGTATGCTTGTGCCACTGCACTCCACCCTGGGCAACAGAGCAAGACTGTCTCTAAAATTGCAGTGGGCAATGGGCAGGTCAAACTCATCAGACTCTTGCTTGCTATTCCACATCTGCTGGAAGGTCAAGACAGTCGCTAGCCACAGTATGTGCACTCAGAAGAAGGGAAATCTTAATTTTTATTGTGTTTTTTTTTCCCAAGGCTGTGACATCTGTCTGTGTTCTAAAGCCAGTAATAGCAGGACACATGGTAGTACTACCAGACCAGATGGGATGTGTTGTGTTGGCATATAGATCTTTTCTAATATAAGCATCACATCTCATGGGTGACATGGAAGTGCTATCTTGAGTGCCACTGCTTTCATACCTGAGGAGGATGGCTGAAAAGAACTTCTGGGTCTATGACTCTCTCCTTGACAGAGGTGATCAACTGACTGTGAGGGAGCTTAGTGGTCTTCTCCAGGGTAGATGGTAAGCAATGGTAGCTCCTGTTTGACATCCAGGACAGAGCAGTACCACTTCTCCTTAGCATCATGTACAATTTCTTCTCTGCTGTGATAATGAAACTGTAATCTCTTCTTCTCACAGTCCTTAGGAATACTCTTCCAAGTCTCAGCTAGCAGAGTCGAGAAATAGCATGACATAGGGCAGGTGTAACTGTCATAGAAGGGCATTGTGTGGGTGCCACAATCATCTAAGTCTACCAGCAGTATATGACCAGAAGCATTACAGGAACAGCATGGCTGGAATAGCAGTACACATAGCTGGGCTACTGAAGGTGTCAAACAGAGCCTGTTACAGGTGTCATCAATTGATGGACATTTGGTTTGTTTCTTTTTGGCTAAAGATGGAAGTTTGAAGTTATGAAATACCCATATGCTTAAAGAGAGAAATGAGTAGCAGAGGGATTTCAAGCCACTGAGAGGGTCTGATTGAATTCGAAAACCACAGTATGATGCTGCACAGTCATGTAATTTATGACACACAAAACTCTTCAACAGTAGGCTCTGCCTCTTCTCAGAACGCCACACATCAGCTCTGCTAAACTGCTTGTAGTTCCACGAACTCACCTCTGGGATTTGCAGTGTTCTTCTCTTTGCCTAGATAATTTCCTTCCAGGTCTCACTGCCATTCCCAATCTAACCTTGAGTCTGAGATCAGATGTCACATCCTCCAGAAGCTTTCCCTGACATTCTGAGTCAGTGTCAGGTGCCCCTTTCAAGTGGCACCCTCCATTCACCCCATCATAGCATTTCTGACACTGCTGTGAAACATCCACCGTGCACCACCACCGGGCTAGAATCTTATGGGCAAGCACTGTGACATTCACCAGATGAGCCCCATGTCTGGCATGATGCCTGCTGCCTAAGAGGGGCTCAATAAATTTTAAAGGAATAAATCAGTGAATGAGTGGTGCATACTTTCAGAAACATGGATCTATGAGGGTTGAAGATGCTGAGAACTAGGACTGGGGACCAATGAGCATGTCACTCCAACACATTGGCAGTGGAAATTCTTCAGAGATGAATTTCTGCACTTTTAAAAATAGAGAACTGGAGTAATTAATGTTTGTCAAAACATACTTGTTTGTATTTCTGGACAAGTTTTTATCAAAGTTAAACATAAATCTTTCAGAAATATTAGCTTTGCAATTCTCCCGTTTTCTTTGTCCACATTTGGCGCTCCACTCTTGAATGATGGTTTCTAGAACACAACTGGAAAGAGGCAAGAGTCTATTTACCCAGTTGCACACAGGTAGAAAAGAATAAGTTACCAGCCAGGATTCCCAGTGTAATCTAGCATTAGAGATAACCCCTGATAGACATCAGAAGAGGGTGTAAGTCCCTTTTCAAAAGAAAAAATTAAAAACTACTAGTGATATGCCTTCCCTAACCATTGCTTTCAAAGACCTTTTAAATTATTTTTGTTAATTAAAATTTGACCATGTATACTTCTAAAAATTACTAAATTAAGGAAAGTCTTGATTTTTATAGCATATTGAGTTAATACGGATATTGCTTGACTTGACCAAATAAATTCTTTAAAATAGCCACACACAGAAAATAGAGCTATATTTTTTAAATTGTATACTGTAAGCCTTTGAATGAATTTTCCATGAAGAAGGCATCATGGAGAAGAATAAATGTCTGACACATACAAATGAGGTGAGGACAAACTATTGAGATGTAGCTGGCAATGATCCAGCTTCTTAGTTCACTTTTAATAGTTTATTTTATTTTTATTTTTATTTTATTTATTTCTTTTTTTTGAGACGGAGTCTCGCTCTGTCACCCAGGCTAGAGTGCAGTGGCACAATCTCAGCTCACTGCAAGTTAATAGTTTAAGTTCATGTATCTTTAAACTAACTGTGTAGCTTGTTTTTATAAAAGACAAATATTGGGAGATGGCCATAAGTTGACTCTTGCTTTGCAAACCAAAGTGTATCTTAAAACAAGTTCCCCTGTGCTTATCTAATAATGAGTTTGGACAAGAATAATGCTGCCTCGGATTGCAATGTTCAAGGCAGTCATTAAAGTTAATAATCAGTGCTCTTGTATAGAAGCTTTATGCCTAACATTGATCAGCCCTTTATTGTGTGGCATTTGCTAGTATTCAAGTAGCAAGGAGCTCACCACAAAGGCCATCAGGTAGGTTTCCATGGTAGCAGTCTTTCTTTTGTTATTCACCTTGGTAACACAGACTGGGTGCAAGCCCCAAGCCTTGGCAGCTTACACGTGGTGTTGGGCCATTCTCACGCTGCTATGAAGATATATTCAAGATGGAGTCATTTATAAAGGAAAGAGATTTAATTGACTCACAGTTCTGCAGCACTGCGGAGGCCTCAGGAAACTTACAATCATGGTGGAAGGGGAAGCAAATACGTCCTTCTTCACATGGCGGCAGCAAGAAGTACAGAGCAAAGGTGTGGAGAAGGCCCTTTATAAAGTGTCAGATCTCATGAGAACTCACTATCAAAAGAACAGCATGGGGGAAACTGCCCCCATGATTCAATTATCTTTACATGGTCCCTCCCTTGACAAGTGGGGATTATTATAATTCAAGGTGAGATTTGGGTGGGAACACAGAGCCAAACCATATCAGACAGTATCCAAATACTCACCATGTCACTGCTTAATGAAAATAAATAGAATATTGATAGTGCTAGTAGAGTCAAGAACCTGGTCTCTGGGTGTGACAACAAGGCAAGGCATGATGTCTACCAAGGTTTTCTTTTAAGCAGCTGTCCGCTAAGCTGGACTAGTGTCCTTTTGATCTTATTCCAGGTTAATAACCCTCCGTTGTCTTATATTATTGCCCTGGAGACAAATAGAACTCAATGGTGACTAGAATAGTTTCATTAATGCTGAATCTTATGAAAGACAAGTTTGTGATTGCACAGTAATAAAAGTACAATATAAAAACTATGGAAGAAAAGAGAATTCTACTTTTTTTTTTCAGAGAAACTAACACTTTTATTTTTTTATTTTTTATTTTTTTCTTTCTTTTTTTTAATTTAATTTTATTATTATTATACTTTAAGTTTTAGGGTACATGTGCACAATATGCAGGTTAGTTACCTATGTATACATGTGCCATGCTGGTGTGCTGCACCCATTAACTCCTCATTTAGCATTAGGTATATCTCCTAATGCTATCCCTCCCCACTCCCCCCGACCCCACAACAGTCCTCAGAGTGTGACATTCCCCTTCCTGTGTCCATGTGTTCTCATTGTTCAATTCCCACCTATGAGTGAGAATATGCGGTGTTTGGTTTTTTGTTCTTGCGATAGTTTACTGAGAATGATGATTTCCAATTTCATCCATGTCCCTACAAAGGACATGAACTCATCATTTTTTATGGCTGCATAGTATTCCATGGTGTATATGTACCACATTTTCTTAATCCAATCTATCATTGTTGGACATTTGGGTTGGTTCCAAGTCTTTGCTATTGTGAATAGTGCCGCAATAAACATACGTGTGCATGTGTCTTTATAGCAGCATGATTTGTAGTCCTTTGGGTATATATCCAGTAACGGGATGGCTGGGTCAAATGGCATTTCTAGTTCTAGATCCCTGAGGAATCGCCACACTGACTTCCACAATGGATGAACTAGTTTACAGTCTCACCAACAGTGTAAAAGTGTGCCTATTTCTCCACATCCTCTCCAGCACCTGTTGTTTCCTGACTTTTTAATGATTGCCATTCTAACTGGTGTGAAATGGTATCTCATTGTGGTTTTGATTTGCATTTCTCTGATGGCCAGTGATGGTGAGCATTTTTTCATGTGTTTTTTGGCTGCATAAATGTCTTCTTTTGAGAAGTGTCTGTTCATGTCCTTCGCCCACTTTTTGATGGGATTTTTTGTTTTTTTCTTGTCAATTTGTTTGAGTTCATTGTAGATTCTGGATATTAGCCCTTTGTCAGATGAGTAGGTTGTGAAAATTTTCTCCCATTTTGTAGGTTGCCTGTTCACTCTGATGGTAGTTTCTTTTGCTGTGCAGAAGCTCTTGAGTTTAATTAGATCCCATTTGTCAATTTTGGCTTTTGTTGCCATTGCTTTTGGTGTTTTAGACATGAAGTCCTTGCCCATGCCTATGTCCTGAATGGTAATGCCTAGGTTTTCTTCTAGGGTTTTTATGGTTTTAGGTCTAACATTTAAGTCTTTAATCTATCTTGAATTAATTTTTGTATAAGGTGTAAGGAAGGGATCCAGTTTCAGCTTTCTACATATGGCTAGCCAGTTTTCCCAGCACCATTTATTAAATAGGGAATCCTTTCCCCATTGCTTATTTTTCTCAGATTTGTCAAAGATTAGATAGTTGTAGATATGTGGCATTATTTCTGAGGGCTCTGTTCTGTTCCATTGATCTATATCTCTGTTTTGGTACCAGTACCATGCTGTTTTGGTTACTGTAGCCTTGTAGTATAGTTTGAAGTCAGGTAGCATGATGCCTCCAGCTTTGTTCTTTTGGCTTAGGATTGACTTGGCGATGCGGGCTCTTTTTTGGTTCCATATGAACTTTAAAGTAGTTTTTTCCAATTCTGTGAAGAAAGTCATTGGTAGCTTGATGGGGATGGCATTGAATCTGTAAATTACCTTGGGCAGTATGGCCATTTTCACGATATTGATTCTTCCTACCCATGAGCATGGAATGTTCTTCCATTTGTTTGTATCCTCTTTTATTTCATTGAGCAGTGGTTTGTAGTTCTCCTTGAAGAGGTGCTTCACATCCCTTGTAAATTGGATTCCTAGGTATTTTATTCTCTTTGAAGCAATTGTGAATGGGAGTTCACTCATGATTTGGCTCTCTGTTTGTCTGTTATTGGTGTATAAGAATGCTTGTGTTTTTGTGCATTGATTTTGTATCCTGAGACTTTGCTGAAGTTGCTTATCAGCTTAAGGAGATTTTGGGCTGAGACAATGGGGTTTTCTAAATTTACAATCATGTCATCTACAAACAGGGACAATTTGACTTCCTCTTTTCCTAATTGAATACCCTTTATTTCCTTCTCCTGCCTAATTGCCCTGGCCAGAACTTCCAACACTATGTTGAATAGGAGTGGTGAGAGAGGGCATCCCTGTCTTGTGCCAGTTTTCAAAGGGAATGCTTCCAGTTTTTGCCCATTCAGTATGATATTGGCTGTGGGTTTGTCATAGATAGCTCTTATTATTTTGAGATACGTCCCATCAGTACCTAATTTATTGAGAGTTTTTAGCATGAAGCGTTGTTGAATTTTGTCAAAGGCCTTTTCTGCATCTATTGAGATAATCATGTGGTTTTTGTCTTTGGTTCTATTTATATGCTGGATTACATTTATTGATTTGTGTATATTGAACCAGCCTTGCATCCCAGGGATGAAGCCCACTTGATCATGGTTGATAAGCTTTTTGATGTGCTGCTGGATTCAGTTTGCCAGTATTTTATTGAGGATTTTTGCATCAATGTTCATCAAGGATATTGATCTAAAATTCTCTTTTTTGGTTGTGTCTCTGCCAGGCTTTGGTATCAGAATGATGCTGGCCTCATAAAATGAGTTAGGGAGGATTCCCTCTTTTTCTATTGATTGGAATAGTTTCAGAAGGAATGGTACCAATTCCTCCTTGTACCTCTGGTAGAATTCGGCTGTGAATCCTTCTGGTCCTGGACTCTTTTTGGTTGGTAAGCTGTTGATTATTGCCACAATTTCAGAGCCTGTTATTGGTCTATTCAGAGATTCAACTTCTTCCTGGTTTAGTCCTGGGAGGGTGTATGTGTCCAGGAATTTATCCATTTCTTCTAGATTTTCTAGTTTATTTGCGTAGAGGTGTTTGTAGTATTCTCTGATGGTAGTTTGTGTTTCTGTGGGATCAGTGGTGATATCCCCTTTATCATTTTTTATTGTGTCTATCGGATTCTTCTCTCTTTTCTTCTTTATTAGTCTTGCTAGCAGTCTATCAATTTTGTTGATCCTTTCAAAAAACCAGCTCCTGGATTCATTAATTTTTTGAAGGGTTTTTTGTGTCTCTGTTTCCTTCAGTTTTGCTGTGATTTTAGTTATCTTGCCTTCTGCTAGCTTTTGAATGTGTTTGCTCTTGCTTTTCTAGTTCTTTTAATTGTGATGTTAGGGTGTCAGTTTTGGAACTTTCCTGCTTTCTTTTGTGGGCATTTAGTGCTATAAATTTCCCTCTACACACTGCTTTGAATGTGTCCCAGAGATTCTGGTATGTTGTGTCTTTGTTCTCGTTGGTTTCCAAGAACATCTTTATTTCTGCCTTCATTTTGTTATGTACCCAGTAGTCATTCAGGAGCAGGTTGTTCAGTTTCCATGTAGTTGAGTGATTTTGAGTGAGTTTCTTAATCCTGAGTTCTAGTTTGATTGCACTGTGGTCTGAGAGACAGTTTGTTATAATTTCTGTTCTTTTACATTTGCTGAGGAGAGCTTTACTTCCAACTATGTGGTCAATTTTGGAATAGGTGTGGTGCGGTGCTGAAAAAAATGTATATTCTGTTGATTTGGGGTGAAGAGTTCTGTAGATGTCTATTAGGTCCACTTGGTGCAGAGCTGAGTTCAATTCCTGGGTATCCTTGTTAACTTTCTGTCTCGTTGATCTGTCTAATGTTGACAGTGGGGTGTTAAAGTCTCCCATTATTATTGTGTGGGAGTCTAAGTCTCTTTGTAGGTCACTCAGGACTTGCTTTATGAAACTGGGTGCTCCTGTATTGGGTGCATATATATTTAGTATAGTTAACTCTTCTTGTTGAATTGATCCCTTTACCATTATGTAATGGCCTTCTTTGTCTCTTTTGATCTTTGTTGGTTTAAAGTCTGTTTTATCACAGACTAGGATTGCAACCCCTGCCTTTTTTTGTTTTCCATTTGCTTGGTAGATCTTCCTCCATCCTTTTATTTTGAGCCTATGTGTGTCTCTGCACGTGAGATGGGTTTCCTGAATACAGCACACTGATGGGTCTTGACTCTTTATCCAATTTACCAGTCTGTGTCTTTTAATTGGAGCATTTAGTCCATTTACATTTAAAGTTAATATTGTTATGTGTGAATTTGATCCTGTCATTTTGATGTTAGCTGGTTATTTTGCTCATTAGTTGATGCAGTTTCTTCCTAGCCTTGATGGTCTTTACAATTTGGCATGATTTTTCAGTGGCTGGTACTGGTTGTTCCTTTCCATGTTTAGTGCTTCCTTCAGGAGCTCTTTTAGGGCAGGCCTGGTGGTGACAAAATCTCTCAGCATTTGCTTGTCTGTAAAGGATTTTATTTTGCCTTCACTTATGAAGCTTAGTTTGGCTGGATATGAAATTCTGGGTTGAATATTGGCCCCCACTCTCTTCTGGCTTGTAGAGTTTCTGCTGAGAGATCCACTGTTAGTCTGATGGGCTTCCCTTTGTGGGTAACCCGACCTTTCTCTCTGGCTTCCCTTAACATTTTTTCCTTCATTTCAACTTTGGTGAATCTGACAATTATGTGTCTTGGAGTTGCTCTTCTCGAGGAGTATCTTTGTGGCGTTCTCTGTATTTCCTGAATCTGAACGTTGGCCTGCCTTGCTAGATTGGGGAAGTTCTCCTGGATAATATCCCGCAGAGTGTTTTCCAACTTGGTTCCATTCTCCCCGTCACTTTCAGGTACACCAATCAGACATAGATTTGGTCTTTTCACATAGTCCCATATTTCTTGGAGGCTTTGTTCATTTCTTTTTATTCTTTTTTCTCCAAACTTCCCTTCTCGCTTCATTTCATTCATTTCATCTTCCATCACTGATACCCTTTCTTCCAGTTGATCACATCGGCTCCTGAGGCTTCTGCATTCTTCACGTAGTTCTCGAGCCTTGGCTTTCAGCTCCATCAGCTCCTTTAAGCACTTCTCTGTATTGGTTATTCTAGTTATACATTCGTCTAAATTTTTTTCAAAGTTTTCAACTTCTTTGCCTTTGGTTTGAATTTCCTCCTGTAGCTCGGAGTAGTTTGATTGTCTGAAGCCTTCTTCTCTCAGCTCGTCAAAGTCATTCTCCATCCAGCTTTGTTCTGTTGCTGGTGAGAAACTGTGTTCCTTTGGAGGAGGAGAGGCTCTCTGCTTTTTAGAGTTGCCAGTTTTTCTGCTGTTTTTTCCCCATCTTTGTGGTTTTATCTACTTTTGGTCTTTGATGATGGTGATGTACAGATGGGTTTTTGATGTGGATGTCCTTTCTGTTTGTTAGTTTTCCTTCTAACAGACAGGACCCTCAGCTGCAGGTCTGTTGGAGTTTGCTAGAGGTCCACTCCAGACCCTGTTTGCCTGGGTAACAGCAGCGGTGGCTGCAGAACAGTGGATTTTCGTGAACCGCGAATGCTGCTGTCTGATCGTTCCTCTGGAAGTTTTATCTCAGAGGAGTACCTGGCAGTGTGAGGTGTCAGTCTGCCCCTACTGGGGGGTGCCTCCCAGTTAGGCTGCTCGGGGGTCAGGGGTCAGGGACCCACTTGAGGAGGCAGTCTGCCCATTCTCAGATCTCCAGCTGCGTGCTGGGAGAACCACTGCTCTCTTCAAAGCTGTCAGACAGGGACATTTAAGTCTGCAGAGGTTACTGCTGTCTTTTTGTTTGTCTGTGCCCTGCCCCCAGAGGTGGAGCCTACAGAGGCAGGCAGGCAGGCCTCCCTGAGCTGTGGTGGGCTCCACCCAGTTCAAGCTTCCCAGCTGCTTTGTTTACCTAAGCAAGCCTGGGCAATGGCGGGCGCCCCTCCCCCAGCCTCGCTGCCGCCTTGCAGTTTGATCTCAGACTGCTGTGCTAGCAATGAGTGAGAATCCATGGGCATAGGACCCTCTGAGCCATGTGCGGGATATAATCTCCTGGTGTGCCATTTTTTAAGCCCATCGGAGAAGCGCAGTATTGGGGTGGGAGTGACCCGATTTTCCAGGTGCCGTCTGTCACCCATTTCTTTGACTAGGAAAGGGAACTCCCTGACCCCTTGCGCTTCCTGAGTGAGGCAATGCCTCGCCCTGCTTCGGCTCGCGCACGGTGCGCTGCACCCACTGTCCTGTGCCCACTGTCTGGCACTCCATAGTGAGATGAACCTGGTACCTCAGATGGAAATGCAGAAATCACCCGTCTTCTGCATCGCTCACGCTGGGAGCTGTAGACCGGAGCTGTTCCTGTTCGGCCATCTTGGCTGCTTCCACAAGAATTCTACTTTTTAAGGTATAAGGATAACATTGAGGAATGAAAACAGCTTTGGATTTTTGTTAGTTTATGTGTCCTCATTTTTTCCAGTGACTCAACACCTGGGCTTGCTCATTGTCTCTATTGTCTAAAATAAATGCATTCTGATAAGCGTCACTTCTCTTTGATTGTGAATTGATTATTTGAGTTCATAGCAGCATGTGGGGGCTTTGTTATGCTGTCTGGCTTGTTCTGAGGTCAACAGGGAAGTCAACTAGTACTCAGTCATTCAAATAAGGAGAATAATGTACTCAGACTTAACATTGTTCTGGTATTCAGTCCTACCAAAACATCATTTCTGCCACTTACTCAGGAAAGAGTAAAAGCTCTAACTCTTAATTTAATTTACCTTTCTCCTTCCTATACGATACCTGAAAACATTTATGAATGAGTACGCCTTTAGTGCCTCCATTTTAGTTACTTTAATCTGTGAAATTTCCACAAAGCATTGTATGGCTTTCCCTTGTAGTTTTAGCCTTTATCATAAACAGTCTGAGTGTAACATCCATAGGGGTGTGTAAAGTTTCTGCCATATATAAAATATATTTAAAAAATATATTTAAAAGAAAAACTACAAATACCAAAGCCAAAGAGAAAATCTTGAAAGAAGCTGGTGGTGGGGAGTGGGAGAGTGGGGGGCTTCCTTTTACTTATAGAGAAAGAGGATAAGAATTATAATATACTTCTCATCAGAAATCATGCAAGCAAGAGGGGAATGGAGTAAAATATTAAAAGTATTGAGTATTGAAAGACAAAAGCCGTCAACCTAGAATTCTATATCTAGGGAAATTATCTTTCAAAAGTAAAGAAGAACTATTTTCTCAGACAAGCAAAAATGGAGAGAATTCATAATCCACAGACCTACCCTAGAATAAATATTAAAAGATGTTCTTCAAGGAGAAGAAAAATATAGTTCAGAAACATGGATCTACACTAAAAGAAGAGCATAGAATAAGGAATAAATAATCCTGAAATAAAACATATGATTTTTCTTTTTAAGTGAGGTATTAGAGAAGTGCTTTTTAATGTTACAAAGGCAACAACTTATTAGCTGATTATAGTATAGAAAAATTATAAAAAGAAATACTTTTAAGAATCAGAAGTATTGTAAGAGAGAAGAAAAAGCAGAATCATATAAAATACTCAAACCAAAGAAAACAGAAAGGGGGAAGGGCATAAAAAAAGAAAGAAATGCCCAGTGCAATGAATAGAAAGCAGTTAAAATATGGTAGTTATTAATCCAGCTATATCAATAATCACTTTAAATGTGAATAGCCTAATACACCAATTAAAAGACAAAGATTATTACATTAGATAAAATAACAAGACTAAAATATTATACATGTTTCTACAAGAAACTCACTTTAAACATAAAGACACAGCTGGGCTAAGAGTAAAATGATGAAGAAAGATATGCTAACACTAATCAAAATAAATCTGATGTTAGCTATATTAATTTCAGACAAAGCATACTTTGAACAAGGAAAATTATCAGAGATAAACAGGAGTACTACATAATAATGAAGGGATTAATTCACCAAGGGGACATAATCTTTAATGTATATGCACATAACAACAGAGCATAAAAATACATGAGACAAAACTGATAGAACTGCCAGGAAACATAGGCATATCCACTATTATAATTGGAGACTTCAACACCCCTCTTTTAGCAATTATTAGATAAAGCAGGCAAAAAATTCATACAGATATAGTTGACCTGAACAACCATCAATCAACTTGATCTAATTGACATCTATAGAATATTTTATTCATCAAAAGCAGACTACACATTCCACTCAAGCTTATGTAGGACATTCACCAATATCAACCCTATTCGGGGCAATAAAACATATCTTAACAGAGTTAAAAAAATAGAAATCATACCAAGTATGTTCACAGTCAACATGGGAGTTAAACTAGAAATCAATAAAAGAAAAATGGCTAGAAAAGTCCAAAGTATTTGGAAATTAAATAGCACACTAATAAATAACCCATGGTTCAAATAAGAAGTGGCAAGAGAAATTTACAAATACTTTGTACTAAAAGAAAATGAAAATATAACTCACCAAAATTTTTGAGATGCAAGGAAAGTAGTGCTTAGAGGTTAATTTAACATTAAATGCATATATTAGAAGTTTCTAATCTGATGTAAGACTAGAGAAGGAACAATTTAAGTCAAAAGTAAGAAGAAGAAATGAAATAATAAAAATTAAAGAAGAAATAAATAAAATTTAAAAAAAAACAATAAAAGCCAAGGCTGATTATTGTAACAGATTGATAAAATTATAAAACTCCAGCCAGGCTCAACAAGAAAAAAAGAAAGAATATACAAATTATTAATATAATAAATGAAAGAGGAATCCCACTACTGAGCCTATGGACATTAAAAGAATAATAAAGGAATATTATGAACAACTCTATGCCCACAAATTTGATAATCTAGATAAAATGGATCAAGTCCTGGAAAGAAACAATCACCAAAACTCATGCAAAGAGAAAAATAATATCTTAATAGACCTGTCTCTATTACAGAAATTGAATGAATAATTAGTAACCTTTTAAAACAGAAAACATTAGGTTCAGATGGCTTCACTGGCAAATCCTACCAAACATTTAAGGAAGAAATGATACCAATTCTTCACAATTTCTTTCAGAAAATAGAAGCAGAGGGAATACCTCCTAACTCATTCTCTGAGGCCAGCATTGCCTTAATACCAAAACAACTAGAGAAATACATTACAAGAAAGAAAACTTACAGACACGTATCTCTCATGAACATAGATGCAAAAAATCCTCAAAAATGTTTGCAAATCCAATTGAACAATGTATAAAAACAATTATTCCAAAATAGCTGGATGAGAGGACTTGAAATTTTCTCAACATATGGAAATGATAAATACTCAAGATGATGGAGACTCCCGAATACCCTGACTTGATCATGCATCAAGTATATGCACACAGTCTATGCATATAACAAAATATTGCATGTACCCCATAAATATATGTACAAATATTGTGTATCAATTTAAAAATAAAATAAATTTAAAATAATTATTCACCAAAACCAAGTGGAATGTATTCTAGGCATGCAAGGATGGTCAACATTCAAATACCAATTGATGTAATACACAACATCAATAAGCTAAAGAAGAATCATATGATCGTATTAAAAGATGCACAAGAAGAATTTGATAAAATCCAACATCCACTTGTGATTTAAAGGAAAAAAACCTCTCAGAAGACTATAAATAGAAGAGAACTCCCTCAAGTTGATGAAGAACATCTATTAAAAATTTATAGCTGGAAGTCCTAGCTAGAGCAATCAGACAAGAGAAAGAAATAGAGAGCATCCAAAATGGAAAGGAAGTCAAATTATCCTTGTTTGTATGATCTTATGTTTGGAAAAACCTAAAGACTCCAACAAAAAAACTGTTAGAAGTGATAAACAAATTCAGTAAAGTTGCAGGATACAAAATCAACATACAAAAATCAGTAGCATTTCAATATGCCAACATTGAAGAATCTGAAAAAGAAATCAAAAAGTAACCCCCTTTACAATAGCTACAAGGAAAATTAAATAACTAGTAATCAACTTAACAAAGACGTGAAAGAGCTCTACAATGAAAACTATAAAACATGGTGAAAGAAATCAAAGAGGACACACAAAAAGCGGAAGGATATTCCATGGTCATGGATTAGAAGAATAAATATTATTAAAATGTTCATACTACCCAAAGCAATTTACAGATTCAATTCAATCCCTATCAAAATACCAATGGCATTCTTTACATAAATAGAAAAAAGCAATGCTAAAATTTATGTGAAACTACAAAAGACCCAGAATAGCTAAAGCTATCTTGAGCAAAAAGAGCAGAACTGAAACACTCACATTACATGACTTCAAATTATACTACAGAGATATATTAATGAAAACAGCATAGTACTGGCATAAAAGCTGACACAGATCAATGAAACAGAATAGAGAACCCAGAAACAAATCCAAAGAACTGCAATAAACCCATTTTTGACAAAGGTGCCAAAAACATACATTAGGGAAAGGACAGTCTCTTCAATAAATGTTGCTGGGAAAACCGGATATCCATATGTACAAGAATGAAACTAGACCCCTATCTCTTGCTATATAGAAAAATCAAATCAAAATAGATTAAAGACTTAAATCTAATACCTCAAACTATGAAACCACTATAAGAAACATTGGGGAAATTCTCTAGGACATTGGACTGGCCAAAGATTTCTTGAGATACCCTACAAGCACAAGCAACCAAAGCAAAAAATGGACACATAGGATCACATCAAGTTAAAAAGCTTCTGCACAACAAAGGAAACCATCAATAAAGTGAAGAGATAACCCACAGATTGGGAAAAAAAATACTTGAAAACCACCTGTCTAACAACGGATTAATAACTAGAATATACAAGGAGCTCAAACAATTCTATAGGGAAAAAATAATAATCTGATTCAAAAATTGGCAAAAAATCTGAATAGACCTCAAAAGAAGACATACAAATGGCTAACTGGTATAGGAAAAGGTGCTCAACATCACTGATCATTAGAGAAGTGCAAATCAAAACTACAGTGAGATACCATCTCACCCCAGTAAAAATGGCTTTTATCCAAAGACAGCCAATAACAAATGTCGGGGAGGATGTGGAGAAAAGGGAACCCTTGTCCACTGTTGGTCGGAATGTAAATTAGTACAGCCACTATGGAAAACAGTTTGGAGCCTCTTCAAAAAACTGAAAATAGAGCTACCATATGATCCAGGAATCCCACTGCTAGGGACCCCAAAAGAAAGGAAATTAGTATATTGAAGAGACATCTGCACTCCCATGTTTATTGCAACACTATTCACAATAGCCAAGATTTGGAAACAACCTATGTGTCCAAAAACAGATGAATGGATAAAGAAAAATGTGGTACATATACACAATGGAGTACTACTCAGCCATGAAAAGAAGGAGGTTCTGCCATTTGCAACAACATGGATGGAACCTTAGGTCATTACGTTAAGTGAAATAAGCCAGGCGCGGAAAGACAAAATTCACATGTTCTCACTTATTTGTGGATGCTGAATAGGAAAACAGTTGAACTTATGGAGATAGGTAGTGGAAGGATGGTTATCAGAGGCGTGAAAAGTTAATGGTGGCAATGAGGGTTAAATGGGGATGATTAAAGGGTACAACAATAAAAAGAATGAATAAGATCTAGTATTTGATATCAATAAAAGGGTAACTATAGTCAATAACATTTAAAGATAACTAAAAGAGTATAACTGGAATGTTTGCAACACAAATGATAAATGCTTGAGGTGATGGATACCCCATTTACCCTGATATGATTATTATGCATTGTATGCCTGTATCCAAATATCTCATGTACCCCATAAATATATACACCTACTATGAACCCACAACAATCAAAACTTTTTAAAAATTTAAATTAAAAATTAAAATTAAAAAGCCCTACAGCTAACATGTTTAAACTAAGAAGCTTGATACTTGTCTCCTAAGATTGGGAACAAGGCAAGGATATTCCCTCTCACAACTCCTATTCGGCATCATATAGGAAATCCTACTTATTGCAATAAGACAAGAAGAGGAAATAAAATGTAAATACAAACTGGGAAGAAAGAAAAAATACTGGGCTGGGCACAGTGGTTCACAACTATAATCCTTGCACTTTAGAAGGCCAGAACTGCAGGATTGCTTGAGGCCAGGAGTTCAAGATCAGCCTGGGCAACAAAGCTGGAACCCATCTCTTAAAAAAAAAAAAAAAAAAAAAAAAAAGTTAAAGTAGCTGAGTGAGGTAGCCCATGCCTATAGTCCCAGCTACTCAGGAGACTGAGGCAGGAGGATCACTTGAGCCCAGGAGTTGAGCTATGATCCTACTACTACACTCCAGCCTGGGTGACAGAGTGAGATCCTGTAAGAAAGAGAGAAAGAGAGAGAAAAGGGAGAAAGAACTGTCTTTATTTATATAGATGACATGATTATCTATGCAGACAATCCCAAATAATTAATTTCTGGAACTTGTAAGTAATTATAAAAATATTGAAGAATACAAGGTTAATATGCAGAAATCAATTGCTTTCCTATAACTACAGTAAAGAGTCAGAATTTGAAGTTTGAACAATACCATTTACAATAGCACCAAAAAATAAATACTTAGATAACATCTAATAAAATATGCACAGGATCTATATGCAATAAACTATAAAACTCTCACAAAAGAAAGTAGATGTGAGTAAGTAGAACGATATTCTGTGTTCATGCATGGCAATACCCAATATTGTTAAGATACCAGTTCTTCTCCAGCTTAATCTATAGATTTAACCCTTTTCCATTTAGAAAATAAAAAAGTACAGCTCACTACCAGCACTCATTTAATTTTACATAAACACACTCTTTGAGGATGAAGCAAATCTGATTGATTTTCAATGTGAAAATATAAAAACTGTTCTTGGAGTTATTTCTAAACAAAACTAACATCAGAATTGTCTGAATCATCAGAATCATCTATTTTGGAAAAACTGGATTCGTCAAATGAATCTTTGGCCAACAACTGTTGGAGAATGATGTTAATATCACATGTAGGAATGCTACATTTTCTAGAATTTTACATATTCAGTGACCGAGAATTACTATATTTTCTAAGTGGAAATACCACTACCAAAAACAGAATGCTATAAATAGAATGATGTCTTTTGTTTCCAAAGTTGATATACTAAAGCAATGCGAAAATAATAATAAAAGGGAGATATTTCGTGGCAAAAGTATATCGGGGTAAATGCGACAGCTGCAAGCACTGCCGGCAAGTATTCTCAGGGCAAATGGGAAAAGGGTTTAATGTAAGCCTAACCAAAAATCCCAGTAAGTTATTTTGTAGATAGCAAAAACTGATTCTAAAGTTTATATTGAAAGTCAAAAGGCCCAGAACAGCCAGTGCAGTGTTGAAGAAGAACAAAGTAGGAGGACCGGCACTACCTGACTTCAAAACTTACTGTAAAGCTACAGTAATCAAGATATTGTGGAGTTGGAAAAAGAATAGACACATAGACCAATGGAACAAAATAAAGAGCTAGAAATAGACTCTCACAAATGTAGGCAACTGATATTTGACAGAGGAGCAAAGGCAATTCAAGAGAGAAAGGACATCTTTTTAACAAATGGCACTGCAGCAATTGGAAGTCCATATGGTAAAAAGCTGAATCAAGTCATAAATCTTACACCTTTCACAAAATTTAACCCAAAATGGATCATAGACTTAAATGTAGAAGTTGACACTTATAAAAATTCTAGAAGAAAATATAAGGAATTTGAATTTGACATAGAATTTTTAGATACAACACCAAAGGCATGAGAAAACAATAATAATCCACTTGACTCAGCCATGAGCAAAGGTTACATAATCATAATAATCATAAATACTGAGTACTGATTTAGTTTCTCAAAATATGATAAAACTAAACTTAGTTGATAACAGATAGGGGAAAAAAAGAGGGGAGAGATTGTAAGAGGACTGAAGCCATATCTTTTATTTTAGGAAATCAGATGATAATACATAAAACTGATAAATCAAGAAATAGCAGTATATAGATATTGTTAAGACATAGGGGTATAAAACCCAGAAAGAGGTTGACATCAGCAGCATGGCAGAATAGGAGGTCTCCAGCCTTGGCCATTACCCCCAAAAAAACACTGATTAAGCAACTATTCATGAAGAAGAATGCCTTTGTGAGATTTAGGGAACCCAAGAAAAAGGTTGCAGCACACCAATGGTGCAAAATATCTGAGAAAAGCTGCATTTAAAAGGATAAAATGAGTAGTTTCCCTCTATCAGATTTACACTTCCCCTAAGCTACCACAGCACAGTACCAAGAAAGATCCCCTTTGCCCACAATTTCTCCCATAGGGAGTTTCACTTATGAAACTTAGTTTCACTGGAAACAAAATTTTTGACTGATAATTGTTTTGTTTAAGGAGGCCAAAGATAGGACACCAATCCCTTCTAGCTTGTAAGGTTTCTGCTGAGAAATCTGCTGTTAATCTGTTACAGCAAAAGGGGATACAGCAAAAGCAGTGCTAAGAGGAAAGTTCATAGTATTAAATGCCTACATCAAAAGCTCTGAATGAGCACAAAGAGACAATCTAAGACCACACCTCAAAGAACTAGAGAAAGAAGAACAAACCAACCCAAACCCGGCACAAGAAAAGAAGTAACCAAGATCAGAGCTGAACTAAATGAAATTGAAACAAACAAAGAAAAAAAATACAAAAGATAAATGAAACAAAAAGCTGTTTCCTTGAAAAGATAGATAAAATTGATATACCATTAGCGAGATTAACCAAGAAAAGAATAGGGAAGATCCAAATAAGCTCAATTAGAAAAGAAACGGGAGATATTACAACTGATACCACAGAAATACAAGAGTTCATTCAAGGCCACTATGAATACCGTTATGCACACAAACTAGAAAACCTAGAGGAGATGAATAAATTTCTGGAAATATACAACCCTCCTAGATTAAACCAGGAAGAAATATAAATGCTGAACAGACCAGTAACAAGCAGTGAGACTGAAATGGTAATTTTTAAATTGCCAACAAAAAAAAAAATCCAGGACCAGTTGGATTCACAGCTGAATTCTATCAGACATTCAAAGAAGAATTGGTACCATTCCTATTGACACTATTCAAAAAAGTAGAGAAAGAGGGAGTCCTCCCTAAGTCATTCTATGAAGCCAGTATCACCCTAATACCAAAACGAGGAAAGGACATAACAACAAAAAAAGAAAACTACAGACCAATATCCCTGATGAACTTAGAAGCAAAAATCCTCAACTAGCTAACCGAATCCAACACCATATGAAAAAGATAATCCACCATGATCAAGTGTGTTTTATACCAGAGATGCAGGGATGGTTTAACATACACATATCAGTAAATGTGGTACCCCACATAAACAGAATTAAAAACAAAAATCACATGATCATCTCAATAGATGAAGAAAAAGCAGTTGACAAAATCCAGCATCCCTTTATTATTAAAACCCTCAGCAAAATTGGCATTGAAGGGGCATACCTTAATGTAATAAAGCCATCTACGACAAACCCACAGCCAACATAATACCAAACAGGGAAAAGTTGAAAGCATTCCCTCTGAGAACTGGAACAAGACAAGGATGCCCACTCTCACCACTTTTAGTCAACATAATACTGGAAGTCCTAGCAAGAGCAATCAGAAATAAAGGGCATCCAAATTGGTATAGAGGAAGTCAAACTGTCACTGTTTGCTGATGATATGATTGTATACCTAGAAAACCTTAACGACTCCTCCAGAAAGCTCCTAGAACTAATAAATGAATTCAGCAAAGTTTCAGGATACAAAATCAATCTACACAAATCAGTAGCTTTTCTATACACCAACAGTGACCAAGCTGAGAATCAAATCAAGAACTCAACCCATTTTACAGTAGCTGCAAAAAATAAAATAAAATACTTAGAAATATAACTAATCAAGGAGGTGAAAGACATCTACAAGGAAAACTCCAAAACACTGCTGAAAGAAATTATAGACTACACAAACAAATGGAAACACATCCCATGCTCATGGATAGGTAGAATCAATATCGTGAAAATGACCATACTGCCAAAAGCAATCTATAAATTCAAGGCAATTTCCATCAAAATACCACCATCATTATTCACAGAATTAGAAAAAACAATCCTAAAATTCATATGAAACCAAAAAAATGCAAGACTAAGCGAAAAGAACAAATCTGGAGGCATCACATTACCAGACTTCAAACTATACTGTAAGGCCATAGTCACCAAAACGGCATGGTACTGGTATAAAAATAGGCACATAGACCAATGGAACAGAATGGAGATCCCAGAAATAAAGCCAAATACTTACAGCCACTGATCTTCGATAAAGCAAACAAAAACACAAAGTGGGGAAAGAACACTCTATTCCACAAATGGTGCTGGGAGAATTGGCAAGCCACATGTAGAAGAATGAAACTGGATCCTCATCTTTCACCTTATACAGAAATCAACTCAAGATGGATCAAAGACTTAAATCCAAGACCTAAAACCATAAAAATTTTAGAAGATAACATCAAAAAAATCCTTCTAGATATTAGCTTAGGCAAAGACTTCATCACCAAGAACCCAAAAGCAAATGCAATGAAAACAAAGATAAATAGATGAAACTTAAACTGAAAAGCTTCTGTACAGGAAAAGAAACAATCAGCAGAGTAAACAGACAACCCACAGAGCGGGAGAAAATCTTCACAATCTGTACATCCAACAAAGGACCAATATCCAGAATCTACAAGAAACTCAAAGAAATCAGCAAGGAAAAAAAAAAATCCCATTAAAAAGTGGGCTAAGGACATAAATAGACAATGTTCAAATGAAGATATACAAATGGCCGACAAATACATGAAAAAATGCTCAACATCACTAATGATCAGGGAAATGAAAATCAAAACCAAATGTGATACCACCTTACTCCTGCAAGAATGGCCTTAATCAAAAAATAAAAAATAATAGATGTTGGCCTGGATGTGGGGAAAAGGGAACATTTTTACACTGCTGATGGGAATGTAAACTAGTACAACCACTATGGAAAACAGTGTGGAGATTCTTTAAAGAACTAAAAGTAGATCTACCATTTGATCCAGCAGTCCCACTACTGGGTATCTACCCAGAGGAAAATAAGTCATTATATGAAAAAGACACTTGCACATACATGTTCATAGCAGCACAATTCACAACTGCAAAAATATGGAACAAGCCCAAATGCCCATCAATCAACAAGTGGATAAAGAAAATTTGGTATGTATACACCACGGAATACTACTCAGCCATAAAAAGGAATGAAATAATGGCATTCGCAGCAACTTGGATGGAATGGTAGACCATTATTCTAAGTGAAGTAACTCAGGAATGGAAAACCAAACATCATATGTTCTCACTGATAAGTGGGAGCTAAGCTATGACGACACAAAGGCATAAGAATGATACAGTGGACTATGGGGACTCCAGGGAGAGTGGTAGGGGAGTAAGGAATAAAAAACTACACGTTGGGTACAATGTACACAGCTCTGGTGATGGGTGCAACAAAATCTTAGAAATCACCACAAAAGAACTTATCCATGTAATCAAACACCACCTGTTCCTCAAAAACTATTGAAATGAAACATAATAATTTTTAAAAGAAGATAACAACAAAGCTAAGAGTTGGGTTTTTTTTTGAAAAGATAAACAACATCAACAAGCCCCTAGCTAGATTACCTTTTTAAAAAGAGAAGACTCAAATAAATAAAATCAGACATCAAAGAGGAAACATTACAACTGAAGCAATAAAATGAAAAGATTTTAAGGGATTATTATGAACGATTATATGCCAAAAAACAGGCAACAAAAGCAATAATAGAGAAATGAGACGGCATCATATTAAAAAGCTTCTGCATAGCAAAACAATCAACAAAGTGAACAGGCAACTTATGGCATGGGAGAAAGTATTTGTAAATTATAGCTGATAAAGAATAAATATCCAAAATCTATAAGGACATCATCCAATGCAATAGCAAAAAAATAAATAAAAAATAACCTGATCAAAAAAATGGGCAAAAGACTTGAATAGACATTTCTTCAAAAAAGACACACACGGCCAGCAAATATACAAAAGCTCCCCTTCACTAATCATGAGGGAAATGCAAATTAAAGCTACAATAAGATATCACCTCACACCAGTTAAAATGGCTATTATAAAGAAAAAAAAGGATGAGTGTTTGCAAGGATATGGACAAAAGGGAACCCTTGTACACTGTTGATGGGAATGTTAATTGGTGCAGCCATTATGGAAAATAGTGTGGAAGATCCTCAAAAGTAGAAACAGAACTACCATATGATCCAGGATTCTAGTTATATACCCAAAAGAGTTGAAATCAGGGTCTCAAAGAGGCATCAGCATTCCCATGTTTTTGCAGCATTATTCACTGTGGTAAGGACATGGAAACAACCTAAATGTCCAATGAGAGATGAATGATAAATAAAAGGTGTATAGACATAGAATGGAATGTTATTCAGCCCTTAAAAAGGAATAAATCCTTCCATTTGCTAAAATGTGGATTAAGCCGAAATGACATTATTCTGAGTGAAATAAACCAGACTATATGATCCCACTTATATCAAGAATATAAAATAGCCAAAGTCATAGAAGCAGAGAGTAGAATGGTGGTTACCTGGGGCTGGGAAGGGAATCAAGGAGGTGTTGGTCAAAGGGTACATTTCAGTTATACAAGCTAAGTCCTGGAGATCTACTGTACAGCATAAAAGCCGTAATTAACAATATTCTACTGTGTACTTAAAACTTGTTAAGCGAGTAGATTTTTTTTTTTTTTTTTTGAGAAGGAGTTTCGCTCTTGTTGCCCAGGCTGGAGTGCAATGGCGCAATCTTGGCTCACCGCGACTTCTGTCTCCCGAGTTCAAGCGATTCTCCTGCCTCAGCCTCCCAAGTAGCTGGGATTACAGGCATGTGCCACCACCCTGGCTAATTTTGTATTTTTAGTAGAGATGGGGTTTCCCCATGTTGGCCAGGCTGGTCTTGAACTCCCCACCTCAGGTGATCCACCCACCTTGGCCTCCCAAAGTGCTGGGATTACAGGCGTGAGCCACTGCACCCGGCCGTGAGTAGATCTTATGTTAAATGTTTGTATCACCAAAAAACAGAGAGGAAGGTTTTACAGGTGATGGTTATGTTTATGGCACTGTTTATGGTGATGGTTTCAATGGACTTATACTTACCTGAAAACTCATCATGTATACATTAATTATGTATACCTTCTTGTATATAAATCATACTTCAATTTTTAAAAAATGAATTAGGCCAGGCAAAGTGGCTCACACCTGTAATCCCAGCACTTTGGGAGGCCAAGGCGGGTGATCACTTGAGGCCAGGAGTTCAAGACCAGCCTGGCCAACATGGCGAAACCCCATCTCTACTAAAAATACAAAAATTAGCCAGGTGTGGTTGCACGCACCTGTAATCCCAGCTACTCAGGAGTCTGAGGCAGAGAATCTCTTGAACCTGGGAGGCAAAGGTTGCAGTGAGCCGAGGTCACTTGTCCAGCCTGGGCGACAAGAGGAAGACTGTATAAAAAAAAAATTAAAATGAAATGAAATGAAATCTAGAAGGAACCGCTGAAAGGGTTGAATGTGGCTTCCTCTGGGGCAGAACAGGGCATGAAGAGGAAACTAAAGGGCAGTTGGTGGGGCAGGGAGTTTCTGCTTTTTTAATATAAACATTTTAGAACTTTTGATGGTTTCATTCTGATAAACATTAAAAAGGAACACTACAACACAACTGGGAAAAAAACCTGACACCACCACCCTTCCCTTGCTTAGTGAGGGTGTGATACTGTGGTGTCATCTAATGTCTGTGTTGCTGATAGACTGGGAGCTCTGTCACAGGGCAGGGACCACATCTACTTCATAGACTGCTGTATTCACAGGTCTGACACCTTCTAGGCGCCAATACGTATTTGTTGAATGAAAAAAATATATAAGAAACATTTCACAGTGGTAGAAGCAGCACCCAGAGGACAGATGTGACAAATGATACAGAGATAGCCTTACTACAGTTTGACATCAGGCACTGGCATAGAGCAGGAACTCAGAAAGGTCTGGAAATTTGCTCTTTATTAAAGGAGGTTGGTGATGAGAGAGAGAGGTTGGTAGTCCAAGGAGGTAGCGAGATCAAGGAAGACATTATCATGGCTGGGATATCAGGACATTGTTTGCAGTACCAAAAATAAGCATCTAGTGGAGGGAGGGATATAAGCGATGCCAGAGAGAGACACTGAAGATAATTTCTGCAAAATATGGAAAATTATGATTTTCTGTTGTGGAATTTCAGATGTTCTTCCTCCTCCCCCTCCAGAGCTAGCAGTTCTGCCGTGTTTTGATGATTGCTTGGGCCGTTACAGTGCCTTGCTAACCACACTCCCTACCTCCCTTCTGAAAGAACACATGTTCCCTACAATGTTCGATGTCTCTACTTAATGTTTGGCATCTATGTGCCTTGAGAAGCTCCAAATGATTCCAGTTAAGCAAAACAGGTCATGAATGTTATTCAGGGGAATTCAAATTGAATTCTCTCCAGGGTAACATCACCATAAAACCAGGTAGACTTTAGAAAGTGGGACTGCATGGAAGCACATCACTTAAAATCACTGTAGACGTGTGCCAGGAAATGTGTTGGAGGAAAATGTTCTGAAGGAGATTATTGGCCTCCTTTATGGATTAATCACTCTGATATTTGTGATTTAGAATCAGGAAGAAAGCACATTACCTCATTACAGGAATTCATTCTGGGAGGCATTCACAATTTGCCTCTTTCTCCAGGGATGGGCGGAGGGACTTGTAACCTTGAAAACATTCTTGCATGTGAGAAGTACAGAAAAATATTATATATTTCTGCATAAGGAGAAGCAGTAGAAAGTTTTTGTTTGTTCTGTTTGCTTTTTTTTAATCTAACATAAATTGACTATGCCAAAAACTACATTATCTGATGACCACGTCTCTAAGGTAGGCTGTATGGTTTATAGCACTTTACCAAAAGGGAAACTGAGGCTCAATGAAGTTAAATAGTATCCAAGGTGAACTAACAAATTTGTGGATGAGCTCAGAGTTGATCCCAAATATACGTAGGCAGGACCAGTTAATCGTTGATCTCATAACTACGTAGGCGGGACCAGTTAAATTTGTGATGCCCAGTGCAAAATAAAAATGCAGAGCCCCTTGTTCAAAAATGATGTAAGACTTTCAAGATGGTGACAGCATATCCTTAAACCAAGTGTGATCCCCTTCTGAGCACAACACCCTGTGTGACTGCACAGGATACAAATGCATAAGCCTGCCCCATGTATAGATACCTCCCAGATTCTGTACATTTGGGCTAGCTCCACTGAAAAAAAATTGGGACAGCTTTGATGAATATTAAACTATGATTATACCTTAAAATATTGTCTTGAAAAATACTGTAAACCCACTGTATATCAAAAATGGACTTCTACAATGATATTTGTACCTGAGTTAGAGATGATTTCAATATTATTTCAGATTGGCTCCTTCTATTTGAAATTGATGCATTAATTTTTTGGCTTTACCATACACTTTACTAAGGAGACCATTTTGAGCCCTGTTTCCATCTAAGCTGATGTCCTTTGTCCTATTCCTGGGACCTACAGGCTGTTCATCAGGAATCTTGGCAGACCCCCACACACACTGTGAGCCCCTCACAGCCACGCAATCCCCACTGCTGCTCACCCCACCTGACACAGAGTGAAGACTCAAGAAACATTCATTGAATAAATGAATGAGTGCATGAACTCTAGGAAACTGCAGCAGAATTTCAGATTTTCAAAAATGGAGCAAGAAGCAGTCTCCATGCAATCAATACTCAGGCAATGGTCCAAGGGACCTTTAGAATGGTTCTAAAATTAGACCATTAGGTCTCAAGAGAGGGCCAGGTCTAAAATCAGCATTTGAGCCAAAAGTCAAACCTGTCCTTGAAAAGTCCTTCAGGAGCTTCAGGTTGGAGGTACCATGAGAGGCTCACAGAAACCTACTGGGTGAGAAGCTGATGCACATCCCATATCTTATCCCACCCTGGGGCACATGCTCATTGCCTGCCAAGCCATGCAGTAAATTCCAGTAGGTTAAATGCACATGTGATGTAACTGTTTCTTAAGAGGTAAGTCAGTGCCTTCTCTGAAGGAAGTGTTTATTACTTTATGTCTGCAGCATTTCTTCCCCCTTCTCAGGGGAAGTTGTAAAATTCTGAACTCTGCGTTTTATAAGACACTTAGTCTTGCGTTAAAACTTCACCCAAAGTGATTTATCTTGCATCTTGCAACATTTCTGTATCTCACACATTTTCTATAATGAGCATGAATTACTTTTATAGTCAGTGGGAAAAAAACTTTACAGGGAGATTTTATACTTAGATCATTTTTTTGTTCTGAGCAAAACATTAAAAGAAAAGCTTTCCAGAGCCCTGTCCCCATCCATCACCATCTAGCCTTCAGAGCAGTACAGGAGCTTGGCATCCAGGCTGAACACTAAACTGCTGAAATGTGTATCTCAGATTCTCCACTTACTTAATCTGTCTAGGCCTCAGTGTCCTTATCTGTAAAATGGTACTAATACAATACCTTCTCCAAAGAGCTGCTCATATAAAGCCTTTAGCACATGTGCATTCAGTGTGGTTAGCTAATTAGCTCTTATTGCATATGAGTCTGTGTCTTCAGTGCTAATAGCCTAGATCTCAAGCAACCTAATTCCTTATCTAAATGTGAATGATAGAGCAAGTTTTTAAATCCTCTTTAAAGTAATCTCAAAAATAGAAAGGTGACATAGCTAGAAGAGTAAAGGATGATATATCGACCTCACTGCGCCCTCAAGGGCTCCAGTGACCACCCCAACTCATGACAGAATAGGATGAAATTTGGCCATGTAGCAAAAAGAGCTACTGAGCTTGACAATGTCATTTTTTCAACTGACTATATATCATTTATACCCAGTCAACATCCAAAGTAGATTCGAATGTTGTACATACCACTTGGAATCTGAAAATGCTTTCCCTTCCACTTTATTGGTGGCAAACCAGTTTTCTAATAATTCTCTATGAAGACCCTGTGCTAATAGATGCTGTCTACCTTTGAACCACTTGTCCCTTGGCTTTACAACATCACACTTTTCTATTTTGCTTCCCTGTTACTAGCCCATCTTTCTTGATCTCCTTTTTAGGCTCATCATCCTTGACCTTATCCCTTAAATCTTAACCTTTTCCAAGGCCCTTTCATGGGCCCACTTCCTTCAGACCCTGTACTCTTCCTGGGTCTCAGTCTGTCCTGATAGTTTCAACCACAATCTTCTTTTGCCAATGAACTTGATACCTGTATTGCCAAATCAGTCCTTTCTTCAAAGTCCAAATCCATAGAACTGACTGCCTTCAGAACATCTCCACTTGGATATTTTACAGGTACCTCAAACTCAACATGTCCAGACTGAACTCATCATCCCTTCAAACAGGCTCCCTTACAGCATTCCCTCTCTCAGGAAATGGCAGCTGTTTCCACCCTGCTAATCAAGCCAGGAATCTGTGATTAATCCTTAACTCATCTCAGTTTCCTCATTGCCTAAATCTAATCAATCACCATGTTGTCTTAACTATATTTGTTAAATCAGTGCCTGTCAAATTTCTTTTACAGGTATACACACATAACTGAAATAGAAGTTTCACAAAATAATTCTTATCATCATTATATGCAAGGCCCTGTAATATTTTCTCCTCTGTTCACTTCTGTTACTGTTTTAAAATGCTAGTAACAGTGAGTTACTGACAAATGTTTAACAACCAGCTAGGTCTTCTGGAGGCAAGGGAGGGAATACCTGATGTGTAACATTTGCCCATATCCTTGGTGTGACTATTCCCACCATGGCTGAATTCAAGCTACTGACCAACCAGCTTGCAAACCACCTAAAGATTTAACAACCAGCTCTCATGACAATCTCCAGCACGCCACACTCATGACTCAACAGTTTGATAGACACTGGTCTAAGTGTTCTTAAATCTTTCAGCTAATTTTCATTGCCAATGCTATTGTTCCTCTCCTAGCCACTACCATTTCTGATACAATTGGTTCAGCTCAATCTGATCTATTTCAGATTTATTTATTTTCAAAGACTTTATATTTGCACACTAGGACGGAGTCTACAATTCTTACCATGGCTTAAAAATCAACCCATGGTTTGGCACCTGCCTGCTCCTTCTGCCCTCTCTTCCTTGATCACAACAAAAGTGTTCTCTTCTTGAACTTCTGGGAGCGTTCTCTTGTTCTCAGTTCTTTAGACATGCCTTTTTTTGGCTAGAAAGTTCTTTCCTCCCATCTTTACTCAATGAATTCTTATCCTTTCTATCACAGTTTAAATGCTACTTTATTCATTCATTCATTCTTCTAGTGTGTGACAGGCATTCTGATAAGTGCTGAGGATCCAAGGAGAGGTAAAAATAAACAGTCCCTCACCCCACCGAACTTACACTGTAGAGGGGGAGAAACATATTATTTAAATAAAGATATTCAAATTTAAGTATGAATAAAAGAGCTTTAAAAATGAATGAGAGCCCTAGTTCTATAAGAACTTATAAAAATCTGTCCTAATCTGATGGATCAGGGGAGACTTTCCCGGAGTAAGTGATAATTGATCAGTTGTACCAGTTGAGCTAATATAGAAAAGATACATATAACCTAATTATTCTAAGTGGTGGCTAACTAACAGTACAGGCAGAAAGAAGAATATGTGAAAACCCACATTGCAGGAGGGAACATGACAAGATCAAGGAACCAAATGAAAGCCAGTGTGACAGGAATGCAAAGAGGAACAGGAGCAAGATATGGGATGGGGCCAAAGAGACCGATAGAAGCCACTCTATGAAGAGCACTCTAGACTTTGTTGAAACTTTGGGTCTCTAACAAAAAATCAGTGGGAGGCCTTTGACATGTTGAAAGCAGGGATATGGTGTGTTCATACTTCTGGTTTGGAAAGATCACTCTGGCAGCAGTGAGGATGACATGGAAGGAGGAAAAAATAGATGTAGAGACAAATTAGAAACTATCACAGTCCTCTAGACAGAAATGCTTCTAACACAAATTAAGATGCTGGTGATGCACATGGGAAAAATCAACATATTAGAGAGATGTAAGGGGTAACCTTGATAAGACAAGCTAATGGATTGGACAATCGCTACACTCTTCCTTTCCAACTTGGGCCTGGCAGAATGGTTCTCACAAAGAAGGATGGCAAGACAAAAAGGGCCACTCTGCCATCAACAAGGTGGTGACCTCGTTGATGATACACCATCAACATTCACAAGCGCGTCCATGGAGTGGGCTTCAAGAAGTCTGCCCCTTGGGCACTCAAAGAGATCTGGAAATTTGCCACGAAGGAGATGGGAACTCCAGATTTGCGCATTGATACCAGGCCCAACAAAACTGTCTGGGCCAAAGGAATAAGGAATGTCCCATACTGTAACCATGTGTGGTTGTCCAGAAAATATTCTGAGGATGAAGATTCACCAAATAAGCTCTATACTTCAGTTACCTATGTACCTGTTACCACTTTCAAAAATCTGCAGATAGTCAATGTGGATGAGAACTAACTGCTGATTGTCAAATACATCAAATAAAGTTATAAAATTGTAAAAAAAAAAAAAAGATAATGGATTAACTAAATGTGATGAAAGAGAGGGAAGTATCAAAGATGACTTGCAATGTTTGAGTTACAAAACTGAATGAATGATAGTACTATTTGCAGAAATAAGAAATACTGGAGGTTTGGGGAGAAAGAACATGATTTTGTCTTTAGATATATTGAGTTTGAGGTATCTTTAAGATGGGCAAAATGAGATGTCTTAAGAACAGTTTGATAAACTGCCTAGAATAGAGGAGAGATCTGGGTTAGGATATAAGTTTGTAAAATACCTGTGTATAAGTAGTGAACATGATGCCATAGCCATGAATGAACTCATCAACTGAGAATGCATAAGAGAAAACAGTTTGGAAACCAAGATTTAAGCAAATCCAAAAATTAGTGGTAGGGTAGTGAAGGGTGCACTGACAAAGGGAAGAGGAACAGCCAAGTGGTAGGAGGAAAACCAAGAGAAATTGATGTCAAAGAAACCAGTATCTTTTGGTCGAATAGCAAGAAGAGATGCCAGACTGCTGTGGGTGAAAGTGAGTACAATGTACAGATATGGTGTCAGTGAATCTGGACCACTTATTGGAGAAGTTTGCTTTTGAAGAGGAGAGACTTGAGTAGTACTTGTGAAGTATTTGGAAACTTTTGATTGTGCTTTAATGAAAGGCATCTGAACATATTCATCAGCTATGAAAAACATTGGTTTGAAAGAAAGTTAAATACACAAGAGAAAGAAAGACTAAAGGCAAGTGGGAGGTTTAAAAAAAGTTGGGGAATAATCCCTGTGTACCCATGGCACGCCTACACTTACCCTTTCTTAATTCTGACTACACTTGTAATTCTTAATTATCTGTGTTTCTCATTACACTGTACTCCATGAGGACAGGAGTTAGCTCTGCCTCATTTACTTTTTTTCATCGATGCATTATAGATGTACACAGTTTCAAGGTATATGTGTAATTTAATTCATTCATATAAGCCATTTACTTTGTATCATTTGTGAGTAACAAAGCACTCAGATAGGAGGCATGAATAAATGTTATTTTTTTAATTGTACATAAACGTGAATGCAAACGGAGGTACATTTAATAAAATAGACCATCCAAAAATCTTATTATGCTAATATGTGCATATATATGTATGCACACATATCATGGTTATTGATTTCTTAAGCTAAAATTAAAATTGGTACCATGACCATAAGCATATGTTATTTGATCACTAAGACAAGAAGACCTTAGAAGGAGAGAAATTAAAAGTCAGCCAAGAACTAAGCACTCTCCAGATAGATGGGCAAGGCCATGAGTCATCTTTGTGCAGAGAATTGAGCCCTGATAAAAATCAAGGAAACAAATGGTGAAAGCACAACTTGTTAAGACAAGTGGATGCATCATTCACACTGATCCAGGTGAAACCCCAAATAACAGGATTTCTTTATCTGAGATGGTTTGATGACCTAACAAGTTAAGAAAACCAAACCAAAACAAACAAGAAACGCTCAATTCCATTTTGGAGACAATATTGAATGCCTCATTTAGGGAAGCAAGTCCATGCAGCAAAAAAGAAATCAGATGTGCACTTCTTTCCCAGCTTTGCCAGTTTTATGATAAGTTCTTTAGTCTGATCTCAGTTTCTTTACCTGTTTAAAGAGAATAATCATACCTAATAGGGTGGTTGTACAAAGTAAAGGAGATTACATCTCATGTTTATAAGCACCACACTCAGAAGAGCTGTCTGCTTCTCTGCCTCGTAGGTTGCAAACCTGAGAATTTCACATTACATTAGCAGCTCTGACATAGTCTCATTTATACCCTATAAGCTCTGATTCATACAATAGTACGATGAGAATGCCATGCTATATCTAGAATTGCTGAGAAGACTAGATGACATTGTGTGCTGAAGGAACTTTGTGAAATACAAAGAACTACTTAAACAAGTAGTCAGCAGATGACAGCCGGTGTGCCAAATCCAGCCCACCACCTGGATTTTTGTTTGTTTGTTTGTTTTATGACTCAAAAGCTAAGAATGGTTTTCACATTTTTAAATAGTTGAAAAAATCAAAAGATGAATATTTCATGATGTGAAAATTACATCTAATTCAAATTTCAGTGTCTATAAATAAAGTTTTATTGGAACACATCCACACTCGTTTACATATTGTCTATGGCTGCTTTTGCACTACAATGGCGGAGTTGAGTAGGTGTGATCGAGACCATATGGGAATATTTACTATCTGGTTCTTTACAGAAAAGGTTTCCCTACTCCTGACTTAAATTAAATATAGTGACAAAAAGCATAAAGATTTTGGAGGTTTTTTTTGAGATTAAAAAAAATTCATAAGTTATTGGCGAAGTGCCTGCCATATAGTAATGGCTCAATAAACAGATGTTGCTGTTTATATTCCTTCATTAGATTATTAATTCAACAAATAGTTATTGAGTGCATACTCTGCCAGATACTGCTCCAAGAACCACAGAATACAGCAATGAACATAATTGGACAAAATTCCTTTGCTCATTGAATAGACAATAAACAGACAAATAAAAATAAGTAGAGTATATTATTTGGCTGGGAGAAAAAATAAAGGATGAAAGAATAGAGAGTTTGAGGGTAGAGGTTGCAATTTTTAGATACAGTGGCCAGGGAAGACATCACTGGAAAGGTGACATTTGAGTGAAAACCCGAAGGACACAAGGGAGCCCAAGGGGATGCTGTGGGGGTGGTGAGGAGTATTGTTCTGGGCAGGGGAATAATACAAAAGCCTGGAGGCAGAGAGAGCTTAGAGTGTTCGAGGAACACCAAGGAGTTGATGGGCTGGAGTGGCGGGGAACGATGGGGAGAATAACAGGAGATTAAATCAGAAAAGTGCGGGGTAGGGCCTTGAAGAACCATCTAGGGACTCTGGCTTGTACTCTGAGTGGGAGAGGAAGCAAGTTTTGAGCAGAATAGTGGCATGGCCTGACTCACATTTAATCCAGATCCATCCGACTGCTCCAGTGCAAACACCCTGTAGCACAGACTGATTAAAATTTTATAAGTTGATTTGCAACATCAATTACAGCTTAATGGTGTTAAATTGGGGGAATATTGCATATTCTCTCCATGGAAATTAATAAACCATTTGATGGGTACACAGCACCTTCCTTACATTATTTAAGACAATGTCAGAATGATGAAACTGCTTCTAATTTATGGACAAACAATATGATATCTCAGAATCCCACAGGGTAGTTCTAACCATTTAATTTCTGCGGATTCTCACAACTGCTTCAGCTTTTCTAACAGAATCTTTGGACTAACATGGCCTCTTTTTTTGATACAAATATTTTTGTTTGGACAGTGATTGAGACTGACCTGGACAGACCTAGAGAATGCCTCTTTGCTGTAAGATTGTTCCTCAATCTTTCTTTCATTACTACTTCCCTCTACCAAGGAACCTTTGTAGACCTGTTTTTTTTTTCCTAATTTCCACCACAGGAACATTTTTTATTGTGCTAAAATATACATAACATAATATTTGTCATTTTAGCTATTTGCAAGTATACTATTTAATGTCCTTAAATGTATTTACAACATTGTGTAACCATCACCAGTATCTATACCCAAAATTTTCTCATCATCCCCCCACATAAACTCTGTTCCCGTTAAACAATAACTCCCTATTCTCCACTCCCCCGAGTCCCTGGTAACTGATAGATACCATGCTTTCTGTCTCTGTGAAATTGCCTATTCTAGGTACCTCATATAAGTGGAATCATATACAATATGTGACCTGTGTCTGGCTTATTTTGCTTAGCATAATGTTTTCAAGGTCCATCCATGTTGTAGCATGTATCAACATTTTACTCCTCTTTATGGCTGAGTAATATTCCATTGCATGCATATGCCACATTTGATTGTTTGTTCACCTACTGATGTGTTTCTATATACATATATGTACATCTGTGTGTGTGTATATATGTGTGTGTGTATATGTGTGTGTGTGTGTATCTGTGCTTTCTACATAAAAAGTGCAAAATTGTTTTACCACCAACCCCAGAATGAATTTTCGCCTGCAAGAAGAGGGGGGATCTCACCCTCATTGATAACGCAGGTTCTCAGGTATAGATCCCCAGGTTTCCTGCCAAAAATGAGGTACATGTGTAGGTAATGTTTATTATTATTATTATTATTATTATTATTATTATTATTATTTTGAGACCAAGTCTCACTTTGTCACCCAGGCTGGAGTGCAGTGGTGTGATCTCAGCTCACTGCAACCTCTGCCTCCCAGGGTCAAGTGATGCTTGTGCCTCAGCCTCCCGAGTAGCTGGGATTACAGGCGCGCACCACCACGCCCAGCTAATTTTTGTATTTTTAATAGAGATGGGGTTTCGCCATGTTGGCCAGGCTGGTCTTGAACTCCTGACCTCAGGTGACCCACCCTCCTCAGCCTCCGAAAGTGCTGAGATTACAGATGTGAGCCACTGCACCCTGTCAGTAATATTTATATGTAGATAAACCACTTAGAGTGAAGCCAAGGATAAGGAAAATGACCTCAGAACACATAAGTATGAAAAGTCATCTTTATTCCCAATGCAATAGAGTTATCTGTATTTTATTTAGTCTTCACAATTGCCAACAGTTTATAAAGGAATGAACTCAAGAATGTTTGGAAAACAGCTGTAAGCAGTCATGTCAGGACCAAGCCAATGGAGCCGATATTCTAACTAAACTTTTGAAAGCAGTGGCAATTCATGATGTTACTATTCCCACTGAGTCAAAAATATTTCTGGAACACAAAGAGAATGATTAAGTAAGAATGTAAAATAGGAAAAAAAATGAAATCAATGTCACATCTGAAGATCAGAGGAGTGGGAAGCTGGTACCTGCTAGGGTATGCATGGTTGTGTCAGCATATGGCATGAGTGTTGGTGTCTAGTTGGAAGGCCATATGGCAAGGTATCTGGCACAGACTCACCTAGGTCTTATTCTCCTGTGGTTGCCCAATGCCATATTGTCTCATTCTGTAAAGAAGAGATTTAAAAGATTGTTGAACAGTGTTAATAAAGTCAGCCATTTCAAATACATGACCAGATTGTTTAACAGTGTTAATAAAGTCAGCCATTTCAAATACCCTTCAAATATCATCAAAGACAAGTAGAGACTGAGAAACTGCCAGAGTATGAGACTGCGGAGATGTGAAGACTGAAGACCACATGGGGTCCTGGATTGGATCCTGGAACAGAGAAAGGACATTCACAGGAATACTGGGAAATTCTGAATAAAGCCTATAATTTAGTACTGTCATATCAATGTTAATTTTTTAATTTTAGTCAATTGTCCCAGGATTATACAAGATGTTAACATGAGGGGAAGCTGAGTGTGTTGTGCTTCTTCTGTGAGTCTAAAATTATTTCAGAATAAAAAGTAAATGAAAATAAACAGCAACCAAGTTTCCAGTAGCTCCTGAGTATCAGAAGCGAACTTGAGACTGGCAAATGCTGAAGCATGGGGAGAGTGAGGGAGTGTATATTTGCATCATAGCAGCTTTGATGCCTGCCATAAGAGTGACTCCTGTCCTTGTCTCCTTTCCGATTCTTTTGCAGGGTGTGCTGGGTGCATCATGTAACTGGCATGTGGGTGTACCCTTTCCTGGAACACATTGGCCCAGGAGCCAGAATCATCTTCTTTGGGTCTACAACCATCTTAATGAACTTCCTGTACCTGCTGGGAGAAGTTCTGAACAACTATATCTGGGATACACAGAAAAGTAAGTATTGTCTGAGGGAACATAAAACAAGAGAATTACTGCCGGCAACAGTCTATGCAGAGACTGAGGGAAAATTCCACTGTAGCCTCTTCTTTTAGCCTTCACACAGGATCTCCTATAAAGAGCTCCATTTTTAAAACTACAATATGAATTTAAGAGCTGCTGACAGTTACCTGAAAGTTTTACTAGTCACTTGGTCTTGTTAGCTAGTAAAACCTCCAAATCTAAAGAGGAAAGAGGCATGTCTATAAAATTTTATAGGGAAAAATGTAGTGTTAGCAAAAAATATATATTAGGGAAATTTGTCCTCATTAACAACACAATGCTGCCTTAGTTAGCTAAAGGGACCTCAAATTAAATAGATACATTATTAAATGTAACCAATCTCCTTTAAAGTCACCCAGATCTCCACTTTCTATGTGGGTGCAGTCACCTGGGAGAGGTCTTACTACCATTCTGCTAGAGCTCTATCTAAGCAGTGTGTGATGCTCCGGCCACCTTGACTCACCAGTGGCTGTCACGGAAAGTCTGAAAGTGGCAAAGAGCTACAAGCAGTAAAAGATAATATTTCGTGGCTGGAAAAACTCTTTTAACCTGTGATTTGATTTCTCTTTTGTTTCCATTTATGGCAGAGCCTCCATCTTGGCAAGGCACGTAATCTTATCCAAGCTGTGCAAAACCTGTCCAAAGTGTATGTACAATAACATAAAAATTGAAAGGTGGAAAAAGCGCCAGCACAGACATGTAGTGATTGAGTCCTGCATGAAAATACATCCAAAGGCAAGATGGTTTGGAGATTTTAGGAAGCCCTGGCTCTTTCCTCTGACACAATCACAGCATTCTAGACATCCCCAGTAAATGGACTCTGTGACACAGACATTGAGCACCCTGCTTTGTGCCAGACACCCTGCCAGGAGCTCAATGGAATCAGACAAATAACGCACAGTGAGTGCATGGTTACTGTGCATGGTTACTGAATCAGACTTTTGTGTGTGTGGATCCTCTAAGATTGTATGTGTCAGGGTATTAGCCAATGTTAAATGGCGCAGAGGAATTTGAGGGTTTCTTTTCTCATCAGCTTTTGATTTTAATCAATGTTCTATTAGAAAAAGTATCAACATTTTTAATTCTGTTCAGGCCACAGCTTGGGGAACAAGACACTAATCTTTTAATAATGTTCCACCTGTTCAATGGAAATAGTGATCTTTCTCCATTAATTTACAGAAGTATTTAGTTACTTGACAAAAATATTTTGAGAACAAAATATAAACCTTTCTCAGCTTCTTGGAAGAAAAACTGTATTTAAACTTAAACGAATGTGTCCAATATATGTTATTCAGGAAGTACTTAAGTACCTGCTTACACTTGACTTGATTGATTTGACAGTCATTTGGCCACAGTTCTACTACTTCTATGAGAGGATGACCTGAAAACCACTAGAGAGAAATATCCACTCTACATTAATAGAATACTGCTTTTTAGCAGCTTTGAATGAGGAGTTAAAAATGAATAATGAAATTAAGGTTTTTTGAATGATTTGTTTAATTTATGCCATTCTTTTAAGTAACATAAGATTGACTAACTTTTTTTAAAAATTCATTTTAGATATGAAAATTAAGTTTATGTACCTAGGACCATCTAGTTAGTTCCACAAAGACAGATGTTTTGTGCCAAGTAAGTATCATCCTCATTTACAAGAGGGGTCACAAACTGCTGGCCTCCCCCAACTTCTACCTATCAAGTTCTGTTAGGCCTACATCGTGGAATTTTTGTTTTTGAATCAGTATTTTAAAATTGGGTGATTTTGGCTGGGCGCAGTGGCTCATGCCTGTAATCCCGGCACTTTGGGAGACTGAGGCAGGTGGATCACGAGGTCAAGAGATGGAGACCATCCTGGCCAACATGGTGAAATCCCATCTCTACTAAAAATACAAAAATTAGCCAGGCATGGTGGCGTGTGCCTGTAGTCCCAGGTACTCGGGAGGCTGAGGCAGGAGAACTGCTTGAACCCAGGAGGCAGAGGTTGCAGTGAGCTGAGATCATGCCACTGCACCCCAGCCTGGCAACAGAACAAGACTCCATCTCAAAAAAAAAAAAAAAAAAAATAGGAGATTTCACATGAAGGCCAGATTTTCAGCTTCTTAGGAAATATTTTAAGATCTGGAACACAGAGCCCACTGTTCTATTCTGGTGACAATGGTTTAGAATAGAGTATCAGTTATCCCTTGGCTGGGCACGGTGGCTTACACCTGTAATCTCAGAACTTTGGGAGGCTAAGGTGGGCAGATCACTTGAGCCCAGGAGTTCAAGACCAGTCTGGCCAACATTGCAAAACTCCATCTCTACTAAACATACAAAAATGAGCCGGGCGTACATGCCTGTAATCTCAGCTACTTGGGAGGCTAAGGCACGAGAATCGCTTCAACCTGGAGGCAGAGGTTGCAGTGAGCCAAGATCGTGCCACCACACTCCATCCTGAGCCACAGAGTGAAACTCTCAGAAAAAAAAAAAAAAAACAGAAAGAAAAGAAAAAAGAATTGAGTATCAGTTATCCACTTTAGATGACTAACTTTCCCTCGTTCTCACCTGGCCACTTTACTCAGTCACATTAGCTGCCTGATTCTGTTAGCTGTTGAGTCAAAAACTACTCACTAAAAGCAGTGTGTTAGGATGAATTGAGGACATGGGAGTACAGTACTACAATCCTGAGTATTTCACATCAGTTACTATACAATCCCCCAAGAAGAAGGAAGATTGCATTGGAGCCACCCTCCTTTTTCCATAATGGTTTTTAATAGCTCAACTCTGTCTACTTGGGTAACTTATGTTAGCTACAACTTCAAGATAAAAATCACATTATTGCAGAATCTTACTGCTGAAAGAGAGATTGGAAATCATCGAAACCGACCCTTTCCTTTCACCAAAAGTAACTGAGGCCCCAAAATCTTAAGTGACCCTCCAGAACAGGTGATGGCAGAGCCAGTGCCTTCTAACTGATGTTCAGTCCAGTCTCCAAATTTCCCCTTTGTATAAGAATACCAGTTGTATTTGATTAGGGCCCACCCTGATGACCTCATTTGTAAATACTTATCTCCAAGTAAAGTCACATTCTGACTTTAAAACCACATCCTGGGGGTTAGGATTTCAGCATATGAATTTGGAAGTGGGGGACAGAGTTCAGCTCATAATACTTCACTCTCTCCCCACCAGAATACATGTCCTTCACCCAATGAAAATATTCCATCCCAACAACCCCAAACGTCTTTCAGACATCAACTCTCAAGTCCAAAATCTCATCTTAAATATCATAAAATTGGGTATGCGTGACACTCAGGGTATGAGTCATCCTGAAGCAAAATTGTTCTCTAGCTGTGTGTGAACCTGGGAAACCAGACAAAAAGTTATCTGCTTCCAAAACAGAATGGTGGGACAGGCATAGAATATACATTCCCATTCTGTAAGGGAGAAGTTGCAGGGGGAAAAAAAAAGAAAGAATCATGGTTCCCAAGCAAGTCTGAAGCTAGCGGGGGAAATTCCATTCCATTTTAAGGCTTGAAAATAATCCTCTTTGGCTAGATGTTCTGTCCTCAGGGCTCACAGGGGAGGGGATGCATAGCCCTGCCTTCCAGGCACAGGGTCACAGGAGCCCCACCCCCACAGCCCTGGGCAATAGTTCTACCCTCTACAACCAAGGAGGAGCCAGTCGCTGAACCATCTTTGAAGCCATTGGTCCTTCATTTCATCCTGTCTCTGTCCCTTTCAGTCCATGCTGTCAATGTTTCTGCTGGTATAAAATTCTCAAAAACCTTATTGGCCTCCCATGCAAGTCATGGGGGTCCAAGCAGTCAGACAAGAGGGCACTCCGCGGATCTTTTTCAGATAACCACCTCTCTATTTCTGGCATCTACTGTGGAGGTTGATTGGATCCGTGAGTCACGTACCTAATTTCGTTAGCACATGGCTGTCCAGCCACACCCTTGGCATTCTCTCCCAATCTGAGGTACTGAGAGTTAAGCACTTCGATGTAGCAGTTTGGCGGGGTGGAGCGCGGGGGGGGACACAATTCACAGCTGAAATATTTCTTTACTTAAGCTAAGACTTTATCCCAATTTTGGTATATCTGACCAGTCTTACTAAAGCTACATTTTGTAAGACCAGAAATGAGTCTTTTCAAAACCAAAAGGTTGGTGTGAGGACAGAGAAAGTAGGCAAGCGGGGAGACAGGAGACGTCTATGTGTGCAGAAACCTGCACCTCTTCTCCTCCAGCTACCCGTGCAGGTCATTTCCCCCCAGGCCCATCCAGGTCTAGCGATGTCCCAGCACTGCCCCCTGGTGGAGCCCTCCACCGGCCTGCAGGAAGGGCATGTGACTGACTCCCTCAGCGCCCTGCAGTCTTGTCCCCTCTGGTCCCAAAAGTGTATCCTGCCTTCGCTTTGCGATAGGTTTCTTCCTGCCCTTTGCCTGGAAATTTTATCTCTGGTTCTTGCAAACATTATTTACAGCTGTCTAATTTTTTCTGTCTACCTCACAGCTGCCAAACTAAAGTAGGTGGGAAGCCATTTTCCCTCTCTAGGTCAATGAATACCCCCCGTTCTCCACCCGCGCTTTTGAAGATTCCAGCACTGCTGCCAAGTCAACCCATCTGCAGGAGAACGCTTTGGAAAAAACAGACTTTAAAAAGAAAAGCAAACTGCTCTTAGCCCCTGATAGCTTCTCCACAGGAGAGGGAATATGGACAGAGCTGAGGTTCAAGACACATGTGCTGTTTGAGCTGAATCTGTGCTGTTTTCTTCTTTCCGTGGTTACCCAACAACGAAGGCGTGTTGTACCTTCTTGCCTTCAAACCTGTTCCTCCTCCCGTCAGATGTCCTTACTCCTCAATTTGAAGTTTTCCTTCATAGGATTTCTGAGAAGGACTTTGGAAAAAGTGCTCCAGATCTCTGCCAGTTCCTTAGCCATGAAAACCAAACATAAAAGATCATCTGGGGACATTCATTCAGAGCACGTTACCCACATTCCACCACCACTACTCTGACAGCACAAAACATATACCAGGAGCTGGGGTTATGTGGTGGGGGAGTCCTTCCTATTGTAAGCCCTAACATTATGACCCTCTGGGGTTAAATTTTATAATTTTCATATTGTGGAGTCCCATATTTTGTTCTGCTTTCCACTAGTCCAGGCTTCTGAGGTCTTCTCTGTGTTCATTGCTTATTAATTTTATTCAGCAAAGATTAATTGAGCTCCTGCAATGAGACACACACACTATGTTAGGTGCTGGGGAACAAAATAGGGAAGGGCCCTACCCTCAGAAAGCTTGCAATTTATGAAAGAATACTAACAAAACCTGCAAAGTGGTATTTTAAGTTATTTTGTTTCATTTTTGCTATTGAAACAAAGAAACTGAGAATTTGGTATGATTCAAAAAATGTTTAGGTACAAGAAAAAGAAAAAAGCAAGAAGCACTTGCCAGATTTAACTATAATTCCTAAAAATGATGAACATTTTCATCTTCAGGAACATGAAACATCATCGACTATTCTCTACAGACAACAGGCAAAGGTTCTTACTGGTCCAGTACATACAAGTCCTTCAGGAAGAAAAACATGATTCTACCAGGATTGGGTTGAATAGAGAGAGAATTGCAGTTTAAGATTCATGAGTATGGAAATAAACAGCTCTTATGGCTAATAAACTCTCTATGAACTTTAAAAAGAAAACAAGAAAAAAAAAAGCATGGCTTTTTAAAATCCAAAGTCCTTGCCTTAGGAAGAGACAGGACTAAAGTAAAAATAAATGAAGTCTGTTTGAAACTCATGAGTTGCACACCTCATGTTGCCAGAAGCTGGTTTAAAAAGCAGTCTAGCTGGGATTTCCATGCAAACTCAGCAAGTCATGAATCAACTTGAAGCCTTGTCTCCCAGAGGCCATAGGAGCTGGGTGTGTCCCAGAGATGCTGTGTCCTGATTCTGTGGAAAGGGTGGGGAAGAGAGGTCACTGAGGATGTTTCTGGAGAAAGTTGTGCATGGCTTTCCTTCTTAGCTAGGAGGGAATAGGGGGTGTGTCAGGAGGGTGAATGGGAGAAGTGAGGGCAGATGAGTGGATGTGTGAGTAGTGTTAGCAAGCCAGATTAAACAAACTGCTTGTGGTTTAATCTGATGCTCAAATAAAACACTTTGCCTGTATTTCTAGGTATGGAAGAAGAGAAAGAAAAGCCTAAATTGGAATGAGATCCAAGTCTAAACGCAAGAGCTAGATTGAGCCGCCATTGAAGACTCCTTCCCCTCGGGCATTGGCAGTGGGGGAGAAAAGGCTTCAAAGGAACTTGGTGGCATCAGCACCCCCCTCCCCCAATGAGGACACCTTTTATATATAAATATGTATAAACATAGAATACAGTTGTTTCCAAAAGAACTCACCCTCACTGTGTGTTAAAGAATTCTTCCCAAAGTCATTACTGATAATAACATTTTTTCCTTTTCTAGTTTTAAAACCAGAATTGGACCTTGGATTTTTATTTTGGCAATTGTAACTCCATCTAATCAAGAAAGAATAAAAGTTTATTGCACTTCTTTTTGAGAAATATGTTAAAGTCAAAGGGGCATATATAGAGTAAGGCTTTTGTGTATTTAATCCTAAAGGTGGCTGTAATCATGAACCTAGGCCACCATGGGGACCTGAGAGGGAAGGGGACAGATGTTTCTCATTGCATAATGTCACAGTTGCCTCAAATGAGCACCATTTGTAATAATGATGTCAATTTCATGAAAAGCCTGAGTGTATTGCATCTCTTGATTTAATCATGTGAAACTTTTCCTAGATGCAAATGCTGACTAATAAAGACAAAGCCACCCTGAACCTGACGTCTGCATTGTGCATCTCAAAATCCTAACAGCATTAGTATCTCCTTTTCATTTTTATTACCTGTTGAAAATGGGTTTACTGAACCTGGTTCTTTCCTATAATTTTTGGATTTTAAAAAATGTGAATCTTTTTGATAACTCCAAAACAAATTTTTTTTTTCTTTTTTTCCAGATGGAGTCTCACTCTGTCGCCCAGGCTGGAGTACAGTGGCGTGATCTCAGCTCACGGCAAGCTCCGCTTCCCGGGTTCATGCCATTCTCCTGCCTTCTCAGCCTCCCGAGTAGCTGGGACTACAGGCGCCTGCCACACGCCCGGCTTATTTTTTGTATTTTTAGTAGAGACGGGGTTTCACCTTGTTAGCCAGGATGGTCTCGATCTCCTGACCTTGTGATCCACACGCCTCGGCCTCCCAAAGTGCTGGGATTACAGACATGAACCACCGCGCCCAGCCACAAAATTGTTTTTAAAAAAACTATTTTACAAAATCTTTGACCGTAATTATTTTTAAGATGAAAAATATGTTATATAAATTATAAAATGTTACTTAACACAAATATAAGTATTGATTGCCCAATGTTGAGAGAGATCAACAAATGATATAAAACCATTCACTCCAAAATTATAATTACATTTTAAAATTAAAAAATGAAAAGCATTAAACTTTTTAATTTGAAAAAAATTTAAACTCAAAAAGTTAATTTAAAATTAGTTACATTTAAATGTAATTAAATGCTAAAAATCTCTCTTCCTTCCGTCTCTCTGTCTCTCTCTTTCTCCCACACACATTCACTCTATATGCCCCCCATTTCTGAAAGCAAAATTGATAGAAATATAGAATGCATCTAGCAGCATTACCATATTAGTTTCCTAACTCATGGAGCTGGGACTTTTAAGTAGGAAAGTCAAGCAGAAATCCACCAAAACAGAAAAGCACAGCAATACCACATCCTTGGAATGACTGCTGCAGTTAGTACAGGATCAAAGACTTGAAGGATCCAGAGTTGGTTTCCATCACAACTACATGTATCTTACCTGTCTGACCTCTATTATGGGTTACATTGTGGCACTGTGTCCCCCTAAAATTTATATGTTGAACCCGTAACCCCTAGTGCCTTAGAATATGACTGTTTTTGGAGACAGGGCCTTTAAAGAGGGGATTAAGTTAAAATGAGGCCATTAAAATGGGCCCTAATCCAATCTGAGTAGTATCTTTGTAAAAAGGGGGAATTAGGACACACAAAGGGACACCAGGAATGTACATACACAGAGGAAAGACCATGTGAGGGCATGGGAAGAAGGTTGCCAACTGCAAGCCAAGGAGAGAGGACTCAGAGGAACCAAACCTGCTGACACCTTGATCTTGGACTTCTAGCCACCAGAACTTTGAGAAAATAAATTAATATTGTTTAAGCCACCAGTCAGTGGACTGACATTTTGCTATGTCAGTAACAGCAAATTAATACGAACTGTGTACAAACGATGGATGAATTTTGGAGGATGATAAATTATTGTAAGCTTACTTAGGCGGTGGCTCCACTGATAGCAGTGTTTCCAGAAGTCTTTTTGCTGGAGTAAAACAATATAATCCCTGGGATATCGAATGAAGGTACTAAAAAATTTTTTTTTGTTTTTGAAACGGAGTTTTGCTCTTGTTTCCCAGGCTGGAGTGCAATGGCACCATCTCAGCTCCCTGCAATCTCCGCCTCCCTGGTTCAAACGATTCTCCTGCCTCAACCTCCCAAGTAGCTGGGATTGCAGGCATGCACCACCAAGCCCTGCTAATTTTGTACTTTTCGTAGAGACGGGTTTCTCCATGTTGGTCAGGCTGGTCTCAAACTCCCGACCTTAGGTGATCACCCGCCTTGGCCTCTCAAAGTACTGGGATTACAGGCGTGAGCCATTGCGCCCGTCCTAAAATTTTCTTGTAGTGGGAAAATGGGGTGGCGAGGCTGGGCGCAGAGAGGCTGGGGCTGCGGCTCAGCGTGGGCTCCCCTGGTGCGCAGCAGCAGCTGCGAGGAGCTCACTGCGGTTCTAGCCCCGCCGCAGCTGCTTAGACGCAGGTTTAACTTCTTTATTCAGAAAAAAATGTGGTTCAGAAAAGAACCCAGTAAGGTTGAACCTCGAAGATCAGACACGGCAACAAGTGGTGAAGCATACAAGAGAAGTGCTTTGATTCCTCTGGTGGAAGAAACAGTCTTTTATCTTTCTCCCTATCCTATAAGGACTCTCATAAAACCTTTATTTTTTTACTGTTGGGTTTACAGGCTGTGCATTTGGATCAGCTGCTATTTGGCAATACGAATCACTGAAATCCAGGGGTCCAGAGTTATTTTGATGGCATAAAAGCTGATTGGTTGGATAGCATAAGACCACAAAAAGAAGGAGACTTCAGAAAGGAGATTAACAAGCGGTGGAATAACCTAAGTGATGGCCAGCGGACTCAGGTATCATAGCTGCAAACGTCCTTGTATTCTGTTTGTGGAGAGTACCTTCTCTGCAGTGGACAGTGATCTGATATTTCAAATCTAATCCAGCCTCAAAAGTCCGTTGTTCTCCAATGTTGCTGTCAACATTCAATCATTTCTCCTTATTTCACATGGCAGCAAATATGTATGTTTTGTGGAGCTTCTCCTTCAGTATAGTGAACATTCTGGGTCAAGAGCAGTTCATGGCAGTGTACCTATCTGCAGGTGTTATTTCCAATTTTGTCAGTTATGTGTGTAAAGTTGCCACACGAAGATATGGACCATCACTTGGTGCATCTCGCGCCATCATGATGATCCTCGCAGCTGTCCGCACTAAGATCCCAGAAGGGAGGCTTGCCATTATTTACTTCCAATGTTCACATTCACAGCAGGAAATGCCCTACAATCCATTAACGCCACGGATATGGCAGGAATGATCCTGGGACGGAAATTTTTTGATTATGCAGCACATCTTGGGGGAGCTCTCTTTGGAATATGGTATGTTACTTACCCTCATGAACTGATTTGGAAGAACAGGGAGCCTCTAGTGAAAATCTGGCATGAAATGAGGACTAATGCCCCCCCAAACAAGAGGTGGCTCTAAGTAAAACTGGGATTGCACAGTACCGGTGCACCTGTCTTGTCCTGCCGGAGAGCCCCAGGAGACATCGGCCCTAGAGTGATCATGGCTACGTTCCCGCCTGGAAGACGCCAGCATCTGGCCTCCCACTGTTTTCAGCTGTGTCCCCGGGTCCGTGTCTTTTCAGAAAGTGAAAATGACATAGTTGTGACGTAAAGGTTTACATCTAGTTCGTAAAAAATAAAAAAATAAAAATAAAAATACATTCCTTTTACCTTGCAAGGATAGCAGAATGCCCTCACTATATTTTCTCAAGGCTATTTCTTTGTGTGTTTGTGTATGTGTGTGTGTGTGCATGTGTTATAAATATTTTTAATTTAACTTTTAAGTTCAGAAATAAATGTACAGGTTTGTTATATAGGTAAACTTGTGTCATGGGGGCTTGTTCTATGGATTATTTTGTCACCCAGGTATTAAGACTAGTACCTATTAGTTGTTTTTAATAAATAAACAACAAATATAAAATGATCCTCTCCCTCCTCCCACTCTCCACCTTCTGAATGGCTCCAGTATATGTTGTTCCCCTCTATGTGTCCATGTGTTCTCATCATTTAGCTCCCATTTATAAGTGAGAGCATGCACTATTTGATTTTCTGTTCCTTTATTAGTTTGCTAAGGATAATGGCCTCCGGCTTCATCCCTGTTCCTGCAAAAGACATGATCTCATTCTTTTTTTATGGCCGCATAGTATTTCATGGTGTATATGTACCACATTTTCTTTATCTAGTCTACTATTGATGGGCATTTATGTTGAGTCCATGTCTTTGCTATTGTGAATAGGGCTGCAGTGAACATATGCATGCATGTGTCTTTATAATAGAATGATTTCTATTCCTTTGGTTATATACCCAGTAATGGAATTGCTGGGTCAAATAGTATTTCTGTTTTTAGGCCTTTGAGGAATCGCCGCACTGTCTTCTGCAATACTGGAACTAATTTACATTCCCACCAACAGTGTAGAAGCGTTCCTGTTTCTCCACAACCTCATCAGCATCTGTTATTTTTTTGACTTTTTAATAATACCCATTCTGACTGGTGTGAAATGGTATCTATCTCACTGTGGCTTTGATTTGCATTTCTCTAATGATCTGTGATGTTGAGCTTTTTTTCATGATTGTTGACCAAATGTATGTCTTCTTTTGAAAAATGTCTGTTCATGTACTTTGACCACTTTTTAATGGGGTTGTTTGCTTCTGATAAATTTATTTAAGTTCCTTATAGATGCTGGATATTAGACCTTTGTCAGATGTAGAGTTTGCAAATGTTTTCTCCAATTCTCTAGGTTGTCTGCCCAGTCTGTTGATAGTTTCCTTTGCTGTGCAGAAGCTCTTTAGTTTAATTTGATCCCATTTGTCAGTTTTTACTTCTGTTGCAATTGCTTTTGGTGTATTCATCATGAAATCTTTGCCCAATCCTATGCCCAGGATGGTATTGCGTCAGTTGTCTTCCAGGGTTTTTATAGTTTTGGGTTTTTCATTTAAGTCTTTAGTCCATCTTGAGTTAATTTTTATATATAGTGTAAGGAAGAGGTCTGGTTTCGTCTCCTGCATATGGCTTGCCAGTAATCCCAGCACCATTTATTGAATAGAAAATCCTTTCCCCATTGCTTGTTTTTTTGTCAGGTTTGTCAAAGCTCAGATAGTTGCAGGCATGTGGTCTTACTTCTGCATTCTCTATTCTGTTCCATTGGTCTATGTGCCTGTTTTTGTTCAGTACTGTGCTATTTTGGTTACTGCAGCCCTGTGGTATAGTTTGAAGTCAGGTAGCATGATGCTTCTGGCTTTATTCTTTTTGTTTAGGATTGCCTTCTCAAGGTTATTTCAATCATGGCTTTATATCATGATTTAGTCCACAGTGACCTTGTTTGTCTAACTGTCCCATGGGAAATCAAGTTTCTATTACATTGATTATATCACACTGCTAGAAGAATTCAGCAAGTAACCTAGATAACTTGAGAAGACACAGGCATGCCAGAGGGTAATAGATAAACAGCCCCCTTAAAAAAATTGGGCCATCTACCTTTGTGAAGTTTCTAGGGCTGCAGTGATCTGAATGAGACATATCAATATATGCCCTCTGAAGTAAAATCAAATTATTTCATTTTGCGTGCATTACTACTATGAAAGAAGCACATTGCTTGGTATGTCTTATTAGATTTTGAAGGAAGCATATGTCGCATTGAGTGTGCTGTTCTTATCTCTAGATCACAACCAGAGAAAAATTGAGTTATAAAAATTATAACAAAAAATCTAAAATCATTACAATTTGCTGATGAATGATTTTTTTTTTTTTTTTTTGAGACAGAGTCTCGCACTGTTGCCCAGGCTGGAGTGCAGCGGTGCCATCTCGGCTCACTGCAACCTCCGCCTCCCAGGTTCAAGCCATTCTCCTGCCTCAGCCTGCCAAGTAGCTGGGATTACAGGCGCCCACCACCACATTCAGCTAATTTTCTGTATTTTTAGTAGAGATGGGGTTTCACTATGTTGGCAAGGCTGGTCTCAAACTCCTGACCTTGTGATCCGCATCTATTACTGCCAAAAACCATCTCAAAACTTAGTTGTTTAGAATATTTATTTGCAAATGAATCTGCAACTTGGGCAGGACTTGGCAGCCTGAGCTTGTCTGTGTGCCACTGGTTATCTGCTGGGGTGACTTGAAGGCTGGTGGCAAGAATCCTCTGAAGTTTTGCTCACTTATATGCCCAGTGATTGCTGCTGGTGGTTGACTGAGGCCTCAGCTAAGGCTGTGACTGGAACAACTATATGTGGCCTCTCCACATTGCCTCTTGGCTTCACTCCATGTGACTGTGTGCCTTTTCCATGTGGTTGCTTGGCTTTATCACAATGTGGTGCCAGGATCTTAGCAGGCCCAGATGAAAAGTTTTTATTTAATATAACTTAGAGTCAGAAGTCACATAGTATCACTTCTGCTGCAGTCATAGTCTGACCTAAATTCAAAGTAAGGGAATGTAGATCCCCATGTCTTGATGAGAAACTATCAATGTTACATTGTAAAAAGAATATATGTGATTATGAAATATTGGTGGCTAGATTTGGAAACTACAATCTGTCACACACATCCAAAACAATAAACTGAAAGCTGACTTTGAAATTAAGATAATAAGGTTATAGAGTACAAATATATGCAAATCCATAGTTTTATTATCCATAAGATGTAATGGGATATAATGAAAGGAAAGGACCCTTTGCAATAGCAACAACTTTATGAAAAAATTTTTGAAACTATTAAATGATGCAAAAGAAGGTTTGAAGAAATGGAAACATATACCATGTGCTTAGAAAGCAAGACTATATCATAGATACCAAGTTCCAAGTTAATTTATAATTCAAAAATACAAACCTTTGTTTTTTATTTATATGCTTTGTTTATTTTTGAAACTAGACAAGTTAATCTTTAAGATCATATGTAAAAATTAACAAACAAGAATTGTTAGGAAAGCTCTGAGTTAAAAAAGCAATGAGAAAGAACTAGAAGACTAGCCCAACCAAATATTAAAATATAAATGCCTCATTTAAAAAAGCAGTATGAAATTGACTATGAATACACCAACTAATACAACAAAATAGGAAGAACAATAATAGAAATAAATACATGTGGGAATTTAGAATATAATAAAAGTAGTACCTCAAATCAGCAAGGAAGGAGATAGGTTATTCAATAAATATCATTAGGACAACTGGAAGGTGATCTGGATAAAAAAAAGCTGGGTCTATATCTTGCATCTTTTACCCTGACATATTTTTACAAATGGCTTATCTTCCTAATATATATAGAGATCCTTAAAAAAGAAAGAAAACAATAACCTAATAGGAAAATAATGGCAAGAAAACGTGAATAATTCAGAGAAAAACAAAGTATCTCTTAAACAAATGAAAAGAATGCAACTTCAATCATAATAAGAAAAAATACAAATTAAAGCCACACTGAATATCATTTATATCTATTGGATTGTCATAACTTCTAGCCTTTGACCACGCGTTGTATTGAATAAGAGTATAGACACTTTCATAATTGCTTGTGGAAGTACAAACAGGCACAGTCCTTATAGAAAGGAATTTGTCTATATCTTTTAAAATTGCAAATGCACAAATCATTTGACCTAGCAGTTCTGTTACTCAGAACTTATGCTAACTCCTGTTTCCACATATGTTAAGCTTATTAATTGCAGCAAAGTTTGTAATAGGAAAAAATGGAAACAATTGAAATGTTAATAATAGGAAACTGCTTTTAGAAATTATGATGCCTCCATTTAATGACTACTATAAAAAGGAGGAGCTGTAAAAAGAAGGAAGAAGAGAGAAAAGAAATGATGACATTCTGTGTACTGATATTGAAAATTTTCTAAAAATCTATTTTAAATTCTAAAAAGAAATATGTTGAATAGTGTGTATAGCATGCCGATTTTCAAAAAGGATGGGGGGAGATAAAAGAATGGATTTTTGCTTGTATACACATAAGAAAACTTTAGAAGGATACATAAAAGTGTAAAAAGTTGTCCGTTTAAATGGTAGAGGGGGAAACGGGACTGATAAAATGGAAATAAGAATTGGTGGGAGATTGTTCATTATACATGTTATTTTTTTATTTTTGAAAAACCTAATAATATTACCTGTTCTAAAAAAGGTAGTTAATAATCTTAAAACTAATTCTTTGAGGAAGGAAAAGTATGTTAAAGAGGAAAATTTAAAAGGGATTGCAATTTATTCAGGAAATAATGACACAATACCTCATAATTAAACTTAATGAATGTGGCCAAAGCTGTACACACAAAAAATGTAACCTTAGATTTTATTTTTATACAAAACTAAATGAAGAAAACAAACTACATATTCAGCAGAACAAGTAGAAAACAAAAACAAATCATAGAGAAATATAAGGAAATAATAAAAATAAAAGCAGAAGTTAAATAAGCAGAAAAACAGCAAAATTGATAAATTGATTAATAAATACAGTATCTCACCTATAAAAGTGTCAATAAATATGCAAACTAATGACATGTTAACTGGAAAGAAAGAGAGAGAGAGAAACACGAATACTTGACAATATAAACACAGATAGGAAGAAAATGTTTAATTACAGAACGTTTTTTAGCTTCATGGACACAAATTATTAGAAATCAATAAAATGTACAATTTTCAGGGAAAATTGATTCAGTAAGAATTAGAAAGCTTTAATAAGCTTACATTTAGGGAAGACATTTTAATTTTTCATTAACTATCTCCAAAAAAGGAATTGGGTCCAGAGCATTTGATGAGCAAGTCCTTAAAAAATCTTTCAAACAACAATTCTTGTGTTATTTTAAATGTTCCAAGATTGCAGAATGATGAAACACTTCCCAAATTACTTTTCAAAGTTAATATAATCCTTATAAAAGCCAACAAAGAAAAAAATGTACTTGCTTTAACTAAAATATTGGCAACATAAATTCAACACTAAATACGTTTTCATGTCTAAATAGTTCTATGCTAAAAATTCAAGGATGGCTTAATAGAATTTTCATTAACACTACTACCTCAATAATGCACAAAAGAAAAAAATCATGATATTCTCTATAGTTGTTCTAGGACATTTGAGAAAATTTAACATTGATTTATGATAATATTAGTGAAAGAAAAATATAAAAATATCCCATATCATTATAAGAAATAGCCATCTAAAACACCAAAGGCTTTCCCATTTAAAGTCAGAAATGAGACAAAAATATCCACAACACTGTTATTGTTCTTGTTTTTCTGAGGAGTTGGGGATGTCAGATCTAGCTTCAAATGAGTTATATTTTTACCTTCAATGAAGCATCATTTTTCCATTTTTAGTTGACATGTAATAATTGTGTATATTTATGGGATACAGTGTGACATTTTGATACATGTATACGATGTATAATGATCAAATCAGGGAAACTGGCATATTCATCACCTCAAACATTTATCATTTCTCTGTGTTTGAACCTTCAAAATCCCCTCTTCTGGCTTTTTTAAAATATCCAATAAATTATAGTTAACTATATTCATGCTGCAGAGCTTCAGAACACCAGAATTCATTTGCCCTATCTAGCTGTAATTTTGTATCTGTTAACTAACCTCTCCCCACGCTCCCCTCCCTCTACCCTTCCCAGCCTCTAGTATCCATAATTCTAACTCTTTTCTTCCATGAGCTGAATTTTTTTGTAGCTCCTACATATGAGTGAGAACATGCAGTATTTCTCTTTCTATGCCTATTTCACTTAATGTCCTATAGGCTCATTTATGCTACACAGATGGCAGGATTTCATTTTTTGTGGCTGAATAGTATTCCCTTGTGTGTGCATGTGTGTGTGTGCGTGTGTGTGTATGTGTGTGTGTATACACCATATTTTCTTTATCCACTCATCTGTTGATGGACATTTAGGTTGCTTTCATATCTTAGCTATTGTAAATAGTGCTGCAATAAATATAGGGATGCAGGTATCCCTTCAATATACTGATTTCCTTTCCTTCAGCTAAGTACCCAATACTGGGATTGCTGGCTCATATGCTAGTTCTAGTCTTAGTTTTTTGAGATAGCTCCATACTATTTTCCATAATGTCTGTACTAATTTACAGTCTCACCAACCGTGTATAAGAGTTACCTTTATTCCACATCCTTGCCAGCACTTATGTTTTGTTTGTTTGATAGTAGTCATTTCTAACTAGGGTGAGATGATATTTCATTGTGGTTTTGATTTGCATTTTCCTAATGATTAGTGATGTTGAGCATTTTTTATATGTTTGTTGCCCATTTGTATATCTTCTTTAGAGAAATGTTTATTCAGTTCCTTCGCCCACTTTTTAATCAGATTATTTGTTTCTGGTGTTGAGTTGTTTGAGTTTATGAGTTCACTGTATAATCTAGATATTAGCCCATAGTCAGGAAAACAGTTCGCAAACATTTTCTCACATTCTACAAGTTGTCTCTTCACTCTGTTGTTTTCTTTGTTGTGAAGAGCTTTTTTAGTTTACTATAATCTCATTTGCCTATTTCTGCTTTTGTTGCATGTGCTTATGAAGCCTTAACCATAAAATCTTTACCTAAATCAATCTCCTGAAGCATTTCACCTATGTCTTTAATTTTAATTGATTTTTGTATAGGTAAGAAATAAGAGTCTAGTATCATTCTTCTGCATATGAATGTCCAGTTTTCCTAGCACTGTTTATTTAAGAGGGTGTCCTTTCCCCAATGTATGTTCTTGGTGCCTCTATTGAAAATCAGTTGTATGTTTCTGGGTTCTATGTATGTTTCTGGGTTCTCTAGTATGTATGTTTCTGGGTTCTCTAGTCTGTTCCATTGGTCTGCATGTCTGGTTTTGTACCAATACAATGCTCTTTTGGTTATTATAGCTTTGTAATATATTTTGAACTCAGGTAGCATGATGGCTCCAGCTTTGTTCTTTACGTTCACTATTGCTTTGGCTATTTGGGGTCTCTTGTGGTTCCATATGAATTTTAGGAGGTTTTTTTAAAAATCTATTTCAGTGAAGAATATCATTGGTATTTTGATAAAGGTTGCATTGATTCTATACATTGCTTTGGGTAGTATGATCATTTAACAATATTAATTTTTCTAATTCATAAGTATAAAATTTCCATTTGTTTATATCCTTTTTAATTTCTTTCAAGTGTTTTGTAGTTTTTGTTGTGGAGTTTTCTTACTTCCTTGGTTAAATTTATTCTTATGTATTTTATTTTTTGTAGTCATTATAAATGGGATTGCTTTCTTGATATCTTTTTCAGTTAGTTTGTTATTGGTCTATAGAAATGCTATTGATTTTTCATGTTGATTTTGTATCACACAACTTTACAGAATTTGTTTATCAGCTCGAAGAGTTCTTTGGTAGAGTCTCTATGCTTTTCTATAAATAAGATTAGGTCATCTAAAAATGGGGACGATTTTATTTCCTCTTTTCCAATTTGGCTGCATTTGCTTTCTTTCTCTTGCCTAATTTCTCTGGCTATGATTTTCAGTAGCATATTGAATAAGAGTGGTTAAAATGGGCATCGTTGTCTTGTTCCAGTTCTTAGAGGAAAGGCTTTCAGCTTTTTCCCATTCAGTATGATGATAGCTGTGGGATGGTAATATATGGCCTGTGTTATGTTGAGGTATGTTCCTTCTAGGCCTCTTTGCTGAGATTTTTTTTTTACTTTAAGTTCTGGGATACATGAGCTGAACGTGCAGGTTTGTTACATAGGTAAATATGTGCCATAGTGGTTTGCTGCACCTATCAACCCACCACCTAGGTTTTAAGCCTCACATGCATTAGGTATTTGTCCTCATGCTCTCCCTCCCCTTTCCCTCCACCCTCTGACAGGCCCCAATGTGTGATGTTCCCCTCCCTGTGTCCATGTGTTATCATTTGTTCAGCTCCCAATTATGAGTGAGAACATGTGGTGTTTGGTTTTCTGTTCCTGTGTTAGTTTGCTGAGGATGATGGTTTCCAGCTTCATCCATGTCCCTGAAAAGGACATGAACTCATTCTTTTTAATGGCTGCATAGTATTCCATGGTGTATATGTGCCACATTTTCTTTATCCAGTCTATCATTGATAGGCATTTGGGGTGGTTCCAAGTCTTTGCTATTGTAAATAGTGCTGCAGTAAACATATGTGTGCATGTGTCTTTCTAGTAGAATGATTTATAATCCTTTGGATTGGCTTTGGTAGGGTAAGACTTTTTCTTGTGGGTGTAGCTATAGTGTTGCTTTGGTAGGATATTTTGGCTTTGATTCTGGGTGGCCAATGATTTATAATCCTTTGGGTGTATACCCAGTAATGAGATTGTTGGGTCAAATGGATTTCTGGTTCTAGATCCTTGAGGAATCACCACACAGACTTCCACAATGGTTGAACTAATTTACACTCCCACCAACAGTGTAAAAGCATTCCTATTTCTCCACATCCTCTCCAGCATCTTTTGTTTCCAGACTTTAACGATCGCCATTCTAACTGGTGTGAGATAGTATCTCATTGTGGTTTTGATTTGCATTTCTCTAATGACCAGTGATGATGAGCTTTTTTTCATATGTTTGTTGACCACATAAATGACTTCTTTTGAGAAGTGTCTGTTCATATCCTTTGCCCACTTTTTTTTTCTCAGCCCATTGTGGGCTGAGAAATACTTGATATAATTTCACTTCTTTTCAATTTGTTGAGAGTTGTTTTGTGGCCTAACGTGTGGTCTATCCTGAATAATGTTCCATGTGCTGATGAGAATAATGTGTATTCTGCAGCTGTTGGATAAAATGTTCTGTAAATGTCTGTTAGGTCCATTTGGTCTAAAGTGCAGATTAAATCTGTGTCTTTGTTGATTTTCTGACAAGATTAATCTGTCCAGTGCTAAGAGTGGGTTGTTGAAGTCCCCAACCATTATGGTATTGTGTCTCTCTCTTTCTCTCTTTAGCTCTAATAGTATGCACTATCTATATCTGGGTTCTCCGATATTGAGTTCACATATATTTATAATTGTCATATCCTCTTGCTGAATTCATTACTTGATTATTATAGAATGGCCTTCTTCATCTCTTTTTATGTTTTTTGACCCAAAGTCTGTTTTTTTCTGATATAAGTATAGCTATGACTACATGCTTTTGTTTTCTAATTGCAAGGAAAATTTTTACCACTTCTTCACTGTCAGTCTATGTGTTTTCAGGTGATATGAATTTCTTGCAGGTAGCTTATAGTTGGGTCTTTTTAAAAAATCCATTCATCTATCCTATGTCTTTTAATTGGGCAATATAAACCATTTACATTCAAGGTTGTTACTCCAGTCATTTTGTTAATTGTTTTCTGGTTGTTTTATATAGCCTTTGATTCTTTTTTTCCTCTTTTATTGTTTACCTTTACAATTTGGTGGGGATTTGCAGAGTTAATATGTGATTCTTTTATCTTTCTCTTTGTTATCTTCTCTATCAGTGAGTTTTATATCCTCATATTTTTTCACAAAAGTAGATATTGTCCTTTTGCTTTCACATGTAGGAATCCCTTACCATTTCTTGTAGAACTAGTTTAGTGATCATGAATTCCCTCCATTTTTATTTGTCTAGGAAATAATTTATTTTTCTTTTATTTCTGAAGGATAGCTTTGCTGGATATAGTATTTTGCCTGGAAATTTTTTTCTTTAAGTACTTTTACTATGTCATCCCATTCTCTCCTGGGCTATAAAGTTTCTGCTGAGAAATTCACCATTAGTCTGATGGGGACAGTTTTCTCTTGGTGTTTTTAGAATTTTCTTTTTGTCTTTGACTTTTGGCCTCTGGACTATAATATATATGAGAAAACCTTTTTGGATTTAATCTAGTTGGGAACTCTGAGCTTCCTGTATCTAAATGTCTGTATTGCTTGCAAGACTTGGGAAGTTTTCAGCTATTATTTTATTTAATAGGTTTTCTTTGCCTTGGCCCATTTATTCTCCTTCTTAACTCCCAAACATGAGATATTTGTTCACGTTATAGTGTCCCATATGTCACACAGGCTTTCTTCATTCTTTTTAATTTTTTATTCTTTTTCTTTCCTCTTTTTGTCTGAATGGGTTATTTCAAAAGACCTGTCTTCAAGTTCAAAAATTCTTTCTTCGACTTGATCTAGTTCATTGTTGAAGATCTTGATTATATTTTTTTCATTCATGGAATCTTTCAGTTCCAGGATTTCTGTTTGGTTCTTATGCATGATATTTATCTCATTGTTCAATTTCTCATTCCAAACATAAATTGTTTCCCTGATTTCTTTGTATCATTTTTCTGTGTTCTCTTTCATCTACCTGAGTTTTCTTAGGATCAATATTTTAAATTTTTTTGAGGCATTTAATAATTTCTTTTTCTTAGGCGTCTGTTACTGATGAATTATTATGTCCTTTTGGAGGTATCATGTTTCCTTTCTTTTTCATGTTTCTTGTGTCCTTACATTAATATCTGCACATCTGATGTAAAAGTCACTTTACAGTCTCTTCTTCCAATATTATGGATTGGCTTTGGTAGGGTAAGACTTTTTCTTGTGGGAGTAGCTATAGCATTGCTTTAGTAGGATGTTTTGGCTTTGATTCTGGGTGGCCATAGTACTGTAGTCACCATACAATTTATTCAGCTTTGCCCTCCAGTGTGGAGTTCCTTCTGGCTTTGAGCTGATTCTGGGCCAGCTTCTTCTTTGCTTTTCTCTCCTTCTGTGCCTCAAAGGTTCACTGCCACTTCCCTGCTGAATTTCAGTGTTCTGTAAAAATTTTTATTTGTTTTTAAAAAGTCTTATGTAACTATAGAATTGAAATTATTAATGGAATAGAAAATTAAATGTAAGAAAAAGCAAGAAGGAAGCAAGACCAATATTTAGGAGGCAATCATCTCTCCAGATGACTCACAGAAGAGGAAATCTCAAGGAGTAGATTATTTTTAAGAAGTTTCTGGTACAGTTCCTCTGAGGTCCTGTGACTACCCCTCCCCCAGGAAATAACTTTTTTATTTAACCACTACATTGACATCTACAGAAGTTGACACCTGTAAGTTTTAGACATAAAATTGATTCAACTTACAGTGCAACAATTTAAATGTATGCATCACTGCTATATTGAAAATATAATATGTCGTTAGACTTAAGACTTTCCTTTGTTTTGTCAAGTTTTTTTTTCTCATGGTGGGTTAGTTTGCTTTGGGAACCCCAGACCTAAACCTCAGCCATGCTTCTGGCAGCACACCCAGCACTGTCTCTCCAGGTGCTAGGAAGGCACTAAGACACACCCACCCAGTCCAGGTGGGCTAACTCACCAACTGACCCATCATAGCAACTTGGCTTGCCCAGCAGCATAGCCCATCCGGATGACTCTACCTACTGCTCTATAATCACTGTGTGGTGAGAAAAAAAAAGAAACTCTGCCTTGAAACCTCCTGTTCCCCCAACTAGTTCTCAGGAGAATGTTTGTGCTTTACTCTCTCTCTCTCTCACTCTCTCTCTCTTTCTCTCTCTCTCTGTGCCTATATGTAAAGACTGATCTGCAGTCTGCCATCATAGGGAGAAATGTGCTTCTAGCCTCACCTCTGGAAAAAGAAAATTAATAATTAATTAATTAAAGATCTTAAGATGGAGAGGTTATCCTGAATTACCCAGTGGTTCCAGTGTAATTACAAAGGTCCTTATAAGAGGGAGGCAGGAGAGTCAGAATGAGAGAAAGAAATGTGATGATAGTAGCAGAAATCGGAGTGATGCAAGGAAGGGGCCACAAGCCAAAGAATGCAAGTAGCCTCTAGGAGCTTGCAAAGGAAGGAAAATGGATTCTCCCTTAGAGCCCCCAAAGGAGTACTACACTATTGACACTTTGATTTGAGGACTTCTGACCTCCAGAAATGTTAAGTAATAAATGTGTATTTTAAGACATTAAGTTTGTGATAATGTTTTAATAGCAGTAATGGAACTAATGTATAAGAATTTTTACTTATTTATGTAGGCTACTCTTGTACTATGCTGAATAGTACATACAGTAATAACCATATGGTAATATCTAAAACTCATAACTGTGATTTTCTAATAATTGGGTGGCCAACAGTGTTGTCCCTCATTAAGCCAAAGCAATTATCCGGTGCTGACAAGCCAGTCAAAATCATTCAAATTCATGTATGTGATTGATTGAAATGGAAGCACTGAGGATCATTGAAGAAGTACCATGGAAACAGCATTTGCCATTCCAAGATATTTAGATGCTTTCATGACTACTCATCAATGAAGTAATGAAAATTTTGGGAACAGATGATCATAATTTTGAGTACGGTTCAAAGAATTTTAAAGTAATGACAAATGTCTATGCTTACTATAGGGAGATTTGCCAGAAAGAGAGAGAGTTATCTTATGTCCAAGCTTTATGAAAAATATATATTTTTAAAAGCTCAGTCAAAACAGTCCATGCATTAAAATCCTCTCAAAGGAATTTCACAAGCATGTAAAACCAAACACAACAAAAAAGCTGTCTGAATGCTATGTTTGGTTTCACATACTTGCATAAGCATATTAATATTTAATGAAATTGTCTTAACATAGATGTATGTAAGAATGAAATTTATTCATTTTCAAACAGCACAAAATATTCTGGGCCCACAGCCCTGCATTCTGACTAGGCCAGACATCTTATTTCTTTATCCCACTCAGGTTTAATATTTAATCTTGGGTTTTTTGAAATCAAACTTCAAAACTCCCTCTCCCTTCTCTTTCCCCTTGGTCCCTGGAGAAGGAGAATGACTTACGCTTTCATAGCAAATGACATCAGAGGTGGTGAGTTCCTTCTCTGCCTCTTGGTCCAATACAAAGGGACCAACATCAAGTGCTAGCATTGTCTTTCCAGTGGGGATGATGAAATTGTTAGCTCTTTAGGGAGCTCCATGAGGGCCCACCCTTGCACTGTCCTGTCCTCTTCTCCCTTAACGCCATGGCAACAAGCAGTCCACCCAAAAGTCTCTGCTTCTGATAAACCCAGACCATCTTCCATGGCATTTACTCATCCCTCCCTGCCCAGCCAAGGGAAGATCACAGGCTGCCATAGGGCATGCTCACAGTTTCAGCAACAATAGCATCAACTGTTCTGCCAGCTAAGTGGCATCCCCCAGGTCCCAACCCTGACAGTTCTTCCTGGGGGTATAGGGAAATTGGAGAACACAGATTTCATCAGAACAGGGTGGAACACATTGAAACTTCCTTGCTCCCTGCCTCCCAGTCTCTCCACCAAGGGAAGAGGAGGGAAAAGGCACTGTTCATGCTTTATGGACTCTGCTTCCTTCAGTGCTCCCATATCCTTGCCCTCTCTGTGTCCTTTATTTTATAAAACCCAAAAGAGTGGGGCTTAAGAAACTGGTTCTGCTGAATGCCTTATGCTAGCAAATCCCACAGTGGAGGACTGGCATTAAGAACCCATTTTTCTGCCCTTGAAAGGTGAGATATTTGGCAACTTTTATCCTGAACTATGGACTCTAGCAGGCTGTTCCAGGAAAGCACAAATGTCCCTTATGACCACTTTATCACTTTTTAAAAATATTAATTTCATACTATAGTAGTCATTAATTTTTGAATTTTTGTATTGCAAAATGGTTTTCCAAGACAGATTCCCAATTTATAACATTTTGCCTCTAAGAACTAAATTTTCCATTTAAACTAATTCAACTTGAGACTGTAATCTTGGCACTAATTAAGTTATAACTTGGGAGATCACTATATTGATTTCAAAACTCCAACTAAAGCTCTGGGATAAAAAGTTTTCTGAGAACTAGAAGTAATATAGATAAGGGGAGGATGTCTAAGACTAAACAGCTTTTCATTTATGAGAGATCCTAGCAATCTTCAGCATTTTTTTCTCACTCAAAGAATATTGAGGCAAAGTTCAAAGTATATTGTATCTGGGGAATTTCTGCTTCCATGTAATTCCTGCCAAATACTTGGGTCTGGATCACCACACACACACAGACACACACACACACACACACACACACACATGCATGCACACATACATGACTATAAATAACTAGAAAAATGGTAAAATATAATAAAAAACAATTTTCAGACATTAATCAGAACTGTTTAGGCCTGTGATCTCTGAAGAAAGGGAAATAAACGATGTGAGCCCTCTGTGAGCACTGGCTTTTTGCCTAGAGGCAATTCCCAGATTATAGCACTAAGAGGAGAATCCCAAACAAAGCCTGGTGGTCTCACTGGGTTAAGGAGACCAAAGTTCAGGGAGACTGAAGTGACTAGAATTTGTGGTGAAGAGAAAGAGCTCCAGAAATCTGTCTGGCATCCCCTCTAGTCTTTGGCTGACTCAGTCTGCACATGAATTAGGTAAAACTCTACAATTTTGGGGAAAGAACAGTTGCTGAGGCACCATAAGCTGAATAAATAGAAGAGTTCCATAAGGCCAGAAACCATTCAAGTTACCACTAGCCAGAGTGAAGAGGGCTCATTGAACATACAGGGCATTCAGTAAAGACCCTGGAAGAGTCAGATGTTTGTTACAAATCTTGAGTAAAGGATACTCTAGACCCACTCTTAAAAAGCTTTAAAAGAAGCCTCAAAATTATTAAACTAATCTTTAGCAATTTAACCACCTGCCAGAATAAATCACAATTCTCTTTAAGGAAGACAAAAAAAAAAATCCAACACTCAAGACATAAAATTTATGCCTGGCATCCAGTCAAATTTCTAGACATGCCAGGATGCAGGAGAACTTGCCCCAAAAACAGGGATAAAATTAATCAATAGAAATAGACACAGAATTGATAAAGGAGATGAAATTAGCAGACAAAGACATTAAAGCAGCTATTATAAATATATTTCATATGACAAGAAGGCAGAGGGAGAAATTAACATGTCTTGGAGACAAATAGAAGGTATAAAACTGTGAATAGAACTTTTACATATGAAAACTACACTGAACTGGATTAACAGATTAGAAACTGCAGGGGGAAAAAAATCAGTGAACATGAAGACATTGCAATAGGAGCTATCCAAACTGATGCACAGAGAATAAAAAGAGGAAACAAATTCAACATAGCCTTAGTGATCGGTGGAATAATATGTATGTAATTGGGCACCCACAAAAAGCGGAGAAAAAGGGGAGAGGAAGGAAAAATATATGAAGAAATAATGGCAGAAAATGTTTCACATTGGTTAGAAACTATAAACCCCCAAATCCAAAAAGCTCAACAAACCCCATGCAGAATAAAAAACCAAGAAAACTTCAAGAGAAATAATAATCATATTGCTGAAAACAAGTGATAAAGAGAAAAATCTTAAACGCATCCACAGAAAAAAAGGTACACTTAGAGAGGAACAAAGATAAAAATTATTATAGATTTCTCATCAGAAATGATGCAAGCCCAAAGAAATGGAACAATATCTTTAAAGTGCTGAAAAAACCTGTCAACCTAGAATTACATACCCAGAGAAACATTTTTCAAAAATTAAGACAAAAGATTTTTACAGACAAACAGAAGTTGACTCTTTGTCAACAAACTTGTGCTATAGGCAGAAGGTAAATGCAACCAGACGGAAACTTGGATCTCTACACAGAATGAAGAACATTAAAAATGGCAAATCTGCAGTTACATATAAGTCATTTTTTTCATCTTATAAACTCTCTAAAAGATAATGAATGTTTAAAACAAAAAATAAAACAATGTGTTGTGGGATTTAAAATATATTTAGAAGTAAAATATCTGAAAACATATAAAGCACAAAGGATGGGAGGGAGAAAATGAACGTGTATAGCTGTAAGTTTCTTCATTAATTCTTCATTGGTATGATACTGTTCGAAAGTAAACTATTATAAATTAAGGATAAAATTTGTAAACTCCAAGACAACCACTAAAAAACGGAGGTATAGCTAATAAACTAATAGTGGAGATAAGATGGAATACTAAAACTATCCTATTATTGAGGTGTTCTGTATCTTGATTATGTTGGTGATTCCATGTGAGTTTACAGCTGTCAAAACTCAACAAAGTATACACTTTAAGAAGACATGGTTTATTGTAAATAAGTAATTTCTCAATAAAGTTAATAAAAACAATCTAATGGAAAGCAAGAAAAAAGGGAAACATAAAACAAATGGGACAAAGAAAATAAATCAGAAGATTTTATATTTAAACCCAATCACTCGATAATTACATTAAATGTAAATAATCTAAACTATTCAACAAGAGACAGAAACTTTATGAAAGAGCACAAAGGCAAGACAAAAGTATATTCTACCTATAAGAAATTTATTTTAAAAATAAAGACACAGGTTAAAAGTAAAAGAATTAAAAATATAGACAATATACCACTAGTCACAAGAAAGGTGGAATAACTATATTAATCATAGGCAAAGTAAACTTTACAACAAAGAATATTACCAGGAATAAAGATGAACATGTTATAATGACAAAAGACTTAATTCTTCAAGAAGACATAACAATTTTAAATGTGCGTGCACCTAACGAATGAGTTTCAAAATGTACGAAGCAAAAAAGAATAGTTTTGAAAGAGAAATAGGCAAATCCATAATTATAATTGGATATTTCAAACTTCTCTCTCAGTAATTGATAGAGTAATTAGAAGAAATCAATAAAGATATAGAAAATTTAAATAACACCATCCACCAACTTGACCTAATTATCATTTATAGAACACTCCATCTAACAACTACAGAATACATATGCTTTTCAAATGCACATGGGATATACATCAGGATAGACCCTACATTGAGCCATAAAACAAGCCTCAAAATACTTAAAAAGACACTGAACCATAAAACAAGTCTCAAAATATTTAAAAATATTTTTTCTGACTCTCCTCTTTTTCTCTTCTTTTTGTGGGTGTCCAATTACATATATATTGTTCCACAGATATACTGTAATATACTGTAATCATACTAAATATATTATTCAACTACAATGGAATTAAATCCGACTAAGTAAAATTGAAAATTCAACATATCAAAATTTGTGTGCTATAGCTAAACGGGTGCTTAGAAGGAAATGTATAGTTGTAGATGCTTATTTTAGAAAAGTAGGACTAAAATAATCTTTCCCCTTAAGAAGGTAGAAGAAGGAATAAAAATAAACTTGAAGTAGAAGAAGAAAGAAGATAATATGGATAAGAGCAAGAATTAATAAAATAGAAAACAGCCAAACCATAGAGAAAACCAATGAAACCAAAAGCGGTTTCTTTGAAAATAATTGATAAACTTGTAGCTAGACTGGTCAAGAAAGTAAGAAGACAAATATTTGCCAATATCAGAAATAAAAGAGGGGAAATACTAAACTGCATAATAAATCCTATAGGCATTAACAATGTAATAAGGGAATATTATGAATTATTTTATGCCAATAATTTTAATTTAGATAAAATAGACAAATTCCTTGAAAAGCAAAAATTACCAAAATGAACTGAAGAAGAAAGAAAACTTGAATAGCCCTATAAAAACTGAAGAAATTTAATTCCTAATTTGATTTTCACAAAGTTAACTCCAGGCCCGGATGTCTTCACTGGTGAATTCTATCAAATATTTAAAGAAATAGCACCAATCCCATACAAACACAGACTACAGAGGAGAGGGGGAAACTCCCCAACTCATTCTGTAAGGCCTACATCATCCTGATATCCAGTACTGCCCTTGGACTCAAAAAAACTGGCCTCTGCTTCGTGCCCTTATGCTTCAGAAACTCCACTTGGCATGCCCTCCTCAAGATGTTCTAAGTCATGCTCTGCTGCCTGGAATCTGTTGGGGTTGGCAATGTCATCTGGGCAGGGTGCCTTGAGCTTGGACTGGGACTCTCATGGGCCCTATGCCTAGATTCTCCCTTCTCTGACCCTCTACACTGCTCATGGTATCAACCAGAAGCCCAAGGAACTCAGGGACTTACATCTCTGGGGTTATCCCAGGATCCCATGGCAAAGATCCAGCTCCAGGAGGGAGGCTTGGCAAGCAGATTGCTCCCTCCGGGCAACACAATATTGCTCTTGTAGGATCATGCAAGATTGGTCTCCCAGAATGATGCTGAAAACATGCTGATGTTGAGCGATTCTCACTTATGTCGGACACAGAGCAAGTTCAGGACTCTGACCTACCAAGAAGTCACTGCCAAGCCTTGGGTTTGAGCCACATGTTTGGACCCTTGCCTGGACTCTCACCCATCTACATCCTGACTGCAATGCTGCCCATGATCACAGCACCTAAAGGCAGCAGGTGTCTTTTGCCCATGGTAGCAAGAATCCTTTGCCCTGTACACTCCCACCTTTAACACCCAGGTTGGTCACTTGGCCCTTTCCATCAGCTTCATATGGTATGCCAGGCAGTCCCCTGGAAGCTAGGTCCAGAAACCATCTCCTCCAGTTGTTTATTACTAAAGGCATAGCTTCTAGCTTTGTTCTGTCTCTCACTTTGAGAAAATGTAGCAGTGCTGTTATTACTCACAATGCTGGAACCTGTTTTCATTGAAACAGCATAGATCATCTTACCTTTGCAATTCCCCAATACCACTTCTTTAATGTTCGTTACATCATTACTCATGATGCCACATCAACCATCTGCTACCCATGAATATTAGCTTTCAAAGACTCACAGTAAAAGTTGTTACTGTGCTTTGTTGGTGATGGCCACAAACGCAGGTCTTACCCACAGTGTGCAGAAAAAATGTGAGTGATATTTTGTGTTCTGGTCATGTCAATATTTAAAGAATTAGCCCGCTGGGGGGCCTTTGAGAACATTGCCCTGCAGCATCAATTGGCCTGATTGATGTTCTCTCTTGCCTCTGATTGGTGTGGTTGTGCTCTCCCAGGATGTTTTTAAGTCACACCAGATGAGGAATGGATATTTCTTGCACAAATGGGACTGCCTGCTTACCCTACCCACGGGCCCCTCGTGGCAGTGTGTAGATGGCAACAGCATAGTCAACATTGAAAGAGATCACATTCTAGAAATGCACTGGTTACAGTCTAAAGAGTCCAACATTTATGCTATAAAATCCTAAACAGTAAATTTAACATGACCAGAACACAAAATATCACCCACATTTTTTCTGCACACTGTGGGTAAGACCTGCGTTTGTGGCCATCACCAACAAAGCACAGTAACAACTTTTACTGTGAGTCTTTGAAAGCTAATATTCATGGGTAGCCGATGGTTGATGTGGCATCATGAGTAATGATGTAACGAACATTAAAGAAGTGATATTGGGGCATTGGAAAGGTAAGAAGATCTATGCTGTTTCAATGCAAACAGGTTCCAGCATTGTGAGTAATAACAGCATTGCTACATTTTCTCAAAATGGGAGACAGAACAGAAGCCAGAAGCTATGCCTTTGATAATAAACAACTGGAGGAGATGGTTTCTGGACCTAAACAGGAAGAGATGCTACCAAAATAAGCTTTTATGAACAATAATTAGACAATAAACAAATGTATAAGTACTTCTTCTCCACCCATTTTTCTAAATCTTTACTAGACCTCACATAGGCTGATGAATTTTGTAATATGTTTTAAATCAAATTGTTTATATAGACAAAGGCCTGGCAAAAAATATTTGTCTGGAGCTCTACATATTTTAGACATTCCTGCTAATATCAAAACCAAACAAACCAAGCAAAAAAGAAACCTACAGAGCGGCATCCCTCAAGATCATAAACACAAAAATTCTTAACAAAACATTAGCAAGTTGACTCCAGCAATATAAAAAAAAAGATAATATGCCACAAACAAGTAGCGTTTATCCCAGTAATACATTATTTGTTTGCTGTCATAAAATAAATCAATTTGCTATATTAGTTGAATAAAAAAGAAAACCATATGATAATCTCAACAGATGCAGAAAAAGCATTTGACAAAATTAAATATCTATTCATGAAAGAGTTGTTTTATGTCTGGCAGACACAGGGGCCTTCTGAAATAGAGACAGGCCTGATCCTGGGGTGAGACGGATTCATAATGGTATGTCTATCACATATCTTCCAGAAACTGAGGGGACTGAGATTGTAGGACCAGTGACATTCTGAAGAGCCCACTGCAGTCGGTGGCAGTGCTAAGATTCAGTGTTTTCCTGTCTGTCCCCAGAGCATCTCTTTCCCTATACCACAGTGTCTCCATATAAAGAATGACTGATTTCATAGAGTGAAACTGCATTTAGTACTATTAGGAAAAAAAGAAAACATTGAAATGCTATTTCCACTAAGAATAAAATGATATTTATTCCCTATATTGAGATATTCATGGGTATATTTTTGAGAGATGAAGTAAATGTGCCAAGATTACTAATTTTTTTTTCTATAACTGAATCAGGAGCAGATACAGTGTGGTAGGACAGCAGATTTAAGTATGTTGGAGGCCCTATTTAAGAAAAAATGTAATATGAAATTAGTAACATGAACATTTCTTCAAAAAATTATTAGTTTTACAAAGCTGACAAATGCCACACACAAAAATCCAGAACAGGGGCAGGGTGTGGTGGCTCATGCCTGTAATCCCAGCACTTTGGGAGGCCAAGGTGGGCAGATCACCTGAGGTCAAGAGTTCGAGACCAGCCTGGCCAACATGGTGAAACCACATCTCTACTAAAAATACAAAAAATTAGCCAGGCATGGTGGTGTGCGCCTGTAGTCCCAGCTACTCAGGAGGCTGAGGCATGAGAATTGCATGAACCTGGGAGGTGGAAGTTACAGTGAGCCGAGATGGTGCCACTGACCTCCAGCCTGGGTGACAGAGTGAGGCTCTGTTTCAAAAAAAAAATCCAGAACAGTAACAAATATTCTCATTCACTGAGTGCCTGCCACACCTCTATGCTACTTTTTCCTTGCCTTTCTTTTTTGTTGGAGTTGGGATTGTATATATTTTATTGGCTTTATATTATGATTTTCAATAGAGAAAATAGAAAGATAATTTAATTTTTTTCTAGCATAGTCAAATGCTTTTTTATTGATAGTCAGGATTCATAAAACATGCAAATTCACACACAAATGGACCATCTGCATGGTTTGTGTCCTATAAACATAGAGATCTGTATAAACTCTATTTCCACAATTCCCACCAAAAGAAAAATAAATGGTGCATTCATATTTTAATATACCACCTTATCAATTATATCTCTGCAAGAGAGGATTCCATATCAAAAGCAAGTTATGGAGTGCCTCTATGTGAGCAACCTCCAAATTGTGTGGTATTTCTCTCTTCCTGCTATATCCCACCAAGAAATTGACTCAACCCAGAGTAGGCTGCAAGGCCCCCTGTTCCGGTGTCTAACTCTCTTAGACCTATGCCAACTCTCTTCCCTTCCAGCTTAGAGGCTCTTCTTCTGGTTGTGACAGGGACTAGTGATAGCCTACTGCATCTTCTCCCAAATCACTCCTGCCTCACATTTGGGCTGAGGACTTTTGACATTCTTGTCCTCAAGTTCTGTGTGCCTCCAACTTTGTTATCTGGGCTGGGACAGAGTCCCAGAGAACAAGGGAAGAAATTCAATAAACAGGAGTGGGAAATATCTGGGTTAAGTCACCCACGAAGTGCCACAACCCAGTGGAACTAAATTCTCAGTCAGGATTGTTTTTTGAGGCAGATGTCTCTTGATAGGTGTCCTTCAAAATTTTGGAGTTATTTAATTTTTGCAAATAACATTCATGAAGTTAACTTCTTGCCACACAATCTAATAAAAAGTTATTTGGGGCCACAAAGTGCTCTATAATTTTAATATCAATTGAGACTATGGCCAGGAGAAAAGACTGTTTCCCCGCTGGAGGGCCTGAGCTTAAAGCACCTTTCCAATTCAGCTATGTAGGAGACAAGGGTGTAAGCCCTGGACACTGGGAAAAGCTATTTGCATCCCCAAAAGTTAATTTTTTTTTTACCTGCAATACACCCTTTTAAATAGTAAAGGAGAAAAAATTATCATCCCATACTCCCGGTAAAAATATATCTCCTTTCTTGCATGGTCACCCAGGAAAAGGACCTGTTTTACCTACTATGTGCTTTCTCACACTTTATTTAGGCATGAGATTGTAACGATGTAAAAATTAACATATATGTGTGTGTGTGTGTGTGTGTCTATAACATACTTTATATGTATATATTCTTTTACATGTATAAAATTCTACATTTTGAAAGATAGTACTAGAAAAATAACTTGAGGATGATTCTGGAATCCATCCCAAGCTAATGGTGGCTGTACACAATTTGCTCTTCTCACTGGGACCCCTTCTCTTTCTCCTGTCCCCTCCCCTTCTCCTCAGGGACTCTCCTCCTTCTTCTCACAGATTTCTGGCCATTTTCTAGCAAGCCTGTTTCTCAACTCATTATTTTTGCCTATTTATTAGGCTTCAGTCCCCTCTCTTTATTCTTGTCCACAACACTCCCTTCCCCACAACTTGCATTCTTTCTCCTTTTTTGAGACCGTGGGTTTCACAGCCTGCACTGGGAGTGGTGGTCATTCCCCACCACTGAGAAGCTTGACCGCTTTTCTCTAGAGGAATGACAGGTGAGGGGGCCTGAGACAAGGGTGTGGGTGTGGGTTCAGAGTGGACCTGGGATTCTGCCAGGCCCCCTGCTAACCTTGAACAGTATTCTATTGTGCTCCCCACCATACGGGATAGCAATGGAAAGAAGTTATTTCTGGACATTGGACATTTTACTGTTAAATTGTTTGAAGATTAAGTGATTAGCATATTGGTAATTGCCAGAGACCCGAAAACTCTGTCCCCAACATCCTCCAACATTCTCTTATTTCTGTCACTGTCCCAGCCATGGGACAGTGGAAAGGGGCAATCTTAAGAAACAGCAGAGAGATAAGAAAAGAGAGAAATGAACAGAATAACACCTTTCATTGCCTTTTGTGACATATTCCCAAGCTGACCTTTCTGAAGCTGAAAGAAAACTATTCTGTCTGAAACAAAAGGAAATGAATAGTCAGTTCAAATAGCATAGTTCTTAGGAGGAGCTCCAGCTGTAGATCCAGACAGGCATGGCTCTGATTCCCAGTTCTGCCATTCACTGGCTGGGGGACCCTGTTACTAACCTCTGTAAACCTCAGTTTTCTCATCCAAAAAGTGGAGATAATAATGTCTCCTTCCTCGCAGAGCTATTGTAAACATTCAATGAGCTGGCTATGAAGATGGCCTCACTTCTAATAAGAATTCAAGAGATAGAAGCCAGTGCTACTTTTTCAATGCAATGTGGTTGGAACTAAAGGGCAAATTCAAAGTGTAAGGTAATTTGCTGACTTTCATGAGTTCACAATCCAACTGAAGAAACGGAACACAAAGGAAAGATAAACCACAATGTAATTCAAGGAAAGATCAGTGTTTTTAGAACATGCCACATCTATAAATTACCCCAAAGAGAAATTGTCCACTTGGCTCTAATTAATGAAAAATAAAACCTGAATGTAAATCTTGGTAATTACAACAACAAAAAGAAAAGATTAGTGTTATAAATGATAGTCATGGTCAGGACTCTGAGACAAGAGAAATTTGTGAACACTGAGGGAGGAAGTCCAGATGCTATTAAGGGCAAATAATTTTTTTATTTTAAAAAAATAGTAATTTTTAATGTAAACAATTCCTATGCAGTGTTCATCATCCTTAAAGTTTGGAGGCAGTGGAAAATTACATAAGATTTAGAAGGATTAAATCTGTGACTACACATATTAAAATTGGCCTGAGTCTTAGTCTTTTGCCCTAATAGCTATAGGAGTCATATCAAAAGGGAAAACTGGAATAAACTGTTAAAAAGATTATTTTCAAGGGGGTTATGAGGTTGCTCGCCCCATTCCATGATCTTAGACATCTTGTAGGGACGGTCAACCACTGATAATACCAGCTCCTATTACACATCTCTTTTAGGTGTTCTTCAAGCTAATCAACCACAAGTCAAGGTCACCTTTCAGACATTCCATACCACCATGTCCTCAACTCTTGTGTTGCCTGCAAGGACCAATCCAGATCAGGTGATAAAAAAAAAATTTGTCCTCAAATAAATTTATTATTATTAATTATTTCACATATTAATAAATGTAAAATTTGATTAATAAAGAGTAGTCATTGTTCCTCTAATATTTTTAAAATCTCTTTGCCTTTTTGCTCTACTTTCTTGGAAATTTCTTGATTTTATCTTCTAATTCTTCAATTGAGTTCTTCAACTGCTAACAGCTTTTTAATTTCCAAAAGCTCTTTTTTAGTTTCCTGGATGTTCCTATCCTATAGCATCCTGTTCTTGCTTTCTGCATACAATGTCTTCTTTTGTTTCTTGAGGATATCAGTAAAGTTTTAAATACATTCTTTCTTTTGGTATAGCTTTTTTTCTGCAAGTTACTTTTGCTGCTGGTTCCCTTTCTTGTCTCTTTTTCATTTTAAGGACTTTCCTCAGAAGTGAGAGAGTTCTTGGCTGTCTCTTCATATTTAAGAGAGGAACATTAAAAATCAATATGTAGCTCTAAGTAGGTGGGAGGAACTGTCCACTGAACACTTCACATTAGAGGATTTATCTGGAGAGTTTGATGGCATCAAATTTTATTATCTGTATGTCTTTCTTGTTGGGTTTATTAGATGCCCTGAGAAGGCTCTTTCAAACTCCTGCCTGGAGGATTGGATGGTCTGAGGCCCAGTTATCAGGGTTCCAGCAGTCAAATAGGGAAGAGGCCTCAAGGGAGGGAATGAGTCAGCACTGCAGATTTAGTTTCATAGGTTTGTGTGATGTGTGTATATACTCTGCATAGTCATAGAGATGGTAGAGAGAGAATAAGTCACATAATTACCTCATGCACTTTCTGATTTTCAAACGATGACACGTAAAAGAGATGGGTAATAGGAACTGGTATGATCAGTGGTTGACTATCCCTACAAGATGTCTAAGATCATGAAACAGGGACAAGCAACCTCATAACCCTCTCCACAATTATTATTGCCTAGCATGAAACCTCAGAGTTTAAAAATGGTGAAATATTTGGAGGAGAATGGGGGGAGACTAAAATTGTATGAAATTATTTGTCTCCAACGAAGATAATTCAAGTACAGTCATGCACTGCATAACAACATTTCTGTAAACGATGAACCGCATATATGACAGTGGTCCCATAAGATTATACTATATTTTTACTGTACCTTTTCTACATTTAGTATGTTTAGATACACAAATACTTCCCATTGTGTTACAATTGCCTAAATTATTCAGTACAATAACATGTTGTAGTTTTCTAGCCTAGGAGCAATAAGCTATAACATATAACCTAGGTGTGTAGTAGGCTGAAGCATCTATGTTTGTGGAAATGCACTTTATGATGTTCAAACGATGACAAAATCACCTAATGGTACATTTATCTGAATGTACCCCCATCGTTGAATGATGCATGAATGTACACAATTTATTATGACCAAGAAAATTAGGCTTAAATCCTTTAGAAAAACATATTTAAAATACAATTTTATGTTTAATAAAATATATATAATATTCTAGAGTATGTATAAGCATGGAAAATACAGTTCAGGTATCAAAATGTCATCCATAGGATGATGTAAAATACACACATCAAACCTCCTACTCTATAAACAGAAATTGTACCTTCTTTTACAAGTCCACATAGAACACTCATAAAAATAGACATACATTAACCCACAAAGAAAGTCTCAATAGATTCCTAAAATAAATAGACTCACGTGCAGATGTCACGGGGCAAACTTTGCCACTTAATTGTCTAAAGAGCCAGGCATGGTAGCTTGCACGTGGAACCCCAGCACTTTGGGAGGCCCAGGAGAGAGGATCACTTTTGAGGTCCAGGTTTTGAGACAAACCTGGGCAAATTAGTGAGAATCCCCCATCTCTAAAAAAATATTTAAACTTAGCCAGGTATAGTGGTACACCCATGTAGTCCTATCTACACAGGAGGCTTAGGCGGGAGGATCACTTGAGCCCAGGAGTTTGAGACTGCAGCAAGCTATGATTGTGCCATTACACTCCAGCCTAGGTGACAAGAGTGAGACCCCATCTCTTAAAAAACAAAAAATCCAAGGAGAGCTGGAAGACTTCATAGGTATGATCATTTTCAAAATTTAAAAGTGTAAGCATAAATGCACCCAGTAGAGATGCAAACAGTGAGCTTCCTTGGCAAAGAGGAGCAAATTCGCTAATGTTTCTAGAGAACAGGAGCCTAGATAAAGGAGTAAAGAGACAGGGCAGAAAATGAGGACGGAAAGGTCCTTCCCTTAGCTTACATTTGCAAGAGTTTGGATTTCATCTTGTGGGGAAATTTGAGGGATTTTGAGCAGGAAGTAACCAGGGCAGATTTGCATTTTAGAAAGATTGCCCCAGTTTCTAAGTGGAGGCTAAAAGCAGAAGACCTCACCTTTGACAAGATCATAAAGTAAAGGCATAGAAATGAAAACGAGGGCTAAGTAGGAGAATTATTTACAGCAATGCTGTCCAATAGAACTTCCTGCAGTGCTGGTAATGTCCTGTGTCTGCACTCTCTAATAGGGTAGCCACTAGCCATATGAAACTATTGAGCATTTGAGGTGTGTCTAGTACAATGAAGGAATTTAATTTCTAATTTTATTTTATTTTAATTAAGTTAAATAACCATGGGAGTTCATTAGACAGTGTAGCTTTAGAAGGTGTGTGTGTGTGCATTTTTAAAATTTTAAAAATATCTTCACTGAGGTAGAGTTGGCATAAATTGCCCACACTTAAAACACATATTTTGATGTTTTGATGTATGTATATACCATGAAGTGATGACCACAGTCAAGATAGTGAGTATATCCATCACTCCAAAAGGTGTATATAAAATTAATGCACCTGAAAAGCAGATACTGGATAAATATGGAAGGACTCTGAATTTTATCAGCTATTTCTTTGTCTGCTTTAAGGATAAAAATGCAGCAATAAAACTCCATAAAACCTTATGCCATTTTTGTTTATTTTTTGCAATTTCAACACTATATAAAGAACCACACAGCTAAAGCAAAAGTTTTAGAATGGGAATGGGAAGTAAGAAATTCAGAAAATGATTCAGGGCACAGAAAAGAATAAAGCAGTTTCTGTACTATGGTTCTTCTTTTGCCTCAAGGGAAGCGCTGTCAACTCTTCCTGGAGCATTTTTTGCATAAAATTTGGGTTACTTCCAATAAATTACCATTAGGTTCCACTGTCCTTGAAAATTTCACCCTGAGATTAAAAATTTTCTGCACGTACTGCTTTTTTGTGTTTTGTTTTCAGTTTACACATTTTACCACTTAAAATTGGTGTGTCAGCAGATTTCTGTCTGAAACACATATGTGCTAACACGGGTAAGTTAACTATTTTCAATATTTCTGAGAAATAGACAACAATTTGGCAGAAATTTAATGGAGAAGAATTTTCTCTCTCGCACACTGCCCCTCCCCCGCCCCCCAACACACAACTTTTTTTTTAAGAAACAGGGTCTCCTTTAGTGGCCCAAGCTGGAGGGCAGTGGCACCATCACATCTCACTGCAGCCTTGAACTCCTGGGACCCAGCAATCCTCCCACCTCAGCCTCTGAAGTAGCTGGGACTACAGGCGCATGCCACCACATCTGGCTAATTTGTTTTTATTTTTTGCAGAAATGGGGTCTTCATATGTTGCCCAGGCCGGTCTTGAAATTCTGGGCTCAAGTGTTCCTCCCACCTCAGCCTTCCAGAGCACTGCAATTACAGGTGGGCACCACCATGCCTGGTCTATTTTCACCTCTCTTTTCTTTCTTTTTTTTTTTTTTAAGATGGAGTCTTGCTCTTGTCACCCAGACTGGAGTGCAGTGCCACGATCTCAGATCACTGCAACCTCCACCTCCAGGGTTCAAGCAATTCTCCTGTCTCAGCCTCCCAAGCAGCTGGGATTACAGGCATGCGCTGTAATCCACCCGGCTAACTTTGTATTTCAGTAAAGACGGGGTTTTACCATGTGGGCCAGACTGGTCTCGAACTCCTGACCTCAAGTGATTCACCCGCCTTGGCCTTCCAAAGTGCTGGGATTACAGGCCTGAGCCACTGTGCCCGGCCCCATTTTCACCTTTCTAAATGAAGAATTTAAAAACAAATTTAAACACATGTAGACTTTAAGCCGAGCTTCTCTTTTCATCTGAGGCTGTGAGGCTCCCTGGACCTGGGTGCAGTTTCCTGGGCACAGGCTCCACATGGCATCTGCCACAAGCTGGGTGTGCTCCTGGGCATTCTGCCCTCTCCCGAAGAGTTTTTAGAGCAAATTCTTATAATTCTAGGAAAAATTACTCATGTTGACAAAGGAAATCTCTGTACCTCTTCACTTAGTGATAAAGCTGAGAAAATTCCTTTTATTCAAAAACATATTTGTGATACATCCAAGCACTCTACTTAACACGGGTCATTTTCCCTCATCTCATAAACTCTGCCCTGTGTAAAACAACAGCACTCCATCCATCCATCCATCCATCCATCCATCCATCCACCCATCCGTCCGTCCATCCATCCAATCCATTCATCTATCCATCCATCCATCCAACCATCCATCCATCCATCCATTTATTGCATTCACTAAAGTATTCTATGTGCCAGGCACTTTTCTCAGAACTGGAGATACAACAGTGAACAATAAGAACAAAAGTCCTACTCTCATCCTACACACAGCCTTGCTAGCGGACATGGGTAAGACAGAACATTAAAACAACAATAGTAAATATATAGCAGGTCATATAAAGATAAGTGCTACAGCGAAAATAAAATCAAATAAGGGTGATAAGAATTGCCAGAGGAATGAGAGAAGTTATTTTATCAAGAAAGTCACTGATAAGGTGACATTTGATTATATTTTTGCAGCTAATGGAATCAGCCATGTGAATATTTAAGGAAAACGCCCTGAGGCAAGATTTTTTTGGAGGGGTGGGGTGTATTTGGGACCGGCTGGGGCTGAGCAAGCTGGAAGTCAGGGATGGGAGCAGGGAGTCAGACCATAAAAGGCATGGGAAGTATTATTACAAGGACTTTGGTTTTTACCCTAACAGACATCAAAAGTTATTGGAAGGTTTCAAATAGAGTTGTGATGTTATCCAGCATATGTTATTTGTTGTTTTTTTAGAGACTTGGTTTCTCTCTGTCGCCCAGGCTGGCATGCAGTGGTGTGATCATAGCTCACTGCAGCCTCCAACTCCTCAGCTTAAGCCATCCTCTCACCTTGGTTTCTGAAAGTGTTGGGATTACAGGTGTGAGCCACCACACCCAGCTAACATATGTTTTTTAATGGATCAGCCTGAGACTACTGTGGTAGGAATTGACATGATGCTGTAGGCAGAATAATGTCTATGTCTTCATCCCTGGCACCTCTGAATGTGTTATATCTCATGGCAAAGGAGAGTTAAGATTGCAGATGGAATTAAGGTTGCTAATCAGATTTGGAGAGATAGGGAGATTATCCTGTATTATCCTGCTGGGCCCAGTGTAACCACCAGCACTCTTATAAATGAAAGAGGGAGACAGAAGAGAAAAGAAAAATTAGGAAAATATAAATAATCCATTAACACAAGAAACACGACCACAAGAAAGAAGTGTTGAGTGAATGTCTGAATGAACAAAGATTTAATTACTTAATTCTGGGACAGTTTTTATTATTCTTATGTGTCCAGGGAAGAAGGAAACTGTTTAATCATAAAATTGCTCAGATTTTGCTGTAAAGTAAGTTTCAGTTCTCTATATCTTCATACAGTTGCACTTTGTAAAATGATACAGCTTTATCTGAAAAAAAAAAATAAGTTGCCCTAATATAATACAGAAATCTTTTCCAGATCAAATCTTACTTTCACACTCACGGAGTAAAAATTTTTCACTGAGTTGAAACACATTAAAACATGCTCATTATTTTACATGCCTAGGAAAATTTCGAATTCTTCATATTACTTTTCCCAGGCATCCAGATGGGTTCTAAGAAAAGTTCTAGTGAGATTATATTTCGTCTGTATGGTTAAAAGAAGGAGTATTGGCAGTCTCCTAATTTAGTGGTGGTTTTTAGCCCAAATTCCAGATTAAGGAGGTTTAAGTTTCTGCAATTACAGCTTTTAAAAACACAGCAATGAATCTTCACAGGTTTACCTTCATTACAAATTGTATCACTAAGAAGATGAGAGAAAATAATATCTTTTGAAATTTTGTAGATCCATTCTCTGGATGTTATGGAGATCTCTCATCTTAACTCTAACACCTTTAAGGTATCCAAGGAGAAAATCAGGTGCATGGATGGCAGGTCAACTTCGGGTATGCCTCTCTTACTAATCACTATTTTCATGGGGCCATAGAACTTCCTGTGGTTAATGGTTGACACCTTCTGGTGGCCTGCAGGACAGGTGGCAAACTCAGACACATTGGGACTCAAAGGGGGTCTTGAGAGGTCGTTGAAATCTATTTCTCTGCCTTCAGGCAGAACCACTGGGGAAATATGAGATACCATCATAGTTTTAAAAGACTGTCAAGAAAGTAAATTCCAGGACATAAGAACAATAACTCCAGGAAAAAAAAAAACAAACCCTCAGTGTCTAGTAACCCTCAGTGTCAACCCTTATTTTCATTGTGGAGCTATTTTAAATTAATAAGCCTGGAAAATAGATACATGGCACAACTGATCTCTGGATGTCAACACATCAGTTAATTGCATATGACTCCCTAGAAAGTATATGTAACTCACAACTTGCACCTTACAAAAGAAGAGTTCAAAGTCCCTATCATTACTAAAGGGATTCTAAGCCAGAGTCACTTCCATTCTTTTCAGAATAAAATAGTGATTTCAGGAAGGTGAAACCACCTGTCACATTTCTATTTACCAGAACCAGTCAAGATTTGGGCTTTTTAAACTGCTTTGCCATTTCGTTTCTTCTCCTCATTGAAATTTACTTTTCATAGGAAACATGAATGTGAACATGTACTTTAAGGACTTAAAAGGAAATACACCCTTTAAATGTTAACGATGTCTATAATTATTTAGCACCTGCTTAAATAAAGACAGGAATTGCTCCAGAGTGTTACTTATTTTCATTGATCATAGGATCCTAGAGAAGGCAGAATTTTGTTGGGGGGAAAAATAACACCCCAAGAGAATGACAAGGGGAAACTACTGAAAAGCTATGATAGTTACAAATCAAAATGTTCCCAGGCAACTGCCATATCTCTGGTTTTCCTTGATCACATCAAATCTCAATTCATATAGCAAATTACATCACGCTGTGGAGTTTGATGCTCTAACATCTGTACCGTAGAGCCAGGTGGTGTTTATGATTAGAAATACTTTCTCACACAACTTTTACTTTCTGAAGCTATTATAATAATAGCCTCATGTGTTTGCTTGCTTGCTTAATTTTTTAATTTCGCTATTACTAATCCTTACCCAAACTTTTCATCAGAAGCATGAAGTCCCTCTCAATAGGATCAAACACATCAGGCCATCTATCCATCTCATCATTTTACTTGAAAGGTTCTCTCTGGGGGCCTTCCTTCCTTTTGCTCCATGTGACCAGGCTGCTTGGCCTGCTCCACGGGTGACACCCTGAAACTTGCTGTCTCCATCCACCTGGAAACTCCCTTTTCTTCTCTCCCAAGTTTGAGCCGTTGTTTTGGGGACTCCATGTCTTCCTCTTTCTTGGTTTATTCTTTATTTACATAAGAAAAGCCTCAGAGCTGGGGGTGGTGGTTCACAGCTATAATCCCAACAGCTTGGAAGGCCAGAGGCAGGAGGAACACTTGATGCCGGGAGTTTGAAACCCACCTAGGCAACAAAATGAGATCCTATCTCTACAAAAATCTTAAAAATTAGCCACGTTGGTGGCACACACCTGTAGTCCCAGCTACCTGGGAGACTGAGCTGGGAGGATCACTTGAGCCCAGGAGCTGGTGGTTTCGGTGAGCTATGATGACACCACTGCACACCAACCTAGGCAACAGCACAAAGCCCTGTCTCAATAAAAGAAAGAAAGAGAAAAGAGAAGGAAAGAAGGAAGGGAAGAAGGAAGGAAGGAAGGAAGGAAGGAAGGAAGGAAGGGAGGGAGGGAGGGAGGGAGGGAGGGAGGGAGGGAGGGAGGGAGGGAGGGGCCTCCAAAGATTTCCCAAGAGAGAATACATGGGAAGTTGGGTTTTTTTGGTTTCTTTACTTGTTACATGTCTGGATGGGTCTTTATTCTGTCTTCATGGTTCATGAATAAGGACACAATTCTAGGTTAGAAATAATTTCCACTGATATTTAAAACTGTGCTTCACTGTTTTTGAGCTTCTTGAGTTGATGCTGAGAAGCCTAATACTTATTATAATCCCCATTTCTTTATTTGCCATTCTCTTTCTGTCTGTCTCTCTCTCTCTCTCTCAAAACTTTTTGGCCTGTCTCTTTATTCCCAGTGTTATTAAATTTCACAATGTGCCCTGGTGTGAGTCTTTTAAATTCAATGTACTGAGTTTTGTTAGGCGTTTACAATCTGAAAATGTATGTCTGCCAGTTCTCAGAAGTTTCCTTACATTATTTCTATAATATTTTTCCGACTTCCTCTGCTCTCTCTCTCTTACTCTTTCTCTCATTCTCTCTCTCTCTCTCTCTCTCTCTCTGCATCCTCTCCCCTTGCTCTCTGGAAAGCCATTAGACATTAAAATTCCTATGCTAATTGATATGATTTGGTTCTGTCCCCACCCAAATATCATCTTGAATTGCAGCTCTCCAATCCCCACATGTTGTGGAAGGGACCCGGTGAGAGGTCATCGAATCACAGGGGCAGGCTTTTCCCATGCTGTTCTTAGGATAGTGAATAAGTCTCATGAGAACTGATGGTTTTATAAAAGGGCAGTTTCCCTGCACACACTCTCTTGTCTGCTGCCATGTAAGATGTGACTTTGCTCCTCATTCACCTTCTGCCATAATTGTGATGCCTTCCCAGCCATGTGGAACTGTGAGTCCATTAAGCTGCTTTCCTTTGTAAATTATCCAGTCTCAGGTATGTCTTTATTAGCAGTGTGAGAACAGACTAATACACTCATCTTTTAAAGTTTCAGTACTGCACTCACTCTTCCTCTGCTGTGCCTGAGGGCTAAATGGCCCTGGTTCTTTATCTCCAAGAATAAATTCTTGTCTCTGACTGAGGTCATGGAAGTTCTCTGTAGAGTGAGTTTAACTCCTACTTAAAAGAACTTCTAACCAGACATACAACTTGCCAATAAACATGAAAAAATGCTGAACATCACTAAGCATCAGAGAAATGCAAATTAAAACCACAGTGAGATACCACCTCACACCAGTCAGAATGCCTAGTATTATAATGTCAAAAAAACAATAGATGTTGGCAAGGATGCAGAGAAAAGGGAACTCTTACACACTGTTGGTGGGAATGTAAATTCGTTCAACCCCTATGGAAAACAGTACAGAGATTTCTCAAAGAACTAAAAATAGAACTACCTTTCAACCCAGCAATCCCACTACTGGGTATCTACCCAAAGGAAAAGGAATCATTATATCAAAAAGACACCTGTACTCCTATGTTTATTGTAACACTATTCACAAGAGCAAAGTCACAAAATCACATAAGTGTCCATCAGCAGTTGATTGGGTAAAGGAAATGCAGCATTTATACATCATGGAATACTATGCAACCATAGAAAAAGAATAAATAATGTCCTTTTCAGCAACTCAGATGGAGCTGGAGGCCATTATCATAAGTGAAATAACTCAGTAACAGATAATCAAATACCACATGTTCTCACTTATAAGTAGAAGCTAAACAATGGCACACATAGACATAAAGATGGAAAAAATAGACACTGGAGGCTCCAAAAGAGGGGAGGATAAGAGGGTTGAAAAATTACCTATTGGTTGCTTGAAATTGCTTATAGGGGGAGGGTGTGCAACACAGAAATCAACAAACACTACAAATCAAAGATTTTCTTGTTTTGCTAGAGAGTTTCTTAACCAGCACACCACTGCGGGAAGTCCTTACTTCTGAGCCTTCCCAAAGCTCTGTAGCACACATCAACTGTTTCTTTCATATTCTCTTTCTGCAGATTGTTCGATTTCAGTTGTCCATATTCTGCTGTCAGTCACCAATTAATCTCCTTTCTTGATCCTAGAAAGACTTGTTGACATCTATCACCAATTGTCATCTCCTCTCCCACCAATCAGCCTATATTACTGATATGGTTTAGCTCTGTGTCCCAACCCAAATCTCACCATGAATTGCAATAATCCCCACGTCAAGGGCAGGACAAAGTGGAGATAATTGAGCCATGGGGTGGTTTCTCCCATGCTGTTCTCGTGATAGTGAGTTCTCATGAGATCTGATGGTTTTATAGGTGGCTTCCCCCTTCACTCAGCTCTCATTCTTCTTCCCACTGCCATGTGAAGAAGGACATGTTTGCTTCCCCTTCTACCATGATTGTAAGTTTCCTGAGGCCTCCCCAGCCACGCTAAACTGTGAGTCACTTAAACCCCTTGCCTTTATAAATTACCCAGTCTCAAGTGTGTCTTTATTAGCAGCATGAGAACAGATTAATACAATTACTTTTATATAGAAAAGAAAATGGTTATATTTCAATTTCAACAATTCTTTGAAAATAAAATAACATGAGAATGATTTATCATATAATTTACATGACATAAATATACATGCGATAGTGTTAATATACACAACTACACTTAAATCTTGGCTTTGCCATTTACTAGCTGTGTGAATTAGAGAAAGATACTTAACTTTTCTGGTGTTCAATTTTTTTCATTTGATAAATAGCAAGAACACTACCTATCTTGCATGGATACAGTTTGAAATGGAAATGTGTATAAAATGAAAATAATATACATCATGTGTATTAATGGCTCATACCAGATAGTCAGTATACAGTTGATATTATTAACATAAACATCAGTTATAATTTAAAATTATTTTGTATAAATATATCCTCTAAAAATTTTTTAAACTATCATGCCTCAAGTCAAATGATGCAAAAGGAGGTTAACGAACTATTAAAACATCGTTTTGCTGCTATTTCCTGGAGAAAATATGACTTAATTAGTCAGACTGAAATGGATTATTTTAAAGTGTAAGTAATTTGCAGGTATTAATAGCTAGCATTGCCCCTAGTATGGTCCAGATGGTCTTATCAGGTCTTATTGGGTTTCTTGTGCATTAAAAAACAGAGTTTAATGAGGCAATCGTACCCTAAAGCAGGTTTGCAATAAATTCAACAAATATACTGGCACCTCTCCAAGTGTGTAATAAACAACCTCCTCTGCTCCTTGCGGCAAAAGAAAATACTCTTGACTCCAGAGCATCACTTGCCTTCAGTGAACAGGGCTGTTGTAAAAATGCTTTAGAGAGCAAATGCCTTTAAAGAACTCAAAGACTTGGACATTATCATTTCCATTTGGTGACAGAAGGTCCAAAGAAGCATCTTTCCTCACCTATACGTATCACTGAGTTGTGAGAGGAAATGAAGAACAGACATCGGTGGGGAGACAGAAGGAAATGTTAGCAAGTGGAGGGGTTTTATGAAGTCAGGAGGTAAAGAGAGAAAGAGAGAGAGAGGAAAAAGGAGGAGGACAAGGAGGAGAAAAAATGAAGAAGAAGAAAGAAGGGAGAGAGGGAGGGTGGATAGAGAAATGCCCTCTCTTGGTTCTCAATGTCTCATCCACCTCCCTCATCCAAACCACAGACTAAAGCAGGCAAGGAAGTGGCTCCACCTTCTCCATTCCTTCAGAGGTCTGAAATATATCAATTATGTCCAGCAGGGTGATTATTTTTTAAACCTAACATAAGTAAGCCTTTCTGTTCTACTAGACTGTGCTCCTTAAGGGTGTAGAACATGGCTCATTCTTCTTTGCATCAACAATATTTAACACTTCTCAGATACATACTAGGCATCAATAAAAAAATTTTCTCATTAAAACATTTTAGGGCTTATATGCTCTATTTTTTTTCCCTGAGGTCCACTGCTTATACTGAACATGAAAAATTTAGCCTACATGTTAATAAAATCTTATATTTGGTCCTGGATCATAAAAAAAATAAGTTAAAAGCCCATTTTCTATAAGAAATTTGGGTCTTCTGCTGATGGACAGAGACGTTCTTCACTGAGACACACTTTGTGAATTCGGGAGTGGTAATCTCTACCCTCAGAGGGCAGTGGGGGTCAGTCATTGAACTCTTATTCTAAAAAATAAAAACATTAAATAAAGTTAAAATTAAGGATGCTTTATGGAATTTCAGGGTTTCGATGATGTGTAAAGCTAATGGCAACAGAGCAAAATTTACTCCTTTAAGGAGAGGAGAGCCTGAACATATTTTTTAAATAAGTAAATATCAAGTTAGAAAGGTTTGGAAAATAGTTGTTAAAATTATAACAAAGCTCTCTACTTTTCTTTTATCTTTTTCTGTTTTTGGATATTGGTCGACTAAATTAATTATGTAACAAAAATTCAAGTAGGGATTTAATTTGCCTCTGCTGGTAACTCCAGATCTCTAGGGTCTCATTTGCAGGAGTGCTCCTGAGGCACTAGGAGTGGATGCTAAAGAAGACTTTTTCAGACCAGAAGGGGAGAAAAGGGCTGCCCAGCATCCATGGGTAAGATAAGGTTGTCCCAGGTGGGGAAGATTTTGAAAACATCCTAAGGTGTTTTTACCTTAACATCTTTTGATAAGAGAATCAAGAGCATTTGATTCTCTTTTGATAAGAAAATCAAAAGATGTAAGCTATTGGGGATATTCAAGTGGGGTCAGGGAGAGTCACATGCCTTTCCTTCATCTTCTAGTACAGTCTTGGGTAAGGTGCTCTGAGGTCTTCAAGGCAGTGTTGTCATATTGAAGGAGCAGACTGCATGTTAGACACTGAAAAAGACCTCTGATTACTCTGAGGATGACACTGTCACCCACTCAGGGTCGAGCTGAGAAAACCTTGTCCATGAGTTGTGATGTAACTATGCTTCATCTTCAGAAGCCGTCGTGGTGGCTACAGCCAAACAGCAAGCCCAGAGGAGCAACAGGTAGGGACAAAGACACAAACAGAGGTAGCTATAAAAGCAACATCCACTGAATGAGGCCAACAAACACCAAGGCAGCAGGAAAATGATTACCAAGAAGAATGAGGTGCCATTTCATCAGAAGGAAGGAGAAAGGATTGGGGTGTCAGCACCCTAGTAACTGTACTGGGTGGGTATTAAGATGCAAAGGCCAGAGCATGATCAATAGTCTCATTAGCTGTTTACAATGCTAAAGTCACCAGGAGAAATAAAAGTTGAATGTCTATTTATTTAATGGCATTTGTTAAGCTCCTCATCAAATGATGTGCCCAGTATTGTGCTAGATTCTGAATATGAAACGGTGAGAGGAAAAAAATGTGCTTCCTGTCCTCCTTGAGCTAACAGTGTTGGGTCTAAATATTGCTTATAAACAGTACTGTTGGTTTTGTGGTAGTGGAGAACCCAAACACTTCTGTAGTTTTAAGACTTGTCCAATTATGTAATGGGCCACAGATCACACACAAGAGAATACTCAGAGACCTGTATGGCAGATTTCACATCCAACCTAAAGATTCACTGGCTTAACTTTGAGTACAGTCACTTGAATTACTTACTGTTACTTGAATTAGTTACTTGAATAGCTACTAAATAGGAACTGGTTTAAATAGTCATGACCTTGTGTAAACTGAAAACAGAAATTCATTAATACTCCCAATCTAATTGCATTTGGAAAATACTTGCAGAATCATGGAGTTGGAAAGTCATTATCTACTCAAAGAGACAATCCAGTCTCCTGCTTCTCTGTTTATTTATTCATTCATGTTGCAAATCCTGAGTGAGTGCCTACTGCATACCGGCAATGTAAGTACAAATCCCTCGCTCTAATGATACTTAAATTCTAGTGTTAAAGACAGACATAAGAAAACAAGAAAAAGTGAATAAATAATTTTCCAGTCGCGTTAAGTGCAATGAAGAAAAAAAAATAAGAAAGCAGGGTAGTGGTTAGGGAAAGGAAGGAAGGGAAAGAAGGAAAAAAATGCGGGATGGAGGAAGAGAAAGATGGGGCGGGCACTCTCTTACCCAGAGAGGGTCAGGAAGGCCTTCTCTTCGAGCAGATACCTGTGCATAATGAGGGTCTGAGCCACGCAAAGATCAGGGAGAAGAGCTTTCCAGGCAGAGAGAACAGGAGTGCAGGCCTGAAGCTAGACCAGGGCAGCCAAGGCAGAGTGAGGAGAAAATTGTGGGAAATGTTGCAGTCAGGGGCTAGATCTGCACAGACCACCCTCAGACATTTGCATTTCTCTCTGTGTGTGTGTGTGTGTGTGTGTGTGTGTGTGTGTGTGTTCTTTTTAAATGATGAGAAGCTGTTGGAGTGACAGGACTTCTTTTCAGCTGCCAAGCTTTTTGTGTTTGCACTTTTCCTTAACGCTTCTTCCAGATTAGGTTCTCCTTAAATTCTGTTTGCGGCTGGAAGTGATCCTAGACACCTCTGGCTCAGCTTCCCAACTCATGCAGGTAAGAATCTCGTTCAGAAGTGGTCATTAGACCTTCCAATGAGAGCACAAAAAATTGGAACTTCCAATGGGAGCACAAATGTTTATAATGATGGTGCGTCTAGGATGAGAATGAGAGAGCCCATTCTATGCGCGTCACTGTGAGCATGGAAAATCAGGGGTGACTGCCAGAGAGTAGTTTTCATGTATATCCATATTAGCAGGACTTCCTCCATGACCCTCCATCTCAATGAAGAGAGAACTTATTTTCATGTCCACATTGTGGATATACTAGTTCTTTCTCATCCTACACGTAGACATGTAGCTGGGAGTGTTGCAACAGGCCAGGTCAATGGAATGGAATAACAATAGTGTCTTAGTCAGCTCAGGCTGCTATAATAAAGTGCCATAGGCTGGGTGGACTATGAACAACAGAAACATTTCTTACAGTTCTGGAGGCTGGAAGTCCAAGATCAAGCTGCTAGCATGGTCAGGTTCTGGTGAGGGTCCTCTTCTGAGTGGCAGACTATTGACTTCTTGCTGTGTCTTCACATGGTGGAAAGAAAGCTAGCTAGCTCTCTGGCCTTTTCTTATAAGGGCACTAATCCCATTCATGAGGGCTCCACCCTCATGACCTAATCACCTTCCAATGGCTCGATCTTCAAATACTATCACATTGGGATTAGGGTTTCAACATAAAATTTTGAGGAGACACAAACGTTCAGTCCATTGCAAACAGCTGCTATCATAAAGTTCCTATCAAGTGCCAGTTGCTGTGTACTTAAATACGTCATCTCTAATTTTCAAAACCATCTCCTAAAATACCATCTTTTTTTTTTTATAGGAGAGGAACCTGAAGCTTAGATAGATTATGGAACTCGCTCGAGATCATACAAGAAGTGGCAATGCTGGGATTTGAGCCCACGATTGACAAAGCTTTTATTCTTTGCATTCTACCATGCTGCCTCCAAATAGGTCAAATGACTAGAAAAAGAGATTTAGGTTCATAATTGTCACTATGCATTTTTCCTACTATGGGAACAATTATGAACAATTCCATATGTGTCCAATTTTATAACAATAAAGCGCAAAAGAACATCTGTATCTTTCTGTTGTAGGGTAGCAGCCTTGAAATTTGTATCTTGGTTTATTGTATTAGATATTTCTTGAAATAAGCAGACCTTAATTGAAAAGTGGAAAATGTTTATCATATCTAATATGAATATTTTTAAATAAATAATTTTACTTAAGGAATTTCCTAGAACCTGAAATTGCTTTACTCTGTATAAATCTTATTTATACATCAGTGTACTGTGGGAAGTTAAAAAAATCTTATTTAAATACAGACATATAGCTAAACTGCAGAGAACAAAGCATTATTTCAGCGTTATTTATAAGTACTGGTACTTTTCTGTTGCTATTTTTCTAACAGAATCTGGCTCAGGACTGTCTCATTTTCATTTTCACCTCTCTGTCCTTGGTTTTGTTAATTCCATGTATTTTAACTTTGCACTTCTTGAAGCATAGCTGGCTCTCTCTCTCTCTCTCTCTCTCTCTCTCTGTGTGTCTTTCTCTGTCTCTCTCTCTCCCTCACACACATACACCTGTGTGCACATCTTCCACAGAAAAATTAACTCCATGGCAGATAGTTGTGCAGAATAGAATACATTTTGCCAGACCAACAAATCAGAGACAAGCCAACTCTCAGGCTCCAGATCCGGTGTCCCACTAACTCCTTTATTTAGCTCAATGCTGGAGTAACACACTTCAGATAAAGATTTTGCCCTGGTGGCTATAGACTATGAATCTGCTACACTAGTCTTCACAAACCAATAAGCACTAGGTAGCCGGACTAGAGCATTAAATGTTCAAGATATTGTCATTCAATCTCCATAATAAATAGATAACAAAGCCAAGGTCTTACTAAGGGGTTACTTGATAGTTAGGAGGTGAAATGAGACTAGATCCCAGGTCTTCTTACCTCTAGGAAAATTGTCTTCCTTCAAAACACCATGCTTTCCCCTGAATTTGAGATCACAAAAAACAAAAACAAAAACAAAAAAACTATGTCTTCTAGAAATACCAGAATTAGAACACATCTATATGAAAATCCTTGTCCTCTGATAGCAGTCACCTGTGATTTCCCGGGATAGAGCTCATTCCTCTTCCCCATCTTCCCAGGCCAGTGATAGTAACTTCTTTCCTTTGAAATGCTGCAATGCCTGTGAGCACTCACCTGTAGGGACTTCAGAATTCAGAACAAATCCTTGCTGAAATGGAAGGGCGGCAGAAAGAACATTGCCTCTTCCTGTGTAGAACTTTTATGGGATTTCTCCCAAGTGTGTAATATGTGTGTGGTGGTATTTTACGAAACTTTCATGAGAGTACTTCACTTCAGTTCTCCTCTGCCTTTTATGGTAATCCCGCTCCTATTATTTTTCTGTTAACTGAGATTTTATTTTTAAATATTAAATTGTGATTACGAAAAGAAGTTCTTTATTCCCAGAGCCACACTCATGTATATGTAACTTCTTCTGACTTATGTGGAAGCAACTCCCACGTTGGAGTTTCAGCCCTGGTCCCATAATTTGCAAGCATTAAATGGAAGCCTCATATTGCAATGCAAATTATAGTACCCAGGGACTGGCAGTATAATCACCCAGTTACAAAAAAAGGTAAAGAGGAGATGAAATTACCATAATGGGCCACAGAAAATACACAAGAGAATGTTCAGAGGCCTGCATGGCAGGTTTCATCACTATTCTAAAGATATGCTTGCTTTCCTCTGAAAATGTAAGGAAAGATGTTGTTGGCTCCACCTTGATGGAACTTGATCTTCAGCTGCTTTTACGATAGTGATGGACTGGGCTGAATTATTCATATCTTCTCATCCAAAGTGTGAAATGGCTAACCAGGATTTGGGATCGTTTTAGAAGCTGAACTGCAATGGACAAGTAGGTTGAAATATGGAAACATGGGGAGTGAGAGAGAACAGCATCTAGCAGGAGGAAGAGGATCATGCCAAGGTCTTGAGACAGGAAGCCCTGTTTGAAGAGAAGCACAGTCCAGCCAGGCTAGAGCTGGGGTGAGACATTTCTGGCACATAGTGATTTCAACTGAAGTCCAGCTTAGAGCCTGGGCCCTGGACCCCAGTGAATCAGCTCATCTGAAGGGAGAGCTCCCTCTGATACTTAAACATCCCTGGGCCAGGGTTCTAGAAAGCCTGCTCTAAGGGGAATGAAGGGAGACCTGAACTCTTCAATATCGATTCTTAGGATCTCTTCAATTAGCGGCAAATTACTATTTTCCTAGCCTGATACATAAAAGAATGCTGAACATAGGAGGTTCTTACTGAAATCATTTGGAAACTGACAAGAAAAAAAGTAGGACTTTAAGAAATATTTTCCCTAAGATTATGACCTCACCAATGCAAGTACTGGATGGTGTTATAAACAAATGTTTGAAAGATGACTTTAAAATGAAGATATAAGTAATTACATAGTGAGGCTTACAGTTTACAGCTGAAAAAACAGCTGTTCTATGGGTTCTTGTGACTTTTGAAAATATTTCCAGAGACACAATCACATCTGGACTCCAAAAATACAGTGTCTTAAACACCACAGAACTGACCACGATTTGCTCTAGAAAACAGTATTAATTCTACAGGAGGTTCCAGAGATGACAAAGCCCCTGCCGTCAAAATTACACATAAGGAATTTAAATGGAACTGTTTGATGAAATGTGAGTGATGATATTAAATTCTAAATTAGTATCTTATATTTTAAGCATGCATGTATAGCTAAATTAATAATTTAAATATAGCTAGGTAGACATTTGACTATCTATCAATTAAATTAGCTCCCCTCAAAAAATGTTGAGATTTATGGAGAGGATCTTCTAACTGGAAAAAAAAAAAAACACCACGGGGCTCTACTCTGAATGCCAGGTTCCCTTATATTTCGACATACGCAGTATTTTGAGAGTAAACCCTGCAGGACTTGATAGGTAGGTAGGATGTTGAGTGAGGGAGGAGGATAAGTCAGGTAAGTAGGTGGTGGTGTTACCAACTGAACTAGCCAATGGTAGAGACACAGTTTCACAGGTGGTAGGGTGGGCAAAGGGATATTAAAAGCTCACTGCTGGCAAGTAGTTGAAAGAGAGTTAGTGTTGGTTTGGCTGCTCTGGTTGGCTCTGCCATCCCAACCCTTCCCCATGGCTGACCCTGAGGAGTTGCAAGTTTCTTTACCACCCCTGCTGCCTTCCTTTTCTCCCTTAACTTCAGACTTCTCTTCGGCATCTTCCCTGAGCGCTCCCGTGAATTTGAGCTGGCCAGTTCCAAGCAGGGACAGCAGCCAAATGGTGGATCCACTGGAGGAACAGCAGCTGCAGATTGGAGATGCATTCTCATTAACCACACTTTTTTGTTTTCAACTTTCCTTTTAGGTTCAAGGGGTCCATGTTCAGGTTTGTTTGATAAATTGCATGTTGTGGGCATTTGAGTCACTCAGATAATTTTGTCACCCAGGTAATCAGCCTAATACCTGATAGGTGGTTTTTCAGTCCTCACTCTCCTCTCACCCACCTTCACCCTTAAATAGGCCCCAGATCTATTGTTCCCTTCTTTATGTCCATGTGTACTCAATATTTTGTTCCCACTTCTAAGTAAGAACATGTGGTATGTGGTTTTCTGTTTCTGCTTTAATTCACTTAGGATTATAGACTTAGGATAATGGCAGCCAGCTGCATCCATGTTTCTGCAAAGGCCATGATTTCATTCCTTTTTATGGCTGTGTGGTATTCCATGGTATATATGTACCACATTTTTTTTATCGAGTCCACCATTGATAGGCATCTAAGTTGATTACGTGTCTTTCCTATTGAGAAGAGCACTATGAACGAAACTTCTTGAAGCCCCATTTGCAGTATCAGCTCAAGTGGAAGAGTTTGCCTTCGGCTTGTCTACAGAAAATGCACGTTTCCTGAAAACGTGGTGGGAACTCTTGAAAGAGGGCTATGATTCTTCCTCAAAACCTGACAGCTGATTTGGCATGCTTCATTGTTTAATAACGACGGTGCAATAATTCATACTTCCTCATATATGATATTTGCACACGTGCAAAATGTATAGGATGATCTCTTTCCAGCATTTTTATGTATAATCAGAATGAATTTTTTCTTGGTTTTCTTGACTTTTGAGAAAGCAGAATTCTGATGCTGTTTTTGAAGCTGACTAGTACTTGTTTATCCTTAAATACATTCTGCCCTCTAAGCTTTTATAGAATCCTTTATGAGAGTTAATTTAATCAGTAGATAGTTAATATTAATAGTGCCATGGTGCTATAAGCAACAAACTAGGTACACTATTATTTGTTTTGTAACAAGATGCCAAGCATGCCAGAGTTTGAAGTAGAGTTTAATCTTATGGACCAAGGGAGATAACTTTAAGATTGCCAATGGTAGATCCACCTCTATTAGGCTAAGTTCTCTAGAACCAATGACTGTGTCTTATTTACTTCTCTGTCCTCAGCATCTGAAACAGTGTCACACAACACTCACTAAATGTATGTTGAATAAAAAAGTTGACAAACATAATTAAATGCTATTTTTTTTCCTATACTTAGCATGAAGACTATAATTGTTTCTCTAAAAAAATGTATAAATCAGAACTTCATTGACTTGAAGGAAAATATTCTCTTTTTTATGGAAACTTGAACTTTGATGGTAGCTTTAAAAAATATATGATAAATATTTTTTGCCCTTATATAATTTTTTTAAAGTCTTTACTTCAGAAAATAAAAGACTGTCTAGAAGGAAATCTTTTTTTTTTTTTTTTTTTGAGACAGAGCCTCACTCTGTCTCACCAGGCTGGAGTGGTGCAATGGCATGATCTCGGCTCACTGCAACCTCCGCCTCTTGGGTTCAAGCGATTCTCCTGCCTCAGCCTCCCAAGTAGCTGGGACTACAGGTGCGTGCCACCATGCCCAGCTAATTGTTGTATTTGTAGTAGAGACGAGGTTTCACCATTTTGGCCAGGATGATCCTGATCTCTTGACCTGGTGATCCACCTGCCTCGGCCTCCCAAAGTGCTGGGATTACAGGCATAAGCCACCGCGCCAGGCCAGGAATGCATATTTGATATGGTTTGGATCTGTGTCCCACCCAAATAGCATGGTCAATTGTAACCCCCAATGTTGGAAGTGGGGCCTAGTAGGAGGTGACTGGATCATGGGGGTGGAGTTTTCATGAATGGCTTAGCACCATCCCCCCATGGTACTCTATAGTGAGTGGGTTCTCACAAGATCTGGTTGTTTAAAAGTTTGTGGCACCTCTCCTATCTCTCTCTTCCTTCTACTCTGGTCATGTGAAGACGCTTGCTTCCCCTTTGCTTTCCACCATGATTGAAACTTTCCTGAGGCCCCCCCACCGAAGCCAAGCAGCCTCATGCTTCCTGTACTGCCTGCAGAACCATGAGCCAATGAAACCTCTTTTCTTTATAAGTTACCCAGTCTCAGATATTTCTTTATAGCAATATGAGAACAGGTTAATACAATATTTTTCCCTGTTTAGTTCTATGGTTACCGCTTTTAATATTTTTTATATTTGGTATTTTTATATGTTTGATTGCTGTCTTTAAAGTGCCTTATTAAAATCATTGCTCTGTGCTATTACTTTTGGAGTTTTGCAAGTTGTTTATGTAATTATTCTGAAGAAGTGACTTTGTTTTCAATGCATCTAATTTAAAGGATGTGATTGTCTTTCCATTATCTGACCTTAGTGACAATGTTCTATTTTGCTTGTCCTATATCTCATGTTGCTTTTTAGTGGTCTGTGTTATGCATCAGCAATTAAGCCAATTAATTCTCTACCAAATATAACTTCTGGATATCTTTGATATAGCATCTTAATTCTTTGTAGATATGGAGATGTGTACAGAAGTATATCCTAAAGCCCCACAATGGGGCTATGAAAAAGGACAGATGGACGGGCAAATAGTCTTGTTCAGCATATGAGGTCATAGTTCTTGATTAATTTTTTTAGTTAGAGATCACACATATAGTATGATTTCTATATCAAAGGTATGCTTATTTCAAAAAATATTTTTCTTACATGCCCTGAAAATTATAATTTTTTAAATGTGCAAAAATAAATTCTTATGAAAAGGAAATTTTAAATTCCCTGTTGGCCATGTTGAGTTTGAGATGCCTTTGGGGACACACAGAAGATTTTTGGATATAAAACTGCCTAAGGAAATAAGGAAGTTTATTTTCATTGGAACTATAGAAGGCAAGCAACAGCAGAAGACTGGAATAAGGGAGAAGTATAGAAACTGTGGGCATGGTCATCCAAGAGAGGTTAGATGACTGTAGGGTTTTATGTTTAAGGATGTTGACTAAAGTACCCGGAATATGTGGCACAGTAGAATCACATGGCTTCAGGATTTCTAATAGTGCCAATCTTAAGGGCTTCACTGATGAATGAGCTGACTCTACTATAGTCAAGACCTCGTGCAGCAAGTGCAGGGCACAAGGTAAGCACTGTGGTCTGTAGATTCAGACAGGGTGAGGCCTGAGGGGGTCAGAGGCCCTCTCTGTAGGGAATGAGGCCTGCTCAGGCACCAGGTTTCTCAGCTCTCCAACCTGAAGTCTGAAAAAAGAAGTGGATGGCATGGGCATGCACACATACACACACACAAATTACAGAAAAAGTTTAATTATTGTGCACTGCACATTTGCATCCCCATAAAATTCATATGTCAAAGCCCTAATCCCCAGTATGATGATACTAGGAGGTGGGGCCTGTGGGAGTGATTAGGTTAGGATGTGTCAAGAGGGTGGAGCCCCCATGATGATATTAGTGCTCCTGTAAGAGGAAGGGACACCTGAGCCTCCTCTTTCTGCTATATAAGAACACAGCAGAAGATGCTGAAGGTGATCATCTGCAAGACAGGAAAGGGGTCCTCACCGCATCTGCTGGCACCTTGACCTTGGACTCCTCAGCCTCCAGAACTGTGATAAATCAATTTCTGCTCCTTAAACCACCTAGTCTGTGGTATTTTGTAATGGCAGCTTGAGCAGACTAAGATAATCACGCTTCAAAGGATTTGTTTGGCTAGAGGGATTTTCCCTCTGCCCTTTCAGTGTGTTGGGCATCTCAGTTGCTGAAGAATGAGGCAAGGTACTTGATACTGATGGGAATAAATGATGGTTCACACCCCACAGTCAGCTTTCTACTTCACCATCTGTGAGAGGACAATGAGATCAGCCCCACTCTACCCCTTCCCTGCCACCCAGAGTGGAGGGAAAGCCCGCTTCTCATCCTTACTGGCTGGTCTGAGCCATACATGTGCCATGACCCAGTTACGGAACTTGCTTTCCCTGACACTGTTTCTGAAGTCACTGGCCCTCCAGACAGACATAAGCATCTCTTCTTTCTACAAACATCTGTTCTGTTGGGCCTCCAAGTGGGAGGGTGGGCACTTGGTGGCTGCCTGGCTCAGAAACTGCCCATTATGAGCAACAGATCATCTCGCCTTCCATTAAGTATGTGATTACAGCCAGATGCTGTGGTGATGGGCACACAGCTCCCTATAATAACCATAATTATGATCCTGGTGTTTCTTCAGCTCAACATACTCTGAACTTCTGAAGTCAGAAGAAATTTGGAAGAATTGCTTATTAGAGGCTGCAATCAAATGGAGGAGGAGAACTTTTTTTAAGAAGGGTGGAAATTCCCGCCTGACATCTTGGCTTCTGTACAACCTAACCTGACATCCTATGGTGTGGTTCTGGAGGCCGAAAGAACACACACTGGCTCCGCATTCCTGCTCTTATTTCTCTTCTTCCTTGATCTTTGCTCTGTCCCACCCCCATCTCTTCTGGCTTTTTCTCAGTTGCTTCTCCTGACTGGGAGGGAAAAACAAGCACCTGCTGGCCCACCAGCTCATGTTCCCCCTGCTATGGGGGCTTGCAGAGAGGTGCACCTCCCCTGCCCACTCGGGTGAAGTTCCTGGAATACCCAGGGAGAGGGGGTCGTTGGAAGTTAAAACTGGCGGCTTGCTGCGATGACTAACAGCCACCTGCGCTTGCCATTCTTGTGAGTCCATCTATTTGTGGAATATGGAGCTGTTTGGGGTATATTTGTGCATGTGCTAAGTCTTTACTTATAGGAGCACATTTAAAAGAGTCGGAAATCCAGTCTTTGAAGAAACATGTAATATTAGTTTGCTAGGGCTGCCATAACAAAGTTCCATACATTGGATGGCTTAAACAATACAAATTTGTTTCACAGTTCTAGAGGTAAGCAGTCCAAGATCAAGGTGTCAGCAGGGATAGTTTCTTCTGAGGGCTGTGAGGGAAGGGTCTATTTCAGGACTCTCTCTTTGGCTTGTAGATGGCTATTGATATACTTTAGATATCTGTCCCCACCCAAATCTCACATTGAAATGTAATCCCCAGTATTGGAGGTGGGCCTAGTGGGAGCTGTTTGGGCCACAGGGGTAGATCCCTCATGGCTTAGTGCTGTTCTCACCATAGTAAGGTCTCACAAGATCTGGTTGTTTAAAAGTGTGTGGCACTTCTCACCCCCTTGCTCCTGCTTTTGCCACGTGAGATTTCTGCTCCTACGTCACCTTCTGCCATGATTGGAAGCTTCCTGAAGCCTCCTCAGAAGCTGAGCTGATGCTAGTGCTATGCTTCCTGTACAGCCTGCAAAACATAAGCTAATTAAACCTCTTTTCTTTATAAATTACCCAGCCTCAGGTATTCCTTCATTGCAGTGCAAGAACAGCCTAACAGCTATCTTCTCCCAGTATATCTTCACATCACCTTCCATGTATGTGTGTGTCTTTATATTTTCATATGGTGTTTTGTTCTGTTTTGTTTTGTTTTTTTAGGCAGAGTCTTGCTCTGTTACCAGGCTGGGGTGCGGTGGTGCAATCTCGGCTCACTGCAACCTCCGCCTCCTGGATTCAAGTGATTCTCCTGCCTCAGCCTCCCGAGTATCTGGGACTACAGGCTCATGCCACCATGCCTGGCTAATTTTTGTGTTTTTATTAGAGACAGGGTTTCACCATGTTGGCCAGGACGGTCTTGATCTCTTGACCTCATGATCCACCTGCCTCGGCCTCCCAAAGTGCTGAGATAACAGGTGTGAGCCACCACGCCTGGCCATGGTGTTCTTATAAACACCAGTCATATTCAATCAGGGGCCTACCCTATTCCAGTATGACCTCATCTTAACTAACTCTATCTGCAACACCCCTATTTCCAAATCAGGCCACATTGTGGGGTACTGGGGATTGAGACTTCAACATATAAATTTGCTGGGGGGACACAATTCAACCCATAACATATGTACTATAAGTCTACTGCATGCCAGGCACTGTGCCAAGCTCCGGGGATACACTTTTGAACAAGAAAGACAGTTGCTACTCTCCTTCATGTTATTTGAGAGTAAAGAGAAAAATGACACAATAAAAAAGTAACCAATATGCTGTGATAGGGCCCTGAGAGGGACCGTGGGAGAACAGAGGAGAAGCAAAGAACCTCACAGTGGAGACCAGGGGAGGTCGCCCTGAGCAAGTCAGGTCAAAAGCCTGAAGTCTGAAGGAAGATAGGAGTTTACCAGGGAAAAGGTGGGGTGGAGCAGACGGATCTTCCAGGTGGAGGCAACTCAAAGTACCAAGGCCAGTGGGGACAGAGACAACAGCAATTCTGTGGGGTTGAAGTAATAGCATGTGCAAGTGTGTCCCAGACATTAAGGAGAGGAGGAAAAGAGTAATGAAGAGACACTGGAAGAAGAATGATGCAGACCCAGTAAGCCCACTGAGGAGTATGGCAGAAACCCGAGGGCACTCGGGAGCCACTGAAGAATGTCGTTTAGGAAATGACATGATCAGATTACATTTTAGAGAAGCCCTGCTGGCTGAGCCTGGAGAGGAGGAGAAGGAAGGAAGACCACTTAGAGGGGCACCTCTGTGCTCCAGATGAGAGATGGCAGTGGCCTGAGCTAGGAGACTAGCAGGAGATGGAGCTCACGGGACTTTGCTGCCTACTGGTCCTGCAGATCCCAGCCCAGGCATCTCAGAGCTCCCAGGGCTTCTCCATGTCTGTGTGCCAGTTTGACACTCATGTCCTCCTCCTATTTTTTATTCTTCAAATACTTGCATGGTATTTACCATATGCCAGGCACTGAGTGCATTAGAAATGCTAATTCATTATGTGCCAGAAAGTAACTATGAAGGAGGTACCGGGAGGCACTGTTATTAATCCATTGTACAATGGGAGGACAAGGTCACAGAGTTAACAGATGACAGTGCCAGGATGTGAATCTGGCTGTCTGGCTTCACAGTTAATACTCTTTTTTTTTTTTTCTTTTTTTTTTTTTTTTTTTGGAGACAGAGTCTCACTCTGTTGCCTATGCTGGAGTGCTGGAGTGCAGTGGCATGATCTTGGCTCACTGCAGCCTCCACCTCCTGGGCCCAAGTGGTCCTCCCACCTCAGCTTCTCTAGTAGCTGGGACATAGGCCCATGCCATCATGCCCAGCCAATTTTTAAGAAAATTTTTGTAGAGACAGAGTCTCCCTATGTTGCCCAGGGTGATCTTGAGCTCCTGGGCTCAAGCCATCCCCCAACCTCTGCCTCCCGAAGTTTTGGGGTTATAGGCATGAGCCACTGCTCTGGGCCACAGTTCGTACTCTTAACCATGACCCTACACTGCCTCTTATGAGGAGGTGGTCCTTTTATCATCACACTCACAAGAGGACCTGGCACATAATAGGGCCTTGATAAATACTTGTTGAATAAATGTTGGTGGTGATTGGATATATATGATGAAAATGGTGGGGGGATGCAGACTGGGGGATGGGGCCCAGTGTCAAAGATGACTTCCAAGACTTTCAGCTTGGGTTGGAGGTGAGGGTATTCGCTGAGTAGAGGACCACAAAAGAGAAAGCTGTCTCTAGGGAATGAGGAAAGAATAAACTTTAAATCTCTATACCAGAGACCTCCATGTGGAGGGGCAAACTGGAACGGCCTGATGGAGCACAGCTCTTCCTACTCCTCAAGCATCTAGAGCCTCAGCCACCCCTCGAAGGTGCATGTCACTCGCTGCCCTGGTGAGAACATCCATCTGAAACATTTTAGGCCTTACCCTGTAACAGCTGAATAACAGCTATTAGCTTTGGACTCTAGGCATTTTTATGAGATCTTAGTTCCAGGGCTTGAGGTTTGGCAAAATGAGCATATTATTCACACGCAAAACAACTGCATTAAAATAGCATTAAGCATCTGGCTTACACTGACAAAACCTAGGAAATTCAGAATTATGGTAATAAGTCTGTCCTGAGTTCACCCCCAACACTATGCCTGGTGCTGCTCCATTAAGTGTGGAGAGAAAGGTCCCCACTGGGCAGAAAGAGCCAGACCAGGGAGGTGGAAGGCAGGACAGGTGAGGGAAAAGAAGAGGAGGAGGAGTTGGGAAAAGAACACTGGGGCAGGGGCTATGGTCCCCTGACCCAGGCCTGCCACATGGCGTATGGTGATGTAGCCATGAAGTGCTGGCCCCCAAGGCCACTCCTCTGATCCTAGAGCCAGGCGACACTTGCCCACCCCAGGCACCGGCTCCGCTGGTCTGAGACTCCCTCCTAGAAGCTGATGAAGATGAGACACATTTGCCCCATGGAGTCGAAGCGTCTTTCAAGTTTGCATCCCCGCAGACCTCAGACACAGGGAGAACTAATACGCAGGTACATTTCTCCCCACTGAATTTCCATTTTCTTGAAAAGAATTAAAGAGAAAGAAGCTTGATAACAGATGAACAAAAAGCATTGTACTGTGTTCGAACATGGCAACATGGCTGATTATAGCATTAGGGCATCACTCTGTTAAGGATATTTGAGAATGTAAACAATTTTGATCTGGAGTTCCATTGAGAGTAGAAGAAAAAAGTGAGAAAAAGAAATTCCTTCCTCTTGGTCAAAAAAGAGACCTTTCTCCATTTGAGATGACGTGTAACCATTTGTTCCAATGATTTGTAGTAAAATCAGTAATTGGTTCTTGGGATGCATTTTGGGAAAAAATGTCTATAATTCCAGAATTCACCAAGGTAGTTTCTGTAAGAACTTCCTCTAATCTTTTAAAATAGTTAAGTATAATCCAAGAGCTCAAAAATGGGCCACGTTCTTTTTAAATACAATAAATGTGATCTCAGTCTAACCAACTTTGAGACGACAAAAATACGGTCCTTGGGGAAGCTGTATGAATGTAGCATAAGTGTCAGGGTGGCAGAGAAGGTGAGACACACCTACGTTTACAAGAACCCCAAATAACCTTTGTAAAATAAAAATGAAATGTCAATTCCACAAATTGATTGCCCTCTTCCAATAGTTTTCAGATTTCTTTAACCTTTTCACCTCCCGATCTCTCAGTGATTAACAAATCTCTTCTCTTTGCCCTACAATTACTATACACCAGAATAATAACCCAAGTAAATAAGCTCCTTTAACCCTTCCAATAATCCTATGAGGTAGCCACTCTTGATCATGGAATGATGTCATTTATCATTATGATACATAATGACATTAGGTTACTTGACCAAGGTCACACCACCAGTAAATGGAGGAGCTGGGACTGGAACCCCACGTGTTCCGTTCCAGAGGTTGTTCTAAGCACACTTTGAGTTCCCACGCCACCTGCCACCACCACATGTAATTTAAGCGGAGATTAGTAGTCCATCCCACCCAGACCTGGGTTGCCTGTAAAACCCAGCTGAGGACATCCAGAGCTGTAGGGGTCCTGATCCCTCTGGAAGTCCCCATCTTAGAATGAGAAACCCTGTTCTCTGTCAAACCAGCCAAGAGACAGAAAAAGGAGTTGTGTTCATTTCTAAATTGTTAAAAATGGTTCTGAAGGCCCATTTCTTTTATTCCTCCTCTTAAGTGGGAAAACCAAAAAAATTCTATGCTACCAGGTGAAAGCTGAGCCAGGCATAAAACACAAGAAAACTCAGGCTTTAGAAAACGACCTGGCAATCACTTTTCCAATGTGCTATAAAATCTTAATAATTCTGAGTAAACTGGCCCAAAATGCATGAAAGTGCAGAACAGCTGGAAGTTCAGGGAAAGTCATTTGTGTGCTCTTCTTGTCACTTAGCAAAGCAGGAACAACCTTGGCTCTGTTGTGTAGCTATTTAGATGTCACAGCCATGAATCCCTGACTCTCCATCAGAGGCCACTGGCAACACCTCCCCTTTTTTTGTTGTTTGGAAGAAAGAGATATAGGAGAAGTTGTTCAAATAAAATGACTGTTTGGGGTGGGGAACGGAGAGGCAGTGTAAACATGGCTAATAACAAGCGCAGAGAGAAACTCAGGACACAGTGACATCAGCAGAGCCAGGCATCTCAAAGCCGGTGACAGTCTGCACCAGCAGATTTCTTGTGGAGCTCTAGATATTTCTGTTCTGACTGGAGTCTTTATTTAACAGTCTTGATGAGTGCATTAACTGTGACTTAACTCTGAGTTTGAACGAAAAGTACAAGTATTTGACGTGTTTCTTGGCGACACCTTTTGACAAAAGGATGCATATATCCCTAGTTTTGTGCTAGAATTCTTTAGTGGGGACTCTCTGGAACTAAAACATCCTCTTTGGAGGTTAAATTTTAAGCCTTTTCACAGCTTCTCTATCCCACAGCCTCCTCTCTGCACATACACTCATGCACACACGTACATAGAAGCACCAACCCCGGGGGCGGACTCGCTTAGCCTAGATGCAAGCTGCTGGCCTGTGCACAGTGTATTTTCCCACAGGACAGAGGCAGAGGGAACCCAGTGGGACCAACACAGGAGGCCTAAGTTGGGTCTGAGGTCTCCCAACCTCCCAGAAAATGTTTCTCCTGGATCATGCTCTTTGGTTTCTTTCCTTGTTTGTTTTCTACTTGAGCGGCAGGGACGCAAGAGAAATTGACAGAAGAAAGAAACCGCCTGAGCATCAGACACAGGGGTGATGGGAAATGAAAATGATTTATAGAGTTTCGTTGGCCTCCACTCTCGCCTTTTCTGCTTTTTGTAGCTCAACATCCCACAGGTGTGAACACAGCAAACTATGTAGCCCTGTTTTATTGTGTAATTAAATAACACCCTACACTGAGTCAAGCTGAGTTGTGAAACCTCAAGGTTCGGAACATCAGGTAGAGGATGTGGGGAAATGCCTGCCGCCTGAGGTCACTGGGTTCATTTTCCTGGCACCAGTAGAGGTGAGGCAGCTGCCTTGTAATCAGCTCCTCCTGGAAATTACTACACCCACACAAACATTTGGGTCCCATGGAAACGGCAGGAATGCGGTCTGGTCTAGGAGCCTGGAACTGGGGCCTGAACATCTAGATTGGTTTGGCCCCACCACCGACTTCCTGTGTTGTCAGTTTACACCTCGACACCACAGTTTTGCCTTTGGAAACACCAAAGAGAGGGTCCTGCAAAGAGCAAATCTGCGGGAATGGTGTGAAAGCTCTCTATTTGCTTAGGATGCTTTAGCTTTGTTCCCGCCCAAGGCAGGAAAAAAGATGAAATGACTAACCCTATTATTCTACTCTGTAATTCTGCTACTGTGCTGAAAGGCTTCGCAGCGTCTTGCCTGTGGTGGGAGTTTGGCAGAGAAGACCTCCACAGCCCTTCCAACTCTGAGATTCACAATAGTCAGTGACTTCACTGAAAACCATGGAATTGCATGCTGTCATCACTGGAGAGGGCAGGCCATTCTGAATGGAAACACTCTTATTGGGCATTTTTAAACGTAGGCAGTAGACAAACATTCCTTTGTTGCTTTTCTCAGGAAAGAAATTACTTTCTGAAGACAATGGCAGGCACATTTAATAGAAGACACACAGGTAGCTTCAGCTAAGAAATAAAAAAAAGGCCAGGAACAGTGGCTCACGCCTGTAATCCCAACACTTCGGGGGGCCAAGGTGGGTGGATCACCTGAAGTCAGGAGTTCAAGACCAGCCTGGTCAATATGGTGAAACCCCATCTCTACTCAAAATACAAAAATTAGCCAAGCGTGTTGGCATGCACCTGTACTCCCAGCTACTTGAGAGGCTGAGGCAGGAGAATCACCTGAATCAGGGAGGCAGAGGTTGCAGTGAGTCAAGACTGCACCACTACATCTAGCCTGGGCGACAGAGCAAGACACTGTCAAAAAAAAAAAAAAAAAAAGTATTCTTGCCTATCCCCCTCCTCCCTACCAATGCACCAAAAGAAAAAGTAGCTTCCCTAGAAAAGAATGTCAGCCAAATATAAGTCAGGATGCTATCAGAGTGTAGAAGACATGCAGGGGAGAGGTGTGAAGGGAGGCAGGAGAGGAGGCTTCTGGGAAGGGCTTCCTCAGGCAGGCGGCTCCTGAGTCAGGCTTTAGGAGATACCAGTAGCATTCACCATCCGGAGGGAGAGAGTGGGTCACAACAGGACAAGGATGGGAGCAAGCAAGCGGATGTGGAAAATTCCATGGGGTAATAGAGTTTTACTTTTTCATCTCTCCAAGAGCCAGTGCTGTGAATCCCCTAGGAAGCACAGATTTATAACTTGGTAGGGACCACTGTTCGGTATAACTTTTTTGTAGTTTAGTTTGTTGTTGTTATTCTGACTCTCACGACATAACGCTGGCTTTGCAGAAAGCACATGTGCAGCCACTGAGTTCACAAATGTGGACTCAGCCACCACCCTGGGCCAGGTACCTGGAAAACACTGGCAATGTCCCTACTGCCATGGAGCTTGCATTCCTGCCTGGGAAACAGACAAATAGGAAATCAGTGAAACAAAGATCAGTTCTGAGAGTGATGAGTGCTTAGAGAAAAATAAAACATGTATGTGATGAAGTGGTGGGGAGGGAGTAACATTCAACAGAGGAGTTCGAAAAGACCTTTCCGAAGTTGTGACACGTGAGCAGAGACCTAAATCGCAAAAGCAGCCAACTTTGCCAAGTAAGATGTGCATTCCAGGCAGAAGGAATGGCGACAGCAGAGGTCCTGAGGAAATGACATCAGTGTGTTCTAAGAACAGAGGGAAGGCCAGTGTGGCTGAGAAGGAGAGTGATAGGAAGGGAGAGGTATAGGGGTGGACACTGGAGGGATAGGCAGGGACCAGATCATAGGGGCCCTTGTAACTGATAGCAAGGAATTGGACTTTATCTTTATCTGTAATAGGAAAGCAAGGTAGGAATGTAGGTTGAATAGGCTTATTATAATTCAACATGGAGACACAGTGATGAATTAGACCCTAGTGAATAATCCTAGAATCTCTCAGAATACCGGTGATATTAGTGAATGGATGACAACTGACTAGAAACCAGATAGGTGCCTGAGATTTATAAGGCAGACAGTTCCATACAGGAATTTAGAATCTTACCAGACTCTAAAACCTTCCACATATATATTTTCCCAAGTATACATACTGTGCCATGAATATCTAAATAACATTTCCCAAGCATGTGTGTGGTCGTGAATGACATCCAAATTTAAAATACAATGCATTCTGCATATTGCATACGGTTTTCTCAGTGGCTCTTCTAAGACACCGTTACTGGTGAGCATGTGCGAATACAGTCTGAAAGGGAGAGAGGAAAATCTCAGCTCTTCTTCCAAACCAGCCGCCATCCTCAGGAGGCCCCCACACCCTCAGGAAGAACCAATCTGCCTGGTCTTATCACTGTGACAGATCGAATGATGGGTATCAAGTCATCATTTCATGGCCAAGATTTTGTCCCAGACTGTAGCTCACTCATTTCTGACAATATGTTGAAAGTGAAATGTGCTTCCTCGCCCCTCCTAACTTCCTTTTACAATTTATGAATTTTGCAGTTTTGCTAAACACAAAAGCTGCTAGAAATTTTCAGAATAAGCCCTTTACACTCAGCATGCAGACGGCAAAGTCTCAAGGGACAGAAAATTATTAAACGTGGGACACACAGAAAGAGATTTAATGTTTTTAGGACCAAAAAGAGGATTATAAAATTCAGGCAGCACAACAAATACCAGCCGAAGCCTAACTGGCCAGGAGTGTGTCATAATTATTCCTAGTCATCAATTCTGATGGATTCTGGGCCCCAGCAGAGAAGTCACTTCATCCTCCATTGTCTAATGGATGCTGATGAAAAGGTTACAGTGCCAGGAAGGTGGTGCTCATCTCTAATCTTGCCTGCCTTGTTCTGTCAAGTCAGAGTTGATGAGAGAGACCCAGGTAACTCATTCTCTTGCTCTTGTCCTGATATCTGATCTCAGGATGGCATTCGAGCTGGTATTTACCATTTGGCCATGTGCCAGGAGTCCTGTATTTTAAAGATCTTTAAGTAGAAACACACATAACTCAAAATGTTAAGCTAGAAGTATCCTATTTTCTCTTCTAAATCTTTCAACTTACAATTTAGGAAACAGATCTAGAGTAAATGGGTAATTTTTTTGAGGCAGCAACAAAACCAGGACAGGAAGTCACACTTCCGTCTACCGAGTTCTCCCAATCCAAAGCTATCTGAAGTGGCTGTTTTAGATTTCCCCACCCACAAGACTTGGCCACAGTTCTCCTAATGCCCAACCCCTTGGCATCACAGCAGTAAAGGGAACTCTCCCTTATTGTGAACATAATATAACACAAGCTCTGAATAAAGAATACAATGTTGCTTTTACCATACTTTTTTCTTCTTCTTTGAAATTATGGTGATTCCTAGTTTATCTTAAATTACACTAGCCCAAACCTTTATCCACATAAAACAAAGCCAGAAATCAGGAAGTAAGCAAGAAAGGCACCTATAGTGAAAAAATAGCTTCTTGTGGTCCACGCTAAAGATTGCAGGATGTCCCATTTGGCCTTTGCTGATGTCTCTGATTCATGTTTAAAACCTTAACAAGCTTGTTTGCAGGGGTTGCAATCTTCCAGGAGCCTGAGAGCTGCCAAGACATAAAAAGAAGAGAAGTTTCTATGGGCCAAGAACCATAGGACAGACCCTCAGAGCACCAACAAAGCACTGCACACAGCCAGGAAAGAAACAACACAAACAAAGCATGAAAAGCAGGCAGAGTTTTAAAAGGAGCATTTCCAGGCTGGCTTACAAACCTCCACAGGCCCAGGAGCAAACTCCATCAATAGCGCGTGGCAGCCGTGGAGGTTTTTAAAGCTATCCCTGACTTAAATATCCAGAAAAGGTTTTCTTTTGGTCATCATGCTTTGAAGAAACAGAGAACTGTGATATATCTTAGCAAGACTGGCATGACTACCACTTAACATGGCGATTACTGTTGAGATTGTATTGTCTCAAGGGTGTAAACACACAAATGAACAAGTAAAACTCCTCAGCTATGTAAAACCCCCAGGGGCTTCAAACGATTCTGGTGTTTCTGAGGCTCTTCTCTTCAGCCTTCCCTGTACAACCAGCCCCAGGCAGCCCAGTGTGCTAGCTCCCCAATTTTTAAGCCAAGAAATGTTAATAGTTTTGGAAAACATCTTAGCTTCAATTACACCTGAATGCAAATTCCCAACCACGTGGGCCTTACACATTTTTGAGGTGTTGCTCACTGCAGTCCTAGCCCTATCTACAACACTCAGCAAAACCCTAAAGGGGGTGGCTGATTCTTTTACTTTTCCACCTAAAACAGCCACCTTCTGTACCCATTACTCTCAGCTTGTTCCCCTTGAAGAGTGATTTGTTTGGTACTTGGATTTTTTTTTTAATTTTATGGTGTCCTACAACATGCTGGTTAGACTAAGCCATTGTCATGTTGACTCTAAAATATTTGAAGAGATTTATTCTGCTCCAAATTTAAGTGACTAACAGCCTATGACACAGCCCCAGGAGGTCCTGAGAACATGTGTTCAAGGTGGCCAGGCTATAGTTTGGTTTTATACCACTTTAGGGAGACATAAGACATCAATCAATACATGTAAGATGTTCACTGGCATGGTCCGAAAAGGCAGGACAACGGGAAAGTGGGGGGAAGAGGGGACTTCCTGCTCATAGGCAGATTCAAACATTTTCTGATTGACAACTGGTTGAAAGTGTTATTATCTAAAGACCTGGAATCAACAGAAAGGAATGTCTGGGTTATAATAAGGAGTTGTGGAGAACAAGGTTTTATAATGCAGATGAAACCTCCAAGTAGCAGGTTTCAGAGAGAATAGATTGTAAATATTTCTTTCTTTCTTTCTCTCTCTCTCTCTCTTTCTTTCTTTCTTTCTTTCTTTTTTTTTTTTTTTTTGAGATGGTGTTTTGCTCTTGCTGCTCACTCAGGCTGGAGTGCAGTGGCATGATCTTGGGTCACTGCAACCTCCACCTCCCAGGTTCAAATGATTATGCTACCTTAGCCTCCTGAGTAGCTGGCAATACAGCTGCCCACCACTATGCACGGCTAATTTTTGTATTTTTAGTAGAGACTGGTTTTCACCATGTTGACCAGGCTGGTCTCGAATGTCTGACCTCAGATGATCCACCCGCCTCAGCCTCCCAAAGCGCTGGGAATACAGGCATGAGCCACCACGCCTGGCCAGCTTGTAAATATTTCTTATCAGACTTAGAGTTGTTCTGCTGGTCTTAGGGCTCTGTGTTGATGTTAATGCTGGTCAGCTGTGCCCGAATTCAAAAAGGGAGAAGTGTATAATGAGGCATGTCCAAATCCCACTTCCCATCATGGCCTGAACTAGTTTTTCAGGTTAACTTTGGAAAGTCCTTGGCTGAGATGAGGCATCCATTCAGATGGTTGAGGGGCTTAGAATTTTATTTTTGATTTTCAGTCAACTCAGCTATATTAAAGCATGCATTACTTTTTTGCTGTCTTTACCCCTCTCCTCCCAATATATTTTTGTGGCTCCTCCTCATAAAAATTTACTTGGAACCCGGAGAATATTATTAAAAAAAAGAAAAAGAAAATAAAAGACTCTCTCCTGAGGAAAAAGTTATTCCACCCACCAAAGTTACAAAACAGGAAATAATGGCTCAGTATGATCCTGGGGACACTCGGGTGCTCTTTTGAAGCTGTTTTCAAATAGGGCGGTTGTTCAAATCCAGAAACCTGGGTCACAAAATCTAAGTATGCAGGAGAAGCTGCCTCCTACAAGAGAAGGAGCCTCCATCCTGGCCTGTTGGAGCGGTCTTACAGGAGAGTCATGAACATAGAAATCAAGTCTTTTCTAATGTCAAAATCATAGACCTTAGGGAAGAAGGAGCTGAAGAGCTCTCCTCACTAGTGGCTGCCCACGAACGAAACCAGCTGCCCAGGGTGGCAATCTGTAAGAGAACAGAATTAATAAGGAAAAAAATGGCACCAATTAATGTGGATTCCATATTCCACTTTTACCTATGAGGCCAAATATAAGCTGGTCTTTTTCTTGCTGGAGTGAACAACCCAATAAAACAGAAAGTAAAAAGAACCAGAAAAAAAAAAAGATGCTCAACAGAATTGGCCTTTCCTTATCAAATAGCTGTTGTTTCTTTCTTCTCCTGTAAGGTAGACACACAAATAGCCATAGCCTAACTCAAACCACTCCACCAAGCCTGCAACAGACTGATAGTTTAGCTAAAATTGTCATCACAGTCCACTGGAATTTTGAAACTAAGTAACGTGGGGTTCGTGTACTGAAAATAAGTGAAATGTGCCATAATCAAAATGTAGAACCCTTTTGTATACCTCCCCAGACAGCAGCATTCTTGGGAAAACTGCAAAAGAATACTGAAGACAGTATAGGAACCAAAGATGATGAGGTGATATTTGACTGGCACGAAAGTCAAGAAAAAATAGTGTTTTTGAACAACACTATGTAACTAGAAATCTAAGTACGTTTTCTCTGCAATAAATGCATGTGACTGACAGAAGCCAGTTATGAGTATGCAGGCATCCAAAAAAAATGTAAAATGAAAGACAATTTCAAATAAGTTACAATGTTATGTTTCTGAAATTAAGCTTCTGGCTAAACATGTTTGAGGAAACAGGGATTTTACTCTACTCCTGTCTCTTAAAACTCATGGAAGAAAACTCTGTCTTTAATGAAACAAAGAAATGGCCATGCCCCGAACAAAACTACTGAACATTTCTACCAAAAATGCTAACGCCTGGTCTCAGGTGGGCAAGGAGGCTGAAGCCCACATTACAGCTCAGGCAACGTGTCAATTTCCCATTGGCTCTGCAAGACAAACTAGCATCCTTTCAGGGCCCCCAGGTAAGGTTGCACAGGTGGTGCCCCGCTAAAGCATGCCTGGCCCAGAGGGTGAATAAAAGAGGCTGGGATAGAGCCCCTTCCATGGTTTCTAAACAAAGCTAAGACAAACCACCCAGAGACACCCATCTGCTCATAAGCACTAGCCAGAGGGGTGCTTTCACCCAAAGAGGAGGCCTTGTAATTCACACTAGGCCCCAAGTGGGCTAATGGCAGCCCTGGGTCTTCACTTAGGGAGAGAAGATCCAGGAGCTGGGCAGGCCATGGATGAAGAAGTGAACTATCCATGTGGCGACCCAGTTCTGCACCCCCAGAATGGCATAGAGTCAGCCTCTGCTGGAGGCCTCTCACCACAGCTGCTCATTCCTTTTCTTGAAGACACATCTCCCATTTATTTTTGGGCCTGAAGAATGAGGGCGTCTCTCAGGAAATTCCCTTAAATAAAAAACAACCTGGTTATATGTGCTTCCTTCTCTCAAATTAAGCAAGCAGGAATAAACTGAGCATAAGTGAAAGCAGGTGAAGGACGTGCATCACAAGGAAAGACACTTCAGCCAGTAAGACTTCAAGCAAAAAAAAAAAAAAAAAAAAGAAGGAAAAGAAAGAAGAAAAAATTAGACAAAAGGAAAAGCAATTATAGAATGACAGAAAACAACTAAAAGTGAACTAACAAATATGCACATTTCAAATTTTGATCAACACTGATAATTGGGTATCTAAAGATGTCCGTCAATATTCTTTTCCGTCAAAATATATGAGAGTTTTCTTACATCCATGCTGACTTGGGGATAGTATCCATCTTTTGAATCTGGAGTAGTCTGTTGGATTTTAAAAAATGGCTTCTCTTATTTTTAATTAGCATTTCTCTGATGATTAGTGAGGTCAAGCAGATTTACATATATTGACTGATCATTTGCGTTTGGCTGCATTCAGAAGCAGCCCCTTGTGCTGGGAATAATCCTTAAAGGGAATGTGAATAACATTTTCAAATGGGGAGAAGCACACTCCGTACTTCTGAGGTCAGACTTAGCTGGCATTTTGGCATGTAGAGTAAGCTCGGTCATGAGGGACAGACTTACTTTTCAGAAAATCTAGAGAGCCAAATTATGTTATGAGGTTTTCTAAATTTGGGGTCAGCCAAAGGCACGGAAAAGAGAAGAAACAAAATCAGAGAAGTCAGAGAAACCTTCCTCAGGTTCAGACAAGGCAGTCTTCTTTCTACCCTGCATGACAGGGATAATCCACCAAAATATCCCTGCCAGCGCCTGAAACTTTGAAAACAATTATATGGGGGTCAGGCTTTGAATTTTCGAAAGTCCATGATTAAGCTACAAATAACCAAAGATTCTTGAGCACTTACTATGCACTAGCCAGTAAATCAAACGTACCATAATTCACCACAGCGTCTGGGTCAGGGAGAGGTGAGAAAATTCCTGACTCACAAATGACTCTGTGAAAAATGAGGATAAGAATGCCCAGTTCATAGAGAGCTATGATAATTACATGAAACACGGTATTTAAAGCACTTTTGCCTTGGACAAAGTTGGTGCTCTGTAACTATGAATTCCCTCTCCCTTTCCTCCAGTTCCCTCTAATAGTTAATGTGTCTTTATCAATCCTCATTAACTAAATGGTGTCCATGACCTGGAACACAGAATGGGAACCTCAGCTGCTCTGGGCAGTGGGGCAGGATGAGATGGTGCATGGGGATGAGCAAAGGGTGAGGTGGTACCTGCACAATCTTCTCACCAGGTGGGATGAACCAGGGGTTATCATACACTACCTGTTTATGAACAGATGCAGTGCTGGATTCTGTATAAGTGCCAGACTAAACATACAAAGCCCTTGAGCATGACATGTACCTTTTATATGCTTTTGAAGAATTTGGAGGGGTGCAAAGGGGCATCCAATCCTGCTTTCTTTGTGGGGCAGTGGGGGTTGGAAGGAGGAAGAAGTGAAATGTGTGTAGGGGATGTTGGGGGGTTAGGAACAATACAGCCCTCTATGGCAGGGAGCAGGATGGGAGTGAGGTGAGAGCCACAGCCGACAGCCAGGCCACAAGTTCTAACTCTCCACTCAAGACTGGGATGTTTTCTTACAGCAAAAACCAAACCTGATACCACCCCAAATTTTTATTTTATCATTAGCATTTTATTTCCTCAAATGTGTTTACTTTGCAGTAACAGTAATGTCAAAATATCCTGGACAAGGGTATCATGCCCAGGACTATTTAAAGAAAGGAACCCTTTGCCGTTTCCACAAACCCCGAAATGGCCTAAAATGTGAGAATTTGCATCAGATCTCACTGCCATGCAAATCAGAGAGTGGCTTGCATGGTGGCCTTATTTATTTTGGTAAATGCGTGGGCAGGGGAGGTAAAGGAGCTGTTTGAAATGCTTTTAAAATTTTTAGTTTCAAATTATTGAACACTCCAAGAAAAAAACTTAGATTTTTCTAGGGATAAAATAAAGCAAACCTTACTTCAGATATGTGTAAAGCATAAATACACTTAACACTCTTGAAAGCTATATTGTTGACTATTTGAAAAGAGGGCTGGGAATATTTTCTTCTTAATGAATAAGTAAATTCACTTCACCTGAGGACTTAGTACAAATGGGCTCCTACATCATCTTTACTGGCCCTTTCCCACCATGGTGTAAGGCTATGGTTCCTTCCTCTCTTCAGGGCACGGCCACCACTTCTCACCTTCTTATCTTGATGTTCTAGCCAACTGTGACTCCAGTTACGGTACTTACCTGGGGTTTGCCTCCTACCTCTATAATTTTCTTCACCCCAATCTGCGCTACTGGTGCTTTGTCCTCAATCTTCTTCTGGGGCCCAGGTCTCTGCATGACCTCCCATTGGCTGAATTATTAATTGTTAATGGGAATGTATCTCTGGGTCCCTGAATTGCTTCCTCAATTTGGTATCACATAAAATTAACTATCAAGGACGAGTTGTTATTAACATGAATATGGAAAGGTAAACATGCAAGAATAGCCAGGAAAGCAATTAAAATAACAACTGTGAAGAGAAATGCTCTGGTAGACACTGAAACATACTAGAAAGCCTCTATTAACACAGTCTGGGCCTGACCACAGGAATAGAAAAATAGGCCAGTGGGATAGAATAAAAAGTCCCCAAGGAGACCCAAGACATGGAAATGTAGGTGTATCCTAAACAGGTATTGCTAGGGCAGAGGTGGGGAAAATTTCCAATGCGGTAGCCATTGGAAAAAGATAAAATCTGTACTGCATACCATATACAAGAATAAACTCCAAATGGATCAGGGATCTAAATGTAAACATTTAAACTGTACAAATACAAGAAGCAAATATGGGTGAATTTTTCTTTAACCTTGATATAGGGACTTAAAATCCAGAAAAATTAAATATTGATAAATGTGTCTACATAAAATAATTAAAACATTTTTATTGCAGGAGAACCATAAACAAAGTCAAAAGGGAAAAATATGTATAATTTATAACATGGATAAGGGGTTAATATCCTCAATATTCAAATAATTCTTAGCGAGGGAAATGATTAAAGCTACCTGAAAAATAGAAAAAAAGACATGAACAGACAACTCATTTAAAAGCATATATATGGCATTTGAACTTATGAGAAGATATTCAAACAACCCATAATTAAAGACATGCAAGTTAAAACTATTGCATTTCTCACCTATCAGATAAGGAAAAATTTAAAAGTATGACAACACATTCTGTTGGCAAGAATAGAGGGAAACAGGTACTCTCATGCATTGCTGGTGGGAATACAGATTGGCACAACCCTTTTAGAGGGGGATTTGGTGATGACTAACAAAATGATTCATCCACTTACTTTTCAACTAAGCAGTCCTACTTCTAGGAATCCACCCTAAATATACATCTCTAAAAGTACAAAAATACATATACACAGGTTATTTATTATGATATTGGTTGGAAAGAGCTTGAATACTTAAGAGAGTAGGTGAATAAACTATAGTACACTCAGTGGAGTACTATGCAGCCATAAAAAATGAGTGATAAGGGATGCCTATGAACTGATATGCTGTGCTTACTAGGGTATACTGTTAATTGAAAGAAGCAAAATGTGAAAAAATAGAAAAGCCTATCTTTTGTGTAAGAAAAAAAGGAAATAAGAAATTATACACATATCTGCTCAATAGTGCAAAAATAAATAGAGAAAAAATAAACCAGAAACTAATGACTAGTTACACATAAGGAGAAGGGAATGACTCCTAGTCACATACAAGGAGAAGGGAATGACTCCTAGTCACATACAAGAAATAGGTAGAATTGGGTTGGAAAGGATGGGAAAATGAGAGCAGGATAGAATGGATAGTGGGGGGCAGAGGAGTGACTCTTTTCTGAGTAACCCTTCTTATAAAATTCTGACTTTTGGCAACCATAGTAGTGATTTATGTGCTCAAGATATATAGATAGACAAAATCAACAGGGATGATGAAAGAAATCCAAAATGGAATTTGTATCAGTCAAGAATCCAAGCCAGGAGGCACAAGTCATGCAGTAATTTGAATAGAGAAGTTCATTATGAACAGGGAAATAACTATGAAGGTGTAAAGACAGCCCTAAAGAATATTCTAGAGCTGAGAGTACAAAAAGAATAAACAAATTTGGAAGTGGCCCCTCTCCAAGGATGCGACTGAGATCTCATGGGAGGTGATGGAGATACTCAATAAATACTAAAAATTAATGGGTTTTCTGGGCCCAGAGCTGTACCACAGCCATCAGGCAAGTAAGAAATACACCCTTTGGTAGGCATGCCAAAGCTGGCAGGAAGAAATTGCAGCCAGGGCCAGCAAGCCAAAAGCAACCCTCTGGAGTGCAAGCAGTCAAGACTGGCAGAAGGGCATTGAGAATGACTCAGCATATTAGGAGCCCACTCATCAGCAGGGCAGCATGAGACCTGAGGTGTGCAGTGTTTACTTTAGGAGGGTCACATCGAGGTGGTCACCAGGCCAAGGCCAGAGCTGTGAGCTCACTAAGGCACCATGTGGTCTGAACAAGCAGCTGGGACAAAGCAGCACTAAATTTTTTCCCGCACACTGCTGGCCACCGTGTGGTAGGAGTGAAGAGATAAAACGGCAGCACATCAGGGCCGGGTGCAGTGGCTCACGCCTGTAATCCCAGCACTTTGGGAGGCCGAGGCGTGCGGATCACGAGGTCAGGAGATTGAGACCATCCTGGCTAACACGGTGAAACCCCGTCTCTACTAAAAATACAAAAAATTAATTAGCCGGACATGGTGGCGCCTGTAGTCCCACCTACCCCAGAGGCTGAGGCAGGGGAATGGCGTGAACCAGGGAGGCGGAGCTTGCAGTGAGCCTAGACCGAGCCACTGTGCTCCAGCCTGGGCAATAGAGTGAGACTCCGTCTCAAAAAAAAAAAAAAAAAATAGCAATGCATGGTGAATCTGCGGGCTTTGGAACCATCCAGATGTGGATTCGACTCTGACCTTGTAACTTAACTAATTGTGTGATGCCAGGCTAGTTACCTAATTTCCCTAAGCCTCAGTTTCCTCACCTGAAAAATGGGTCATCATAATAATATCTACTTTACGTTATTTATTGCAATTATCTCTATATTTATATTATGATTATTTATATTCAATGGATGATATTTGTAAAGAACTTACTACAAACTCAACCAGCAGAATTCATAATAGTTTGATATGGTTTGGCTGTGTCCCCACCCAAATCTCATCTTGAATTGAAATCCCCATAATCCCCACGTGTTGAGGGAGGGACCTGGTGGGAGATGACTGAATCATGGGGGTGGTTTCCCCATGCTGTTCTCATGATAGTGCATGACTTCTCATGAGATCTGATGGTTTTATAACTGTTTGATAGTTCGTCCTTCACAAGCACTCACTCTCTCCTGCTACCTTGTGAAGAGGGTGCCTGCTTCCCCTTCCACCATGATTGTAAGTTTCCTGAGGCCTCCCCAGCCATGCAGAACCATGAGTCAATTAAACCTCCTTTGTTTATAAATTATCCAGTCTCCGGTGTTTCATTATAGCAGTGTGAAAACAGACTAATGAATAGTTGTTATTGTGATTGTTGTAATGAGCCACATCAATGACTAGTTCACTTCTCCTTGAACAAACTATATACTATGCATTGAAGGCCCTATTTAACGACAGGCAGATACCCCATAGGTTATGTTTCTAAAGGTTTGATATAGCTCATTGTAAGTAAATCCAGGACATGAAATTTTAAACTTACAAAATAGATAAATAGTGAGTGATTATTTTTATTAAAACGTGATTCATGGCCTCTTTTGGAGCAAGTAGCATTTGGTTTCCTTTTAATGTTTGCAGAAACAGAACTATGACATAAAACAAAACAATTGTTTGTGTATTGCCTTAGGCAGACTGAGAAAGGGCCACTGCTGGGTGACTTAGGCATGGGAAAAATCTGGCTTAATAATAAGCCTTAACAATGTTGACTCTTTCAAAGGGGCAAAGAGAAGCCAAAGTCTCGCATTTATCTTTTCCAAACAGATTCTGAACTACTTAAATGTGATGACATAGATCAAATATTTGAGGTTAAGGATTGCTTGTAGGTTCATGCTTTTTCCTTTAATCCATTTTTTGAGGTAACTCCAGGAAAAATAATGGGCAAGCATAGAAAAAGGGTGAGTATAGCTAAACAGGATCCTATTTCAGTAAAACACTGCAATGTCTGGTGTTTCTAGTAATGCATTTATTTTATGAAAAGGATATAAAATCAAGACACTTCTGTGGCAACGTCTCCATTTATATAAGGGACACAAAATATCACAAATAAAATATGCCACCCTGCTGTCTTCCAAATATTTCCAATAATCCTTTAAGTCTAGGAACAAAGGCTAAATTCCTGAATAAATTATCTTATCTTTATAATCTGCTCCAAAGTTTTGGAAACCCTAGCTTTTGAATATTAACCAAAAAGTGTTTCCATCCAGTCATTTGGAAAAGCAACTGAAATTCATGCTAATTTTAACTTAGACAGAGATGTTGTTTTGCCATCTTTTTTTTTTTTTTTTTGAAATGGAGTTTCACTCTGTTGCCCAGGCTGGAGTGCAGTGGCAGATCTCAGCTCACTGCAACCTCTGCCTCCTGGGTTCAAGCGATTCTTGTGTTTCAGCCTCCCAAGTGCGTGCAACCATGCCCAGCTAATTTTTGCATTTTTAGTAGAGACAGGGTTTTATCTCTCCTAAAAATTGGCCAGGCATGTTGGCCAGGCTTGTCTTGAACCCCTGACCTCAAGTCATCTGGCCGCCTTGACCTCCCTAAGTGCTGAGATTACAGGTGTGAGCCACCACGCCTGGCCTGTTTTGTCATCTTTTACTGACTCCCTGTTGATCCCTATGTACTCTGACCACAGTAGAGATCCCAAAGCACCTTCACCTCTGAGTCCTCATCCAACACTGTACTCCTTCCCTTGGCAGTGACTTCTACCTTATATTGGTAAGATCTGGTATATCTAGAATAAGTGTCATCCAAATCATTGTACTGATATCTCAACATTCATCCACCCTATGCTCCAGCCTCTGAACAAGCAGGGACTCTATCCTTCCTCAAGATTCACCCCCTCACTTGGGTTCTCAATCTCATGTCTAGAAGGTTCTTCCAGCATATCCTTTATTTTGGATTTTCTTTCAAAAGTACATATGTCTCCTTTAAGCTTTTCCCAAATATTTGCTATTTAGTTATCTCTATACTTGCTGTTTCTCTGCCAGAATTATCTGTCCCTTTAAACTTAGCATTATCCTTACTTTCCTATTGACACAATTCCAAGGAATAATCATCTTCTTCTCCATTTTGCCACTTCTGACTCTGGTGGGGACATCTGACTCTATCTTAACTACAAGCCTTTTCTCCTCATTTAACACCACCTGAAATGTTCCCTCCTCCTCATTTATTTCATTCTTACTCATCCTTAAAGGTCTAGCTTAAGCCCCTTTAAAGTCTCACCAGAACGTCCCTTCTCTGTAAAGTCTCACCAGAATCTCCCTTCTCTGTACTTTAAGAATACTAACTGTTGGGAGGATCCACTGCATCTCCTAGTTGTACTCCAGTTGCGCTTTGGGGAACTACACAATCCCCATTTCATCAGTCTTGCCTAGCTATTCTTCCCTGGCCAAGGAGTGAGCCATGTATCCCTAGCCATGCCAACTGTACTTTCTCTCCCAGAAATGTGAATCTTGAATGAAGTGAACAAAGAAGGAAATGGATAGATACCCATTCTGGGTGCAGGGTCCTGGTAAACCTGTCTTGAAGGCCCTACCCCTCGATCCTGGTAGGTACAGAACCTTGTCTTTCCTGCACTTGGCCCCCCAGATTTCCTTCATTTCTGTGAGTCACATATTTTTCCCCCCTAAAGTTAGCCAGAGTAAACGTCTGTCCCTTTCATCCAAAAAAAACTCAACTAGGGCTCTCCTGTTGCCTTTTATTACTGTTTAATTTGAGGCAGGGGGCTCATGATGTCTTGTAAAACAAAGAGATAGGAAGTTTTTAAGGGCAGAAACTGTGTCTTATGACCCTATATATCTTAGACCACTTATGTACACTGTAATCAGACTGAAAATTTTCACTGAATCAACAAATACCACTACTTCCATTATTGTTTCAGCAAAAAAATTCTTTAAAATTTGAGTATTTATTTTATGTATCTTCTGTAACTGCATGATAATAAGTATATATGAAAATCTTCATCTCTAAAACAAAGGAACTAGAATAATTATCTGAGACTATCTTTGATTCTATATTGTAGTTAAGGATGAGTCATTAATTCTGTAAAGACATTCTGAGTGTCAGCTATTGACCATGCACTGTGTTAGGCGTTGAAGTTGTGGATAAGATGAAAAAGACATGATACTGGCTCTGGCTTTAGCACAATTGATTTGAGTTATCTGGTATTACTCTTACCAGTTTAACTTATGCCTTTTATAATGGTAGTACCCGGGATTAATTTGGCACTTTTTTTCCTGAAGCGTTTTCATATATGACACATCATTTGTTATTCCTGTTGCATACAGGGGAAAACTGCTGTTAGATCACATGACTAAGATCAAAACCAGAGCGAAAAGAAGACAGGTCCTTTGATTTACAGTGATGTTCCTTCCTTCCCTCTCCACTATAATAAGATACATTTCCTTTGGGACACAATTAAATACTGGAATTATATTTTATTTAATTTCTGCTTTACATCCAACTCACGGATTTTTCTCTTGTTGTACAAGGTAAAGGCAGTTTCTGAGTTCTTACCAGAGGAAAACACCAGAAGTATTAGTTGGTTACTGGTAAATTTGGCTAACAAATATTTATTTAGTGCATGCCAAACATAACACATTGGGCTACCCTTGACAATAACCCCAGTCAAGACATGTATATAGCCCCTACCCTTGCTGAATTTACACTCTTGTGGGAGAGCAGGTCAGAGCCACCTAATGTTGGAAACCAGGATGAGAAGATAAAACATATACTCAGGTTCACAAAACTTTTATGTTCACAAAGAATCTGAATTGAATTTCTCAGTCTGCTCCAATCACTTGTACATTGATTGAAATGTATCAGCTTTTTTTTCACCCTTCATTCTAGATGCAATGTCTTCATCTTCAAGGTGTTCCTTCTCTCCAAGTTTTTTTCTTTTTTCTTCATAGTCTCCCTCCCTAACTCCATATTTCAAAGTGATCCCCAATACCTTTTTCATCTGCAGAGCATTCACAAAGATCCTCATGAATCTTCAGTGGTCCTCAGAGCTCTATTCTTTCTTGATTCACTTGATGTTTTCTGATGATGTAAAAAAAATCCTTTCTTGAGAAGCAGAAAGCTGTCTCTGTTATATTGCCAATGGTCCAGGACAGGACCAGAGGGCCAAGAGCCAAAAGGGTACCCCAAATAATTTATCCTTTAGGAATGCAGTTTTGGCAAGCAGTGTGTCTGAATGTGCCCTTATGCTATTTTGCTTCTAGGGTCAATAGAAGTATATAAAGTGAACTTTCTTCAAAACATGTGCCATGAAATTGACTTAATAGGAAAAAGGAATAACAACAGTAGCAAGTAAGTTACAAAGCAAAATTAGGCTGGGACACATCTGTTAAAGGGGCAGTTGATATAAATCCACATTTGTCAATTGTTAAAATGTGCAGCTTTTTGTATAGTCTTAAAGATGTTACTATCATTTTTAAAAGCTGGACACCATTGATTGGAGTTACTATTATTTTTTAAAAAAGCAGTTTGTACAGGGTATCATTTTCACTTATAATTACTGCTAATATAGGCAAACTAGGACACTGCCATGTTGATTTGAGAGGGAGGGGAGTGAAGAATATTAAGAGATTTTAAGCCGGGCACGGTGGTACTTACCTGTAGTCCCAGCTACTTGGGAAGCTGAGTAGTCAATTTCAAGAGGAGCACTTGAAGCCAGGAGTAGGAGACTGCAGTGCATTATGATCATACCTGTGAATAACCACTGCATTCCAGCCTGGGCAACAAGCGAGACCCCCATCTCTAAAAAAGTTATTAAAAATTTTTTTACAAAGAGATTTTACAGTCATTACATTTCTAAACTATGGCAAATGAGAGAGCTCTAAAAGAATACAAAGTGTAAAAGGAGGTCAGTGATTTTAAAGTATATATTTCTTTGATCATAACACCAACACTTTTTCAGAGAATTTACTAACATTAATTACTCTTCACAGCATTCACATTACCTAATATCAACAGCTGCATTTTGTCTTCATTGGTGAAAATGCATAAAAAGGGAGTTAAAAGTTTGTTCATATCTGGAAAGGAATTTGAGACACAGCTAGTTTCTAAATCTTGCCTTTATACTACATCTTTAAGAGCTTCAGCTTTGAGGAAAGACAAACCCAGGTTGAAATTCCAGCTTTGCCACTTACTATCATGTGACCCTAGGGAAGCCACTTATTATCTAGGCCTTAGTTTCTCTATATGTAAAATGAGGATACGTCATAGATTGCAGCAGTGGGCCCAACTGTTCACCATTCTCTATATCCAGACCTTCTGCCATGCCATTTTCCAGTGCTCTCCGAAGGGATGGATGGAGTCCATTAAGGATGAAAGCCACATCTTTAGGCTTAGCCAAACAGACAGGTTGCAAGCAGAGGTTGAAATGGATTTATGCAATTAGGCTTCTCTGGAGCTTGTGATCAGAGCTTGTAGCTCTGCAATCGCCAACAGAACATAATCAGCCCAGCCTATTGGAGGCTGAGAGACACATGGGGGAGCTGAATTGCTCCATTCATCCCAACCAAGACCAGGCTAGATCAGTCTTCAGTGAGCCAAACTCTACATGTCATGAGCCAGCACCATCAAGACAGGCCAAGATCTCTTTAGCCAATCATGACAGCTTGTATGCCACTGAGGTTTTATGCATTTTTTGTTACACAGCATTGCTGTAACAATAGATAAGTAATACATGATGGTAGTACCTCTTATACACATTTCAATGTAAGTGGGAAAATATATGTAAATCACTTAGAACAATACCTAATGCTAACCACAACAGCAAAAACAATGATAATATGTTCTGTTCTTTTGGAGAAACACTTATAGAAACGCAAAAGTATTAGAAATTCATCTGTGGATTCTGAACAAGACCTGTCTCATTGAAAATGTTTACAAAATCATGAAATTTTACTTCCAGTTTTTGTAAAGGACCAAGATGTTGGCCCAACTGTGTTTTTTAAGCTATAAGTTTAAGTATCCTGGGACCTGTTCTCATGAGTAGAAGTGTTCATTTCTCTCTAGAAGAGTTACTTTGTTAAAATTAAAAAAAAAAAAATTCCACCCCCGCACCCCAACACAGAGTAGACAAAGACATTCAAACTTACAGCCTGCTGAGAGAAGCCAAAGGCTAGCCTCATGAATAAACCCAAGCTATGACCAGGAACGGTGCCTTGCGCCTGTAATCCCATCACTTTGGGAGGGCAAGGCGGGCGGATCACTTGAGGCCAGGAGTTTCAGACCATCCTGGTCAACATGGCAAAACTCTGTCTCTACTAAAAATACAAAAAAATTAGTTGGGCATGGTGGTGGATGCTTGTAATCCCAGCTACTCGGGAGGCTGAAGCAGGAGAATTGCTTGAACCCAGGAGGCGGAGGTTGCGGTGAGCTGAGATCGCACCACTGCATTCCAGCTTGGGCGACAGAGTAAGACTCTACCTTAAAAACAAAAACCCAAGTTATGAGGTTTTGTTCCCCTGGAGGACTGGACAGAAAATGACACTCATCACCGTCCTTTTTGTTCTTTTCCTATTTGGATAAACTTTTTGAAATAGTTTAGTATGATGGTTAGGAAATGTGAGCTCTGGAGTTAAAATTCTGGTTCTGCTACTCACTGGTTTTGTGATGTGAGCATTAAACTCCATAAAGCTCTCTTTCGTCACTCCTTAAGTGGGGATAAGAACAGTAACCTCCCAAGGTTACTGCAAGGATTATATGAAATTATAGCTGCAAAGTCCTTAGAGCCATGCCTGGCACACGATAGTCAATAAACATTAGCTATTACTAGTTATTCTAACAGATGAGTCTGCCTTCTGTCAGCTCCATTTCTAGTGAGCCTAGATTCTGTGGACCATGCTCTACCTAAGCTAGGTGAGCCTAATAGGCCTTGATTCAAAACAGGTCACTAGTACTGAACTACCTATGGTCATCCTAAGTAGAGATCAGAAATGGAATCTCAGATTTCATACCCAAATGTGAAGAAAAACCACACCCATGAGAGAGAAGGACAGGAGGCAGAGAGTTTGGACAAATGTCAAGAATAATGTTTCTCAGCCTACTTGCAAGCCATCTCACCCTTCCTTTTATGAGAAAAGAGAGTCCAAAGTGACTTTCAACTGTACACTGTAGTTCTGCCCACTAGCACAGAGACAAATCAAATGATCTTTACCTAATCAACTAATAGCATGAACAAAGAAGTGACTGTCCCTCCCTTACACACCAATGTTCTTCCTTTTTTGGCTATGTCTCTTCTTAATCTGGTGAAATTAACCACTGGAGCCATAGTCTACCCTCAGTGCTGCTGTCCTCCTCAGGTAACGAGATCAGGAGAGAATTCAAGAATATCCTGTCCTTCCTTCATGGAACCACTTCCTCAGTCCTTACCTCTCTTCCTCCATATCCTCCCAATGTTAAAGAGAGGGTCTTCATCAATGTGTCTTTGTTGTGGCCCCCAGAAGCTGCTGAAACAGATCAGGACATTGATTACATCAGCCACAATGCCACGATGAGCCCCAATTATCTTGCTCATCTCAAATCCTCTCAGTATGTTACCCGACCAAGCAGGGTGAACAAAGAGCACCAGATGAAAATATGGCCCAAATAATATGCCAGCGCTATAAAATTCTTGAAATTTACTGCCACCTTATAAACGTTAACAATATGAACATTTTCCCATTATCAATTCAATCTGTTGCTCCCACAGAGAAATCTCAGTCCAAAGTTCTGCTCTCTACCCTTTTTCCTTTTACTGGCTCAGTTACAGGCAGAAGAGATGGTATTTGGGGATCTGGGTGGACTCTGGGATCATTCTTTAGCAGCTGCACCCTGGGCCATCTGCCAATATAATTGGAGTAGCGCCTTAGCACCTCCAAAGTTTGATTATTTCAACCCTAAGACTCTCAGTTTCCTCTTTTCTAAAATACCTAAGGGTCAACAGAACACATGAGAATATCATAGCACCAGTCTTAATCCCACAAAATTCAGAAGCACAAACAAATTCCCAGTTAATAATATAAACATCAATTTCCATTGGATGGGCGTTCCCAAGCAAAAGATAACTTTCCCAGAGCCTAACCCATGTTATACTCCAGACGCTTGTTGCTAGTGCCAGTTACAGACCATTGTAAAGATTTGGTGTTATCTATGTCTGCAGGGAAACAAAAAAGGAGAAGGGCCTTTTCCTTTAGATTTCAGGATGCCAGCGAACTTATGCCAACTGTTAGAATTCAGGCCGTGGGTAGTCAAGTTCACAGGAGAAAGCCTGTATGAATCGTGTTGTGTACTCCTTGCCATACTTTGCCTACATAACAAGTTTATATCCACAATTAAAATGACAACTTAAAAATAAAGATGAAGGATGTTCTATTGCACTCATTGCTAACTCTGCTATTGCCAAGAGCAATCACCAGTGAAGAGACAGAACCATCAGTATTTGAATTTAAATGTTGAAATAATAATAAAGCCTATGGTCTCCCTAAGGTTAGTTTATAATAAAAATAACTTCTTGATCCTGGAAAACTTATCTGGTTTCTTTCTTCCTTTCATTCTCCACTTAATGACTGAAGTTATTATTTCCATGGTGGTCTCCAAACCACACTTGGTTTCTATGTAGATTGGCATGTCACCTCCAACAATTTCACCAGCTGCCTTTTCCTCTCAAGAGAATATGATTAAAATATTAATCCAGCTTCTGGACTAACCTAGCAAGAGAGTTATATAAATGTCTACACAGCACAGCACTTGCTGTTAAATATGTAACATGTCCTCCCTTTCATTTTTATGCCTCCACAGTTAAGTTAGCTCCTAGCAAAGCAGATATAAAAATTTTACCTTCCTGGCCAGGCGCGGTGGCTCACGCCTATAATCCCAGAACTTTGGGAGGCCGAGGCAGGCGTATCATGAGGTCAGGAGATCGAGACCATCCTGGCTAACGCAGTGAAACCCCGTCACTACTAAAAATACAAAAAATTAGCCAGGCATGGTGGTAGCTGCCTGTAGTCCCAGCTACTCAGGAGGCTGTGGTAGGAGAATGGCGTGAACCTGGGAGGTGGGGTTTGTAGTGAGCCAAGATCATGCCAGTGCACTCCAGCCTGGGTGACAGAGCAAGACTCTGTCTCAAAAAAAATCAAAATAAAATATTTTACCTTCCTGCCCCTCTACTGCTTGTTCTTTCTGACTTCTCAATACCAAATTTGAATAATTGCAAGCCCTAGTCCAAAATGTTGGTTTCCAATGGGCTGGAGGAAAACATCTGGGGGCCTAAGCTGAGCCACTGTGGCTGGCCAACTGTCTGGCAGCTATGACCTTTGCAAAGCCCCCGGTAAACAGAGGGCCTGCTCAGTAATCCACGACAGCGTCCTCTCGGTGGTGCCAATTCACCCATTTGTCCTGCTTACTGGAAACCGTCCAGAACTGCAAATCCATCACTCAGCATTTACAGAAACCACCTCTGGGCCTATCATTGGGCTAAATCCTTGCTTTTGAGGAGCTTACAATCTAAGTACTGTAATTAGAGACCAATTGAGTATTAAACTATGTGACACTAAGTAGGAGTTTGAAGAAAACGATTATTGTGGGCTGGAGTAATTGGGAAAGATTTCATAGAGATTGTGGAACGTTGAGGGGGAAAAGTAACATAATCCTTGAGGTCTATGAAGCTGATAAATGTGCTTAGGATAAGAGAACCCCAGGCAGTGTATCAGGCTTACCTGTGGAACTCATCACTAAGAGGATGGGACTCCTCTCAGGTCAAGAGGAAATTTAATCTTTCCTGAAATTCTTTAGCATTTGAATCATGATGGTGACATTGCTGACATAAAAATCAGACATCCTTCATTTATTCAGGCCTCCAATATAGAAATGTCATAGAAAGAAATGACTTTCTAACAATGCCAGCCCAAGCTAGATTAAGAGCTGACAGCAATTGCATATGAAGTCAGGATTACTGGTGGAGTTAGTAATAGGTCATTTCCAAAGGGCACAAACATCCAAGAGAGATAACTGGTAATACCTTCTGAGACTAGGATTAAAACTAGCAAACAGTAGAATTCTATCTGTTCCATTAATTTTTAAAAATCACACTGTAGGTTTTGGTTTAGTAATTAATAGCAATGGCAACACTTTATTATTTTCCCTTAATTATTAACTTTGCATTCTCCTGCATATTTTAATTGAAATATATGCATTACATGACAAAAGTGCCTCTGGAGAAACAATCAAAACCTGATCAGCTCTTCCCATGATTAATGACAGAACCGGTGGGCAGAGCTGACAGCATTTTTCAATATGGCAAACTTGATTTTCTGAAAGAAAAAAAGTCAAGGCCCATGTTCTCCCTCACACTTAGCTAAATTGGTAACTGAATCAACTAATGCAATGGGTTATCTTATCTCTAGAAATTATTATGTAAAACTGAAATATACCACTATTTCTCTCTTTTGGGTGGATTTCCTTTTAATGGAAGAGTAATCTTATTTTATTCCAAGTGTCATTTCCAGATCAGGTTTTCCATGAGGTAGACAGAGACCTTGCTCAGTTCGATGTTTCTGAACAGTCCCTCCTCACTTCAGCTGGGAAGTGACAGCAAAGTGGGTGGCTGCAGGCACGGGATGTGGGCTTTCTGTGGACATCAAAAGGTCAATCAAAGGAGATGTAATATTCTCTCAGCACTCTGCTGACGGTAATCCAGTCCATTTTTCTCTATTTAAGACTTTAATGTGGGCCTGAGACCCACCACTCCCACACACAATACTCAGTAGTTTATGACCATATTAGAAGTTCCCAGTTATGGGTACAGGCAGCAGGCTCATATCTGCATATTCTCAGCCAACACCATCTGGGAATTGAGTTTGTTGTGCTGACTACAAGCCTAGGACTCTTCCAGACCATCAGTTCCAGCCTTTAACCCTTCCCCTTCTCCAAAACAAGAAAGCATAGCAGAATGTTAGATGAGAGAGTATAGAGGCTTGATTCTACTAAAAGGTATGTTTTTAAAAATAATTAATTAAAAGGTTGGGCGGGGTGGCTCATGCCTATAATCCCAGCACTTTGGGAGGCTGAGGCGGGTGGACCACGAGGTCAGGAGATCGAAACCATCCTGGTGAACACTGAAACCCCATCTCTACTAAAAACACACAAAAAATTAGCCAGGCGTGGTGGCGGGTGCCTGTAGTCTCAGCTACTCGGGAGGCTGAGGCAGGAGAATGGCGTGAACCCGGGAGGCGGAGCTTGCAGTGAGCCGAGATCGCGCCACTGCACTCCAGCCTGGGTGACAGAGCGAGACTCTGTCTCAAAAAAATTAATTTTTTCTTTTGAGACGTTGCCTTGCTGTGTCACCCAGGCTGGAGCGCAGAGGTACTCATTGCAACCTCTGTTTCCTGGGTCAAGCAATCCTCCCACCTCAGCCTCCCAAGTAGCTGGGACTACAGGAGCGCTCTACCACCCTGGTTAATTTTTTGTATTTTTTGTAAAGACAAGGTCCTCACCATGTTGCTTTGGTTGGTCTCGAACTCAGGAGCTCAAGCAATCCACCTGCCTCGGCCTCCCAAAGTGCTGGGATTACAGGTGTGAGCCACCGCTCCCAGCTATGTTTTTAATTTAACAATAATTCATAAATGTTGGCACTTTAAGATAAAAAAATGAATTGAAACACTTCAGAGTTGCAGCACCATGCTGAGAACTGCTGCACTGAACTCTAAAGCTGCCTAAGTCACCCGGTGTCAAGTCACACAAGTCAACTGTAACTCCCTGACTAGCTGTCTGCCTGGCAGGCATTCTCTTTATAGAGAATGGACCAACACCCATGACTGTATATAGTTATAATTAAGAGCACAGACTCTGGGGCCAGCCTGCCTGAATTCAGATCCTAGCTTCACATTGTTTGCTCTTCATTGGAGCTGTTCACAAAAATTCCAATTCTCTTCTCCCTGATGTAGTTAATGGATTATATTATCTGCTGCCTTGAAGTTGGGCATGGCCATGTGACTTGCTTTAATTCTTTTGAGAGCAAAAGTGATGTGTCACTTCTGGGCAAAAGCCAGGAAGCCCTCCTTACTCAAAGTGTGGCCCATGGTCCAGCACTATGGGCATCACCTAGAAGGTTGATAGAAACATGGCATCTCAGGCCCTCCAGGACCTCCTGAATCAGAATGTGAATTTAATAAGCTCCCCAGGAGATGCCTATGCACGTTTAAGTTTGAGAAGCCCTGCCCTAAGGTATGAAGCATTATTCACCATGTTCTCTTCTCTGGCCACAGCAGCTGATGTCCCCGGTGGTGAAGTTTCCTTTAGCCTAGGCTCCTGGCCTGACCTGAGATGGACAAGAAGCAAGGCATGAGAAAAATAAGCTTTGGTTCTAAGCCACTAAAACTTGAAGGCTGTTACATTGGTTTAACTAGCTCCTTCTGAGTGATGTGATCACTTAGCACTCTGTGACCTTGGGCAAGTTACATAATCTCCCTGTGCCTCAGCTTACTTGATGTAAAACAGAGACAGTAACAGAAAATAATATTTTAAACATGATGATCATAAATAAAATGTATTATTTATTCTAAACCCAAATAAAATGATACATTATCTTTTCTCCTTGCCACTCTCTTAAAATGTATACAAGGAAATAAAACATTCTAAGCCAGAAAACATATTTTGGTATCTTAGATTTTTCCTTTACATTTATAGACCAACTTTTCAAAAGGAAAAAACAAAACCATGGTACTGAAGCAATTCACCATGAGCTGTACAATGAGCCACATCATTCGGTTCCAATCACAGAATTTGAACAAGCAGCTTCCAATCTCAGCCTTTTACCTACTCTAGACCAGGGGCAGCTAACATTTTCTCGAAGGGCCAGACGCTAAATATTTTAGGCCTTTGTGAGTCGCATGGTTTGTCACCACTGCTCAACTCTGCCATTGTAGCACACGAGCAGCCACAGACAACACAGAAACAAATGGGCATGGCTGTCATCCAATGTAACTTTATTTATGGACACTGAAATTTGATTGCCATATAAGGTTCATGGGTCACTAAATATTATCCTTCTTTTGATTTTTTTTCAATCACTCAGAATTGTAAGACCCATTTTTAAGTCATGAGTGGTACCGAAACCGGCAGCGGGCTGGATATGGCCCATGGGCCATACTTTGTGGACTCCTGCTCTAGATTCTCAAGTTCATGCTTCAACATGTTAAAGAAAAATTTATTTTGACACTTGTTAAGGTAAGGAAGACTTAATTCAGGACTACAGTGATAGGTTTTAAAACTATCGCAGGTTTTAAAACTATCCCAACAAGAGGAAGAGATCAGGCTCAGCTCTGAATACAACCAGAACATGTGGGGGTTTATAACTAATGGGCAGAGTGAGGGGGTCAGTGATTAGGAAATTACTAAGAGGAGATATCAAGAGTAGAGTTCTTGCAAAATGAACTTAACAGGCTTCTCGTTGAAGGGAGGCCAAGGACTTACACATCAAAAGTAGGGGATGAGAAATTTCATAGATATTGGGGATGTGGGATTCTCTCTAAACTAGCTTAGCAGGATTCTTGCTAAAGCTGGGCTGTATAGGCCCATCAAGAATGGGGGCCAAGGTGGAGGCCTGGTTAAAAAGAGGACTTAGGGCCTGACTGAAGTTTGGTCAAGGAGAGAGCCTTTGTCAAACTACACCATGAAGCCTCCTTAATAGTCATGGATATGTGGTGTTCAACCCAATATCCACTTAGAAATCAGGTGATAAATAGTCACGAGCCTGTTTTCATTAGCTCAACTTGAAGAAAATGTAAGATCCTAAAGATGTCAAACTTTCAGCAGAACTCACCAGTCTAATCCATAAAAATCACGTCGCCCATCGCTCCTTTCCTCACTACACAAAATTAGCAATTTACAAAGGAAATAGTTGGCAGTTGTCTTCATAGATGAAGTCAATGTAGTCTTATTCCTTTGCCAAAAGGCAGAGAAACCAATTCCTGGTGTCTGGTTTCCCTGGGGCTATAAGGCCAGTTCACGTAGGACCACTGGGAAAGACAAGCTTTGGCATCACCACAGATTTTTAACAAGGCGCTATACTACTTTTAAAAAAGATTTAAGTAATTTTTTCAAGAGCTTTGGCTTTTGCTATTTTTACTGACATTTTGAAAGTAGCAGTGCTTACAACATTTTAAGTCTAGATGTCTCTATGGAAACCCAAGATAACTCATATTTTATGACCAAATGACAACCTACCTAGAGTGTTTATCCCATTGGATCACCATAGGTCATCTGCAGTATCAGAAACATCTTAGGTCTATTTTCCAAAACCCTATCTTATCAGGCATAATGAAATTTATATAATTATTACTTTTGCTGAGGAGGAAATTAGGAAGGAAAGAATTTATTTCTCAGGCTTAATTTTGATGCTTATTAAGATATCACTATTTAAAACATTCTTATTAGAAAAATTTTTTTTATCAATTTTGGCAGACAGTAAAAGAGGAAGAATGCAATCAAATAATTTAATAGTTGCTTTGAAATTTATGTCATTAATTTTCCTCCTCTCCTTTCCATCAGTGTCAAATACATTTTCTGTTTAAAATGTAACAGCTCCTCTTCCCACAGACTGCTTATTCATTGCAACAGAGAAAAAAGGTAACTATATAGTGAAGGAATAGGACAACACCTTGACCAGATGACCAAAATTGACATCACCTTGGTGTGACGGCCTTTGTGTGCCTCCAGATGTGATATCCTGTGAGGAACTTAACATCAACCAGCACCTGAATCTAATCACAAGAAAATATCAAATAAATTTAAAACAAGGACCATTCTATTATTTAAAAAAAGAAGAAGAAAACAGAAAGGAGGCAAAATGACTGTATTATTTAAAAATGTCAATGTCATAAAAGACAAAGAAAGCCAGTGAAAATGTTCTAGACTAAAAGAAGCTAAAGGCAGACCGGTGCAGTGGCTCACGTCTATAATCCCAGTGCTTTGGGAGGCCAAGGAAGGAGGATTGCTTCAGCCTAGGAGTTCAAGACCAGCCTGGGCAACATAGTGAGACCTTGTCTCTACAAAAAAAAAAAAAAAAAAAAATTAGGTGTGGTGACATGAGTCTGTGGTCCCAGCTACTCAGGAGGCTGAGGAGGAAGGATTGCTTGAGCCAGGTTGAGGCTGCAGTGAGCTGTGATCATGCCACTGGACGACAGAGTGAGACCTATCTCAAAAAAAAAAAAAAAAAAGAAAAAGCTGGATTCAAGACAAGTAAATGTAATGCTGGACCCTAGACTGGACCTGGGATTATAGGGTAGTGGGAGAACTTCTTTACAGGACATTATTGGGTCAGCTGACAAAACTGTAATACAAATGATAGATTCAAGTATATCAATGTTAAATTTACTTAAGTCAATAACTATACTGAAGCATTTCGGGGTAAAGGGCCATGGTGTGTTGTGTTTGTGTGTGTGTGTGTGTGTGTGTGTGTGTGTGTGTGTGTGTGTGTATTTTATATATATATACTTTTCCCAGTAAAAAGTTTAAAGAAAAATTAAGAGTTCTTGCCTACACTGAAGCTCTTGGCCATCTATTTTCTCTCCATGATACTCCAAATACAACACAGGAAGAGATGGTTGTGCCAAGTAACAAGAAAGCACAAAGATATTTTAACATGATCTTTTATCAGTGATTGAAGCCTACCAAAGCATTACATACCACCCATTCTCCACAGTTTGTTGCAAAGACCAGCAAACACTGGATAACTCTAGCAGCTTCTAAATGTAATCATTTCCCCCTAATTTCTCTCAACAGGGCAGTGATTCTAAAACCTTTTTGTATCTCACCACTTTCAGAACTATTTTGTACACAAAACAAGTCTTTCAGCTGGTGTCTTGGACAGGCACTATCAGTATCAATCAATGGAATTCAAGCTGTTGAACTAGGACATCTTAATATTTTAACCCGTGTCTAAGTAGCTGGGGAATGTGGTACTCAGGAAGCTGAATGACCTCAACATATATCCATAATTCCTCACTGTCACTTGGAAATTGCTAGCAGAATTCCATAGAGCTAATGTCTATGACACCCTCAGTGGTCCTGCCCTCCAATCTGCAGTATGCCATATTAATGATTTTCTCCCAAAGCGATGGAGGGAACTGTGCCCCAGTCCAAACATTTAGGACAGATTTTCGATAGGTTAATTACTGAAGAGGGAACCAAAAAGATGGTAAACCACAATTAAATTGTTCAGCTATGCTTCAGAATCAGGAAACACTACTTATCCATCATTCTCCAAAACAGCAAAGACGGAACATATGTATATTGTTAAGTCTTTTCTATCCTTCCCTGTCTATCACTTTATTATTTCCTTCATTCTTTTAGTAGCGACAGTCTCTGGGCTAGAATGCTCATATACTATTTTCGGCTTTGGCTTTTTGTCCTAGATAGTCTTCTTATTCACTTTTCCCCAAATTTCAATCAGTAATTTCATTTAGCAAATGTTTACCAAGAACCTACTGGACATAAGATGCTCAGCCAGACTTACTGGGTGGTACTCTAGAGAGGCAAAACTCCAGGTTGGTTGTCCTACAAATAATCCCCAAGAAAATGATATGAACACAATAAATGCAATGAAATCTGCTTGCAGGAAAGCATAAGAAGCCAGAAATGAATTACGACCAACTGCAAAAAGGAACAAACTAGTAGAAGCACTAAAATTCAATGAGAAGATAATTTTTAAAGTGGATGAAATTGAAGGTGCATGTAACATTATCACAGATTTAAAATCATGCATATTCTCCATAAAACTTTTCAAATGCAGTTAAACACACACACACACACACACACACACACACACACACACAAAACCAAGCAATTATAAGTCCTCTGAAGCATGTAACTGTGATTAGCTGCTACTCTCAGCAATATAAAAATACTTTCACCACAATTACATTCCAGCCTGTAATGTAATTCAAAACAAACAAGTCAGAGACATCGCTCAAATGACAGAACCAACAAATACAGATGCTTTGCATCAAGGAAATGAATCTACTGAAGAAATGCAACTGAGGAGCAGCAGCCCCTCCAGGGCCTGGAGCTGAGCTTCTGGTGGAACGGCGAGGCCCCCTTCTGGGCAGAGGCACACAGTGCGCCCAGAGGGCTGTGCAAAGCTGCCCTGTAGTCATGGAGGTGAACTGGGGACTTCCTGCTGTGGATACCCTTTCCAGTGTTGTGTTCAAAATTTTACATTTTAGATTTTAAATTTATTATATGGATTATAAAAGAAATAACCATTTGTTTCAGATTAAATTGATCATTCTATTTTTCAGTCAGCATTCTCACCACCAAATGGCACCTATCCCCTTTACCCTGTGTTCCTTTTGCTTTTTGCCATAACTCTTATTGTCCTCCAATAAACTGTGTAATCTATCATATCCATCTCCCCTTGCTAGAATATAAGCTCCATGAGGGTGGGATAATTTGGTTTTTTGCTCAATAACAATTGTCCCATTTATGTCTTTATCTTTTAAGACTATTCATCTTCAAATAAGACATAAATAAGGTTTTATTATAGCAATATGCTATAATTTTTAAGTGACAACTCAAGCACTTGTTTTAAAAGTATGCATTTTTTCTAAATGCTTTATAAAAGCAAAGTCTTTTCTAAGGACCATATAATTATGGTCTCTATATACACAACTTATATACAATTTAGAGAGAAGTCACAGCCCCCAGTGCCCTGGAAGAACATCGTAGCTGCAAAAAATGAAGAATCTGATTCTGAAATGCCAGTCCTGGAGAAGGTGTTCTCAGGGTGGCAAACTGCAGTCCAAACACACTCCAGGTCCCTGGGTCTGGCCACACATTCTCTAAGAAGTCAGCACTTGCCTGGACTGGGCACTTGTGGCTAGAAGGGTATGCACTACTTGCTAATTTCTAAAACCTCAAACCTTAATTTTCCCCCATCTTAAAATGGGAATCAGCTTCTGGAAAAGCTAATAACTGTTTACAATTGTCAGACTTCTAAAAAGTGCTAATTTGTTCCCTTAACAGAGCAAATGATGAGAGACACCATTTTCCTGCAGATTAAAAACAATATATAAACATATGATTCAACGATGTCAACAGCTTTCAGTCTATGAATCTTGTCCAGGTCACTTTGGGTCACTTGGTTCTTTCATCAGAACATGTTCAAGATTTCTGACATTCCTTTTTCCGAACTTTCGATTTTGGTGCTGTGAAAAGAATAGAAAAGAAAAAGAAAATGAAGAGGTAAGCTCATAGCAGATTCTCTTTGTATGGATTTAAGGGAAGGACATTATCCACAACAGAAAACTGACCATTTGGATTTTCTTGTTTGTAGAAGGTCTTTAACATTTCCACTGCTTCCTCAGCCCGATATCCAGGGATACACTGATGGAATGAGAAAGTTGAGAATAAACATAGGCCTATGAAAATGTGTGCTGTATCCCATAAAAACAACATATATATACATGATTATGTAAACAGATTTCAGATGTTAATAAACTTTGGGGATATTAGTAACATGGGTAAGGAGGTACACTTCCAAAAGATGTTTGATATATCATCTTTTTCATTACTCCCAATCAACTGTTATTAGGCATCACTCCCAATCAACTGTTATTCATCCATTAACTATTATAGAAGTTACCAGCTTTGTGATCTTGGGTTAGGCACTTAAACTCTCCATGCCTTATTTATACAATGCTGGCAATAATAGCACTTACTTCAGGGGATTTTGTGAGGATTAAGTGAGATAATACCTGTTAAATACCAGGCACATCATAAGTGCTCATTAAGCATTAGTTATTTTTATCTGCTCCTATTTACTAGTGGTCCATTAAGCATTCCATGCTATAGAGCTAGGGTTGGCAAATTATACTTGGTGGACCAAATCTGTTCCATAGCTGAGAACTGTGAGCTAAGAATGGTTTTTATATCTTAAAAGCTTTGTTAAAGAAAAAAAAAGACTAGGTGACAGAGATGTAAGCGGCTCACAAAGGGTGAAATATTTACTAGTTAACCCTTTGCAGAAAAAGTTTATCAACCCTTGCTACAGAGGATTTTAAAAAATAAAATACAGCTTGTTCTATCTTTAGCATCTAACTGGGGAAAAGAAATCATAACATGTGAAAGAATAAATAAGAAATTGTGCTAACAGTAAGGAGTGTTATATGAAATATTACCTGAAGAACATGAAACTTGAACTTGCCTTAGAGATAGAGAATATTTAAAGAGGCTAAGCAGAGCATTTCAGGGAAAGGGCAAGAAGAAGCCTGGGTTGTGTGTGAGGAAATCAGCTGACAGAGGAGGAGACTATTAAGGAAGCATAAGGAAAGAAAGACAAAAAATTGGGGTAAAAATATGTACGGCTTTGAAAGCTTGTCAGAAGAGTTTGGACTTAAAACCAAGCACCCTTCTGAAGTGCATGAAGTGACACAATGAGCATCTGGAAGGAAGGAGCCAGAAAGCATAGGCACAGAGGACAGGAGGACCAGCTACTGTGAGATGCTGTTCAGAACGAACCTCCCATTCTCCTGTGTCTTCAGTCTGCCCTTGCCTGGGCCTCCGACACCTGCATAAACCTTCGCCATAACAAATAACCTTCCATCCACCCTGTCCCGTCAAAGGCTGACACCCTGCTCCTGCCTTCACTCCTCAGTGGCCTCATCTTCACTGGCTTGAGTTCCCAGCACTTCACTGAGTCTGCCCTCTCAGAAATCCCCAGGTCCCTACTGACCAAAACACTTGCCTCCTTTCAGATTCCTCAACTCTGCAGTCCTGGAGGCAACTGGCCACACCTGCTCTGTCTGACCGCTCTTGCCTCCCTTGGCTTCTCAGCATTTTACCATCCTAACCACTGCCAGCCAGTCCCGTCACAGCTGCCCCCTGCTTCCTGCTGTGTTAAGTGCTGGAGCTCCCCAGAGGTCCCCCTCCACTCCACTCGCACACTCAGAGCCCTCTCCTCTTACGTGGGATGAGAGCAGTGGTTCTCAACCATTGCTGCTCAGGAGAACCAGTTGGAACTCTCTGGAAACACAGCACTGTTGGCCCCCTGCCTTCTGATTCAGATGGTCTGGGGCAGGGACTGAGCAGAGTCAGGCACAGAAGCCTCCAGGTGATTCTAACGGGCAGTCCGGGATGAGAACTGCTGAGTTACAGGCCTCGAAGGAAACTGCACCGCCCTAACACACCAATATAATATATTATTTACATTTTCAAGTATCCATTATAGCAACAAATTTGTGGTGTTAATAAAAAGCAAACATTCATAATAATTTTTTTTTTTGAGACAGTCTCACTCTGTCGCCCAGGCTGGAGTGCAGTGGCGCAATCTCGGCTCACTCACTGCGAGCTCTGCCTCCCGGGTTCAGGCCATTCTCCTGCCTCGGCCTCCCAAGTAGCTGGGATCACAGGCGCCCGCCACCATGCCCGGCTAATTTTTTGTATTTTTAGTAGAGACGGGGTTTCACCATGTTAGCCAGGATGGTCTCGATCTCCTGACCTCATGATCTGCCCGCCTTGGCCTCCCAAAGTGCTGGGATTACAGGCATGAGCCACTGCACCCAGCCATAAAACAAAAATTTTAAAAAACAGAGCAGGTGTTATAATTAATCACCATCTTCTTTGAAAAGAATAGTTCTGTAGGCCTCTAGAAATTTTAATGCTGCTTATAATACAGCATGAAAAGAATCTGCAATTCTGCAGTAAGAAACAGTATCCCACCTCCCAATCACCTGCTGCCTCCTAAGCCCAGACGAATTAAAAAAAAAGAATACCCAGCATTCAGAGCCTGGGCCACCACTGTTCTCCTTAGAATCTAAAAGCACCTTTAAAAAAACCATAATTTGGCATTCAGCCTGGAGATATGGCTGCAAGCCACAGGCATTGATTTGCAGCTGAGCCGATGTGGCTAGGTATATACACTGCAAATGAACTTGTTTTGGTTCTGCTGCATCGACTACAAAGATGTGTGAGAAAGGACTGTGTTTGTGCCCTCATGTCACTGACATGTTGGAGAGAAATATTCCACCCATGTATGACATCAAAAGACTCATCTTTGTTCTGCCCAGAAACTGAAAAATTATTTAGATCATTCTCATAAAGGAAATATGGAGTCAGCAATTCATTTGCAAAGAGTTATGTAAGCAAAATTTGAGCTACTAACAGAAGTGATTGGAAAAATCAAATCACTTTCTAAATGTCTTTAATGATCAAACCAATTGTATCCTTTACTCTCCATCATTGCATTACAATTTCTTTTCTGATGTAATGTTAAACAGCATTTATTCTCAAATGCACAGAAGTTGATAGGAAAGCTAATGTTGAGCTAGAAAACTCAAGAACGTTTTAAAAACTCGTTCTCAGTGAGACTCAGCCAAATTTAGTCCTTCATAGGTCCTTAAAGTATTCTAGGAACCCCTGAGGTTTTTGAAGTGAACTGCCCAGCCATATCCAGCATCTGTTAAAGCTTTTTCTTTTTAAAGCACAATACTTTTACATTAACCTTACATCTTGGAGAGAAAAACAATCAAACCAATTAATGAAAGTAGGGGTATAGTCACAGGCCAAACTCTGAAATACAAATTCCTTTTGTTCATAGTCTGACCCATAAAAACTTTGGGAGAAGTGGCAAGATTAAACGGAAAGGAGAATTTCTAGGAGACTAAAGACATGGATTCTTAAGTCTGGGGGAAATTTCAACATTAAAAAGACACACAAAAAAAGACATGAAAATACAGTGATTGCTAGATACTAAAATAAGGATGTGGCAATCAAGCAAAATGATTAAATTTGTACAAAAATATTGTGTGTGCTGTAAATAGTCTCTAGCGTCACTGACACAGGCCAAGCATCACCAAACTTGGTAGAGCATAGAGCTGGTAACGTTCATTGAATAAAAACTCCAACAGCGAGAGTGTCTTCAGGCATACCTAACGGTGTTGGTGAAGAGTGTTCGGAGTCAGCTGCGAAGGGTGGACTCTCCTTCAGGAGGGAGTCTGTTAATGAAGAGAGGTAGGCACTCATCTAGAAACTCTTCCCTGTCATCTTATACTGAGGCATAAATGAACTCCACCAGAGGCCCTGAGATCAAAGATGTCTGATTCTATCATCGTTTCTTCGTATACTGGCCACACACTAGTTATTCACAAGCCCATAAAGAGATGAAAATAATTAGCAAGAAAGAAAAAGCATAAGCAGTTTGTATTACCTGAAATGGTCTCCCAGTGTTTGGTAGGTCAGCAGAGGCAATATTTAGAACAGAGCCACAACCACCAAATCGTTCATTCTGACAGCCATATACAACCAGCGGGATTTATAAGACAGAATTAAGGTCCTGCATAGAATGTACATTTCAAGTATGTATCGTGACAAAATCAGAGTAGGTTTATACCAGCCATCCTGGAGAGGAACGCTCATGCTACTCTTCAAACCAGTGAAGCTTAGGATTCGTCTTATAAACCATACAATCCAGCTACACAGAAGAAAAGGGGTTAAAGTATTGAGAAATTGACATTTAACAACTGCAAACAGAATGAAAACTGAGTATGTGTTTGCTTAAAGTTCACAGTTCAGGGCTCTCTCTGCTCTTTCCTAAATCACTTTTTCAGAATCATTAGGGAGTCAGAACCAGAAAGGATGCAGAAATTTAATCCAGGGATTTTCACCTTTTAGAAATAAAAGATTCTTCCCTGTTCTTGCCCCAAATAAAATATAACCTGTGCCCTAATACAAAATAGACTAAAGCTTAGCCACTCTGTAAGGCAGGATGAGGAGAGAATTCTAAGTTGCCTATAACAACCCTTTTATAGAGACTGTACATTTTATCATACCCAAAAACCTCTGTATTATTTTTAAAGTGTTAAAATTATCCATCCGTACATAGTAAAATAAGTACATAAAAAATAAGGAACTAAAAAGCTGAGTTTTTCAATTTTCAAATAATTTTTTAAAAAGATCTTTAGAAGTCCCTACAGAGTCTCTGCACTATTTAAGTTGCTTAATCCATGCAAGACAATCCAAAGAGCTGTAACTTTACTCATTTTCCATTTACAATCAGAATATCATAAAGGATTTCTTACTTCTTATTTACTTTTTACTGATAATGTTTGATACATTAGTATTCATGGCAAACAAACCAACCAGATAAACAGAGAAAAAAAAATTTAAACCACTCATAATCCATTATCCAAAGGCAAAACTTAGCTGCATATTCTTTAGGACTTTTCCTTTGCAAACTGTTTTATAATCCACTTCAACTTAATTTATGATTTACCTTTATATAACTGTTTAAGACAGTTCTAATATTTTCTTTCTCTAGATTATTTGTTTAATCATTCCATGTTTATTGATATGAAAAGAAATAGGTCATTTTACTATTTAAAAAGCTTTTCTTTTTTTTGGCTAAGACACACTATATTTTACAAGGTGTTTCCTAAGTCTGTGTTTTCATATTTTGGAAAACAGGCTACGTGTTTGGCCACTCTCTTGTTCACACGAATGGTACGATACATTAACTCATGAAGTCAAAGGATACTCATCAGGCGGAGAGCAGCTGCACACATAATGCACGGCTCCACAGTGACATACAACACAGTGTGTTCAAATACTTCAGAGGGACTCTTGCCACTTTGACGACACCAATCGAGGACCTGATCGATGGCCACCATTTCTGCATGTCGAGTAGCCTGAAAAGAGAAAGGGGCTTGCACTGATGCTGTTTGCTTCATGTGACTACTATTTTACAAATATACAAAAACTAAGTACAAAATATGCGCCTATCCTTTCTGCCAATATTTTAATGAATACAGTTTCAAGACACCCTTAGCAGTGGACAACGTATTCCCCAATTCAAGTACCATAACCTCACTTGCGAAAGATATCTAATCAGAGATGCCACAGGAATCATGCTGTATTTTTAGTTAAGTACCTAAGTACCTTAGGGAAAACTCTTTCAATTAAAATGCCATGGAGAAGGTAAGTCTAAAAAACAAAGAAAAAAAGATAAAGTCTATGGTTTCTGAATATTTCAGGGGAAGCAAAATTTTCATAAGCTTGTGCTCTAGTTTCAAATATATTTTCAAGGCTGTCACTGACCTCACTCCAAGCAAATCTACATTAAGTTCACTGGAATGTCATCTCTTACACTTTTGGGGAATGAGGTTTTATATACTGGAAGACTCTAGAGAAGTAGAGATTTGGTATTGGTTTCAGACACTTCATGGGAAGCAGTAGAGGATAGGAGAAATCACATAGCATGTGGAAGTGACTCCATTTAAATTTGAATTTTGACAGTGACATTACCAATTATGTGGACTTACGCAAGTAACTTAACTTCTGTAAGTCTAGGATTCCCCATATGTAAAATGGTATACACTGGTATCTACACTTATAAACCTTATAAATCTGAATTACATGAAGCATGGTGCCACATAATACTACACATGTACTCTGCTAGCTCTTGTCTCCTTTTCTTTCTCCCTTACTAAAATAGCTTAAAGTGAATCATAGATTCTATATGGAATAATTATTTATAATATTCATGACAATAGTATTTATCAATAATTTACACTGAGTATTAACCATGCACAAGCCACTGGGCTAAATAAATTCTGTGTAGGATAAAAAGTCTCTGTCCTCAACAAGCATAAAATCTGGTAGGGCTCATTTACCTGTGAGATAGGGCAGGGTATGAAAAGTGCTAGCACAGTGGCCCAAGATGCCATGGAAGCTAGAGGCAGATGGGAGCAGAGCTGGCCAAGGGGCTACATGGGTGAATCACAGAACTAATTACCAGAGATGGAAGGTACTTTACAGAAGAGGTTCCCAAACCTGGCTGCACACCAAAACTAAGTGGAGAGTTTAAAAAAAAAAAAAAAAAAAAGGTTTCCCCAACTTAGGTGCTTTCAAAAAATCAGATTTAGAATTATGGAATCAAATCTCCCTACAGCTCTCAATAAACAATTGCTGAACTCAATCATCTCAGTCAACTCTCTTACTACTAAAGAAAAAGAAGCTAAGCAAAGCTGGCATGTGTTAATCACATACAGCTGGGAGAGGAGGTGGTGGTGGCGACTGGGTAGTGGTGGTGGTATCAGATCCAAAAGTAGAACTCAGGTCTTCTCATTTGGGGTCAAGAGTCTTTCTATGCTGTAGTTATAGAGTAATCTTCTTTATGACACGGAATAACAAAATAAACCCAGGTTAATTTCAGCATATAGAAGAAACCCCGGTCACTGGATGGGGTTAGATGGGTATTGTTAGGACAGTCAAAGTTCTCATCTTAAGACATCATACACAAAATGCAAATTGGAAAATTTGACCACGATTTAAAATACAGAATTCTACTCCTAAATAAGTATCTATACATTCATTAATTGCTGTATTATGTTTATTACTTATCTCATGTTTTAATATCCTCTTAATAACTGCTTTGTGATTCAACATGAATGTAATTAAAACATTTTTAAAAATTCTTCAAAACATCTTTTTCAAAAAGAATTTTTGTATGTTTTACAGTATTTTAAATTGATATTTAAAATTATGTCATTTTTCAACAAACATCAGCTAATTGTTTGCAGAGGTATGTGTACATGCTTCTGTTTTTTTCTAACTGAAAAGGTAACGGCTAATTTAAAAATGTTAATTCTATATGGGAATGACTACCCTGGCAGTTATAATACTTCTCAGTGTTATAATGGTAATTATTTTAACATTGTTTGAAATTATTGCACATGTGAGTTAAAATTAAAAGACTGTATATATTTGTATATTGTTACATGATTTATATGAAAGAAAACTGTCTGGAAGAATATGGCAAAATTTTAATAGTTCTGCATAGAGAAATGAGATAGAACTGCTTCTACTTTCTGTATTTGAAATTTTAAAAAGGTATTTCAAAATGAGCATTTAAACAACAAAGAAGGCCCTGACAGTGGCTGAACTCCCCCAGCAGATGTCTGATGCTAAGAACATGATGGCTGCCTATGACCCCCAGTATGGCCTCTATCTAACAGAGGCTGCCATTTTCAGGGGCTGGATGTCCATGAGGGAGGTAGAGGAGAAAATGCTTCATGTCCAAACCAAGAACAGCAGCTACTTTGCTGACTGGATCCCCTACAATGGGAAAACAGCTTTCTGGGACATCCCATCCGCAGGACTAAAAACGTCCACCACTTTCATCAGTAACAACACGGCCATCCAGGAGCTGCTCAGAGACGTCTCAGAGCAGTTCACAGCCATGTTCAGGTGCAAGGCCTTCCTGCACTGGTACATGGGCGAGGGCAAGAATGAGATGGAATTCACTGGGGCCGAGAGCAACATGAATGACCTGGTATCAGAGTACCAACAGTATCAGGATGCCACTGTTGAGGAGGAGGGAGAGTCTGAGGAGTGGACTGAGGAAATGGGGGCGTAGAGCCTTCTGTTACTGGGTTAAGGGCGGGGGTGGTATGAATTCTTCATTTGCCCACAATGTGTTCTGTGATAGTCATGTCTGTGTGGGCACTTGCTGTTCTTGCTGTGTGTTCACCTCTATTAAAGCATTTCCATAGTAAAAAAAATAAATAAATAAATAAAAATTAAAAGTATGACTTACATATATTCATGCTTCTCACTTATTACAGGGTAAATTTAAAACTGATTCATTAAAAAGTTGTCTTTTTCAAGAATTCAAAGGACAAAGAATTTTGTGAAATACTATATTTTTATTTAAGTGTCTTTTTTCTTTCTAATTCTACACTTCGATCTACTATTTTTCATAAGCAAATTGATAAAAAAGTTTTTTTGGGGGGCTGACATATTAACTACAGATTTTCTATGCAGTGAACATGGTTATATATAAATCTGAATTGTCCAACTACTTTGTCGGAACAGTTCCTATTGATTGGAACTGCTAGGGCGAAGTATATGCAAAATCTACATTTTGAGTAAATTTCCTATAATCAATGTAAGCTTTCCCAGTGTTTGAACGTTTCCCATTCCCTAAAACTGTTCAAACATTAGATATCAGTATTTTTAATCACTGATAATCTAATGTTACAAAGAAATTGCTTTTTTCTTCTGTTAAAGTTAAGTTAGATCATCTTCATGTAGCCTTATTGGTTGTTATTTCATTTTCCTCTGTTCCTTTTATTTTCACTTCCCTTGTAATATTAGTCTCTCTGTTACTGATTTCTAAGAACTCATTTCTGATTAAGGATGTGAACATTTTGTCAAGCATTGCAAATGAAATACCATGTTTATTCCAGTTTATTTTACTGTGGTGTTTTATTTTTTTGGTTGTACAGAAGTTACGTATTAAAATATAATCCTGTTCTATTTTATGGCTAAAAATAAATAAGTAAATAAATGATTTGTGAATCTGGATTCCTATTTTACATGTGTTTTGCTAAATATCAGTTTTCTTTTCAATAGATGTGATTGATAGATGAACTAGTTCCCACAGCCCTGGTATCAACACCAGCTTATTCTCTGGCTCCCAAAATCATATGACAAGATAAAAGTCTGTGTGAATGGCATTACAGGTATAAGTGATCTTTGAGTCCACCTAGGAATTTTTGTAATCATAAAATTTGGTAGTTTACTTATACTTCCCAAGTATACTTATCATGACACACTATTGTGATACCATGTTTAAGAAGCATTGCCTTGAACCATGAACTTCCCAACCTAACCACAATAAAAGTCATACAAGCTATTAAAATGTACATGCTACATGTAGCTACAGAGGCAGCTGGTGTTGAAGACCCTATTTTGTTGAATTATCTGATAAAGGAATAGCTTCCTTTATATAATCCTCATACCTCCCTCCAAAGCTATACATTGAGGATACTTTTTTAACTTACTAGGATGAAAATATTATTTAAAGGTACTAAAAAAGGAATGTATTATGAGTTAAATTGACCTATTTTATAAAATGAAAATTTCATATATTAGATTGGCTTAAAGTAGAGACAGACTTGTTTCTTCCATGCTGACATTCTGATGAAATAAAATCCCCTCTTGGGTTTCACTCAAGCATTAGAGTAAAACTCTATGAAACAGAAAATTATTCACTAAGATTTTATGGCTTCATTAAATTGTTCTGAATTTTCCACAATAAAAAAAATCAACATGTATCACTTTCAAAATCAGGAAGAAAATGATACTGAAAAAGAGAGACGTTAAGAAAAGCTACCCACCACTGGCAGCTACGGGACTATATTCAGTCTCACCTTCACACCAACTGTGGTAAATTCTCTCCAGTCCACCCATCACTACTGTATGTTTGCAATTATACTGCTCAACTCACATACATTTTTGGTTTGGTTAACTTCATTTCTCCCCTTCCCTACAACTTCATTGTTGTAGACCATAAGACAGCCAACAGGAACTTCAGTATTTTCGAGGGCTTCTTTGGCCTGAAACACAAAGTGGAAAATGTAAGACGTAATACTCCATACTTGAAGAGAGTATAGGAGAGAAAGAGATGCAGCATGAACAAGATACACATGTACAAAGACTGAAACAAAGAAGTGCAGCCTTCCCTTTTCTGGAATATAGTTCCATTACGGTATTTAGTGCCCGTGTTCTGTGTTGTGTCCATGTTAAGGGAGACTCAAAAAAAATCCCCTTGATAGGTCCAGAGCCCCTGATGTCTTCTCATTGGAAATAGACGTGATCAAAGGAGACTGTGACTGACCACTGTTCTTGAAGTGCCAGGGTCTATGTGTCTTTTCAGAGATAGAATACATATTTGCAAAAAGGTAGGGGACTAAATAACACTTATAGATCCTTTATTACAATCCTTTCCTCACTGAAATTCCTTTGCTTCTCTAAAAATTATAGAAATTATCCTCTAGAGTCCCAATAGCTAAAGGTAACCAGACTGGATGTCACCCTGTCCCACAATTTCTACTCTATGTGAGACAATAAGAGTTTAGAAGTACTCTATGTAAAATGGCACAATCATTATGAAAAACGTTTTGGAAATTTCTTTAAAAAGTAAACACACACACAGTCTATAACAAAATTCCACTCCTAAGTATTTAAAAGAAGGGAATATGTGTCTACAAAAAAAAAAAAAAAAAGAAGAAGAAAGAAAGTTTGAAAAAGAACCAAAACCTTGAAAAAGAATGTTAATAGCCAAAACCTGAAACTGCACAGGTGGCCATCAACAAGAAAATGGATAAACAAACTGTGTCCTATTCATATAATGGAATACTAGTCGGCAATAAAAAGGAACTACTGATACTGTGACAACATGGATGAGCCTCATAGACATGCTAAGTAAAGGAAGTCACACACAAAAGCACACATACTATATGATTCCTTTTGCACAAAGTACCAGAATAGATAAAACTAAACTACAATGACAGAAACTGGAACAGTGGTTGCTTCATGGAGGAGGATGTGCAGATTGATTGGGGAGGTACACAAAAAAATTTTCTGAGGTGGTGAAAACTTTCTGGATCTTGATAAAGACATGGATTACAGAGATGTTTGCATTATTCAAAACAGATTGAAGGATACATTTACAACCTGTGCATCTCACTGTATATAAAGTATACCTCAACTGAAAAAAATCAATGAGAAAAACAAGTTTAGGAACACTTCCATGACTACCATCCCAGGAATGGCAAACCAATTATTATATTCTCAAAGTTCCCTTTATCACAGGCCATTCGTTTTTCTTCTTGTCCCATGATAGCAGCTCTGGGCCCTAGGAAAATTAACTCTACCTTCAGGCGGAGAGCTTAAGCAGGCAGGTTATGCCTCAGTATAACCTGATACTGCCTCTGAGAGTCAGAATAAGGGAAGAGTACAACCCTTGGACTAGTGTACATTCATTCCCATCTCAATGCAGTCAAAAGAATATAACTGCTGTACAGCTGTTTCCAGAAAGGCAAGGTATTCCTTACTGTGGCAGCCCTGAAGAGACTTTGGAAGACTTGATTCTCACTTAAGTGCAGGTACTTACACACATCATAGGGCATATAAAGTGCAAAGTTGAAGGCATTGTTAAAACAGTGTCTTCTGTCTCCTGCACCAGTCTCTTACTCCCAGTTCTACTTTATTTAACTAGTGACAACTTCCTATTATAAGGCATACAGGATTTCCTCAGTTATTCCCACCATGTTCAACGGACACTTATTCTTCATTTGGCCATTAGAGGAAAAAGGAGACGCCCACAGCAGGAGCAAACTGGGCCTCTCTTTTCTCCATCTGGTTGGTGGGTCAGAGATGGGGCATGGAGAGATGTGAGAAGACAGTATCTGATGCAGTAAGACTGCATTCAGGACTATTTTATGAACTATCCACAGGCCGGTTGTGTCCCAGTTCTGTGACAGTGGTTAAAGCATGTCCAGTTTATGCAAGTTCAAAAGGCTTGAAGAGTCCCGAGGTTTGGTTAATATAGACAAATGCACCATAGGCTACTATAGAGAAGAAAGCCAGGAAGAAGACGGACAGTTAAGGAGAATGGAAATGCTAACTACCAGTGTAGCTATGGCAATTATTATACTAAGAATTTTATTTAAGGTAAGTGTAGAATTACACAGAGATCAAGGTACACAGAAGAGACAAATCATTTATTCATGCAAAAAATATTTGTTGAGGATCTTGAGATGGAGAGATTATCCCAAATTCAGGTGGGTCCTGAAGGCACCCACAGAAGGCAAGAGGCGAAGTGATAACGGAAGGAGAGAGAGAGAGATTTGAAAATGCTGCACTGCTGGCTTTGAAGATGGAGGGATGGGTCATAAATGTCACTTCAGTACCTGGAAAAGGCAGGCTTCCAGAAGTTATTCGGCCCTGCCAAAACTTTGATTGGGGCTCACTAAAATTTCAGACTTCTGGCCTCCAGAACTATAAGAGAATAAACTTGTGTTGTTTTTAGCCACCATGTTTGTGATAATTTGTTACAGCAGCCATAGGAAACTAATACATGCAGCAAAGAGGAAGAAAAACATGCTAAAATAGGAAAAAACTTACAAACCACATCTCTGGCAACACTCTAGTATCTAGACTATATAAAGGACTCTTAAAACTCCACAATAAAATAATAATCCCATTAGAAAAAGACTGTTTTCATCTATTTGTGCTGCGATAAAGGAATACCTGAGGCTGGGTAGTTTATAAAGAGAAGAAGTTGATTTGGCTCACAGTTCTCCAGACTGTACAAGAAGTATGGTATCAGCATCTGCTTCCAGTGAGGGCCTCAGGAAGCTTCCACTCATGGCAGAAGGCAATGGGAGCAGGCATCACATGGTAAGAGAAGAAGAAAGAAAGGAGGGGATGGTATATTCTCATGATAATAATATAGTGAGAACTTGCCACTATAAAAATGATTTATGAGGTATCCTCCCCATGATCCAAACTTCCCACCAGGCCCTGCTACTAATACCAGGGATTCAATTTCAACATGAAATTTGGAGGCGACAAATATCCAAACTATATGAGAAGGCAAAAGACAGACATTTCACCAAAGAAGATAACACACATAGCAAATAAGTACACGAAAAGATGTTTTCACATCATTAGCCGGTAGAGAAATGTCAACTAAAACCACAATGAGGTATCACTACACACCCATCAGCATGACTAAAGTGAAACGTAAAAACAACATCAAATGCTGGCAAGGCTGTGGAGAAGTGATATTACTCATATACTGCTGGTCGGAATATAAAATGGTACAGCCACACTGGAAAATAGTTTGGCAGTTTCTTAAAAAGCTAAACATGCATTTAACTTATGACCCAACAATTCCACTCTTGGGCATTTATCCCAGAGAAATGAAAACCTATGCTCACACAATGTATGTCTGTGTGCACAAATATTCATAACAGCTTTATTTGTAATAGCCAAAAACTGGAAACAACTCAAATGCCCTTCAGTGGGTGAACTGCTAAACAAACTATGGTACACCTGTACCATGGGACACAATGCAGCAATAACAAGGAATGAACTATCGATAATCTCAACAACTTGGATGGATCTCATGGGAATCATGCTGAATGGAGAAAGCCAAGCCAAATGGTTACAGATTCATGTACATAGCATTTTTGAATTATAAAATTATAGACAGAGAACAGATTAGAAGCTGCAGCTATAAAGAGGTAGCACAAGGGAGCCATGTGGTAGTGAAACAGTTCCAGTGGTGGTTATACAAAGCTAAACATGACAAAATTGCATAGGCACGCATACACACACACACACACACACACACACACACACACGTACAAATAAAACTGATGACATCTTAATAAGCTCTGCAGTTTTCCCAATGCATTTTTCCTGGTTTTGATACTGAACTATAGCTATGCAAGATGTTACCACTGAAGGACACTAGACACTTGGGTCCTCCCAGTATATTATTATTGTAATTTCTTGTGAACTTATAATTATTTCAAAATGAAAGTTAAAAAATAAGTACAGGTAAACAAAAAGGATTTTGCAATGGGAATTAAAAAGAGATGTTTAGTGAGTTTAGAGAAATATTTGGTGTTACGGACAATCCCAGAAAAACACTAGGCCAAGAAGGAAGGGTGGTCAAGTGTGTCTAATTCAGCAAGGTGGTGGCAATTTAGGTGGAATGGTGGAGATGAAAACCAGTAGCTTGAACAGTGACTTATCTAAGAGGTTAAATTTTTAACTCCAGCTATACTTTCCCCAACAAACCTCTTAAGAGAGGTAATGTTTTGTCTGCATCTCGAGTATTCTGGTTCTGAGAGCTTGAACATAAGAGCTTACAATTTATTGAAAGCTTACTTTGATCCAGGACTAATTTAAGCATTTTATAAGTATTAATTCATTTCATTTACAAGCCTATAATGATCTTCCCCATTTTACAGATGAGGAAACTGAGGCACAGGGAGATTTTTTTTTATACATGTATATATCTCTCACTAGCGCATGTGAGAGAGCTGGGACTAGGGCATAGACAACCTGGCTCCACTTATTCATTTGTTCAACAAACATTTGTGGAGCACCTACCAAGGGCCAGATTCCAGGGCTCTCTGCCACTGTTCTGCCTCTAACTTCTACTTTAGTAACAACAGACACTTCACCGATCAGCTGCTTTATCAGGGTTTGAGTTTAGAGTGAATCAAGGGACCAAATGAGAGAGAACAGTTGGCAAGAGAGTGAGACATGGAAATTTTAAGGATAAAAAAAATGGCAAGAGGAGTTCAAGGCTGTAGTGAGCTATGATCATGCCACTACACTCCAGCCTGGGTAACACAGCAAGACCCCATCTCTAAAAAAAGTAAAAAATAGGCTGAGCACAGTGGCCCATGCCTGTAATCCCAGCACTTTAGGAGGCCAAGGCAGGTGGATCATCTTAGGTCAGGAGTTTGAGACCAGCCTGGCCAATATTGTGAAACCCCATCTCTACTAAAAATACAAAAATTAGCTGGGCATGGTGATGGGTGCCTGTAATCCTAGCTACTTGGGAGGCTGAGGCATGAGAATCGCTTGAACCCAGGAGGCGGAGGTTGCAGTGAGCCCAGATTGTGCCATTGCATTCCAGCCTGGGCGACAAAGTGAAACTCTGTCTTAAAAAAAAAAAAAGTTAAAAAAAAAAACAAAAACGGCAAGAGAATAAACAAATGGAGGCCATGTGATCAGGATTTTCTGTAAAAATATCTCCTGAAGAGCTCTACATTGGCTATGTGGGCCATCTCAAACCTGCAGAAGAGAATGCAGGGCCGAGTGGAAAGGACGTGAGTGGGATGGGAGATGAGATTCCATGTTGCCTGCAAGTTCTGTCTTGTTCACCTGGAGATAGCACCCACGCCACCATGTTACTGGGTTTGTGCCTTCCATTCCTTCCTTTGGATTTTTCTCTTTTTCCGTCTAGCAAATTTATTTCATTTCACTCCTCTCAATATTATCTTCATGTTTATTTTGAGTAACACAGTTTTTTTTCCTGAAATGCCTTCCACTGCTGTCCGAAACAGAGAGCAAATATGAGCGATCGGAATATTTTAAAAGGACAAATAACGTCATTGTTGAGGAATGGCCGAGCCTGCCATGCTGAGGATGAGTGGGTAAGCAACTGGAATGGTAGGCAGGGGAGGGGGCGGTGAGAATAACACAAAGCCCCATGGAAGTGAGTTGAGGGGAACTCCTTTACAACAATTAACATGTAGATTTGCTTCACTAACAAGTTCACAATAGATTTAATTAAGCTGGAAATCAATTTCACCCCATACCCATATCATACTTTCAAACTCTCCCAACAACTCTACTGTCAAGTCTGATCACTTCTTCACAAATGCAAAAAAGCTCAGGCAAAATGGGTCTGAAATTTGTGCAGGTAGCTTTGAATTTAACCTTTCTTGCCTTTTTTAGGGGGAAAGACCAAGATCAGATACTATTTAAAAATGGCTACAAGGTTTTTCATAAAGTAACAAATGATCAACCTTCAAAATTAAAGAATAAAATCTCTGTTCTTCCCAGCCCAAACACTGGTCTCTATTTTGTCCTTGAATATAATTTCTTTTTTTTCTCTAGTCAGGGCCTGCCCAGATACAGATAATGAAAGCACCTAGATGGAAGAGACTTCGTAGTTTATTATTTTCTCCAAAGACATTACTACTATAAACTGCTTTCTAGTGATGTCATGATAAAAGGGGGAGAGATGGAAACAGACCTTGTTTGCACACAGTTTGATGAGTCCTTAAAGAAATATTTCCTATAAAGACAAAAAATTAGGGGGAACAAACAAGTTAGCCAGAACTCTCAGGTAGAACATCATCCTGTCCAAAAGGCTAAACTATATAACTGTTTCTGCTAATTACTCTCTTCTGAGTGATTACTCTCTGAGTAATTAGCAGAAACAGTTATATAGTTTAACTTTGGGGATTTAAAAAGTGATAATGTTTTTATTCCATCAACTTTAAATTCTTCAATATGGCACTGAAGGTCTCCCAACTATCACCCACCCTCCCATTGGCCAACCGAACCAACCTAACTTTTCATTATTCATTTAGGTTATTAACCTTTTCAGAGCAGAAATCCCCTTTTAGACACTGATGAAAGTTATGGACTGTCTCACTTGAAAAAGGCACACGCACATAATATTTTATATATAGTTTCAGCGTTCATAGATCCCCCTAAACCTGAGCCTGAGGTCAGGGAGCCCTGTTCTAGATAGATAGATAGATCTCCTTCTAACCCAAAACAAAGTTCTTGATTTCTTTGGACATGACAGTATCTTTGCTTGGATCAACCTTTCCTTTCCACCAGCCCACATCCTTTTGGTCCCTTAAAATTTAGAAGGAATTCTATCATTTATCTCAACGGACGTGTTGAAGGACCTTGCCAGCTGTTATCTGACAGCACTTTATATCTGTCTCTTGTGGTCTTTGGACATGTTACTTACCAACCTTTTCATCTGTGCCTGACTTAATTTCATCAATTAAACAGTATGTTCCTGGAAGGCAAGCACTAGATCCAGGCACTACGAAGCTTCTCTTGCTCACCTCTGCAGCCTATGCACCCAGCACAAGGTCTAACACATAGCAAAAACTTAATCATACCACATTTGTTGAAATGGTGTCTGTGGTGTTTGCTTTCTTTTCGAATTTCCCTCAGAGCCTAGCATAATGTTATATTAATATCAATTGCCCCAAAAATGCACACTATAAAAAAATACAATTGACTTTTTTCTAGAAAACTTGCAACATTTTTTCTATACACATATGTATAGATAGTTAGTCAATCTTTCTTTTTTCCTAATTATAAAGTAAGATGTGTTCAAGGTGGAGAACTTAGCGATTAAAAAAAAAAAACCTCATGTATCAAAAAAAAAAAACCCACTAAGAATCCCAATACCCCAAAATATAATCCCTGTTATTCTGAAGCAACGGGGGTTTTTTCTGTTTTTTCCTATGCCCTGCATACACATATTTACAGTTTTTAAAAAGTCAAATAGATTTACACTGTATATACAGTTCAGCAGTCTGCCCTTTTCATTTAGAAATGTATTGTTAACCTTTCCCTATATTGGGTAATATTTTTTCATCACATGATTTTGTAAAGGTTGTACAGTATTTCTCCTTATGAACATATCTGATTCAACCAACTAGTCTCCTATTATTTGACATTTAAGTGATTCAAATTCTTCACTATTATAAACAAGTAAAGAACTTCTCTATATAAATATTTATATTGCTTCTTTGTGATTTATTCCTAGAAACAGCTGTAAAATACAAAGAGCTCCTACAGTGCGATTTTTTAAATCAAACTATTACAAAATTGGGGAAAGTATATGCCTCGGCAATTCACAGAAGAAAAAAATCTAAATGTTCAATTAAATTACACAGTAGATACACAGTATTCAGGTAAAGAAACTGAAAAGGAAGAAAGAGAGCAGAGGATATGTTGGCAAGCAGTGAGCTACCTAACACCGAGAGGCAGGCCAGGCCAGTATTTAACAGCAGATGACAGGCCTCAAATCACAGCCCCATCCTTCCCAGCTCTCTAACTTTGGGGAAGTTACTGAACTTTCTCAGCTTCAATATCCCATCTGAAAATGAGGACCATAATAATACTCACCTGATAGGGCTTCTGTGGGGCTTATAACATGGCCCACATGAAAACACTGTGCATAGCATAGTATCTGGAACACACCAAGAGTGCAACACTATTACTTAGTCATACTTCTTTTTTCCAAGCCTATCTTTAGAATGTTATGCTGAACATGTTATGATGATTAAAATGATAACCTATGATGATGCTATGCTTAGCTCTCAGAAAGAAACCTGCCATGAAAAATAATGGTTTTATTAAAAAGCAGTAAAGTTGATAACCTTATATGCTATCCAACAGATCCTTTTGTAGTGATGGAAATGTCCTTTGATCTGTACTGTCCAATACGGTAGCCAGTGGTTATATGTGGGTGCTGACTACTTGAAATGTGGCTAATACAACTGAGGAGCTAGATTTTATTTTATTTCACCTTAATTAATTTAAACTTAAATAGACACATGTGGTTAGTGGCTACGATATTAGGCATTATGGTTTTAGAAGGCAATACAGGAATATCTATATAATTTCAAAGCACATACATCCTTTGTCCCATTTTAGGTAGTCACTCCATAGCAACAGAAATACCATGAGGTAGGGAGGAGTGACTAATATATTAAGACTACCAAAAAAAACTGCTGATAATCAAAAAGAGAACATATAATTCCATTTATGCAAAAGTACATATGGCTGTTTACATATGGACAGAGAGATATGGAAGGATGCTCCCAAAATACTAATAGTATTATCTCTAATAGTAGGACTTTTAGGTAATTTTTACATAATTTGTTAACCCTTTTTTATAGTTTGAATTTTTTATGACCATGAATTATTTACATAACCAGAAAAAGAAAACATTAAAATATTTTCACTTTGGGAAAAAAAAAAAGGGCATTACTGGATCAAAGGATAAGCTCACTTTTAAGGCCTTTTATATCTGCCTAGCCAAATTGTCCTAATAAAAGGGTGTTCTACGCTTTTACACTGTTGGTGGGACTGTAAACTAGTTCAACCATTGTGGAAGACAGTGTGGCGATTCCTCAAGGATCTAAAACTAGAAATGCCATTTGACCCAGCCATCCCATTACTGAGCATATACCCAAAGGATTATAAATCATGCTGCTATAAAGACACATGCACAAGAATGTTTATTGAGGCACTATTCACAATAGCAAAGACTTGGAACTCAACCCAAATGTCCATCAATTATAGACTGGATTAAGCAAATGTGGCTCATATACACCATGGAATACTATGCAGCCATAAAAAAGGATGAGTTCATCCTTTTCATTTGTAGGGACATGGATGAAGCTGTTAACCATCATTCTGAGCAAACTATCACAAGGACAGAAAACCAAACACCGCATGTTCTCACTCATAGATGGGAATTGAACAATGAGAACACTTGGACACAGGGTGGGGAACATCACACACCGGGGCCTGTCATGGGGTTGGGGGGAGAGGGGAGGGATAGCATTAGGAGATATACCTAATGTAAATGACGAGTTAATGGGTGCAGCACACCAACATGGCACATGTATACATATGTAACAAACCTGCACATTGTGCACATGTACCCTAGAACTTAAAGTATAATAATTTAAAAAAAGTAAATTAAACTTAAAACTTTCAACTTTGGCTTAACTAGAGTTAACTTTATCAGCATATTAAATAAAAACTGTAATATACATGTTACATACAAAAAAAAAGGGTTTTCTAAATTCAGCTCCTCCCAACCAACAAACACCTCAAACATGCACACCCTTATTATCACCAAGCATTAAAATTGCTTTCACTTTTGCCAATTTAACAGGTAAAAAATTGTGTATCATTTTAATTTGAATTTCATTAATAGTGAAATTGTGTATTCATTTATTTGCTGGCTACTCACTCGTCACTTCTTTTAGAAATATCATGTTCAGGTGAGGTGTGGTAACTCACACCTGTAATCCCAGCACTTTGGGAGGCTGAGGTGGGACAACTGCCCGGGCCCAGGAGTTCAAGACCAGCTCGGGCAACACAGAGAGACCCTGTCTAAACCAAAAAAAAATCTTCTAAAAATAAAAAGAAATTTTAAAAAGAAATATATTCATAGCCTTTGACCTTTTTCAGTATTAGGGTATACATCTTTCCTTTTACGTCGGAAAGTACTTAGATTTTATATAAATTATATGCTACGGTTATTAAACCTGTCCTTTTATATATGTCGCAAATATTTTCCTTCTTTGTATTTCCTTTACTTTGTATCTTTTTCTTTTTTGAGACAGGGTCTGGCTCTGTCTCCCAGGTTGGAGTACAGTGGCACAGACACGGCTCACTGCGACCTCAATCTCCCAAGGCTCAAGCAATCCACCTTCCTCAGCCTCCTGAGTAGTTGGGACTACAGGCACATGCCACCATGCCCTACTAATTTTTAAATTTTTATTTAGTAGTGACGGGGTCTGGCTAAGTTGCCCAGGCTGTTCTTCAACTTTTGAGATCAAGAGATCCTCTTGCTTCTGCCTTCCAAAGTTTTGGGATTACAGGCATGAGCCACTGCATCTGGCCATGCTACTTTGTATCTTTTTAAACATGTAGATGTTTTCAAAGAATTTCTAGACCTCTCTGGCTTTGACATTTTTTGTCTCTTAATTGTATTATAAACACCTAGGGATGTGATTCCATAGTTTACGTCCTCCTACACAGGATTAAGGAGGCAGCTGCTTCTTGGGTTTTAGCATATACAAGTTTCTTCAAGGTCTTAAAGGAAAAAAAGTACTTGTTAGGAGGGCTACATGTCACTGGGCAACAGGAACTTTTCAGCTTCATTATAATCCTATAGCACCACCGCTGTATATGTGGTCCTATAAGATTATAATGGAGCTGAAAAGTGCTAGCGAGCTTCTTAACTGGGATAAAAGTTTGTTTGTAAACGTATGTAAATGTATTTACATGTGCTAGCCCAGGGTCAACCTAAAAGGTAGCGAAAGTGTTTAGCCCAGAAGTCTACATAGAAACTAGGGTTGTCTACCTCCATACCACCCTGAATGTCCCCCGATCTCGGAAGCTAAGCAGGGTCAGGCCTGGTTAGTACTTGGATGGGACAATAGGGCTAAGGTGAGTAGATTTAATGCTCCAGGATAACGACCTTTACCGACAGGTCATTGTGTGGCACGTGGCTGTATGTAGTTATTAAAATGTAAATACATATATTTACAAACAAACTTTTTTTCCCAGTTAAGAAGCTCGCTAGCACACAGCATTCTGTTGAAAGCCCCCTTTATTTCGCAGTCCTGAAGGGAGTGAGGGAAGGAAGTAAAAGGGCAGAGGAAATAATGAATGAATGCGAGACGCCGATTGTACAGGGACTTGTTTCCATACTGCTCTCTACCAGAAACGTTCTCAGTTTCCTTCCTTCTGCTGGACATGTTCCAAGGGCCAAAACCTCAAATAATGTGACTTTGTAGATTGGAGAGTGTGTGACCACAGAAAGGAAAGGGAGGCAGCACGTGCCAGCCGGCGACAGAATGTTAAGTCTGCAGCATACTCCACCGCAATGAAACAAATAATTTGTGTATTTCCTCCCCTTCCTTCGCCCAGAGCCACTGTGAGAATGGGCTACAGAAAGTTTCGAGGCAGTAAAGCCAGTTGTTCACCCAGAACATCTGACTGCCATAAAAATTATGGTGACGAGAAAGAACGTTTGCTCAAATGCCGGGGTCGGGTTGAGGGCTGGAGAAAGGTCCCACCCCGCAGCATCTACCTCCCGGGCTCCTCACCATGTGCATCGCCTCCTCCATCCACTTTTCGGTCTCCTCTGCCGACACCGAGCACGCGCCGCTTGCAGCTGGCTTGGGTGCCGCCTTCGCCTCCATACCCAGCCACCACTCAGCTACAGAGCCCGCGGCAGAGGAGGAGCGCGGGCAGCGGAACGCGGCGGGCCCGGGACCCCGTTTCCGGGGGTAGTCTAATGAAAAGGCACTCGGGAGCTATTTCTGAACGGACCTGGGCTTGTCGGACCAGTGAGCGGCGGCGGCTGCGCGGCGGCAGCGGCAGAAAGCGTAGCTGCTTTGCTGTAGTCCACGCCCCCTTGCCGCTCCGGTGACAGTCTCTGCGGAAAGTCACGTTTGTGATTTCGGGAGAGCACAGAACGGGACGACGGCGCTCTTGCTGGGTCATCTGGGCCAGGTGACGAAGAAACAGTTTCCTGGTGAAGCAGTCCCTCACCCCTAGTCAGCCCACACCCCTAGGGCCTAAAGATGCTGAGGTCTGTATGGAATTTTCTGAAACGCCACAAAAAGAAATGCATCTTCCTGGGCACGGTCCTTGGAGGTGGGTGACAACGTGCTTGAAAGGGGGCATTGGGAGAAGGGGGTGGGAGAGGTGACTTCTTCTAAAATAAGGACAGGCCGGGCGATCCTAGTCTGGGATATGTAGAGGGAGTTCGATCAACCATGGGATGAAAAGGGAGGTGGCCAACCTCCAGGGTTCTCCCATCTCTGCAGTTGAGAAATGCCTCTGTGCCCTTTGCCCTGTCACCGACTCTTAACTCTGTTTCTCACCTATCCTTTTTTCTCACGGACCTTTGGAGAACTCATCACAGTTTAAGTTTCTGTTTCAAGGCACCATTCTCTTACAGGAACTTTTTAAAAAAAATTCTGCTTTCCTGTGAGATTCTGCATTTCTCCTTGGCACTCTTGATACTTTGGCTCTCACCCTTCTCAGGAGTTTAATAATAATCTAGGGAAGTTACCTATAGGCTGCACTTCGGGTGGTGGTTAAAGTCGATTTGAATTTTTGAAAACAGCGCAGTTGTCCTAAAGGACTGAAAGATATGGATTAGATAAAGAAAAACAAATCAATATTTTAGCTCTGTTTCTGCCATTTTAGAATACAAACTATGGCAGTAAGAAAAATGCTTGAGGGATGTTGTGCAATCTTCCTCAGGATCTTCAAGGTTGGGATCATTGTAATCTAGCTGACATAACTGAGTTGCACAGGCCCAGAGGAGATTTAGAAACAGATAAGATAAAAATCTTGAGACGCTTTTCCCTCATACAATGCTCATGTGATAATATTCAGGGATTTGAAGGAGGGAATAAAAGTTTTGTGAATTATATGAAAAGGACATCTAGGAACTATAAAAGAGGAAATTTGTTAGAACTTGAGTTTTTGAGAAATAGTCTCATCACTTATTACATGCTATGTTTACAAAAGTACTTAAAATCAAGAACAGAGTTTCCCAAAGAATTTGGTTGGCTTTTCTCTTAGTATTAGATTGTATTCTGTTCTCCCCAAACAATTTGAAATTAACAGTACGTATTAGATTGTATTCTGTTCTCCCCAAACAATTTGCAATTAATACCTTTAGCATCAATAGTTCAGATTTTGGTGATGCTTGAAAGTTTGAAACAGAGTTCTTGTTGCTGAGCCAAGGATGGTGTTTTGCATGTCTCTGAGGTCTATCACACATCAATAATAAGCATATGTAAATTTTGAACACCTTCGAGAAATCCTTTATATATAAAAGGTATTTTCTGATATCTTCAGTCGCTAGTATCTAATGTATATTTAAATTATCCTAAGACTACAGAGTCCATTTTATTTATAAAAGCTAAAAATATATGTGTGATTGAAGAAATACAAATAAAGTATTTTTGCGTTTACTGAAGGAAGGAAAATTATCTCTTTAGCGATCTCAGAAGGAATACTCCTTCAGCTTATGGAACAACTTTGTAGTAGATTAGAAATAATCACAGGGGAAGCAAAAGAGTATACTTAAACTTATAATTTTTTTAAAAAACTAACAAGAGCTTTATAGTTACAGAATAAGAGGAATGCAAAAAATAGAAAAGTTCAGACGGCCAGAAAGAGAAAATAATCCTAGTGTTTTATATCAAAAAAGGAGTCAGTCTGAAAAGAAAGGAAGAGTAGATGACCGTGGTTGGCATTTGTTTGAGTCTCATGTTCTTTCTGCTTCAGGGAGAAAGTTCTACAGTGTGTTAGATTTTAATTAGTCTAACTTAAGAAATACCTATCAAGTGCCTGTAATGCTGAAGGTAATATAAATGGAAATACAAGATTTATATATTTTTAATAGTAACAGCTACTATTTATTGGGTGCCCACTTTACGCTGGGCATTGTGCTAAGCTCTTCCTATTTAAGCAGAATGACAAGAAGACAATTATTATTATCCCCATTCAAAAATGTGGCAGCAAGAACCCTAAGAATTTAAGAAACTTGCCTCAGGTCTCAGAATTAGTGAAGGGGAACTGGAATTCAAACCCAGGTGTGTTGGACCACAAAGCACATTCTATTTCCATATTATATCACTGTGCTTTCATGGCCTTTATAGTCTGATAGGAAGGAAAAGCAAGTATACATGTAATTAAGATACAGAAAAACAAGAGAGGTGAAAAAATGCTGTACAGATCACACTGGCAAGTAGCATATGCAGTTGTGAAAAATCAGGAAGAATTTCATGGAAGAAGAGACACATTTTGACAGGCTTGAAAGCTGGGTAGTATATCAACAGGCATGCGCAGAGAAGTTTGGGCATTCAATAGTGGGGGAAGTAAGTAAGTAAAACCTTGAGTAGCAGGCCTTCTTAAGTAACAATTTCTGTTTCCTCAGATTTTGGGTGGGTAACTAATTGGTTTACGCGTTTGTATAATTTGACCAGTTTGGGGGGTTTGGGTGTGTTCGGGTTTTGTGTTTTTTTGTTTTTTTGTTTTTCAGACAGGATCTTGCTCTGTTACCCACGCTAGAATACAATGGTGTGATCGTAGCTCACTGCAGCCTTGTTTTCTCCTTTGCTAGCTTTACAATGTAAGGCAAGTAGAAAGGCTTCCTTATGAAGATTTGCCTGACATCTTCACACTTTCCTCACTCATGCGATCCTCTCACCTCAGCCTCCCAAGTAGCTAGGACCACAGGTGTGCACCATCATGCTTGGCTAATTTTTAATTATTTTGTAGAGACAGGGGTCTCACTACATTGCTCAGACTGGTCTTGAACTCCTGGCCTCAAGCAATCGTCCTGCCTCAGCCTCCTAAAGTGCTGGAATTACAGGCATGAGCCACTGAGCCTGGCATAATTTGACCAGTTTGTGAAAAGACTAGAGAATTGACTCCCAAACTTTTTGATCTAAGGTCTCCTTTACACTCTGAAAAATTAAGGACCCTCAAAAGCTTTCTAAATTTTATATCTATTAATAGTTATGATATTCAAAATTAAAATGAAATTTTTTAAAATATTAATTCATTTTAAAATAATAAACCTATTACATATTAACATACATAACATTTTCAAAAAATTAATGAGTGTCATTGTTTTACATTTTGCAAATCTTTTTAATGTTTGGCTTAATTGAAGAAAGCTGGATTCTCATCTCTTTCTATATTCTGTCAGTTGTGGTATCACACATCATGTAACCTCTCAATTACTCCACTGTATACGCATGAGAGAATGAGAATGAAAAAGGCAAATAACATTTTAGTATTATTACGAAAACAGTTTTGATTTTATAGACTCCCTGAAATGGTCTTAAAGACCCCAGGGGTGCCCATGCCACACTTTGAGAACCATTGCACTGGAAAAAGTTTTGGAGAACAGAGAGCAACCAGATTGATATTTATTGACTTACTGGTTTCTGAAAACCTCAGAACATTGACTTGGATTTATACCTTAAATCCTGTAATCTCTGGCTTCACATTTTTTATTCATTCATTCATTCATTCTGTCATTGAACAAACATTTGAATGAGAGTAAGTGACTGATCTCACTGTACTTTACTCTGGAAATACAAAGGAATAAGACAGATCCTGACTTTGAACTCATGGTACAGAAATGGAAATAAAAGTAGTATGATAGTATAGTACAAAAATAGAGCAGGGTGTTGTGGGAGCATTGATGAGAAGAAAGTGTGAAGATGTCAGGCAAAGCTCCATAAGGAAGAATTTCTGCTTAAGTTGTAGAGCTAGCAAAGGAGAAAGGACACAGAAGGAAAAAGAGCAATTCAAGAGGTTCAGCAACATTGCTTTTTATGAATGAAACTGTATTTCACTATGGCTATGCAAATGAGAAGTGGCAAAAGATTAACTTGGAAAAGTAGCTAGAGTACAGATTGTGAAGGGCCTTATGAAGCCATTCTACATAATTTGGACATTATCCTTTGTATTGGTGCTTGCTAGAGTTTACTATGGATAAAAAAATCACTTAGGGAGCTTAATAAAACATAGGATCCTTTATTCCAGATTCTGATTCTTTAGGTTTAGAGTGCAGTTCAAGAATTCCTTAATTCAGCAAATATTTATTGCGTTCTGAGTCCCAGTCAGAGTTTATGTACTGGGGATGCAGCATCATGCAAGATAAGACATTTGGGGGTATTTTCTTTTCTTTTCTTTTCTTTTCTTTTCTTTTCTTTTGAGACGGAGTCTTGCTCTGTCGCCCAGGCTCGAGTGCAGTGGCTCGATCTCGGCTCACGGCAAGCTCCGCCTCCTGGGTTCACGCCATTCTCCTGCCTCAGCCTCTTGAGTAGCTGGGACTGCAGGCGCCCGCCACCACGCCCGGCTAATTTTTTTTTTTTTTTTTTTTTTTTTTTTTGTATTTTTAGTAGAGACGGGGTTTCACCATGTTAGCTAGGATGGTCTCGATTTCCTGACCTCGTGATCCGCCCACCTCGGCCTCCCAAAGTGCTGGGATTACAGGCATGAGCCACCGCGCCCTGCCCATTTAGGGGTATTTTCAAGGAGTGTCTTTAAAGGCTACATTTTTAATTGTCCCAAGTGATTCTAATGTAAGTGGAACAGGGAAACCACATTAAGAAATGATGGCAAGATGTTGAAGGATTCTAAAAACATGAGTGATATGAGATTTATGTTTTAGAAAATCACTTTGCATATATAAGATAGGTTAAACAGGTGTGTGACCAGAAAGTGAAGAGTTAGGGACCTATTGAACCAGTTCAAGAGCATTAATTTTTAGAGTCTAAGTGGTGACAGTGATAAAGAAGTTGTAGATAATTGGCAAGATTTAGAAAATGTGTCTGAAATAGAATCAGAATACTGTAGTAGGATTTTGTGATCTGTTGGATTGGGAACAATAGGTTATTTTCAAACTTTTTTTGAAATTATTAACCTTGTGAAATAGTTGCATTGTAGGGATTTTCATCCAGAAAGAGAAGACTAAGAGATGGTTTTAAAACAACTGAATTGTGGAAAGACTAGAAGTCTTATTTTCTAGTAATGTTATTAATGGAAAACTCAAAGCATTTGACATTTATTTTTTAAGGTATTTAGTAAATATTTTCATTGTTAATACATAAAGTCATAGCTACAAAAGAAACATTAAAGCTCATATAATCCCAGTCTTTCATATTGAGGATGAAGAAATTTAGACACAGAGGGAGGAAGGGACTTTCTCAAAAGTCACATAACTACTTGATACCAGAGCCGTCAATATCTCCTGTTTTCCAGGCTAGGCTGCCAGTCGAGTATATAGATAGTCATGAGCTCCATGTTTTAGCTAATGAATTACCTGTCCTCATTCTTATTTTTCTAAGGGAACAAATCTGACAAAATCAGAATTTATGAGCCTGGATGAATTAGACCTTGTATAAGAACTTAGTTCAGTGCTAAAATCAAGAAAAATAATGGATTGTGTGATTTTAGCCTGATTTCCAAGTACCACAAAATGGGCGGCTTAAGCAGCAGAAATGTATTATCTTACAATCCTGAAATTTAGAAGTCTAAGATCAGGATTGGTTCCTTCTGCAGAGTGTAAGGGAAAGATCTATTCCAACCCTCTCACCATGGCTCATAGATAGGCATCTCCTCTGTTTTTGCTTTGTCTTCCCTCTGCAATTGTCGATGTCCAAGTTTCCTTTTATAAGGACAAGTCTTATTGAATTAGGACCCACCCTAATGACCTCATTTTAACTTGATTACCACTGTAAAGATTCTATTTCCAAATAAGGTCACATTCTGAGGTGTTGGGGCTCCCATGGCAATTCATTTTCTTTTTTAGTTTAGTTAGAATATCAAAGTGTGGCTAACTAACTACTCTGTAATGTTCACATTCTGATTTCACGTTCAGGAAAATTTCGCACTCAGGAAAACTGACTTCCCCTCAGATATAGACCAAATGTACACACTTATATCATACTGCCTATGCTGAAATGTGTTAAATAGCAGTTCCTAAAAAAAATCATCAGATTTGTTGAGACTCTGATTAAAGCAGTGGACCTTCTCCCCAGAGAAACACACCAATCAAATTTACTATTGTTAAAGAAAAAAATTCTTAGCTGTGCAAAAAGTGTCATCTTAGTGTTGATTTTACAGTATAATTTGAGAAATAATCATTTTACATGTAACTTTCAGTAAGCTGTTGTGCAAATAAGATACAAACAATTCCTTCAGATCTATTATGTCAGAATTGCCTGTCATAGAGTAACTTTGTGAAATGTAAGTCAGTTTCCTTTGTTGGTATTGTAGCACTATCATCAGTTTCTTTAGAATGGAGTACAGGAAAGGTAGCCATGTAGCCACTTATATGAACTCTCATTTCTTCTTTAAGCTTGGTTATAATACATTAATTGCATATAAACATAGCAACAGCAATCATACTGTAGTTCTAATTGTTTTTAGCACATACCCTTTTACTGAACTACTATTTTTAAGAATATGTAATATCTTATCAGTTCACCTATAGCACCTGTATTAGTGAAAATAATTCAGGATATGTATTTGTTTTGCAGTTGCTAGAGGGCTACCCACTTTCTACCTGTGACAGACCAAATCTAATTACTTAGGTCATGCACAATTCTTAGGTTATGTTTAGTAGATACTGGGGGTCACAGACAGTGGGAGGTAGGTGAGCATTAGTTAATTCCTTACAGCCTTGCTCTCAGGTTATAATGAAACCAAGTTCTGGCACACTTAAAAACATCTACTGGCAAACAGAGATTAAAAGTAACACAACCTGTTCTGTAAGCTTATTGAAGTCCCAGTGTTCTGCCCTTGTTTCATGCTACCGCAGAACTGCTTATAAAAGATTTACCTGAAGAAAATGCAACAATATTCTAGCTGTAGGATTTGGTTGGCTACCTGGTTAACTCAGTTGACTAAGAATCCTTTGAACTAGCGGCTAAGGATCCCAGGCAAAGGTGAAGGACTTGCTTGATTTGTATATTCTAGTTCATATGAATATTACTAAAATGTTTTAGCTAGTCCAGTATCTTGAAAACCATTAATCTATGAAAATCCATTCCTGATAATCATTATGCTAATCAAAAATATTTGGTGCTAAATCAGTGATAAAAGCTAGTTGAAGAGCTTAAGCTTTGGAATGTGGCTTTTGATCAAGTGTGGCTAACTAACCACTCTGGAATGTTCACATTCCCAGCTAGGAAAACTGACTGCCCCTCAGATATAGACTAAAATGTACACATATATATCATACTGCCTATGCTGAAATCTGTTAAATCACAGGCCACATGACACCACCTATATTCTTATCCTGTGGTGTTAGAATTTAGGAGTTTCTGTACCCTCTTCCCTCTTTTTTTTCCAGTTAAGTTACTAATTTTTAGATGAGAGAGTTGTATTTTCTCTCCTTATCTCAAAGAGATTTTTCTAACACATGGATGGATAAATAGACTTCTGCCTGACTAACTACCTTTCTTTCATTGTTCCTTTTAAAATTTTTATCTTATAGTTTTAAAAAGCATTTTGTGTTCATTGAAGAAAATATAGAGGACAAAATGACCTGTTATCCCACCATTCAGCAATGATCATTGTTTGTTATATTTTAGAAATTAAAACTCACCTATTTTTTGTATCTGTTTCCATTAAAAAAAGTAACATTTCTGGGATCTTATTTTATCACCTAACAGTATAACATGGATATTTCCTTGAGTCATTATTTAGCAATGTGGTTTTTAATAACTACATAAGATTTCGTTGTATGGCTAGACTATCATTTATTTAAACAATTCTCCATTGCTGGACATGTAGAATATCTCTAGTCTACTAGTAAAGGCACTGCCAGACTTTTTAGATTTAATTCCTTTCCCTTCCTCAAACCTGGTCCTTATGTGCCCATCATTTCCTCTGTCATTGGCTGTAAAAATGCTAATTTCCTTTTCTTTGGGCCAATCTTACAAAATTCTTTATTTAGGTTTTAAAAATGTAATTTTAGCTATCCACTAATATAAAACTTATAATTGCATAAAGTAGGTTAAAAATACTGTGTAGAATTTTTGGTACTCTAATGAATATAGTACTTTTTTAATGATTGTAGGAGTATATATTCTGGGGAAATATGGACAGAAGAAAATCAGAGAAATACAGGAAAGGGAGGCTGCAGAATACATTGCCCAAGCACGACGACAATATCATTTTGAAAGTAACCAGAGGACTTGCAATATGACAGGTAAGACAGAGAAATATTTATACATGTGTAAAGTTGTTTGACGGTTGTATTAATTTGCATATCACCGGGATCAAATTTAGAGGAAAAGGCAAAGAAAAGATGGTAAATCTAGCAAGTGTTTGAATGATTTAACTGAATTACATCATTTTAATGTGAATTTTAAAAATCAGTTCATTCATTTTATTTATTCATTTAGCAAATACTTGTATCCAGGCCTGGGGAAGCAGGAAGTGAACAACAACAACAAAAAGCCCCTGACCTTTGGAGTTTATATTCTAGGGAGAGGAAAAGATGATAAACAACAAATAAGTAACTTTAGGCAGTGATGGCTGCCATATGGAACATAAAGCCATGTGAGGGCTGGAACGTTCTTTAAGACAGGGGATCAGTAGAGTCAGGTTTCTTTGAGGTAACATTTGAGCAGAAACCAAATGTTACAATGGAGGGAGCCATGTGAAATGCCTGAGGCGGGAACAAGCTTGGTACTCTCAGGACACAGCAAAAAGGCCATGTAGCTAGAGCAGAATGAACAATGGCAGTGATAGGAAACAAGGCTGCAGAAGTAGGCTTGATCCCATCGGGCCTGTGGGCCATAGGAAAGAGTCATTAAGTTTATTAAATTTACAGTAGGCAACTATAGACCTGTGAGTCGTCCACAATAGTATACACTCAGGCAATGTTAATTAATGGCAATAATTTAACCTCCAGAGCTAGAAACATAGTCCTGGGAGAATGCCATCACAAAATCAACCTGCCCATATTTGAAGAGAACAGTGTGTCCTAACTGGCATAACTGAAGAATTAGTTCTCAAATCCATGCAAAGCCTGTTTTTCTTTTCTATTGTTTAAAGCTTACTCATTTCTCTAACATTCTTTCAAGAACAATTAATTTAGAAACAATTTATAAAGGTACATTCTCCTTATTTAATTTTAAAATTAGAAATTTTTTAGAGTTAAAGGCCTTTATTATTAGTTTACTTACCTCATTTTACTTGAGGCTGAGATTAAGAAGGGTAAGAGGCACATCCAAAATTACAATTGGAGTATGATTTTTAATATTTGAAGTAGTAATACTCAGAAAAATACCTTCATTCTGCAAAGCGAATAGTAATCATAAATACTATACATAATGACAATTCTGAGAGTAAAATGAACATTATAAAAGCCACTTCATAAATGTTTTGTGAGGCCGTGATGAGATAATGCCTATACAGTGCTTGATGTATGATAAATACTTGGTAAATGATAACTTTTTAAATTTACATTTAGCATTCAATATATTGCCACTGCCTAGGACATTTTAATGAATTTTTAGGGAATGGTCCATTTCTGCTTATTATTTGAATTTTCAAAAAATAATAAAATGGGCCAGGCATGGTGGCTCACGCCTGTAATCCCAGCACTTTGGGAGGCCGAGGCTGGTGGATCACCTGAGGTTAGGAATTTGAGACCAGCCTGACCAACGTGGAGAAACCCCATCTCCACTAAAAATACAAAATTAGCCGGGCGTGGTGTTGCATGCCTGTAATCCCAACTACTTGGGAGGCTGAGGCAGGAGAATCACTTGAACCTGTTAGGTGGAGGTTGCGGTGAGCTGACATCACACCATTGCACTCCAGCCTGGGCAACAAGAGTGAAACTCTGTCTCAAAAAAAAAAAAAAAAAAAAGTAAAATGTAGCTGCTGGGGTCTTAAAATACATCGCAGTTTGACATGGACCCTTGTGTCAGTTTGGGTCCCCTGGGAAGCAGATGCTAGGATGGGATTAGATGTACAAGAGATCTACTAGTAGAAATGCCTGTAAAGGATAAAGGGGAAGGGAGGCAGAAGAAGGCAAGCGAAGCATTTAGGCCACAGTGCAGGTCTGACATTTGTGAAGGGAAAAAGACAAGGAAGGAAGAAAGATTAGGCAAGAAGAGTCTCAGACTACAGCACAGTTCTAAGAAAGCATTGGGAGACCATGAAGAGTCTGCAAGCCAAAGTTTCTGGTAGAGGAGACCTGCAGAAATGGGCCTGCTTTACTGTGCCCATACAAGCAGTGTCATTGGCTGGGAGCAGTGCAAACATGGTGATGGATCCAGAGCAGTGGCAGATGGGGTTGTCAATTATGTATGCTCCTCCAGCAAAAGATAGGGGTCACACGTTTCCATGATGCAACCCTAAGATGAACAAATAGCTGACTATAGGCAATTAAAAGTAAAATATTTAATCTCTAAGAGCCAAAATATAGGTTCAGTGAAACTTTCCAAATTAGCTTTCTGCACATTCTGCATTTTTTGTACAATTCATAACATGAGCAATGATAATGGTGTTACAAATAATATCAAATTTCTATTCCTTTGGATAAGATGTAATTGATATACTAGAAAAAAAAAAAAAGAGTGCTTTGGGGTAAATATAAGTAGTTTTCTTACCCAAGAAGTTTTCCCTTTTAGAATGTGGTGTTCATAGCCAGGTGTGGTGGCTCACACCTGTAATCCCAGCACTTTGGGAGGCAAAGGTGGGAGGATTGCTAGAGCCCAGGAGTTCAAGACAAGCTTGAGCAACATAGTGAGACCTCATCTGTACAAAAAATTTAAAACATTAGCTGGTCATGGAGGCCCACGCCTCTAGTCCTAACTACTCGGGAATCTGAGGCAGGAGGATCGCTTGAGCCCAGGAGGTCAAGGCTGCAGTGAGCCGTGATTGCACCACTGCACTCCAGCCTGGGTGACAGTGTGAGATTCTGTCTCAAAAAGAAAAGGAATGTGGTGGTCTTCATATTTTTTCATTTTGTTATCGTTACTTTTTTAGGGTTTAGAGACTCATTTTACATTTTTATATGTGTATTCCTCCATTTCTTTTTTTCTCTAATCCCATGACAGATTCTTATTCTCCAGCATTTCTTATTCCACATGTAGAGCCATAAATAAACTCCTAAAAATCACATGAAGTTTTTTTCCCATAGATTGCTAGTCTCATTTCATCTTCACATTATTCCTGGGAGTAAGAAACAATAACAAACAACAGCCACTGACAAAACTAAAACTAAAACTCAGCAACTTTTAGTTTCTAACCCAGTGCACTTTTATTTATGTTATAATAAATGTTTATTGCTTTGTAGTATTACAAACAGTAAACATGTACAATAAACAGTAACAAATAATACCCACTGACAAAACTAAAACTCAGCAACTCTTAGTTCCTAACCCAGTGCACTTTTGTCTAGGTTATAATAAATGTTTATTACTTTGTAGTATTTAATAAACTTTTTAAAAATTAGAATGAAAAATGAAGGAAAAAGTATAGCTGAATATAAAAATGCTTTTGATCATTGTCATTAAATCAGAAGTAAACACTTTTGTAAAAAATTTGGAGAGTATGGAAAAGAAAAAAAAGGAATTGTTCATAATCCATAGCTCAAAGACCACCACTGTTAAAATCTGAGAATAATTCTTTCTATTGTTTCTTCTGTGTGTACTTGTGTTGCTGTGATCATAATGTTTATATAATTTTGTTAAATTACATAAGCAGATAAATGATTTGTTAGGATATAATCGTTTTATAATAATAATAATAATTTGAATCGTCTAGCCCTGACTTTCCCTTCTGACTCTTGCTAGTTGCTAGCCCTATCATATAGCCTAAAACAATGCGCATTTCTTAGTGAGGGCAGTCATATCACTTGTGACCTTTTTTATTTTTTTTGTTTGTATTACAGTGCTGTCCATGCTTCCAACACTGAGAGAGGCCTTAATGCAGCAACTGAATTCCGAGAGCCTCACAGCTCTGCTAAAAAACAGGTAAATGCAAGTTACAGCATTTTCTGTTTAAGCACTACACTTAAAGTTTATAGAATGAACTGATAGACTTTTCAAAAATCTTTGTTATTTTTCTATCTAATGAAAGTTTATATAGGCTCAGTAAGAAAAATACTAACTATATCATTTAACCTACATTTAATTTTGTCTATGCTCTACTTTTTTGCATAAAGCATTCAAGGCAATGATATTTGTATGTATTGTTTTTCATATAAATAGACCTTATAGCACTTTGAAATTGTTCACAAATTTAATTATGCAGTGCTTGTGAAATGTGTTCCTGAACCAGATGCTGTGAAGCTAACAAAGTTACGTTAAATATTGTGCTTCTTTCTGAAAGAGCTTACGGTGTAATACAGCATGTGAACATACGTTTTAAATAAATAAGATATACAGGACTTATATCTTAAATTACTAACAAAATGAAATACAAACATAACATGAGCATGCAATACTAATAATTTACATTGCCATGGCAGTTTGCTGTTTCCAAAAGCACTTTCACATATGTAACCTTGTATATTGCATGTAGCATGTGTTGGGGTATTGTAATTTGGTATGATACTGTATTAGTTTGAGAAGACTTCCAGCAGGAAATGGCTTCTTATTTTGATGACAATGATGGGAGGGTGGGCAGGGAAATGGTTTCACTAAATAAATGTTAATCATTGTGGCCTTCCTAAAATAATCACTTGCCTTTAATCACCCTTCAAATAGCCAGGGGAAAAGTAGTTCTATTTCTAAACTGTCTCACTGTGCTAGCCCTGGTGCTAGGTACCTTCCATATATGCTCCCACTTAATTTACACAATATCCCTGTGAGGCGGTTACTATTATTCATTTTGCAGTAGGAATTGAGTGCTCAGACAGGCTACATAACAAGTGGGGAATTTTTTTAAAAACACTTACTATATTCAGAGAATACTTCCCAAAATAACAGTGGATTTGTGTACTTGAGATTTCTTTTATCTGATTAAAACAGAATGCTAGTGATGGGGGTTTTCCATTTTAAATTTCTTCATTCTTAGAGGTAGACAGACCTTCCTTCCTTCTTACAGATATAAGGTTTAGCTTATAAATTAGTTCATACAGTTTTATGAAGAAGAAACATATAAGCAGATTGCTTTTGATCAAATAAATAATTACCATTTGTGTGTACATAGGTAGGAATTGAAAAGAAGTAGATTTTAATTTCCTTTTTGTCATGATGAGAAGGCAAGACAAGTTAAATAAGTGAATAGCATTTTTATACAAGCAACATAATACAGATAAAATAATCGTGGTGGCATTCTTCCTTCTTGGTGAATCTGTTTCCTGCAAGGCCCTATGTTCCATGTGCTTTAGGGGATTTAATAGTTAAGATCAAGTCTCTTTAAGACCTTTTCATCCAAAGGAGGAAGTAGACTAAATAAATTATCGTAATTCCGGACATATTTAGTGCAATGACAAAAAGTAAAAGGAAAATTTAGGAGTATCAAAAAAACCAAAGGATTAATTTTGATAGATTATCCTGGACAGCTTTAAAGAAAAGATGTGATTCTTTTTTTCTTAATCGGTACACAGGGAGGAGAATTTCTTAAATTCTGGAGAATTTAAGGTGGGCCACAGTTCTCCTCATTCAGTTTCCTCTTTAAATATCTCAATGTTACTTCTTCTTGGCTTTCTTTTGATTTGAAATTACTATTTGTAATTTGGTGGGGGGAGAAGGGTAATATCCATTTGAAAAATATTTGCATAAATAAGGGCTTGATCCCTTACAAAGTATCATTAAATAAGGCCTCCAATCTTATGACTGCTTTTATATTAATTTTATATGAGACTCTGGTCTCATATAAGCCTGTTGAGCAAGTTTTTTTTTCTTTAAACTATTTGTGATAATAACTAAGATAATAACTAATGAGAAATAAGTAGATGATTTGATAGTCTTATTTTGCCAACTTCATAACAGCAAATAAACAGTTATCACTGTTTTTGATATTTGGCACTCTTCTTGAAGACTGATAATGGCAATGAAGTTTCAATGGCAAAAACAAAAAAATCTTAAACATCCTCCATCATAAGAGAAGTAGAACACTTCGAAAAGATTCGTTTAATTCTCTTTACTTTTTATTTCTCCATGAAGGTATTTTAGTGACATTAAAGAGTCTGGTTGTATTTAACTTGCAGTTGATTTCCATCAAACAAATCATTTGAAAGGAATATTTGTGTTGAAGGTACTTTTCTCTGTTCTACATAGATTTGGAATCTTTTATGTAGATTTTGGAGTTTTTTAAAAAAAAATAGCATCAGTATTTAAAAATCTACTTTTAAGGTCTAATAATGTTAAGTGTAAACATGAAGAAATGTCCTGGGTAACTATTACTGTCTTCTCCCACCAAAATCATCCCAAATAAAATACAGTTTTTTGTTCGTTTGGTTTTGGTTTTTTTTTAGATAGAGTCTTACTCTGTCGCCCAAGCTGGAGTACAGTGGCACAATCATGGCTCACTACTAAGCACTTTCTATATTGAAATTTTCGGAACCACTGTTTTCTTATCTTTTTTCTTTTAGAATTTTTATAAGAAGTACTTAGAAATTTTTCTGAGGGAGCATTCAAAAAGAGATATGAGTCACTTAGGATACATTAAATACCTCACCTTTGAATTGTGGTTGATTCCCAGTTTAATCCGAATACATATGACATTCTGCCGTGAGTCTTGAACACTAGATTAGATTAAGGTTGCAGCAGTGTCTTGCATGAGTTACTCAACACATTTTCTGAACCTGTGCCATCTAGGAAAGAGGTAACTGAAACTATAGAGTCTGCTCATTGGCAAAGAAAGACAAGAAGCTAGTAGTATCTTTAAAATTGTAATAGTAACTCAATTTCTTGTTGGAATGCAAATTTATGTCTGAAAGTAATAATAAAGAATATGGACTTGTGTTTTCTATATCTGTGGTTTTTTTTATTTCATGTTTTCTAGTAATTTATTTTTATTGTATTTAACAAAAGTGCTGCTCTGTGACAGATTGGAAAGGAAAAGGAAAAAAAATGGATCCTTCCACTAGTGGTTTGAAAAGCACTAAACTACCTCCACATAGTACATCCATACAATGGTGTACTACACGTTGGTTAGAAGAGAAAAGTGGCTACCATCTGTATACAATAGTCCCATCCACCTTATCCATGGTTTCACTTTCCAAGGTTTCAGTTAGCCATGACAACCATGGTCTAAAAATATTAAATGGAAAATTCCAGAAATAAACAATTCCTAAGCTTTCAGTTGTGTGCCATTGTGAATAACATGAAGAAATCTCCCTTTGTCCAGCGGATCCATGCTGTAGATGCTATCTACCTGTTAGTCACTTAGTAGCCATCTTGGCCATCAGATTGGATGTTGAGGTATTGCAGTGCTTTGTTTTTAAGGAACCTTTATTTTACTTAATAATGGCCCCAAAGTGCCAGAGTAATGATGCTGGCATATTACGGTTGTGCTATTTTATTGTGAGTTATTGTTGTTAATTTTTTACACTGCCTAGTTTATAAATTAAACTTTAACATAGGTATATATGTATAGGATAAAACATAGTATATGTAGGGGTTGGTACTATCTTCAGTTTCAGGCATCTACCGAGGGTCTTCAAACGTATCCCCCAAGGATAAGAAGGGACTACTGTAGTACTATGGAATGATTTCCACAAGATATATTGCTATATTTTTAAAAAGGTAAAGAAAAATGTGTATAATATTTTTCACTTATCTAAGGGGGCAGATATAAATGTATATATACATATTCACTTATATAAAGCAAAACAATGGAAAGTTTAAGCATTTTTTAAGTCGTCATCTATGAAGAAGGGAGAAAATGAAGGGGGTTAGGAACAGACTTTTTTGAATATACTGTATTATATAAATTTGACTTGGGAACCATATAAATATTTAATATTATAAAACTATAGTGTTTAAAAAATAATGTCCAAAAATATATAGTACCATAAATCAAATTAACCTAAATATGATTCTTGTTGGTAGTGTAACTACAAAGACAGAAACTGTGCTAAATTACTTTGAAACAGAAATTTCATGTATATCCTTAGTAGGATATATACTCTTCACACACAAAGAATTGGAAAAACAGAAACCTTAAACTCTTTTACACTGAGACTGTTGTGTATAGAGTGAGGGATGAAACAAATTAGTAATTATGTTGCTTTCACCTATTTTTTATGTGGACAAAAAGAAACACAGATGTAAGATCAATGAGATTAAGTTAAAAACCTTTTGACTAATTTTAGACTAATTTTCTAAATTTTGACTAATTTAGAAATATCAGTATGAATTCATGATGTATATTACCTTTTTGATCATATGCACATATAAATAAATAAATAAATAAACATTTATTAGCTTAGTTCACTGAAAAAATCTTAGAAATAATGACCTACCCAGTAGCAATGAACATTCTGCATCGAAGGTTTTGGTCTCTACCATTTCCTGCTATGAGAAAACAGGACCCAGTGAAATTGGTGATATCAAGTCTGCAGCAAGAATTAAATGAGATGAACCCAGAATAAGTTTTCATGTCAGAAACTGTAGATACTATAAAAGACTAATAAAAGATTATACAAATCAAAAGGATTCAGGAGGCAATGTGAATAGTCTTCCAGAAGTGAAAGATGGGCAGTTTGAACATCGATAGAGATAATAACTACAGTGGATTGATACACATGAAATATATGTGTAAATTCATGTGTTTATGATCGTAAAACAAAAAAAACTTCATATTTACCTTTGAAGGATTATAGGACCTACTTCATTATTTCTAAAACAGCAAGTTAGGGAAAAGAAAGAAATATTTCCTCTGCATTTCCTATATGATTTTGTAATCTATCTATACATAACACTCAAGGAGAAAAAGATTGTAAGAATATATACCAGTTAAAGTGGTTGTTATTGATTACTGGAATTAAAATTTTTTTTTACCGTATTTTGTGGGCTTGCTTTTCTGCAGTTATGCTGTGTTGCTTTTAATTTTTTTTAAAAAGTAAAAATAGATCTATAAAATTCAGAGTTTTCTATTAGATTATCTAGATTATTATTTTCATATTTTTAAATTTTGTTCTTTAGGCCTTCAAACAAGCTAGAAATATGGGAGGATCTGAAGATAATAAGTAAGCCTGCATATTCTGTGTGACAGCACATCCTTAAAATATTTATAAAGGGAAATGTTTGCATTCTATTAGGATGACTCTTCTTTACCTGCCTTTTAGAATTGTTGTTAGTATTAAATAATATAGTACAGGTAAAGCAAATAGATCAATGTCTGGTCATAGAAAGCATTCAGTAAATGTTAGTGGTAATGCTATTGTTATTATGATGATGATGGTAGGTAAAATTGTCCTAGACTACATATGCCTTTATTAGGTACTGATATCTCTAATGTGCTTTAAAGGAAGTTTTTATTCCAATCCAGATCATAGATTTACTTTGATATTGTATTGTAAATTTTTGTTAGTGATAAAAAATTGAAACAAAAAGCTAAACTAGGGCCTACGTATCTGCTTGTCTCAGAACTGTTATCCTGTTTTCCCATCCATTCAGCTAATCCTTGTCAGCAGAATGATGCTTAAGCCTTGCCTATTTGTTTTTTGTTGTTGTTGTTGTTGTTGTTTTCATTTTTATTATACTTTAAGTTCTGGGGTACATGTGCACAACCTGCAGGTTTGTTACATATGTATACATGTGCCATGTTGGTGTGCTGCACCCATTAACTCGTCATTTACATTAGGTATATCTCCTAATGCTATCCCCCCCCCCCCCACCCCACGACAGGCCCCAGTGTCGACAGGCCCCAGTGTGTGATGTTCCCCACCCTGTGTTCAAGTGTTCTCATTGTTCAATTCCCACCTATGAGTGAGAACATGTGGTGTTTGGTTTTCTGTCCTTGCAATAGTTTGCTCAGAATGATGGTTTCCAGCTTCATCCATGTCCCTACAAAAGGACATGAACTCGTCCTTTTTTGGGGCTGCATAGTATTCCTTGGTGTATATGTGCCACATTTTCTTAATCCAGTCTATCATTGATGGACATTTGGGTTGAATTCCAAGTCTTTGCTATTGTGAATAGTGCTGCAATAAACATATGTGTGCATGTGTCTTTATAGCAGCATGATTTATAATCCTTTAGGTATATACCCAGTAATGGGATGGCTGGGTCAAATGGTATTTCTAGTTCTAGATCCTTGAGGTATCACCACACTGTCTTCCACAATGGTTGAACTAGTTTACAGTCCCACCAACAGTGTAAAAGTGTTCCTATTTCTCCACATCTTTTCCAGCACCTGTTGTTTCCTGACTTTTTAATGATCGCCATTCTAACTGGTGTGAGATGATATCTCATTGTGGTTTTGATTTGCGTTTCTCTGATGGGCAGTGATGATGAGCATTTTTTCATGTGTCTGTTGGCTGCATAAATGTCTGCTTTTGAGAAGTGTCTGTTCATATCCTTTGCCCACTTTTTGATGGGGTTGTTTGATTTTTTCTTGTAAATTTGTTTAAGTTCTTTGTAGATTCTGGATGATAGCCCTTTGTCAGATGGGTAGATTGTAAAAATTTTCTCCCATTCTGTAGGTTGCCTGTTCACTCTCATGGTAGTTTCTTTTGCTGTGCAGAAGCTCTTTAGTTTAATTAGATGCCATTTGTCCATTTTGGCTTTTGTTGCCATTGCTTTTGGTGTTTTAGTCATGAAGTCCTTGCCCATGCCAATGTCCTGAATGGTATTGCCTAGGTTTTCTTCTGGGGTTTTTATGGTTTTAGGTCTAACATTTAAGTCTTTAATCCATCTTGAATTAATTTTTGTATAAGGTGTGAGAAAGGGATCCAATTTCAGCTAAGCCTTGCCTATTTGAAAACAAACCTTTCTAGTTCCCTGTAGTTCCTTTCAGCTTTTATACTTCCTTTTCTGGGGGGTGAGGGGAGATGGAGTCTTGCTCTGTTGCCAGGGTAGAGTGCAGTGGTGCAATCTTGGCTCACTGCAACCTCCACCTCCTGGGTTCAAGCGATTCTCTTGCCTTAGCCTCCCGAGTAGCTGGCTCTACAGGTGCGTGCTGCCATGCCCAGCTAATTTTTGTATTTTTGGTAGAGACAGGGTTTTACCATGTTGGCCAGGATGGTCTCAATCTCTTGACCTTGTGATCCGCCCGCCTCGGCCTCCCAAAGTGCTGGGATTACAGGCATAAGCCACCGTGCCTAGCCTATGCTTTCTTATAATCCTTATGACCAAGATTTCTACATTCCCTTTCTTCTCTTCACTCCCTCACGCTTTGATGTACTACAGCCCTGCAGCCTGGCTTCCACACCTGTGTCTTCACCTAAGCAGGTCTCTCAAGCGTCAGTAACAACTTCTGTGTTACCAGATCTGCTGGACATTTTCCTTCTGCTAGGACTCTCGGCAGCAGTCAACACCTTCACTCTCTCCTCTGTTTTGAACACCCTGTCCTAAGCTACTGGGAGGCCTGTCTTACCAGGCTTCCCCAGTCTTTCTGTACTTTCCTGTAGTCCTTAAACAGGCTCATCCTCCTCGGGCTGCCATTGAAGGCTAGAGTTCTTCCACACTCAGCCTTCTTCTCTTACTTGAAAATAGCTCCATTGACAACTAAGAGTTCTGAAGCTACAATTCTTTGTGCTTCCCAGACTTTTCCTTGTTTTCCTTTCTAAGCTAATAGTATATACCTCTTTCACCTAATATATTTCATTGGTTATTGTTTCAATTAAGGGATCATACCTAATTTTTATTAAACAATTGTGAGGAGAGACTGAAATATTTTGAATTGATATATTTTTATACTAGAAACAGTTGTAAATATGTTTTTAAAAGTCATCTTACAAAAAAATAACCTTAGGATGGTTCATGATTTTACACATTTGTATTAATCACAGTACCAAATGCTTTTCTTTTCTCTGTGAAGGTTTCACAAGAAGTACTGTGGCTGTATACAGTACCTGTATGCTGGTTGTTCTTTTGCGGGTCCAGTTAAACATAATTGGTGGATATATTTACCTGGATAATGCAGCAGTTGGCAAAAATGGCACTGTAAGTTTAATAGACTTAAATAGACATTGTTCTTTCCCTCAGGAGGTTCAAAGTTTAACTTATTTATCCTGATAACAATTTCTATGAAATAAATATTTTTATATTTCATGTGATTGTGAACTTTTAGTATTATGAATAATTTTTATATGTTGAAACTAGAATTTTTGGTGTGTTAAAAATTACTATTTTTCCCGTCATTTCAGATCTTGAAAAATCTCAGCCAAAGTTTTATTGAAAACATTTCTTATTTACCAGTTTAAAACTTGGATAATTGAACTGTATTTCTGTTTTATACAGACAATTCTTGCTCCCCCAGATGTCCAACAGCAGTATTTATCAAGTATTCAGCACCTACTTGGAGATGGTAAGATTCTTATTTGTGACTTTTATACTAATTTTAATTCATTTATTTTTATTATTGAGGAATTTTTAAACTAAGCAAGGCTTTTAGGTTTGTTTTTTCTTTAATAGGCCTGACAGAATTGATCACTGTCATTAAACAAGCTGTGCAGAAGGTTTTAGGAAGGTAAGGCATTTTTCTTTGACTTTTCTGACTTCTTGATTCTAATGAGTGAAAGAAAATTAGAATTGTTCTAGTGAAACCAGTGACTTGACAAACGGTGATTTGTGAAACTCTTTGTAATAAAATCAGATACCATCCTAGGATATTGCATTGTGGGATCCATTTTCTTTATCTTTTTTTTTATACAGAGGGGAAAGTTTTAATGTTTCATTGTTAATTGATTGATTTCATACAAATCAGAAATATTTGGGTCATGAGATAAAAGACCTACTTTAAAATCTGCCTCTGAGGCTTTTACCTCCCATTTATACTAGTAATATCTATAATTACAGTAGGAATTCTCTTATGGAATCCAGAGAAATACTTTTCTTGGCTCTGTAGTAATGGCCCTTAACTAGTGGCTGATTTCGTAATCCATTCTATTCCAGTCAGCAGTTACAGGTGTAAGCAGAAGAAACAGGATTTTAGATAGTAGCCTGTTAAGAAAAGAGTGTATATAGGATGTGTTGTATAGTTTCTATTTATCCCAATTCCCTTTTCTCTGTTTCTAGTGTTTCTCTTAAACATTCTTTGTCCCTTTTGGACTTGGAGCAAAAACTAAAAGAAATCAGAAATCTCGTTGAGCAGCATAAGTCTTCTTCTTGGATTAATAAAGATGGATCCAAACCTTTATTATGCCATTATATGATGCCAGATGAAGAAACTCCATTAGCAGTGCAGGTGCTTAATTCATAACCATTTAACCAAACCAGTTACTCTATTCTTTTAAAATTTTACTCTCTTGAAATTTTGATTTCTGAGTCTCTTGAAAGGTAAGTGATTGAAAAGCATATATTTCAGTAATTGAAGTAAAACCCATTAATTTAGAAAAACAGCCATTATGAGTGATTTCTAGTAAGAAGCACTTAACAATTTTAGATATTCAGTACATTTTTATTATCAGGTATGTGACAGTAGATACTGTGATGTATTCTGGAGATGTAAAATGTGTAAGACATGTTCATTACACCTGGGGAACTGAAGATACAAATTCAATTGGTGGGCTGCAGCGTATTTTTGTATCAGATCAAGTAGCAGAACATAGAGCTGAAGGTCAGGGCAAGATTATAAAGAGCTTTATATGCCAAGATAACGAGTCTGAACTCCAATTTGTAGACAAAGAAAGGTAGATTTTAACCAGTCCAATAACACAATCACCTTTGCTTTTTAAAAAAGTTAATGATGAAAGTACAAAAATGGACTGAGGAGGTTATAGTCATCCACTTGAGAAACAATGTCTAATCCAAAAATTATCAACTATAGTGTTGCTAAACACTGGTGTGTCCTGGGTAGTTGTTACGTAAGTTATTCATTGATTAAAAATAATAGAAATGCCAGATTGCAGGTTATGGCTCATTTCCTAAATTAGTAATTTTTCGTTTGTCTGCTGGTTTGCACTCATTCTTTGTAATTGGGAGAACAGCTCTTACTTGACAACTGGAAAAGCCTTAGAACAGAGAGGCCCCCTATGCCATACCTCAGCAGAGAGGCCCTGTTAGAACAGAATGCCTTGTTTTCATTGCCTGCAGGATTTCCCATTGCCAGAGACAAAGATGAACCTGTTTGGGTGCTGAGAGATCCTACATTCATGAGTAGGCCAAAAAAAAAGTTGCATCCCATTTAAGGAAACCCTGTAACTTGAAAGATAGAGACTAAACTGATCAAACAGAACAGATGGAACAGAATTAATGAAACAGGAGACAACTTACAAAATAGAATCTCAAGGAGACGCAATAAGAGTATTAAGAAATCTTTTTAGGACTCTAAAGTAATTTACAGTTTTCAAAATTCAAAACAGGACCAAAAAGAAAACAAAAGAACAGATGAAGAGAGAAATGATGGACCAGATCTTACTGAACTGAATTAAAACCTGAAATTTAAGATTGAAAGGACACATAGAGTCTCAGACTAGATTGATGAAAAAAGACACACACATATCCTGATAAAATCTCTTACTGATAAAAGAAAAAAGCATAGGAGGTTGACGGGGAGGATCACTTGGGTCCAGGAGTTCAGGACCAGCCTGGGCAACATAGCGAGATCCTGTCTCTAAAAATTAAAATTAAAAAAATCAGTCAGATGGGCATAGTGGTGCATGGCTATAGTCCCAGCTACTCAGGAGGCTGAGGAGGAAGGATTTTTTAAGCTCAGCAGTTCGAGTCCGTGGTGTGCTATGGTTGCACCATTGCACTCCAGACTGGGCAACACCAATCTGTCTCTTAAAAAAAAAATGCTTTGGGAGGCCAAGGCAAGAGGATGGCTTGAGGCCAGGAATTTGAGACCAGCCTGGGAAGCATAACAAGACCCTACCCCTACAAAAAAAAAAAAAATGAAAAATTAGTATGGTGGCCCATGCCTGTAGTCCTAACTACTACTTAGGAAGCTGAGGCAGGAGGATCACTTGAGCCCACGAGTTCGAGGTTGCCTAAGCTATGATCATGCCACTGCACTCCAGTCTGGATGACAGAGTGAGACCCTTTCTCAAAAAAATAATAATAGTAAAATTAAATTAAAAAAAAAGGCCGGGTGCGGTGGTGCACGCCTGTAATCCCAGCACTTTGGGAGGCCGAGGCAGGCGGATCACGAGGTCAGGAGTTCGAGACCAGTCTGACCAATATGGTGAAACCCTGTCTCTACTAAAAATACAAATAAAAATACAAACTTAGCCGGTCGTGGTGGCGCACGCTTGTAATCCCAGCTACTCAGGAGGTTGAGGCAGGAGAATCACTTGAACCTCGGAGGCAGAGGTTTCAGGGAGCCAAGATCATGCCATTGCACTCCAGCCTGGGCGACAGAGCGAGACTCCGTCTCAAAAAAAAAAAAAAAAACCCAGACCTCTGCAAACTCAAAACCTATTTCTTCTTTGTCTGACTATACTAGAAATCTATCCAAGAAGGGCCAGATAAACAGAGCTCTTACTAAGTATAATTTTACTTTTACTCATGTCTTAAATTCTACTTATTTGCACACATAAACCATTACAGGTTTTTATTTTGGTGGGGGAGGGTCTAACTTTTTTTATTGTTGATAGAACATAGACTTAGATTTCCTAAACTCTTTATTTATGAATGTGATTAGTTTCATCATAACCCTGTGCTAATGTTTGAAAACCTTAAGTGTGACATTTTAATTCTATAGGCCTGTGGACTTTCTCCTCGAGACATTACCACTATTAAACTTCTCAATGAAACTAGAGACATGTTGGAAAGGTATGTATACTTCATGTAGCAGGAAAAATATGTGTGTATGTTGAATGTACTTGAGACTATTTTTTAGTTTTTCTTGAACAACATGGTCGGTATAATATTATATTAAAATTAAATTTTTGACTCTGTTCCCCAGCCTTTAGATAAGATTTCCTACTCAAACTGGAGGGAAGCAGGGATTTCTTAGGGTAACTCAGCTACTAACTCTACTATCTGAATTCATCGAGTTCCAGTCTTTTGTTTTTCCTCAGTAGGATTGTCCACTTTTTTGTTATTCAGATTTCCACCTCATCATTTCATGAAGCTCTGGAGAAGGTCATCAGTGATCTTTTGCCATATCCAATGAACCTGTAATGTTCATCTTACTTGACCTTTCTCTGATATTTGACACTGCCTTTCTTGAAATTCTTTGCTCACATGACTTTCATGACAGTATAATCTATATTTTTCTCCCACCTCTCAAATCATTTCTTAGATTTTTCTATCTCTGTCTTTCCTTTAAACATCAGTGTTTCCAACCTGGTGCAGCAGCTCATGCTTGTAATCCCAGCACTTTGAGTGGCCGAGGCAGGTAGATTGCTTGAGCCTAGGAGTTCAAGACCAGCCTGGGTAACATGGCAAAAACCCCATCTTAAACAAAAGAAAAAAAATTAGCCAGGCATGGTGGTGCACACCTGTGGTCCCAGTTACTTGGGAGGCTGAGGTGGAAGGATCACCTGAGCCCTGGCAGGTTGAGGCTATGGTGAGCCGTGATTGCACCACTGTACTCCAGCCTGGGCAACAGAGTAAGATCCTGTCTCAAACAAACAAAACAAAACAAAAAAGGCCATCAGTGTTTCCCAGGTATTTGTTCTTTCTTCATTGGCAACTGCCTCCCAGGCAATGTTTTATACTCCCATTACTTTACTATGCTAGTAGTTAAAGCCAAATGTATAGCCCTAGTCCTCCACCCTCAGGAGCTTGTCTGGATTGAAATTTCTACACTTCATAGATAGAAATAATTTGTTCATTCACTTAATTCATTTATCTCATTGAATTATTCATCAACTATGTATTGGCTGTCTGTGGTATATTAGGTACTGTTCTAAATGCTAGGTCTTCATCCCTACTGGAATGTGTATGTTAGTGGGAGAGAAAAATAATCAACTAATAAATTTGATGTAATGTCAAGTATGTATAACTTTGTTGATGAAACACAAAGCAGGGTAAGGGGTTAGAGAGTGACCAGGGATGCTGTTTGTAATAGGTTGGTCAGAAAAGGCCTCTTTGAGGAGATGTCATTTGAGCAGAGACCTGAATATACTGTGGAAGTGAACCTTGTAACCCAGAAGAATACAGTTCAAGGCAGAAGAACAGTTGCAGTGATCCTAATGCTTGGCCTGTTCAAGGAATAGCAAGGAGGCCATTGTTGGCTGGAGCACAGTGAATGAGAAAAGTAATAGGGAAGTGAGATTGGAGAGATAGATGGAAACTCCAGAGTATGTTGAACCTTGTAGTCCATGATAGGAAATTTGTTTTTTATTCTTAATGTATGGGAAGCCATTGGAGAATTTTAAGCAGGGCAGTGACATCATCTGTGTTTATAAAAGATCTCATTGCTCTATGGTAAGCTGACTATAAAGAGATAAGAATAGAAGGAGGGAACCAATTTCAAGAGTTGAAGTAGTCTAATCAAGAGACAGTTGCAGTTTGAACTGGGTGGTAGCAGTGGTGGCAATAACAAGTGGCTAAATAATAGATTTATTTTTAAGGTTGAACCAGTAGTACTTGTGGAATTATTTAGTGTGGGTTATGAAAGAGGAGGCAAGGATGACTCCTAGGTATTGGGGCTGAGCATTTGAGGAAATAGGAACTGCCATTTACATTTTGGCAGTGTTAAGCATATCCAAGTGGATATGCCTATTGGCAATTGAATATGCAAGTCTGGAATTCAAGTTAGTTTACAAATATAATGTTGGGAGTCATCACTTTGTATATGGTATTTAAAGACATGGGAATAGGAACAGATAGAGACTAGAAGACAACTAAGTCATAGAGCAGTCCAACATTTAGAGTTTGGGATCGGGGGAAGAGCCAGCAAAGGAGACTGAGTAGGAGCTGCCAGCGAAAGAAAAGAAACACCAAAAGAATGAGGTATTTTGGAAGACAATTGAAGAAATGTTTCAAGGAGACTGTGATTGATTGGGTCTAATGCTCCTGAAAGGCCAAAGGAGATAAAGACAGAGAAATAACATTAGATGGAGTTGTTGATTGATCTTGTTGAGAAGTTTCAGAGGAGCAGTGGAGATAAGCTAATTCAAAAGAATTAGAGTTTAGCAGAGACCAAGCACAGACAACTGTTGCAACATTTTGCTTTGAGAGATTCTGAGAAATAGACAGTATTTAAGGGGAATGTGGGAGCCAGGAGATTTTGACTTTAACACTTTTTTATATACACCTTTCTACTAAACTCCATGAGACGAGTAATTTTTGTCTGTTTAGCTCACCAATGTATCTTCAGCTCTTAGAACAGTGCCTTGCATGTAGTAGATGCTCAATAAGTATTTACTGAATTGATAGAGGGAAAAATTGATGTAGAAAAGCTCATTAATTTTAAGAACAAAGTACTTTGAATAGGAGAAAGGAATGAGATTCAATACACAGTAAAATAGTTTAGGAGTCAGGTAGGGATGGCTGAGGATAGGTCAGATGCATGTAAGTGGGTAGATGGGTGGGACAAGTATGTGGAAGTTCTCTTTGCTTCTATTTTTATGTGTGTGAAATAGGAAGCAAGCTCACCTATTTCTCATTTCTTTCATTGGCCTAAATGAATTCAATTCAATAATAAGAATAAAAACTAACATTTTTGAGTGCTTATGCAGCAAGCACTGTTCTATACTGCTTTATCTATCTTAACTCACTTAAACCTTACAGTAACCCTAGGAGGTAGGTACTATGATGATCTTTTCTTCAGTTTCCATTTCTTCAACTTTCATCCCCTTAATCATTTTTCTTCTTGGAACCTTACCATATTACCTTTAAAAGAATAAAGTTCAGCCCAAATTACCGTGCAACCCAGCAATTCCACTCCTAGGTATCTACCAAAAAGAATGAAAACATCTCTAGACAAAAACTTGTTCAGATTTTTCACAACAGCATTATTCACAATAGCCAAAAAGTGGAAACAGTCCAGATTTCTATTAACTAACAAAAGGATAAAATCTGATGTATTCATATAATGGAGCCCTATGTAGCAAAAAAGGGGAGCAAACCACTGATACATGCTACAGCATAGAAGAACCTTCAAAACATGCTAAGTGAAAGAAGCCAGACACAAAAGACCACATATGTATGACTGTTTCTATGAAATGTCCAGAAAACTATATAGACCAAAAGTAGATTAATGGTTACCTGGGGCTAAGACTGAGATGAGAATTGGCTGGAAATGGGCCTAGTGGGTGATGAAAATGTTCTAAAATTGGATTGTAGCGATAGTTGCACAACTATGCAAATTTACTCAAAATCATTGACTTGTGCATTTAAAATGGGTGAATTTTATGCCCTCTAAGTCCTACTTCAATAAAGCCGTTAAAATGCTTTTAAAATAGAGATGACTAAGGAGAAAAGGTAGGTAGATAGAAAGATACACACATACACATGCACACTGTAGTCAAGAAATTGGAACATAACTAGGTATTTTCTAGCTTTCTTGGCATCTTTATATATTATTCTTTATATTAAAGAGTTTTGTGAGGAACTAAGAGAGTATAATTAAGATCAAAAAACCCCGGTCTCATGTTTGAGCTCCCCAATTTACTAATCACAGGCCTTTCGTCAAGCTTCTTCATCCCTCAAGTATCATTTCCTCATCTGTACACAATAATATTTTCTGTCTCACTGAAATATCATGCTAGAGGATGTAAAGCCAACTAATCTATGACTATAAGGAAATTTAAGAGTTTCCTCAAAATTAGTAGTACTAGTACTGATATTTTTTAAAAAATTCATTGTACAAAGTGCTGACTAGTATAAAAAATCTGAAGTGGATGAATATTCTCATTATGTTGTGCTAAATAAGCTCATTTTTAAATACTTTTTAAAGATTGATTTCTTGATATATTTTACAGTATTAGATTATGACTAGAAATGTTGGTGGCTTTCAAAGGTAACCACGTTATTACTGAATTTGTTTTCTCTTCCATTCAGAGTCTAAAAAGTAACTTATACTTCTTACTTTATATAGCCCAGATTTTAGTACAGTTTTGAATACCTGTTTAAACCGAGGTTTTAGTAGACTTCTAGACAATATGGCTGAGTTCTTTCGACCTACTGAACAGGACCTGCAACATGGTAACTCTATGAATAGGTAAGATGACATATAAAAATGTTATACTAATGAATGCTCTAAAAAAATGGTGCTTTGCTTGTCTTTTTGTTCCAGATAACAACAACAAACCTATTAAATTTGAGTGCCTCATTTTTTAACAAATTAAACTCTGTTAAACCAACAACTTCTTCACTAGCAGAAGCTCCTTCTTGGTTTCAGTATTAAAACTTGGAGTCTTCCAGAAACTTTGCCACTATATTGAAGTACTTTAGTTGTAATTACCTTTCTATAAGTTGAATTCCAATTATTGTTTTTTTTTAACTCTTTAGAATACAAAACTCACAATATGTTTTAATTTTAATGCATTCTCTAATGTTATTCCATTACTGCAGGCCATTTTGGTCTGCATATTTCAATATTTTGTTCCTTATAATACCCGGGCATTGTTGGTATAGATTCTCATTTGATGAATTAGCTCCTTATAGTTCTACAAATGCTTAAATGTATTCATTCCAGTCCTTATTACAGAATTAGGAACATGTATTAGTGCAATTGTTAGTGATTTTAATCATAACTATTACTAAATCATGGACTTATGTATGCCATAAGGTATCTTACGGTTTTTTATATCTTTGTTATCCCAACACAAATATCTTTGGTCTCATATTAGAATTTATACTCTTTAAGGATTTCTATTTTGCAGTTTTTTATGTCAAACTCGGAAAATAATGGGTACTAAATTAATGTTGACTGACTGTAAACTCATTCATTAAAATTTGAGACACATCCTTTGAAGTAGCTTTAAAATTTTTTTTTTAATTGGGGACACAGTAATTGATAGGCAATATGTATGTGCAATATCCAATTTAATTCTTAAATACATAGGGCCAGAAGTTACTTACCAGATTCTCTGAGACCCTTCTTTATTGTAGAGAAAAGATTAATTTGACATTGACATTAAGCATTTGGAATGCTTACAGCCATAAAGTATATTCTCTGAAGTAATTTAAATATCAACATAAAATCTTTAAAAAAATTTTAAGTTATACAAAAATAAATTTCAGCTCAAGACCAATCCTATATACTGTATAAATCAAGGTGCTCCAATTAGTAAAATTTCACCATAATCTGTATATAGCAAGATATTCGTTATTTTGCAAGTAGTGATACATAATTGTAATGGTTATTTTAACATAAATACTTGATTTTGTACACTGAAGAATTGTAAAAATTATACTACAGCCACAACAGCCATGATAGTGTTTCTTTTCTGAACTATAGTAATCATTATCTGTACTTTCATGTACAACCTACATGTGCTACCTTGAATTGGAGTTTTATTCCTCAGTTACATTTTAAGCCTCCTCTCAAAAGTCAAAAACTATCTTGTGCCCTTTCATGTCTCTTTACTCATACAAGGCACTCAGTAGATATTTTCTATATAAGTTTTTCTGTTTCATCTCAATAACCAACTTCATGCTCCATGATTGAACCCTAGAAACATTTCCATCAAGCCTATTGTCATCATTGTTTAATGTGTTGTGAAAGTCTAGCCATCATAGTAAGTCAAGAAAAAACAAATGGCTAAGGCCTGTAATCCCAGCACCTTGGGAGGCTGAGGTGGGTGGATTGCACGAGCCCAGGAGTTCAAGACCAGCCTGGGAAACATAGGGAGAGACCCTATCTCTACAACAAATACAAAAATTAGCTGGGCATGCGGCACATGCCTGTAGTCCCAGCTAATTGGAAGGCTGAGGTGAGAAAATCACCTGAGCCCGGGAAGTCAAGGCTGCAATGAGCTGTGATTGTGCTACTGCACTTCATCCTGGGCGAGGGAGTGAGACCCCCCTGCCCCCCCAAAAAAAGAAGTAAGGTTTTTAACTATTGGCAAAGACACAAAGTATATTATTTACGTGTATTATAATTAATAAGCCAGACCTCTGAAGAGAATCAACTGAAAAATGAGGTAAACTAATAAAGGCTTTAATTTATATATATATATATATATATAAAATATATATGCAACATATATGTATTAATGTATTATATGTATTACATATGCATGTAATATAATGTATAATGGATATTTAAAAGTCAAAAGTGCAAAATGAAATCCAGAAGTATATTACAATAATAATAGCAGCTAATACTTTTTCCATGTGCTAGTTTGATGATAGGTATTTTTCAGAATGTCTCTCATTGAATTCTTAAAATAATCCTAGGAAATACGTACTAGTATTCTTCATTTTCCAGGTGAGGAGACTAAGACACAGAAAAATTAAATAACTTCAGGTCAAGTGGTAAAGCCAGTTGTTCAATAATGTCTATCTGAGATAGAAATTTTTCTCCAAATTTTTAATTATTCTCCAACACTATGATTAATTAAGGTTTAAGAATGTAAGGAGGGTTAAAACTAGAAAAGCTATTTTGGTAATCCATAACATTAATAAGCTAATAAGATAAAAAACATTATCTTCAGTGTTGCTGAAAAGACATTCAATAAAACAACATTTATTATGGATAAAACCTCTTACTAGAAATAAAAAATACATTTTTATATAATAAAATAATATTTGAGTCAGGTATGATAGCTCACTTCTGTAATCCTGATGCTTTTGGAGGCCAAGGCAGGAAGATTGCTTGAGGCAGGAATTCAAGACCAGCCTGGGGAATATAGCAAGACTCCTGTCTCTACAAAAATTTTTAAAACCACCAAGAGGATTGCTTGAGCCCCAGAGTTCAAGGCCACAGTGAGCTATGATCATGCCACTGTACTCCAGTCTGAGTGACAGAATAAGACCCTGTCTCTTAAAAAAATATATAAAAAAAGAGTATTTGAAATCAAAAGCAAATATACTTAATAGTAAAACTGGAATGATTTCCATTAAGTTCAAAAACAGTATAAAGATGGTCACTATTGACAGATTATTCAGCATCATTCTATTATTCTATCTAATGGAGTAAGGCTAGGAGAAGACCAATTTTGAGATTCAATTAAGGAAAGCTGTTGATTTTTTTCTATACTTATATCTTGAAAATAGGTAACTTTTACTGTTGGATAGCGAAAAAAGAAAGAAAATAGACAATTTACTGAGTGTTCTTACCATTTTAATAAACTGTTAGTTGACCGTTGGTTTTCTAAGTTAAACTCATGCTATCTTTAAAAATGATATCAATTTTGAAAAGGGAGAAGAAAAAGCTATTGTTATATGAAGGGGACAGACTTTATACTTAGAAACCCAAGAGAGTCAACTAAAAAGTGTAAAATTAGCCTTCCAAAATTAATCTAAAATATAATCAAAATATTATCAAAATTCTATTGGAGATTGGAGGATGGTTGATTTTTTTCATCTTAAACCTGACAAATGATAATAAAGGTAATATGGAGGAATAATGGAATGAGAATGTTTAAGCAGTTATTGGAAAAGAAGAGCAATGGATATGCTTTTCCTATATAATATATAATATAAGGTATAATTATTGTTACTCATAAAATAATAGGTAAGTCAGTGAAATAGAATGTAAAATCCAGAAGTAGCCCTAAAAATTGTAGGATGTTAGTAATGATTGTGGGCAAAATATATGTTGGTAAGACGAATAACAATTAGTCATTTTACAATGACTAATAAAATTCAGGAGGTTTAAGCATTTAAATATACTAAGTAAAAACAAATATACTGATCGAAAACAGGTGACTATGTGACCTCAAGATGGAGAAGGTATTTCTAAGAATGAAAGTAAAGAACTTTATATAAAAGAAGTCTAGGTTTGACTGTATAATTTTTAAAACTTCAAGATCAAACAAGCTTTTTATAAGCTTTTCATCAATATTAAATGCAAATAATATACAGGAGGAAATGTTTGCTCTCTTTATGTATATATATCATCCATGAGTGTAATGACATTATATACAGAACTTTTGCACATCAGTTAAGGAAGCAAACACCTAAGGAAAGAAAAATTTTCTTTCTTAGAAAATGTGCATCAAAGACACAGATAATTCACAAAAGAGCAGATGGAAATGGCCAGTTTGTTAATCTAAGATTTATTGAACACGTGTTATGAATCAGGCACTGTATTAGGTTTCTGTTCCCATAGATCTTACAATCTAATTGGGGAAATAGTAAATATAATTGTATAAACTATGAGAAGTGTTATAAAGGAGAAGAACACTGAACGTATAATAGAAAAATTTAAACAAAAGTAGACAGTCAAGCAGTTTTCCTGAGGAAATAATTTGAACTACTAAGATTGGAAGCTATTAAATATGACCCTAGACTACAGTGGGACAGTTGACATTCTGGGCAGAAGCTACAGGGCAAAGGTTTTGAAGCCACCTAAGTACATTTTAAGACTTATAAAGAGGCTGGCATGGTAGCTGAATACATAGAACAAGAGTGGTGTCAGACAAAGCTGGAGAATGCAGCATATACAGATATGGCTGTCATCTGAGAACACTGGAAGGCTGCTGGAGAGTTTTGAGCAGGAGAGTGATGTAATGGAATTTACATTGTATGATTTCTTTGACTGGTTTGTGGAAAAGGAATTGGGTAAACAGGGACTGGGGCAGGACAGACAAATGGATGAATGAAGACTTATTAATCAATTCAACAAGTATGTATTGGATGTCCACTGTACACAAGACCTTTTACTATGTGCTGGGACAATACAGTGCATAAGATAGACATGGTGTGTAACCTCATGGAGCTTGCATGATAGTGAGGGGAGACAGAGCAATCAAGTAATCAAAATCATGATAGATTTTGAAAAATGCCACAAAGGTACCATGAAAAAAAAAATGCCTGCTTCCCTCAGGAATACATAAATCTTCCCACTTCCTTTATTCTTTTTTAAGCATTGCCTCAAATCTCAGCATAGCACACTGGTTGTACACCCTAGCTTCAGCACTTGCATGATATTTAAAAGGAAATTTTTAGTGTAGCCCTAGGTTGAAATGTATGAGATGTCATATTTAATGTAATAAGACTAAATCTACAACCCCAACGCAAAAATGAGTCTTGTTGTTTAAGTCATTGCATCACATACATACAGTGATACATACATGTATTCATTTATGCATCCAACAAATGTTTATTGTGCTCTAACAAGTTAAAAAGTTATTGCTGTAGTCCAGGCAAGAGATAATGCTCAGCTTGGAATCTGTTGGGCAACGGGGAGAATTCTTGGCACTTATTTGAATATAGGCAAGGGAAAGAAGTGCCAAGGATTTTCAAAAGATTTTAAGATTATTAAAAGATTTCTTTTGAGAAATCTTTAGAATATCTGATTGGGTATAGGCAAGAGAAAGAAGTGCCAGGGATAATGCCCATATTTGCTGCTTCTAGAACCTGATAGATAATGGTGTGGTTCACTGGAGTAGGGGGGAAATACTCAACATTGTTAGTAATTAAGAGAAATGCAGATTTAACCTGTAAGATACTATTTTCACCTATCAGATGTGAAAGATTAAAGAAAAGGATAATGTTGGATGTTGAAAGAAGGCATAATGGAGCAGATACATTCATACCCTTTGACCCAGTGATTTCATGTTTATACAAAATCTTACTTAGATTAAGAAAATTTAGGCAAAAACTGAAATGCCCAACTCTAGGGAACTCATGATATAAATTGTCACAGCTAGAGGACAGATTACTGTATAGTCATTAAAAAACAATCAGACAAACACTTTAGAACTTTTAATAAGATGGAAAATACTCATAACAATAAAAATGCAAAAACAGTGTGCTTAGGAGGTTAGAGGTTTTTGGTAGACACAAAAAAACAAAGATATGTGTAAAAAAACGCCAAAAGAAATTGGTCATGATGTCAATTAGAGTTGTTATTTCTAAGCGATAGAATTGTGGGGTTTTTTTTCCTTTTTAATAGATTTCCAAAAATATTCTACAATGGCTATGTATTACTTTTATAATTAAGATGTTAAAGTCCTGTGGGGTCATTTCAGAAAATAATCATTACTGTAATGATTTTTCAGTCTTTCCAGTGTCAGCCTGCCTTTAGCTAAGATAATTCCAATAGTAAACGGACAGATCCATTCAGTTTGCAGTGAAACACCTAGTCATTTTGTTCAGGTAAGAAGAAAGCTTGGGAGTGTTATTAAAAGCAAATTATATTTGTGGTGGTGGTCATGTTTGTCTAACATAAAGTTACATTCTCTGCTGAGAGGTTTTTTCAAAAAATCACAGAACTTGGAACTACATGTAGAGTATGGTAGAGTGTCCCATGAGAGTAATAACGGACCATAGCAAATGTGTAAGTTTGGAGTACCTTTCTCCGTGTTGTAGTCCAACACTGTGGGACTACATTTTAGTCCAGGTGTATTATAGTGGTCAGTTGAATTTATATAGCATGAATGTTTGCATTAAGCTGTGCTAGTAAGAAGATTGATCCTTGGGGCAGATCAAGGATCCTGTTCTACACATTTTGAGGAAAACTAAAAAAATTTGTGGAGAAGTAAAGCATTTTAGTGATTAATAAAATGTAACAGTTAATAGTGCATCAATAATATGCTCACTAAAAGCCACATAAACAGTGGGTCATTTAAATGTTTTATCAGACTACCTATAACTCCATCTTATTTCTTCATTTCCATTTGGAATGCATGGAGTAATTCAGTAATTCATTGAGTAATTCAGTAATTCATTGAGTAAGACAAATATTATAAACAAAATAACTTTGAATTTCTGAGTCATGTGCAAACTTGGAAACTGTGTTATAAGTTAAAAAATTGTTTGCAATGCCAGTTGCAAACTGCTTCAATAATGTACAATGAGAAGAGACCCTATGGCCTAAGCATAAAGCTGACATCTTCTTAGTGTAACTTGTCTCAGACAATTTAGTGTATCCTCTCTGTAGACTTTTTACTCTTGGGAACGTGGAGAGCACTGAGACTAAGAGTTCGTTTCCTCCTTTCACTGTGGTGTCATCAGCCTGTCCTTCACATGCACATTTTCCCACACTGGACTCTTCAGTCTTCTGTCCTCTTTCTCACCCCTAAGAGCTTGGCACTCATATTGCAGAAGAAATAGTGAATAAGACTGATCTCATTTTACTGAATGTTAAGCTTCACATCTATATCAATGTGAGAAAAAGGTCATAACTTGGGGCATTTAAACCTTACCTTTACCTTTGTCCTCTTCTGTAGAAGTCCCTGGCTTGGCCAGTAGGCTGTTCATTTTGACAGATGAGTGGAAATTACAACCAAGCATAAAGCATCATCAGCCTTAATGCTTAAATAATTTTATGCACTACACTTTAATTAAAATCGATATAATTGATAATAAAAACAAATGTTTCAATATGGTAAAAACGCCATTGATACTAATGTTTAGTAAAGTTTTTTACTGTAACTGGATGTATATTAAATGTATATACTAGACCATTGATTGACAAGGCTATTACAATTATAGTTTAATTTTTTAAACTATAATTTCTATGAGTTAAAATACCAAGTGGTCTTCTTAATAAATTGTCATATGCTTTACTATTTCCACTTATCTTTTTATAAAGCCTTTGCCTTGATTAGAATGCTAATTTACATAAAATTAGTCCTTTCGAATTACTGCTACTACTTCAACTACAATGGTGTGTAGGAGAGCCTATGGTGGGAATGCTGTAGAACAGGGGTTTGGCAAACTGTACAGGGCCAGATAGTACATACTTTAGGCTTAATGCAACATACATTCTCTACAGAAACTATTCAACTCTGCTCTGGCAGTGTGAAAGCAGTCAGAAACGTACATGAACAAAAGAGTATGGCTGTTTCAACAAAACTTTATATACAAAAACAGGCGGCAGTGGATTTGGCCTGCAGGCCATACTTTGCTGACCCCTTTGGTAGAAGATATTAGGATGGTAGTTGGTAAAGGTAGGAAATGGGAGAATCAGAAAACAATCGAGAAAGGTGGTTTTTCAAATTATTTTCAAATAGCTTTCAAATAACATAAGCAGGAGATAAATTATTTCAGATTGCTTTCAGATAACATAAGGAAAGAGCTTTTATAGTGTGAACCAACCCTATGATACATAATTTTTATCTCAGACTACTGAAACATCCTAGAAGCTGCATCAGGATACAGTATTTGAACAGATTAAAGTCTTTATTATAAAGCTGATATAAGTTAGCTATGACCTATGAGCCAAATCCAGCCAAGCACCAGCTTTTGTAAGTTTTATTGGGTGACAGCATGCCCATTGGTTTATGTGTTGTTTATGGCTGCTTTTGCACTACAATGGTAGTATTTCTCAGATTTGTCCATACACCTCACATACATATGTACACACATATACCACAGTCCTCCAGTGTTTAAATCATTTTTAGTGTATAAATTAAAAACTCAATAAGATCCTTAAGATTAGAGCTTTTTCGTAACTCAAAACCAAAGCACTTTTATTGTCAAGTAGAATCTAAATTACAAAAAAAGATTGTTCTATAATATGGCTGACGTCTACTATTAATAATTTGTTGTGCCAAAGTGAATGTGGACCTGTCTGCTACTGTTCATGCTGTTGAGCATTCAGCCTGCATTTTCTGAAGCTGACTTGCTAGTATTTTTTTTTTTATCTACTGTAACTATTCTGAAAGCTTCATTTGTATCATGTGTTTTACATGATTTGGTCTTCATTTGAAAGATTTTCTGCCTCTGTTCTTCTCTCATTAGCACAAGACAGTTAAAGTAATGTTACTTAAAGCCAATAAGAACATAAATATAAACAAATGCCCTAAAATCAGGAACAATAGTAGGTTATATATTTTATCTTCTCAATAATCAAGAGCGTGTTTGAGTTTTCTTTACATTTTCATAGAAATCAAAACACAAAATTTCCCCTCAAATTCTTGGGCCCCTGAAAGTATGTCTGTAAATTCTGGTTTGAGAAACATTGATCTAAACCTATGTTTCATTGAACACCTAGACTGAATACTTGAAACTAAATAACATCAAATTCTCTGATGAGATAATTTAACCATGAATTGATTGAGATTAGGACATGTCTAAACCTCACTTGGATTTTCCGATACTTAAGAAACAGAGATCACTAGGGACAGGTTTACTTCCCATTTCTTTGACACTCTCAGAGGCTGTCAACCTTTTCTATCATGGACCCTTTCACAGACTGGTGAAGCCTATGGACCCCTTCTCAGAACAATATTTATAAGTGCATACAATAAAATACATAATATTATAAAGGAAACCAATCATATATAGTTTTCAAAATTTCTTTTAAAATTAAGTGTATGATATAGCGGTATTGCTTCTTTATTCATGCATTAAATACCAAGATATAATGAGAGTTCTGATAACTTCCACAACTGTCATATGACATGAAAATGCCTATGATTTCTATTGAAGACAAAGTCATACAACCTGCTAATATTATCACAGTTTGTTGCCTACATTCATAATTGAAAGAGATACCAGATTTTGGTTAGAAGTTAAAGAAAATGAAGGTGTAATTTTTTTCTTATCTTCACATTCGCAAATCCCTTGGGGTGTTAATAACCCTTACACTATAGTGTATATGTGTGGTTCATGTATGTGTGTATATGTAAAATATGCACTTACTACACATATTCATACCGTATGTTAGATCTTCTAGAAAGTAATACACCCTTAACCGTGTTATGTCAGCTTCCAGCAAAAGTACCTTTACTCCTACAATTATTTATTCAACAGATACCTATCTAGCACTTGACATACACCAAAATTCATTTGAAGACTATTTGGGGTTTTTGTCCCTCAAAGTCACACTTGAACGCTTATGATACCATCATCCCTCATATAAGAACCTAAATAATAACTATCTCCTAGAATTTATTACAAGAAAAACTACTCATTTTCTTAAATGGTTTGCCTCTTGGCCTTTACCACAAAACTTAGAGCTGAATTCATCGCTTGATTGCAGAAATTAATTCAAATTAGCTATATGTTTTGCAAACTATAATGTTATATTATCATCTTTGCTAGGATCTGTTGACAATGGAGCAAGTGAAAGACTTTGCTGCTAATGTGTATGAAGCTTTTAGTACCCCTCAGCAACTGGAGAAATGATTTTTCCTTCAAGAAAAACTACAGTGGGATTCATTTACTTTTTAAAATACACTGGGTAAATCACCTATACTTAGAGTAACAGTTTGTTATCAAAATGCCTGATAAAATATATTCTTAATAAAAGTCTTCATTTCATAATGAAATCAATTTATTTGGCATCTTAATATATTTTTTTAGATTCATCAACAGACCAGTTTTTGTGGGCATATATATATACACGTGCAAATATCAGAATTGTTAATAATTTGTTACACATGGACATTTGTTCCAAACTGACTAAAAATCAATATAGATATTTTATATACATATATATATATAAAAATACAAAATTCAGTGTACTTTACCATATTAATACTGAGGAAAAATCTGTTGGAGACATAGGTCTAGGATGTGTGAAGTTTGGAAAAATATGCTATTTAATTATAATGTTCCCTAGACTGCTGTAAACAGAAGTGAATCAGACTTTTCTCCAGCTACCTTTCAAAATAATAAATTATTTGTCTCAAATATACCTTGATGGAGGACTTTTTTATTCTTATGGAAATAGTGAATTCCAACAACTATGATGAACTATGTTCTTTGCTATTTCTTCACTATATTTTTTAAGGTTTTATTAAAAAGCCTTAGAAAGTTACATATTGGTTTAGAGGCTAAAATTGTGTTGATGCTGTTTACTCACCTAATTACATAGTTTTAATCATTTGTACATAATTTTAAAAACTTACTTTGTATTGATTTTGAATACAGTGAAAATCTTATTGCAATAAACTATTTTAGTAAAATATTATTTTGTTGAGTTAATATTTTTCAGCTATTAATTTACTTATCCCATAGCATTTTTGTTATTATTTCGGAAGAGAGAGCATGCTAGTTTAAGTTTCATTTTAATTGGTCGTGTACTTGGTGCTTTTTTGTTGTTGTTAACTTGTTCATTTAGTAAAAAGCAAATAGCTTTACTTTCTGAAAAAGAAATAATTCATTATCTCTAGTAATACATCTGTAATTCTTCATTTAGAAGGGTAATTAGGGCAAAAGTAAATAAATCATTATATATCATTAGTATGTTGACATATATTTTCAGTAACATTGTTTTATGTTCCTCCAGCGTAACATGTAGCTGAACAGTAGAAGGTAGAAAATAAATTATGACATCTCTTCTAAGGCCTGGCTAGGCCTGAAGCTCACTGCCAGGGAGTTTGTGTCTAGAATGTTTTTAAAAATAGGTAGTGGAGCCATAGCCCTCACCATAGACACCTCTGAGCCCACTGGCATTGTCTCTGAGCAGAAGATGGCTGTGCCACTCACATATGCTAATCTTGGCAAATCTGCCAAGCATGTCTTCACCAAGGGATATGGATTTGGCTTAATAAAACCTGATTTGAAAACAAAATCTGAGAATGGATTGGAATTTACAAGCTCAGGCTCAGCCAACACTGAGACCACCAAAGTGACAGGCAGTCTGGAAACCAAGTACAGATAGACCGAATATGGCCTGACATTTGCAAAGAAATGGAACACTGACAACACACTAGGCACCGAGATTACTATGGAAGACCAGTTAGCATGTGGACTGAAGCTGACCCTCCATTCATCCTTCTCGCCTAACACTGGGGGAAAAGTGCTAAAATCAAGACAGGATACAAGTGGGAGCACATTAACCTGGGCTGCGACGTGGATTTGGACATTGCTGAGCCTTCAGTCCGAGGCACTCTTAAGTGCTGGGTTATGAGGATTGGCTGGCCAGCTACCAGGTCAATTTTGAGACCACAAAGTCCTGAGTGACCCAGAGCAACTTTGCGGTTGGCCACAAGACTGATGAATTCCAGCTTCACACTAATGTGAATGACGGGACAGAGTTTGGCAGCTCCAATTAGCAGAAGGTGAGCAAGAAGTTGGAGACTGCTGTCAGTCTCGCTGGGACAGCAAGAAACAGGAACACTCGCTTCAGAATAGCAGCCAAGTATCAGATCGATCCTAAAGCCCACTTCTCCACTAAAGTGAACAACTCCAGCCTGATAGGTTTAGGATACACTTAAACCCTAAAGCCAGGTTTCATACTGACACTGTCAGCTCTCCTGGGTGGCAAGAACATCTATGCTAGTGGCCACAAGCTTGGTCTAGGACTGGAATTTCAAGCATAAATGAATGCTGTAGAATTGTTTAAATTATTTTGCAGCATAGATACCTTCACAATTTAGTGTATCTTTTAATGTTGTATGGCTGGGATGCAAGTATTGCTAAATGTCATATTGGACCTCCAGGTTAAAGATGATTCAGCTTTAAGGTGTTACCCTTTCAGGGGTACAGAAGAAACCCAGTTCCAAAAAGGTCCCTTCAGTGGTAGATTTGGGGAACTTGGTGGCCCCTGTAGAGATGCCAGGTTTCTTTTTTATCTAGAAATGGCTGCAAGTGGAAGCTGATAATATATAGGCACCTTGTAAATTCATATTGAGTAAATGAATGAAATTGTGATTTCCTGAGAATTGAACCTTGGTTTCCTAACCCTAACTGATGAGAGGCTTGTTGCTTGATGGTGTGTACAAATTTACCTGAAAGGGACCTTTTAAAGACAGATCTTCATGACTTGTTCCCATCCCAGGTCTTCATTACCTCTTTTACACAAAAAGATCTACAGGGTGTGGTCACTGTTTCTTTTGTGCTGTTTTGGGGTGGAGAGGGTGGATGTGATGAAGCCAATAATTCAGGACTTAATTCCTTCCTGAGTTGTGGTTTTTTTGTCCTTGCATCAGTGTATAAAATAGCTTCCAGGAGCTCTAGCTATAAGCTTGGAAGAGTCTGTATAATTGTAATCACAGGGTGACAGCACTCAGAATCTAAACTGGGCTTATGTGGTATTCTCACCACTCAATTTATTTTTTAGCAGTTTAATGGGTACATTTTAGAGTCTTCCATTTTGTGTGGAATTAGATCCTCTTCCTCAAATGCTGTAATTAACTTTAAAAAAAAAAAAAAAAAAGGTAATGGTCCAGCCTGGGCAACATGGTGAAATCTTGTCTCTACAAAAAAATTAGCCACGCATGGTGGCATGTGTCCGTAGTCCCAGCTACTTGTAGGGATGAGGTGAGAGAATCACTTGAGCCGAGTAAGTCAAGGCTGCATGCAGTGAGCTATGATTGCACCACTGCACTCTAGCCTGGGTGACAGAGTGAGACCCTGTCTGGGAAAAAAAAAAAAAAGTAGTGGTGGAGAGGAGGGAATATGCTTCTTTTCAAAATTTGACAAAATATGATATTCTCACTTTTAATGGGGCAAATGAAAAATAGCATTTTGGTAAATTTGGGAATGAGTGTGTAATGGGCACACATCTCTTCCAACAAAATTAACCCAGGATTTCATCCAGGGAAAATTTGAGACTAAACAGGTGTAGCCTTGTAAGGATACAAATTTGATCAGCTGAAAATTATCTCCTGGAATCATATGCGTCTGTATAACTGTGGCAGTGGAAGAGATGACAAGGTAAAAACCACATGTATTTAAAGCTACTTGGGAGGCCGAGGCCGGAGAATCGCTTGAACCTGGGAGGCGGAGGTTGCAGTGAGCTGAGATCATGCCACTGCACTCCAGCCTGGGCGACAGAGTGAGACTCTGTCTCAAAAAAATGAATAAATACAAAAATAAAGTTAATTGTTCTTAGATAGTACAAATCTGCCTTCTAATAGTATAGCAGGAGCCCTCTCATCAGAAACCTTTAGTTGTTTGGTTAATCTAAAAAGTTATTTAAATCAGGGTGTCATAAAAAGTACATATATAGACATTTTAACTTTAAATATTCTATATTTACCACTTATTTACTATAGGATCCAGGTTTTTTCTAACTTTTTAGTGTACATCTACTCAGTCGGGCTGTTGGTGATATAGTGGTACAGCATAGCTGCCTTCCCATATAGGTCTGCTGATAGATGTTCTCTAATTGTCTTTCTTGAATTCCTGGCCTCAAGGATCCTCCCACCTCAGCCTCTCAAGTAGCTGGGATTACAAGCTGGAGCTTGTAATCTAATTATCTTTCTTATACAAATTACATGCATTACATTACATAGGTGTGAACCACAGATGCAGAATTCTTGAAGATTTTTACTATATTTTCCCCCAATCTTTTAGAGCAGTTTTGCCCACAGTTAACCAATAGCTTTTTTTTTTTTTTAAATTTTTAAAGTCAACAAACTTTTATCTAGTCTTTCCAAAGTATTTAACTTGGCTTTAACAGAAACTAGAACTCTTCACGCTTGCGTCCTTGGCTCATATTATCATCATAAAAAGTTCACCTGGCATAATCAGTTTGTTTGGTAACTGTATTTGTTTCCTAGAGCAGTTGTAACAAATTACCACTCCACAAGTGGCTTAAAATGAGAAATTTATTCTCTCACACTTCCGGTGGCTAGAAATCCAAAATCAAGGCGTCAGCAGGGCCATGCTCCCTCTCCAATCTCTGCCTAGTCGTCACATGGCCTTCTGTCTCTGTGTCCTTTTCTGTCATTTATAAGGATACTGTCATTGGATTTAGAACCTACTCATATCCAATATCAGCTTATCTCAATACTTACCTATTACATCTGCAAAGACATGATTTCCAAGTGAGAATACATTCTGAGGTTGCAGGTGGACATAAATTACTGGGGAACACTATTTGACCCACTACAGTCACAAACTCAAACAGCCTTTGGTAAACATACCTTGCAGCAAATGGGAATAGAAAACACAACCCCTACTCAGGTTAAACAACAGAAATTTATTTTCTCACAGTGTTGGAGGCTGAAAATCCAAGATCAAGGTATCAGCAGATTTGGTTTCTTCAAAGACTTCTCTCCTTGACTTGCAGATGGCACCTTCTCACTGTCTTTATATGGCCTTTCCTCTGTGCACTTGTATCCCTGGTGTGTCTTCCCCTTCTTATAAGGACATCAATCCTATTGGCTTTAGGGCCCCACCCTTATGACCTCACTTAACCTTAGTTACCTCTTTAAAGGCCCTGTTTCGAAATATAGCCATGTACCACATAACAGCTTTTCAGTCAATAATGGACTGCATATATGTTGGTGGTGCCATACGATTATAATGGAGCTAAAAATTCCTATCACCTAGTGACATCATAGCCATCATAAGGTAGCACAACACGATAATCATGTTGTTTATGGTGATGCTGGTATAAACAAACCTGTGCTGCCAGTCATATAAAAATCTAGCACATAAAATGATGTAAGGTATATAGTACTTAATAAATGGCTAGGTTACTGGTTTATGCATTACTGTGCTATATGTTTTGTCATTATTTTAGAGTGTACTTCTACTTAAAAAAAAGTTAACTGTGAAACAGCATAAGGCAGGCCCTTCAGGAGGTCTGTGAGAAGAAGGCATTGTTACAGGAGATGACAGCTCCGTGGGTATTATTGCCCCTGAAAACCTTCTAAGCAGGACAAGATGTGGAGATGGAAGACAGTGACATTGATGATCCTGACCCCGTGTAGGCCTAGGCTAATGTGTGTGTTTCTGTAAAAGTAAAAAGTTAAAAATTTTAAAAATAGAAAAAAGCTTATAGAATAAGAATATGAAGAAAGAAAATATTTTTGTACATTTGCACAATGAGTTTATGTTTTAAGCTAAGTGTTATTACAAAAGAGCCAAAAAGGTTTTAAAAATTAAAACGTTTGTAAAGTTACAGTACACTTATGTTAATTTATAATTGAAGAAAGAAAAACTTTTTTTTATAAATGTAGTGTAGCCTAAGCATACAGTATTTATAAAGTCTGGCAGTGTTCAATAATGTCCTAGGCCTTCACATTCACTCACTGACTCACCCAGAGCAACTTCCAGTCCTGTAAGCTCCATTCGTGGTAAGTGCCCTATACAGGTGCACCATTTATTTTACAGTATTTTTACTGTACCTTCTCTATGTTTCCATATGTTTCGATATACAAATACCACTGTTACTATTGCCTACAGTATTCAGTAACATGCTGTATATGTCTGTAGCCTAGGAGCAACAGTCTATACCATACACATTAGGTGTGTAGTAGGCTATGCCATCTAGGATTTTGTAAATACACTCTATGATGTTGGCACAAAAAAAAATTGACTAGCAATGCATTTCCCAGAAAATATCCCCATATTAAGTGATGCATAACTATATAATCATGGGGGATATGGCTTCAACATAAAATTTTCAGTTCGGTCCATAATACCACCAATTCCTTGCTACTATAATGTGAAAAAATTCTCACCTCTGAGTCACACATGGAAACAAATCAATGTGAAGAGACTTTAATGGCAAAGTGCACTGGAGAGTTAAAATGGTTACATGGGTAATTTAAGAAAAAATTTAGTGGGAAAAAGGGAAAGGGCTGAACTGCCAAAATAATTTTCTTATCCAGTTTTACATTTGCTTTCTCCATGTGCTACAATTATAGACACCTGATAGTTCCTAGCCTTAGACATAACTTGCAGCATCAGCCACTCTGCTGCACTTTAGATCACATTAGTCAGGGCTAGAGCCCAGCCCCATTTACACGGCATCTGATGAATGGTTAGCTGTGGCAGTTCTACCATAATGCCATTTTGCTCCAAAGAAATCCAGTTAAGTGGCTGTCCATGGCCCAGTAGTTTCACCTGAAATTAAAAACATACATGCAAATGTCTCCAAATTTATCTCTTTATCTCACCCACTTTCTATTGGGAAGGAGTGATTAGTAGTTCAAACAAAATTGTAGACAAGAGGTTCATTTTTACCTTTATTTAGTGATTCACAATCACTCTTCATCCAATTGAGTGTATGTATCTTGCCTCTATATTCTTGCTTCTATTTTACTCTCAAGAGGGAAATAGAAGTGTGCAGGGGTTGGGGAAGGAGAATTTTCAAGACTGAATGGAGTCTCAGAGTGGAGAAAAAGCTAAAGAGAGGATCAGGAGCAGAAAGTGGCTCTGAAACCAGAGTCTGCCCAAGTATCTACTCAGCGTTCCTCCCCCAGATTTTCTAATAACCTCCACTAATCAATAATACATAAATTTGATCAATTATTACTGTAATTGTTTTATATTCTTAGTCTTACTATACTAAGCAAATTCAAATAAGTTCCCTACATATTCTAGGGTTATTTTGAACCAAAAACTTTGCTTCTCAGGTGGATCAATATGAAAACAAAGCCCATGAGCTTTTAAATAATAATGTTAATTGGCACCAAAAAGAACATAGATAAAATAAAAACATAATCAGTATCATACCTGGGCTACTAAGCTGTAATTAAACATTAGATTTGAACTCATCTTCTTTCTGCCTCATCAACCACATGTATTAGAAATGAAATGCAGAAAAGTGATGCAAGGAGAACCCCCATATGGACAGTTCACCTCCAAAGGGATAATTTATTTAAAAAAATAAGTTATAAAATATATCAGAATGAACTCAATGCCAGATCTGGTGGTTTCAACAGTTAGATTAATCTCTAACTTTCTCCAAAATGTTTTATAAACATAAAATAGTAGAGTCATGACATCTTGTATTCAGATATGTTCTGGGGTGGGGTGTCAGGGAAAGCATCCGAATTCTAGTTTTATGAGAAGAATCATTTTGGATGCATGCAGTGAACTTGAACAACGTAAAATGACTGTGAAGAATAATGTCTATTTTACAGTGATATGCATAGAGATACTGCAGCTGTTTTATCAGCTTAGTTTTCTGGGAAACAAAAAGTTTCAAAGATTTTGACCAAACACTGTCATTGGTGAAATTCATTTTATTTTATTATATTTTATTTTATTTTTTCAGAGACAGGCTGAAGTGGTGCAGTCATAGCTTACTGTAGTCTTGACCTACTGGGCTCAAGCAATCCTCCTGCCTCAGCCTCCTGAGTAACTAGGACTACAGGTGCGTGCCACCATGCTCAGCTAACTTTAAAAAAAATTTTTGTAGACAGGGGTCTTGCTATGTTGCCCAGGCTAGTCTCAAACTTCTGGCCTCAAGACATCCTCCTGCCTTAGCCTCCCAAAGTGCTGGAATTACAGTGTGAGCCACAATGCTTGGCTGGAGCTCATTTACAATTCCTTTTATGAAGTATAAGTGAAACAGTTATAAGGCTCCCCTTAAAAGTTAATGTTTGCATCAAGATGTTCTAATCAGCAATTTAAAGGAATAAGGTAAAATTCCCTCTTACCTCTGTTGCCCCCAGAATAGCTTTGGGATGGCCAAGGAACAGCTGTCCTGATGTGGGCCATTTAAGAAAAATGGCATAGACTAATTTTTCTTTAGGCTTGGATGTGTACCTGGTTAAAAGAAAAAAATAAAGAGCATAGTAGCAAGTTACATCCCATGTTTCTCACTATTTATGGATCAGGAACAATCTGGAATTATTTTACAGATACTTCCACAATGTCACCACTAATAGAAGGGAAGGAAAAATAGCCTCATGGTGGTATAAAAAAACACCTTCCTCCCCCAAGACCAAAAGGAAGTTCTTGGAAGACAAAGATTTTCCTGAGCTAGCATTCCTCTTCATCAGACTGCTCTCATGGAGCTGAAAAGGGGAGGGAGATGATCTAAGGGGACAGGATGCAAGAGCTTCATGGCTTTTCATGTATTATTCAAATTTTTATATTCATTCATTCATTCAACAAGACAAGATATGCATGTGTCAATTCTGTGCCTAGTACTGTGCTCAGTGTTAGAGTTACAATAAAAAACAAAACACACATAGTCCTTGTTCTTATGGAGCTTAGACTAGAGTGGGGAAAGCAGACACTAAACAATCACACAAATAATATGAAAGTGTGAGTTCTGATAAGCACCATGAAAGAAAAGGAAATTGAGAGATTATAACAAAAGGATCTCTTTAGATTAGAACATCAGAAAGAAGCCTCTCCAGGAACATAACATTTAATCTGAGACTTAAAGGATGAATGGGAGCAAAGAAGAAGGTAAGGGAAGTATGCTGTGGACAAAAAAAAAAGTGGATTTCATTCATTTATTCATTCAATTACTCAAGAAATACTTATTGAAATCTTAAAATGCTAGACACTGTTTTAGAGCTATATACAACATTGAACAAAGTCCTTGTCCTCATGGGGCTTACATTCTAGTGGAAGAAATTAGAATCAACAAATATGTCAGGTGTTGATTAAATGCTATGGAGAAAACAAGCCAGGTTAGAAGGACAGGGCATGCTAGGTAGGAAAGGAGGGGCCTGGGAGTGTTATTTTAAACAGAATAGTCAGGGAAGACTTCTTAGAGGTGGCATGGAAGAGAACCATGGGAGCGCCATAAGAGCACCACGGGAGCGTCTGGGGAAAACCTTCCAGACAGAATGACAAGTGCAGGAGCCCCAGTGCAAGAGTGTGCTCTGCCTGTTGATGCACTAGCAAGGCAGAGTGCCTGAAGGAGAGGAAGTGGGGGAGGGTGATGGCAGATAAGATCAGAGAGGCGATAGGAGCCAGATTTTATAGGCCCTTGTAAGCATCTATGGGACCTGGCCTTCTCTCTGAGACTGGAAGCCATTGGAGAAATGTGACCATGGGAGTGGCATTATTATTTAAAAGTATACTCTGATTGCTTTGTGGTGAATAGGTTAAAGGGTAGAAATAGAGACCTATTAAGAAGCTACTGAAATAATCCAGGCAGGGGCGAGACAATGGAAACTAAAAGGATGAGGGTTGCCACAGAGAGGATAAGAAGTGGACAGATTCTGAATATATTTCAAAGATGCAGAGGATGATATCTGCTAATGGGTTGGCTGTGACTATAAAAGAAGGGGAAACTAAGGGCTTCAAGGTTTTGGGCTTGACAACCACCTAAAGGATGAAGCTGCCGTTAACTGAGATGGGAAAGACCATGGGTGGAGCTAGTTGATAGCAAAATTTTAAAACTCAGGATTTCAGTTTTGGATGTACAGGTCTAAGATGCTATGCATCTAAGTGGAAATGCTGAGTAGGAAGTTATTGAGGCTGGAGTTCGGAAAGAGGTCTGCACTGGAAATAGAAATGTGGAGATCATCAATATGGCATTTAAAGCCATGAAAATGGATAAGATCACCTGGGACATTAAGATAAACGCAGTGGCTCACGCCTGTAATCCCAGCACTTTGGGAGGCCAAGGCAAGCGGGTCACCTGAGGTCAGGAGTTCGAGACCAGCCTGGCCAAACATGGTGAAACCCCATCTCTACTAAAAATACAAAAAAATTAGCCAGGCTTGGTGGCGGACACCTGTAATCCCAGCTACTCAGGAGGCTGAGGCAGGAGAATCACTTGAACCTGGGAGGTGGAGGTTGCCGTGAGCCAAGATCGCACCAGTGCACTCAAAAAAAGATAGAGAAGAATGGAAGTCCAAAGACTAAACCTCAGGGCACTTCAAGATTTAGAGGTTGGAAAAATGAGATGAAATCAGCAAAGGAACTAACTAAGAAGGAAGAGCCAAAAGGTACGACAAACACCAGGAGAGACAGTGATAAACTGAGGCAGACACTGCCAGTAAGTTAAGAAAATGAGCACTGGGGACTCATCACTGGAACTGGCAAGGCAGATGTTATTGTGGGCCTTGAGAAGAGCAATTCTGGAGTGTGGGGGTGGAAGCTCGACCAGAGGGGGTTCAAGAGAAAAACTGTAGCAAGGAATTAGAGATAGCAAGTGAAAACAATCCTTTCAAGACGTTTTACTACAAAGGAAAGGAGAGAAATGGGAAGATCACTAGAAATGCAAGTGAAATTGAGTTAAAGGGGAGAATTGCTATAACAATCCTTGGGTGGATGATTTGCAATGGGATCAGGACACAAGGGTTGACCTTAAAGCCAAAAGTGAGATAATTTTACATTGTATGTGTCTGGGTGCGTGTGTGTGTGTGTGTGTTTCCATAGTTAACAGTTAGCTGTCCAGAAGCAGGCATGGAATAAGTAGATCTGTATTTAAAGTTGATGTTCCGTCAAGTGAGTATGGCAGAGGGAGCAAGGGTTCAGGAGTTGGGTGTATGCAATAGATTAGTTACAGTGATGGGCCACAGAATCTGTCCCGGATAAGGAAAAAGACAGAGAAAAGATGATAGGATTAAAAGATAGTATGATCACTGGATTATAGATCCCTTTGGAAGCCGAAGTGCCATGCAGAGTGAGCCAAAATATAAGAAGTGGTAGGTAGATGGCAGAATCCTTCAAACTGGAGCCGTGGAAGGGGTTCAGTTATTGGTAATGCAAAGTCTAAAGTATGTTTATAAAAGAAAGGGAAGTTAAGGACACCAAGGTTTTTGGCCTGACAACCACCTAAAGGATAAAGCTGCCATTAACTGAGATGGAGAAGACCGTGGGTGGAGCTAGTCTACAGCAAAAATTTAAAACTCAGGGCTTCAGTTGTGGACGTACAGGTCTAAGATGCTATGCATCCAAGTGGAAGTGTTGAGTAAGAAGTTCGACTTTGCATTACCAATATGACCTTGTATATTGATAATGCAAAGGAACAGGTAACAAAGGTCAAGCGGACAAGACCCCTAGAAGACAGGAGGTGCAGGTAATTAGAACTGTGAATAAAAATTTAAATCTCTAAGAATTATGTGAAGAGTAGTTCTGGGGACAGGGACAGCAAGCCAGGGCTCTCTCAAAGGATTTTAAGGGTTGACCTGGGAGTCTGTAGGTGACTGCAAGAAGGTGGGCATGATGAACCCTGGGGGAAGAAGGCTCCTATGGTGAGGAGGGAGAGCAGGACCACTCAGTGGCAGGGAAGTTGGTAGGAGCCAGACTCACAGTTTTATAAGCCACATTAAATATTTAGCTTTTATGTTTATTTCTTGAAATAAACACAATAGAATAATGGTTAATGATTGTGAAGTCCCAGATCAGATACCCTCATATTCAAATGTAAGTATTCAAAAGTAAGAAGCAAATTCCAAAACCAGATTTCTACTATTCTCTGTCACATGAGAGATTGGTATTGAGTTCTCATTATGGCTTCTCCCAGATCAACATTTTAAAATTCCACAATTATTTGCTCTGTCCAGATTGCCTTACTCCATTTTATTCAATGGGTTGTTAATGTTTTAAGTCATAAGTCAAGTAGATTGAAGAACAATTAGTCTAATCTTTCGGTTCCTATTTGATCAGACAGTACTCAGGTGGCAACTGAAAGCGAATTTTTAGAACTTCACCAATACTCATCTTATTTTATATATGTTAAGAAACCATATCAGAAACTGTCATATTTGTGGAGTCTGATTCGGGTACTCATTGACACACAGAACCTCCTCAAGCTCAGAGAGAAGCATCTTCCCTGAACCCTCCCTATTTTGATTCATTTTTAATCTAACATTTTCTCTGCCATTGGGTACCTCTTGTTTGCTAATTTCATGGGATGCAACATCTGCAAAAGTCAGAATTTACCGAACTGGTTAAACAGTAATCTCCGTTTTAGACTAACCATTCAGCATTTTTCATTGGTCTGAACAGCTTACAATTTTTCTAAGAGCTGAGTACTTTCAGCCAAAATTTGTCCACTACTGGGAGATACCTAGAAATGATGTAAGCTCAATCTGATAAACAATAAATGTTTCAAAACATGCAAATTCTTCCCCTTCTCTTTATATTAGAGTAAGCAAAGTTTGGAAAGTGCTTTGTATATGTAGGAATTCATCCAATTTCTCTTTTTATCCTACTCTTCTTTATATGTCTGATAAATTTTAAATCTCTTCCTTTATAAAAGAGTACTTGGTAACAAGAATGACTTACCACACATCTGGGGTGACAGTGTCATTCTGGGATCGCCAGGTATGGGTTTCATAAATAGCTTCTCCATTGACTTTTAGCCAGGACCCCATTTGCCTCAGTCGCTCCTCAAAAACTACAGAAATGGTGCCATCTAGTGTGGGCCCAATATTCATCAAAAGATTTCCTCCACATGAAACTGTCTCTACAAGTTGCTAAAAAATTAAGAATAATGTTTTTAGATAAATAAAATAATTCCATCTTTAATGTGCTAATATGTTGCATTTATATATTTATACATGTATATATAGTCACTGCCTAGAAGAACAAACACAGGATAGAACAATGTCCTATATTTATAGGCCATTGAGCCATAGAAGAAATAATTCCTACATGACCACACTATTAAGAATATTATGTTAATAGCCACCAGACATTTCACTGTACCTTCACCAATTCTTCAATTGTAAGATAGTCAGAGATTCCAGCTTCCCTCCTATAGCCCCAGGACAGTTTGTCTATTGTCATGCAGTTTTCCCATTTATGTGGCAAAAGATGTCCTGGGTTATAACGATCACTGCAGGTATAGAAGCCACCATGCTTACAGATGCTACCAGCTCCCCAACGATCATTGGTGACTACTGTGCCCCGAACTGGGCTGAAATGAAACATACAATTTTTTAAAACAAAAGGTATAAGCTTTTTATACAAAAAGAAATGTCACTGAAAAGACATGTAATTGAAATACAATTCTGAAAAGGGACCATGGCATAGTACAGTGGAAAGCCCATGGTTTTGAAGTCAAACAGACCTGAGTTGATTGGAGTTCTGGCTTTGTCACTTTCTAGCTCCCAGACCTAGAGCAAATTACCTGACTCCTCTGAATAATGAATTTCCTCATCTATGATTAGAACAAAAATAAGTTATGTAAAACATTAGCCTGGTACCCAGCACATATAGCACTCATAAGAGTATTATATGAATATTTTAAGCTCCCTTCCATATTGTAAATGGTAGCCAAAACTGAATTTATACCCAAGACACTTTTCTTTTCAATGATTCAATGATCTCATACATGTAGTCTAGCCTTTCTTTTTCTCTTACCATTGTGCCTAATATTGAAAAATCTCAGAAAATTTGACTGTTGATATCATGTGAAATATCCCCACAATATTGCTTATCATAGCAGGTGGCATATTTAAGAGGGAAATACACGCCACATAGAGGGAACAGTTTTGAGTCACAAATTGAAGTGATGGCTCCCAGTTTTTTCCCTTGGAAGGAGTACCTGGACACACTGCTGTTTTAAGTATCAAGAGTTCTTCAGAATATTTGTATTTGTGCCCTTTGTGGGCCCAGGAAGTGCAAGCAGAAGGTTGCCTGACTTCGTAGCACAATACCCAGTGCTTTCTAGTGTACATGCAAATTTGGTCCATATAGTTTAAGCCTAATGGAGGAGTTTAATCAGAACTCCCTGTTCTAATAGGGCAGCCTTGAACATACCAGGAAGCAATAGGAAAAAACTGGAGAAAGTGAAAAGGCTGCGATGAAGGAAAAGAGGAGACAAACAAGGGTGACATTGGCTGGGCAGCAAAGATGACCAAAAGGTAAGAGGATAAAAAGAAGCAGTCTGCGGGATTCAGAAGCAAATAGTCAGAAATAGTGATGAAGAAACAGAGTTGTCCCAGAATAGAGGCCATAAAGGACCAGGGTAGGAGAGAAAAAGGGGGGACCCACAAAATTAACACCTTCAAAGTTCTTGATCCTGTGATTTTTAGTCTGATCTCAAAATCAGACCATTGAGTTGGATTTTACTCCTGATTTATTTACCCTTGATTATGTTGAGTAAATAGTGATATATCTAATAAGTATTATTTACAATGATTTTCTCCCCCCATACCACCAATGACTTAAAATGAAATATTTCAAGAGGTGAAGGAATTAAAATGTTAGAAATATATTAGGAATATGGAGGGTAACTGCAGCAATCTCATAGCATACACACCTTTCATTATATAACCAGGCCAAGAAGCCTGTGCTGTTCCAGTATTGATCCGGTGCTCCTCCGTCACCATCCGACCACAGAACCTCAGGCTGATAGTTGTTCACTAACTCATAGAGCTCTGGCAATGTCTTAGAAACTGGAAATTGCCGCTTATGGAATGAACTGGATTCATCCTCAAGGAAGAGCGGATGAAACCATTCAAAAAGGGAATAGTACAGTCCAAAACGCAGGTCAGTTCTGTTCCTAATGGCTACCTCAAGTTCCTTGACAATGTCCCTCTTGGGCCCCTCATCTATGGCATTCCAGTTCCACGAATATTCTGACCCCCACAAGGTAAAGCCTAGAAAATTATAGTGAAAACCCTTGTAAGCATGTCAACTTTATTTTAGTAAATTTCAACCCACACAAATGCCCAAACAAATCACATAGTACATGCGATATATAAATACCTGCTCCTACAAATGACTGTTTTATGGCCATTTTTTCATAGCATATATTGTGCTTTTATATGAGAAGTGAGAATTTAAACAAGGTGAGACAGGTTTTTAAAAGCAACTTTCAGGGTATATCACTGTACGGTCTGATCTATCTCCAGTATTTTCCCTCTTAGATTTTAAGGTCCTTAAGGGATTGCATCATGTCTGCAGTGCTCCCTGCTATGTCTCCAGCCAACTGCTAGCACAAGGTATAAACAATCAACAATAGCAGCTCACAACTAAGATGGGAACATATACATGTACCATGCTAAATGATGACTACCACTATTTATTATGAAGATCCTGAGATGCACTCCTGCAAGATTCTTAGTGTCTTCTAAACCAAAGCTTGAAGTCTACTGCTTAGTTTTAGGATTGTTTATTTTATTATAGTGTGATTCTTAGAACACTGGTGATCCACGTATAGCAAATCTCTTTTAGCCTGATTATTTATTTAACCAGAGGGGCAAAAAAAAACCCCTACTATTCCCAATAGTTCTATACTTTAAAATATACTCACCACGTGTAATCTCATCCTACTATAAAATCATAAGCTTGGATGTTCCTCTTTAATAAAATTACCCAAAAGTGAATAGTCTACCAACTACATAGATAAGAAAAACAATGTATACCTTTATACAAACACTTAGAAGTGGTTCGTTTTTAAGAGGAATTTGTATTTAGATTACTGATTGTTCCATATAAAAATGTTAGAAGAGATATATAAACTGAAATACTTAAAACATAATAAATATGAAAGCCTCAAAAATTTCATCAGTGCCTAGAGACTTAAATACATTGTTACTATTCCACTAAAATCTAAAAGAATCTTTGAGAATAGACATTTATAAGGTACATTTGGTGAAACATTTTACTCTTGGTAAATTAGAACAAGTCTAAGAATGACTCATACTTTCGATTTTTTTTTTTTTTTTTTTTTTTTTGAGACAGGTTCTGGCTCTGTCACCCAGGCTGGAGTTCAGTGGTGCGAACTTCGCTCACTGCATCCTCGACCTCCTGGGCTCAAGTGATGCTCCCACCTCAGCCTACCAAGTAGCTAGGACTACAGGTGTGTACTCCACCACGCCCAGCTAATTTTGTCTATTTTTTCAGAGACAGGGTCTCACTTTGCTGCCTAGGCCAGTCTCAAACTCCTGGCCTCAAGCAATCCTCCTTCCTTGGCCTCCCAAAGTGTTGGAATTATAGATGTGAGCCACTGCACCTAGCCTTAGATTCATTTTAATAAGCTTTTTAAAACAGCTCACTCTTGTTCCTATCATTTCTGTGGTAAGCTTCAGAGCAGTGTTGATATCTAAAGTCATACTCAAAGTTACTCAACTTGACAGGCCCTAATGTCAGACAGTACTAAAACCACTTGAGTCTTCATTTGAATATCACCACCATAAGCTTACACTGCGACGTTCCTTCCTGAGCTTAGTATGCATTTTCCATGAGCAATGAAAACATCTGACAACATGGGTCCCAGAAAATGTATACATGTGGGCTACATCATCTCTCCTCACAGTTTGATTAACAATTTTTATTAAATAAACTCACTATGTAATGTTTTGTGCCATACAGCTTGGGAAAGTTCCTAGACATCAGGAAATCAGCATGTTCTCAAGCAAATACACTTGATAGACATTCATCTCAGCAGGATAAATATCTACAGGAGAAAATCATGAAGCTACCAGAATGTGGCCAAAGGGAAAAATATCCTATGATCATTCCAGATTTTTTGTGTTGGTTCTCCTCTCCTATTCCCATCCCATCCCTGGAGAAAACAATAAGGCAAAGTTTCCCGTTTTTTTTTTTTTTTTTTTTTGAGACAGGATCTCCCTCCGCCACCTAGACTGGAGTGTAGTAAGCCTATCTCCGCTCACTGCAGCCTCAAGCAGTCCTCCAACCTAAGCCTCCCAAGTAGCTGGGACTACAGAGACATACCACTACGCTAATTTTTTAGTTTTTGTTTGTTTGTTTGTTTTTGTAGAGACAGGGTCTCACTATGTTGCCCAGGCTGGTCTTGAACCCCTGGGCTCAAATGATCCTCCTTCCTCGGCCTCCCAAAATTTTGGGATTACAGACATGAGCGACCACATCCAGTGCAAATTTTTTTATACCAAGGCAAAGATGATCATGCAAAAGAAACTAATGAATGAACAAGCCGTTGGAACAAAAACAATTTGTTAATGCTTCCCTGGCCTTACAAATACTGGAGTGGTAATGGGTGGAATCCATTCTATTAAAATAGAATGGATTTTAAATGTGTGGGGGTTTAGATATTCTTCTACCACCTCTGATTTTTCTGGAAACCATTACAGTTCCACAATCCTTTTCCCTCCAGGTGATCTGGGTCACTTTCATCACTTTCATCACTATCAGTTCATCCACTATTTGCACCATTTGGCCAGCTAAGAGTTGGCTAAAAGTGCAGCCAGGTGTGTCGTAATGATGCAAGACTATAGCAGTATAATCCCCATGATGCATTCACAGGATGCATTACAGAGAAGGGGAAGGAAAGAGTGCAATTCCAAGATGAACTTTGACTTGCAACCCACACTCCCTTCAACAAACAGCTTTAAGTAAATCTTGGAAATATTGTTCAAAATACATGTGACAAAACGTGACCATCTTTCCTCTGTTACGTGGCGGGTATGATCCTTTCTGTATTCCTAACATCTCTCAATTTGGGTTGAATGTGCAGTCCCTAAGTCATAAGCAAGTGCCAGTCACCACTTATGGTTGCTCCGAAGAGAAAATTAGACCTTGCTTTAGTTTTTTCTTCCAAAAGAACAACTTTTCATTTCTTAACCATTGTCAGCAATTTCCATAGGCTGGATTGACTTACCTTCATGATGTTTGGAAGTTAAGACAATGTATTTGGCACCAGAGGCCTGAAAAATATCTGCCCACTGGTTGGCATTAAAAAATTTTGCTGTAAATAGTGGTCCAAAATCTTCATATTTGAAACTAGGAGGGTAATTATCTTTCATAAATTCCACATACTTCGGTATCTTTTCCTTTTGCCAATACCACCTAAGGGGAGGAAAGGAAAGAGTGCATAAACAGCACATACACACATATTTAAAAGAACTGCTCCAGCTCCCCTTACCATTTACCCCTCACACAGATAGGACCCAGATTCTCTTTCTCACTTCCCCATTAGTTTGACTTGGCTTTAAAGATAGCTTATGCAAACTAAACCCCCTCTCATTTTCCACCTATCCCCCTGTGATATCCACTCAGCTCATAAACTAGAGCATTCTAGGCAACTCAGCTACCCATTCTCTCTTTTTTTTAAGACAGGGTCTCACTCTGTCACTCAGGTTGGAATGCAGTAATGGAATCATGGTTCACTGCAACCTTGACCTCCTGTGCTCAAGCAATCCTCTCGCCTTAGCCTCCTGAGTAGCTAGGACCACAGGCACGTGCCACCACACCTGGCTATTTTTTTTTTCTTTGTAGAGATGTGGTTTCCATATGTTGCCCAGGCTGGTCTTAAACTCCTGGGCTCAAGCGATCTTCCTGCTTCAGTCTCCCGAAGTGTTAGGATTACAGGCATGAGTCACCGTGTCCAGCCCCATTCTCTTTTAATTCTTCACTTTTAAATCACAACATGTAGTATATGTCTTTACACATTGTCCCTTGTAACATAAGTGATTAGGGCTTCTAAAAGGAAGACTACATGCCTAAAACATAATATGCATCTATTATATTCAGTAGTAGAGAACACTTTGGAGGCACAGGACAGAAAGGGAGGCAAAAGTAAAATTAAAAAGATGCTGTTATTTTAATAAATGGACTCAACCTTCAACAATTACTTGCTATACGCATTCATTCTAAGCAATGGTATATTGACCCTAAACTGCGTAAGCAAGACTTCATGAGGAAAAGCACATCTACACATTTTAGATAAACACAGCAGTAACTATCCTCATGAAATAGATGCAACCCCCATTTTTGACCCACCTCCTGCTTTTTCTATCACCATTCCTTTCATATGAGTATTTCTACAGGATAAGCAAATCCATAATCAGCACTATATTTCCCAAGACGATCAGGAGACTCTGCTAAGAAGAAATAATTGAAGGGCATACTATGCGGCAGGCATGCTGTTTGCCTGCCCAAAAGTCGTATTTACGTAATTTCCCAGCTTCCACTACAGCTGCGACAGGGATGTGAGATCCATGCTGGCCAAGGGAACTTGAGGGAAAGCCAACTTTGGGGACTGTGGAAATGGTTTCCCTCCTAATGAAAAGAGACACTGGCCTTCCTGCCTTTGGGCAGGGTTGTGTGAAGTTATGGTGCCTGGCTGCCATCCTGTGACCATGAAGGGACAAGTCCCCAGGCTGAGGATGAAAGAAAGAGCCCGTGTCTTTGATTTCATCAATGAACCGACTACTCTAAATTTCCTGTTATGTGAGATAACAAGCCCCTATCATTATACCTTTTAGTTGGGTTTAAAATCCTTGAAGCATTTTTATTATTTATTTATTTATTATTGATTAATTGATTGGTTGAGACAGGGTCTTGCTCCATTACCCAGTTTGGAGTGCAGTGTCATGATCATACCACACCACAGCCTTGAACTCCTGGGCTCAAGCGATCGTCCCACCTCACCCTCCTGAGTATCTGGGACTACGGGCATTACATTTTAAATTGAACTGCAAAAGAGAAACTGGGACATTCAGAAAGTTGAACAAGAATAAGGAATTTCTCCTAGCATCATCTAATTTGAACCTGCACTGTCCCCTACAGTCTAGACTTGAATTTCATGCTGAGAGATGAAAAGAGGCATTTATGGTAAAGGTCTATCATTTATATTTGGTTTTTAATAGACATTTAAAACAGTCACATATACTCATCTATACTGTTGATTCCCCGAAAGTCAAATTGAGAGTGAGGAGCAGAGGATACAAAGGGAAATCACAGGTAATTAAAGAATCTTCCACAGGGTTAATGCATTTTCAGATCATCAGGAATCTGTTCTCTATTTTGTTTAGTATGAGAAGTATCTTTATTATTCTAGGTCAAAATAACCATGGGTTTATCTGTAGAAAATGAAGTTATTCATAGCAAAGAATAAAATGACTCAAAACTAGCTGTTTTATTTTGGCATAGTACTAGTCTCAGTCAAAAATGTCAAATCCTCTTTGGCACCAATATATCTTTACCTAATCTTCATGGTTGAACAAAATGATAATATAAGATACAATTTAGGGGGAAGAAAGTTGTTAATTATGTACCACACTAATCTAAAATATTTCCAAAACAAGCTCAAGATTCCTTACAGCCCAAAACATGCAAATAAAGATTTGTAACATCTTTTTGAAGTAGCTATGTTTTGGCATAAGAATAAAGAGTCTCTGTTTTAGAAGGTGAATTATTTAAAATATGAATAATTCTCCATAGCTTATCCAGTTTTATTTTTTACATCAATTGACCTACCAATAAGAAAGGTTACTGGTTGCAGGTAGTCAATTTCTTTGTCATGAAAGGGTTAAAATATGCTATTTTGGCACATTTTTAAAGGTAAAGAAACTCGAAAAATAGCAGGTGCATGAAGAGCACTTTGCCCTTTGTGCTGTTTCTTAGGAGAGAAGATGAAATTCCAGTATGAAAGGCACTCTGTACTAGAAGGAAAGGCAACATCCTAAGCTTCAAAGACAAGAAGTAGAATACTGTACAGAACTTGCTAAAATTTATTATTTAAGTCTCCCCACATAATTTAGTCACACAATGTCAATTTAATTCTTGGACCCAGCAGAGACCCTAACAGAATGGAGGTGTAATTTTTCTACCCCTAGAGTAGAGCATGGTACCATGTATACTATGTAATGTTAATATAATATATAGTTCATACTCTGTATTGTGTCTACTAAATATAGTATGTTAATTTGGATGTATACTATTTATGTAGTATATAGTTGATTCAAATAAATACTGTTTAATGATTCCGTTCTTTTACTTAAGAATATATTATGTGTCCCAAAGTCCTGGAATTACAGGTATGAGCCACCGCGGATCACCTGAGGTCAGGAGTTCAAGACCAGCCTGGCTAACATGGCAAAACCCCGTTTCTACTAAAAAATACAAAAAAATTGGCCAGGCATGGTGGCGTGCGCCTGTAGTCCCAGCTACTCAGGAGGCTAAGGCGCGAGAATCGTTTGAACCCGGGCGGCGAAGGTTGCAGTGAGCCGAGATGGTGCCACTGCACTCCAGCCTGGGTGACAGAATGAGACTATGTCTCAAAAAAAAAAAAAAAAGAATATATTATGTGTATGTTTCTATATATGCACACAAAATATTTCTGTTTTGAAGGACTTAATACTTGTAGCATTTAGTCAGAAAAGACATGTGCAACAGTTTAAGAAATTACATGCACATTTTCACATAGATCTCAAGGTAAAATCTAACGCACAGATTTTTGTGTAGCACCTTTCATACGGCAGTATGATAACTGGGTTGTGTTAAGAGTACCATTCTAGAACCTCTTTAAAAAGTTCCTAGAGCCACACATGGGTAACATGTTAACATTAAGTAGCCAATGGTGTTCAATGAACAGTCGTTTCACATACTCATGACTATGTTTTAACCATAACTTCATGGCAGAACGACTGTAAATTGGCAGGTAGCAGCAGAGCAACCATAGGCCATTGTGCCTGAGTCACCGCTCGTGTGATGCCCCTGCACAAACTGATGAATGTCTGTAGTAGCTCGATGTTGTAGTGTCATAACTACAGCTTAATATGCGCAACTATGAAGAAGCTGAGGAGTCAGGAGTATCTGAAAACTCTTACAGTCACACGGAAGAAAAATTCCCTGTTCATCCAGCAGAAGCACTTAGGCAGGAAACCACATATTCGACACCCGGAAGTGCGAAACGCGGGTAACGCAGTGGGAGGTGAAACCGACGAGGGTGCAGGCAGCACCAGGCGGCGAACCAGGCCCGCTGGGTGGTGGCTGGAGGCTGCGGGTGGGGACAAAAGCGCGGCAGACGAGACAAAAGGGAGCGCACTCACCAGAACCACTCGCTACCGAAGCTGGGCACGGAAAACACTCCCCAGTGGATGAAGATGCCGAACTTGGCCTGGTCAAACCACGCGGGCAGCTGGCGGGCGTCCAGGGACTCCCAGGTGGGGTCGAAGCGCGTGGCGCTGTGGGCAGGGCACGGCGGCGGCGGCAGCAGCAGCAACAGCAACAGCAGCAACGGGAACGCGAGCCTGGGGAGCTCCTGGGGCCGCATGTCCCGGCGCAGGCCGGCTGTCCTCTCTGCAGGCTCCCGCGGCCTCGGGAGCGCTGTTCTTCCGTCTCTGCCGCTGAGTATGCCGCGCCGCGGTCACCTGACCAAGTCGGACTTGGAAACCGGCCACCCTTCCCCCTCTGGGGCGGGAGTGGCCACTCTCCCGGGCGTTCCGAATGACCTCAGGAGGGCTGCATCGCTCAGCATAACTAAGGCCAGCATTACCCCAAAGCCAGCTGGGACGGCTTTGCTAAGGCTCTGTCCTCTTGAGGGGAAAATATGAGTCTGAGTCAGGGCCTTGTGGCCAGCGCCTCTGCCCTCAAGCAGACACGACCCTGACCAAGAAACTGCCCAAGAAGACAATGCCCCCAGCCCACCCTGGTGGCTGCTCCACACGTCCGAAGCGTGCACGAGAAGGTCAAGGCAGGAACTTCAGCCGGGTCTCGCCATGATGGAACATGGAAAGCAACCTAGATCCTTCTCGGCCTCTGTATCAGCTCCCAAGATCCTGCATGTTAGAACCGTGGTTGTCAACCTTGAATTTGTATCAGATGAAATTCCAAGAGCTTCAGATTCAGCAGTTAGGTTGGGGCCCAAGAATTTGCGTTTCTACCCAGTTCCTACTTCTAGGATGTTCTGATGTTGGGCCGGGCGCGGTGGCTCACTCCTGTAATCCCAACACTTTGGGAGGCCGAGGCGGGCGGATCACAAGGTCAGAAGATCGAGACCATCCTGACTAACACGGTGAAACCCCGTCCCTACTAAAAATACAAAAAATTAGCGGGACGTGGTGGCGGACGCCTGTAGTCCCAGTTACTCGGGAGGCTGAGGCAGGAGAATCGCTTGAACCCGGGAGGCAGTTACAGTGAGCAGAGACGGTGCCACTGCACTCCAGCCTGGGCTACAGAGTGAGACTCCATCTCAAAAAAAAAAAAAAAAAGAAAGAAAACAAAATTGTGATGTTTCTGATTGGTGGTCCAAACTTTCCTGAGAACCACTGCATTGAACAAGGAGATGATCTGAGACAGGTGAAACCAGTGGAATGAATGTTTAAGAAACCTGCAAGCTTGGGAAAAAAGGCCAGCAACTTGGAAAGATTAATCAAAAGGATATTTGGGAAGCTTATCACCTCCACCTCTTGTTTGGTTTGTTTGTTTGTTTGTTTGTTTGTTTGTTTGTTTGTTTTTGAGACAGAGTCTCGCTCTCTCGCCCAGGCTTGAGTGCAGTAACATGATCTAGGCTCACTGCAGCCTCTGCCTCCCGGGTTCAAGGATTCTCCTGCCTCAGCCTCCAGAGTAGCTGGGACTACAGGCACATGCCACTGTGCCAGACTAATTTTTGTATTTTTCTTTTCTTTTTTAGTAGAGACAGGGTTTCACCATGTTGGACAAGCTGGTCTCAAACTCTTGACCTCAGGTGATCTGCCCGCCTTGGCCTCCCAAAGTGCTAGAATTACAGGCATGAGCCACCAAGCCCAGCCTCTCCTCCACCTCGTAAGTGTTTTCAAAGTAAAGCCAGAATCCTCAACTGCTTCTGCCCCCATGAAATCATTACCCTTCAATGAGCCAATTCAAATGCTGCTTCTTTTGTGAAGCTTTCTGCCACCACCCTTCCCTCCCAGAATGTTGTACTTTCCCTGATCTGCTTCATAACACCTCCTTCCAAGCACACATAGGATTTCACGCATCCTCTAGTAGCTAGGTGGTACAGGTCTGATTTCCCATCAGACTGTGAGCTTTTTGAGGGCATTCATAATGACCTTCTTTTCTGTAGTGCCTACAATTACAGCAGAAAAGCAGCACTCAAAATGTTTGTTGAAGCTCTCCAGTGAACTGGGGTTCTAATTATTGAGTGAAGAACTTGACACTAAGTGGCTGTTGCCTGCATTATCCCAACCCATCTCTGCAGAGAGATGGGAGCAGCAGAGGGCGCTGTCACTGCAGGTGTAGGGGCATTTTTCCTCTCCATGACATGCCAGATGGCCCCCCGGGGCCACAGCTCCACCGTAAGAGTCCCCAATTTTGTTTTGTTTTTTTACAGTGAGGGTGTTCTAGAGGAAAGGGCTCAACGAATCCAATTGCAATAGCTCCAGTTTGTGATAAAGATGACAATTTTTTTTTATTTGAGACAGAGTCTGGTTCTGTTGCCCAGGCTGGAGTGCAGTGGCACAGTGTTGACTCACTGCCACCTCCACCCCCGGGGATTCAAGCAATTATCGTGTCTCAGCCTCCCGAGTAGCTGGGATTACAGACCCCAACCTCCAGCTAACTTTTGTATTTTCACCATGTTGGCAAGGCTGGTTTTGAACCCCTGATCTCAAGTCATCCTCCTGCCTCAGCCTCTCAAAGTGCTGGGATTACAGGCATGAGCCACGGTGCCTGGGCTGACAAATATTTATTATTGAGTTTGTGGAACCCAGAATGATCTAGGGCCTCAGTGGCCACTGAACCCTGGGGCACACTTGAACAAAAATATGGGCTTCTCAGCCACTATGCCTTGACATCCTCTCTAATCAGAAGTTTGTGTAATAAGTGCAAAAGACAATATTCACAGTGACAATGATACTGTGAACTGCCATAGGGAGAGTAGACATGACTGTGGTGACAATGCAGCGGCAGCAGGACCCTGTCCTCTCATAAGTGGGCATCCTTTCCCCATGTGAACACCACATAGCAGAAACGCCCATCTTCCAAAGCCCTTTTATCATGTTATGAATTATTTACACTTCCATATATTTCAGTTAAAGAGTGGTAATCAGATCTGTATGGATGCCACTTGGGTCATTTGTCATTTCACTTGAAGGCAAAGAAATGTTTTTAACTGGTAAGTACAACCTTATCATAAAAGTCTATTTTCTGTAAGAAATACTGAAAATATATTAAAGACCTCCCTTAGTGCCCTTCAGGACACATAAGAATCCTAATATACCAGGTTGGGAACCATTGCTATAGGATTTGAAAGGAATAGTAAATAGTATTATCTGAAAGTGAAGAGGAAGAAGAGATTCTACTTAAAAATATTTGTTAAATGACTGAAAGAAATAAATCTATGAAGTCGTTTAGAACATGGTCCTTTAGGGAAAGACCTGCCTGCTGTAGATTCCATTCACATTTTATACGTTTGTAATGCCTTACAAAGCTAGTCTTTGCACTTAAAGCTACTGCTAACTGAGCAATAGAATCACACCTCATAAGGCTTAAACTGTGTATTTAAAGGTTTTGATAGGGGATCCAGAAATCTGAGTGAAACCCTGGGTTCTGCAGGTACACATGGCTCATGTATAAGGCATTTGAAGGGCTTGTGGCCTTGATGGGGAACACTGTCAACTCTGATCCTGTTTGTCTGAGGTTACTTGGGGTACAAGATGAAGACAGAAGGGCGTGCCTCCCTTCTGGAACCATCACGGCCAGCAGCCGCATGTTGGGCAGCTGCTGATACTCAGGGTGCCCAGGCGGGAGATGGTGAGAGGCCAGCCCTAGCCAAATTCCTTGCTGCTGCCAGAGGAAGCAGTCTTGCCATGTGTGTCCACAGGGATAAGATTAGCTGCCGAGGTGGAGCTGATATCTGAGCGAGGCTCTCGAGGACACATTCTGGATAGATCTCCATATGGGAGTTGGATGACTGCCACCAGCCAGTCTTGGCAGTCCCCAGAATTCTTCTGAAGTGGACAGTGGAAGAAGTGAAACATTTGCCTGGCAGCTGGCATCAATGCAGTCTCTCTCTGGACATGCAGAAGAAAAGGTTCAAAAGGAACTGAACCCAAACCAGTCTTTATTTGGTAAATATCCCAGCTTCACGGTAGAAGAGCAGGCATGGGGGAAATAAAAGAAAACCCGCCTTTTTCAGGCCAGGGGGCAGGGAAGAGAAGCAGAGAGGAATAAAGGGAGGAGGCCCCGGGGTGTCAGCAGAGAGGGGAGAGCTGCCAGGCTGTGGCCCCACGCCAGCCTCTGCCATAGGGCTGTGTAATCCTGGGGAAGGCGTTCAACCTCTGTGCCTCAGTTTCTTCACCTATTAAATGTGAGTGATAATCGTGCATCTCCCTCCTAGGGGTGTTGTGAGAATTAAATCATGAGAAGTACATGTTAAGCCTCGTCTACGTGTGGACCAGTATTACCATGTGTGTGTTAGATCAATTCAGGGGAGCCTACAGAAAGCAGAGATTTTGTCCTGATTCCCATTTAACCTGAAGTCCTAAATGAGAATCAGGACAGAAATGTCCTGATTAGGACTCAGGCTAACTGGCAAGTGTAGCAAGGTACAGCCATGTTAGACAGATGGAGAGGCTGCTTTTTACCTTTCCTGGGGTGACCTTGATATTCGAGTGACACAAACAGGACCCAGAAGTAGCCAAGAACCTAACTGGAAATCTGTCCTGAGTGGTTCTCTGTGGCAGGGCCTCCTGTGCCAAGGACCTGGGGTTCACAGCCATTCCTCAGAGGACTCTTGCCTGTCTGTGGAAACTGAGTGGTGGGGGCAGGAGCCCGATACAGACCAGATCTTGAATTAGAGCAGCTTCAGGCTTCATCTGGGAACAGTGAAAGAACGGGTGTCAGCACTCCAGGACCAGAGAAGGCAGGGACGGCGTGTTCCTTCCCAGAAGCTGGAGAACCCCGCCCCTACTCCATGCCACCTTAGAGAGAAGCAGGGGAGGGGGAGGCATCTGCAATATTGAGCGTTGTTACCCAAAGAACAGCCTACATATTTGCTGAAGATGCTGTTTAATTGACAAGATTTGACTATGTTTAATGCAGGTAGAATAATTAAATTTGATCACCAACCACCCAGTGTGTGCATGGGGGACAGGAGCATGCTGTCTGCTGAGGCAAGTAGGGTGACTAGAAACAAGAACAAATTGCCACTTTTTCTCTGCACCAGGGTTGTCAGTGGCAGGTAATTTAATGATCCTAGTATGCAGCTAAGCATCAGAACACATGACACATTTGCCTTCTACTTCCGTCCTTCCCAATGTCTTCCGGGAAAAATGAATGATCTAATGAGTGGCTGTGCACGGAGGCCTAATTCAGGGAGATGAGGTCTCAGTCACACATTGAGTCTCCTTTCCAGTGGCCCTTATGGCTGAGGGAGACAGTGTCCCCTGGGCTGCACCAGTTGGAAGAGAAGGCGGAGTTTTCACAGCCCTGGTTAGAAGTGGGAGGGAAGAGGTCAGGTCCTCAAGAGGAAGAGGAAGCAAAAAAAGAAAGAAGGAACTGACAGAACTGAGATAGGGCTGGGCAAGAGGGAGAAAGGAGATGAAAGAAAAAAAGAAAGAAAAGAAAAGAAGGAAGGAAAAGAAAGAGAGAGAGAGAGAGAGAAGGAAGGAAGGAAGGAAGGAAGGAGAAGGAAAGAAGGAAAGAAAAAAGAAAGAAAGGAAAGAAAGAAAGAGAAAGGAAAGAAGGGAGGGAGGGAAGGAAGGGAGAAGAGAGAGAGGAAGAAAGGAAGGAAGGAAGAAAAAGAAAGAAAGAGGAAGGGAGGGAGGGAAAAAGAGAGAGAGAGAAAGGACATCAGAGAATGGAGCTGGGGGGGAAAAAAAGATTCAAACACAAAGAAATTCAAAACCAAGAGTGTCCCAAAATTAGAATAAAAAAGAAACTAAAACACAAAGACAAACAATAAGCGAGAATAATGAATAAAGACAAGAGAAGAGGGGAGAGGTGGAGGTATCAAGAGGAGATGCTAAAATAAACCCCAAAACCAAAGCAACATGAGAAGCCTCAGGCTGAGCTCATCACAGCAGGCATGCCAGCAGGGGCACAGGGGAGGAGACAGCAAGGGAGGAACCAAGGAGGGACTGGCAAAGGTGAGCACAAGCAGGTGCAGGAAATATGTTGGGGAGGCAACGGGCAAGGGCTGAAGAACAAGTGGGGAAGAAGACACGGATGAAAGAGAGTGAAGAGGAGTCCTCCTGAAATAAGGAACCGAAATAAAGACCAATGAATGAATGAATGCAGTGTTTTCATTCACATAATAACCAGAGTCTAGGCAGCTTTCCTCAGTTTAGCAGGATGATTAAAAACATGGGCCCTACACTACTTAGCAAGTTATTCATGGGTGCACACACTTTTGGGGGTTAGAACCCACATAGAAAGGTTACCTAGTGCTGAGATGTCCTTTCTCAATTAGCAGTCTGTCCTTGCCATACACTATTCTGATGGTGTATGATGTATTCTGTATGTATAGGTAAGTATTCTGTATATATATATATGTATTCTGTATGTATATGTAGGTATTCTGATGATGTATGATGTATTCTGATGGTGTATGAATGTTGTAAAGCCACACTGGTGTTTTGATTCTTTCATTTCACTGTCGAGTGAAGCCTCTGATGCAGAGGAGCAGGTTAAGAACTGCCAGGCTGTGCTGTGACTTTCCTGGGCCCTGGGCACCTTTGCCTTCACAGACCTCTTATTCCTCCATTTAAAAAAAAAAGTCATAGAGGTGTATTCTACAACAATGTTGGTAAACAGGTGAATGTATGAATATTACATATTAAAACATTTTCTTTGACTTACAAGGTTTTTTTTTCTCCTTCAGATTTTAGATGGAATTAAAACATTTTTGTGGGTCTCGACAAGTATTGCCAGCACTGCACCTGCCACCCTGATAGGTAAGTCAGCTCTGGAGAACTTAGAGATACAGAGTGACAACCACTAAAAATATACAAAGAGATTTGATTAAATATTTATATCAATGTGAGCCAAGGTAGGTACGTTAAAATAGCAATGATTTGGTGTAGTGATCATGGAAATTTCATGATTCAAGACAAAGGTGGTTTCTTTAGGGTGCTGGCATATACTTACTGAGTTTAGTGCTTACTATAAGCTAGGCTGTTCTGAATAATATATTTAGGCTTTTATTAAGTCCTCATAAGGTACATTCAAGTATATAAAGTACCTCCAAATGTACTTTTATTATCCTCAATCTACAGATAAGGACAAGAGGCAGAGAGAGTTAAATAACTTGCTAAATAGTGTAGGGCCCAGGTTTTTAACCATCCTGCTAAACTGAGGAAAGCTGCCTAGACTCGGTTTATTATGTGAATGAAAACACTATATTCATTCATTCATTGGTCATTATTTCTGTTCCTTATTTCAGTTATTAATTACCAATTTACTTTGTGTGTGTGAGAGACGGGTCTCGCTCTGTCACCCAGGCTGGAGTGCAGTGGTGCGATTCCGGCTCACTGCAACCTCCACCTCCCGGGCTCAAGCGATTCTGCCACCTCAGCCTCTGAAGTAGCTGGGACTGCAGATGTGCGCCACCATGCCCAGCTAATTTTTGTACTTTTTGTAGAGACGAGGTTACGCCATGTTGGCCAGGCTGGTCTCCAACTCCTGAACTCAACCTATCCTCTCACTGCAGCCTCTCAAGGTGGTGGGATTACAGGCATGAGCCACTACACCCCACCTGTTAATTGCGTCTTTATCTCAGTAGGTTGAAGTATATTTATACAGCCTCTGCTCTGTGTCAAGTACTGAGCTGAGCTCAGCAGTTGCAATGGCAGGAACACAGACCCAGCCCTATTCCTTATATGGCTGACTCTCTAGTGGGAAATATGGACATTAAACAAACGACCACCTAAATATAACACTGCAAACTGGAGTTCATGGCATGAACCATGGAATGCTATCAAAGCACTGGGATCCCAATCTAATCTGGGCATCAGAGAAAGCTTCCCTGAGGAATTAAAATTTGGATGAGGTCTCAATAATTAGTTGATGAATTAGGCAAACAGTGGGAGCAAGGATGTTCCAGGCAGAGGCCAACTACATGGGTCAGGTGCACAGGACATAAACCGAGCCATCAAGAAGCTTCCAATGTGAAAAGAGAATAAACCCATAGAGACAAGCAATGAAGTGCTGCCATGAGACAGATGTGTGGAGCATTTGAACAATGGGAAAGTGCTGCTAGGAGAGAGGTGGTGTTCAATTCAATGAAAGCAATGTAGGATGAGATCTGTAAGGAAGACTAGATAAGCCAAGAGGCATGCAGAGGATCTTATCCATTTTAGAGCCCTGGGGGCTATTTACTGGAGTAGCTGAAGATAGCACCGTGGACACAGGCTGAAAAGGAAGGAATTGCTATGAGCTCCATGTGAGGCATCATAGATGAGACCTATGGAGCTATCCAAGATCATATCCTGACACAGTGGTCAAAATAAAGAAGCAAGTGTGAGCAGTGGTGAGGTGATGGCTCATTTAAAGAAAAGCCATGCCCTGCAGACTGGTCCCAAGCTGGAGACCCCTTTCTCTAATTGTCTGAAGAATCCCTTTGGCAGGCTGTGTAATACGCATGACTCCAATCTCTTGAAGTCTCTAGATGGAGGCCACATCCCATTGCCTTTACAAAACATCCTCTTTATCCATGGATGTTGATACTTGAGAACTTAACAGAAAGAACTTCATTCCTTCTGTGAAGATCAGTGAAGCTCATATTATTATCTGACTACAGAACTGCTCAATGTTCATCCCAAAAAAGTAAGACTCCCTTAAATATCTGCATAAGATTCATTTTCTGTGTTTTATTTTCCTAATTTTCTTCAAAGAAGATGTGTTACTTTTGTTAATAAAATATTAAAAATGTAAACCATGGAATCAGGGAAGGAAAATGGCAGATAGGAGGCAGGACTAAATTACAGCTGACACTCAGAGGGACAGAGCAGCATGTGGAGACTCACGTTGTGAATTTTTGCTCCAGAACTACTACTGCAGGATTATACCAGGAAAGCCAAGAGAATCCACAGACCCTCTGAAGGAAGTGGATAGCTCCTGCAGGACCCAGGAGACAGCCCAAATACTACACAGCAAGAAGGTGCAATCTATGAACCAGAAAGTGGGCCCTCACCAGACACTGAATCAGCTGTTTGTGTCTAGTGTCTTGACCTTGGACTTCCCAGCCACCAGAACTGCCAGAAATAAATTTCTATTTTTTATTAGTTAAAAAAAAGTAAGCCATGTAGATTATTCATTAACATATGAAGCAAAATGGAATCATAAAAATGAAACATTCATTACAATTTTTTGGAAACTGCTATTTGTTTTGTTTTGTTTTTGAGACTAAGCCTCGCTGTGTTGCTCAGGCTGGAGTGCACTGGCTGTTCACAGATGTGACCATGGCACGCTGCATCTCAAACTCCTGGCCTCAAGTGATCCTCCTGCCTCAGTCTCCTGAAGAGTTGGGACTACAGGGGTGTACCACCACACCCAGCCTTGTTTGTTTTTGAAGATAAGATCCATATCTGAATTTTTTAAATCAGTGACTGAGCAACATAAAACATGAGGATTTCCCAGATTGCCCTTCTTTTGTTGAAAATATTAAAAAGTGATCTTAAATGTATGGATACATATAAAACACTAAGATTTCTCCATTTGGTTTATGTACTTCATAATAGCTTGTGACATGCTCAAAATAACATGATTTTTTTCAATTATTTCTTTTGCTCTTTTAAAAATCACATTTTATTGAATTTATTCATTCATTCATTTTGAACACCTAACATATACTAACAAATGTGCCAAGTCCAGAAGATTCAAGGCTGAATCAGAGGACATCCTTGACTTTAAAAAGCTGACAGACTAGAAGAGCCAAGCCTACATGAAAATAAATAAATGCAATACGGACCAAAAGCACAATTATCGAAATATGTGCAGGGTAGAGGTGCTGAGCAGTGGGAAGATACAGAATAACTAATGCCTGTTAGCTGCTTCTGTATGTATGCCAGGTAGTGTTCTAAGTGCTTTACTTACATATATTAGCTCATCGCCAACCTGTGATCGTTTCCATTATCATATTGTTACACTCATTTTATAGATGAGGGACTGAGACAAAGAGTGGTTGCCTAGCTTGCCCAAAGTCACTCAGCTATACTGAGTGGCAGAACCAGGATTTAAATAATATGAACTCTGTGCTCTCAACCTCTACACATTTGCTGTCCAGACTGTCCAGCAGACTGTCTAGGAAGAAATGCAAAGCACTTTAAGCAGAGAGGGCAGCTTGGGCAAGGGCACTAGTGCAGGAAAGACACAAGCACCTTGTGGAGTCAAGCAGATAGGATACCAGAAGGCTGAGGAATATGCCACATCATAGGGAGGCTTGGATCAGTTTTGGTAGACAATGAGAGGACATTGAAGGATTTTAGTCAGAGGAGTGATGGGGCAGATCTGTTTCTTAAAAAGATTATTTTGACTGTGTTAGGGAGGATGTGCTGCAGAGGATCTGGATGCAGGTGGGGAAGGGAGGATGTGTTGCAGGAGGATGTGTTGCAGAGGGAGGATGTGCTGCAGAGGGTCTGGATGCAGGTGGGGGAACCCCCTTTAGAGACGACTTCTCCCAGGTAAGAAAAGGCTGTAGCAGTGGAGTTGGAGAGAGAAGAATGGACCAGAGCTATTTTAAGGAAGACTAGGCCAGTGCTGGTTTTGATTAGTGGATGTCAAACTTAGTGGTCGTTTGGTATTTTTACACGAAACCTTCAACAGAATCAACAGTGTGCTTCATGAAGGCAGAGCCCAGATTTGTTTTTCTCGCCGTTGTACTCCCAAGACTTGGTAATGTGCTCAGGAAATGCTTATTGATTGAATGAGTTAATGAATAAGTGAATAAACCAAGAAGTAAATAAAAAAAAGAATGAATCAAAGAAATGACTCAGTATTGGATTAGACCAAGTGCATAAGAGAAGAAGTTAATGGACTCTCAAATGACTTGCCGAAAAGATTAAGTCAATTTCTCTTTTCTTATGCAATACATTTTGTGTCCAGGCCTTTCTTATGAGTATTGTGTGTGGAACATAAAGCAACCAACTTAGCTCCACGATTTAGCTATTGGGAGACCCATGAAAGAGCCTACCCAGCCCTGCCTGCCTCTGGGGGTCTCGGTCATGTCATGTGACTACATCGCTTGGCTCTGTTTCCAAGTTCCCCACCTCTAACCTCTCTGGAGCTCACATTCATCTTTCAAAAACATCACTTCTGTTATATCACCCATCACTCACTCCCTTCACTACACATCTCTTTGCCCTGCTTTAGTTTTCATCTGAGCACTTACTGTTTCCTGACATTATGTCATTCATTCATTCATTCATTTATTCATTTTATTTGGTTCTATCTCTCTGTTAGTTTCCTATTGCTGCAGTAGCAAATTACCATAAACTTAGTGGCTGAAAACAGATTTATCTTGCAGTTCTTGAGGACAGAAATCTGAAATGGGCCTCACTGAGATAAAGTCACTGTGGCCAGGGCTGCATTATTTCTGGAAGCTCCAGGGGACAATCTGTTTCCTTACCTCTTTCAGCTTCTAGAGGCTGCCCTCATTTCTTATTTTGTGGACCCCTTTGATCTTTAAAGCCAGCAAAGGCAGCTTGAGTCTTTCTCATGATGCTGTCTCTCTGGTCTCACTCTTCTGCCTTCCGCTTCCCCATTCAAGGACTCTTGTGATTATATTGGGCTTGCCTAGATAAAGCAGGATAATCTTATTTTAAGGTCAGCTGATTAGCAACTTTAATTCTAGCTGCAATTTTAATTCCCCCTTGCCATGTAACAACATATTTATAGATTACAAGGATTAGGATGTGGATGTATTTTTTTTTTTTTTTTTTGAGACGGTGTCTTGCTCTGTCACCCAGGCTGGAGTGCAGTGGCACAATCTCGGCTCACTGAAACCTCCACCTCCCGAGTTCAAGCAATTCTCCTGCCTCAGTCTCCCAAGTAGCTGGGATTACAGGCATGCGCCACCAAACCCAGCTAATTTTTGTATTTTTAGTAGAGACAGGGTTTCACCATGTTGGCAGGCTGATCTTGAACTCCTGACCTTGTGATCCACCCGCCTCGGCCTCCCAAAGTGCTGGGATTACAGGCATGAGCCACCGCACCTGGCCCAGGATATGGATGTCTTTGAGGGGCCATTTCCTGCTTAGCACAATCTGCCTCTTATAGAATTTAAGTCTCTTGAGAGCAAAACTTTATCTACTTTGCTCTCTACAGTACAGCCATTGATTAGAAGAGGGCCAGTATATTGTAAGCATGCAGTAAATATGTTTTGAATAAATCAGCAAATCTTGTCCTTCTTTTTCACAATCCATCTCATACCAAGGCAGAATAATTTTCCTTCATATCAGCATGGATCATAATATACTCTTTGATATGGTTTGGCTGTATTCCCACCCAAATCTTATCTTGAATTGTAGTTCCCATAATCCCCATATGTCATGGGAGAGAGCCGGTGGGAGGTAATGAATCATGAGAGAGGTTACCCTCATGCTGCTGTTCTCATAATAGTGAGTGAGTTCTTACAAGATCTGACGATTTTATAAGGGGCTTCCCACCTTTTGCTCTGCACTTCTCTTTCCTGCTGCCATGTGAAGAAGTACGTGTTTGCTTCCCCTTCTGCCATGATTGTAAGTTTCCTGAGGCCTCCCCAGCACTGTGGAACTGTGAGTCAAATAAACCTCTTTCCTTTATAAATTACCCAGCTTGGGTATGTCTTTATTAGAATCATAAGAATGGAGTAATACACTCTTGCTCAGAGAACATGAATCGAGCACTTCTAGGTGAGATGGCAGCTTGGCCCCAGCCACTTTGTTCTTTCCTAGCAAACTCCAGTGGAAGTAACAGCAGATCTTGCAAATAGAGAAACATCTGCCTCAGTTCTGAAGCAAGCAAGTGACCATCCTCATGCCACAAAATAGAAGAACTTCTGCTAGATCCAGAACTGTCACCCCTGGGTCGCATGGAGGCCTTGAGGGTTGGGATTCAATCCTCATTCCTGAGAAGGTGAGAAGCATAGCAAGGAGGTCAGGGGATCTGAGGGGCTTCAGTGATGCCCCTTACTTGAGCTCTCTCTGATCTCTCTTAACCAGGAGCTCTAGAACCCCATTGTGAATGTGGACATTGTTATGGATGCAAATGTCCACCTGTGCAGAGAATTAGGCAAGACAGAGAGAGGTGTTTTTCTGGGAAGACTGTCTGAGCGAGCAACCACAAAGTTTCTGGTCATGGTTCCTGCCCTGCCTCCCTCTCTACTTTGGAGCTCCTGTAACTCCAAGTGGATAATATACGGTTTTGTTTTTGTCATTGTTATTGTTGATGTTGCTTGTCTTTACTTTGTAAAATATGAACCTTTCATCATATGAGTGATTTTGGCAAAATGCACCTCAGACATTCAAATACTTCCTATTTATTAAGCGCCTCCCACTGTGCAATCCATATGCTAGGCACTGCAGATGATGTCTTAGTCTTTATAACAACCTTGCAGGTTGGATAGCATTGTTCCCTTTTCAGAAATGTGGGAACATGCCCAAGGTTCAGGGTATTCTAAGTGGGAGAATTCAGATCCAGCTCACTCAGAGGTCTCTGCTGGCCCAGGTCTGTCCATTGTCTTCTAGTGTAAATGAAGGCAGCTGCTCTGAAGGCAGGAGGACCAGGCTTAATCTGAAACCTGTGATCATTGAAACAAGCATGGCCTGCTCTGCACAGGGTTCAAATGAATAGGTCTCTATTTTCTCCTTTCTACATAATCACTCAAATAAGATAGGGACTAGAGTCAGGCAAGTGAGACTCTCATCCCAGGAAGAAAATAGAAGGGAGCACAAAAAAACTCAGTAATCAAGATAAATAATAACTTTAATACAATACAGTGTTTTAAAAAATCAAGTCCTCAAACTATAGCTGTCTGCCTAGCTATTTTTAAACATAAAGCTTTACCAAGGCTGGGATGAGGCTTGAGCAAATGAGGCCAGTTGTACAAGTTCAGTGTCAGATCCTATTTAAAGTTTTGATATTTTGTTCATCATGTTTATTTTTTTCATTAATTCTATCTGAAGCACCCACCCACCTTCTCAGCAGATATCTCCCTCTGGGGCTACCCTTTCCACATGAGTTATAGGGACCTGTGATGTGCAAAAGGAAGTTACACAACTTCTCTTCATGATTTCTGTCTTTTGGGCACAAAATTCTGACTTTTGAAGAATACAGTTGCATAATCACCACCACAATCAAGATATACAACAGTTCCATTATCCTAAATAGTCATCCCATCCTCCACTCCCAATAACTGGCAACTACCGGTCTGTTTTTCTGTCCCTATAGTTTTGCCTTTTCCAGAATGTCATTTACATGGAACAATATAGTATGAAGCCTCTTGAGCCTGGCTCCTTTCATTTAGTATAAGTATCTGAGAGTCTTCCATGTTGTGTGTAGCAGTAGTTCCTATCTTTGTATTGCTGGCTAGTATTCCATTGTTGGATGTACTTATTTGGGTTGTTTTCAGCTTGGGGAGGCTATGAATAAACCACTGTAAACACTTGCTTTCAGAGTTTTACATGCATATAAGTTTTCATTTACTTTGGGTAAATACCTATGAGTGGGTTTATTGGATCATTTGATATGTCTACTTTTCACTTTCTAAGAAACTGCCAGACTAGTTTCCAAAGGGGCCCTTTTGCATTCCCACCAGCAATTGACTTTAGTTTTTGAGGGTGGGACTAAGGAGGACCCAATCCCCAGGTGTGTTGACATCCCTACCTCCCAACTGTGAATGGGGTCAAGACCTCTGGCATCTTAGTGACGGGCACCTTAGCACTCCCCAGCAATCTCTGAGGAGTGAGGACATGGAAGGAGGGATTTCTGGGTTGTCTTGGAGATCTACTCAAAGGACGTTGTGAAACCTAGGTGTTCAACAACAAATAAATAGATAAAGAAAATGCGGTGTATATATACCATGGAATACTATTCAGCCATAAAAATGAAATCCTGTCATTCGAGGCAACATGGATGGAACTGGAGTCCCTTATGTTAAGTGAAATAAAGCCAGGCACAGAGAGTTAAACACCGCATGTTCTCACTCATATATGGAAGCTAAAAAAAGTTTATCTCACAGAAGTGAAAAGTAGAGCAGAAGATACTAGAGGCTGGGAAGAGTAGAGGGAAGGAAGGAATAGGAACAGATTTGTTAAAGGGTACAAAATTATAGCTAGACAGAAGAAATAAGTTCTAGTGTCCTATACCATTATAGGATGACTATAGTTAACAATAACATATTATATAGTTTCAAATGGCTAGAAGGAGGATATTGAATGTTCCCAACACAAAGAAATGATAAATGTTTGGGATAAGGGATATGCTAATTACCCTGATGTGATCATATACATTATATGTATTGAAACATCGCTATGTACCCCACGAATATGCACAATTATTGTGTGTCAATTAAAAATAAAGGTATAAAAGAAAAAAAAACCCATGGCTGAGTGTAGCAGGGATGGAAGGAGTCCCTAGTGAATCACTTGCCTTCAATGAGAGAGTTAGAGTCACAGAAGCAGCAATTGCTGAGGCTAACACTCAAGATAGTCCCCTCCTGTCTTCCTACACTCATAAGCCCAAAAGTTCTTGTTTGGTTCAAGACAAGGAAGGCATCCTGGAAAATGTCTTTTAGGCAATGTTTGTAGAAGGAGCTGAGCTAGGTGTGATTTATAGAAACAAAGAAATAGAATGTGTATCCTGAATGTCTTAGAGCAGTGCTCCTACTACATGCCATTCATTACACCCAGTGCTTTATATACACGAATTTCAATCCTGAAAACACCACCACAAATTAAACGTATGCATTACTTAGGGATCAAATTGAGGTATCAAAATTGAAGCAAAAGACAGTGATGCTGATCACATTTCTTCTGTGCCTAAATCTTTTTACAGGCCTCTGTTTCACATTCCAGCACGTCCCCGCTCTCCTCCAAGCCTCCAGCCATACTCACCTCCCTCCTCTTCGCTTCCATTTTCCTGCCTTGGGCCCGCATGCATGGTATTTTCCCTGCCTGGGATGCCTTCCCTGCCTCTTCCTCTTTTTTATCCCTACTCACTTGTATAAGCCACTTCTTGTGTCCTGAAACTTTTCCTGACTCACCCCAAAAGGGTCAATTATTCCCTCCTTTATCTCTCCACTGTAGTTTGTACACCCCTGTCTCCTATGCTGCTAGTCCAAGATTAGAGAGATTCCTATTCACTTCTGTGTGCCCAGCACAGAGCCTGAGCCTGTTAGGACATAGTAGCTGTTTTAATTTATTTATGTTTTATTGTATTTTTAATTGACAAGTAATAATTGCATATATTTATAGCATACATGAAGTTTCAAGGCATGTATAGATTGTGGAATGATCAAATCAAGACAATTAGCCTATCTATTACTGCAAATATTTATCTTTTTTTGAGATGGGGTCTCACTGTGTTGCCCAGGCTGGAGTATAGTGGCTCAATCATGGCTTACTGCAGCCTCAACCTCCCTGGGCTCAGGTGATCCTCCCACCTCAGACACCAGAGTCTCTGGGAGTACAGGTGCACATCACCACACCTGGCTAATTTTTGTAGTTTTTTTGTAGTGATGGGGTTTTGCCATATTGCCCAGGCTGGTCTTGAACTCGTGGGCTTAAGCAATCTGCCTGTCTCAACCTCCCAAAACTAGGATTACGGGCGTGAGCCACTGCATCTGGCCCAAATATTTATCATTTCTTTGTTGTGAGAACACCTAAAATGCTCTCTTTTCATTATTCCACAAAATGTATATATTCCAAAATATGTATAGTCACCATGCTGTTGCGATACAGCACCAGACCTATTCCTCCTCCCGTCTGACTGACTGAAACCCTGGACCTGTTGAGTAACATCTCCTCTTTCTCCATCCACCCCATCGCACCCCAGTCTCTGATAACCACCATCCTACACTCCACTTCTATGAGTTTGTTTTAGAGTAAGAAGAAGAAAGGAAGAGTGGGAGGAAGAGAGCATGGTAAAGGAGGTGTTTACTTTTGCAGCCTGGTACTCTAGAGGGAAATGGTGGGATGGGCTCAAAACTATGAGCCAGCTTTGGCCTCTCTCATAAAATGAATTCATCTTCGATTTTAAAATGAAAACAAAGAAAAAATTTCACAGAACCATCACATTCCACACCAGAAGAGGCCTTAGAGACCATCAAAACTAACTTCCTGTTTTTTGTTTCTCTCTCTTTTTTTTAAGTGACTTTAAAAGCAGGCCTACTTTCACTATCAGATGGTGATTTATCCTCACTCTGCTGATTACCTGGATTCCTTGCCTTTCTCTTATTTCATTTTCATCGTGTATCGTCAATTTTGATCTCTGCCGTTTCTTTTCAGATAATATTTTGATCTTTCTCTTACTTGCAGTCATTTTTATCTGCCTATATTAAGGAAATGCTATTGTCAGTGAAAGACACTTAGTTCTAATGCCAAGTATTTTGGGAAAATATTTCATAAGAAAACATACCATATTTTTATGTGCATGTTTTGCATATAAACTCTGAGAAATAAAACTTTTTAATATATTTGGGGGATGGGGAAGATAGCAAAAGAAAACTGCAATTATAAAAATAATTAGTTAGAAGGGGATGGGTATTGTCTCAAGGAATGCCTTCAGGAAGTTTTGATTTTAACCAGAGTGTCACACCTGTTTCCATTACCATGAAAAATCCACATTCATGCATCTAAAGACTACTAGTGATGAAATAGGGACAAATTCAGTTACAAAGGTCGTTTAGCTCCCTAGCTTGTCTAATTTATGAAATGTGGATAGCTTTCATTATGTATTAAAGCCTTTGAATAACAATTCCTCCTTCTGTAAGTGAATCTGCAATGTATAAAGAGCCCTCCAAGTGGCACTGTGGCTTTAAGAGGGGCTCCTGGCACAGCAAGGAGGAGGAAGACACTGGCCAGAGATGAGACAGATCCCAGCCCACATTTGGGCTCCTGCTGAAGGCAGTGTTCCTAGCACTGATGGGCGGAACAAGCTAGTTGATAAATTTTCATTTATTTCTTTTATAATCTTACATAAGTCATCACTTTAAAGAGAGTGGTAAAGCAGTGAGGTACAGTTTTTTTGTTTCTGTTATTTTTTTTAATTTTATTTTTGGTATTAAACACTCTTATATGATTAAAACTATGCTTATTTCATCTTCAGTTTTTATCCCTAACCTTTTGGAAATGGTATTCAATGAAAATAGCTAAATAAACTAATAGAGTTTAGAAACATTTTGCTTTGAAAAGCTGTACTGGATGCCTCTTTTTTTAAAATCAGTGTCAAACAGGCACATTTCCTACGTGCTGGCCAACATGTCCGTGGTACCAAGGGACAAGTCTAAGGAGAAAGAAATCTTTTTTTTTTTTTTTTTTTTTTGAGACGGAGTCTCGCTCTGTCGCCCAGGCTGGAGTGCAGTGGCGCGATCTCCGCTCACTGCAAGCTCCGCCTCCCGGGTTCACGCCATTCTCCTGCCTCAGCCTCCCGAGTAGCTGGGACTACAGGCGCCCGCTACCACGCCCGGCTAATTTTTTGTATTTTTTAGTAGAGACGGGGTTTCACCGTGTTAGCCAGGATGGTCTCGATCTCCTGACCTCGTGATCAGCCCGCCTCGGCCTCCCAAAGTGCTGGGATTACAGGCGTGAGCCACCGCGCCCGGCCGGAAAAAGAAATCTTATAGCATAGGTGGGACAGGATAAACAAAACTGGAAGTAAACAAAACCTCAAATAAGCAGGATGCCTAATCATTTTAGGATTGCATAGACTTAGTGGTATTTGAAAAGTGAATCCTAGCCCACCTTTGTCCACCTCGTCAGGTTCAAAACTGAACTACTCCCCACAGGGTTCCTCTTCTGCAGTGCTACATTACAGCATCCAGAGGAGCCCCAGGTCCTCAAGGCTCTGTCCTTGCAGATGACCTTCCTCATCCGGGGGTGCCTTTGCATTGCAGACACCACATCCTCTGGGAAGCCTTCCCTGGTTCTCCACCCCAAGCGGGTTAGGTGACTGCTCCTCTGAGTTTCCTCAGCCCTTCTACATAAATCTCAGTTTTGTCAGTTGCCATGGACTGCCAAGTAATTATTTGTTAATGTCTACTCCCCAAATAGACTTCATTTATTGATTCATTCATTCAATACACAGTGGTGCTGGGAAAATAAAGGCAAGAATCAGTACTTACTGTCTTAAGGTAGCTCAAAGGGAGTAGGGGTGACAGATTAGCACCCCAGCCACTGCAATCCTGTGTAAAAAGTGACATAAGAGCCTGATGGTACTGTTTAGGATGGGCACTTCACCTGGCTTGGAGGTTGGGGAAGTGTCAGGAAAGCTTCCTGGATGGTGCTGTGGTTTGAATATTTGTCCCCTCCAGAATGCCTATACATTGCTGGTGGGAATGTAAATTAGTACAACCTCTTTGGAAAACAGTGTGGAGATTCCTTAAAGAACTAAAAGTAGATCTACCATTCAATCCAGCAATCCTACTACTGGGTTTCTACCCAGAGGAAAAGGAGTCACTGCATGAAAACAACCCATTCACGTATATGTTTATTGCAGCCCAATTCACAATTCCAAAGATATGGAACCAACCTAAGTGCCCACTGACCAATGAGTAGATAAATAAAATGTGGTATATATACAACACGGAATACTAATCAGACATAAAAAAGAACAAAATAGTGTATTTTGCAGCAACTTGGATGGAGCTGGAAGCCATTATTCTAAGTGAACTCACTCAAGAATGGAAAACCAAATACTGTATGTTGTTACTTATAAGTAGGAACTAAGTTATGAGTATGCAGAGGCAGAGACAGTGATATAATAGACTTTGGAGACTCAGAAAGGGGAGGGTGAGAGGAGAGCACGGAATAAAAACTACATATTGGGTACAACATACACTACTCAAGTGACAGGTGCGTTAAAATCTCAGAATGCATCACCATATAATTCATCCATTTAACCAAAAACCGCTTGTACTCCAAAAGCTATTGAAATAAAAAATACACATTAAAAAAGAAAAAAGAACATTTGTCCCCTCCAAACTCTTGTTGAAATTTAATCCCCCACCTGGCAGTATTGAGAGGTGGGACCTTTAGGAAGTGATTAGATCATGAGGGCTCTGCCCTAATGAATGGAATAATCCATTCATGGATTAATGGGTTTATCATGGGAATGGGATTGGTGGCTTTATAAGAGGGGGAAGAGAGACATGAGCTAATACGCTCAGCCCTCTCGCCATGTGATGCCCTGCACCACCTCCGGACCCTGCAGGGAGTCCCCACCAGCAAGAAGGCCCTCACCAAGATGTGACCCTTTGACCTTGGACTTTGCCTCCATAACTATAAGGAAAATTCATTTTCTTTATAAATTACTAACTTTCAGGTATTCTATTAGAAGCAACAGAAAACAAACTAAGACAGATGAGGAGACGCTTGACCTGAGGCTTGAAGGATGAGTGACAGTTGGTCAATTAGGTCATGCTAGAGAAGGCGGGGGATGATGCTGCAGACAAAGGAAACGGGAGTTCAAAGGCACCCCGAGAGGAAGAGGAGGTGCCATTCAGAGAATGATGAATTGGTCTGCATGGCTAGGGAGTGGAGTATTGTGCAGAGAGGGAAGATTTTCTGCCCTCTGAGGGTGTGATAATTGAGTCTATGAAAAATGGACAGTAGGCAGATTAACAGGAAAAAAACATATTTAATTATGTATATATGCACAGGAGTCCCACAAAATCTGAGACTGGAAGAAGAGTCAGATGATTGAAGCTCATATAGTATCCCTGAGCTACAGAAAGCAAGAGGGGCTTGGTGCTTCTGGGAGTGGTGGTGACACACATCATGGGAGGGTGAGGGGAGGAAATGTGTGGCAAACAAAGGTTGTCTTATTGTGCAGATAAAAATTCTCTCGGGTAATAAAAGTTGTTTCAGAGTAGCCTATCAGAAGAATCTGTATCAGCCTGTGACAAAGTCCATCTGGGCAAGGTGTCAACCTTCATTCTCATCTTCTATGATAAGATCTTCCCTGGTTGATGAGAATCCTAAAAAATTGTTTTCCTTTACAGAAGTAAATTTCTTTTACCAAAGGACAGCTTTTCAGAGCTACTCCTGTGTCTGCAGTTTCTCAGAATAACCCGCTCAAAATATGCCAAAGAAGTATATCCCAGAGTGGCATATTTTGGCCTCCTACAGTCATATTTTGAGGTGTTGTGTCCTGAGCCGCCACAGTATGTATAACAGCAGCAAGGAAAGAGTTTGGGGTAGGGTACGGAACCCTGATATGCCATGCTGAGGAATATACACTTTATTCTGTGTATATTCATAGACACTTGCTTTGAGGGAATTAAAATGGAGGGGTAGCGAAGTCTTGTGAGTACTTTGGAAAGATCATTCCAGAAATGGGATGGGGGCAGAGTAGAAGAAAGTGAGTATGGAGATAGAGAGTTCCTTTAGGAGAAAATAGAAGATGGAGGCTCAAACTAAAGAGGTGGCAATGGAATAGCAGGGAGGAAACCGATTCTGAGGATATTTATTTAAGGTATTAAGATATTTATTTATCTAAGAGAATAGACAGAGCATGTTCATGAGGAGGAGGAGGAGGAGTTCAGCTCAGGGAGTGTTGACTGCCAAATGTCAATGAAACATCAAGAAGGGAAGCCCAGGAAGCAACTAGATGCTGGGATCTGAAGCCCAGGAGAGAGGTCTGGGGTGGAGAGAGTCATTTGTGTGTAAGTCAAAGCCGAAGCTGGGATCTCCCAGGAGAAACAAGTCAAGTGGGAAGAGAAGAGGGCTGATGCTGGACATCTGGGGAACAGTACCTATGGGCAGATGGAAAAAAGAGACCCTGACAAGAGGGTAACAAGGAAGCAGAGGGGCTGAAGGAACACCTGGGGAGATGAGTGTCCTAGAAACCAGGGAAGCAGAGCCCACAAAACGAGTCAGTGGTCGAGAGTGTTAAAAGCGACAGAAGACATCAGATTAAGTAAGACCTGAGAGGTTCCCAGTACATTTGACAATGAGCTGCTCAGATGTGATCTTTGCTAAAGCAGCTCCATGCAGTAGGGCGAGCAGTAGTCATACTACAGATGGTAGAAGAATGAATGGGGAAGGGGGACTGTAAGAACTTGGGAATAGCTTCTGGAGTATACGCTACTCTCTGTAGAAGATTGACTGTCATGGGAAAATGAATGGAGGAATATTGGGCTGAGAGGTTCCTTGACGATATGGAGAGCCTAGCACAGTGCCTGGCCCAAAAAGGCACTCAAATATGTAATTATCTAATAAAAGTTGAAATGATGAATTGCTAAATAACTGAAAAATGAGTCAGAGAAGACTTCTTGTATTTGAAAGCATTTAATTCCTCATTTAATTCCTCTCTTCACAAGAGAGGACACAGAAGATTAACCAGAAAAGGAAAAAGCATGCAGTCCAGAAGAATGTATGAACATTCATGTTGTAAGCAATGGGGAGAGAAAATTGGGGTGAGACCCAGGCATAGGCAACTGGAATGTGTGCCCCAGAGAGAAGGCAGCTTGTGAAGGGGGAGCTTCTTGCTGAGGAAGTGCACTGAGGGAATACAGACAGCATCATCAGGTAATACAATACACTAGATAGCAAACGGTGCTGAGAAATGCCATTGTAATCTAATGCTGGTTATTCAGGGTAACTGTAAAATCCATCTCAGTGCACTCTCAATCTTATCGATGACCTATTGTCTAAAGTAACGCATAGTGAATTCTCTAAAGGCAGAGATACCTTTTTTTCCTATCATAAACTACACAAGATATCAAGAAAGTAAGGTCACATTTGGAGTAGTATAAATTTAAACAGACTGTTAGTAGCAAATATTTAGAGCAAGACCAGACAACATTGGCTGACTTTGTGAAAAGGGGCCTGTATTTGGACAGATTTGATTTATTAGTTTTGCTATTTTATTTTATTTTATTTCATTTTATTTTGAGACAGGCTCTTGCACTGTTGCCCAGGCTAGTGTGCCGTGGCATGACCATAGCTCACTGTAAACTTGAACTCCTGGGTTCAGGCGATCCTCCTTCCTCAGCCTCCCGAGTAGCTAGGACTAGAGGCTTGCCTCACCAGCTGGACTAAAATTTTTTTATTTTTAATTTCTGCAGAGATGGGGACTTGCTATACTGCCCAGGCTGGATATGAACTCTTTGCCTCAAAGGATCCTTCCATCTCAGCCTCTCAAAATACTGGGACTGCAGGTGTGAGCCACCATGCCTGGCCTGTATTTGGACAGTTGTTGCAGCACCATGCTTAGCCTATATTTGGACAGTTTTTGCAGCAAAGATGGAATAATCATATCTTCCCTACAGAGTTCCTGTGAGAATTATAAGTGAAAGCCCTTTTAAATGATCAAGGGTGAGCTGTGTGTGTGTGTGTGTGTGTGTGTGTGTGTGTGTGTGTGTGTGTATCATGACCTAGTTGCTACTAAGGCCTTTGTGCGTGTCGGTGTGCTTCTGCAGCATGTACTCTTGGTTTTTGTTCCTCTTTTCTCTTACCTTCTTGATTAGGTTTGTTCTCTTATTAAATGATATAATACGTGCAAAATGCCTGACATAGCACCTAGAATCGGGGTGTGTGTGTTAACAGGAGTAATTGCCAGCGCTGTCCCTTCTTTCCCCCCATATCTCCATCTCTTCTCACTGGCTATCTATGGTCTGTGGGTGAACCAAGGGACGTTCCTCCTTTGCCATGAACTTTCAGAGGACTGATGACTCCTGAGCCTGACTTACAGTCTTTTAATTCTGGGCGAGTCACAACTTGGGGGCCTAATCGTGAGATTGATAAAGCTTAGGCTTTGAAATCACCAGCTGAATCAGCATAATCTCCACTGCTCATTCTGCAAAATCCTACAAGGTGTGGCATTAACTAAGATATTTCTAATCAATGCAGCTGCCTTTCCTTTAGAAAGCATTGACTCAGACATCAAATCTGTGATATTTATTTAGTTCTCGGAAGACTGGCTTTTTAAACATGACCTTTGAGTATTTACTTATGAAGGAGTTCAGAAAATGCTGCTCCAAAATACGCTGCTTTGGCAGGCTGGTTACTTCAAACTGAGGGTGCTTGGGGAAGGCAATTGCAAGAAGGAGCTTTCTCCGAACTTCCTTTTATCTGCCTAAAGACAGATCCTTCAGCCTGTAATCCCAGCACTTTGGGAGGCGGAGGCAGGTGGATCACCCTGAGGTCAGGAGTTCGAGACCACCCTGGCCAACATGGTGAAACCCTGTCTCTACTAAAAAACAAAAACCAACCAACCAACCCAACAAAAAACAAAAATTAGCTGGGTGTGGTGGCGGGCATCTGTAATCCCAGCTACTGGAGAGGGTGAGGCAGGAGAATCACTTGAACCCAGGAGGCAGAGGTTGCAGTGAGCCGAGATCAAGCCATTGCACTCCAGACTGGGCCACAAGAGTGAAACTCCTTCCCCTCCCCAAAAAAAGGCAGATCCTCTAATAGGAATTCATCTGTCAGGAATGGAAAAATCTGGGATCACAGCAGGCCCAGACAGATTAACACCTATGCTTCCGCTAGAAAACAACTCCTTATTACCTGATCAGCTTTTTAAAATTTGCACGAGACAACCTTTATTCTTTATACACTTCCTCCCCGACCCTCCCATAACTTGTGTCACCTGCCCGCCCCCCAAATTCCAAGATCCTGTTCTTTTCTGTAACTCAGGACGCTATACAGGCTTCAATCATCTGACCCTTTGAGCCTCATATTTTGTGAAACTCCCATGTGAACGTTGGTAATTAAAATGGGTTTTCTTTGTCCTGTTAATCTGCCTTATGGCAGTTTAATTCATAGGCCAGCCAAAGAACCTAGAAGGGTGGAGGGAAGCTATTTTTTGCTCCCTACACCCAGCAGACAGATACCCAGGGATGTGGGCAACCGTGAGAGGTAGAGATGGGCTTTGAGGGCAAGGGGTGTGGGTGCGGATGGGGAAGGGCATTAGGCTTCACTTCACAAGGGACTCCAGAATCTGCCCCTAATCCACCCGGCAAGTGCAATGCATTTTTGCGCCGGAGTTTCCTATCTGTTAACTGGGTATGATCATTCTTGCTCCATCATAGGGCAGCTCACGTATGTGTACATGGCACCCCCACCCACCACAATGGAAATGATATCGTTAGCTCTGACCTTGCATCCCAGCTCCAGAAGCCCAAACTCGGCTTTTCTGCGGCCGGATTGCTGGGTGAACAGAGCTTCGCGGAGGGGACCCCCTGCTGCCATCCTGCCGGGGGCCAGTGCCCGGGGCTTGGGGGAGGAGCAGCCGGGCAGGTTCGCGGGCACCGAGGGCGGCCCAGCTCCGAGCCCTGCAGCTTTCGCCCGCTGGAGCGAGAGCCGGCTGTAGGCGGCTCCTTCCTGTGCAAACTTTTCTGTCCTCTTCCTCCTCCCGCCCTCCGCACCGGCTCCTCGGCGCCCGGCGTCCACCTCCCCGCCCTTCTCGCTGCCTCCGGGTCGCGGCGCGCGGGGCAGAGCCGGGCAGCAGCGGGCAGCGCAGCCCTCGGCGCCGGCCCCACCCGGTGCTCCGGCCCCGCCGCCGGGAGCCGATGGCCGAGGCGGGCTGGCGCCCCGCGGCGTCCCCGGTCGATCCGGCCGGGCAGGCGGCGGCGGTCCCAGTCCCCGAGCCCGAGGCGCCCGCCCCGCCGGCGGCGCCTGCCCTGCGCTGGCTTCCCGGGGACCCGAGCCCCCGCGGCCGCTCACAGAGCGACCTCTCGTCGTCCTCGAGCAGGGGCCGCCCGCTCCGGGTCCACATCTCCGGCTCAGGTAAGAGCGGCTCGGGGCGCGGGCCGGGGAGGGCCGGCCGCGGGCAGGTGGCCGCGAGGGCGACGCGGCCAACCCGGGGCGCCCGCGGGCACTGGCCCGGCAGGCTGGCGGCGGGGTGGGGGTGGGGGACAGGGGAGGGCGGAGGCTGAACTCCCCACACTGCCGCCTCCTCGGCCGCCCGGGCTCGGCGACCCTAGGCGGAAGATGCTAAAAGCAGGCGACGGCTTGGTGCGCCTTGCGGGGCGAGTGTGCAGCCTGGGTTGGGGTAGGGAGCGCTCCCTCTCGGCTGCACGGCGCCAGGCAGCACCGCAGCTTGGCTTCCGAGGCTTTTCCATCAGAAAGAGGAACATTCTCGGTCTTCGGCGCGACTTTGGTCCCTCGGAAGGGTGCGGTTCCCTCACTTTGCGGGCTGGGACCAGGGCAGGTCTTGGGAGGCTTCCCAACTAACTGCTTATGGTTCTGAAATAAAGACGCCTTTTGCGGGTTGCTGGTAAGAGGACCCGGGATATGAGTTTTTCCTCCTTGCAAAAACCCATGAGGTTAATGGGGGAGAGCAGGGGAGAGTTTGGCGGGCTGTTTGTGCCTCTCATCCTTTAACATGTTTTGAAAAAGCCTCGGCCAGGAGCGGTGGCTCACGCCTGTAATTCCAGAGCTTTGGGAGGCCCAAGGCCGGCCGATCACTTGAGGTCAAAAGTTCGAGACCGGCCTGGCCAACATGGTCAGGAAACTTCGTCCCTACTAAAAATACAAAAAATTAGCCGCCGAGGCGGCGCATGCCTGTAGTCCTAGCTACTCAGGAGGCTGAGGCAGGAGAATCGCTTGAACCTGGGAGGCAGAGGTTGCACCACTGCACTCCAGCCTGAATGAAAAAGTGAGACTCCGTCTTACACACACACACACACACACAAACACACAAAAGCCTCAAGCTAGCCCCTCTGCGGTAGCACCGGCCCATGTGTTCTCAGAGGCTGCCCTGTGCCCCGTGCACCGGGACCGACGAAATCAGGAACTCAGCTAAGGCCGATGCTGCCGGCCGAGTTGTGTGACGTTGGGCAAATCACTTAACCTTGTCTCTCCTATCTCAGTATTCAGAGTGGGAATCATAGTATGGTACCACCACATTGGGAGGTTATGTGGATTAAGTAATCATTTTAAACTGCTTTTGAACAAAGCATTAGCCTAAGAATTGTAGGACTGTTTTTTAAAAGTCCACCAGATGCGTCAAGTTTCCACCAGTTGTCTGATGTGCAATCTTTGTAGGATGCATGGGAGCTGGGAAATTAGAAATGAAGCTAGCTAGCATCAAAAACTACCCATAGCGGCAAAAGCCCTGCCGGGGCGTGAACGTGCACTGTACCAGCTACCACTGCCCTGGTTTTCAGGCTCTGTGCTCCGGGATCAGGCCTTCTTTGGGTTCTAACTCAACCTCAGCTAAAGCTGAGCTTCCTGTTCAAAAAAGCACATTTCCATGCCTCTGACTCCACTTCAGCTGGCTAACTCTCTCACCATAGCCTTCTGTCTTCTTATTCTTGTCATATTGTTTTTGCCGCCCAACATGTGTACTTGAAAAACCTCAAAAGCATTGCCGTTGTGACTTTGTAGATCGCATTGGATGAAACAAGTCAGAACTGTTAGAATAGAGGTAGTGGGATTTGTGTAAAGATTCATCCTCTGAATTTGTATTGTGAAAAGCATTGAGTCCGAATGTTTTTAACCACCTGCTCTTGGTGTGCTGGCCAAACTGAACTCGAGCCATGGATTATTTTGATTGATTTCTACAAAGATTAACTGTTCAGAGACTCTAAAGAGACCACTGAGAATTCACCTAGTTGGTGATTGTAGACAAAGTATAGCTTGCATCGCCATTTTTCATTTTCATGGATGGAAATTATGGCCTGTATGCCGAAAAAGGACAGCAAAGACATTTAAAATGTGAGTGTGCAAAGTGTACATCATGTGAACCATGGGCTCCAATTTATAAAATTATTTTACTTCTGAGGACTCTTTGTCTTTTCTGTGTCCTCTTAACGGATGCTAGGAAGTGAAACCTTTCAGCTCAGTTGTCCCATGTGCCGCAGGATGCTGGCACAGATGTAGAAGAGTGAACATCTTTCATGTACCTGATTTCATTTTCAGAACTGAGCCTCGGATCCCTTTAAGAGCAGACTAAATGTGATCAGGAGCTCCCTGCTCTTAGAGTCAGAGAGAAAAAGAATGAGCAGGTCCTTCACTGACACACAGAGTATTTCTCCAGCATGCCCCACAGCCTCTGCAGCCTCTGTAAGCCATGCAGGATGGATCTGAGAATCAGCAAGATGACTGTGCTGGGATCTCTGAATTATCTCAGAGGCACAATAAGAGGGTTACACGCCTTGTAAAAACATTCCTTGGCCTAACACTATAGTAGCCCAATTTCCAGCCCTTCTCCAGAAGCTCTGGGCACACACAGAGGCAGCACCTAGAGCAAGGTCATGTGTGGCTTGCCAAAACAGCCCCGGACCAGCATCTGTGGCCTCATCTCAGAATCTCAGGCCCCACCCTAGGCCTGCTTAACTGAATCTGCATTTTAATAAGATCCCCAGGTTGTTCTTAGTCACCTTGCAGTTTGAAAAGTGCTGCTCTCCCACACTGGTTTTCAAACTTGGCTACACGTAGGAATTGCTTGGGGAGTTAACAACGAAGCAACCTGTGGCTGGGTCGCACACCTAGGGATTCTGATTTCATTGGCATCAGGTGCATCCTGGCCATTAGATGACGCTAATGAGTAGCGAAGTTTGAGAACTGCTGTCCTGTGCCATATTATGTCACCCTGGCTTGCTGCCGTATGTCTTGTGATACCGTGATACAAGTGTAAGTTTGAAGAATTTGTTTTAGTACCTTCTCACATCCCTATTGCTACATCCTCTCTTCTACTACTGCAGTCTCCCAAGCAGCCTTCCTTGCTCCTATTTTTGATTCCAGCTAGTTGTCAGATGTTCTTCCTAAGGGATAATTTCTAATCATGAGTTAACTCCCTGCTGTGGGTCCTTAGAAGAGTGTTGAGGGGAAAAGGAAATCACCTTTTGCAGTGACAGTGACCTGAAATGGAGAAGAGGAAGGGGAAGAAAGAGTGCTTGCCAAGAGTTGTCAGAGAACAGCCTCCCTCCAGAACGACAGACCATCCTTGCTACCTGCAATCATTACCCCAGCCTCCCCCACAGCTCCACCTCCATCCTTCTTTCCAGGAAAGAATAATAAAAACTTGGAACTCAGCCTCTAAAATCTTGCCCACTGCTGCAAACAGTCAGTCTAATACTAAATATATATTTTTAAAGACCTGTTCTGTGCTAGCACTGTGTTGATAAATACCGTGAGGGTACCCCAAGAGAATCGGCTTCCCCTGACTATGCTAGATTATTACTAGATTTTTGTCAAGACAAGCGTCTCAGACTTCAAGGGATTTTATTTAATTTGTGGCTTGAGGAATTTTTCACATAAGAATGCAAGTGCTTTATCAGAAAAAAAAAACCCAAGCCAGTTTTATATTTCAAAATCTATACAAAAAAGTTAAGAAAACAAAATATTTTCAAATAAGCAATTTTTAAAGATAGAATTGAAGTAACAGTGGAATTTATGAATAAACTCTTTTATTATGTTTATAAAAACGTGGATTCATTTTGCCATATGGTTTTTGAACTCACACTTCTGGAATTCAACAAAAGTTCTGAATTTATTTTTCTTTTTTTGAGATGGAGTCTTGCTGTGTTGTCCAAGCTGGAGTACAATGGCTGTTCGCCAGTACAACCATAGTGCACTGCAGCCTCAAACCCTGAGGCTCAAGGGATCCTGCTGCCTCAGCCTCCTGAGTAGCTGGTGTTATAGGCGCATGCCACTGCTCCCAGCCTTGGATTTTTAAAATCCAGTATTTCTTTGTAAATAAAGTGATGTTTAACTCAATTTTTAAAGTAAAATCTTGAAACAAGGTTCTCATAGTATATGGTCATGTATTCTCTTAAGTTTTAGACAGATCCTGTTCGGTATTAAGGAGCTTTGATAACTTTTTAGTGGTTTCTGATGTGCTGTTCTGATAAGCACAGTGTTTAGTAAGTAAAGAACCTGAAGACACACAGCCAGGGGCATAGACCATGTAAAGATTCAGCAAGTACCGACTGTTGGCCTACTGGGTGCCAGGTGCTGTTCTGGACCTGTGTGGGCTATAGGGAGGACCAAAAGATGTTTTTATTTTCATGTGATGATGCTTAGTCTTGCACATTGCACATTGGGCTGCATAGATCAGAGAACCATTCAAGCCACCTCCAAAAAAAGCAGTATAGGTGTGTGGACCACTTCATTAGCTTAATGTGCAAGTACAATCTCATCTTTTTATTACTGTGATTCATCTCTTCAGTATCCCTATGCCCTGGTATATATAGGCATAGGGGTAACAGCAAATCCAGGATCTTTTTCTCAAATCTTTAATTCCTGGTGTGTTCAGTGCTGAGTGGAAGTGAGAAATCTCGCATACCTCAATGTACTATCAGTTCATATGCACTGCTTCCTGGCCACTTCCATGAGATACTGCTGTCCAAGACCAGTTCTGCTGTTGGGTCACCTGTGCTGTTGGGGGAAGCTTGTGCTTGCTTATCCCTTGCTGGTGCTTCTACTATGTTTCTTACTGACCTCCAAGGTTGTAACTCTTTGAGTTGATGCTTTGTGCTCCGAAAGGGTGTCTGGGTCCCAAGAGGCTTCTGAGCCCCAGCCACGAGCTAAGCTGGAGGTGCCCTAGGCCAGGAACAATGAACACCTGCTCACTTTACATTTGTGTAACTCAGAGTGGGTTTTTTTCCAAACAAAGACCATCTGGTTCTAAGTTTACTTTCTGTCTCTCCCTGGTCAGGGAATAGCAAGGCCACCCTGCCCAGGCCAGCTCGGACAGTACAAGAGGGTGCTGGATGGAGCAGGTGCTGGTGGGCTCAGGTCCAGCCTGCGCTTTGCCCAGGTCAAGCTGTGTACCTGGTGTGGACATGTGTGCCTTCCTTCTCCCCCAGGGAGAGCACCCTTTTCTTTGCACAAAAGCCATGGGCTTCTCATCTACCCAGGAGCCTGACCGCCGGTCAGGCTTCATTCCAGAAGGGGCATCTCCTATCTGATTCTTACCAAGTTACCATAGCAGCTGATGACAGTCCTGTATCAGAGCTTGGCACATTTGAAAAATTGGCTTCACCTGTTAAGTCAGGAGGTCCTTATTAGGTCAGATTGCACCTGACCTGGGGCTGACACCAGAGAGTTGTCAGGAATTGAGGCAACCAATTCCTCTTTCTCTAGCCCTTTCCTAGGCTGGCATGGTTTCAGCAGGCTTGAGCTTCTGTTTGTCTCTCTGTTGACCAGCTTTCTTATTCTCTAATCAAAACAGATTATCTCTCCTTCATAGGTGTTTCCTCATCCATCTGCTTAAAATGGCACATCAGGGGTCCTACCTACCTGACAGCAATCTTCCTCTGTTTCCTTTTAGCTCTTGCCTTGTGTTTACCTGGGGAAAATTTCTTCATATTTCATAGTTCAAATTCTCTAGAAAAGACCTATTGTGTGAAGCCACCTTTATACAGCAAGACAGAGATCATATGCCCCATAGGTGCCTCTGGATTTGTTGCCTTTGATCAGATACTCACTGGAGCCGAAACCAGTTGTGGAGCATGAAGTCACAGTGCCAACATGGCCATGTAGAAGGGACTGAGCCTGGCCAGTTTCCATTCGTCCATTCATTCAATTAGTCTTTATTGATTACTGCTATGTGCCAGGTACTGTTCCAGGCACTGGGCATACAAAGGTGAGCAGATGTGATTCTGTGATTCTGGAGTTAGACTGAAAGCAGAGAGGATACTCAGAAAGGGTGTGGCAGGCCAGACACAGCAGTGTCTCTGGTGATCTAAGCTATAGGCCTTGCATCATGCTCAGTAAATAACATGATGATGATGATGACTGTTCTTGTTTTCAGAGGATGCATGAAGAGCTAATTTACTTAAACTAGTTAAGCTCTAGTTTGTGTCAGTACCTCAGTGGCAGCTCTGAGACAGATATTAAAGCCGTGGATTTATTCTGGCCCCTACGTACTGATGAAGATGCTGTAGGCAAGGGCATATCTTGATTTTTCATTTCTTCTTTCAATCAACAAATGGCTAGTGAGCTAACACAAAGGTTGCAAAGACATCCCTCAGGAACTCACAGTTTAGTGGGGAAAGACAGGCCAATAAGCCAAAGACCACAGTGCAATAAAGTATAAGCTATGATTAGTGCCCTGTCCTGGGCCTGGGGGAGAACCTAGGATGGTCGGCTATAGGGAATGGCTGTGGGGAGAAAATGCCTCTGGCAAGAGGTGAAACCTGGGCTATCTCTATGCAAAAGGAGGAACTGAAAGATGGAGTTGGGTTGGGGAGGAAGAGTGTTTGGGGATGGGAAACAGTACATGTAAAAGGCCTGAAACAAACTGGCATAATCAGAAAACACTCAGCAGTTGCTTTTGGCTCTGAGCAGGGTTCTTTTGGGAGAGAAGGGAGAGTAGAGAGCTGGGCAGAGACTGAGTATGGGAGGTTGCTGTGTTTGCCTTTTTCCTGGGAGACACAATTTAGGCATTTGCAAGTTTGATATGGATATATTCTGAGTATATTCTGACATGAACACTGAAAGACAGAGACAATGGTAGAAAGAGCACAGACAACTGAGATTGGGACTGTCAGGGCTCAGAAAACAATACCGCAAAGCGTGGTGCTTTGATGTGCTGAGTATTTCTAACTGAAGGACATTGGAAGGGCCTCAGAAGTAAAGCCTCTCTCTGACCTTCTCTTGCCCTTCTCTTGACCTCCTATCTTCTGTTCCCCTTTCTCCCAAAATGCAGGCCACAGAGACTAGAATTCCTCTTCCCTGAGGTGGGTTGTAGAAACTAGGAATGTTACTCTAAACTTGCCCTGCCTTTTTGTGTAGGAACTAGCCGTAAAGAAATTCTTTGACCTGCCTTGTGTGATAGTAGGTCATAAGACCTTCATTCCAGGAGGGAGGGAGGGAGGGAGTGGGAAGGAAGGAAGGCGGGCAGGCTCCCATATCAAATAAAACTTTGATTCAAGAAGTTTGTTAGGCTTTCCTCTTGTTAACCTGTCTTGTGTTACAGGAGTGTTGCCATGACCCTTACGATAGGTGAGAAAAGGTATCACACCTTTCTCCCCCATACACAGAATCTGGTTATTATCTGTGTAATCTTAGGACAGATTGACACCTGCCACCTCCCTATGCTAGGTTTAAGTCACCTCCCTATGCTAGGTTTCCTTATATCTGACCTGAAAATAATTAGTAACAGTAACACATAGCTCATAGGATTATTGTGAGGCTGAAATGTGTGAAAAGTGCTTTTGAACTTTAAAGTACTGTGTAAGTGGTGGCACCTTCGCATGCTTCCATTGTAAGGCTTACTGTGCTGCATTCAAATGATGCATGGATTTTTCTCCTTCCCTGCACCATAAAATCATTGAAGATGGAAAGCATATTTTATTTATTTTTGCATTCTCAGTACCTACTAGAGAGCCTGGTACACACTAGGTGCTCAGTAGATACTTGTAGAATTAATGCATGAATTACCTTAAAAATAGTTCTTTTGACATTAAGTATCTATAAATCAAAAACTAGCCTAAAACGATTTTTTAAAAATGTGTAAATAGAAGATTGGGTAAAAATGGGGATTTCCAAAATTTAAAAATAATGAGAGATTTTTGTTTTTTTTTTTTCTTTGAGACAGGTCTCACTCTGTCACCCAGGCTGGAATGCAGTGGTGCCATCTCAGCTCACTACAACCTCTGCCTCCCATGTTCAAGCGATTCTCCCACCCCAGCCTCCTGAATAGCTGGGACTACAGGCATGTGCCATCATGCCTGGCTAATTGTTGTATTTTTGGGTAGAGATGGGGTTTCACTATGTTGGCCAGGATGGTCTCGAACTCCTGACCTCAAGTGAGCCACCCACCTAGGCCTCCCAAAGTGCTGGGATTACAAGCATAAGCCACTGCTCCTGGCCTGTTTTTGTTTTTTATACAGCTACCCATGAGATCATTAGAACTTCCTTGGGGTTAGTGTGTAAACCTCACTTGGCAACACCTATGGAAGTGAAGAGTGAAAAGGAAGTCATAAGTGTCAGTTCAGCCTGAGGCTAGTGGTGATGGAACCCCAGCCACGGGGACTCTGCAGCCTCCTGGGAATGTTGGTGCTGGGTATTGGATGCAAGAGTGTAGGCAAACGAAGGCAGAAGGAAGTGCACTCATGCTAGCCCAATCCTGCATTATTTCCCCACATGATCACACTCTATAGCAACCCTGTGAGAGAACAGTGTATCAGCTCCTTTTTTCAGGTAAGGAACCTGGTTTCAGAAGAGTGGAGTAATCCACCCAAGTCCCTCAGGCAGCAGGGAAGGAATAGAACCAAGACTCAAATCTTCATGACTTCAAAATGCATACTCTTTTCTTACCCTACCCCACCCTAGTACATATCTATCACCCCTCATAGAAACAACTCATGTTTATCTCCACCAACAGAGGGAAAATCGCATTATGTTTTACTCTGAATTATGAAAGAGATCATCAGAATAAATATCACTTTCTATCAAAAAGTATTTTTAAGGCCCCAGTCAATGGTCGTCTACTTTAAGGTGCATTCAACACCACATTTCTAGCATAAAGAACAAATTTGACTTACTCGTGATGGAGTGTTCTGCCGTGTTTTCAGGCTAGCACATTTCGGTGATCATTACTTAGGTGGATTCTTTTAATCTAAAACAACTCAGTTTTAGAATCATGTGTTTAATTCATGCCCAAGAACCATATCTTGTCTCAAGGTACAAGTGTAGTTTCGGTTACAGTGAAACTCAGGAAAAAACATTGAAGCAGCTTTAGTGTTTTTAAAATACCATGCTGAGTGACTCATTATCTTTGATCACACTTGCTGAAATTTGCACAGAGAAGTAGGTTGCAGCAGCGTGCCTTAGAAAGATTTCTGAGCTCTAACTTATTTTGTGACCTGTTGGCTAAAATTTGACATTTATATGCCTTACTTTGCAGTTTCTTGATACCTCTGTGAAGTCTTGAGAAAGAGTAGCTATTGCTTATCCCTCGTAACAGGAAGAAACTTGTGACTTAAAAAAAAAAAAAAACATGTTATCTCTCTCTAGAACTTTGGACTGTGGCTAGGGCAAGAATGTCAGAGGTACAATGCTTTGATTTTGGGTCCATAACTCACATACTGTAAGCATGTGACATAATAATTAATGGTCATTAGTCAGGTCATCAATGTTGATTTATGATCTTTTTTGTTTTATGTATATTTTCACCTACCTGAATGTTTGGCATATCTTCTTTGGAGGTATAATTTCTATTAAATAATCTTCAAGTAGCCTAAATATCAAGAACAAACATATTAAACCCCTTTTCTCCAAACTACTGGTCATTATAAATCTTTGATTTTTACTCCAGATGTTTGGAGAACAAGACAGAAAGGTGTGATAATGATAAAGAATGTGATTTAGCCTGGGCGCAGTGGCTTACACATGTAATCCCAACATTTTGGGAGGTGGAGGCAGAAGGATTGCTTGAGTCCAGGAGCTTGAGACAAGCCTGGGCAACATAGTGAGACCCCATCTCAAAAAAAAAAAAAATAAAAAATAAAAAATTAGCCAGGTGAACTGGTGCGCACCTGTAGTCCTTGCTACTCAGGAGGCTGAAGTGGAAAGATTGCTTGAATCCAGCAGTTCGATGCTGCAGTGAGCTGTGATTGTGGCACTGCACTCCAGCCTGGGTAACAAAGTGTGACCCCATCTAAAAAAAAAAAAGAATATGGCTTATGGTTAGTAAGTGTTATAGAATTTATGTCTTCAAATGAGTGTTATCTTTTAGAGTTGTCATATTGGAAGAGTATGTACTCATTCCCATTATAATCTTATTAGGCAAAACAGTGTTCAACAAAAGTTTTGTGACTAAAATATGTGACCCATATTTTTATCCTCTTGCCCTAACTATACCTCAATTGTAGCTCTTTCTAAAAATCATGTCTACATTTGAGTGACATAGATGTACTGTCACTGAGGAAGATTTGAAAAAGCATTCCATAAATGGCAGTAACAGTGGCCACATAGTAGGAATACATTTATTGTCTCCCAGCATGATTATTTTGGTGGGAATAACAATCATTTGGACAGCTAAGTCATTCACATTACTTTATAGTAACACTGCGTACCTCCAAAATATATAACCACACAAGGTCATATGTGCTAACCAAGCAGATCAGTTGGAACTGTTAACACAGTGACTGTGAGATCTAGAAAGTAAAGGAGCTTTGAAACAGCCACTGTGACATTTGTAGAAGGGACCCAATCAGATATGAATGAGAGGATTACTAAGTAATAGCAAGGGTTTGAACAAAATGAACAAATTTCTATAGTTAGCAATAGAGACTCCCTTCTTCGAATGAAGGAAAAGGGGTTTGTTTGTCTATTTGTTAACAAGAGCAGCCATTAACCGGGAAGGAGAGTGTGGCTTCATGATACCTTGCGGCCAGGAACTGATACATTGATACATTGGTTGTGATCAAGGAGGGCACTCTCTTTTTGTTTCCAGGGATTGATCTAACTCTCTCTTGCCCGCTGTATCTATGTATGTATGTATGTACGTATGTATCTATCTATCTATCTATCATCTATCTATCCATCTATCCATTCATCATCCATCATCTATTAATCTATCTATCTTCATCATCATCATCATGTGTATCATCTATCTATCTTATTTTGGCCTACTATAACAAACTGTCATAGACTGGTTGGCTTATAAATAAGAGAAGTTTATTTCTCTTATTATGTCTCACAGTTCTGGAGGCTGGAAGTTCAAGATCAAGACACTGGCAGATTCAGTGTTTGGCGAGGGCCTGCTTCCTGGTTCATAGATGGCCATCTTCTTGCTGTGTCCTCACATGGCAGAGGGAGGAAGAAAGCTCTCTGTGAGCTCCTATAATGACACTAATTTCATTCATGAAGGTTCCACCCTCAATACCTCATCTAATCCTTATTACCTCCCAAAGACTCCACCTCATAATACCATCATGTTAGGGGATAGGGTTCTAATGTTTGGATTTTGAAGGGATATAAGCATTCAGTCCGTAACACTACCTAACTAATCTGTCTTTCCATCCATTCAACCGTCCATCCTTCTGTCTTTCCCTCCCTCCCAGACTTCTCTGATGCTGTGAGCATATATTCTCCTCAGATTTCCCCTATTTACATGTCTTCTGTTAAAGCTAGCAGAGAGGGCTTCCCTTGGAATCCAATTCCACACACCAGCCTGGGCCAGGTAGCCATTCCTGACACCAGCTATATCCGTTTTGTTGGACAGAGACCACTGGGGTGTATTCTTGCAGGTGTGGAGAGCACAGTTCCTCGATGAGAGGTGGGGGACTGGGAAAACACAACAAAAGCATTCATTACCTCCTTGTACCTGGGGCCCGGGGAGGTAAGAAATTGCAGGGCTTCTGGGAAGCCTACGTGTCACAGAGAAAAGCCTAATGTCTTTTAGGTAAGAAAGAAAGGAAAGAGTAGAGTAAGAAAACTATGTGAAATAAGGAAGCATTTTTTTAACATAACAAAGTGGATGTTTCATTGCACCATAGGTGTTTTAGAGTTGTGGGGGAAACAAGCAAGAATGAGGCATGTTCCTAGGGAACAACAAGATAAGAATAGGAAGGATGATGGAAATCATTGGCTGGGGTGAGGTGGGGGCACCTGTGGCTTGAGGAGTATAAAGAGTACAGGGAAGAAGGCTTGGCCATGAAGACAGGCATTCTCTCCCCCCGACCCAGATTGACATGGTGCCTGATCTCCTCCCCAGCGAACATGCCAGTCTGTAGGGTGCACATTTCCACAGAGCTGTCTGGGCCCCTTTGGTTTCCATTCAAGGCAGCCCTCAGTGGTCATTTAACCAGATCTCCTCATTCCTTCAGGAAGATTAATAGTGGGCCTCACATGGCAGATCAGGCCTAGGTCTCTTCCCAAATGGAACAATATGGTAGTGAGGCCAGTTCAAACCCTTGCTTTCTGGGGATTACGTCCCCAAGGGTGACCCTGGATTCAGAGGCCTGCTCGGGGTGCGGGATGGCATTCCTTTGGCTTAATCTGATGAAACATTTCTCAGCAAGGGTTTAGAGTTTGCATGAGGTCACATGTGATTATCCAGATCTGGATTTATTGTTTTTTTATGGGGGTGACTGCTCCTTAGGCAGCTGACACATTCTCAGAAGGCCGGCCACAGGCAATGGCAAGATGAGAATGTTTGCCCAAGCCCAGGAACCTGCTGGGGGGTACTCAGCAGCTGCTAAGCAGCTATGGAGGGAGAAAGGTGTTTTGAAATTTCTGGTGCTGAAAAACCTGCCTTGTACATTAAAATCTGTAAGCAAATGTCCCTGTTCCACCTCCCCTTCCTGAGCTGCCTGGCTGCCACTCCTCCCTTCTTCTGCACACGCCTACTTTAACAGTTGCTCATTGAGCCTTCTTCTAAGGCTTCCCTTGATGTTCATGTTTGCAGGCCCTCACCTGTGTTAAAGTCATGCTTAGGAGTGGGGGTGGGGTGTCTCGGTATGATTCAGCCGGTCCCTGGCCTCAACAAGCAAGCTCTTAATCCTAGGTTGTGGTTTTCAGCCATGATCACTTTGCTGCACTGTTAATAGACAATAGGCAACAAAGGCACACCACAAAGGATGAAAACTGAGAGTCCCGGTCAGCTTACACCAGAAAGTGCCAAGGCTACCATTTTTTGCTAGGTGGGAGTTGGAGTGATATCCCAATGCATCAGTGGACTACTCAAATCAAACGTAATGGCCTGCTGACCAGAGCTCCCACTCTGAGTTCACATATGAGTAGATGACAGAGTCGTATTATCTAATGTAGCATTTCTCATATCTAATGTAGACTTTCTCATACACATTCTAACATAGGAATCACCCGGGGATCTTGTTGAAATGCAGTAGGTTTTGAGTGGGAATTGAGCTTGTGCACTTTCTAACAGGCTTCTAAGTTTTGCTGACGCTGCTGGTCCTCGGACCACACTTCAAGGGAAGCAAGTCTGTATGGAGAGCTTTTAATGGGCCTGTCAACTATTTTAAGGACTGATTCCTTATAGCACTGATGTACCTCAACATCCCATCCATGGAAACTTCCATGCTACTTAAAAGTCTACTCTTGCTTTCCTGTTTGGCAAACCTTACTATATATTATCTATATAGTAAATAATGGGCGGAGGGTGTCATGCTTTTTCATGAAGTTTTTTGATGAAGTATCTAAACTAATCCACGCTTTGAAGGATCTAGAGAGAGAGCATGGCTTTAGAACTTTTACCTACAAAAAATATTTTGCTTCAAGAGTGTCCATATGAATTGGCTTCTGGGACTTTCTCTGAAAAACCTCTAGTGTCCAGTGTCTAGAGGACTGTACAATTAAGAGGCGGGAATAGATTTAAAAAAACAAACAACAACAAAAACAAACAAACAAAGATTAGGGGCGAGTGCGGTGGCTCACGCCTGTAATCCTAGCACTTTAGGAGGCCTAGGAGGGCAGATCATTTGAGCCCAGGGGTTCGAGATCAGCCTGGGCAACATGGTGAAACCCCATCTCTAGAAAAAATACAAAAATTAGCTGAGTGTGGTGGCATGTGTCTGTAGTCCCAGCTACTTGGGAACTGAGGCAGGAGGATCACTTGAGCCTGGGAGGTTGAGACTACATGAACCATGATTGCACCACTGCACTCCAGCCTGGGTGACAAAGTGAAATCCTGTCTCCAACAACAAACAAAAAGACAACAAAAAAAAACCCCAAAGACTAACACATTTTATTCACAGAAAACTCAAATCCATTCTTTAAGGTGACATTACCCAAAACATGAAAAGACAAGAGTAGAAGATGGATATACAGCAGTCCCCCCTTATCTATGGGGGATTCATTCCAAGACACCTAGTAGATGCCCGAAACCTGCAGATAGCAACTGCTGAACCCTGTGTATACACTGTATTTTTTTCCATTCATACATACCTATGATAGAGTTTAATTTTAAAATTAGGTACAGTAAGGACAACAATAACTAATAATTATAATGTAAGAAGTATGTGAATGTGTTCTCTCACTCTCAAAATACCTTACTTCACTGTGGAAAGTAAAACCTCAGATAAGTGTGGATTACTGTGGACTTTTGAAAAGTTTTACAATTGTGAAGCATTTTTAATTCTTCATTTCTCAGTGTCTGTTGTGCCTTTTGTAGACTAGAAAAAGGTAAGGCTGAACAAGATGAGCTGGGTTTCTCAACACCCGGACCAGGGCTGTGATGATAGGAACAGGAAGGAAGGGAGACCTTGGGAACTATTGCTTCTATGGGTTGAACATAGGGACCTCCTTCTAGGGAGACTAAAGATGCTGAGATACACCTTAGTATCAGAGTGTCGGTGGCGGCAATGATAATTATGAAGATGTTGGAAAATAGGGTTGAGGCTGCAATAAGAAGATATGTTAATTTTGTTATCTGTGGTTGATATTATAATACCCATTGAAAATGCCCTGTAGAAGAGAGAAATGTAATAATGGGGGGAGGCTAAGCTCTAAATGGAGAACTTTGACTTGCTGGTTGGATTAATAATGTGACCATTTATTATTGCCTTGGGTATCACTGGAATTTTCCTACATAGCTTTGTTCACATGAAAAATTAAAGTTTACTGCATAGTGCTTGCTTAATAATTTGTTCAGCAAGCAATATGCAATAAACTTTAACTTTTCATGTGAGTATAGACTGTCTCCCTCTCTTCGAGTTCACTTTGAGTAGTAGACTTTTGTAATCTCAATGGTGCCTCATCCATAGTAGTTGTTTATAAGGCATTTGTTGGAAAGCGACTGATTATACTTGGGAGTATTTGTAGTCACCTGAAAATAGTGAGAAGCCACAGCTGGAAAAAAAAAATTAGAAGTCTAGGGAAGAAAGAGTGTGGTGAGGGAGGTTAATGGCCCCCAGCTCACCTAAGAGAACCTAAAGAATAAAAACTGAAAGGACATCTTCAGATTGCATCTGAAGGAAGTCACTGGAATTCACAGCCAAAGCATTTCTGATGAAGTTCTAAGAATGAAAACCCAGAGAGTCACTGAGGGAGTAGGAGTTGAAGGGAAGTTTAAGGAGCAAAACCACAAATGGAAATAAAGGGCAGGGAAGCAGGGAAATAACAACAACCAACAAGAAAAGTTCCTGTGAAGCAAGTACTCTTCACCCAGTACCTTTCAATAATCTTTCATTAACATGATCTTCTGTGCTCAGACATGTCTGTTTATGGATAATATTAAGCATGTAGTAGATGGTGCTCTATCAGAATTAAAAAAAAATTGAAGGCTGGATGCGGTGGCTCATACCTATAATCCCAGCACTTTGGAAGGCCAAGGCAGGTGGATCACTTGAGGTCAGGAGTTTGAGACTAGCCTGGCCAACATGGTGAAACCCTGTCTCTACTAAAAATACAAAAATGAGCCGGGCATGGTGGTGGGTAGTCCCAGGTACTCAGGAGGTTGAGGCCAGAGAATTGCAGAGGTTGCAGTGAGCCAAGATCGTGCCACTGCACTCCAGCCTTGGCAACTGAGCAAGACTCCATCTCAAAAAGAAAAAAAAAAAAAAAAAAAAGCAAAAAACTAACCAACCAACCGAACAAACCAAAAAACACATTGAAGAAACCTTTAGGAAAACCGGCATGATCTCTGATGTCCAGCTGCCTGTCACTTGCCAGGTATTTAAGGAGTGAAATGAGCAATGATGTTTCATCCAGATGCTTAAACATGCTTATCCCAGCCCAGAAGTGTGGCTGAGGGGCTAAAACCCATGCACCACTCTTGACCCATCAACAAGGTTCAGCAAGTATTTACTGAGTCTCTATTATGTGCCAGTGAGAAAACAAAAATCCAGCTCATAGAGACTGCAGTATAGTGAGGGTGTCAAAGATAAAGCTGGAAACTAAAGTGGCAAGGAGAGATTTTAATGAGTGATAGACTATTGCTATAGAGAACTATTCAGTGTGAACTGAACAACTTCAATTTGTACAGAAGTGACTGTGCATTTTAAAGAGAGAATGAAGGAGTATAGAGGGAGGTGAACAGAGGTTCAGTAAATTCACGGAAGTGAAAATATCATACAAACCAGGAAGAGGGGAGTTGGTGCATGTAAACCCAGCTGGGTTTGTTAACTGGTGCTTATGGAAGTCAGGCTCCCACCCTCCCACAGAGGCTGGAGACAGGAGCCCCATCTTCAGATGTTAGATGAACAAACAGTAAATTATTTTGACAGTTTTGAGTTTTCTCAGACAGGCACTTTAAGGTGAGTTAAGGTCATTCTAGAGATGCAGGCCTTGAGCTGTTAGAAACTGTATTCATGTTTTATTCGAGTCTCTATAGGCTGAGGTTGAGGCCTAGTTGAGAAGAGGGCTCAGGGGAGCTGACTAGAGTTTGATCAAGAAAAGAGTCTTGCTGGGAGACAGAGACAATACACAAACTAAATAAACAATATTAGATGGTGATTACAAAGCAGAGGAAGGGTATAGGTCGTGCCGGGGTGAAGGTGTGCAGATTGCAACCTTAAGTATGGCAACCAAGGCAGGCCCCACTGAGAAGGTGGCATTTGAAGAAAGGCCTGAGAGAAGTTAAGGGGTGATCCTTCCAGGCAGAGAGAAGAGCAAGGGCAAAGGCCCCAAGGAACAGAAAAGAATCCCGGGTTGGGCCCCTGTAGACCACCGCAATGACGTTGACATTTTCTCTGAGTGAGACTGGGGATCCAGTGGCGGGGGCGCTGGGCAGAGGGGCATCATGTTTTTTGATACAAATGTAGAAAGCAAAGTTTGGGAGATAACTATTTCATTCATATCAATATCAACTTAGGAGTGAATCCACAGTATGCAGGGCTATGGTGTCTGCTTCTTCTCAGGAAGGGACAGTAACTAGCCAATTGATGGAGATTTTAACATTACGTGGAAGTAGCTAAACTAATTGAAGACATTTAAAAATGTCTTTACCTCCAACAATTTGCTGTTAAAAAATTATTCGATGACACTTGTTCAAGCACGGTAAGGCAGGTTTTATTTAGGACCATTGCAATAGGTATAGGGACCACTGCTATCGATTTTGTAGTCGGGGAGTGGGATTGGGCTCAACTCTGAATGTAACAGGGAAAATAACTTATAGCCAAGGAGCAGTGTATCTTGCTCCTTGGCTATAAATTACAAGTGGGTGTCAGTGGATGGAAAATTACTAAAAGGAAACGTCAGCGTTAGAGCAGTCTTGCTGAAGACAGGACAGGATGATCAGCCCTCACCTGAGGAAAGGTGAAGGGCTAAGGAACTCGATTGAGGGTGGGAGTTCTCGGTAAACCAATTTAGCAGGGCTTTTGTTAAAACTGTATTTTACGAGGAAGTGCCCAGATGGGCCTAGAAGATCCAGGAGCCTGACTAAAGCTTGGTCACTCAAATAATCTTTGTCACTGCCAGTCTAAGAGGTCAAAAGTGTAATTTTGTCTTTCCCTGATTACTATTGAACCTAGGAAATATTTTATATTATTAGCCATTTGCATTTTCTTTCTCTGTGGTCTTCCCAGTACATATCCTTTGCCCTTTGTTCCTGTTGCATTATTTTCTTAACTCTTGGTGTGTTGAGTTGATAAATAATCCTTTGTGGTATATACATTGGAAGTATTTTTCTGCTATTTGGTTTTCTTTCATTTTGTTCTTAGGACGTTTTGTTACTCAGGAACAAATCCAGTTTTGATGTGTGAAGGTGTGTGTTTCCATACACATACGGAGGATTTACAAATATGCTGTAGATGTCTGTATTTGCTTTGAAATGCCCTTCAATAAAAACCATCCCAGCTTCTGTGATTCTTATCTTCCCTTTTTAGTGTGGGAGGCTTCCTGCTTTGCTTTGTCTGCACATTTACGTCGAGCCTGCCGAGCTTAATTTTAACCTGGGGAAAAATACAGAAGAGAAGCTATTTTCAGTCAGGTCATATTACTGAGAACACCTGTGAAATTCAGGATATTTTCTTGGGGGTAAGTTAAAATGTAGGACGCCACCTTGCCTGAAGCACATTTCTATTGTGGTTGCTGTACAAATTGGGAGGTGTTACTTGGAGCCAAAAACCTTATCACTTTCACACCAGCACTGCTTCTAAGTTGCATGCCTCCAACCCTCAATCCTTGGTATTAATTCTGAAACAACTAGTATAACCATCTGTTGAAAAGTTCTGTGGGAAAAAAAGGGGTCTTTGTGGCCTGTGTTATTCACTTCCCTGATGATCAACACAGAAATATTTTACATTTTGGTTATCAGTCTATTTTTTCCTGCTTTTCCTCTTGCTCCAGTTTGCCTTCCTAAATGTCTGGCCATAGGCAAATAAAATATACCCCCACCCTAGATGATTATGGTGTCAAAATTCCCTTAATCACACAGTAGCCCCAGCCAGCTGTTTGAGTAATATTTTTCCTACCTCATCGTGTGAATTGTCTTATTGTTTTGGTGAAATGTTGACGCTACCACCTACTCTCATCCTCCCACCTCCATTTGCAGATAAAATCTAATTATCACCTCAGGATGGTTTCTTGACATACAATATAATCACCACCGACACAAAAGAATTTAGGGCACTATGACATTTAGCTTTTTTTTTTTTTTTAAAGACTGTTGTTCAAAAAAATGATCCTTTTAAATTTGCTATTTCACAATTAATTTTTTTAAAAAGAAACAGAAAAAAAACAAAAAGAAAAGAGACCAAACCTTTTACTCTTAGTAATTAATCTATTTGTAGTGTTACATTGAAGGTAGTAGCAGAAGGGACAGTGAAAACTCATGATGGTTAAGAAATTAACAAAGGAGCATGCTTTTAGGACTTCAGGCAGGGATCATTACTAAAGTCCCTAGCTTTGATTAGAATTTTGTGATACCAGCTACTGTATAATTCGGCCCCAGTTCATTTCAGACTTTCTTCCTTAAATTCATTTATTTATTTCAGGACATTAAGGTATGGACTTTAGGTGTGGGGCATCTCCAATGCTCCTGCGTGCCAGGCACAAGGCGTGGGCCAGGAGAGTGAATATCTGGTGGAGGGAGGTGAGGAATACAGGAAGTAGTGCATTTTACTAAATGGAGAAAACATTGAAGGCAGCCAGCTTGATAGAATCATCAAAAATAAAAATTGAGGCATATAACAAAACCAGAAAGTACATTCATAACTCCGTATGTCAAACTAGAGAGAGGAAAGTGAAAAAGATGAGAAAAAATATTTTGAGAAAAGTTGACTAGCTCCTCTGCAGTGACAGCATTCAAAAAATCAATCTAAACGCAGCCCTAGAGCAGCAATTCAGCTTCCCAGCTTGGAGGACTCTAGGTTTGAAGCTTTCAGCTGCTATCAGATTTGAACCTCTCAGCTCACAGGGTGCTAACTAGAGGAGAAGGAAGACGTACATCACCACAGGACCACAGCGACGCATCACCATGGAATTTTCAGACTCAACGCACTGGCCACACCATGGGGTCCAATTGCTGCCATTTAGAAAAGCATGCTTTTAAAGTGTGTCATTTAAGAGTAAGTATTCTTTTTTAAAAATATGGGCCAGGAACTAATAAAAATGATGCACAAAGACGTGAGAAGATATGCTGCCTGTCTGTCCTCCTCCCTCAGAGAGACCACATTTCCTTTTGAAACAAAAATGAGGCCAGAAAGAAAGGGCCTCCCTCCCTAACCCCAGCCTCAGTTAGAGAGGGCCACAGGAGCTCGCCTACCATCTCTCTCCAAAATATGTTCTCCATGTGGTTCGGCAAGAGGATTCACTTGGTTTGACAAACTTTTCCCTTTGAAGAGTAAACACTTCCTGAAGGGTTAAAGGCCAGGTAATGGCCATTCACATTATTTTGCAAGTAAGTTACTTTAATCATCATCATCACTAGTATTGCAGAGAAGTTTAAAAGGATTCTCATCTCTCAACCATATTTCATCCTCATAACCTTTTGAATCCAGTGGGACTTTTATTTGCCCCATTTCACAGATGGGGAAAGTGGAGAGGGAGGTAAATCATCTTGGGTCATACAGCCAGTAAGTGCAGAGGCAGAATTTAAAGCCAAGTCTTCTGAGTCCAAGTTCAGGGCTGCTGCCGTAACCCCATTCGTTGCACTCCCACATTTGCTGGAACTGGAGCTTTGGGTGGGATTGGGGAAGGAGGGAAGAGAAGGTCTGGAAGTGTTGGAGGTGGCATGGGCAGGGAGGTATACCTTCCTGCTAAGATGGCTCACCCTCACCACACAGGGTCTCGATTTTTCGAGAACTGACCGGACCATGTGGACCTGGTCCAGCTCTTCCAGACTCTTCCACACTCCAGTCGTTTTTCCTTGGCTGACTTCTTTCTCCGTAAGGTCTTGTCGCGAGTCCTAGAGGCAACCAGTTCCTTGCGTACCCCACCCTCCTTCGTCAGCATGCTGCCACCTTTGAAACACAGGCGTGTTGTTTCTTTTGCCTGAACCCCAATAGAAATGTAAAAGTTGACACCTTGTCAGTGGGAAGCGAAGTCAGGTCATGTTCTTGAAGGTAAAATTAGGCCAGGGTTCTACGGAATAAGCTGGAACCATCTTCCATGAGAATTGTGCTTTTTTTCCCCCTTTGCTTTGTTTTGTTTTCTCATTCCTGCCTCAGCAATACCCTTGAAGGATGGATGGGATCCTTCATGTCCAGGTGTACCTCACCTGCTTCAGGAGACACCAGACTGAACTCTTTCTCTCTGACGTTCTCCTTGGGTCCATCCCACATGCTGCCTGGGAGCTTCTTCCTTGTCACCTAAGGTCCCTTATGTCTTCATTTTTGCCCTGGATCCAGCGCCTATAGATGGAAAGAGATTTATAAGAAACACTGCACAATCAAAATATATGGACTTTGTTTGAATTCTTATTCAAAGTGTAAGAAAAAAAAGTTATCCTGGATATATTTGATGATATTAAGGAATTAATGTTCCTTCTTAGGTGTGAAATAATATTGTGGTTGTGTTTTAAGAAAGAGTTTTCCCCTATTTACATGTAAAAATATGATAGGAGAAAAAAGATGTCTACTTTTTTGCTTCAAAATCTTCAACTCTCCCTTTCACCTACCTCTTTCCCGTTACTATGTAAACATGTCCTATTTGCATTAGAAATATTAAATTTCTAAATTCATATGTAGTAAAACTACTAGGTTTTAAAAAAATTGAGTGTCAGATCTGTTATGAGGATGAAATTAACTGTTTCCATGTCCATTTTCATTTTTTAGGCTACATGGTGGGGAGACCAGAAAGCTCACTATTTCACTTATTCCTGTCTCCTTTGTCATTTTCTTTAGTAATATTCTGGGTAGAGAAAGGTAAGGAGTGTGTACCAATGACCTCTGTAGTGCTAAGATACATTCATGCGTTTTTCCAATGCGAGGAGGTAGAGATCGTTTTACAAAGTCGAGCTCATGCTCTTTGTTTCCCAACTGGCCTTTGAGTACAGGTACGTTAGGATTTGTAGACCTCTGAGGAGGATTTCAGGACCTTGCTGCAAACAGTGGACCAGTAATGGTGATTAGGTAGCTCGAGGGCCCCTAAACACCTCCCTGATGATTGACCAGCTGAAATGCATGTGTATGGCTTAGGCCTCTCCCATCCCCACTCCCTGGGAGAAGGGGAGATCTGTTACAAGTGCACTGAAAGGGTCTCTCCAGACACTTGACAATCAGAAGCAGATATGGTAGCTTTTAGCCCCCTCGGCCCATCTTTGACTTCTGCTACCCATGTGGTTGGGCTGTACCCAGTAAGAAACCACCTCATCTTCAATGGTCGTGAAGATTTCCTGGAATGAGATCAAGGCTTTCCCCTGCTATAATATATAGATGACTCTTCCAATAGAGCAAGTGCCTTCATGCTCCGCTCCTTTGGGGTAGCTTTGGATTTTGGCTGGAATGTTCTCATTACTGACATCTGCTTTTAATTTGCATATGATCAAGCAGGTCAGCCCCAACTGCATCTCTCAGGCTATTAAGAATTCAGAGGCAGAATCCCCTGAATGTGATGTGAGACCAGGCTGTTTCAAAATCGTCACTGATCCTACTGAGGAAATATCAGGAGAAAGGAAGGAGAGGAAGAAGCAGAGGATTCATGAGTTATTTATTAGTTTGTGATGCTACATATATCAATGGTAACCCTATCCTGACATCTCTCCCTCCTACCTCCACTCCTAATTCTTTCTGGATCTGAAGTGGAAAGAGACAATGAAGGAAGGAACTGAATATAATTCATTCATGAGCATGTAAGATAACCCCTTCTCCTCTTCCCTCTCTTATTCTGCCATGTAACAAATATTGTTAAGTATACCAGTTATTTTCTAATACTAGAAATATCAATAAAAATACCAGTGATTTTTCTTTTCTTTTTTTTTTTTTTTTTTTTTTTTTTTTTTTTTTTTGGAGACAGAGTTTTGCTCTTGTTTTCCAGGCTGGAGTGCAATGGTGTGATCTCGGCTCACTGCAACCTCTGCTTCCCAGGTTCAATCGATTCTCCTGCCTCAGCCTCCCAAGTAGCTGGGGTTACAGGCATGCACCATCACACCTAGCTAATTTTTGTATTTTTAGTAGAGACGGGGTTTCTCCATGTTGATCAGGCTGGTCTTGAAATCCCAACCTCAGGTAATCCACCTGCCTGGGCCTCCCAAAGGGCTGGGATTACAGGTGTGAGCCACCGTGCCCAGCTGTTATTTTTCAATACTAAAACAAAAATTGAGAGTAGGGGTTATGAGGATTGTTATGAAAACATAAGTTGTAAATTTCTTGCACATTTGGGAGTTGTTTCGGGAAAACAGAAAGTTGGTGTTTTTAAAACATTTTTAGTAATAATTGTATGGTGTTATTTATGAAAAAATAATTCACTAGGTTTTAAAAATTAAAATCTGTCCTTAATTAAATAACTCAGTACTCACAGAAAGGATTTTGAAGAAAAGTGTCTTGTAGAATTTCTGTCTTTACAAACAGAGCCCTGCAGTTGCAATGGATTGATCTAATCAGTCAATTCATTGATTAGAAACTGAACCAAGTATTTGATTCTGTATCTTTAAATTAGTCTAATTCATCCATAATCCATGTGATTTACTGGTAGCAAGTTAAAAATGACAAGAAACCCAGCCTAGTTTGTGGCAACTGTCTTGAGCTCTTCCACTTTGATTCTACCATTTACCCACTCATTCATTTAATCAGCTCTGAATGAGACTCTACTATGTGGACAGCAATGAGTAAGATACCATTAGTTGCTGTGTCTGGGTGCTTATTTTGGTGTAAACAGACCTTTGACTAGTTCATTTAGGTTACATTTCAACATAATGTAATATGGGCTATAGTAGGAGGGAGACCTGACCTAGACTGGGATTGCCAAGAGAGGTCACCCAGAGGAGGTATTGGATACCTAAGCTGTCATGAAGGATCCAGTAGGTGCTCGCTGGGGAGGGAGCGGAACTTGTTCCAGCCAAGGGTAGCAGCTTGGGTGCACAGATGAGAGGGCATATAAGGACTTTATTTTGGGAAATAGTGAGGAACTCTGGGGGATTGGGATATAAAATGCAAAGCAGAGGGGTGTGTGTGTGTGTGTGTGTGTGTGTGTGTGTGTGTGTGTGTGTTAGGTAGGAGAGTTGGAGGAGGGTAATGTCAAGAGTTGACAGGAGTTCTAGGCTTAGAACCAGCAAGGACTCTGGGGGGCTTTAAGTAATAAACTGGCCAGACTCCTGAAGCTGGCTGCTGGGCTGGGCTGATTAGTCTTAGGACAAGATAGGCTTCACTGGCTGCCAGCCTGGGCCAGGCCCCACACACCTCAAACACAAGCAGGGATTGAAGGAGAGGAAGATGCAGTAGGCACTGACCTTCTGACCTTGGCGGGATGCTTGAACCATTCTGCCCTTTCAGAAGGTTCTGCCCCTCTGAGCTCATTTCCCCTCCTCACCCTGTGATGACAGTCTTAGCACTCAAGATGTGGTGACCTGTCGGGAAGCGGGGGCAGGGGCCTGCTGTCTCCTTTTTAACTCGGTCTCCAGAGCCCAGAAGATTAGGTTGTTGCTCAATGTTTGTTGAATGAATAACTGAATGTGAGAAGTTGTTGGAGAAGAACGTTCAGGAAGAAATTTTGTGGTGATCACCACCCAGGTCCTGTGGTTGAAGTCTCAGCCTTTTGGAGGAAGGCGTTGCAAGGTTAATACGGGCTGGTATACAGGGTTGCTGTGGGCCCAGAGTGCAGGGGAGATGCCTGGTCCCCTCCTCCAGTCAGTCCTCCCTGGAGCTGGGCATAGTGAAGTCTCTGGGGAGGGCAGCACCCACAGGCTCTGGCCTGGCCTCTGCATTCCCACAGAAGTAGTGGTGAGAGGAGTCAAGTTACCACGTGACCTTGAATGAAAGACGTTTGAGGGGAGTGGAAGGACAGGAATGGAGACTCCCAAACTCATGGGGACAGCTTTGCTGAGTACCAGAAGGCCAGTAAGTAAGGCAGTGAGCCAGGGAGAGCTGGGTTATTACTGCTTGTGTGATCTCACCCTTCACCGCCAGCTCATGAAGTCTGAGGAAATTCAGGTTGCCTTTGATATTAACCTCCATGAAGACTATCACTGATTGAATGATAGCCTTCGGTTACTCTCTGTTCTCCAAATACATCCTCTCTTTTTGCCCCATGTCTTGACATGAGTGGTTCCTTTGCTTGGAGGGCCTCCTGTCTCTTCTTCATCTGACGCAGAGCTTCTGCTCATTCTTCAAAACCCTAGTCAGATATTGTTACTTCACTGAAAACTCTCACCGCCAGCCAGAGTTCCTTGTTCTTCCCTTTGTGACCTCGTAGCCTTGTCACAGTGCTCTCTGTTGTGTTGGAATAATCTGTTTACTTGATGTATTAGGCCATTCTTGCACTGCTATGAATAAATACCTGAGACTGGGTAATTTAGAAAGAAAAGAGGTTTAATTAGCTCACAGTTCTGCAGGCTGTACAGGAAGCACGGTGCTGGCATCTGCTTGGCCTCCCCAGGCCTCAGGAAGTTTACAATGAGGCTGGAAAGCAAAGGGGAAGCAGGCCCGTCACATGGCCAGAGCAGGAGCAAGACAGCCAGAGACTGGGTTGGAGGTGCCACTTACTTTTAAGTGACCAGGTCTCACGAGAACTCACTCACTATTGCAAAGACAGCACCAAGCCATGAGGAATCTGCTCCCATGACGCAAACACCTCCCACCAGGCCCCACCTCCAGCACTGGGGATTACAATTTAACATAAGATTTGGGTGGGGACAAATATCCAAACTATATCACTTGACTGCCTCTCCAGTGTGACTCTGAGTTTCAAGGGTAATAATCCTGTCTTAAAATTTATGTATATACAATTCATGCCACAGACTCTCATTGTGAAAGAAAAAAGCACATTAAAGAACATATCTAAGGCATTGGAAATAGATCATCCACAGTTATTCCTAAAAGGTAATGAGTAGTTGAATTAACAAAATATGGTATTTATGTACATGAGTATTATCCAGCCATAAAGAGGAACATATGCTGCAACATGGCTTGAAAACATTCTGCTCAATGAAATAAGCCAGACACAGATGGATAAATATTGTATGATTCCACGTAGAGGATTTACCTAGAATAGGCAAATTCCTAGAGATAGAAAATAGAGTATAAGCTTCTAGGGGCTGGAGGAAAGGGGAGAAAAGGAGTTATTGTTTAACAGGTTTGGAGTTTCTGTTTGGGTTGATGAAAAGTTCTGGAAACAGTGGTGAATGTACGTAATGCCACTAAATTGCACACATAAAAATGGTTGATGTAGTAAATTTTATTTTAAGTATTTTTTACCACAATTCTTTTTTTAAAAAAAGCAACAAGAAGGGAAGAAACAACTGAAAAAATTAGCAGTAAAGTGTTCCAATGACCCAAATGCAGAGAGTAGTTCAAAAGTATGTAAACCAGTTACGTGTGAGACAGGGCACTATAGGCTTTTTATCAAGAGAAGAAACCCGGGGGCTCAAGCCTGTACTCCCAGCACTTTGAGAGGCCGAGGTGGGTGGATCACGAGGTCAGCAGATCGAGACCATCCTTGCGAACATGGTGAAACCGCATCTCTACGAAAAATTAAGCCAGGCATGGTGGCACACACCTGTAGTTCCAGGTACTCAGGAGGCTGAGGCAGGAGAATTATTTGAACCCGGGAGGTGGAGATTGCAGTGAGCCAAGATCGCGCCACTGCACTCCAGCCTGGGCGACACAAACTCCGTCTCAAAAAAAAAAAAAAAAAAAAGAAGAAACCCTGTGTTCTTTCTCTTGACATAGTGTTTAGGGAATCAGTAAGATTCCATCAACATAAGCATCATATTCTCTTATTTTTCTGCAAAATCATCAGCAGCAAGTGCTTTTTCCTAACATTAAAATATATTTATTCTGGCTGCGCACGGTGGCTCATGCCTGTAATCCCAGCACTTTGGGAGGACAAGGCAGGTGGATCACTTGAGCTTGAGAGTTCAAGACCAGCCTGGGCAACATGGTGAAACCCTGTCTCTACAAAAAAAAAAAAATACAAAAAATTAGCAGGGTGTGGTGGCGCACACCTGTGGTCCCAGCTATTTGGGAGGTTGAGGTGGGAGGATTGCTGGAACCCTTGAGGTCGAGGCTGCATTGAGCTGAGATCGTGTCACTGCACTCTAGTCTGGGTGACAGAGTGAGATCCTGTCTCAAATAAATAAATAATTGAAAGTTAATTATACTTCTGTCTATGGAATTTTTTACTTCACATAAGCTGAGAGAAGTCAAACTTGGGTTATTGAAATGCTTTAGAAAATTGTTAAACTGTTTACTTTTTTAAGTTTTTAGTCTGTCTTAGTTATATGTGTGTGTGCATATATGTGTGTGTGTATGTGTGTGTGTGCATATATATATATATATATATATATATATATATATATATATGTATGCCACTGCACTCTAACCTTGGCAACAGAGTGAGAACCTGTCTCTAAAAAATAGTAAAAAATAAGTTAATAATAAAATAAGTTGGCCAGGTGCAGTGGCTCATGCCTGTAATCACAGCACTTTGCAAGGCTGAGACACATAATAATGCCCAAGAGTAAAAATTAAGTAAACAGTTATAACATGATTAGTCATTTTATTTATTTTATTTTGCTGGATTGGAGTCTGCTGTTATATCATATAAAACATTTGCTAGGATTTTGTATTTTTAACACCCATGCACATTTATGGGAATTCATTAGAGGGGGAAGCCTGGATTTAAAATTTCCCTCCATGAAACAGTTAAAGATCAAGAGGTGAATCGTGTGGGATATGAAGCATGTCATGGCTGAGCTGCTGACGAGGCCTCGGCTGTGCTTTGCATCATGTAAGGGCTCAGCACCCTGAGAAGGTGCCTGGTAAATGCCACTGGCTGATCGGACGGCAGTTCTCGGAAGGCCTGCTGATCAGAAACAGAGCCTTTGGCAGAATCTCAATGGCAAAGTCACAAACAGTAACAGTCCCTAAAATAACAACTGCAACCTCAGCAAAATGAAAACCTTCTATGTGGGAGGTATAATGGGAAATGTATTGATTGGTATTTTTCTCCAGATACATGAATAGTGATCACAAGTAGAGATGCTCCCCTTTTCTACAAAGGAAAAGGTGTAAAACATTGGTTTTACAATGTAGGAAAACCAATAAAATGGTGGTATAAAACATTGATCACCATCAGCAGATTCTTCTAGCAAGAATGGCAGTTCAAGCCAATAGATATGTTTCATGAATTTTGTGGTTGCAAGTGGCTGGAATGGAATGAAAATCAGCTTTCACGAATCCATTCTCTCATTCTTCTCATTTTAATGAGCACCTACTGCATGCTAGGCATTGTTCTAGGTATGTGCAGGATATCAGCGAGCCTAGCCAAGATTAAATTCTCTCTGCTCAGATACAGAAAATAAGGGATACACATCATACAAAAATACATAATATGTTAGAAAGTGGAAAAAGTAAGTAGAAAAAAGAAAAAGTACAGCAGCAAGGGAAATTCAAGAGTGCCAGGCCGGGCGCGGTGGCTCACGCCTGTAATCCCGGCACTTTGGGAGTCCAAGGTGGGCGGATCACGAGGTCAGGAGATCGAGACCATCCTGGCTAACACGGTGAAACCCCGTCTCTACTAAAAATACAAAAAATTAGCCGGGCGTGGTGGTGGGCGCTACACGGGAAGCTGAGGCAGGAGAATGGCGTGAACCCGGGAGGCGGAGCTTGCAGTGAGCCAAGATCGCGCCACTGCACTCCAGCCTGGGTGACAGAGCGAGACTCCGTCTCAAAAAAAAAAAAAAAAAAAGAGTGCCAAAAAATGGTGGGCATGGAGCAGGGGCATTAGGTGGGCAGAGGCAGCTCTGCTGAGATGGTGATAAGTGAACAGAGTCCTGGAGCAGAAAACCAGTGGATGATGGGGGAAGAGCATTCCGGGTAAAGGAGGTAGGAGGGCCCCAGAATGGAGCCTGCCAAGCTGGATCTGGGCCTATGGTTGCTGCAGGGTGGAGTGAGGGCAGGGTCTTGCGGGCTTTCACTTTGGGCGGGAAGGGGAGTCTGCGCAGGGTCCTGAGCAGAGGAGTGAACTGACCTACAGATAATTTTTAAAAAGCATTCACTTTGCTGCTGTGTTGGAAATAGAGGGTAGGGGCATGGGCAGGGTGGAAGTCAGGAGGCTTGTGGGGGGTTATCCTTAGGTCCCAATGAGACACAGTGAAGGGCTGATCACCAGCCTCCAACTTCTGGGCTCAAGCAATCCTCCCGCCTTAGCTTTCTGAGTAGCTAGGCCTTCTGGTGCACATCATGCCCTGCTAATTTTTCTATTTTTTTGTAGAGATGGCATCTCGCTATGTTGCCCAAGCTGGCCTTGAACTCCAGGCCTCAAGCAATCCTCCTGCCTCAGCCTCCCAAAGTGCTGGGATTACAGGCATGAACCACTGCATCTTGCCAGTTTATTTTATTATTATCATTTATTTACTTATTTTGTATTTTTTTTTAGAGACAGGGTCTCACTCTGTTGCCAGGCTGGAGTTCAGTGGTACAATCGTAGCTCACTGCAGCCTCCAACTCCTGGGCTCAAGCCATCCTCCCACCTCAGCCTCACAAGTAGCTGGGACTACAGGCACATGCCACCATGCCCAGCTATTCTTTTGTTGTTGTTGTTGTTTTGTAGAGAAAGGGGTCTTACTGTGTTGCCCAGGCTGATGTTGAACTCCTGGCCTCAAGCAATCCTCCTACCTTGGCTTTCCAAAGTGCTTGGATTACAGATGTGAGCCACTGTGTCCAGCCATTTTTTAGTAAAACTTAAATATAAACCAAAAGTAGGTAGAATAGTCTAATGATCCCTCATGCACATGGTCCCTGTCCCTCTTACTAACTCATAGTCAAAATTGTTTCTTCCTCATGCCTATCTGCTTGCCTTCCCTAACCTCAGAATATTTTTAAATGAATTCCAGACATCATATTATTTTTCCCACAAATATTTCAGCATGTAATACTAAAGAATAAGGACTTTTCAAAAAAAAAAACCCCACAATGCCATTATCATACTAAAAAAAATTTAACATTAATAACATTAGCTAGTCAGTCAGCATTCAAATTTCCCCCATTGTCTCATCAATGAATGTTTGGATCAGGATCCGATTAAGTTTGACCCATTCCATTTGGTTCAGAATTTCCTTTTGAAGCGTCTCTGTAGATGATTTATCTAAAGCCATTAGCAGCCACACACTCAGTTCCGTGTTCCTCATCATCTACACGTCGCGCTCCTTTCTGTGTCTTTCCCAGAGCAGTGGCCTCTCTTGTCACTGTAACACTTTCACTTCTTTAATTCACTACCTCGAAGTACCAAAGTGACTTTAGCGCCCCAAGTATTCTGGAGTCATTGTGAAAGCTGCAGATGTGGTTTAAGTGTGTTTGGCTTTTGAAAACCCCCAAAAATTTAGATACGCAGCAAAATTCATGGTTCCCTCCCTCTCTCGTTCTCTCATTTAGAGAGAAGAGACACTTTCTCCTATAGTTTTCTCCATACAGGCTTTGGTCTTTGATTTTTATTATTTATTGACTTTTATTTATTTATTTATTTACTTATTTACTTATTTTGAGACAGAGTCTTGCTCTGTCATCCAGGCTGGAGTGCAGTGGCATGATCTCAGCTCACTGCAACCTCCACCTCCTGGATTCAAGTGATTCTTCTGTCTGAGCCTCCTGCGTAGCTGGAACTACAGGCACACGCCGCCGCGCCTGGTGAATTTTTGTATTTTTAATAGAGACAGGGTTTCACCATATTGGTCAGGCTGGTCTCGATCTCCTGACCTCAGGTGATCCACCTACCTCTGCCTCTCAAAGTGCTGGGATTACAGGCGTGAGCCACCGCCCCCTATCTTTGATTTTGAAATGCCAGTCTGCATCAGCTAGAACCTTCCCTACACTGGGGTACTGAGTTGAGGAATGAACTTCCCTCTGTGTTGTTTGCTCTGTGAAACTTTTGACCTGTCTGTGTAATCCTTAGATGTATCGAGGTTTAAAGTATGCTCTGAGATTTGGGAGAGAAGAGAAGGGGTTTTAAAAACAGAAGCAATTGAAGCATTGAGCGTCAAACTTTACCTCTAGAAACGTTCCAGCGATTCCCACGACTCTGTCATGCCCTGGAGAGAATTTTGGTATAGTCGCTATGCATCTTTTCACATAATTATAATCACATACGCAATTTTACCCTTTCTAAATTCACCATGATATTATAAACACTTATTTTCTGTTGTTACATATTTTCCTTTACCTTGATTTTTTTAAAAAAATCCATAATATCCAGGCCTTCTTCCTTGGAAAACAAAACCACTGAGTAGTGACACTCAAGAGTTAAGGGAACAGAATCCCAGACCTGGTTTTGCCACCAACTAGAGATACCACCAAAGGATTGTCCCCTGAGTTCCCTGAGTTTTCTCCTCCATGAAATGGGTACCATAATTCTTACTTCACAGGACTGTTACAGAGATGAGATGAATTAAGGTTATAGGGCCCTTGTAAACTCTAAATTAATATTCAAAAATAAGGTGTTAATGTCTATCTTTAGAGGCAGTAAGCAAAGCTGTAGAAACTAGGTAGTTAGTTCTCTCTGCTGATCAAGGCTATGGTACTCAAACCTTGAATCTAGAGCCCAACACTTAAGGAGGGAGAACCTGTGTGTTCAGGCTGTGCTCCAGCTGCTGGCTCAGGGTAGGGGGTCTTCCTCCCACATATAAGCAAGAGGAATCACTAAAGCAGAGTTCAAATATTCAATCCAGAAAGCAATCAGTAATGGAAGAACTGTAACTCTGGTTTCTTTATAAATGGAGCTGAGAATCCCAGGTATTTCTGATAATTTAATGAAGGTTTATGAAATTTTCTTAGTCTTCCCATGCCTTTGTATTTTGATTTTTAGAATGAATGTACTTCAAGCTTAGCACGTCCCTTATACACTGTAGGAGTATGATAGATCTATGTTGACCTGAATGAAGGTATGAGCAGAGGGGAATTATCCACGCAAGTATGGTATTATTTACTTTCCTCTTATTATTGAGCTGGTGATTCCAGTATTTCCACGGAATAGTAGATCAACAGGCACATTTCGGATTTGACTAATCAGAGCTGCAGATGTGGTCTGACAGTTCCTCTCATCCACTCAGTTCTGCTCTCTTGGTTGCTTTCTCGATTCCTATTCCCAGATATATTTCTCCCTGGAGACTGTTTTCTTCTGGACTAGTCTCTTAATCTTCCCAACCCATATTTGGAGAGATGTTTCGTGCTCACCCGTGACCATGAGAAAGTGTTGCACTTTCTGGCCTCCCTTGCAGTTAGGCAGGGCTATGTGATTGGTTCCAGCCAGTGTGGGCTGTGAGGGAAAGAGGTGTGTTACTTGTGGGCTGAGACAGTGAGAAGCTCGTGCATAATTCTCCAGGCTTTCTTTCTTCACCTCATCAACTGAGGAGACCACAAGTTCAGGAATCATAGCCACAGGATGGTGGAGCCGCCATTGGCCTCAACTCTGAGTCACCATGGCAACAGTCTCCTTGGAGAATCATGTGGCCCACAATGGACTTTATGTAATTGAGAAATCCATTTTTGTGATGTCAAGCCAATGATATCTGGGGATTATTTGTGACAGTGGCACAATTGTGTTTATTCTGACTACACATTCCATCTCTAAAATGGCCTCAGTCTGTTCTCTGATTTTAAACCTTTCTTGTATGTGGGGAGTACATCCTGAAAATTTTGATGTATTTATATTATTTAGATTATATTGCCATATTTTCCAAACTGTGGCCTACATACCACTGGTGGTATGTAGGATATTTTTATGTGGAATATAGATAGACATACCTGTTTTTTAAATATTTACATGTATAATTCTTTTCCACTTATGGCAAGTGATGTGTCTTTCCCATTCTTAGTGGTTGCATAAATGCTTCTTTTACAATAACATTGGAGAAAATGAAGTGACTTAAGGAGAAATATCCAGCAGATAAAAGTATAATTGATGTGCAGATATGGCAAAAGTCTGAGAAATGCTATTCAAATGACTGAAGATTTGGGAAGTGCTGCGTGTGATAAGTTATATGGTGGAATGTCTTAAAGAAATCTCCACCAGACCAGGAGATTTTCATTTTTGACAACCAGTTCACAGAATTCGATTCAGTAGATGTTTTTGAATGAGTAAACATTACTATAAAAAATGTTTAAATCTAGGAACCTAAATAATAAAAGTCCCAGTCCAATCCTTTGAGGTCAATTTCATTGTTTTTCTCCTTATTCTCTGCTCTTAAGAGATTCTGTTTCCCTTAAGTGTGTTAGGCTCAAATCAGATTTAACCAAAGATCAGCATTCGTGGCATCATAACATTTAAGAATTTAAAATGTGTGCATGACATTTTTAGAAATAATGATTTGCTTTGCTGATATTAAAAAACGAGGTTGCTGTTGGTCTGAGTCACAGGTGAAGCCCCATTTGTTTTTCCATTCAGCCACCCGCTGGCCCTAATCACAAATGTCTTTGTACTCACAGTCATCTTATGCAGGGTTTGTACTTCGGCTTCTCTCACTGTGCTGGAGATTAAAATGTGAGATGAGGAGTAACACACTTGCCAGTGACATGGAAGTAAATATTATTGTTTTTGGGGGGTGACATCGACTGCATTTCAAATACAGCCATGAAAATGTTCTATCAATAGCTTTCTATCGATTGGCAGTTTTGTGCCTTTTCAGTTCAGCTCCCAGAGCTGGTCCTGATGAGGTGACTGGCAACTCACCCCAGGTGTGGCAGGCCCCTCCCCACTCTCCTGGGGCTCTCCCTCTCCCCGCTTGCTCTCCTTCCCTAATCCCCACACCTTTTTATGAAGATCAGTCCTTTGCACAGCAGCCATGGCCAGCGTGAGGTGCATGTGCAAGTGGAGAAGTAGCAGGTTCATCGACTCGTTCTGGTAGGGGGCCTCTATCTTATTGAGCACACTTTTGACGGTGGAGATGCCGCTTTATTGCAAATCCCTCCCCGGACTCCTCCTCTTCTTCCAAAATTCAGGCTGAAGACAATTGCCCTGATTCCCTAACCTAAGGGATGGCTCTGCAAGTGGTGATCGATGTTTATCAAATGCCCCTGAGACTCGAAGACGCAAATTATATTCCTATTTTTCATGAAATTTAAAAAACTTTCTAATTTAAGATCATTTAACTTTTAGCTGCTGCAAAACTGGTACATGGAGTTCTCGTATACTCTTCACCTGGACTCCCCAAATGGTAATATCTTACAAAACTGTAGTACAACGATGGAAATCAAGAAGGGAATGTAGGTAAAGAGCAGTACAGTACAGTACTTCTAACTAATCTGCAGCTGTCATTCAAATTTAGCCAATTATCCCACTAACAATTATCATTGTTAGTAACAATTATCATTGCGGTGTTTGTCAGATGGTGACTTTCTAGTTATCATCCTTCTGCATTTATCAATTGGAATTCTACTACAATGAAGAGCTACCTCTTCTGAGCTATTTATTCATTCAGTTATTTATTTGTATTAGTGTGGTCTCATGGATATTTCCTTTATCCTATAATCCATTACTATCTACTTTATTTCTTTTTTTAGAGACCCTCCAGCTCTGTCACCCAGGCTGGTGCAGTGGTGCAATCATAGCTCACTGTGGCCTCAAAGTCTTGACTGAGCTCAAACAATCCTCCCACCTCAGCCTCCTGAGCAGCTGGGACTACAGGTGTGCACTGCCACACCTGGTTAATTTTTTTTAAAATTTTTTTATAGAGATGAGGTCTTGCTATGTTTCCCAGGCCGGTCAATCATCACTCATTTTGTTGCCCACATTGTTGTACAATTGGCTATCGAGAGTTTGGTACAAGTTTACTCCTGTGTCCATTTGCCATGCTCCCATCATTAAAAAAATCATTTCCTTACTTTCTGGGACCACAAGACGTTCCAGACTCATCTTGTGTTTTCTCTGTCCCTGCTTTAGAATCAGTCTTTTCTCCTATGAGCCCTGCTTTCAGTATTATTTTAATGTTAGATTTATAACGTTCTGTTCATGTTCTTGGAAAATTAATATTTACCATATGGGAGATCTCTATGTAGGAGATATTAGATATTCTTCTACCATCTACAGAACTGATTTCTTATGAAACACTGGTCCCAAAAACATGTCAGATTATGAGGAGCATAGCCTATTTTGATACATATGCTAAAAAATGGGAAGCCACACAACTAGGATTTTCACCAAAAAATCTGTTTTACTCTTTCTTGCTTCTATATTTCTTTTTAGTAGGTAACTACAGGTCCAATATCTTTTAGACTTTTTGTTGTTGTAGACTTTGTTTTTTGCTAAGAAATTCTTTTGGCCCCGTGTAAATATCTTCTGCAGTTTAGCTCCTCACTGGCTTGAATTCTCCCCTCATCATATTTTGTCCTGACACCTTCCCTCTTTGCTGAATTTTTGATAACAGCATCTCTGTTTCTCTGGATCTCATGACAATTTTCCAGTCAATCTGATCAATATATACAGCCTCAACACTGAAGTGAACCTGAAAGTTTCTTGACCAAAACTAGAGTCTAATGCCTCCATCAAATATATCCCAACTATATATTTTTTCAAAATAGAATGTGTGTGAGTGTTTGTGACTATGTGTTTATTATAGATTGATTCATACTCAAACACTAACAGTGGTTTTTTTGTTTGTTTGTTTTTTTGTTTTGTTTTGGTCATTGTGGTTGTTGTTGTTTTTGAAATGGAGAATCTCTCCATTGCCCCAGGTTGGAGTGCAGTGGCACGATCTAGGCTCATTGCAACCTCCACCTCCCGGGCTCAAGCAATCCTCATGCCTCAGCCTCCTAAGTAGCTGGGATTACAGGCACATGCCACCACACCCAGCTAATTTTTGTATTTTTGGTAGAGACACGGTTTCACCATGTTGGCCAGGCTGGTCTCAAACTCCTGACCTCAAGCAATCCACCTGCCTCTGCCTCCCAAAGTGCTGGGATTACAGGCATGAGCCACCGTGCCCAGCCAACAGTGGTTTATTTTCTTTTGAAATTCACAAATCTTACTGCTATGAATCTATTATCATCAAATTCTAAAAGCATAATGTCTTTTATCTGTGGAAGTTTGGTCATCATCAGATAAGAATCCAAAATAAAAAATGAAATGTTTTTTACTTTCTAATTTGAAATAATTCTGTCCTTACAAAACTGGCAAGACTAGTACCTAATGTTCTCATAGACCCTTCACTGGGTATATGTATAATTTTCTTATATATTGCATTTCATTGTATATTACATTCGTGATCTTCCTACTCAGAACTAGTAGGGTCATGTGGTAAACATCTGTTGAAAATGCCTTAGTGTTATATTCCTGTGGGGAAACCACCTCTAACCCACATTATCAACCATGTGATTTAGAGAGATTGACCCATTCTTTGTTCCTGGGCTTTACTTGGCTTTGGCCAGTCATCAATGGCTGCGTGCTTGGTTTAAGGGTGTGTCCTTGATCCAATTCAGGCCATCGAGATGCATGGAGACTTTCACTAGGTCTTATGGAAGTTTCTTCTCTATTCCATGGAGGTCCCTGGATGCTACATTATTATGTTTGTCATCCATGGGAGCCAGCCCAACTGTGAAGGTTAAGAGAGAAGAGCCTAGAGAATTTCTGAGCTTTGAGAATGGATGCAATTAAGCCTGAGGCCAGCCCTACCTCCAAACCAGTTTTGTGAACCCATGAATTTTCTTTCCCTCCTTTTTTTTTTTTTCTAAGTATTTTTGATTTTGGTTTTCTGTAGCTTGGAAAAGTTTCTGTTGATAACAGATCTTTTTCTGTGCATTCTATCATGTTATTTGTCCCTGTGTTGGCACTTATCTTAGTTAATTATGTGGCTGTTTTTCTTCAACTAAATTATGATGTCCTTGAAACTGTGGACTAAATCACTTACCTGCCTTTCTTATATTTGTATGGAGCTTAGTCCTTCCATTTAGCAGCACTCTGAGGGCCTAATTTCCACTAGGCCCAGAACTGGGTCTGGTTCTCCATAACTGTTTATGGAATCGTGAATTTTATTTAATATGCTACCTGTTTTCGCTTTCTATTATTGCATAGCAAATTACCACAATCCTAGTGGCTGAAACAAGTTACAGGTTCTATGGGTCAGGAGCCTGCGAGCAGCTCAGCTGGGTTCTCTGCTTAGGGTCTTGCCAGGTCACACTCAAGGTGTCAGCTGGGCTGTGTTCTCATCTGGAGCCTGACTGGGGAAGAATTTATTTTAAGCTCATTACACCTGCAGGCAGGATTCAGTTCGTGCAGCTGTGTGGCTGAGTGCCCCTGGTTTGCTGGCTGTTCACTGGAAGCTGCTAGAGGCTCTCACTGTGGGCTTCCTCAGCGTGGCTGCTCAGTTCCTCAAGGCAGGAAGGAGAATCCCGGTCTCTAGTTCACTAAGGCAGAGTCTTAGATAATGTAACATAATCACAGAGTGGTGTCCTGTTCCCTTTGCCACATTCTATCGATAAAAACAAGTCACAAGTTTCATTTACACTCAAGGCTAAGGGATTGTACAAAGGCATGGCCATTGGAGGTCTGTCCTCCATGCTACCTTAAAAGTTCCTGTTCAAAGAGTTTTCTTTAAACATAAAAGTGGGTTCAATGTCTCTCAACATTGATACCTCTCATAGTAGGCAATTAGATTTTTAAAGTTATAACTATTTTTTTTTCTACTCAGGAGTGGCATTAAGTTTGCTTGAAATTTCTTCTTATGATCACCTGTATTTTATTTAGGTTGAATCGTTTTGCAAATACTGGTAAAATGATTCCCCGGAATGTGTTTAACTTTTCAAAATACTTTTATATTCTTTTGATGGCATTAAAAAAAAAAAAGCAGTGGCTCTGAGTCAGTTATGTTGGAAATTTGATGTGAATATTTTCCAAGAGCCCAAAGGACTAAGGACTGTCTCCTATAAATATTTCATTTTTGTTCTAAATCTAACAGCTGGCCTTCTCCTCCTCTCCCCCAATTTTTTAAAAACTAAAGGCGTGGTGTAAAACAGCAACAACAACAACAACCTCCTACACTCCTTTACCCAAAGTAAAAATTAACACGTTAATAGACTTGTGAAATTTGGCCAGATTTTCCTTTATCTATACAGAATTCCTAGATGTTGACTGGCAGATTAGATTTCTCAGTATTTACTTGGCTAGTTAATTGTAACAAATAATCCATTTGGAACATAATTAAGAGATGATAAACAAAAAATAGGCAAATAAATAATCATCAACACTCCAAAAACATTTTCAGCCAGTTATTTTCTTGCATATATTTTCATGTTTTTAATGTTTTACTTTACATCTACGAATTAATTTCTCCATATTGTTTATACATAGTCTTTGAACATCATGATTTCTATCCGTGGTTCATAGTTCGATGAGATAGCTTTCTCTTTTACAAAAAGTCTTTTAAAAATAACTTACCATATTCCTATCTTTAGGTTTTAAACATCGTTTTACATAATTTGTGTACTTTTTTATAAGCACCATGTCTTAATTTTCTAGCACACCTGGAAATGTTATAATGTGACTTAGTCTTTATATGAATGATCTGTCCTTTATATTCTTGATGATGAACTATCAAAACGCCAGTTTAGAGGATGGCTTTCAGAAAGATGGACTTGGAGAAAAAGCGCTCCCTAGCTGCTGTTTTACCGTGTGGACACTAGATGGTGCAGTGGTCATACTGATCAGCCAATGTAATACTGGTAAGACACCAGAGACTTGATGTTGGTGCTTAATAGCTTCCATTGAAAAGACAGATGTACCTATAAATGTATTGTTTGAATAGTTCTCTCTCGTGAAGTACTAAAGTCCTTGAGAAGCAATATGAGATAAATTACTTTTTGTTTTTAACTATTTAATGTTTATTTATCTTCCAATCATTTTAAAACCTTTATTGAACCGTTTTGTTAAGTAAAAATCCAGTCCCTATTGGGGTAAATTGTTTGCAGAGTACAATTGATTCTTAAGTACATTAAGTCTTTCTAAGTGGACATTTGTTTTCAATTTAGAAAAAAAAAGTCTATGTTCCAGTTCTTCGAACAAATATTTTTGAAGTTTTTTAGAAACTTTTTAAGAGTTGCTGTTTTCAGCCAATAGAGCATAATCACATTTCTGGAATGAGATATATCAGACAAAGCCAATGTCCTTGACTAAATTGAATCTTTTCTAAATTGATGTCCAACAGAACTAACATAGATGTTATAATCTGCATATCCAAAGGGTTTTTCTTTATCTTGGCTGGAAACTTGGAGCATCTGCAAGCTTGGTGTCTTCACATTAGATTACTCTTTGTGTGCTAGAATTTGCGATCCAAGCCTGAATCCTTTAATTACCTTTGAGTTATATAACACCCAGGGGACAAACTGGAAGAGATGCTGCTGTATAACACTCCGCTCTCATGACATAGCTTTGGAAGGTCTCTCTTCTCACGCATTTTCTAGATTACGTATTTTACAAGTCGTGGGGTGATTTTCTGTTCCTGAAAAAGCAAGTTTGCTGAATTGCATTAATTCAAAAAGAAGCTGTGCTTAAAATACAAGAAAACAAAAAGTTTAACAGATTTTACATTTATTTACTTTAAGCATAGTGTTCATGACTACGTAAATGGCTTCAAGGGAAAAGTTTATTTCTAACATTTAGCTTTTCAGTTTTAAAACAGAAGTTGAAAGAGGGAATATTTGTGGTTTTTAAAGTTAACTTAAAAATTGTTTGAAGAGGGGCTGGGAGCGGTGGCTCAGGCCTGTAATCCTGGCACTTTGGGAGGCAGAGGTGGGTGGATCACTTGAGGTCAGGAGTTCGAGACCAGCCTGGCCAACATGGCAAAACCCCATCTCTACTAAAAATACAAAATTAACCGGGTGTGGTGGCACACACTTGTAGTCTCAGCTACTCGGTAGGTTGAAGCATGAGAATCACTTGAACCCAGGAGGCCGAGGTTGCAGTGAGCCGAACTCGTACCACTACACTCCAGCCTGGGTGACAGAGTGAGACTCTGTCTCAAAAAAAAAAAAAAAAAAAAAAAAAAAAAAAAATTATTTGAAGAAGTCTAAATTTTCTGACACTGCTTGTATTATAGGTATATACTACTTAAAACTCTATGCTAACATACACAAAAAGCAACAAACTACTATATCAGATTATATATTTATGTGCTTTAATTTGTATAAAATATATTTTGGGGGTTGTTATTTACCCTTATAATTAGATGAACTTCTTTTGAGAAGTTGAATGAAATGTAAAAAACATTTTTCAATTTTAAGTTATATTTTAAGAACACCAAGAATTTTGCTGCAGTGGATCTTCTGGTAGAGGGAAGATTCAGTCTTTTAAAATTGTATTTTAGCATGCTCTGTGTCCAAAACCCTGTGCCAGGCAACAAAAAAGACACATAAAAGTAGCCAACTTGGTCCCTGCCCTTGGGCACTCACAGTCAAGGTCATCAGTATTTTAAAATAAAATATCACCTAACATAGGGAAATAAAATTATGATCCCAGATAACAGTAGAGAAGATGAGAGAAGGACCCTAGCAGTTAAAAAGGTCAGGAGAGGCTTTGTGAGAAGGGAAACATTAAATAGTATTAAAGATTATGTAAGATTTTGACTTAGCAAAAAAAGGTGTGAAAAAAACTCCAACCAGGAGAAATGTGATGAGCAGAGGCATTGAGATGAGAATGCCCCGTGTGAGTTTTCAGTTTCGCTGGAATTACAAGCTAGAAGAGGAGATGAGACCAAATTGATATATCGGAACCCTATTGTGCAAGGCTTTGAATCACAAAACTCAGACATTTGAACTACAGCCTCTAAACAGTAGATAACAGTTGAAAATGTTTGGGTACCAGTGTGAGATCCTGAAAACCATTTAAAGAGATTAACCTGGTAACCATATCGTCGATGGAAAAAAAAAAAGTGAGAGAGGAGAGATGCAAGGAGAGCCTAGAAGCACCTGTTTAGGTAGCTTACATATGAAATAAGAGCTTCAGCAAAGGTTCAAGAAGTGCAACCAAAACCAAGGGAAAGCGAGAGGTATGGTAAGAGAAATATGACTATCAATATAATGTTATAGTAGCATGTACTGTGCAGGTAAGTTCTCATTATTTATTTTTCTAGATTTGTCTAAATCTGGTCCAAGACACTCTATCCCCCGTTCGTTTGCCAACACCTGTGAGAATTCCACAGTCAACTTGCTTACTAGGCCCCTCCCTTTCCCTCTCATGGATTAAATCAGCCATAGTCCAAATGCAAAGAGGGAAGGAGCTTCATTTACTGTTGTTCCTTCACAAAGGAACCATTGCAGTCAAGTGCAGGGCTCCATGAGAGCTGGAGAGGGGTCCCCAGACCTCCATCCTCACGGTCCAGGATGGGGAAGTCATAGCCAGATTTAGCAGTTCCCCTTTGTCAGTGCAATGCCTCATCCTCCATGTTTCCCCTTCTAGGATGATCTAGTTTGATTCAACTCTTCTTGGCCCTTAACTTTCCTCAGGGAGGCAGGGGAGGCCAGAAGTCAAGAGAATAGATACGTGGCATTAGGCTTTCCCCATAAGAAAGGTTGAGCATGGTAGCCATGGAAGGATGTGTAGGTTGTTCACTGCTCAAGAGCATTGACTGTGGGGAAGAATGGGGCCGAAATGCAGCCCATACCCTGCTTGCCAAGCTGGGTACAAAATCACTCCTGCCAACAAGAAAAGGAGGAAAAGGACCTTTTAAAAAAATTTGCTGTTGACTTGGATGCTGAGGGCTACGTGGAGGGCCTGGACAATGAGGAGAGGATGAGGAGGAGGAGGAGGAGGAAGGAGAAGAGGAGGACATGAGTGCAGAAGAGGAGGATGAAGACGATTATAACAATGGAGAGGTAGATGATGAAGAAGATGAAGAAGACCTTGGTGAAGAAGAAAGGAGTCAGAAGTGAAAGCAGCTCAAAGATGAGGGAGAAGACGATGACCAAGTGGAATAACGTATTTTCAAAAATGCCTATTGTGATTTGTGTTTTTACCCATATCCCCTCTACCCTCATAATCCTGCCCCCAAAACTTTTTTTTTTGTTGTTGAGACAGGATCTTGTTCTGGCACCCAGGCTGGAGTGCAGTGGCGTGATCACAGCTCACTGCAACCTCCGTCTCCCGGGTTCAAGCCATCCTCCTGCCTCAGCCTCTTGAGTAGCTGGGACTACAGGTGCATGCCACCACACCTGGCTAATTTTTGTGTTTTTTGTAGAGATAGGGTTTTGCCATGTTGCCCAGGACGGTCTTGAACTCCTGGGCTCAAGTGATCCCCCCACCTTGGCCTCCCAAAGTGCTGGGATTACAGGCATGAGCCACTGTGACCTGCTCCAAAACTTATTTTTTTCTTATTGTAACATAGCTGTGTGAACAAGAAGGGAAAGGTGTACTGGGGGTTGTTGGAGGAGGGAAAGTGTGGGGGAAATAAAATACTATTTTTATTGTCAAAAAATTTGCATAAAGGAGACTTATGGGCCAAGAGAGGTCCTGGTTGAAGGAAGGAAAACATTTTGCTTTGCAGGGAGGATGAGTCTTTAGTAGAAAACAAAACAACAACAACAACAAAACATCCCCCAAACCAGCAAAAATGCCCATTTTAGCAAATTGCCCTATTATGTGTGTAGTTTTTAAGTAGATTTTCATATATAAGAGAGACAAGGAAAGAGGCGAGCGGACAGCTGTGATGAAAGAGCCCAAGGAACCCCCCCAATAAGGCACCATCTCAGAGAAGGCACTTCTTTGGGGGTCACTCAGTGAGACCTGGGAAGGTGAGCGGAAGGGGCCTCTTCTGCAGATGGTGGCCTGGAGGAGAAGACCCTTTTCCACTGCACCGAGACGATCAGCGGGAAGAATGAGTGGGTGTGTATTCATTATCTATTGCTGTATGAAAAACTACCCTACAGTGTAGCTGCTTAGGAAATACATTTATTGTTTCTGTGAGTCAGGAATCCAGGCACATTTAGCTGGGCCCTCTGGCTCAGGATCTCTCCCAGATTGCAATCAAGGTATGCGCCAGGGCTGCAGTCATCTCCTGGCTCTGCCGGGAGGAGCTGCGTCCAAGCTGACTCACGTAGTTGTTGGCAGGGTTCTGTTTTCTGTGAGCTGTGGGACTGGGGACCTTAGTTCCCCATGGGCTGTTGTTTTGCAGGCCACCCTCAGTTTCTTGCCACGTGGGCCTCTCCATAGGGCAGCTCACAACATGACCACTGTCTTCTCTCAGCATGAGCCAGAAAGAAAATCAAGAGAGGGATAGCAAGATGGGAGTCATGATCTTTCTATAGCTTCGTCTCAAAAGTGATATCCCATCCCTTTAGAAGGGAGTCAACTTGGGGCCGGGCGCAGTGGCTCACTCCTGTAATCCCAGCACTTTGGGAGGCCAAGGCAGGCAGATCACGAGGTCAGGAAATCGAGACCATCTTGGCCAACACGGTGAAACCCCGTCTCTACTAAAAATACAAAAAATTAGCCCGGCTTGGTGGCGGGCGCCTGTAGTCCCAGCTACTCTGGAGGCTGAGGCAGGAGAATGGCGTGAACCCAGGAGGCGGGGCTTGCAGTGAGCCGAGATCGTGCCACTGCACTCCAGCCTGGGCGACAGAGCGAGACTCCGTCTCAAACAAAACAAAACAAAACAAAACAAAAAATACAAACAATTAGCTGGGCGTGGTGGCACACACCTGTAATCCCAGCTACTTGGGAGGCTGAGGCAGGAGAATTGCTTGAACCCGGGAGGCAGAGGTTGCAGTGAACTGAGATCATGCCACTGTACTCCAGCCTGGGTGACAGAGCAAGACTCCGTCTCAAAAAATAAAATAAAATAAAACAATAAAAAATAAAAGAAGGGAGCCACTTAGTCCTGGCCTCCATAGTGTGGGTGGCTGAAGGAACGTGAAGATAAATGTCTCTGAAGACAAGAAGGTGAGATAATTAAGAGACTTAGGTTTTGGATGGGTCACCTACACAAATGAAGTGACCCAGAATGCTGAGGGAACCAGGGTGGAGGTAAACTGGGAGGTGGGTGCTAAAACTTCTAGGGTGGGAGAGAGAGTGACACCAGGTGTTGAAATTACAGAAGGGACCATTTCTGGCAACACAGCAGACCAGATATCCTATAAAAGTCTTCCATTACAGAACACCTACACATCAGGAGCTCAAAAACAGATATATTCTTTAAATGTCTAGCCAACATTTTGGAAAAGTGTGGGAAATCCCTCAGGGCCAAAACCAGAGGGAGTTGGACACCAGAGTGATAAGCAGACACTGAAGGCAAGGCCAACCTCAGGGCTTGGCTCAATATTCTAGAACTTTACCCTTGTTCTCAAGTCTCCGTGTGGACAGGGGATGAGGGTTACCTGGTTTCTGCTCCTTTGACTATGGCATAGACTCTGTAGATGTCTGTAATTGACCGGGAGGTATGTAGATGACTGTATCAAGTTATCCTCCTGACCGGGCGCAGTGGTTCATGCCTGTAATCCCAGCACTTTGGGAGGTCAAGACAAGGAAGGAGGTGAGCTGACAGATGTGCTGGAAGAGCACAAGGAACCCACCAGTCAGGCATGATCTCGGAGAGGGCGCTTGTTTGGGGGTTACTCAGTGAGACCTGGGAAGGAGAGAAGGGACCTTTTCTGCAGACGGTGGCCTGGAGAAGAAGCTCTTTTTCCACTGAAACAGGAGGAATGGCGGGAAGGATGAATGGATATGTGTATTAATTATCTATTGCTGCATGACAAATACGGATCACTCAAGTCCAGGAGTTTGAGACCAGGCTGGGCAACATGATGAAACCCTGTCTCTACCAAAAAATACGAACATTAGCTGGACATGGTGGTGGGTGCCTGTAATCCCAGCTAGTCAGGAGGGTGAGGCAGGAGGATCACCTGAGCCTGGGAAAGTCGAGGCTGCAGTGAGCCATGATCACGCCACTGCACTCCAGCCTGGGTGACAGAGTGAGAACCCTGTTCCCCTCCCCACCCCTCAAAAAGGAAAGAAAGTTATCCTGCCCTTGCCTAGACTTAGATGAACCCAGTCTATTTTTTGCAGTTATACATGGGGATGGCAAAAGGCAGAATCCTGGGCATTGGCATGAAGGCCTTGGGTCTTAATGCCTAAGTGAGTCACATAAACCCTGGACAAAAGGCTGTACCGTCAATATGAGGAAAAGCTAGAAAAAAAGACCTATCACTCTCATAAAAATTCATAACCATAGTCCACACCCTCACATAGATTTGGCACTAGAATTTATACCACCTGTTTAGGTCTGTAAATGCCAAGCCAAACTAATAATTGAAAGTGGTTCTAGTTGGAGAACTGTGGGGCACCCAGCACAATTCAGAGCAAATCGTTTTGGAAATAGAATCTCAGCCCAGGTTTCCTGCAATTCCCATACATTGCTCAACTAAACATGAGTTCAGAAGTCAAAATTACAAAATACCCTAGGAAACACGCCACTAGGAGAGTGAGTCAGAAGGAAAATAAGATAGTAGAAAAATTAGATTCTAAATTACCAGAGACAAGCAGGATACCAGGAAGACAGGAAGCAGGTGATTTGACCCAGTGACAGGTACCTGGAAACAGTTTGGTTGTTTAGTTATGAAGCTTAAAAACTGTCATTCATTTTTATTTAGCAATTTTATTCCTGCAACTTTTTTCCTGAGGAATGATCAGGTATGGATTTATAATGATATTCAAATAGTGTCATTTATAACATTAAAAAAAAAACTTGGGAACAACCTTCATATCTAAGAAAAGGGAAATGAATAAACAAACGATAGAAATTACAGGGTATTATTCATATTTGTAAACAGTTTTAATGACATGGGAATTTGTTTACAATATAATATTAAAGAATAAGAGCAAGATAAGAAAATGCTTTCTAAATGTGGCTGTATTTAGCTCTCCAAATTATTTAGCTAAACAAAACTATTTCATTCTTCTAGCATTCTGTTTAAGTAGGTACGTGATGTATTTGGCAGCAGAAAAAGGGCATAAGAAAATTGATGGCTCTGCCAAGATTTTATTGAGGGATTCAGTTGTATTGAAAGAAAAAAGGCTACAGAGATTTTAGGTATAAAAATATATAAATAATAGCTTTCACAAATAGAATTTAATTTCAAACTCTGAAGCACTTAAAACATGCAATCACCATTCACATACTTTAATTAGAAACATCATAATGAGTCTTTCTATTTTGGATATGAAGACTTCTCAGAGAATTTAGAATTTAGTTAAATTTCTATTCTTGTCTTTGAATATAATGATGGGGCGACCATTCTTGCCATAATAGCCAGGATTTGGTATCTGTGAATTCACCATGGCCACGGTAGTGATAAAGAGCATTCCTCCACAATCCGTCCATTTCTGGGAACCCAGAAGATTGAGTCCCTTTTACTAAACCATGATTTAGTGAATGAAAGCACTTATACCATGTGAGAATGGGTTACAGAAACACATGCTAGCAGCAGTCCTCAGATTGTTGCCCAGAACCGTTTACAATGACAATATGATCCCTTTCTCACTTTTATGATTGGTAAAAAATTGGTTTATCCTCTCTCAAAGTTTATCCTAAAGTTGCTGAGTGACACAATGATATTTTTGTACTTAATCACAAAAGCAGAGAGTCTGACAAGAATTTGAAAAAGGGTGTATAGAATACAAATACTGTTGAATGGTGCAGCAACAGAGCTGTACAACACCTTTGTCTTGCCTGGAAGGCAGTGTGTTAGTATGGAGAGAGCGAGGGCTAAAGTAGAGACTGTAGATATTATGTGCCTAATACTGTAATTTTCCCAGAACTGATAGCTTGATTTTGCCAGTTATACACCCAAAGACTTTGGACATTGGTGTGGAAATACATTTGCTCACTACATGCTAGATGCCAGACTATCATTTGTTGATTGGTTGATTCATTGTTTGGAAAATACCTGGACTACTATAATAGGTGCCAGGCATCATACCCAGAGAGGGACCTAGCATAACCAGAATTCATTCAAAGGAGGACTTCCAGAATTCTGAGAGGTCTAGAGTGCTGGGACGGTGTCTTATTTATCTCTACACTTTTTCTTCCTAGCACTGTGTCTAGCACTCAGGATATTCATAATAAAAGTTTGATAAAACAATGGATTTACAAATGGTGGTTGAGGCTCTTTTACCCACTGGCAGGCTATCTTCCTGAAGTTGCCTATATCCCTGTCTGCCTGTTAGCTGTTAATACCTCCTAAGCCAGGATGTTCCACTACTGTGCTGTGCCAAACAGCTGTGACCCATCACCACCTCCTGTGAGATACATTCTTTTTACCCTGCATCATGCTAAAGATGTTAACTCTTGACTAGAACCACTTCTTGGGGCTGTGGTTGTACTTTTGGAGGCCCGTCATGGACTGGGACCAGAAAACTGGAGACTTGAATATGAACAGAGATCAATGGACTAGAGACTTCATTTTGCGTCTCCGAGTGTTGGATGAGGCATCCTGAGTCCCTCCACTGTACAGACAGGATTGGGCTTAGCTACTCAGGGGGACTGAACTTTCAAGGGAAGATCAACTAGCCTCAGTTCTGGAGGAAAAAAGATAAAGAGTGGAACAAACAGCGCCTAATTCAAATAAGGCATCACATTCCCTATAGTCATGACATCAGAACAGGCTGCCTTTACTGATGGCATTCCCTGGAGAGCCTAAGGTACATTGTCATTCAGCCTAGAAGACCTCAGAAGGTCCAAACTCAAGCCTGATGTATAGGATTTGATGTAACTATTCAACAAATGTTGGTCAAGTTCTACTACTTGTTTGTAGGAAATGAGCAAATGTGTATTGTCTATCAGTGCAGTGACCTCTTCACACACAAAACTTGGCCCAGTGAGTGTCAGGCTCTGGGTAATCATTTTAGCCACTGCTGTCATGAGGAGGGACAAGTATAGGGTTAGAAGGAGTGGCTGAGTTCGGGTCAGAAGTTTCCTTCTTTGGGACCCAAGTAATGGGCAGGTAATAAAGATTAGGACTCGGGCACCAGGGAGGAGAAGAACATAAGGCTAGGAAGCAGGGGAGGGAGAGAAGAGTTTCCCTGATGCTGGCATTCTCCTCTAAACCCCAAGACCCTGGCTGGTCCTACCCAGATTAAAAAAAAAAAAAAAAAGCTATAGGCTTGGCTGTCATACCTTCTATAGGCTTGGCTGTCATAACTCAAGTTGTTGGGGGACACATGACTATTTAAGCAGCAATTATGGAGTTGTTGACGGGCAGGACCAAGGCCTGGCAGTAGACCCGTACACCAAGGGGGACCAGTGGAAGAGTCTAGCAGGCTACAGGGACAGAGAGTGGGGGCTTAGTGGGGTAGAGACTGCATCTGCACCATGAGGCAGCAAGAATATGGAGGAAGGGAATTTGAGGTAGAGAAGGTGTTGGAAACCCAGCTAAGAAGTCACTGTCAGGAAGCAGGTCTGTCCATTGGAGCAAGATTCCAGCTACCAGGAAGAGGCTGGAAGCAGAATTCCAGTCTTCAGGGAAAGAATGACTTGGCCAGGGCCAAATCTCAGTTAAAATAGAAGCTGAGATTCCAGGCAGCACAAGAACAACACATTGGAACTAGGAAACCAGGTTTGCAGTTAACCTAGGGCTTCAGGAGTAAGGAACTGGATTCAGAAACAAGAGCTGCCAGTGCCGCATACCAAGCAGGAGGCCATACTGTGGCCCTGTAGCTCAGGGAACATACTGGAGTCTGATGGTGTCATCTTGGGAACACTGTGTTCTGAAAAAGACTAATTGGGACCAGAAAGCAAGCTCCATGAAGGCAGAGACCCTCCCTGCTTATCACCAGGCGTGGCACCTGATAGGTGCTCAAAAAATACCTGTGTGCGAATGAACTCTGTGAGCAATTTTGTCCCCCAGCTCCTCAAAATGATGTGGGAGAATAAGACTTCTTAGGTAATTTCTGTTTCAAATTAGATTTGGCTAGGGAATTAATGTAGCGCTGAATGTTTAAACGGGAAGTGGATGAGCCCAGCAGCAGGGGATTTTAAGCTGGGGCCGCTAGCACTTCATGGCAGGGACACATTATTTTTCTTCTTTGAAACAATCCATAAACTTTGGAAACACATTATCATGTGCTTGGATGAGACCCTGGCCTTATGCATCATATTAAATGGAAGAGAAGTTTTTATCTTAGCAATTGAGATTTTTGTTATTGTTATTTTTTTTCTGGTGGTAATTAGCTAGGAAGTTCAGCTAATTACCACTCCTGGTCCACATCAACTGCATGAAGACAGACGATCATCTATTTGCCATCGTGGAAAGACATGATAATTATTCTAAATGTTAAATCAAATTACTTGGCTGCAAGTGTAGAAAAAGAGAGAGAGAAGGAGAGAGAGGGTTGTAACTAATAGTCCTGCTGTACAGCATTTGACTGTTTATCTTATTTTTCTACGAAACCATCACACTTTACTTTTTGGCAATGAAAGATGATACCAACATTCAAGTAACATTTACAGAGTATCTATGTGAAATCATATAGATAAATCCACAAATTATTTTTGTCCATGGAATCAAAGGCTGATATGAGATAAATTATTGATGCAGAGCAGGCAAGTCCCAAAGTGGAGCTTAGCCCACAAGGGTTCTTGGCTTTGCCCAGGAAAGAACTTAAAGGCAACCCCAAGGCAGAAGAGAACAGCGTTATTGAAGAGGCAGTGTTTCAGCTCCGTGACTGCTGCTGCAGAGCAGGCTACCCAGTAGGCAAAGTGGCAGCCCAGGGCAGTTTTGCAGTCATATTTATACCCAGTTTTAATTGCATGAAGATTAAAAGGCGGTTTATGCAGAAATTTCTAGGGAAGAGATAAGAACTCCAGGGTCATTGGGTCACTGCCATGAAAAGGGGCGGTAACTCCCAGGTGTTGCCATGGTACTGGTAAACTGACATGGCACCCTGGTGGGAGTGTCTAATTGAAAACTGCTTCTGCCCTGCCCTATTTTAACTAGTCCTCAATCTGGTCCAGTGTTCGAGCCCCAGCCTTTGAAGTCGAGTCCCGCCTCCTACCTCATTATGTTGTCCAAAGTTTTATATTAATAAAGACAATCTGATGTTGTTTCTAACTTACCTCTCAGTAACATGAAATGGTTTGTGGCAGTGAACTATAATGGATTAATTGTGTCGAAAGCCTGTTAGCTCCTCATATAAGATTAGATTAACCCTTTTCCTGTTTAGAAAAAAAAGGTACAGCTCACTACCAGTGTTCATTTAATTTTACATAAACACGCTCTTTGAGGCTGAAGCAAGTTTCCTGATTTTCAGTGTGAAAATAGAACATAAAAACTTCTTGGATTTATTTCTAAACAGAACTAACATCAGAATCATCTGAATCATCAGAATAATCTATTTCGGAAAAATTAGATTCATCAAATGAATCTTCGGCCAACAACTGTTCAAGAACGATGTTAACATCAGGCATAGACATAGGAATGCTACGTTTTCTAGGATTTGACATTTTCAGCGATCAAGAATTACTATATTTTGTAAATGAAAATACCACTACTAAAAACAGAATGTTGTAAATAGAATAATGTCTTTTATTTCCAAAGTCAACATACTAGAGCGATACAATAATAATAATAAAAGCAAGATATTTGGTGGCAAAGTTATCTTGGAGCAAACACTGCAGCCGCAAGCACTGCCAGTGAGTATTCTTGGGGCAAGTGGAATGATTAAGTCCAGAGTTTGTTGAGAAAAAAGGTGAGATAGTTTTTTGTGGTCATATTCAAAAAATGAATGAGATATTTAAAGGTAAGAGTTTTCTATTTTGAAATTGAGACTCACTACTTTTTCATCCATCCCATGGGAACTCTACCTGAAGGGTTATTGAAAGTAAAATATTGGCCGGGCGCAGTGGCTCATACCTGTAATCCCAGCACTTTGGGAGGCTGAGGCGGGCGGATCACCTGTGGTCAGGAGTTAGAGACCAGCCTGACCAACATGGAGAAACCCCGTCTCTACTAAAAATACAAAATTAGCCAGGCGTGATGGCACATGCCTGTAATCCCAGCTACTCAGGAGGCTGAGGCAAAAGAATTGCTTGAGTTCGGGAAGCAGTGGTTGCAGTGAGCTGAGATCGTGCCATTGCCCTCCAGCCTGGCAACAAGAGTGAAACTCTGTCTCTAAAATAAAATAAAATAAAATAAAATAAAATAAAATAAAATACTAGTCTAATGCTCAGCACAAATTCTAAATATTACTGGCAGTGAAAGATCTTCTAAAGCCTTTTTATACTTAAGATCATTGATCTTATACAAGTAGATAGAATTACAGGATCCCAATTTAAAAGGGTTCTGGCATTGACAAATATGGAAAGATTTTCCCTAGCTATAAGGTGGTACTTAGTAACTCCAGTATGTTGTCAATAGAAATATAAGTGTCTACAAGTACTAAACATTATGATGTTGGAGAAACAAACCTCATTGGCCTGGTCATTCAATAATCTTCAAATTTTTGAGAACATTTCATTTTTAGAAAATGGAACCCTTTTTTCCCCAAATTTTACGGAAGCCCAACTGATCAAAGTAGAGCCGCTTTGATGAAAAGATCTGAACATTCTCAAAGGTATGAGTGGCTCTCCAGAGTAACCTCTGAGACACCACCAGAGTGTCACTAGGGTCTTGCAGAGCAGAGTTTGAAAACCAGATGTCCCAAATGTCAGTCCTCAGAGTAAGGCTTTCTCAGAATCTACCCAAAGAAAGCAGGAAGAATGTAATAAAGATAAATGTAAGAGTTCATGAAATAGAAAACAAATATATGAGGATCAACGAAACTAAAAGTCAGTTCTATGAAAAGACTGATGAAAATGACACACCTGGGAATATCCATGAGAGAGAAGAAAGCACAAAAAACAGTATTAGAAATAAAAAGGAACAAGCCTGTAGAAGTTGCAGAAATTAAAAGGTAGCAAGAAGATATTATAAACAATTTGATATCTATGAATTTGAAAACAGATGAAATGTATATGTTCCTAAAAAATGTAGCTTACTGAAACTGGCTTATGACAAAATAAAAAATTAAAAAGACCTATAACTATTAGCTAATTTGAATCAATGATCAAAATGCTTCATAAGACTCTGAAGATTTTATGAGTTCAATTCAACCTTCAAGGAACAAATCACTCTCATCGTATGAGTTTGCTAGAGCTGCCACAACAAAATGCCACAGATTGGGTGGCTTAAATAACAGAAATTTATTTTCTCACAGCTCTGGAGGCTGGAAGTCCAAGATCAAGGTGTTAGCAGGTATGGTCTCTTCCTAGGTATCTCTCCTTGGCTTGCAGATGGCTGCTGACATGGTTTCGATTTGTGTCCCACCCAAATCTCATGTCCAGTTGTAATCTCCAGTGTTGGAGGAGGGGTCTGGTGGGAGGTGATTGGATCATGGGGGTGGATTTCCCCCTTGCTGTTGTCATGATAGTGAATGACTTCTCACGATATCTGGTTGTTTAAAAGTGTGGGGCACCTCACCCTTTGCTCTCTTCCTCCTGCTCCAGCCATGTAAGACGTGCCTGCTTCCTCTTTGCCTTTTGCCATGATTCCAAGTTTCCTGAGGCCTCCCCAGTCATGCTTCCTGTACAGCCTGTGGAACCATGAGCCAAGGAAACCTTTTTTCTTTATTAATTACTCAGTCTCAGGTAGTTCTTGCAATGCGAGAACAGACTGATACAACTGCCGTCTTGTATCCTCAGGTGGTCTTTTCTCTGTGTGTTCACTTCCGGTGTCTCTGTGTCCAAATTTCCTCTTCTTATACAAACACCAGCCAGATTGAAGTGGGGCTCACTCTAACAGCTTCATTTTAATACCATCATCTCTTTTAAAGGCCCTATCTCCAAATACAGTCACATTTCAAGGTCCTGGAAGCCAGGGCTTCAACATATAAATTTAGGGGAGGGGACACAATTCAGTCCATTGCACTAATCTTATGCAAACTATTTCATATTATAGAAGATGACGATACACATCCCAGCTCATTCTAGAACCAGGCAAGGATAATAGGAGAAGGGAAAATGGCAGACTAGTCTCAATTATCAAAGTAGATGGCAAATTCCTAAACAAAACGTAACCTAACCCAGCAATGTGTCTAAAAATATAATGATCATGCCCAGGTTGAATTTATTACAGAATATTATAGTCACGAAAACTCTGTGCTCAGCAATTAAAACTCATGGTAGCAGAGTTTAAAATTCGTTAGTTTACTGGTTCTTAGTGATAAAAGAAAATTTTACTTACTTAAAAATAAATTTGATTTACATAAGAGTGGAATTTTAGGTAGCCTTATGTTCATTAAAATCTGTCTTTTTATAAAATGGATTTTTAGTTTGGTATTTTCCCCGTATTTGGTCTTCCAGTCAGTAAAACTTTTCATGTGCTGCAGATGACTTTTAGGAACTCACCACCATGAAGATGGAGGACCCACATTCATAAAAACATCACAGTGTTTCATGCAAGGCCTAATGAGCTTCTGGAATTGTTCAGAGGAGAATGCCAGTCTGTGACTTCAAATGTGCTTTTGCAGAAAATGTCTGTCAGCCTGTGGTTGCTTAAGTCTGTTATTTTAAGACACTCATCAAGAGGAACATAGCATTTCACCTCCTCCATGCTGTTTACATGACTTAATGTAAGATCAGTGTTAGAAAGCTAATTACAGCATCCTAGATTGAACAGTAATTAGGCATTTGCAATCACAAGTGGGTGCTATTGAAAAAGAGAAAGGAAGAAAACACCAAATGAACACCATTCAGTGCAATTTTTAGGTTTAAATATCACTCCAGGAGTTCAATGGCTTTCTTTCTATCTCTCTATGTACAGGAACACGCTGTCTTAGATGTTATATCTGAAGATCTAAGAAAGAAAAAGCCTTATGTCTTAATAGCTGAATTTCTGTGCTAAGGAAGTTCAGGCCTCTAGACCCTTCCCTTGAAGGGTCTATTATGATACCTTCCTGTGGATGGTTAATTTTGCCCTGTTGTGTGGCCTCAGCCCATTCCCTATCCCAATGACAATCTTGCCAGCACATGCTGCGTGTCACTAGATGGACTGGCCGAGACCAAAAATGAAGCAGAACAAATCCATACCCACTACCATGAAAACTCGACGTGTATATCCTACCAACAGTCGGCCAAGTAGAATTGTACTTGTATAAAAATACAGCATTTCTTATGATAATTTTATGTAAGTATTTGAGACAATATTTTGAAATATTAACAGGTTTTTTTTCTGTAATTCTTTGTGCCTTGTGATGCTTCCTTTTGCCCCATCAGCCAAGACATTCCACGTTCATTTGCTTGGGAATACGTGACAGAGCTGAAGGCAGAGAACAATGAAGTCAGCTCCTGACTTTTGAATTTCAAAAGTGTAGGCCAGGCATAAGATAAAAGGTGGGAAGAATTCTTTAGAGATAAGCATGGAGGTGGGCCATTCCAGGGTACATTTAGGACACTCTGGAATGACCCTGCATCAAGCATGTTGAGAAAGAAAGAGAAACTTCCTGTTTTTTTCTAGGTGTTCCAGGTAGGTGGCCAAGGAGAGTGTCATCAAGTTCCCTGTTCCACAGCTTGTTACAGGAGCAGAGAAAGAGCATATGAGACCAGGAGGGACTAAGGTGGTCCTTTCCCAGCCAGGGGTTATGTGTTTCCAAGAGCAGCATGAACACAGCCCAGAGAGGCCGCAGACCTGAGGCTGCTGTGAGTTCAGGAAGGAGGCATGACACAACAGTGACCTCCATGAACCTCTTGCCTAGGGCTGTGAAGGCCAAATGGAATTGAGGACATCTCAGAGAATTCCAGTGGCGATAGATGACGATCCCAATGCTGCACTGACATGTGGGCATAAGGGGCCTCCCTGCTCTGGGCGCCACCTTGGCCTCCTCCAATTATCCATCTCTCCCAGGGTAGGGAATGTGGAGCCACCTGGAACCCAGACATCCTTTCCTATGCCATGTTTTGGTTACTTTGGGCCCTAGAATTCCTGGCTCAAACAGGGAATTTGTCCACTTCCAGGTTTTCCTGGGCCACTTCCCTAGATCTATTTTTAGGAGATTGAAGGCAGATTGTACTTCTGGTCTTCCTAGACCCGAGGGTTAGCCTGGGCATGGCTGTTTGTGGGTTGTGTTGACAGAAGTGCATTTGTGGATATGAGAGGTGCATGCAGACTCTGACACAATGGGACAGACCTGGTGGTGCTCTGAGGAGTGGGTGCTTCAGGCCAGGAGCCAACTCTCTCAGTGCCACCATGTTCCAGATCATTATGAAGGTGTATTGGTTAAGGCTGGAGGATAGAACATATGGTAACTAATAGTTCGTTAGCTTGATTTACAGCTTTTAAATATTTAGGCATATGGGATGGGGGCTTCCATTTGTGTACTTGCCCCAGTCCCTACAAATGTAATGGGCAGGCTTGGATAACACCAATGGTAAGATGAACCATCCTCTCCATCCAGATCCCCTGCATGTTTACTATTGTTTAGTAAGTTTTCTAGAGCTTTACCCAATTTCAGGAAAAGGTAAGCCTAAGAAGAGGTAGGGAACCCCAATTAACTGAGATTTTTCCATCCAAAGCCTTGGATGGAAATCCTAATTCCAAGATGTCCCAGTCACACTAGGACTTGTACTCCAGGGGGCGCTATTCACATCGACTAATACTCTATAGGGGCCATTCCCTTGATTTGGTCACTCATCCTCTTTCCGGTCGTTTGTTTATGCTCTTTCCATTAACCTAGTAATGTCCTTCCCTCTGTCTGTCCATCTCATCGATAAAGCCATGCGTATATGAAGCATAAATGAATTTCCTACTTAGACTTGGGTTCCATCCCCAGTTCATTCCATATTCATTGTCTACATTACACAAATTAGCTATTGTTAAGAATCCCAACCTTGGGCTGGGCACGGTGGCTCAAGCCTGTAATCCCAGCACTTTGGGAGGCCAAGGCGAGCAGATTACTTGAGCCTAGGAGTTTGAGACCCAGGCTGCAAAATGGCGAAACCCTGTCTCTACAAAAAATAAAAAAAAATAGCCGGACATGGTGACACACATCCCAGCTACTTGTGAGGGTGAGGTGGGAGGATCGCTTGAGCCTGGGAAGTCGATACTATTGTAAGCTGAGATCATGCCACTGCACCTGCACTCCGGCCTGGGTGACAGAGCAAGACCCTGCCTCAAAAAAAAAAAAAAAAAAAAAAAAGGAACCCCCATGAGATTATCTATTTGAGAGGAAAAATTCCATTTCACATCTAAACTCATTGAACAGGTATTTATTGAACATCCACTAGGCATCAGGTTGTGTGGTTGTGTATTAGATGCTGGGAATTCAAAGCAAATTATGGCCCTGTCCTCATAGGAAGTCCTGTGGGGGCTGCAGAGCAGTGGCCAGACAGTTGCTATGCCATATGGTAAGTGGGTAAGTGTTAGGGTGATGGAAGGTCAGGATCTCAAGGAGGAAACACAGGGGGTGTCTAACTGGTCTCGGTAGGCCAGAGAATACTTTCTAGAAAAAAGGTATCTCAGTTGAAACTGGAAGGATGTTTATTGGAGATTATTGGCATATCTTCATTTCTGCTTCAAATAGTTACAGAAGAGACTCTTAGTTCAGCAGTAACAGCACAGCAAGTTTATTTTGGGGTTAAAGATACATATTCTTTTCATATCTTGAATGGGTATTAATTCATTCAAAAGCCAAATGATAGAAACTTTGGTTAAGCAATTTAAGTAAAACCTAATTTTATCTATAGAAGTCCTATAGAAGTTCTTCATAATTTTGTTTATATTCAGAGGTAGAAGATCTGTAAATGTAGATCACTGAAATGTTTATAAGATGATTCCTACATTATCTGATTAAAGTATTGATTCATTTAAATATTGAATGCCCACGAGGAGCTTATAGGGAAATAGTGAATGTGTTAGGCCCTGTACTGGACACCTTCCTCTATGTTATCTCACTTCAAAAACACAAACGTGACATTCAAGTTCTATGATAATAGCAACCATTTCTCCATGCTCTTGTATTTGACAATATTCTAATGCATACTTTTTCTCTGCTGTCCCTACTGTGGATGTAAGGCTGTAAACTAGCCCTAGTTTTTTAAAAGAATATTCCAGTTGTCTGTTTTTATCCATGTTGCAGATCGAGCATCCCTAATCTGAAAATCTGAAATGTGAAATGCTCCAAAATCTGAAACTTTTTGAGAACCAATATGAAATAGTGATACCATTGTTTTCTGATGGTTCAATATATACAAACTTTGTTTCCTGCACAAAACTATTAAAAGATGTTGAATAAAATTACCATCAGGCTACATGTATAAGGTGTATATGAAACATAAATGAATTTTCTGTTTAGACTTGGGTCCCATCCCCAAAAGATCTCATTATGTCTGGTCCCAAACATTTTGAATAAGGGACAGTCGACCTGTACTATGAATGAAAACCATTGACATTGCATGTGTATTATCCCCCCACCACACTATGATGTCTCAGAGCAGGGTCTTGTTGACTGTTGAGTCCCTACTGCTCTGCCCAATGCCTGGCTTATGCCAGCACTCAGTGAGTGTCAGTGGAATGAATTTGTTCAAGAAAATAGTGTGTTTGAGAGCTGTTCACCTGAAAAACCATTAAAGGCTAATTATTTGTGTTGAGAACCAATGTAAGTATCCTGGTGGAATATGGAAACAATCCACGATGATTGGTGGAGATTCAGCCCCACTCCTTCTCTACTGAATGAAAACTGGGTATTGCTGCTACTGGAGGGGAAGTGAAGTAAGGAATGCCCCTGATTTGATTATGGTCCAGGGAGCAAGCCCAGGCTTCTGCCTCAGTGCTGGCCTTGGCCTATACCTAGCCAGCCGCACATGGGCTTCCTCTAGAGTTTGCCGTCCATGGATCTGGAACCAACAGCCTGAGCTACAGAGACTGGGCTGGAGCTGCTACCAAGTGCTTGGCCCTGTTTTGCTCTCATTAACCAGGTCAGAATTGCTGGCTGCCGTTGCTGTCAGGTGGGGTGAGTCAGGTCTGTGGGGATGTTTGACATCATAGGCGCCCTCTTATTCTAATCAGCTTGTTTTAGCAGAGCTCCTTTGTATAAACACATCAGCTGAAGGAAGCTCTGAAATGAAGACTGTTACATAATGATTTTATGAATAACATACAGCTTCCTAAAATCAGTCTTTTTCTGTTAGATCTTCAAACCAGGTTTTAGAAGCAAGACAATTTTAGATTCTCATAGTAAGAACAAATTTAGACACCTTCATAAGGTGTGACGCATTTGATGCAAAATATAGATGGACGAGGAATGATGTTGCTTATTAAAAAGTTCAATTAGAGGATGGGCACTAAAATATATATGAACTAAGTTAAGTATGTCAAATGACACACTAAAGGCTAATTAGGTAAAGGGAGAAGTGTACATGACAGGTTTCTGATTTTCTAGCTTTTTAACAGTAAAGGTAACTTTATTTCCAGCATTCGACCAAAATGCAGGGATTTGGGCCACATTTACTTGGCTCCGGGGGAGTTTTTCAATCCTGTTGAAGCACAGCAGGCAAGGCCTGGGTCATGAGAATTCTATGGTGCTGACTGCATTTGGAGCTTAATTATTTAAATGTTTCCAGACTCAAATGACTGATGAGCTAACATATTTTTAATTCAGACTTTCACAGAGCAAGCTATAAGGTGTGTCTTGAGAAACTGATGCTCACTTGAAGTTCCATGCCATGTATTTTATTTCAATAGCCACATTTTAGATGACAAATTTAAAATTGTATCCAAATTTCAAGGGAACAGAGTCCTACATTAGTTCCAGTACCCAGCCCTCTTTCGTGAAGAGGACTAGAGGTGGTTTTGTTGTTGTTTTTAAAGAGAGAAAAAAGTGCTGTTAGAATAAAAATAAAGAATGTTACCAGAATGTTCTACTTAATTTAGCTTTCCAAAGATAAACACACTGGTGAATCATTACATGCTGATGGTGCTATTTAAACATTAATCCTTTAACCTTTTCCTTCTCCCTTCCTGTCTACTGAGTTGGGTGGGTTATAGGTAGCGTCACTTAGGGAAAAGTTTGTTCCTTTTTAGTTTTTCTATGGTTCAAACTATTTCTCGTATAAGCACTATCTACTGGAGACTCTTAAAATAGTACTTTAAAGAATAAAAGAACACTTGAGAATGATTCAGTTGGCGGAGATTCTATAAATTTAGATAATTTACTAATCATTATGCTTATTAAGTAATTTAACTATCTCAAATGAATTACAGATATTTTATAGCACTATCCACATGTTAATTGAATCTTGATCCTCAGGCCTGCAAAACTGGCCATGAAAAATACTTTTGTTGTCCCCAGCAAGCCAGATCTGTGAGTCCCTTTATTCCTCTAGGTCTTCATTTGGTGTCTTTTTAGCGTATGTTCTGTTTTCCAAGTTGGGAGCGGCTAACTAAGCGGGTCGTCCTTTCTCAGAAGGTTTATTTCTTGGTGGTGATCTTGTTATTGAGGCTCACATTTACCTGAACTGCATTAAGAGAGAGACACTCTTACTTATATTTGTATCCCCAGATTGTTAGCAGAATATCAGTAATAAATGCTTAACAGCCAGTGTTTTTGAGTGGATAATATAATAGGTTTTCGACAAGTGAATGTTTTTGAAAACACCAAAACTCTGTGTAAGAATCACAGCCATCAGGCCGGGCACTGTGGCTCATGCCTGTAATCCCAGCATTATGGGATGCCAAGGTGGGAGGATCACATGAGCCTAGTAGTTTGAGATCAGCCTGGGCAACATAGTGAGACCCCATTTTACTAAAAATAAAAAAGTTAGCTGGCTGTGGTGGTATGTGACAGTAGTCCCAGCTACTTGGGAGGCTAAGGCAGGAGGATCGCTTAAGCCCAGGAGTTTGAGGTTGCAGTGAACTGTGATCGTGCCACAGCATTCCAGCTTGAGTGACAGAGTGAGACCTCATCTCAAAAAAAATAAAAATAAAAATAAAAAGAATCATGGCGTCCAACTCTGGGGCTGTTGCTAGGGCTCTGCAGCCCTTGCTGAAAGTCCTGTGAACTTACTTGCTGGCCAGCAGCCCCATCTGCCTTCTGCCTGTGTCTTGCAACAGCCCTATTGCTGCCAGCACAGCCCTCCTGCCTCCTTCCCTCCTGCGTTTCTGCTCCCAGTATGCACATCAAGGTCACATTCTTCTGCTCTATACTCTGGATCTTTCTACACTTGGCATGTATTTTCCCCTCTGTGTTCTCACGCTCCACACTGTGGAAGAACACATTCTCTTGGGAAAACCCATTGTAGGGAGGGACAGGAATGACTTCCAGGAAGATAGTTGCTCAACCTAGCCTCCAAGAAATGAAAGACATACCATTCGTGAGCTGCTTGCTGTCCCTCCCTTGAAGGAATATTGAGGTGGTCTAGGGTATCTCAGTGGTTTTGCTTTTTTGCCTTGAGCAGTTGTACGGAAACATAATACTGGCTTCCAGGTGAGTAGTAAAGACCTCATGCATTTTCATTAAATGTGATTTCTTTTATTCAAGGTGAATATCATCCTCTACCCACAGACCATCCTAAAAATAAAGTGAAATCCCTACTCTCTACAACCCACATGCCAAATGTGAGCAAACATGTTTGGAATAAGGTGTATTACATATGTCATCTTTGCAGAGTTCAGTTGTAATTTGTCCTGGACTCTTGGATTCCTCTTCTGCTGTCTGTTTTTCCTGATGGGAGCCAGTGATAAAAGGATTAAGGAGATCTGATTCCCCCTTCAAACAATACATGGTTCCATTTGTGTTCTAGCATAGAGGTTTTTAAAGTCTTTATTCAGCATTGACCTAAACACTTCTTCCTTTAAGCCACTGAACATGCTGGACCCAGGCTTTGGAATGCCATATAGAGCTAGATTATTGGAAATCCTCCAGGTCCATTATATTGACATTCTTTTTTATAATTTCGCTACCATTTTATCCTGAGAAATTCTCTTTCATTACCTGCTCAAAGCCCATTGCTGGTGCCCTTCCTGATGCTCCTCCTACCACCTGCCATATTTTCTACCTGTTACTCAGCACGCAAGACTTCAGGTGCACCTACGGAAGTAGCGGTGGGGGCTTTGGCTGTTTCTGAGCCTGTTCCTGGGGAGAGGCAACTTTAGTTAAGGTGACTTGATGCATGTAGTTTGTTAAGACAGTGATGATATAGTAGGTCGAAGAATGCCCCCCGCGCCCCCAAAAAAGAACCATATCTTAACCCCTTAAACCTGTGAATATGTTACTTTACATGGCAAAAGGGACTTTGCAGATGTGAAGACGTTAAGGATGTTGACTTAATGATCCTGGGCGAAATGATCCTACATTATTTGGCTGGGCTCAGTGTAATCACAGGATTCCTTATAAGAGGGACAAGAAGGTTAAAAGAGGAGAAGGCAATGTGACAATGAAGACAAATTTTGGAGCAATGAGGCTGTAACCAAAGAATGCAACTGAGCCTAGGAGGTGGAAGAGACCAAGCCAGAGCCTCCAGAGGAATGCAGCCCTTCAGAACACCTTGATTTGAGCCCTACAAGATAAGACTAATTTTGGATTTCTGACCCAGAACCATCAGAGTAAATTTTGGCTGTTTTAAGCCACTAAATTGGTGGTAATTTGTTACAGTAGCAACAGGAAACTAATACTGATGAAAAGATAATAGGAAAGGAAAGTAAAAGCAGAAGTGTGGGCCAGGGAGGGATCGCAGTCATCTGATGGCAAAGCACTTCTCTAAGAACAACCACATGGCTTCCCCTTCCTGGCCTATGTCCCTGTGGATATGTTAGAACCTGGTTAACCTTGACTGTTATCCAGTGCCTTTCCTGGCTTTGTCCTTCGTATCAGATGCAGATGTTTTATCTCCTTTTTTTATGGCTCCCAGGAACTTTCTATGACCCCCTTAGAGGAATCACTAGACCTCATGTCTCAAAGACTAGCTAAGTGTTTGCTGTGGTCCTAACAAGTCCACCTAGAGCCATTTAAATGGCTGGCATTGATGCTTTCTGTTATCTGTTCCAGGTTTAGTGGCGTGAATAGTAAACATAGTAGATTAGTCCTTTGTAATTAAATTTAGATAGCATCTCACCCCTGACTCTTTTAGAACAATGATGGCAGTGGGAGGAGTCAGAGAGGTCAGTCCCCAGTTAAATCAGTCAGGCATTTATTGATGACCCTCTGGGTACTCAGCGCTTTGCTCTAGGTGTCCTAAGCTGATCTGAAAAATTGGGGTCACCTCCAATTCTTTTTTCAATGAAGTCCTGGATAAGGAGACAAAAGCAGAATGGTGAAAAAGAATCATTCTCTCAATTAATCTAAAGCCTATGTGTTAATACTCTTTAAAAAAATAAAACTACTAGATGGCAAGTGTACTTTCGTAGGAGAAAACTAAACTTTCATTAGGCTATTTAAGGAGATCAGGCAGAAATTGATTCATGAGAGAAAAAAGTAACATGCTTTTTAGGCATTTTTAGGAATTTTGGCCCTGCCTGGACCACACTGTTTATTGATTCATCCATCACTTATCTGGTCATGTATTTATTCTAGAAACAATTGTTGAGTACTCAGTAGTGTTCTGGGAGCTACGAGGAAGACCTTGACAAGATTTCTACGTCTTTCATGGAAGCAATCAATACATGTTTGATAAGAAGTAACCCAACTTAACAAATGTCGTATTACTAAAGAAATGCTTATTAATTTAAATTTAAGTCAAGCAGAGCCTAGAATACTTGTTTGATGAATCCCAAACAGCCTACGGAGGAAATTTTTTGAGTTGCAAAGGGTGCTTCCCTTGCTAGCCTATAAGAACAGCTCATTAAGATCCAACCTATACCTTTCCCCCTTTCTATGCTGTATTAAGACATACCACCCTTTCTTTATAGAGTCATGAGTCTGCAAGGGATTTGAGAGGTCAGCAGGCCATTCTGCTGACTTGGGCCCAAATGCTTTCAGGAGCCAGGCAGGCCATGTAAGTGTGTGTAGCTCAATGTGAGACAATTGGGAGTGGTGGAAACTTTGGCAAACTCAGAGCAGATGCCTTGTCTAAAGCTTTCAAGGTTTGGCCTGGCCAAATGATCATGTCAGTGAGCTGGATTTGATTAGACTACCAGTTGGCAGCTCATGATTCTAATCTGAGAAAACAGTAGTCTGACCCTTTCTTAAAGTCTACTAGAGAGAATCACCTTTTTGAGTATGGATAGCAGGCTGCCCGCCGTCCGGCCGGCATGAGCCTGCCAGCCACATCATTGGAGGGGAACTTGCTATGTTATTAGGATGGGTACCCATCATATTTCCAACTAACTGGTGGCTTGTGGAGAGAACTTGTGCAAGCTGTATATTCCTGAAGCAGCTTCTCTGAACCAGTTTTTCCCTTTGTTTGCTGGTTTTGTAACAGTAGACTCATCCATAAGCAGCTGTAACTGCCCTTTAAGCAACAGGCTACCCCTTTGGCTGATCGATATGTTCAGAAGCCCTTTTTTGCCAATAGTCAGCACCATGTCAAACAGATGCCTTCCTCTGCATTCCAGTGACCTGGTGGCATTGCTGCCAACTCAATAATTTTTTGAGCATTGGCCATAATAAAGTATAGGTACAGTTCTTAAAAACTATTTTTAAAAATCCTTGAAGTGATAAATAGATTGAGCTAAATAATGGTAAGCATATATCCTTCTGCTTTGATTTACAGATTTATAATTTAGTCTTCCTTCAGGAATAATTTTTAAATGCAGCCATCTCCTGGAATTTAGAAAGAGGCCTGTATCTCAATGCCTTTTACAGGCAGTAATTCTACCATGTTTATTTTCATACCAAGACTATTGAGTGCTATTGAGGGCGAAGTGATTGTTTTGTTTAGTTTTGTTTTGTTTTGCCAAGGCAAAAAGAATAGCTTTAAACATTTCATTAGTCAAATTGAGACAGAAGCCTGAAGCTTTAAAAGAAATTATGCTTTTGCATTGAAAGCAGAAGTTCAATAAAATAAGATTCTATAAAAAGAAGTTGGGCCTATACATTGAGCCTGGCCATTCCTGGTAAATATTGTAGAATGAAGAGATGACACATGAACATGCTACAATACGAAAGACCTGAGTTTGAATCCAGATCTATCATTTGTGCATCTTGAGGCACATTTCTTAACCTCTCCAAGCCTTAGTTTCTTCATCTATAAAATGGGAATAATAATAGTACCAAACTCATTCTTGCTGTTATGTTTTAATGAAATAAATGCATAAAGAAAGTATTAGGCACCGTGCCTGGTAAATAGTCAATGTTCAAAAAATGAAAGCTGTGGTCTCTGGCTTGAGACTCAGATACAGGTGTCAGTTGTGGGTTCCAATTCTGGAGGAGAAGGAAGAAAGCCCAGAATCTTCTTTGAGAAAATCAGAATCTTCTGGAAAAAAAGGCCGTCTTGGGATGGCCTTTAGATCTGTACAGGTTGCTGGTCAAAGTGTCTGATGAATTGATTTTCACTGCAATGGCCAGAGCTTCCCCAACATGTTTTTGCAGGGCCAGGCCAATGTTGAGCCTCCTTCTCAGAGGGCTGCTTGCAGGTTTTTTTAGGAGTACAATGCTGGGCTAAGGCACACTAGACTGACACCTAAGAAATCTCATTTAGATGTCAGAATTTGCTTCCTAAGCACTCTTGGGTTAACTGGTTTTATTAGAAAAGCTAAACATATTTCACATATTGAGGAACCCTCTCTCTATGACTTTGGCAGAGTTCCTTTTGTGCCTTTCACGGAGATAGGCTTTTTAGTTTTCCAGCCACCAGGGCATTCACTTTGAGATTCATTGCTGAGTAAGTGCCATCTGTGTGGACTCCTGGGTCCCAGATGGTCCTTTGTTTTTGCTCATTCTTCTGCATTGTTACTGTAAGAGAAATACATTCCCACGCTTTTTATGTATTAGCAATCTTAAAATATTTTGGAATTCAACTCATGCCTTCATTTTCAGTGGAAGGTCTTTTTTGTTTGTTTGCTTGTTTGTGGTTTTAATTTTTAAAAAATTTTTAATTATTATTGATACATAATAGTTATACATATGGGTTACATCTGATATTTTGATGCAATCATACAACTTGTAATGACCAAATCAAGGTAATGGAGATATTCATTGCCTCAAGCATTTATCATTTTTTATGTTAGGAACATTCCAATTCCACTCTTTTAGTTATTTTGAAATATAAAATACGATTGTTAACTATAGTCACCTCATTGTGCTGCCTAACATTAGTTCCTTTAGTTTTGTTTTCACTCTCGCTCTCCCCCTCCCTAATAGTTTTATGGTTTTGAAGTCATCTCCACCTTGTCCCTCTAACCTTCCCATCTAGTCAGGTTTTCTAATGACATCTTGAGGAAATTTCTGCTCAATTTTGAGGGCATACTGCCGATCCAGTATTTAGGGACCCACGTGAAGCTTAGTTAATTATTGATTATGAAGACTTATCCTCTCCCTGCCCCTCAAGGCTTTATAAAGCCATGGCTCCTGGAACTAAGGCATCAGCCATTTGTTTTTCCAACCTCATTTCTTGAGCCAGGACTCTCCATTCAAGCAGAGCCTGGCTCTGATTGCTCCTTTCTCATGTGGAGCTCTTTTAGAGCCATTACTACATAGGAGCTGCGCATCTGGCCTTGACCTCTGCTTTTGTCCCTTGGGTACAGCAGGACATTGCAGAAACCTCACCCACAGCCTTCAGCTTTTGGCTCCCTGCTCATTCATCGAAATGGTCAGCTAGCTTCTTGTGCCTAGCTGTGATTTACCTATTTAATATTTTATCTATCATTGCTATGTGTTTGGAGCAGTGGGGTGTTGTCCAAGTGTGGATTCACCAAACCACCTTGGCCAAAAGTCCAAACTTGTCGGAAGACTGTGTCTGATGGATGTTGCCTTATGTAAGGTCCAGACACCAGGCAATCTGGATGTGCAGAAAAGTTTCACAGCCTCTGCATTAAGATGGTAAAGAGGGTAAGTGTGGGCTGGGCACAGTGGCTCATGCCTGTAACCCCAGCACTTTGGGAGGCCGAGGTGGGCAGATCACCCGTGGTCAGGAGTTTGAGACCAGCCTGGCCAACATGGCAAAACCCCGTCTCTACTAAAAATACAAAAACTAGCCAGACATGGTGGTGCATGCCTGTAATCCCAGCTACTCAGGAGGCTGAGACAGGAGAACTGCTAGAATCCATGAGACGGAGGCTGCAGTGAGCCAAGATTGCACCACTGCACTCTAGCCTGGGTGACAAGAGCAAGACTCTGTCTCAAAAAAAAAAAAAAAAAAAAAATACTTGGAAGTAGCTAAACTAATTGAAGACATTTAAAAATGTCTTTACCTCCAACAATTTGCTGTTAAAAAATTATTCGATGACACTTGTTCAAGCACGGTAAGGCAGGTTTTATTTGGGACCATTGCAATAGGTATAGGGACCACTGCCATGGGATTTTGCAGTCGGGGAGAGGGATTGGACTCAACTTTGAATATAACAGGGAAAAAAATTATAGCCAAGGAGCAGTGTATGTTGCTCTGCCTTAAAAAAAAAAAAAGAGGTATCAGGCACACTCCAAGGACCATGAATAAGGGAAGAGAAGCAAACGTTATCCAGAAATTCAGGAGACCCCTCCCCACACCTTACATCAGAAGAGAAACCTCAAAAGGAGAATAGTTAGGCAGAATAGAAAACAGTCATGTCAAATAGCATTGGCCTAAAATCCACATAGTAGAACATTGGATAAATGTATAATCTTTCTTGCCCAGATCTTCCTGGAAACACTATCTGTTGCAAAACTTTCTCCTATCAACTGTTTTTGGTTAATAGTTCAGGGATTTGGTTTAGTACCTTGGAGAGCTATATATCCAAGCATTTTGCTTGTCAAAACTATTTGATAGCTGTATTTGTAAAAGCAGTGGCTCAAATGTTTTTAGAAGAGATTTTCAGCTGGGTGGGGTGGCTCATGCCTGTAATCCCAGCACTTTGAGAGACCGAGGTGGGTGGATCACTTGAGGTCAGGAGTTCAAGACAACCTGGCCAACATGGTGAAACACTGTCTCTACTAAAAATACAAAAAGTTACCTGGGCATGGTGACAGGTGCCTGTAACCCCAGCTATCCAGGAACTGAGGCTCGAGAATCACTTGAACCCGGGAGGCAGAGGTTGCAGTGAGCCGAGATCATGCCACTGCACTCCAGCCTGGTGACAGAGAGAGACTCTGATTCAAAAAAAAAAAAAAAAAAGAGAAAAGAAAAGAAGACACTTTCAGTAGAATATGTTCCAAAATGAATAGGGAGCAAGCTTTCTCATTGGTAGTCAATGTTCTGATTCTTTGGATGAATCAGAAACTCAAAAGGTTGAAATAGTCAGATAGGCCCATTTGAGTATCCAAGAGATCTACTGGACCAAGCAATCTAATTACGTGGACAGTTTACTCTTTTACTTCTCCATCCTGAGAAACAGAGCCTGATCTTGTAAGAAAGGATTCCAATTCATCCTCTAAAAGTAAAACTATGTTCTTTTTAGCCTGTGATTTTGGAGTCTCTCTGCCCCTTGGAGTGGTGTTTCTGCTCTTTTTCTCCATAGAATCCATCTGAACTGGCCTTTATCCCCCTGGGCTCGAATTTCAGTTAGGAAAGGCAGAGTATTATTGCCACCTATTGCCATCAGTTCTTCTCTGTGCTTCCAATAAGTGAGAGCTTCTCGTAGGAAAGTTAAGAAGTAATGTGACCCAGTGCACTGGCTCATGCCTGTAATCCCAGCACTTTGGGAGGCAGAGGCGGGTGGATCACCTGCGGTCAGGAGTTCAAGACCAGCCTGATCAACATGGTGAAACCCATCTCTACTGAAAATACAAAAATTAGCCAGGCGGTGGTGATTACAGGTGGTGAGCACCTGTAATCCCAGCTACTCGCGAGGCTGAGGCATGAGAATTGCTTGAACCCAGGAGGTGGAGGTTGCAGTGAACCAAGATTGCGCCATTGCACTCCAGCCTAGGCAACAGAGCAAGACTCCGTCTCAAAAAAAAAAAAGAGAAAAAAAAGAAAAGCAAGCAGAACTTTTATAGGGAGCCAAGACATTATCTTCTTTGTTAAAACTGAGAGAGACAGTTGCTAATAGGGTTTTTTTTTTTGTAGAAAGATGTGCTTGGTGATGCGTTTGAAGACTCAGGGCCCCACAGCAGCCTTGCTGTTGCCACCTCAGCCAGACAGGCCCGGCATCCCAAACATCATACAACCAACCCCAGGCAAACACTCTCTTAAAAAACCCAGATAGTGAGGGGTTGTGTCCTTCTTTCGAAGGTGGGATCACACTGAGGGTACTTGGATGCAGGTGCTCCAAATTACCCCAGCCTCAAACAAGTTTGTCGAACTCTAGGCAAGCTGAGTATATACTCATGGGAAGGTTAATAAAAATGGGAACGAACCCCATGTTTAGAAACATAATGGAGAACATTAGGCTTATCGATGCCTCTACCATGCCCACAGCATCTCTGGGGCCATAGGAAAGGGCCTGGTGAACATTTTATAACCAGGCATTCCCCAGCTACAGCATATTAATTGTGGGTGTGAATTAAATCAAGGGAGGGAGTGGATTCTCCCTGGAGCTTGAGGAAAATGGTCCACTTACTGTGCTTTTTCACGGTTGCATTGCCCTTCCTCTGATGCTGGGGAGGGACAGAGGAGGGGCAGTGGTGGAGCCAGTTACCAATACAGAGAATTGGGAAGCAGTTAGGTCCTCGGCAATGAATGCAGTTTTTGAACAGGGCTTAATTTATAATGGACACTCAACATTAATTTTCTGATTTCTAGACATTTTTCCATGTTGCCCATTTCTTGTTTATCTCTTAGTGGAGATGTTTAAGTATTTATAGGCAAGGGAGGGAGATGTTAAGTTCCTAAATACCTAGGGGAATCCTGTGACAAAATAGTATTAAGAATTATTTTCTGCCATTTTATTTTTATTTTATTGTAAATTGACAAATTATAACTGTATATATTTATGGGGTATGATGTGATATAATGACATATGTGTACAATGTGGGATGATTAAATCCAGCTAATTAACACATCCATCACCACAAATACTTGTCATCTACCATTTTAAATTGCAAAAATGGACTGAAGGACCACAGTCCTTCAACTGAAACCCTTGGAGTCAGTTGTGTTTCAGAATTCAGAATTTTATTTTAGAAAGGTAATAGAAAACATATGCTACTTATTATGAATCACTCCTAGCAGGATCTGGGAAGATTCTTAGAACCTATAATATTAAACATTTCTGTAGCAAACATGATTATTTGCTCTAAGTGGAATAAGTAAAGATTTTTAATAGCGTCACGTCACTTCAAGTTATGACACTAAATGCATTTTGGAGCGAAACTTACAAAAAACAATATTTTTAAAACTTTCTGGATTTTAGACTTGTGAGTAAAGATTAGATTTTATATAAATCGCATTGTGAGTTAGGGAGTGCTTAATGGACTGGCCTTGGAAGCCAGTCAGTATTTATGGAAAAAAAAGTGTGTTTCGAACGACCAATAAAATGAACTTTTGGAACATAATCCATTTGTCATTTAAGGACTAACAGTATTAATAAAAATGACTGAGAGTCAGATTTTGAACTGTGGACAAAGCTAATATAAATATATTCATATTAGGCAATAGGCACTGCCAATAGATGAGACTTCTTAGCTACTCCTTACCCACATCTCAGCTTTGATGATGTATCTTCTCTCTCTGTTACCTTTATTTCCCTGTTATCTCCTCTTTTTTTTCTTAAAAATAGTTAGTTTGTCCTAGATTTGGAGCTTATAACACTCACTCTGGATAGTTGGCAGGTCTTAATCAGGGCAAGTAGACGAGGTATAGAAACCCAGTGATTTCAGTCTTACGGGATCCAAGCAAATTTTTTAAAAATATATAAAGATGATTTTTTAAATTCATAGAGTGATATACCTTTAAAATTGTGTGACAGAATTGAAATGACAGGGTTAAAAATCTCAGGTTAAAAATCACTGAGAAATTCAGCTTTTATTTGAGGAAAACATTTCTGAACTATCACTGACGTAAACAAAGTGTTTTGTTTAAACAATAAAAGAACCTCATATCTATAGGAAATCCTGAAGTTACATTAAAAACAAAAATACTTAAACCTAGAAGCTGTTACAATGGGAAACTAGACTATAAATAATTTGTGACCGGTGTGTCACTAGGAATTCCAATGGCATAAAGAAATGCTTAATAAACAAATTGCCTTTCAAATTTGGCAACTCTGGGGATATAACACTATGAACTGTTTTTTTAAAATTCTGTCTGTATAAAAGACCTGGAGAGCCTAACTATACTGTGGATTCATTTCATCGTAGGTCCTATGAGGTCATTGCAAATCTTTGTACTATATTTGAGAAAACAGTTGCGCTGTCCCCAGCATCTAATGTCATGACAGCCACGAGGCCTGGCACCTGATTTCTCCAGCACTGTGTTCACCCTTGTGTCCTGACAGCGTAAGCAGTTTTTGGTGTCTTTGAGAGTCATCTTTACACAGCCAAATTAAACGAAAGAAGTGAAGTAGGGCCTTCCTGTGTTAGTCAGTCTTTCCTGATCTTCACATTTCTTTAGCCACAGATGATAACGGACTGTAGAATCCCCTAACCTCTTTTGACAGTTCTTTCTTGAATTATTAGTGACATTCGGTGAAAATATTTGAATTTCTCTGTTAGGATAGGTGAGCAGAAATGCTGATCAGAAATAGAAGAACTAGTCATGATGAACATAACTAAAATGGAATGGCAATACTCAACTTCCTAATATTTATTTGGAACAGAGATATTAAAGATAGTCTTTATTTTTCAATGTTTTATCTGCTACTCCCTGCCTCCTCCCCCAACAACAACCAAAACACTTTAAAATTTTAAATTGAAAAGTTGCCCAGTCATTCAGTGAGGTCAATGATAAAGGCTGAACCATATTTAGACAAACCCCAAGGAAAGGATAATGTATTGTATTTTTAAATATTCCTTTTTACCTTTTCATGATCAGTGCCTCTTCCTGCTCCTGTTTGCCCTGGCATCTTTTGGAAAGCTCTGTGTTTTGCATAGCATGTGCACTTTTTTTCCTGAAATGTGCAACACATTCAACATTGCAGTGATTTTTTTCCCCCTCCTTAGCTTAGAGCAGAGGTGGAAACCCCAGGGGATTCAAGTACCCACTTGATAGGCTCAGTCTCTCTTAATCAGCCTGTAATGGAGCTAATGGCTGTTTGTCATCCTTGGAGATATAAATTTCCTGGCGGTGTCTCCTGCAGACAGTGCATGAAGTATGCTCAGTGTGCCAGCAAGGGCTGATAATCAGCAGAAGGACAGGGTGCTTCGTTAGTCAGAAGAGCCAGGGCTTCCCGGCTGCCAGGCTACAGAACTCGCCTCGCCACTCCTGAGACATGGACAACGCCGGTGGGTAAATCAAGCATGAATTCTTCATAGCTGCTGGCTTCCTTTGCAGCCCGCATCCTTTACTGCGGAAGGTTTGCCTATTTGTTGCTCTCGTTTTGCACTTAAATGTTCAAGACTGAGACGCGTGTAATATGTGAACCCCGATGCATTGTCCACAAGACAATTAGTGTTTACTTTGAAGTTTAGGAACTGGGAATGCAGATTGTATTCCAAATTCACCTTTTGTGAAGACTACTGCTATTTAGGCTGAAGCAAGTGTGGTGTTTGATTCTTTTGTGCTCAGAGCGATGGGTGGAAAATGCATACAGTTAGTGAAAAAACTATTACTAAGGGATGGCACAAGGTAGATGGAATTAAGTTAATGAGCTGAGCAAAAATTCTGTGTAAATATTACAATATGCACAGTGTAACAGCATAAGAGCTCTTTGGTCTGATGCTTTCATCTTCACGTTAGGATGCAATGTCGAAAATGTTTCGATAGCCTCTGATATTTTAATTTCAGAATAGAGACATTAGTGGTCAATTGTGAACCTTTAAAAATGTACTTATTTTTAGTATCTTTACTTGATAACTAGACAAACAGATGATTGAAGTATGTTAATGTCAATTAAATAATTAGCATAAAATTATCAGGTGGAACTTTTTTCTTTTTACTTTGCTGTATTGAACTTTTAGAGGAGATATACTGTGAGATCATGCCCCATTTCAGTGTTGTCGGCACTCAAGCAGAATTCTCCCAGCTGTGTTATGGATTATCTGTCTCCTGAAGCTCATTAGTTCAGTTACGCAGCTGGTATCAGCTTGAAGGTGATGCTTCCCATGCCTTGAGACACGGTCAGCTCTTCTAAGAGGTTACATCATTTAAAACACATTCTACACTACAAGACCACCCATTGATGGTGAAACATATTTGTTTATGAAATTGAGCTAGTTCAGTCCTCGGCACAGGTAGCATAGGCTAGCAGAGATTTTAAAGTCAGCGTGTATTAGGTTCTTTTATGAAATAGCTTACCAGGAACAAAACTCTGTGACTAACATTATTTGGTCATTGCCATTGAAGATATTGAAATAAAGTGGAACAGTATAATATCAGGGATGAAAATGTTAGGGTGGTGGAAGAAATGAAACAAGTGTAAGGATGTGTGTGTAGTAGTAGCAGGAGTGAAGCTGGATGCATGTATATGGATTATACCCCCATTCTGGTCATTAAAAAAAATGTACTATAGGGCTTGTCATAAAAGCAGGTAGGTATGGTATTCCATGACAAGGCACAATTTGAAGATCAACCAAAAGCTTCTCTAATTACAGTGGTAGAGTGAGTAAAAATTAAATAAATAAACTTAGAATCTCTAATTTAGCCTCATTTAAAACTTCTGCCACCCACAATTTATTATACTGACATTCTGGCAGAACGATCACTTTAATTCAAGTAAATGCCTTTTTAAACTGACTCATATATTTATTTAAAGGCCATTTAAAAAAAGGAAAGAAACTCCTGTGGCAGACTTTATGTAGGCTTAAAAATGCTAAGGGTTATTTTTCTTTTTTGGGTAACTAGAGCTTTGGGGGATGTTTTCACAATCTCTAGTTATGTTATTAAATGCAATTAATAAAATACCTCTGCTCTTGATGAGTTTAAGATTATTTAAACACTGTGGAGAGTGGCTTGTAAAGTAGCAATTTCTATATCATTTCAAATTTTAGGTGTAATCTCAAATATAGCCATACATACCTTTGAATAGAATAACGGGTTTTAAATCACATAATTTGAATGCTTCAGAAATAGCATGTTTCTTATAATGGCTTATAATTGGCTGTCAGTGATCACTTTTCATGGTAATTTTTTGATGAGGTAAGCAGCCTCTCTTACAGGAGGAAAATGTAAACATCCATTATATACAGACATTTCAATACATTATATTGACTGTAAGGGAAGCATTTAAGATAAAACTGGTAAGTGGCAAAAAAAAAAATCTGAAAAATCTGAAATAACTTGGAGCACTACAGTTTCTCCAATTTAATTTAAAGAAGATAATGATGTTGAGTATTTGCCTAAATTTTTCTAATCAGAAATGAATTGAGGCCCTGGATTTCAGAGCTAGTAGTTTAGAGCGGGGCACTCGTACTGACAACTGGATCATTAGTTTCAAGGAGCCAGACCTTCTTCTAGCAAGGCTTTCTGTGTGGGAGTTTGGATAATTGACAGGCAGAAGCACAGCAATGGGTCCACACAGGTTGAATGTCCCTCATTTATTCAAGTCACATAGAACGCTGCATCAGGATATTTGTGCATGGTTTCTGCTGTTAACAAGTAAAGTAAGATGAGCTGCTTGGGACTCCGGCCCTTTTGGTGGGTGTGTGTACATTTCAGCTATCATGGCATTGTGAATCTGTCCTTTCTCTCCTTAGCAGCAAAGAGCTGACATTCCTACTATCTCAGAGAAGGAGACATCCCTTCCCCATAATTGCTGGCTTCTGTATTCCTTTAAAAGCTTTTCCTGGAATAACAATAAAATATTTATCAAACTGTGTGTGTGGAATATGTCAGGGCAATTTTAGCAATATCTAACATTTTCTTCTTTTTTTTTCAAATGGCTATTTCTTCTTAGAAGTTATATAACAAGTCAAATAGATGGTGCTTTAGAATGGCACACCTGTGACTACAAGCATCATCAGCATTCTGCCAGTGCCACTATCCTCCTTACCTCCATCAAGTGGTTCTCGTGAATGAACTGTGATAAGACATTCAGAGGCAAAGTTGATTGGTGTGTGTTTTTTATCTGAAACACAATTTTTGAAATGTAATCCCATATTCTACAGTGCAGAGTACTGTTAAAAAAAAAAAGTTCTGCAGAATTTATTGTGTTGGGTTTTCCCTACTTGATATCAAGATATTTCAGTTACCATGTGTGGGTTGAAAGAGCCACACTCATTTGGAGGGGAGGTGGCAGCTGCTGAGAGCCCCTGCGCCTTCACCGTGCATTCTAGCTCAGTGGTTCAAAGCCTTTTGACAATTGATGTACATTCATTGAGTTTGAGAAGGTCACAGTCTGCCAGCTCCCTGCAAAAGAGACTCGAGAGTTATTTGGAGCCAGACTGAGGAAGGGTTTGGAGTGGAGTAGTCGAGAGCATCAGATAATTTTAGCTGAACGTTGGCTCTGCTACCTGTCATCCCAGTGACTGTGAACAAGTAATAGAAACTCTATGCATTTAATTTTCTCATTGGTAAGGGGTGACAATAATGGTACCCATCTCATAGGATTGCTATGAGGAGAAAATAAGATAACTCCTGTAAAGCTTTTGGTACAATGGCTGGCATATGGCAGCATACAATGCATGTTGGCGTTTTAGAGAGTCATCAAAAGATTGAAGCAGGTTGCTTTATGAACAAATAAATATATGCTCCAGCAGCGTGGCTCTGAAAGTGGTGTGGATGACAGTGTGGGAAAGTGAGCAATTCTGAGCAAAGAGACTAGTCAAGTGGCTGTCTCAGAAGTAGAACTGGAAATTTATGTGGGTGGTGCAATGGGCATGGGGTTGGGGGATGCATTGGATATGCATCAGCAGAGCACGACGAGTGGATATGGAGGCAGGGAGAACTGCAGCAGTCAAAGGAGACCCTGGAGGTTTCCCGTTAGAGAATTTAAGACAGTAGTCCTGCACTACTGAACACAAGATGAGTTTTCAGAGAAAGACAGTGAGTTCCATTTTGACATTGTTGGGTTTGAAATACCTTGTGTGTTGCCCACTAGCCATAGTAGTTGGTTCACTGATGACTATTTAATCCACTTAAAGGATTAAAAAGGATTCCTGCCTCCTCTCCCTCCAGTCTGTGGGAGATTCTATGGGATGGTACAGAGAAAGGAAACTTTCAAATGCTTCATCTTTTTTTATAGATGGAAATAAGACCAGGCAAAGAGAAACATGCTCCTAAGCATTGCAATAATTAGGGTAAAGGCCAGGCTGTCACATAAGAAAATGTAAGCACGAAGACATTTCATTTCAAGCTGGTTCAAAACCTTAGCAGCCCAGGTTGTCATGCCAAAGTTCCTGAACAGCTAAAGATGGTGACTCAGGAGAAGGGTTACCTAATGGGGCAGAGATCCAATAAGAATGCATATGTTTTGAAAGAGGATGCTTTCTAGAATATTTGACTATGTTTGCAAACTCTATTTTTTGCAATTAAAATTTTGTTTCCTCTAATCCTCCACTTTCATGATCTCTTGGTCTTACTATCTATAATTTTGTTAACCATGATACTTTTTAGAAATTTATTAATGTTATATATACACACACACACACGTACATAATATGTACACATGCATTTGCATGTGTATTGTTAATATATGTACGTATGTGTGGATTCTTTATTTAGGGGATTGTCAGCCTTGATGTAGGGGAATGTAATGTTGCTAGCTCTTCTAAAAAACTTGATAAAAAATTAGAACAGATTTTCTTTTAAATTAAAAAAGAAACTCATTCTTATCCTCTGAAATGCCTTTATGTTGTAAAGATTATTATTTAACATTTTATTAACTACCAAGCAAATGACAGTATTTTCCTTTGAATTTATTGTGAAACCCATTGTGCTATTTTAGCATTTTAGGTTTCACAAAATAAATATTCTTAGAAGCATCCAGGATTCATGTAAATATATTTTTGTTTTTCTTTTTTTTGAGACGGAGTCTTGCTCTGTCGCCCGGGAGTGCGGTGGCGCAATCTCGGCTCACTGCAAGCTCCGCCTCCCAGGTTCACGCCATTCCCTGGCCTCAGCCTCCCGAGTAGCTGGGACTACAGGCGCCTGCCCCCATGCCCGGCTAATTTTTACATTTTCAGTAGAGACGGGGTTTCACCGTGTTAGCCAGGATGGTCTCAGTCTCCCGACCTCGTGATCCACCCGCCTCGGCCTCCCGAAGTGCTGGGATTACAGGCGTGAGCCACCGCGCCCGGCCCATGTAAAGATATTTTTCTAAGCAAAAAGTTAAAATTTGATAAATAATCTGTTTTTTGGAGCATCTGTTTTCAAAATGCTAGTATTACCAAAATAACTGTTTTAAAATAAAAATGCCAAAAGGAAAAATCAGTTCATATATAAACATAAAAGTACTGTGAAAGTGGGACTAAATTTTCTTCCTAGTTTTACTCTAATAGTGTAGTGACTGTGACCTCCTGCGAGTAAACTGACAGTCATGGCCCAAGAGTGTGCAGAAGCAGGACAAAGTCTTTGTTTTTGAAATGAAGTTTTGACTTTTGTTTCAGGATCACTGGAATTTGTTCTGAGCGTTTCTTTCTTTGCAAACGCTCATCTTTCCAAAGGCAGAATGAATTGTGATTTTTCTGTATCACCAAGATGAAATAGAAATCCTTGTCAAATGGCTTCTGTCGAGAACAACTGTTAGAAAAGATATAAAGCACAAGCAAAAATGCATTTTGGTGATAGAGGAATCAGTAATCAACATTTTCTAAATTATACGCCATTCCATATTAATTCCACAGGTTATTAAATAAACTCCCCAACCCACCTCCACACACAAAGAATTTAGCATTCAGGCAATTTTAAGAATTGTTGAGTTTAACAGCATTCAACAGGTTTCTTAGCATGTTAAGAAACATGCTGAGGCCGGGCGTGGTGGCTCACATCTGTGATCTCAGCACTTGGGGAGGCCAAGGCAGGCAGATCACAAGGTCAGGAGTTCGAGACCAGCCTGACCAACATAATGAAACCCCCATCTCTACTAAAAATACAAAAATTAGCCAGGTGTGCTGGCACATACCTGTAGTTCCAGCTACTTGGATGCCTGAGGTGGGAGAATTGCTTGAACCCGGGAGGCAGAGGTTGCAGTGAGCCGAGACCACGCCATTGCACTCCAGCCTGGGTGACAGAGTGAGACTCCGTCTCAAAAAAGAAAGATGCTGATAGAATTGGCATATAATTTCCTGTGGGTGCTAATATTTGTTGTGAATTCCTAAGATGGAATACAGAATGCAGCATTTCCCAATCATATTAACCTCAGGTTCTCCAGGGGATACCAAGTTACAAGGTAGATAACTCCAATTTGGAATGCACTGTTAAGATCCCTTCATTCACAGTTTCACTTTCCATTTTTACCTTATTCTTCCTCTCCGGAGTTCTTCTCAACTTCCTGTTTCCAAATATAGGAAGCCATTTTTGGTAACTAGCAAAGTTACCAAAAAGTTACTTTTGGTAAGTAACTTTTAACATAGATATTTAATTTCTAAACAATCAAGCATTCATACTTCCATAAGTATGTACATTTCATGTACATGAAATTCCATTGCACATGTACATGAATATGTACATTTCATGATACTTAACTTCCATAAGTGTCAGTGCTTGATTGTTTAGAAATTAAATATCTGTGTCATCTATGTCCAGGATTTCTCTTCTCTTTCCTTGCCTCTAACCTTTCACTGCTCATAAACATCACCATCAGATGAAGTAAAGAAAGAAAGGGAGCTAGGCCTTGAACCTGCTTTGGAAAGGAGTGGAATTCAATGACATCTATGAGATTGGGGGTCATGCACAGATTTTATCAATCCAAATGTAACAATTCACATGAAATGTTAAAAATAGATGATGTAAGATGTTATATGTAAAAAGTCAACTTCAAAGTTCTATTTTTGTAAATCAGGTACCAAGAACATATATAACAAAGGCAAATCATATTTAGCTAAATGTCAAATGTCTTAAAAGGAAGGAACCTTACTTTTTTGAGTGTCCATTATGTCCTAGGCATCAAGTTAGGTATTTTACACATGTTACATCATTAATACTTGCAGTCACTCTGTAAGTAAATATTATCTCCCCCAAGTTACATATAAGTAGCTGAGGCTAAGAGCTCACCCAATAAATAAGCCAGTAATTTATAAACTTGAATCTAGCCTTTTGTAACAATAGCAAAATTCAACTCATCATTTTTCATGTTGTTTTACTGCTTTAAGAGTGGGGATTCTTGGTCTTTGTGTTTTCCATAGCATTGAGCACCGTGCTTGGGCTGTAGTAAGTGTATAGTAAATGTTTGCTGAATTAAGTCAACAAACATTTAATGATGTTTAATTAAGTTGGAGCAATTTTTTTAAAAAGCAAATTAATTTGTAAATATCAATGTCATATGATCTTATTATACATCTGAATACCCTCTTGGATAGAAGTTAGTATATGGATAAGACAAAATATAGTTGTGAAGTGTTTCTTTCATAAACATTCATAAATTTATGACAATTTATAAAATAGAATGCTTTTTGATAGAGCCCACCTATGAAATCTGTTACCATTGTAAAAAAAATTATTCAAAATTTTCATTTGAAAGATGTGATAATATTAGAGTCATTAACAAAAATTATGGAAAGAGCCTTTCCCATATGTTTTTAATGATATTTAAATGAAATGCAGACACACCTTTCTGGAATATGAAAGAATTTTACTTTTTCTCTCTTCTTCTTCCAGAGAGATCATGATTAGAGGGAAGACCACAGAGTACCTGTGCCTTTGTCTCATCTGACCACACCTGTGCCTGAATAGTCCTTTTTCTTTCACTAGTAATGCTAACACGTTACATTCCACATGACTCTTTCCAAACTCTGTACTACTCTGTGAACCAGTACAAGATTTGACAAACACACAGTGAAACAATAATCTCATTTAAATTTTGATATCTATGTCAAGAGAAGCCATAGTTTCAAAGTTTCAGTTTCAGGTTTCAGAGCTATGGTTTCAAAGTTTCAGGGTTTCCTACCACTTGGTATAAAGTATCTGCCTAATTGTTTTTATAGGTAGCTCTTTTATTATTTTTATAGATAATTCCCAACATCCAGCTATCTCCCCAAAATTATTTTGAATTTTTTTCACATAAACCAATTTTTTCCAAATATTTAATCTTCTAATTAGGAATAGTGATTGAAATTGTGCCTCAGGACTGGACTTTAGAATCATAATTTCCTTTCTTAGACCTGAATCATTCAGTCCTGGCACAGCATTTATACCTTTACAGGTGTCAAGTTCAAATCCTTATATTTATTGTTATTAGTAATGATTATATTTGACTTATTAACCTGTATCTTCTGTTATTTTCCATGTATCCTCTACATCTACCAGTCTGTTCCACGTCTGTTCTGTATCCACAAAAGCATTTGTACCTTCATTCTTGCTGTTCTTCCCACCTAGAACGCCTTCTCCTCCTTGCCATTCAGTCGTTAATTCATCCATACATCCTGGTGATGTTTCCTGGTCACCCACTCTGTGCCACGCAATGTCCTAGTTAGTGTGGATATGAGAGAATGAAACGGAGCTTCTGTCAGCATGCTCCTTCCTTCTAGTAGAGAAAGCAAAATTAGTAATGAATAGACAAAATGCTTGGGGTTGTGATCAGTGCTGCTAAGTTAATCAACTGGTATTTGGATAAGGAATGAGGTTGGGGTGGAGGCTACGCCAGACTCGGTAGTCAGAGAAAGCTTCCTAAGGAGGTGGCATGCAGGCTGAGGCCTAAGGAATGAAAAGGAATCAGCCACGTGAGAGCCAGGGTAAAAATGTGTCAAGCTGAGTGGCCGGCAAACACACACGCCCCCAGACAGGACGTTGACTGGGATGTCTGAGCAACAAGGCCAGTGTGTCTGGGGCCTGATGAGAGGTAGGGGCCTCAGACCAATCAGGGAGGGCCTTGAGGCTTGGCCTCTGTCCTACCAGCTTTCAGGAGCCTTTGAAGGGTTTTACGAGACTGGGAAGAATGGACTGGAAAGAAGTAAGAGTGGAAGCTCCTAAGAATGAAATCCACTTAGAAGGCTCTTGATGGAGGTGGTGGCAGTGGGGAAGGGGAGAGGAAACTTACTTCAATCCCAGCCCTGTGTCAAGGCCCAGCACATATCCCATCTTACAACGTCTTCCCAACTGGTCTCCAAGCCCTGAATTTTCTCATGACGCTGATGGAATTCAACACCCAGTTTTGTACTTACTGGAAGTTCATCTGAGATTACTCTCCAGTTGAGTCTTCCCTTCCCAACCAGATTTAAAAGTCTTGAGGGCAGATGCCACATCATAGACATCTTTTATGTCTTCCAAAGAGTTAGAGTGGTCATTCTCAACTCTAGCTACTCATTAGAATCCCCTGGAAATCTTTTAAATACCCATCTCTGTGCCCCACCCTAGACAAATTCAGTCCGGGACTTTGGAGTGGGGTCAGGACATTGGTGTTTGTTTAAAAGCTCCCCACTATATTCTAATGAGCCATGAGGGTGACAACCACTGTTAGAGTCCTCTCTCTTTCTCTCTTTTCTTTCCCCTTTCTCTCCCTCCTTCCTCCCTCCAGTCTAGCAGGCCAGTCTAGCTGAGATTTTGTGCTTGGGAATTATCTGCTTCCAGGTGAGATGTGAGGCTGTGAGATTAATGAGACCTCCAAGGAAATGGCTGAAAGAAAAGAGCAGAGGTGAAATACTGCTTCCAGGCAATGTATCAGGATAGGAACAACGGAAACTGAAGCCAGACTTTCTATAATCCACCCTTGTGGAGTCTGTAGACTGGATCAAAGAAGGTGGTTACGGAGAGACTTAGTCACCTACTTCCTAATCAGGAAGGTTGGTTTCTTTTCCAACATCTTAGAAGCAAATTAAATACTAAAAGTGAAGATTCACCACAGTGGCAAAAACTATTTCTAAAGAGACTACATGTGAAATTTAACTAAAAAGAGATGTTAAACATCTCTTGTCAAATTCTGTATAATAGAAGAGGTACATTATTAGACCCCCAAATAGCACTGCTATGATTTAATCATCACTAACTGTATCTGTACCAAGAGGCTGGGTCAGAGCCACGATTAGACATCGATGCTATATTTGCTGTATCCATGTGACTTACCACAGGCGCCCTGCTTTTTAGTGATAGAGAAATAGGTCCTGTTCCACCTTGTACTTCCTGCTCCAAACACACACACACACACACACACACACACACGCACACTCCAGAATGAGTTTCAGATCATTTTAAATTGATAGTGACCTTAAATATTAAAGCCTAGGGATGCTTTGATAACTTGCTTTTCTGGCGTTTTGGTTAATAAATGGTGTTTTTTACAACATGGTTAATATATGCTTTCTAATAGAAACAGCGCAATTTAGTAAAACCATCTTTTACAATGTTTGACTTAACTACCTCACATGGTCATGAGCGTCACTTGAGAAGGTGTCAGTGTCAGAGGGTTTTAAACTCCAAATGTTTATACAAGTGAAGCATCTAGTATTGGGAGGATCCACCAGGGACTGGCAGGGGAGGCTGGGGGGGGATAGGGGTTGAATGTTTCCCTAACTGCCCCTCCTGCTCCAGCCCCCACCATTTCTCCCCAGACCCTCTCACTTGCATGTCCCCTATTGCCATATTGCAAAGCCTCCTCCTTGTCTTAGCCTCAGCTCAAGTGTCCCCGTTTGCTCCAAACCATCCTCAACTCCTCTGGATAGAATGAGTGTTCTCACTCCTCTCCTCTCCTCCCCGAAAACTCTCTTCTACCCCTGTTGGAACACGTAGCAGATATACCATCATGCTGCTTCACGTGCTCCTCAAGAACAGGGCCACGTCTCCTTCTTGAGCCTTATACTAAGTACTGTACCTGGCAGAGGAGGTGTGTTCCATAAGCAGGCAAATGAATACACTAGCTGAAATCAAGCCTGAGCTGTGTCTTTTATTGTGTGCTACTACTTATATAGAAACTCTGAATTAATTCTTACTGGAATTGAATGCTGTGGCCATATGCAATTTAATATGAGCAGCAGTTCTTCAACTGAGGAGCCCATTAGAATCACTTGTGCAATTAAAATCTTCCTGCCTGTCTGTCTGTCCATCCATCCATCCATCTACCTGCATGCTTACCTACCTGTGATCTATTTTTCTGTCTACCTATCATTGATCAAGAGCCCTACCAGCCCCACTCCAGACCTAGTTAATTCAGAATCTCCCATGGGAAGAAAGGGGTACTTTTAAGAAATGCTTCACAGATGATTCCTCTACGCCCTGGTGAGACCCATTATCGGTCTAAGAAACATATAATGAAGCCACTCAGACAAAATAGGTTTCTACTGTTTCGTGTGCTATTAAGATACTTGCTTATTGCCAGTGTGAAAGCACATTATTATTAGAATGCTAAAGATCTTGTGCCTTGCACAAAAATGCTCTGAAATACCCTACTGAAGGGTACACAGTGTTGACCTGTACACAAAGAAGCATCTTTCTTTGAGACTGTTGCATGGGAATGGTGGTACATTCTGTTTTCTCTTCCTCCACTTACTGTGGAAAGGGACTCGGTAGCTTTTGTATCATTAACTGAGACTTGCTTAAAACTGTACACCCAACTTGTCTTTAATTTACCACCTGCTGCATGCCTCTGCACTTCACATCCTGGGTCTTATTTTCTTAGTAAGGGAAATTTGGCAACCCTCCATTTTTAAAGCAGCTTGACTTGGGGCATTTTTAATAAGGGGATAAAAGGAAATATAGCCAGTCCCAAACTTTGACAGCGGTCAGTATGGTATAAAGAGTGAAAATATCTTAGGTCCCCTGTGTGAGATTCTATAGTCTTCACAGCGCCGATCATGCTTGCTTGTGGTACTTACAGAACATGTCACTCGGTCGGGGGTGGGGGGTCAGTTCATTTGTTCAAACAGTAAGCATTTCACAACATTCATTAACCTTAGGGTCACTTTTTTAAGTTAAGGAAGTTCAAAGACATTTGTTTAAATAACTGTATGACTGTGACGATAGTTGAAAAAAGCCAGATAGTTGAAAATTAAAGCCAACTTTGTTTTTAAAATCCAGACTTCGTGGAAAACCAGGAGCTCTGTAGCATACATTTAGAATAAAGCTCCAGCTTTAACTTCTAAATATCCTGGCTTATGTCAGTCTTTTTGTCACAGCCCTAATGCTCCATAAACAAAGGTGTCTCTTATACTAACAGATGTGGGCTTTGTCTTTAGCTGTCTCAGGGAAGGTTTTCATGGAACCTCGAAACTACAAAAACTCCCAAAGTACCCTTGAGCACCTGGGTTACTGTAAAACAAAATCATGTCCCAGAAAATTATGTTTTCAATGCAGGGCTAGTAAGAAATGAAGTTTTTTTTTTTTGGAAAAAAAAAATGCTGTACATACTTCACCAAATTCCTCTCATCTTCAAAAATGCTTACAAATATAGCTTGTTTCTCACAGTTCTCCGGTGAATTATGTAAATACTTCAAATCATCAGTTCTGCTTTTATAGATATGAAACTAAGGCAGAGAAGTTTATTTATTTATTTTTTCAGACAGCAGCCTCATGCACAGCTTAACTGCACATAAAAAATGTTGCCCTGACATATAAAATCCATGTCTGCTTGAGTATATGCTTGGCCATCGGCCAACCCACAAGGCATAGGCCATGCCAAATGTGATTTCCATTGGCTTTTATGCAGGGGGAAAGCCAGGCACAGTTTACCCTTTGGGACGCATGCAATATTGTTTTTAGGGAAATGTGGTTGTATTTGCCCTGGCCTCAAAGGCTGTCTCACTGGAGGACAGGCTTTGGTCACAGTTTTGGTCACAAAACACAACTGTCCCCATCAGCTATGTTGAAGCTCTCTGTACTAGGATATGCAACCAGGTGATCAGGGACTGGAAATCAGCTGGAAATTCCAATAGAGGCTCATTAATTAGTGGAGCCCACATATGCAGGGCATATACTTATATGGCAGGTGGGCAGCAGATGGGGGACAGTGCAAACCTCCAGGAAAAGAACAAGAGCAGGATCATTAAAGAAGCCTTAGCATTTTCACACAGAGACTGAGCTTGGAAATCCAGTTTCAGAGAAGGGATTGGAGGATTGGGTAGGGAATGTGGACAGATTATAGGGAGAGACCAAGGTAGACACCTGGCTTATGAAACGGGTCTACAGAAAACATCAGGAGGCCCCCACAGGTTTCATTCTGGCTTCTTCAATTTGGTGTGAATTGACAACAAAGAAAACTCAGGAGGGCGCGAATGAGTTCCTGTGGATCCCGAGCCCTCTCAGGCCTCCTCGGTGCAGAAGGGCAAATCCTTCCCATAGTTCCTGCCTCTCTCTCTAGAGTAGCACAGGACTTGGGAAGCCAGCAGCTACAAGGAAGCTCACCTGTCAAGCACCAACGCTTTATTTTAATTGGTATTTTGCATGAGAATCATTAAATTGCAACTCTTTCTTATATTTAATCACATTTACTGGCTTTCTCAAATTGAACATACCCCAACCCTTGAATAGTGTGGGATTGTGCAAAGGAATGGAATTAGAGTTGTAAAAGAAGAATGCAGTTCCTGGCTGAGCCTGTTCTACCTGCTGGTATGGGGCCTTGGGCATATCCATGAGCCTCACTTTCCTCATCTGTAGTTTAGGGTTGATTGTACTTGGCTTGAGTAGTAAGTATTATGTAACATAGATTCATTTTGCACCTACGTGGACTTTAAATCTTTGCGAACAGTAGCTCATTTCTTCCTCTCAGCTACCTCCCAAGGTGATCACTTGGCCCCAGGTCCCCCTGCTCTGGCTCCCTGAGTTCCTGCCTTGCTCACCTCTCACATTTTGCTGTTGTGCACTTGCTTCTGGCAGCTCCCATCTCCCTCCTTCTAATCTGCTGTTTTCTTCTTTTTGTGTGTGTGGTCTGGGAAACCAAATAATCAAGAGTGTTATCCTTTTGTTCAAAATGATAGTACACAGACCCCACTGAGGCCTTGGGCAGTGTATGATTCACTTGTGTGGGCTGGAGTTTGTGAATTTTTTACATTTATTCGGGCCGAGTTGCAGTTCGGTTGATTTCCTGGTTCTTGACATAATGGAGGTGGACAGCTAGGTTATATCTTTTAATGTTTCCTCATCATCCAATTTAGAAATCTCCAGAGATCCTGCCCAAACCTCAGGATAAAATTCAAGCCCAAAACGTCACACAAGGCCCCTGTGTCACCAGCACTGTCACCACCTCTGGTCATGTAGTCCTAGGTCCCAGCTCCCCAGACTCTTCCTCTCATCCCAAGTACTGTGTGTTCCTGCTGCTTTGCTTGGCAATGTGCTGTTCTCCTCGCGTACATCTGGTCTCCCCACTGGCCAGGAAACTGCTCAAGGGCAATGTTACCTTACCGTTGGTTTCCTTAGTCCTACCCCAGATGTGGCACACAGTAAGTATTTAATGCATGCTGGCTGACTCACTTCTTCTGCCATTGTTACCAAGCTACAGAATGTTCTATAGAGCACAATGATGTATATAGACCATCTCATTACATAGATTTTAAAAATATTTAAGGAGAAAAGGACAGTTTAGAGAAATGTAGCCAAATGCAAACGATGCAAAATGCAGCTTAATGAGGTTAGTAAAAATCCTTATCAACCCAGAAAAGTCCTTGTGAACCTTGATTTTTTTGTGTGTGTGTTTGACATTAAACCAAATTTAGAATTTAAAAATATATATTTTGTAGGGATTCCTTGCAGGAGAAGATAGAACATGTAATAATTACAGTAACAAGTGTATTGAATTTGATTATCTCATGAAGGAAGATGTACCATATACTTTAAAAAAATGTTCTCAAGGAAGATTTGATTATATCAAAGGCATAAGACCTGTGAAATTTGGCCCTAAGTTGAGGAGTACAAAGAAGCCAGCCTTCACCTAAAGAAGGCTCAGTCTAGTGACATTGTTTATCCATTTGCTTTGAACTTTTCAGATTACCTTCCCTAACACTGATGTCAAATATGCCGGTGAAGAGTTTGAATAAAATGTTTTCAGGAAATGTGAGAGTGGAAAAAAGCAATTTTTAAAAATAGCATATTTTTAGACATGATTTAGTATATGTATTTTAAACTAAATTAATAAATTAAATATTGTTATAAGAAAAAAGCCAAATTACCTTCCCTAGAAAAAGAAATTATTTTCAAACTCCTAAAATGTATTAGTATATTTAAATTGTCCCTTGCTCTTAATATATGGAGAGAGAAAAAAATGTCATCATAATACCCAAATGAAGGCCCAGGTGAGCAGATCACTTGAAGTCAGGAGTTCAAGACCAGCCTGGCCAACATGGTGAAACCCTGTCTCTACTAAATATACAAAAATTAGCCGGGCATGGTGGTGCATGCCTGTAGTCCCAGCTACGTGGGAGGCTGAGGCAGGAGAATCACTTGAGCTCGGAAGGAGAAGGTTGCAGTGAGCCAAGATCATGCCACTGCACTCCAGCATGGGCAACAGAGTGAGACTCTGACTCGAAATAATAATAATAGTAATAATAATAATAATACCAAATGAGAGAGAAATAATTCTGAACTCTTGTTGAAAATCAGTTCATGGGAGTACAGCATACAAAGTTGGTTTTATTTTTATAAAAACATTTTGTGTGTGCATAGAGCAATGCTCAATCCCTGAAGAATAACAGAAAGAATAAAAGGGGAATTTTTATATTTTACTCTAGACTTTTCTATTTTTGGTTTTGTTTGTACAGTCATTGTGTCCTGCTTTAAAAGCCAATAAATTATGTTTTAATCAGTTAACTGGATAGCAGCACATATTATATTGTCTTACCATGTATGATGCACAATATTCTGGGTACACTCAGAGCACCCCCATAATAAGTTGCTAATGACATGGGTCCCTACCCCAGAGTAACTTGGGGTGAGTGATATGAAGACCCTGCCTCCCCACCCACTCCCCACCCTGCCCCAGTGTAAGCTATTATTGAACTTGTTTCTTTGTTAATTAGAACTAGCTCTGAAATCTTGTTAATTTTTTTTGTTGTTTTTTTTGTTTGTTTGTTTGTTTTTAGACAGTATTGCTCTTTTGCCCAGGCTGGAGTGCAGTGGCCCAATCTCGGCTCATTACAACCTCTGCCCCCTGGGTTGAAGCAATTCTCCTGCCTCAGCTTCCCGAGTAGCTGGGATTACAGGTGCCTGCCACCACACCTGACTAATTTTTGTATTTTTAGGCGAGACAGGGTTTCCCCCTGTTGGCCAGGCTGGTCTCGAACTCCTGACCTCAGGTGATCCACCCACCTTGGCCTCCTAAAGTGCTAGGATTACAGGCGTGAGCCACCGTGCCTGGCCAAAATCTTGTTAATTCTTATGACCAAGACGCAGTCATAGTTACTAATTCATATTCACACAATATCACCACAACATGGACATTTCAACTAGATTTTCTTCCACCTTCCTAAATTGAGGACAGACTTGAGGCCAAAATCAGCAATTTGGGATTATATCACCACTCTTTTTTAATGTTGTGGGAAGCAGTTTATTTTCATGGTATGCGGCTTTTTTCACATGGCTAAATTCCAGCCTGTGTCTGCTTGGATGGGGACATGTGTTCAATCTGCCCTTGAGGAGCTCCAGGCCTAAAGCTGGAACCCCACGGTTGCCCTGGATCAGCTGAGGTGGTTACTAGAGAGGCTGAGTGTGTAAAGGCTTGGCCAGGATGGTAAAGCTGCGTTTGTCATTGTGCCTACAAGCTGAGTACAGTGTCAGATATCAGAGATGGAGACCACAGCAAAGAGCTGATAAAGTATAGTCAAGGAGGCCGGGAACGGTGCCTCACACCTGTAATCCCAGTACTTTGGGAGGCCGAGGCGGGCGGATCATTTGAGGTCAGGAGTACAAGACCAGCCTGGTCAACATGGTGAAAACCCGTATCTACTGAAAATAGAAAAATTAGCTGAGCGTGGTGGTGCATGCCTGTAATCCTAGCTACAGGGGAGGCTGAGGCAGGAGAATTGCTTGAACCCGGGAGATGGAGGTTGCAGTAAGCCAAGATTGCACCACTACACTCCAACATGGAGTGTAGAGACAGAATGAGACTTCATCTCAAAAAAAAAAAGTATAGTCAAGGAATATGGTGTTATGAATATTTGCTGAGGGCATCATGTGACTATCGTTTAAAATACAGTCATGTATACGTACAATAGAATTAGATAGTTTCTGTGCCAGAATTCTTATTTATTGTGAGATATATCAAATTTTTACTTGGTGATTCAGAATTTAAACTATATCACTACCTGTACAGTTTATTCAAAAAATAAATATTTAAGTTATAAATTTATTAGTTATTTATAACTTAATCTTTATAAGCAAATATTATTTATAACTTAAGCCACATACCGTGAAAATAAACTACTCACAACATCAAAAAGGATAATAAATATTATTGATAACTTATCGAATAGGTAATTGCTGCATATTGATTTCCATTTCCCCTTGTGCGGTGTGTCTCCAATAGATGTAATATCACCAGTGACTGTGGGAACTTTGCAATTTGCTAAAAATAACTGATGAAGCTTATTAGTTCTTATTTTCTTTGTTTATCATAATTTTAGAATATAATTTAGTTGAAAGACATATTTAGCAAATATGAATTGAGTGCCTACTGGGTCAGGCACTCTTCCGGGTGCAGTGAATGGGGCAGTGATGAGACACATGGAGTCCCTGCTCCCATGGAGCTTACATTCTATTGAAGCCAACAGACAGTGACCAGATCAACAAGTAAATGTATGATAAAATGCCAGGAAGTGGTAAGAACCATGAAGAAAGGTAAAGCAGAGTGGTGGGGCAGGGACAACTGAAGAGCTCTTTTAGGTAAGGTGAGTTTCTTTCCAGTGACTGGCCATCTAAATGTGACTGGGTTACAAAATTTGGGAGATTTGCAAGCATAGCTTTGTAAAACCTTCTTTGATCAGTTTGGTGCAGTTTCAGGTGAACGCTATTTTTTATTTCAATTTGCTTAAATGCTTTTAAGTTTTGTGCTGTTTCAAGCTTCAGGAAGTGGCCCAGTTCAAAGAAAGATGCTAAGAATTTTACCTTGTTTTGTGTGACAACAGAATGAAGGCACATAATTACACCGACTATCCCTTACCCCTGCCAAACCTTTAGTGGCCCAAATTGGTTTAAAATTTAGCACAAAACCGGCCGGGCACGGTTGCTCACGCCCGTAATCCCAGCACTTTGGGAGGCCGAGATGGGTGGATCACGAGGTCAGGAGATTAAGACCATCCTGGCTAACACGGTGAAACCCCGTCTCTACTGAAAATAAAAAAAATTAGCCGGGCGCGGTGGTGGGCGCCTTTAGTCCCAGGTACTCCGGAGGCTGAGGCAGGAGAATGGCGTGAACCCGGAAGGCGGAGCTTGCAGTGAGCCGAGATTGCGCCACTGCAGTCCATCCTGGGCAGCAGAGCGAGACTCCGTCTCAAAAAAAAAAAAAAATTAGCACAAAACTGCATTGTTATCAGAAGATGTTCCCATGTCTTAAGAAAAACCTTGCAGTATTAAGGTGGCAGCTTGATTACACAAATAATAAATCATGTCTTCCTTAATAACAAAGACCTGTTGTTTATCCTTATAGAGACCAAATTAACACGTTTATTTCGGGAAAACGTTGCTCTTAAGAGCTTCTGCCTGCCTGTGCTATGTACACCAGGGGCATGATGTGAAGCGTGTCAATTAAAGAAAGACAGGGAAGGGTTTTAGCAAAGACATTAGAATTTAAACAACCAAGGAGATTTTCTTTCAGCTATCACATTGAGCAGGTATATATTCAATTTAATATATTGATATTACTCAAAACAAGTTTGGAATTCCTCTTTTAGAATTGTCTTTGGAGCTACTTTACAAGACAAACTAAAACGTTAGGTTGATTATTAGTGCTTTCCTTTGCCAACTTGGCGCTTCCTGCTCAGTGTATGTCAATAGATTAGAACTATTTCTTACCCTTGAGACGCCAACACTGTTGTGAGGAGACCGATGAGACATAGAACTGGAAGTGCTTAGGTATCTATGAACCAAACAAGTTAGAAGGTCCAGGAGGGAAGTGCCACTTGGTGATGTAGGGGAGGCTCCAAGGGTGATGATATTTGGGCTGGGATGTTTGAAGAACAGGTTCAAGTTTGCTAGGCAGAGGGAAATGTGAGTCTCTAACTTTGTAGCTAAACATTATTATTTTCAAAACTAAGATAGCTTTACTCAGTTCGATAACTTGCCTTATTCATCAGACTTAGACCAGAATGATCTTGACTAATTTAAAAAAATTTGTGGAACACAGATATTTTATACCATTTAATTTCATAAATATTTATTGAGTTCCTAATTATGGGTAATATACTCAGCTACTACGTCAGGTAGCCTTGCGGAATTCAAGAGTCTTTCCCCATCTTTTAATTTTTGTATTAAGGTGAGATTCGCATGACATAAAATTAACTATTTTGAAGTGTCCAATTCAGTGGCATTCAGTACATTCACAATGTTGTACAACCACCACTTCCTTTTTTTTTTTTTGAGAAGAAGTCTCGCTCTGTCACCCAGGCTGGAATGCAGTGGCACGATCTCGGCTCACTGCAACCTCCGCCTCCCAGGTTCAAGCGATTCTCCTGCCTCAGCCTCTCTAGTAGCTGGGACTACAGGCTCGTACCGCCACGCCCAGCTAATTTTTTGTATTTTTAGTAGAGATGGAGTTTCACTATGTTAGCCAGGTTGGTCTCGATCTCCTGACCTTGTGATCCGCCCACCTCGGCCTCCCAAAGTACAACCACCACTTCTATCTGGTTCCAAAGCCTTTTCATCTACCTCAAGAAAACCCTATACCCATTGTGCAGTCATGACTATTGTCCCCCTCCCCCAGACTCTTGCAAACACCAGTCTGCTTTCTATCTCTATTGATTTACCTATTTGGGATATTTCTTATAAATGGAATCATAAAATATGTTACCTTTTGTGTCTGGCTTTTCAAATTGAACCTAATGTTTTCAAGGTTCATCCAGGTTGTAGCAGGTTATCAATACTTCATTCCTTTGTATGGCTGAATAATATTCCATTCTATGGATGTACCACGTTTTGTTTCTCTATTCATTTGCTAAAGTACATTGGGTTTTCCCCACCATTTAGCTATCATGAATAGTGCTGCTATGAATGTTTGTGTACATGCATTTGTCTGCATTAGTTTCCTATTGTTGCTGTAACAAATTGCCACAAACTTTGTGACTGAAGGCAGCATATATTTATTACCTGACAGTTCTGGAAGTCAGAAGTCTAGCAGTCTAGTGTCAGCAGGGCTGCATTCCTTCTGGAGGCACTGGGGGAGAATCTGTTTCCTTGCCTTTACCGACTTGTTAGAGGCTGCTGGCATTCCCTAGCCTGTGGTCCCTTCTCCTAGGTTCTAAGCCATCAGAGTAGCATCTTCTCATCTCAGACCTCTGCTCCTGTCTTTGCACCTTCTCCCTCTGACTCTGGCCCTTCGCCTCCCTCTTATAAGGACCCTTGTGATTACATTAGGCCCATCCAGATAATCCAGGGTAATAGCCTCATCTCAGAATCCTTAATTTAATCATGTCTGCAAAGTTCCTTTTGCCATATAAGGTACCATTTATAGGCTCTAGGGATTAGGAGGTAGATATCTCAGGGCAGGGAGGGGCTGAAGGTGGGGGAAGAGGGAGATCATTGTTTACCCTACCCATGGTCTTTCTCACTTGAGCAAAGTCTGATTTCTTTAGCAGTGCTGGTCACAATCCTCACTAGGCTAATATTTTCATTATTCAGTTTACTTTCTGGCCAATGGGAAAGAAGATGAATGTTTAAATGCAGGAGATATATATATATATATATATATATATATATATATATATATATATATATATATATACTGCAAATCCTTGAGGGCAGAGATGGCCTTATTCAACTCTTGATCTCCAGTACCTAATAGAGTTCAAGTCACATGTTCAGTAAGTACAGAAGATAATGGTGGTGAGTTATATCCTGAAATGAGGGAGGGTATCATTTTATAGTTTTCTTAAAGATGTCCATAGAAATAATAAGATTCTGTAACTCCAAATACAAATACAGATCTATTATATGAAAATCATATTGGTCATATGCCCTCTCCCTAAGCATCTTCTGGAGGGGGAAAGAGATAGACATCTAACCACGTCTGCTGAGGGGGACAGAATTTTACCATCTGAGAAAGAGCAGAACATATTTTTGGCACTCAGTCTAAATTTTTCCTTTCAGTGGTATTTTTAAAACCACGTGAAGTTTCAGCATTTGAATTATTATCAAGCTCCACATTGGACAAGGAATTAGCTAAATATTAAATTAGGTAATTTGGGCTTTATTCCAAACTAACCAGTACCTCACGGTGATGGAGAAATACAGTTTGGCATCCTAATGGTACCTCTACAAAATGTCCTTGAGTATTGCGATGGAAGCTCATACAAATTAGTGAGAACTGTGGGTGTGAGTAGGTTGAAGATTTTACTAGCCACTTTATGGAGTATGAGTATGCTCCACCGTGTAGGTGGCCCTTAGCTTGAAATATTGTGTCACGGTACATAAGTACTGTGGAGTTGTTTACATGTTGAGTGTGCTGCCAAGAGGAGGAAAAAATTCCAAGGAGATGCGTATTGAGAGGGAGCCCAAAACAGAGCAGTGCGCTCTTCCATGATGAGAATGTCAAGCCCTGAGATAATGAAATTCAAATGAAAGGAGCGGTCAGGGTGCTGCTCAGCTTCGTTTGGAGTGTTCTGTGTCGTGTGTTATTCATTGCTGGGAACAACCTGTAAAATGTGCCATCTGCAACATGTGGCATCATAGCCTTCGTGAGTGAGCAGATGATGTGATCCAAGCTGCCCTCTGAAAAGCAATCAACAGTATTACAGCTCTTCTGTTTTCATCTTCTTGTGGTTCACAGTTCTATTAAGGTAATCTCTGTGACAAGAAGAAGATGAAAATCTTGGATACATGACCAAAATAACTTTAATAGTGGGATTTGAGTCATTCTTAATATTATAAGTCATTATATTTCATAATTATAATTCATAATATTAAGATAAATGTTTATAAATATTATTTGAATGAAGATCAAAAAATTAAAAGACTTTATTTACTATCATTTAAAATATTTTCTTGTTTTGTATGAATGCAAACATTGAGGAAACAAAGTATGTCTAGAAAGCTATAGTAAGGCATATTCCTTCTGGCTACCTTTAGAGGAAATTTAAGAAATAATGTTAATATACCAAATGTTTGACTTGATGACATGTTTAAATTAAATACAATTGTAGAATCTCTATAACTACCTACCAGTTTTATCCAAATTGTATTATTAATCTGAAACCTCCATGCCTTAATTATAGCTCAAAAACAAATTAAAAGTGTTGTGATAACTGTTATTGACTCAGTAAACAACTATCATTAATCCTTCATAGGGTCGTTGCAGGATTAAATGAGTTAACCTTTCAAAGCCCCATTCCTGACACATTATTTATAAAATGAATAAAAATCATGGTAATGAATTCACTCATCCAACACGCTTGGCAAGGCAAAGTAAATTCCTTTGTTTAATTGAAACTGAACAGAGCAGGTCTACATCATACGTAATTCACATGTTATGGTACAATGCCATTTATACTGGAAAATTGAAACTAATAAGTGAAAATAAGTAGTGATGGAACTAAGCCAGAAATACACTGGTATGGATCAGCCTTTGGAGCAGGGAAAGAACTGAGATGGTTCACATTGGAGAGAACTCTTGAACTCCAAGTCTTTCTCACAAAAAGTCATTCCTAGGTCTTCTTAATAACCAGTGCTTCATGCAAGTCATGTATTTAATGGCTGCTCGAAGTGACACAAACTGTAGCAACAAGTTATGCCACAAATCCTTTCTTCTCTCCCTTCTTCAATACCAGCCTTCCTTGTTGGAAGGTACAAAGCAAGGAATTAAATACTTAACACAAACACTGAATGCCCACAGCAGCATTTTATAAGAGGAGTTTTATGTAGTATCTAACATGCCATATGTTACATCATTTCAAGAAGATTTAACCTTCTAGTAGAAAGCATTCTTTTTTATTTTTATTTATTCATTTGTTTTTTAGAGACAGGGTCTCACTCTGTTGCCCAGGCTGGAGTGCAGTGGTATAATCATAGCTCACTGCAGCCTCAACCTCCTGGGCTCAAGCGATCCTCCTGCCTCAGCCTCCCTAGTAGCTAGGACCACAGGTGCAGACCACCACCCCTGGCTAATTTAAAAAAAATTTTTTTTAGAGATAGGGTCTCACTGTGCTGCCCAGTCTGGTCTTAAACTCATGGCCTCAGACAATCCTCCTTCCTCGGCCTCCTAAAGTGTTGGGATTAGACGCCTGAGCCACTGAGCCTGGCCAGGCAAGCTTTTTTTAGCCTGCTTCCTGGCTCCATCTGCAGAGCTTGTGTGCTTCCGTGCCTATGGTACACCCAGTTACTTTGTATTAAATTGAATGGAAGACTTTCTCACACTAATAGGGAAAAGACAAGGCCATAAATTCAGCTGAATTCTTAACCGATAATGTCCAGCTTCATTTTCAAACCCCACAAACGAGGTCTCATTGACAAAGTTCAGTCTGCAGTCTGGTCCTGGGAACCCTGTGCACATTCTAGGAGTGAGACAATTTTAGAAATGTTGAGCTTCTCGTAAAGTGGACACACTCTAGAAAACATCATTAAGAGACAAGCAGAGTAGAAAGAGACAAAAATGATGGAAACCCTAAGATTCTGTCTTTATTTGGCAGTCCCTTTTTTGATCAAATTTGTTCCATTTCTAGGGCTATGACTATATCTGTTATAGTACCATGCCATTTATGCTGGAAAATTGAAACTAATACATGAAAGTAAGTAGTGATGGGGCTAAGCCAGAAATGCACTGTTATGGATCAGCCCTTGGAACAGGGAAAAGAACAAAGATGGTTCACCTCCCAACCTGGCCCCCTGCCCCTCCCTGGCCCTGACTCTAAGCAGATGGTCAATTTGCATTGTTCCAGAAGTAGAGAAGCAGGAGTACATCAACTACAAGGAGAGCCTCAAGCTGCCTTTTTTGTTTTCCCTATCTCGAGCACTGCCTCAAACTCACCTAGGGAAGGCTGCTGCTTTGAGGTCCACATGATATTGTTCTTTAGACTGCTTCTATTTGGGGAAGAATAAGAATATTTTTAATATTCTATCTTGTATTTTACCTAAGTATGTATGTTATTTTAAAGAAACTATTTAGATACCCCCGCCACCAATTTATTAAAATAGGCTAGAATTTGCAAATAAAGGCAAATAAATGTGTTTGACTTTTTAAAAGTTAATGAACTTTGTTTTTTAGAGGAGTTTTAGGTTTACAGCAACATAAAGAGCAAAGTACAATGAATTCTCACAGGTGTCAGGGGATGTCTCCCCCCGACTATGGACATCCACCACTAGAATGGTGGATGATTTGTTAGAATCAATGAAACTACATTGACTCATCATTATCACCTAAAGCCCAACATTAGGGTTCACTCTTGGTGTTGTACATTTTATGGATTTTGACAACGTATAATGACATACATTCACTGATACAGTGTTATATACAGCAGTAGTTATATACAGTAGTTTTTCTGATCTAAAAAATCCTCTGTGCCCCACCTATTCATCCCTTTTCCCCCCTAAATCCTGGCAACCACTGACCTTTTTACTGTCTCCATAGTTTTGCCTTTTTCAGAACATCATATAGTTGGAATCATATGGTATATAACCTTTTCAGATTGGCTCCTTTCACTTAGTAGTATGCACTTAAGGTTCCTCCATGTCTTTTCACGTCTTGATAGCTCATTTCTTTTTAGCACAGAATAATATTCCACTGTCTGGACATACCACATTTTATTTATCCATTCACCCACTGAAGGACATCTTGGTTACTTTCAAGTTTTGTCAATTATGAATGAAGCTGCTATAAACATCTGTGTGCAGGGCTTTTTGCTGACATAATCTTTCAGCCGATTTGGTTAAATACCAAGGCGTGCAATTGCTGAATCATAGGGTGAGAGTATATTTAGTTTTATAAGAAACTGCTAAACTGTCTTCCAAAGTGGCTGTACCATTTTGCATTCCCATCAGCAAAGAATGAGAGTTCCTGTTGCTCCACGTCTCTACCAGGATTTGGTGTTGTCAATGTTCTGGATTTTGACCATTCTCAAAGATGAGTAGTGGCATCTTGTTGCTTCAATTTGCAATTCCCTATCGGCATATGATGCTGAACATCTTTTCATATGCTCACTTGCCTTTTCCACCTGTATATCTTCTTTGGTGAGGTCTTCCTTTTTAGTGAGGACCTCTTTAGAGAGACCTTCTGTTCAGGTCTTTTGTCCATTTTTAAATTGGATTCTTCATTCCCTTATTGTTGTGCTTGAAGAGTTTATATTTTGGGTAACCATCATTTATCAGATATGTCTTCTGCAAGTAGTTTTTCCCAGTCTGTGGCTTGTCTTCTCATTATCTTGACATTGTCTTTCAGAGAGTAGAAGTTGTTAATTTTAATGAAGTCAAGCATATTAATTATTTATTTCATGGATCATGCCTTTGGTGTAGTATCTAAAAAGTCATTGCCATACTGAAGGTCACCTAGATTTTCTCCTACGTTATCTTCTGGGAATTCTGTAGTTTTGTACTTTATATTTAGATCCATAATCGATTTTGATATTTTATAAAGGTCTCTGTCTAGATTCATTTTTTCGCATTTAGATGTCCAGTTACCTTTTGAAGATGAACTTTGTAAGATGAACTATAGATTTAAGATGAAAGTAAAAACGGTCCTCGTTTAGAAGCCAATATTTTACTTAACAAGGCAGTATCATAAAATGACTATGATAATTATATTTTATCCTACTTTTACAAAATACTAGTCAGTGCAGGTATGCCTACTGACATCATTTTTACTGTACTACGGCAGGTCTTCCAACAGGGAAGTAAAATAATCTCATGTAGAAAATGGCCTAGAAAATGTTAAGCTCTGAGTCCCATGTTGGCCTTTTGCAGTGTGATAACTTTCAGAACAAGATTTCTTTTTCCTTTTGCAGCTAATCCAACAATAAAAATATAATTATGGAATTGCAACCTCTTTGGGAGAAGGTCCTAATATATGTTCTAAGTTCTCTTCTGGAAAGTTACATCTTAAGAATGTACCGTTCCTTTCAAAGGCTATAATTAAACAATATGTTTTCCTGCTGCCTGATCTTGCCAGAATAGGAACACTTAGTCCTTTTCATTTAATAAGAGAGCAGTTTTGCTAAAAATGAAACTTAATTTTAAAAATTTTGATATGTGCCATTGTATATATTTGAAGATGGTATTTATATCCTCAGAGGTTATTGAAGAAGAGGTCATCTGATTTTAAACAGAGGTCTTGGTGCCAGCTGTGCCTTGTGCTACTGATCAGTTTGTGTTCATTGTACCATAAGTGTTTACAACAAAGGAGTCTGATAGTGAGGATGAGCCAGTTAGATGATTTATCTCTGGTTTATTCCATTGGAGAATGAGGCTTGGATTCATGCCAAGATGATAAAAGACAATAGTATCTGTGTTATAAGGTGTCAGGCTGATGACTTTGTAGTTGGGCATATGCAGATAGCTTCAGGCAGATCTTGGGTAATTTGCATACCACAAATATTTGCTCACCGTCTATGGCTAGCAAATGAAACAAATACCACAGCAAATATAAAACCTGGCCTTGCCTTCATGGGATCTCATAGCCACAAATTAGTGGGGCGTCACAAATTTAAAAATCAGCACCAATATTTTAAATCATTTTCTCATTTTTTTTTTAGAAAGGAAAGACTAATTTAGATAGCCTGAGGAACTGAAGTAATTTCTACGCACAGAACATGTATCTACTCTAAGAAAAATGAACTTTCTTAGGGTCACTATTATCATTAAGATGGTGCACAAATATATTCAAAAGCATGACATTTATCCTCTCCACATTCTTGTTCTCTGCAGATGGCATGTGTTACTTTATCTCCATTAGTATATCTTTTCTTTTTAAAACCCAAATTAGATTATACATATTGTTACATCACAATAATTTTTCACTTAACAGTATCCATTGGATATCTATCCATATTGATATACATGGATATTTTAAATACTATTCCATTATTTGCATGTACTCAAATGCATTTAACTAGTTCATATTGACGGAGCATTTAGGATGTGTGTGTGTGTGTGTGTGTGTGTGTGTGTGTGTTTTCTGTTACAAAAATGCCACATAAAGCACACATTTCAGAAATCTTCAGTTACTTAAATAAATGTAGGACAAACTCTTCAAAGTTGGAATTGTGGGATCAAAAGTACGTAGCTTTAAAATCTTGATAGATACTGCCGAGTTTTCCTTCTAAATGTTTCTAACTATTTATACTCCCACAGTCAGTGTATGAGAGTGCCTCTGTTTCCCACCAACCTCAGCAACAATTAATATTAGCAGGCCTATAAATCTTTGGCAACCCAATAGGTGAAAAATCATTTCTAATTATTGTTTTAATTTGTTTTGTCTAGTGCCAGTCGTATGTACTTCTTTTCTGTGACCAACTCTTCATTCTTAGCTTTTCCCCATTTTACTTTAAGGTCGTCTTGTTGATTTATAATGGCTCTTTATATTAGGGATATTATGCCTTTATCATGAATGACACAAATGCAGGCCTTTTTTATTTGTATGTAAATAAGAAAGCTTTTCATCTTTATAAGCTTTTTATTTAAGGCTTCTAGATTTTGTATCCCATTTAGAAAAGCTCTCCCCTTCCTAATTTATTTTTTCAAAACTGGACCAGGTGTGGTGGCTCATGCCTGTAATTCCAGCACTTTGAGAGGCCGAGGTGGGCAGATCACTTGAGGCCAGGAGTTCGAGGCCAGCCTGGCCAACATGGCAAAACCTTGTCTCTACTAAAAGTAAAAAACTAAAAAATTAGCCAGGCATGGTGGTACACACCTGTAGTCCCAGCTAGTCAGGAGGCTGAGGCAGGAGAATCTTTGAACCCAAGAGGCAGAGGTTGCAGTGAGCTGAGATTGTGCCACTGCACTCCAGCCTGGGTGACAGAGTCAGACCTGTCTCAGAAAAAAAAAAAAAAATTAAACCATGCTTTCCTCTGCTGCCTTTATGGTTTCTTTTTGTTATATGCATGAAAGGTTATATATATTTTATTATATATGAAATGTATTTTTACATAAGGGGTGAGGTTGGGATCCCCATTTATTTTCTTTGCCAATGCGCTTCTACACATCATTCATTAATTTTCTGATTCATTTGAAGTATCACCTTTGTTACATATTATTTTCCATACACGTTGAGACCTATTTCTGAATGCTTTATATCAGTGTTTTTCAAAGAGTAGCCAATAAATCACTTAAGGTTGTCTGCAGTCTATCAGGCAGTCTATAGGCAGTTGGATTCCAAGAAAAATGTTATTAAACTATTTGATTCACAAATTTAAAATAGAAGATAAATTATTACTTTCACAGAAATTCCATGCTTTCTTAATTATTTTCATGCCTTTAAACATTGCCCATGCATTAGCTCATCTTGGGTAGCATATATTTAACAGGATAGATTTTGCCATGAACAATGAATTTTCAGGTCATTTGTATATTATTGTTTTCATTATGAAGTTTGCTTCTTATTTCTGTTGGGCTATGATACATACCCAACTCACCAAACAAGATGAATGGCTTCAAAGTCATTCATTAAAGCATAAATGTCGAGTCCTTTTGGTTGTCTCATATCTTAGTACCTTTCTCATGTAGATGAATATAATTCTAGCTGAAAGTGGAATAGATCTTCCCTCTGCCATCTCCTGGCCATCAGCCCTTGGGCACATGGCCACATGGCCCTAGGTGTCACCATTAGATGCTCTCAATCCAGATTCTCAACACGAGGGTTGCCATAAAGGTACAGGCCTGAAGAGATTTGCCATGGTGGCCTTCAGTGGTAGGGATGGAGTGTCCAGGGGTTGCATAGTTTGGCAGCGTGACTAACCGGGGGTGGTGCAAATGGTGGTGTGCTAAGCATGTGGTTCTTCTGAGGGATCCTTGCTGTGCCTTGCTCCCTTGTTTTTGCTCTAACCTCAATTCCATGAGCCACTCAATATCCTTCCAAATAATTTTTTTTCTAAGTTAACCATTCTTTTGTTTTTCTAAGTTAACCATTCTTTTGTTGTTTGAAAAAAAAAAGAAAGGAAGAAAAGGAAGGAAGGAAGGAAGGAAAAAAGGATGAAGGAAAGTAAAGAGCACAGGAAACGTAACAATGATATTTAGTTTTTCTTGGACTGGTAGCTTATCTATTCCTAGTCCTCAATATGTTCTCAGTAAGACTTTGCGAAATTGAAGTATATTCATTTTCTATGTTGCATAACAAATTATCACAAATTTAGCAGCTTAACACAACACATATTAACTATGTCACAGCTTGTATGGGTCAGGAGTTCAGGCACAACTTAGCTGGGTCTTCTGCAAGGCTACACTTTAGGTGTTGGGCAGGACACAGTCCTCATGTGGAGGCTTGACTGGGGAAAAGGGACTGGTCCCATGTTAGCAGAGTCAGTTCTTTGCAGCTGCAGCACTCATGGCAGCTTGCTTCTTCAAAGCCAGCAAGGAGAGCAAGGCTCTAATGCAAATCTGCTGTAGCAATGGGAGTCTTTTATAACATAATACAATCACAGGAGAAACATCCCTTCGCCTTTGGCAAACGTGATAACATAGTCATGGGAGTGACATCCCGTCACCTTTGCTATGTTCTAGTTGTTAGAAACAAGACACAGGTCCCACCCATACTTAAAGGGAGAGGATTACACAAAGGCTTGAACACCAGGAGGCAGTGATCATGGGGGGATCATCTAAGTGTCAGTCCACCACAAAGCTTTCATGTCAATTTCAAACAAAAGCAATAGCATTTCTGGTAAAAACAATCTAATGATTCCAGAGCAAGGTTACAATAATATTTTTAGTGTGTAGTTGATGAATTATTTCAGTAAATATAGACAGAAACCACAAATACTAAGGTCTTCCTTGTAGCAAATAGAGACTTAAGTTATAGTATTGCTGAGAGCTTGATTGGCAGTTACAAATTCAGTGATCGCTATGGCTTAAAAAGAAGCAGAGGAATGCCAGGTGCAGTGGCTCATGCCTATCATCCCAGCACTTTGGGAAGCCAAGGTGGGAGGATCACTTTAGGCCAGGAGTTTGAAACCAGCCTGGGCAACATAGCAAGACCCCGTCTATACAAAAATAATAATTAAAAGATTAGCTGGGCATGGTGGTGCATGCCCATAGTCCCAGCTACTCAGGAGGCTGAGATGGGAGGATTGCTTGAGCCCAGGAGTTCAAGGCTGCAGTGACTATGATCATACCACTGCACTCCAGCCTGGGCCACAGAGCAAGACCTTGTCTCAAAAAAAAAAAAAAGTATTACACACACACACATACACACACACACACACACACACACCCAGCTATCCAAGTTTTGAGCTAATTTTTCATTTTATATTAAGCATTAAACACCCCAAATGTATATTTGCTTAAGAAAAAATGCTAAATACATACTTTTAAAAAAGGGCAGTGAAGTTAGAAGATGAATGTTAGCAGGCAGATTCATCATACTTTTCCTTCAAATATTTTAAGAATAGTAAATCCACAGACAATGCTTCTTGCATATAGGGAAGTACATGTGTCTTGTCCATTGCTCTTTCTAGCAATATAGATAAATTCCTTTGTTCTACTCTGTCAATTTTCCTGCCCAATTGCATATTTGTCCTTAATAATCAGTAGTTTACAAAATTTATTCTGTCTAAAAATTGTAATTTAGAGTGTTCGTAGCTTCCCCAAAACTATGAATGACATTATCTCCTTAATGATCATTTTCTCTTTGCCCAGTTGTCAGGCAATAAAATTATTCAGTGTAGCATCAAAAGCCTCAGCCAAGGGCTGATAAAGTCAGATGAATCTACATACTTATGCATAATTTTTTAACAGTGTCCAATATTCTTCTGAATTATTTTTGAATCATTACATCTTTCTGCTTTCATGAGCCACCAATGACATGCTTCATAAAATGACAATTGCTGCAAAGTACCTGAAGTACAGTCTGTCTTTCCAAAACAAATTAATGGTAAGATATACCTATAGCAATGTAATGTTGTAAAACAAATGTAACAGAACTTTATATAGTGATTTAATCTTTAAATCACGTTGGGAGTTAGTGTTTATGCCATCAAGGCTATCATTGCTCAAAACATTTCAAAAATTACTAAGTGAAAGCATATTCAGAGCCATTTTATAAGTGACACAAGCAAAATAATTCTTATTTTTAATTCACACTTTTGTTTTCTGCTTATGTAGATCACCTATTTTTACTTTTGGCATCTAGATGACATTTGGCCCATTCAAAAAGAATTAATTGTGCTGGGGAAAAGTCTTTAGGTTTGGGAGTGAGAAAGCCTGATTATAGCGGGAGGGATTACTAACTCTCCCTTTGATGATGGATTAGCATACCCCATCATGAGTAAGGATAGCGATGGTTTGAGCAAGACAGTTGACAAGCTTGATGTAATTGATCAAGAACTCTGCACACAACAAGTAGATATTCATTCCTCTTAGGCAAATATGAAACATACACAAATATTGACTATTTACACAGTCACAAAAGAAGTTTTAAGAACCACTGAAGGGTGATTTGATTTGCATTACATTTTCTCACTGTAGTGCAATGAAATTAGAAGTCAACATAACTACTCTAAAGATAATGTGTTCTGGTTCCTAGCCTCCAGAAGCTGGAGGAAGCAAGGAATAACAACTTGTTATTAATAGAGTCATGTGCTACATAATGATGTTTCTGCCAACAGTGGGCCACATATATGATGGTAATTCTGTGTAACTGTAATAGAGTTGAAGAATTCCTATAACCTAGTGATGTCACAGTTGTTGTGCTGTCATAGTGCAAATGCTTTACTCACAAGTTTGTGCTGATGCTGGTGTAAACAAACCTACTGCACTGCCAGTTGTATATAAGTGTAGCACATATAATTATGTACAGTGCATAATGCTTGATAATGACAACAAATGTCTATGTTACCGGTTTGTGGATTTACTATACTTTTAATCACCATTTTAGAGTGTACTGCTTCTACTTACTGTTTTTTAAAAGGTCACTGTAAAACAGCCTCAGTCAGTTCCTCCAGAAGGTATTCCAGAAGAAGACACAAAAGATGGATAGATGAGCAAAGTTAACCAGGTCACTCAGTCAAATAGAATAGAATAACGTTCTCAAACAAAAGACTTACAGAGAGACATAAGGAGAGCAACTTGCTATCTAGCTAGATGCGTTTATGGAAGTGCAGAGATGGAGGAGAAGTGAGCCAGGAGACGAGGCTGGAAGGTGAAGCAGACCTCACAGAACCAGTCAATGCCTACAAAAGGTCAATGGGTTTTGTATTCCTCTTGATTGAGCCTCAGAACAAACATTTTCCCTTTCTGTTTTCTGTCAACTAATTTAGTGCTATTAATACATTAATAAACTACTACTTAATCTGAAAAATGCTAAAAGTATTTTTTCAAATACAAGGGACATTCTCAAGCAATTGTGTAGTGGACTGCATAGTGGCTCCTCAAAAGATATGTCTATGTCCTAACTTCCAGAACCTGTGAACGTGACTTTATTTGAAAAAAAGACCTTTACAGGTGTAATTAAGTTAAGGATCTTAAGATGAGATACTCCTGGATGACCCAGGTGGGCCCTAAATCCAGTAAGTTTCCTTATGAGAGACAGAAGAGGAGAAAATAGACACACAGAAGAGAAGGCATGTGTCTTAGTCTGTTTTATGCTTCTGTAACAGAATATCTGAGACAGGGTAATTTATAATGAATGAGAATGTATTTCTCATAGTTCTGGAGGTTGGTGGTCCACGATCAAGGTGCTGGCATCTGCTGAGGGCATTCTTCATGACTCAGGGAGGCAGGTGTCACATGGCAGAAGGGCAAAGAGAGAGCAAGAGGGGGTTCAAACTTGCCATTTTATCGCAACATTAATCCCACCCTTTGCAGTGGAGACCTCATGGCTTAATCATGATTTAAAGGTCCCACCTCTTAATACTGTGATAATGGCAATGAAGTTTCAACATGAAGTTTTTAGAGGACAAACATTCAAACCATAGCAGCATGTGAAGATGGAGGCAGAGATTGGAATGGTATAGCCATAAGTCAAGGAATGCCTGGAGCTTCCAGAAGCTGGAGGAGGAAAGGAAGGATTCTCCTCCAGTGCCTTGAGAACGAGCACTGCCCTGCCAATTCCTGACTTCTTACCTTCAGATCTGTGAAATAATACATTTCTGTTGTTGATTTGTTTGTTTGTTTGTGTGTTTGTTGTTGTTGTTTTTGAGACAGAGTTTCGCTCTTGTTACCCAGGCTGGAGTACAATGGCATGATCTCGGCTAACCACAACCTCCGCCTCCCAGGTTCAAGCGATTCTCCTGCCTCAGCCTCCTGAGTAGCTGGGATTACAGGCATGCACCACCCTGCCCAGCTAATTTTGTATTTTGAATAGAGACGGGGTTTCTCCATGTTGGTCAGGCTGGTCTTGAACTCCCAACCTCAGGTGATCCACTGGCCTCAGCCTCCGAAAGTGCTGGGATTACAGGTATGAGCCACCGCACCCAGCCAAATTTCTGTTGTTTTAAGTCACCAAGCTTGTGGTAATTTGTCATGACAGCCACAAGAAGCAAATACAAGCAGCTGAGATGAAATGGAGTTCTATATACATTTTTTCTCTTGTGACACTAAAGAATGCCTAGATATTTATGCATCTAACTAGGTAATCGTGTTTGTCCCACTCATGCATGGCCAACAGCTACATAGAGGTGAATTATATATAGCTCCTCTGCAGTTAAGTACACTGTAGCGCCTCTTTAATAATACCAGATCCTTGATTCAGAATGTCCTTTCCATTCCACATACTATAGTCCCAAACCCTAGATGAGGTCAGGATACACTGGCCTTATACTGACACTGTTGTAAAATGCATAGGAATTTAATCAATGTCCTATTATTATTATTTGTAATTTCCTCTTGGTCTTGGAATGTCCTACAGTTTTTGAAGATCCAGCTTCTGTACCACATTGTTATTAGGGAGAAATTATTTATTGTCTGCATCGCAAGCAGGCTTGCTTTGGAAGCACTTCGCGAACCTAAAAAATGTGATCTGTTGACCAGAACAATGAACAACTATGGTAATATAAGTAAGCAAAATTCACAAATAAACACCTCATTGTGTCAAAGATTTGCACCTTCTTATCTTCAGAGCTCTTAGAAGAACTGCAGTCAGATGTAGTGGTTTGGGCATGGCTTGTTTGATTGTGTTATGGATTGAGCCGTGTCCCTACAGCCTTGCATGTTGAAGTCCTAACCCGTAGTACCTCAGAACATGACCTTATTTGGAATAGGGTTGTTGCAGATGTAATTGGTTTAGTTTGGATGAGGTCATTAGGGTAGGCTCTAATCCAGTATGACTGGTGTTCTTATAAAAAGAGGGAATTTGGACACAGAGATACCCACACAGGGAGAACACTATGTGAAGATGAAGACAGAGATTGGGTGATGCTTCTACAAACCTAGGAATGTCAAAGTTTGCCAGCAAACCATCAGAAACTAGGAGAGGGACATGGAACAGATTCTCCCTCACAGCCCATTCCACCAATGCTCTTGTCTTGGGACTTCTAGTCTATGGCACTGTGAGACAATACATTTATGTTCTTTAAGCCACCCAGTTTATGGTACTTTGTTACAGTAACCCTAGCATACTAATAGTTTGGCTATTCCCTATTAATTTGCTTGGAAGTTGTTCATGAGTACTAAGATAGCTCATGAAAATACAAAGCAAAAGACTGTATTTAAATTATATTTCAGGTAGTTTCATTGTAAATTATTTTGGAATTAACTATACTAAAAAGATTTTATAGTGCATATATAATAATGAATTGAGTACATCATTATTTTACAGAGACATCATTGGTGAGGCTATTTATCCAAATTATTGTTTAAATGGGTCTTTTTTTTGCAAAAAATATTTCATAAATAATCTATCCCCTGACTACTTGATTGGCTTCAGAAGTGTTTTGATATAGACATCGTCTCAAACCAAATTTAACGTCCCTTCTAGTTGGAGAATTTTTAGTGGTTCGATTTAGAAATATTTTCTTAAAAATCCACAGATGGGGTCATACTATGCACAAGTTACTTCTGAAAATTGGTTAGTTTATAGTCCAAAAGTAATTAATATTTGCATTTAATTCAGTTTGGAATTCAGTAAATTTTAGTAACATTCCTTTGTGAAGTCAAGTCACTGGTTATAACAATGTTTTAACCATCAGTTGTTTATAATGCATTGTTTCATCTATATATAAGTCATGGGCATTGAGGAAGGAAAATGTACCTTCAGTGAACTTTGAAATTTAGTTCCTCAAAGGAGGGCTATTACTAGAAGTGAACAGAAGTAAAACAAAATAATAACTAAGTATACAGCTCATAAATGTTCAGATCTAGATAATTATGTTTAATTTCTGCTTTTGCTTACCATTTAAGATCAAACCTCTAGGTATCTTTTAATCTAGCTCTTTAGATTGTTAAAATGTTTTATGTGAAATGCACATTTAGTTTATAAGCAGCAATTTAGTGTCCTGTTTCCATGAGACATTGATATTAAATAAAACACTAGAAAGAAGTAATCTAACTTTTTTCTCCTTTGTACAAGCCCCTCTTTGCACCTCATGTGATGTTGCTTACTGGATATCAAAAAAGATTAGAAGCAGGGTGATTTCAGATCAAAGAAGAAGCATCTGCCTACCCCCAGGGTTTTTAAATATTTAAATATTTTTCTCGTTAAAAAAGTAACTCAACAGAACTCTAAATAAAATACAATTTTAAGGAACCAATGTATAGTCATTTTAAGCTATTGCCAGCAAACCACCAGAAGCGAGGTGAAAGGCAAGCTATTATATAATCACACTTTTTCCATTGTATTGAAAGTTAAATTCAGCTTATTTGCCAAAGAATGCTTCAAATACACTGAAATTTTACATAATAGTACAGGCTAAGGCGGGTGGAACACAAGGTCAGGAGATCGAGACCATCCTGGCTAACACGGTGAAACCCCATCTCTACTAAAAATACAAAAGAATGAGCCGGGCATGGTGGCGGGCGCTTGTAGTCCCAGCTACTCAGGAGGCTGAGGCAGGAGAATGGGGTGAACCCGGGAGGCGGAGCTTGCAGTGAGCCGAGATCGCACCACTGCACTGCAGCCTAGGTGACAGAGTGGGACTCCATCTCAAAAAAAAAAAAAAAAAAGTACAGTTATGAACCTGTATTATTATATCACAGTTAGACTCAAATGACTCTTAATGACATTTATTTGGACTCATGTATATTTTAGGCTTTTTTTTTAGCATAATTCATTGACTCTAAGATGTAATACTTTTCACATTTTATCAGCTTTAAAGTCAGGATATGTATTATAATCAATGGTTTCTTACAAATATAATTGGCAACCATGTTTTGTTTTTCTTAGTGGTATGTAAAACAATGGTGTATCTTAAAATCAATCATGGCATCTTAGGGTTTGTTTTTTTTTTTTGCCTTTTAAGTAATGTTTATTTTTCATTTGCTTGTTTTTTCTGTTTTTTGATATTTTTAATTTTATGTCTGTAGGCTATTGGGGAACAGGTGGTGTTTGGTTACATGAGTAAGTTCTTTAGTGGTGATTTGTGAAATTTTGGTGCACCCATCACCTGAGCAGTATACACTGCACCCCATTTGTAGTCTTTTATCCCTCACCCCCTTCCCACCCACCCTGAGTCCCCAAAGTCAATTGTGTCATTCTTATGCCTTTGCATCTTCATAAGTTAGTTCCCACTTATGAGTGAGAACATACAACTATGGAAAACAGTGTGGAGATTCCTTAAAGAACTAAAAGTAGATCTACTATTTGATCCAGCAACCCACTACTGGGCATCTACCCAGAGGAAAAGAAGTCGTTATACAAAAAAGATACTTGCACACAGATGTTTATAACAACACAATTCACAATTCCAGAAATATGGAGCCAGCCCAAATGCCCATCAATCAACGAGTGGAAAAGAAACTGTAATATATATATATATGAATATATATGAATATATATAGATGATGGAATACTACTCAGCCATGAAAAGGAGTGAGTTAATGGCATTCGCAGTGACCTGGTTGAGTTTGGAGACTATTATTCTAAGTGAAGTAACTCAGGAATGAAATGAAACATCATATGTTATTTGGTTTTTATAACAGGAGATATAGCTTGTTTATTTCAAGCCACACTCAGTGTTGGAAAATGCTGTTTCTTATTCTGTAGGTCCAGCATTCCCAAGCTAAAAGAAAGTTGTGTGGCGCTAAAGTGTTTGGCAAGGTTGTATTATTGATAGGTGAATTGCTCATAGGAAGAGAAAAATTTAAGTGACTATATTAAGAATGTTCTGGTATTTATAGTTCTCTGTCTTTTCCATTCTTGAGAATGTAATGTTCTTTGTGTTACTCTTTAAAGCAATGGAGAATAAATAAATTGTTTAGTAAGTCATGTTGACATTATTCCTTAAAAAATTGAAAGAGACTGTATGTCCCTTCCTCATAGAATACACAAAACTAAATTACAGCTGAATTAAAGATTTACATCTAAAAGCACTTAAAAGTACCAGAAGAAAATATTTTTTAAAGTGTGTATTCGTATCACTAGAGTGTGGAAGTCATTCCATAATATGACACTAATATCAAAATTTATAAAGAAATGATTGAAAGGATTGATTACCTCAAAATATATAACAATAGTCTATCAGAAAAGATGAAGCATAGATTTAAAAAAACTGGAGAAGAATAATTATGCAGAGATAAACGTGTCAGAAACAATAGAATACTTTTTTTAATATTTTACATCAAAATGTATATTCTCCAGTCCTTAAACAGGCATTCAATGAGCATCTCTTATGTCTGAGGTCATAGGCTGGGTACAAGAGAGGTATAAATTAGGCTCAAATGGGGCCCACAAAGAGCCCCAAATCTAGGGTTTTATTTTCATTGTTAGAGTGTCTATGTCTATGTCAGTAATTGGGATTATTTTTAAACTGAAAAACTCTATCCCACTTTAAAACTCCTAAATAGAACAAGCATTTATCTAACCTTAATATCATAGCATAACTCCTTAAAGTTTATTGACTTTAAAATAACTAAATTCAGTAGCTCTCAAATATCCATAGTATGAGTGACAGACCTGTAAAATCTAATTGACTTTATTTGGCAGACACAGGCAAACACATACATGTATTTTAACATAATATGATGACTACTTAGACATAACCTGATCCTTCAAATATAACTGAAAAAAAGGTGCTCCATTTTGCATGATTTATTATTGAACTAGAGTTCCCTTTCCTAGGTACATGGAGCAAATAGAGAAGATAATTAGAATTCCACTTTTCTTGAAATGTCAAGAAGGGCAGGTGTACTCTGACCTCAGCTTTAAGTTTAACCAAATATATAGGGGGATTTGAGACTGCTCCACATGTTTCTCATGGAATTTCCCCCAAGCACTACTCTCTGAAGAGCCTGAAAAAGTATGTAAGAAAAGCCTTGTTCTCTCTTGACATGAAGTTATGCTCAGCCTGCTTATTATGCTAGAGCTTAGTGTCTGAATAGCAGAGAACGTTTTCTCATCCTTAGTTATGTTTGTTGTTCTAACATAACAGTCTTCTGATCACGATGATTCTCTATAATCAACATTTCTTAAGTGCCCAGTGAGGTAAGCCTTGCTTCTAAAGAATTTTAAAATGTATTTTTAGCAAGGCTCTAAAGATTAAGTCTTCACCTTGCTGTCAGCAGTTACATTTTTTTCTAAGGGGTAAAAAGCACAAACCAGAATTATGCTAGATCTCCATTAAGATATAAAACATTTTATGGTGCCGGGTTGCTGTTGACCTACATTGATAATTGGAAATATTACAACTTATTGCAAAGGTACTAAGTATTATCTATTATAATATGTGTTTTGCATCCCTTTCTGTGATGTAGATAATATTAGTCCTATTTTGCAGATGAGGAAACCAAGACTCTGAAAGCTAAAAAGCTTGCTAAAGTCACGTGGCTAATGAGTAATAACAAGATTCAAAATCAAAACAACCTGACCCTGAAACCCTCCTGTTAACCAGTGACCTTTTCTCCTCTCAAAATTCTGCAGTAAATGGAAACCATTTCACATGTGTTTATTCATTCACACCTACAGTGTGCCAGCTCCCAGTGTAGTCTAGGTATACTATCCATGGTGAAGAGGACAGCCTAGGTCGTTGCCCTCATGGGCTTGCATTCCATTGAGACAGATACATTTCTCAGTGCTTAATTTAGTTAAGTGAGATGGGGGCGGGAAAGAAGAGAAAATAGAGAGACAGAGAATCATGGGGTTTTGACTTTACGCGGGAGTCAGGGAAGGCCTCCGTGAGGATTTGTTAGCTGAAAGGAAACCTTGGTTGAAGTGAGGGAGGAGGAAACCTTGCAGATATCTTGGGAGAAGAGCACCTGTACAGAAAGAACAGCAAGTGCACAGCCCCCTGTGCTGGGAATAGGCTTGTGTCTGAGAACCACAAAAAAAGCCAGTGTGGCTGGAAAGGGCAGGTAAGGGAGAGCATAAGGGGAAATGGGCACAGAGCTAGCCACAGCCAACTCAGGGAGGCGTTGTAGGCCCTGGTAAGGATTTAGGACTTTCTTTTGACTTCTGTGATAAGAAACCAGTGAAGGGTTGGGCTTGGGGAAGTTGCCCCTGGCTGTGTGGCCGCAGTGGAAATAAGGGAAGCAGGTAGGATCCTGCCGTGACCCGAGAGAGATGTATGGCTGCGACAGAGCCACAACAGTTGGGAACTGGTGGGTGATGACATTTGGGGTCTGTTTTGAGAATTCAGGGGATTTATCATCTCGTTGGTGGCAGGAACAAAACTCATAGCAGCATAGTGCAAGAATACAGACAGCATCCTGTTAAGGACCGCAGTGTTTTCTGCAACTTCTTCCATGTGTCTACTGCAAATTGTCTGAGAAGGGCAGGGCCTAGGAAACATGGTGGAAGTTTTGAGATAAAAATATTGCAGCCCATCTGCATTTCCCTGGGAGCTCAATTAGTCATCACTTTGCCTTATTATTTACTAAGCGTTCATCATAGTTCTAAATAGATTCCTCAAAAGAATTAAATTCAAAGGGCAAAGGGGTAGAAAATGGATCTGACTGTCTCTGCACTGGGAGTCCCTGGGAGGGGGGGACGAGGAGGAACAGACCAAACAAAGCATGGCTGATAGAAAGGGAAGCCTGCGATGGGTGGGTTGAGTCAGGTAAGACAGAGAAGCTTGCTAAGGTGGAGTGGAAGGAAATCCTATCATTACTGTGGCTGCCCTCTGAGGTAGGAAGGAATGAAGAGCCCGGGAGGTTTAAAGTGCTCTGAAGCACTGATACTGTAAATGTGGCATGCTAGCATAGGGGAAAGTGTAATTCAGACAGGCAGACTACTCTGTCTGCATTCCTACAACTGCTTCTCCTCCCCAGGATGTGCACGTGTGTGTGTCTCTGTGTGTGTGTGGGCATGTGTCTCTGTGTGTGTCTGTGTATGTCTATGTGTATATCTGTGTGTATACAAGTGTGTGTCTGTGTATGTGTCCATGTGTGTGTCTATGCATATGTGTCTATGTATGTTTGTGTGTGTGTGTGTGTCTGTCTGGGTCTATGTGTATGTCTATGTCTATGTATGTTTGTGTGTGTCTGTGTGTCTATGTGTATGACTGTTTCTATGTATGTCTCTGTGTGTCTCTGTGTGTGTCTGTGTGTCTATGTGCATGACTGTGTGTGTCTGCATACACTCAAAATGCTTCTGTGGAATAAAGTCAATTAGATTTTGCCTTTCCACATGGCTTCTGTATGACCTGTGCTTGACCAACCATCAACCAAAGCCCACGGCTTTTCCTCTGAAAGGGATGCCACATTTTTGTGTGTGTCTGTTTGTAAACAGTGACATTCAAGCACAAGGGTTAGGGATGGAGTGGATAAGGAGGGTGTGAAACAGCACAAATCAGAGAAAATTTAAGAGGTACAAGAAGAAGGTTTTTTGCCTTGGCTTTAAAATGCTGGTAAACACTAACTAATTCTATGAGGCCAGCATCATCCTGATACCAAAACCTGGCAGAGATACAACAAAAAAAGAAAACTTCATGCCAATATCCTTAATGAAACACCAATGCAAAAATCCTCAACAAAATACTGGCAAACCAAATCCAGCAGCACATCAAAAAGCTTATTCACCATGATTCAGTAGGCTTCATCCTCAGGATGCAAGGTTGGTTCAACATATACAAATCAATAAATGTGATTCATCACATAAACAGAACTAAAGACAAAAAAACCACATGATTATCTCAATAGATGCAGAAAAGGCCTTCAATAAAATTCAACATCGCTTCATGTTAGAAACTCTTAATAAACTAGGTATTGAAGGAACATAACTCAAAATAATAAGCACCATATATGACAAACCCACAGCCAATATCATACTGAATGGGAAAAGCTGGAAGCATTCACCTGAAAACCAGCACAAGACAAGGATGTCCTCTCTCACCACTCCTATTCAACACAGTATTGGAAGTTCTGGTCAGGGCAATCAGGCAAGAGAAAGAAATAAAGGGTATCCAAACAGGAAGAGGAAGTCAAATATCTTTGTTTGCAGATGACATGATCCCATATCTAGAAAACTCCATTGTCTCAGCCCAAAAACTTCTTAAGCTGATAAGCAACTTCAGCAAAGTCTCAGGATACACAATCAATGTACAAAAATTATTAGCATTCCTTTACATCAACAACAGGCAAGCTGAGAGCCAAATCATGAATGAACTACCATTCACAATGGCCACAAAAAAATAAAATACCTAGGAATACAGCTAACAAGGGAAGTGAAGGACCTCTTCAAGGAGAACTACAAACCACTGCTCAGAGAAATCAGAGATGACACCAAAAAATGGAAGAACATTCCATGCTCATGGATAGGAAGGATCAATATCATGGAAGTGGCCATACTGCTCAGAGGGATTTATAGATTCAATGCTATTTCCATTAAACTGCCATCGACAATCTTCACAGAATTAGAAAAATCTATGTTAAAATTCATGTGGAACCAAAAAAGAGCCCAAATAGCCGAGGCAATCCTAAGCAAAAAGAACAAAGCTGGAGGCATCACCCTACCCAACTTCAAACAAAACTACAGTAACAAAAATAGCATGGTACTGGTGCAAGAACAGACACATAAACCAATGGAACAGAATAGAGAAGCCAGAACTAAGACCACACACCTATAATCATCTGATCTTCAACAAACCTGACAAAAACAAACAATGGGGAAAGGATTCCCTATTTAATAAATGGTGCTGGGAGAACAGGCTAGCCATACGCAGAAAATTGAAACTGGAGTCCTTCCTTACATCTTATAGAAAAATCAACTCAAGATGGATTAAAGACTTAAGTGTAAAACCCAAAACTATAAAAATCCTAGAAGAAAGTCTAGGCAATACCATTTAGAACATAGGCATGGGCAAAGATTTCATGACGAAAACACCAAAATCAATTGCAACAAATGCAAAAATTGGCAAATGGAATCTAATCAAACTAAAGAGCTTCTGAACAACAAAAAAAACTGTCATCAGAATGAACAGACAACCTACAGAATGGGAGAAAATGTTTGCAATCTATCCATCTGACAAAGGTCTAATATCCAGCATCTATTAATACAAGGAACTTAAACAAATTTACCAAAAAAAACAAACAACCCCATTAAAAAGTGGGCAAAGGACATGAACAGACACTTTTTTTAAAAAAGATATATATGCAGCCAACAAACATATGAAAAAAAAGCTCAACATCACTGATCATTAGAAAAATGCAAACCGAAACCACATTGAGATGCCATCTCATGCCAGTCAGGATAGCTATTATTAAAAAGTCAAAAAGCAACAGATGCTGGCAATGTTGTGGAGAAAAAGGAACACTCTTACACTCTTGGTGGGAGTGTGAATTAGTTCAACCTTTGTGGAAGACAGTGTGGTGATTGCTCAAAGACCTAGGAGCAGAAATACCATTCGACCCAACAATCTCATTACTGGGTGTATACCCAAAGAAATGTAAACCATTCTGTTATAAAGATACATGCATGTGTATGTTCATTGCAACACTATCCACAAAAGCAAAGACATGGAATCAACCTAAATGCCCATCAATGATAGACTGGATAAAGAAAATGTGGTATATATACACCGTGGAATACTATGCAGCCATAAAAAGGAATGAGATAAAGTCCTTTGCAGAGACATGATGGAGCTGGAAGCCATTATCCTCAGCAAACTAATGCAGGAACAAAAATCAAACACCGCATGTTCTCACTTATAAGTGGGAGCTGAATGATGAGAACACATGGACACATGGCAGCGAAACAACACACACTGGGGCCTGTTAGGGGGTGGGAGGGTGCAGGGAGGGAGAGCGTCAGGAAGAATAGCTAATAGATGCTGGGCTTAATATCTAGGTGATGGGGTTGATCTGTACAGCAAACCACCATGGCATACACTTACCTATGTAACAAACCTGCATATCCTGCACATGTACCCACAAATTTAAAATAAAAAAATATATAATATATATATAAAAGAAAATGTGGATACACAGAGACACCAGACATAGGCACTCACACAGAAAAGGCCATGTGAGGACATAGAGAAAAGGCAGCCACCTACAAACCCAGAAGAAAGGCCTCAGAAGAAACCAAATCAACTGATGCCTTCATCTTGGATTTCTAGCCTCCAGCCTGAGAAATTAAAGTTCTGTTGTTTAAGCAAAAAAAAAAAAAAAGGCCGGTAAACACTGGTGATTCTGCTTTATACTAAAAATGATGGCGGTGATGGGGGAACCGTTTACTAGGTACAACCACAAGATATTTGGTCAAAAAGGATTGAAAGCCACTACTTGCTTTCATTTCTTGAAATACATTTCTTTAAATACATACCATTTCTTGAAATACATTTATTAAGCACAGATGAGTGTTGTTTTGGTTTTTGTTTAGTGATTAAGTGTACAATCCCCAATAAAATATTTTGAAGTTTTTCCAAAGAAAAGAAACTCTGCCTGGCTGCATCAGCTAGACAAAGGTACCTGCGCTGCTGTTTGTTTGTTTGTTTGTTTGTTTGTTTTTCCCTGTATCTGCTGGAATATTTTAGCTGATGGACATTTGAGCTGGCATTACTTAAATGAGAATCTCTTCAAAGTGATGCACGCTGTGTTTTTCCCTGTGAGACGTGTGAATGCCTTGTGGATATTTGTGAGTACACTTAAGTGTTTTTGTTTTCCACTATGCTAGGTCAGTTTTCAGATCTTATTAAAAAGCTCAGGGTTTCGGGAATCCGACTGTTCTGCAAATGCCTGCTGCTGTTGTTAAGTGGCCTGTACCATCCTTGAGTAGGCAAGAAGAGCTGAGATTTCACCAGAAACAGTGACATTCACACCCAGGGGCTGAAATAAGGCGGAATGCCCACCTGGAGATAAGTCTTGGCTGTCACACCTGGACCGCCTGCTCTGGTCATGTGTGTGTGTGATCTATAATAGGGTCACAGCTTTATGAAATTCAGTCACTTTGTAGCAGCCACTCTAAGGAGGATGATTCATGGTCCCTGTGCAGGCACTGCACCCAGCACCTTCTCAGGAACATTCACATTATTTCCAGCTGGATTGAGGCTGGAAGCTCCCTGGCAAGCAATAGAAAAGCACCAGGTGTTCCCAGCAGCGCTCTCTTTCACCCTTGCAAGCTGCAACTGGCAAGAGAATTGTACTTGATGGCACACGGTGTGATGGTTGCCTCACTGCCAGAGCATTTGTTCTGGATGCCTCTGTCCCCAGGTGTCTCAGAAGTAATCCTAATCATTGAACTTTGGCCCTCTGGAAACAAGGCCAGTCGCAAGACACGTCAGGAAGCAATTTGTGCATCGAGACTCGAGCTGCTTTGGAGTTTCCCTCTGGATTTTAGTCAAGCTGTCACAAAGTTCATGACTTGGTTTTTCCACTCTTGTAAAATGAAGGCTGCTCTGACTCCTGCCTGCAATCTCCAGCTTATTGCCTTTAATACTTCCCTGTTGCTATTGCTAAACCCCTTACCTTATACAGACTGTGGAGATGGGCAAAGGAAAAAAATCTCCAAGCTTTTTGATATGGTGCTTTGAAGACACAGTTTACTAATGGCCTGAAAGAATTCATTGCAGCTTCCCACATGCAAAGTTTATTTTCGGAGAGTAGTTTATATATGGAATAAATGGAATAGAATTGAGTCCAGAAATAAACTCTCACATTTTTAGAAAATTGGTTGTCAACAAGGATGCCAAGACAATTCAATGGGGAAAGAAATGTCTTATCAGCAAACAGTGCTAGGGCAACTAGATATCTATGTGAAGAAGAATAAAGTGAGAACTCTACCTTACATCATATTAAAAAATTAACTCAAGATTGATCAAAGACCTAGATGTAAGAGCTAAAACTATAACAGGCTTAGAAGAAAACATAGGTGTAAATTTTCATGACCTTGAATTAGGCAATTATTTCTTTAAAATATGACACTAAAAGCACGAAAAACAAAAGAAACAATAATAATTTGGACATCATCAAACTAAAAATGTTGTGGCTCAAAGGACACCATCTATAAAGTGAAAAGACTACCCAGAGAATGGGAGGAAAGTTTTGTAATGTTGTATCTGAAAAGGGAAGTATCTATATAGAGAACAATTACAATGCAATAATAAAAAGACAAATACTCCAATGTTCAAATGGGCAAAGGATTTGAAAAGACATTTCTCCAAAGAAGATATTCAGATATCTAATAAACACATGAAAAGATGCTCAGCATCATTAACCATCAGGGAAATACAAATCAAAACCACAAGAGACCACTTTATACCCATGGGAATGTCTATAATCAGAAAGACAGGTAATAACAAGTGTTTGCAAGGATTTGGAGAAATTGATGGTGGAAATTTAAAATGATATAGTCACTTTAGAAAACACTCTGGCAGTTCCTCAAACAATCAATCATAGAGTTACCATATGAACAGCAATTCTACTTCTAGGTATATACCCAAAAAAATGAAAACATATATTCACCAGAAACTTGTTTATGAAGTGCAGAGCAGCATTATTCTTAACAGCCTAAAAGTGGAAACAACCCAAATGTTCATCAAACTGATGAATTCGTAAATAAAATATACTATATCCACTCAATAGAATATTATTTGCCAATTAAAAAAAATAAAGGCTGGATACTGTGGCTCACACCTGTAATCTTGGCACTTTGGGAGACTGAGGTGGGAGGATCACTCGAGGCCTGGAGTTCAAGACCAGCCTGAGCAACATAGCAAGACTCCATCTCTACAAAAAGTAAAAAATTAGCCAAGCATGGTGGTGCACGCCTGTAGTCCTAGTGACTTGGGAGGCTGAGGTTGGAGGACTGCTTAAGCCCAGGAGTTCAAGGCTGCAGTGAGCAATGATCATGCCACCACACTCCCGCCTAGGTTGCAGAGCAAGACCTTGTCTCTACAAATAAACAAAAACTAAATGAAGTATTGATACATGCCACAACATGGACGACTCTTAAAAACATCATGCTAGCCGGGCACTGTGGCTCACGCCTGTAATCCCAGCACTTTGGGAGGCCGAGGTGGGTGGATCACCTGAGGTCAGGAGTTCAAGACCAGCCTGGCCAACATGGAGAAACCCCATCTCTACTAAAAATAAAAAATTAGCCGGGTGTGATGGCACATGCCTGTAATCCCAGCTACTTGGGAGGATGAGGTAGGAGAATTGCTTGAACCTGGGAGGCGGAGGTTGCGGTGAGCCGAGATCGTGCCACTGCACTCCAGCCTGAGCAACAAGAGTGAAACTCCGTCTCAAAAAAAAAAAAAAAAAGAAAAAGAAAAAAAAGAAAACATCATGCTAAGTGAAAGAAACCAGGATGAACGTTGTATGATTCTATTTATATGAAATGTCCAGAATAGGCAAATTCCTAGAGAAAGAAAGTACATTAGTGGTTGTCTAGGGTTGGGGGAATTGTGGGGAACAGGAAGTGATGCTAATGGGCATAGGGTTTCTTACTGGGTTGATGACAATACCATAAAATTGATGGTAGTGATGGTCACACAACTCTATGAATATACTAAAAACCATTCCACTGTATACTTTAAATTGGTGAATTGTATGCTATGTGGATTATATTTCAATAAAGAAGATATTTAAAAATCACAAAATATAGATGATTAGAGAATATGGAATATGTCATTAATTATAGATTTTTTCTGCATTTTTAATACTTTCTTTGACTTCACTTGCTTTCTCAGATGTTTCTTAGAAAACATCCAAAGCAAAGATTTACAACTCTGTACGGAAGCCACAGATTTTGTAAGAAAAGGCTAAAGAGAAAAAGATTACTGCAATGTAGTGTTTGCATTTATGATTTACTTTCTATTCACGTTTCAGACTTAGTTATTTACTTTGCACCTATTACCACATACTTGCTATTATCTCTCCATACACATGAAAGTTCTTCGGAATTTTTAGTAAAATGTCCTCAGTTTCTGAGTCAAACCTGTCTACTGAGAATCAAATATAGTTTTCACTAAAGTTGCTTCCTACGAATTGCCATGTGAGAAAAAGAAGAAAACAGACGGGCAGCAGATACACTATTTTCTCCTAGTTGATGGCAAAAATTAGATCTCTATCAAGATCAAAAAAGAGTTCTTTATTCCATGAACTAAGTTTCTTATCCTAAGGTGATTACCGGGGGAAATATTTAAAAGAAGCATCAGTGGAGGGAAGGGTAAATCGTGGGATAAAATACACTCATTGACTTTCTTCTCCAAGCCAAACTGCAGAGGAAATAACAGGCGCAGAGACTTCTAGCAGGGTTGTCTGGTGGGACATGCCCTGGGATATGGGGTCAGTCCATTCCTGTCCAGACCAGGGACTTCCTCTGACCTTGGCAACTCAGTTACCTCCTGTGAGCCTAAGCTTTCTTGTCTGCAAACTGAGAGATCTCTCAAGTCTTTCCTGGCTGTAACAGTTACAGGGGCGTCCAATCTTTTGGCTTCCCTGGGCCACATTGGAAGTAGAATTGTCTTGGGCCACACATAAAATACACTAACACTAATGATAGTGGATGAGATTTTTTTTTAATTGCAAGAACATCTCATAGTGTTTTAAGAAAGTTTACGTATTTGTTTTGGGCTGCATTCAAAGCCATCCTGGGCTGTGTGTGTCCCACAGGCTGCAGGTTGGGCAAGTTTGGTCTATGATTTTATAATCTGATCTAGTATTCTCTGAGACATCAATGCTAGATGAGGATACAGGTAGATGAATGAATATTGTAGTTGAGTAAATATTACACCCGGTGTGTTGATTAATGAATAGATGTGATCATAGAAGAAGCAATATCAAGATTTTTCACCAGCCTCTGGAGTTATCACTGATTAGCAAAGCATTTTAATTAATAACTCAAACAGAAAAAGCATGTCTGTTAGTTTTGCAATCCGCAAAAAGATGAACACAATAGACATGTTAATTCCCAAACTTAGTTTCAAAAAAACTATCTGCCAGGTTTCAAATGAACATAGGCTTGATTGGCCACACGAAAATTTAAATATTATGAATGTTGAATGGCCAACCATAAGTTCAACTTGAACTAAGTTTGATGTGGCTACTTTTTATTTTTTACTTTTCAAAAATTGTGGTACACACTGCATCTTCTCACTCATAAGTAGGAGTTGAACAATGAGAACACATGGATGCAGGGAGGGGAACACCACACACTGGGGCCTGTTTGGGGGTCGGGGGCAAGGGGAGGGAGAGCATTAAGACAAATACCGAATGCATGCAGGGCTTAAAACCTAGATGACGGGTTGATAGGTGCAGCAAATCACCATGGCACATGTAAACCTATGTAACAAACTTGCACATTCTGCACATGTATCCCAGAATTTAAGTAAAAAAAAAAATTGTGGTACAATGTACATACAGTGAACAATTCAGAGTTTTGTCAATTTCATACAGCCATGCACTCCACACCCCTATCAAGATGTAGAATATTTCCAACCCCTGAAAAAAGATCCTTCATGCCCTTCCCAGTCAGTCCCCACCGAGGCAAACACTGATCTGATTTCTCCCCAGTACGTGTTTTTCCAATCCTAGAACTTCATCAGTCATAGAATATGTACTCTTTTGTGTCTGGTTTCTTACACTCAGGAAAATGGTTTTGAAGGTCATCCATTTTCTTGGTTTTATGAGTAGTTTCTCGCAGGTTGTATTCCCTGGGAAGAGACAGAGATGAACACGCAGGGCATTGATAAAGGAGTTCTCTTAGAAGCCACGTCTTTTGAAAGGCAGGGAAAGAAGTCAGATTGAGCAGATTGGGGAATAGAGCTGTGAGGCAGCTCCAGCCCCAGCCTCAGTGCATCCCAGTGGGGGTACTGGCGTGAGATTGTCTGTCAGTTATCTCAAGGTGGGGTGTGGGGACCTTGATGCTTGCCCCGTGTTGATCAGGCATTGGATGTGGGCTCCTTCTACAGGAAGGTGGTATCTCGGGCAAGCCTGCAGCTTTCAGGCAGGGAAGTTCTCCTTATAAAAAGCTGACAGCTGAGGGCTGTCTCCCAGCAGCACTCCTAGCAGCCAGGGGAAATAATCCCTTTATTTCTGAGGGGGGGTCCAGGCAGCACATCACAGTGTTTTATTGCTGAGTAGTATTCCATTAATGGACATACCACAATTTATTTACCCACTCTTCTGTTGAGGGACGTTTGGCCTGTCCAGTTTGGGGCTATTATGAACAAAGCTGCTATGAACATTCCTAAACTGGTCTTTTTATGGATATATGTTTTTATTTCTGCTGAATAAATGACAAGTAGAATTTCTGAGTCATAGGGTAGGTGTATGTTTAACATTACAGAAACTGCCAGACTAACCTGAGCTTCAACAACAAATGTGATTTTAAAATAAATTTGGGTACAAATATAGAAATACACCTTCAAATTAACAAGGGAAATTCAGGTGAAACTTAAATATGAACTTAAAACTTAACCTGAAGTTGACCTCCTTAATGATAAGGTTCTCCTGTGCAGTATTTGAAAACGAATTACAGCACTCAGTCTCTTTTTCCCAACAGATTTTTTTCAATAAAGTACAACCATGCATTGCTTAAAGACAGGGATACAATCTGAGGTGTGTTGTTAAGTGATTTTGTCATTGTGTAAACATGATAGAGTGTATTTTAACAAACCTGGATGGAATAGCCTACTATACAACCTAGGCTGTATGGTATAGCTTATTTCTCCCAAGCTACAAATCTGTGCAGCATGTTACTGCACTGAATACTACAGACAATTATAACACAATGGTAAGCATTTGTGTATCTAAACATATATCTAAACATAGAAAAGGTATAGCAAAACTATAGTGTAAAGATTAAAAAACAAACAAACAAAAAATGGGGTTGGGCACAGTGACTCTGCCTGTAATCTCAGCACTTCGGGAGGCCAAGGTGGCAGGATCACTTGAGGTCAAGAGTTCGAGACCAGCCTAACCAACATGGTGAAACCTCATCTCTACTAAAAATACAAAACTTAGCCGGTCAGGGTGGCATGCGCCTATAATCTCAGCTGCTCTGAGGCTGAGGCAGGAGAATCGCTTGAACCCAGGAGGTGGAGGCTGAAGTGAGCTGAGATCATGCCACTGCACTCCAGCCTGGGCAACAAAGCAAGATTCTGTCTCAAAAAAAAAAAAAAAGATAAAAAATGGCACACTTCTATAGGACACTTACCATGAATGGAGCTTGCAGGACTGGAGGTTGCCCTAGGTAAGTCTGTGAGTGAGTGATGGGTGAATGTGAAAGCCTTGGATATTATTCTACACCACTATAGACTTTATAAACACTGTACACTTAGCCTACACTAAATTTATATTTAAAATTTCTTTTCCTAATAATAAATTAACCTTAGCTTATTGTAACTTTTTTACTTTATAAACTTTAAAAATTTTTTAAACTTTTTTACTGTTTTGTAGCAACACGTAGCTTAAGACACAAACTCACTGTACAGCTGTATAAAAACCCTCTGCTGAGGGTGTCAGGGTCTCATGAAGCTGCAGTCAAGGTGTCAGTAGGGATGTCGTCTCATCCAAGGCTTGACTGAGGAAGGATACACCTGGAAGTGCATGTGGTCACTGGGCAGCACGCCATTCCTTGCAGAATGCCAGACTGAGGGCTCAGTTTCTTGCTGGCTGTGAGTGGGAGGTTGCCCTCTGTTCCTTGTCCTTTCCATGTGGCAGCTCACAACATGGCAGCTTGCTTCTTTAAAGCCAGGTGAAGAGCCAGTGTCCCCTAGCAAGACAGACGTGCCCTCTCAGGGGGAGGGGATCACACAAAGGTGGATTACCTGGGGTCTACCTTCACATCTGTCCACCATGCTCCCAATGGTAAGAAGCATTTATTGTAGTACCTCAGTTAGTCAAATATTTCCTTCCTCCAAAAGCAGAGGAAACTAGAACTCCCTTCCAGTTTGTTCATCCATACACAGTGATTTGTCAGGTAATGAATGTTCCTGATTAGCTTTAGCACTGGTGTATTTCAACCAAATCAATTTTTAAACAAAAGACAAAGGCCAGTAACATTAAAAGAGAAGTTGAACAGAACTTTAACTGGGAACACTAAAAACTTAAATGTATGTATTTAGTAGGTACATATTAAATGTCATTATGGTAATATTCAGATCTGGTGTTTTCTCAGTTACTGCATTAAAAAACTTAAGTGCTCATTTGTAAATGGTGTTCTATTGACAATACTGCTTACTACTGGTAGGCCTAGCAGTAAAGCTGCTCTCCATACTTTCAATAAATCCTCAATCTCCTTTTCCTATTTCTCCTGGTACCCACAGACCTTGTATTAGTCCATTTTCATGCTGCTGATAAAGACATACCCAAGACCGAGCAATTTACAAAAAAAAAAAAAAGGTTTATTGGACTTAGAGTTCTACATGGCTAAGGAGGCCTCACAATCATGGCAGAAGGCAAGGAGGAGCAAGTCACATCTTACATGGATGGCAGCAGGCAAAGAGAGAGCTTGTGCAGGGAAACTCCCATTTTTAAAACCATCAGATCCATGAGACATATTCACTATCACAAGAACAGCACAGGAAAGAGACTCCCCCATGATTCAATTGCCTCCCACCAGGTCCCTCCCACAACATACGGGAATTGGAGATGAGATTTGGGTGGGGACACAGCCAAACCATATCAGACATAAGCAGTGTATTGATACGGATCAGGTTCATTTATTCATTCATTCATGTATAAAACAAATACCTACTGAGCACTTACCCGTGCACTGACTGTGCTGGTGTTTCAGTAGTAAATGAAACATGGCCTCCAAATAACATTCAGTCCAGACAGATGAGGAAACGCTGCACAATAAACTCCACTGAGGAATTTGCTATGGAAATACATAAATTAAGGGCCGAGAGAACTTGATATCCAAGTGGCACGCTCCTTAGAAAACAAATTATAGGAGAAGTACAGGCCAGATATTGAGAGTTAATCAAGTAGAAAGAAAATAAAACCTCAAGGAAGGATGTGTCCCTTAGATGGTAATAGAATACAGAGACAAACAGAGGCTTGAGAACTGAGGCTTTAGAAAAATCTAAATAGAAGATGGGAAGAAAAATAACCCACAAATTTTAAGTAGCTGCAGTGTTGGCAAGCTGTGAAGTAAAGTCTCACTCTTCAAATGGCAATATCAGTTTTCAGATACTAGCTATTTCTATACTGACATAAATAATGGAATACAAGTAAAATATTCATAAAAAATTCATAGTAAAATTTGCATACAATGAAAAACTCTAGATGAAGTAAGATAATATTTAAGGTGGGAACAAAGTAAAAATTATCACCTAAAGTCACAGACCCAGGTGAGAAATGCATATTAATGTTGACTGTTTTATTAATGCATGTAGTTAAATATAATAGTATTCAGTGTTGGTTTGTAGAAACAAATCACTGCATGTGTTACTGGTTCACAAGAAAACACTGTAACACATCTATAAAGAAGAAATTCAATAATCTAAAATGCAGTGGAATCTGGGGCTTCATGTGGGTTTTAGAATATTTAGAGCAAAACAAAATCTAGAGCACTTTATCCTATATAGTAAATAAATAAATATATCAAAGTATAACAATAATTTTGCAAATAAAATAAAAAAGCTTTTAGGTAAAGATTGTTTCTTATCGTATATTTGGCCCTTTTCTAAAATTTTCTTTCTTTTTTTTTTTTTTTCTTTGAGGCAGTCTCGCTCTGTCACCCAAGCTGGAATGTGGCACAATCTCGGCTCACTACAACCTCCTATTCCCAGGTTCAAAGGGAAGCTACTCAACCTCCCAAGTAGCTGGGACTACAGACATGCACCACCACACCTGGCTAATTTTTTGTATTTTTGGTAGAGAAGGGGTTTCACCAGGTTGACCAGGCTGATGTCGAACTCCTGGCCTCATGTGATTCGCTTGCCTTAGCCTCCAAAAGTGCTGGGATTACAAGCATGAGCCACTGCACCTGACCTAAAATTTTCCCTTGTGCATTCTCAAAATTGCAAGTTCTCTACCTGGAAAATTTGGAGGAATGAAAACCCCTCAGCAAAAGACCCTCATTGCATTGGAGGGTGATGTGTGGATTTAAAATGGCAATATTCCAAGCACATTTTGTATATGTACTTCTTAATTGTGTGATTACATGATTTCTCCCTGAATAAATCTTGTTTTGATGAAAGATTAAGTCAGAGCACCTGCAAGCTTCATTGCTCCTCCCCCTTTCTCAGCTCCCATCTTTATCACCTGTTTGGAGAATGTGTCAACATTCCCTAATTGAGAAGTAATTTGCAGTTACTGAAATCCATTTTATATTAAAAAGCCTCTTCAATATGCACAACTTACCCTAGAGAGCTGTTTTACTTGGAGGCATTTCTTAGATTTAAGTTCTAATAAAACTAAGTGTGTTTTAGGAAATAACTTTATAGCTTTTTTTCCCCTATTTTAAAATACAAGGAACATAAAAGTAAAGAAGAGATGAAGTTAAGCCTGTTAAATATAAGAAACTACTTATTTTGTTTGTTATTCCCTTAAGATGTCGTTTGGAGTTTTAAAGATATCATTGTACTACAAATAAAAAATATTACAGATATCTATTTACTCTTCAGAAAGTAAAAATAAGTAGTGGGTAGGAGTTCTTCATCTGTTTTTAGTTATAAAATGCTGAACTATTGAATAATGAAAGTGTTTTAAACAACACTAAAAATGCATCTGTATTTTTCCCTGAATGCAAAACAGTAATATTTAAATTCACCTTCCTACTAGGGATGTTTCAGTTCTTATGACTACCAGGCAGTTTTGTTTTTCATCTTGAATTGTGAATTGTCTTCACCTATATTACAATTAGTTTTTTCTTTTTTTCTTTAATTTCGGCTTTTATTTTTGATACAGGGGGTATGTATGGAGGACTGTTATATGGGTGTATATTGCACCCAGACAGTGAGCAGAGTACCCAATAGGTAGTTTTTCAACCCACATTCTTCTCCTTTCCCCCTATAGTACACAGTGTCTATTGTTCTCATGTTTATGTCCATGTGTGCTCAATGTTTAGCTCCCACTTATAAGTGAGAATATGTGATATTTGGTTTTCTGTTCCTGTATTAATTTGCTTAGGATATGATCTCCAGCTGCATCCATGTTGCTGCAAAGGACATTATTTCATTCTTTTTTTATGGCTGTATAATATTCCCTGGTGTATTTGTACCACGTTTTCTCTAGCCAGGCCCCCACTAATGAGCACCTAGGTTGATTCCATGTCTCTGCTATTGTGAATAGCACAGTGATGAACGTACGAGTGCATGTGTCTTTTTGCTATAGTGATCTATTTCCCTTTGAGTATATACCCAGTAATGATATTTTTGGGTCACATGGTAACTCTGTTTTAAGTTCTTCCAATTACATTTTTCATTCAAAGTTGCAGAGCACTCTCTCAACATGCTGAGTGAAGGCTTGCCCTCCCCGTGGATGAATGAAGTACTGAATATCCCAAAGCATTGAATCACTTCTCTTGATTTTAAGATTCTGTTTCATTGGTGCCCTTGTTTTTATCATTTTGTTTTTTACTCTGTTCTTTTTTCTTTTCTTTCCCTTTTTAGCTTTATCATTTAATATTGACCTAATTCATTTGTGTGATTATCTTTCCCTGAATAGATCTTTTCTTTGTTTTTTTAAATAAATGCGATTAAAGCTTTAAATATAGCTCTAATTACCACATTAGCTTAATTCTACATGTTTTATAGTGCTTTCATTGTTGTTTAGTTCTAAATATTTTATGCTACAATTGGATTTTCTTGTGTTACTTAGGAGTATGTTTCTTTCAGTTTCTAAAAATGTGTGGGAGGGGTTTTTATTTCTGTTTTTAACTAGGTTTTCTTGTTGATTTTTAATTTAATTACATTATGGTCAGAGATCAGGGATTACTTAATATGAATTACTTAAAATTTATTGAGATTTCTGTTATGATCTAGTGTTAAATCAATGTACAGTTGCCATTTTCTTGAGTACAAGTCTCTACACGTTTGTGTATTACATCAAGCTTGTCAATGGGATTGTTTAAATTCATGACCTTAAAAATATTTTGTTTTCATGATCTATTAGTTTTTGATGGTATGTTAAAAATCTCTCCTTATTATTGTGGATCTGTCCGTTTATCATTGTAATTCTGTTAGTTTTTGCTTTAGATATATATATGGTTCTGATGTCAGGGATATATGAGATAATAATTTGAACATCCTGTTAGATTATAATTTTTGTCATTACACTATATAATATGTCCCTCTATACTATTTGTTATTTTACCTTCAGTTTTAATTTATCTATTATTAATATTGAGATTATAAATTTTCTTTTGGTAAGAATTTTCTTAGTAAATATTTTTCATACTTTTATTTTCAGCTTTTGCTGTTTGGGGTGTGTCTTCTAAAAATGACAGATAAAGAAAGAGATGTACTATGTTTCTGCTGCTCACAATTTTTTAGTCTTTGTCATTAGATAAGAAAGCTTATTCCTTTCATATTTATTGAGATTACTAATTTGGACTTACATTGCCATCTTAATTTGTGTCATCTTTTTAAGCATGCTCTTCTTCAATTTTCTTTCATTTTCTCATTATTTGGATTAGTGAAGCTTTCTTTAATCCCCTTCTTTTGTTTAGTGATTTGGAAGCTTATAGTTATATCTTTCTTACTATTTGAAACAGTTACTTTTTCTAACAAAGTTTAAAATTATTTAGTACATATATCTTTCCCCGATCAAAATCAGGACTTTAACATACATGTTAAAACTTCACTACTTCCTCATTTGCAGAGCCGATAGTTTATTAAATTCACCATCATGTCCTCACTTTCTGTGCTCACTGTTGTTTCATGCATACCACCCTTACCTCTAGGTTCATTTTCTTTCTTTATTTTTATTTTATTTTATTATTATTATTTTGAGACACTGTCTTGCTCTGTCACCCAGGCTGGAGTGCAGTGGTGCAATCTCGGTTCACTGCAACCTCTGCCTCCCTGGTTCAAGTGATTCCCCTGACTCGGCCTCCCAAGTAGCTGGCATTACAGGCACCTGCCACCACACCCGGCTATTTTCTTGTATTTTTAGTAGAGATGGGGTTTCACCATGTTGGCCAAGCTGGTCTGAACTCCTGACCTCAAGTGATCTGCCAGCCTCGGCCTCCCAAAGTGCTGGGATTACAGGCATGAGCCACCGCACCCAGCCTGGGTTCATTTTCTTTCTTGCTGAGGAATATCCTGTAGATGTTTTCAGTGATTAATTACTTTTAGTGAATGATTGATTTAGTGAATGAGTGTTTACCTGGATATAGAATTCTAAGTTGACAGTTGCTTCTTCAAAACACTAAGAAAAAATAGTTTTTCATTTACTTGGATTTATTATGATTCCTTAAAGTGGGATTTGCCTTTTCTGTCTCCTGCTTTCTAAATTTTCTCTACATTTCTGCTGCTCAGTTTCACTAGGATGTGTTTAGGTATACATTGATTTGTTCTTTCCCTTGGCGACACATGGGATTGTTTTTATTCTGTATTTGGAAGTCTAGCAGACATCTCAAAACTGAACTTCTAATTTTCTATTCCAAATCCACTCCACTCACTGTTGTGCTAGTTTTAAGTAATGGCAATTTGATCTTTTCAGTTGCTCAGAAAAAAATTTTGAAGTCTTCCTTCCATCATCTTTTGTCTCCCACACCCCACATTCAATCCATAGGGAATATTGGTTCTGTTTTCAAAATGAACCCAGAATCCAGATGCATTTCATTACACCCACTGCTACCAACCTGGTCTAAGCCACTATCATTTCTAGTCTGGATTATTCCTGTAGTCTCTCCTGGTCTCTTTGCTTCTAATGTTGTCTCCTCTGTTCTCTACTCAGAAGCCACAGTGATTTTTAAAACAAAAGCCAGATCATGTTATTACTTTGTTCGAAACTGTCATTGCAACCTTATCGCACTCGTAGTAAAAGCTAAAGTATTTTTTATTATTTTTATTTTATTATACTTTAAGTTCTGGGATACATGTGCAGAATGTGCAGGTTTGTTACATAGGTATATACATGCCATGGTGGTTTGCTGCACCCATAAACCCGTCATCTACATTAGGTATTTATCCTAATGCTATCCCTCCCCTAGGCCCCCAAACCACCCCCCAACAGGCCCCAGTGTGTGATGTTCCCCTCTCTATGTCCATGTATTCTCATTGTTCAACTCCCACTTATGAGTGAGAACATGTGGTGTTTGGTTTTCCGTTCCTGTGTGAATTTGCTGAGGATGATGGTTTCCAGCTTCATCCATGTCCCTGGAAAGGACATGAACTAATCCTTTTTTATGGCTGCATAGTATTCCATGGTGTATATGTGCCACATCTTCTTTATCCAGTCTATCATTGATGTACATTTGGCTTGGTTCCAAGTCTTTGCTATTGTGAAGAGTGCTGCAATAAACATAAGTGTGCATGTGTCTTTATAGCAGCATGATTTCTAATCCTTTGGGTATATATCCAGTAATGGGATTGCTGGGTCAGTTGGTATTTCTGGTTCTAGATCCTTGAAGAATCACCACAGTGTCTTCCACAATGTTTGAACTAATTTACATGCCCAACAACAGTGTAACAGCATTCCCATGTTTCCACAACCTCTCCAGCATCAGTTGTTTCCTGACTTTTTAATGATCGCCATTCTAACTGGCATGAGATAGTTTCTCATTGTGGTTTTGATTTGCATTTCTTTAATGACCAGTGATGATGAGTTTTCTTCCATATGTTTGTTGGCCGCATAAATGTCTTCTTTTGAGAAATGTCTGTTCATATCCTTTGCCCACTTTTTGATGGGATCATTTGTTTTTTCTTGTAAATTTGTTTAAGATCTTTGTAGATTCTGGATGTTAGCCCTTTGTCAGATGGATAGATTGCAAAAGTTTTCTCCCATTCTGTAGGTTGCCTGTTCACTCTGCTGAGAGTTTCTTTCGCTGTGCAGAAACTCTTTAGTTTAATTAGATCCCATTTGTCAATTTTGGCTTTTGTTGCCATTGCTTTTGGTGTTTTAGTCATGAAGTCTTTGCCCATGCCTATGTCCTGAATGGTATTGCCGAGGTTTTCTTCTAGGGTTTTTATGGTGTTAGGTCTTACATTTAAGTCTTTAATCCATCTTGAGTTAATTTTTGTATGAAGTGTAAGGAAGGGGCCCAGTTTAAGTTTTCTGCATATGGCTAGCCAGTTTTCCCAACACCATTTATTAAGTAGGGAATCCTTTCTCCATTGCTTGTTTTTGTAAGATATGTCAGAGATCAGATAGTTGTAGATGTGTGGCATTATTTCTGAGGCCTCGGTTCTGTTCCATTGGTCTATATATCTGTTTTGGTACCAGTACCATGCTGCTTTGGTTACTGTAGCCTTGTAGTATAGTTTGAAGTCAGGTAGTGTGATGCCTCCAGCTTTGTTCTTTTTGCTTAGGATTGTCTTGGCTATACAAGTTCTTTTTTGGTTCTATATGAAATTTAAAGTAGTTTTTTAAAAATTCTTTGAAGTCAGTGGTAGCTTGATGGGGATAGCATTGAATCTATAAATTACTTTGGACAGTATGGCCATTTTTATGATATTGATTCTTCCTATCCGTGAGCATGGAATGCTTTTCCATTTGTTTGTGTCCTCTCTTATTTCCTTGAGCAGTGATTTGCAGTTCTCCTTGAAGAGGTCCTTCACATCCCTTGTAAGTTGGATTCCTAGGTATTTTATTCTCTTCGTAGCAATTGTGAATGGGAGTTCACTCATGATTTGGCTCTCTGTTTGTCTGTGACTGATGTATAGGAATGCTTATGATTTTTGCACATTGATTTTATATCCTGAGACTTTGCTGAAGTTGCTTATCAGCTTAAGGAGATTTTGGGCTGAGACGATGGAGTTTTCTAAATATACAATCAAATCATGTCATCTACAAACAGAGACAATTTGACTTCCTGTCTTCCTATTTGAATACGCTTTATTTCTTTCTCTTGCCTTATTGCCCTGGCCAGAACTTCCAATACAATGTTGAATAGGAGTGGTGAGAGAGGGCATCCTTGTCTTGTGCTGGTTTTCAAAGGGAATGCTTCCAGCTTTTTCTATTCAGTATGCTATTGGCTGTGGGTTTATCATAAATAGCTCTTATTATTTTGAGATACGTTTTATCAACACCTAGTTTATTTAGCATTTTTAGCATGAAGGGATGTTTTGTCAAAGGCCTCTTCTGCATCTATTGAGATAATCATGTGTTTTTTGTCATTCGTTCTGTTTATGTGATGGATTACATTTATTGATTTGCGTATGTTGAACCAGCCTTGCATCCCACGGATGCAGCCGACTTGATCGTTGTGGATAAGATTTTTGATGTGCTGCTGGATTCGGTTTGCCAGTATTTATTGAGGATTTTTGCATCTATGTTCATCAGGTCTATTGGCCTGAAATTTTCTTTTTTTGTGGTGTCTCTGCCAGGTTTTGGTATCAGGATGATGTTGGCCTCATAAAATGAGTTAGGGAGGAGTCCCTCTTTTTCTATTGTTTGGAATAATTTCATAAGGAATGGTACCAGCTCCTCTCTGTACCTCTGGTAGAATTCGGCTCTGAATCTGTCTGGTCCTGGGCTGTTTTTTGGTTGGTAGGCTATTAATTACTGCCTCTATTTCAGAACTTGTTATTGGTCTATTCAGGGATTCGACTTCTTCCTGGTTTAGTCTTGGGAGGATGTATGTGTACAGGAATTTATCTATTTCTTCCAGATTTTCTAGTTTATTTGGATAGAGGTGTTTATAGTATTCTCTGATAGTAGTTCGTATTTCTGTAGGATCAGTGGTAATATCCCCTTTATCATTTTTTATCGTGTCTATTTGATTCTTCTCTCTTCTCTTCTTTATTAGTCTGGTAGTGGTCTATTTTGTTAATCTTTTCAAAAAACCAGCTCCTGGATTCATTTATTTTTTGAAGGGTTTTTCATTTATCTTTCTCCTTCAGTTCTGCTCTGGTCTTAGTTATTTCTTGTTTTCTGCTAGCTTTTGAATTTGTTTGCTCTTGCTTCTCTAGTTCTTTTAATTGTGATGTTAGGGTGTCGATTTTAGATCTTTCCTGCTTTCTCCTGTAGGCATTTAGTGCTATAAATTTCCCTCTACACACTGCTTTAGCTGTGTCCCAGAGATTCTGGTGTGTTGTGTCTTTTTTTCTCATTGGTTTCAAATAACTTATTTATTTCTGCCTTAATTTCGTTATTTACCCAGTAGTCATTCAGGAGCAGGTTGTTCAGTTTCCATGTAGTTGTGCGGTTTTGAGTAAGTTTCTTAATCCTGAGTTCTAATTTGATTGCACTGTGTTCTGAGAGACAGTTTGTTGTGATTTCTGTTCTTTTACATTTGCTGAGGAGTGTTTTACTTCCAATTATGTGGTCAATTTTAGAATAGGTGCAATGTGGTGCTGAGAAGAATGTATATTCTGCTGATTTGGGGTGTAGAGTTCTGCAGATATCTATTAGGTCTGCTTTGTCCAGAGCTGAGTTCAAGTCCTGAATATCCTTGTTAATATTCTGTCTCGTTGATCTGTCCAATATTGACAGTGGGGTGTTAAAGTCTCCCACTATTATTGCATGGGAGTCTAAGTCTCTTTGTAGGTCTCTAAGAACTTGCTTTATAAATCAGGGTGCTCCTATATTTTGTGCATATATATTTAGGATAGTTAATTCTTCTTGTTGCATCGATCCCTTTACCATTATGTAATGGCCTTCTTTGTCTCTTTTGATCTTTGTTGGTTTAAAGTCTGTTTTATCAGAGACTAGGATTGCAACCCCTGCTTTTTTTTTTCTTTCTTTCCATTTGCTTGGTAAATATTCCTCCATCCCTTTATTTTGAGCCTATGTGTATCTTTGCACACTGATAAGTCTTGGCTCTTTATCCAACTTGCCAATCTGTGTCTTTTAATTGGGGCATTTAGTCTGTTTACATTTAAGGTTAATATTGTTATGTGTGAATTTGATCCTGTCATTATGATGCTAGCTAGTTATATAGCCTGTTAGTTGATGCAGTTTGTTCATAGTGTCGATGGACTTTACAATTTGGTATGTTTTTGCAGTGGCTGGTACCAGTTTTTCCTTTCCATATTTAGTACTTCCTTCAGGAACTCTTGTAAGGCAGGCTGGTAGTGATATTTCTCAGCATTTGCTTGTCTGTAAAGGATTTTATTTCTCCTTTGCTTATGAAGCTTAGTTTGGTTGGATATGAAATTCTGGGTTGAAAATTCTTTTAAGAATGTTGAATATTGGCCCCCACTGTCCTCTGGCTTGTAGGGTTTATGCAGAGAGATCCGCTGTTAGTCTGATGGGCTTCTTTTTGTGGGTAACCCAACCTTTCTCTCTGGCTGCCCTTAACATTTTCCCTTCATTTCAACCCTAGTGAATCTGATAATTATGTGTCTTGGGGTTGCTCTTCTCGAGGAGTGTCTTTGTGGTGTTCTCTGTATTTCCCGAATTTGAATGTTGGCGTGTCTTGTTAGGTTGGGAGAGTTCCCCTGGATAATATCCTGAAGAGTGTTTTCCAACTTGGTTTCACTCTCCCCGTCACTTTCAGGTAGACCATTCAAACGTAGGTTTGGTCTTTTCACATAGTCCTATATTTCTTGGAGGCTTTGTTCATTCCCTTTTATTCTTTTTTTTCTAATCTTGGTCTTCATGCTTTGTTTCATTATGTTGATCCTCAATCTCTGATATCCTTTCTTCTGCCTGATCAATTCGACTATTGATACTTGTGTATCTTCATGAAGTTCTTGTGCTGTGTTTTTGAGCTCCATCAGGTCATTTATGTTCTTCTCTAAACTGGTGATTCTAGTTAGCAATTCCTCTAACCTTTTTTCCAGGTTCTTAGCTTCCTTGCATTGGGTTAGAACATGCTCCTTTAGCTCAGAGGAGTTTATTACCCACCTTTTGAAGCCTACTTCTATCAATTCATCAAACTCATTCTCCATCCATTTTTGTTCCCTTGCTGGCGAGGAGTTCTGATTCTTTGGAGGAGAAGAAGGCCAAGGCCTTTTTTTTTTTTTGAAATGGAGTCTCGCTCTGCAGCCCAGGCTGGAGTACAGTGGCACGATCTCGACTCACTGCAACCTCCACCTCCCAGTTCCAGGTTCAAGCAATTCTCCTGCCTCAGCCTCCCGAGTAGCTGGGATTACAGGAATGCGCCACCATGCCCAGCTAATTTTTGTATTTTTAGTAGAGATGGGGTTCCACCACGTTGGTCAGGCTGGTCTTGAACTCCTGACATCATGATCCGCCTGCCTCAGCAGCCTCCCAAAGTGCTGAGATTACAGGTCTGAACCACTGCACCTGGCCCAAAGTCTTTATAGTTAACTGCAAGGTCCTATGTGGTTATAATCTCCTTCTCCTCATCTTTACCTCTCTTATTCTATGTACTCCAACCACACCATTTCCCCTGGATTCCTCAAACATATGCCATGCTCCTGTCTTTATATTAACTGGTCTTTCTTCTTGGAACACCTCTCCCCCAGATAGCCATATGGTTAACTCCATTACCTCCTTTGTGTTTTTGCTTAAACATTATCTTCTCAGTGAGGACAACTGTGAACACCACATGCCAGTCCAATCTCTCTTACTCTTCTGAATTTCATAGCACTTTTCATCTTCTAAATTGTTATAAAGTTTACTGATTTATTATGTTTACTGCTTATTTTCTGTCATTCCATTAGAAGGGAAGCTCTATGAGTGCAGGTGTTTTTGTATTTTGTATAATTCTGTCTCCTAAGTACCTAGAACAAAGACTGGTAAAAAGGAGATGCATAATAAATATTTGTTGAGTGGTGAACCAATCAATGAGTTATTATTAATATAGAACTAGCATATATGTAACACAATATAGACCCAAAGTCTTTTCATGGAGCAGGAATACAGTGAAATACAGTTACATCCCAAATGCCCATTAACTGGTAAACAGATAAACAAACTTTTGTATAGCCATACAATGGAAGGCAACCTAGAACAAAAAGGAACAAAATACAGATACACAGAGCAACATGGATGAATATCAAAAACATATGAAACAAGCCAGATTAAAAAAAACTGTACATAATATTATTCCATTTGTAAGAAATTTTAGATAAATCAAAAGTATGGACATGGAAAGCAGGTTGGCAGTTCCCTAATGCCAAGGGTGGTACAGGGATGTGAAACAGGAATTAACTGCAAAAGGACATGATGGAATACCTTAGGGATCTCAAAGTTTTCTGACACTTGAGTGTGCTGTTGGTTGGACTACATGTTTATTAAAACTTATTGAACTGTTTGCTTTAAATGGGTACATTTTAGGGTCCATAACTTATTCTTCAAAAAGCTGCAAGCAAGCCTGGGCAATATAGTGAGACCCTATCTCTACAAAAAAAAAAAAAATTACAAATAATTAGCTGGGCATGGTGGCAGGCACCCATAGTCCCAGCTACTCTGGAGGCTGAGGTGGGAGGATTGCTTGAGCCCAGGAGTTCAAGGCTACAGTAAGCAATGATTATACCACTGCACTCCAGCCTGGGCCACAGAGCAAGACGCTGTCTCAAAAACAAAAAACAAACAAAAAAAGCTGCAAGCAATAAACAAACAAATACAGTTAATTCTGACCACCTACTATTAGAATTTAATCTTTCTTTAATTCAGGAAGCACTTCACAATCTTAGGGCACCTTCAGAATGAATGAGCACCTCTGTGTGGCAAAAATGTGGATTTAGTAATTTGCTAAAGTTCAGAGCCTTCTCTGTACTAACCTACTGGGCATCCCTAGCACTTGGAGGAACAAACTTCTTCTTTTTTATTTTTATTTTTATTTATTTATTTCTTTTTGAGACAGAGTCTCACTCTGTTGCCCAGGCTGGAATGCAATGGCTCAACCTCAGCTCATTGCAACCTCCGCCTCCCAGGTTCAAGTGATTCTCCGGCCTCAGCCTCCCAAGTAGCTGAGATTACAGGAGTGCACCACCACGCCTGGCTAATTTTTGTATTTTTAGTAGAGACAGGGTTTCACCATGTTGGCCAGGCTGGTCTCAAGCTCCTGACCTCAGGTGATCCGCCCACCTCGGCCTCCCAAAGTGCTGGGATTACAGGCATGAGTCACCACTCCCAGCTGGAGGAACAAACTTCTCTTCCTCCACTGTTAGGATCATGTATTTGTAGGCTGCAACACCCACCCTCCACCGTACCCATACTATGACCTCCGCCACAGGAGAGTCCATACCTCACTTATCCTTATGCCCATGTGCTAGAGGTACCACGCCCATGGGAAGTCCTCAGTCAATTCTAGGTGAATGAGTAGATGATTATTTCAGAGGGGCATACAAAAGAAAATTTACAGTCACAGACAGACTCGATATTCTCTTGCTATGGAGTCAACATTCTATATTATTACCAAAATTTTACATGTATTCCCAGATTTTTTTTTTTGTCCATACTTGGAAGTTACCATTAAGGAGATAACATAAATGCTTATTTTTAATTTATCATCTATGTATTCAGTACCCTCTATTTGCCAGGCAAATTTTGTTAGTTTCTAGGGATGGATGTGATGGTTAACAAAACAAAGATTTGGGCCTTACTGGAAGCAATTATTTTGTGTAAATTGGGCAGTCATATAAAAGATGTCTTTAAGGACTGTTCTCTTTAGATTTTGGTCAATAAATTAAAGATTATTCATTTTATAGCAGTTTTTAGAGTTTTAATACTATGGATGAGTACTTTGTTTTGCTTATGAAATGAAGTAGAGCAAAATTACAGACGCTTTTCCTCCCAGGGTAGGGAGAATGTCTTTGGAAAAGGAAATTCCAGCACCACCCCTTGAGGTCTTTATTTTCCAGCATAAATCTTCCAACTGTGGGGCTCACTCACTAAGCAAGCACACGTGAGCCACACCCCGCCTCTGCAGAGACTCACGCAGGGTGAGGCAGAGGCAAGGTATTTTGTTAATCCTTTTAGCTTGAGCAAGCAGAAGAAGGAAAACTCAGGAAATAAATCACATGAAAATATGAGAACAATAGGAAAGAAAAGCCTGTCTTTCAGGTTTGTTTCCTGTTCTAATACTTGTGGAATGTGGTCTTCTACTGATGCTTAATATAACTAGAATATGCAAAGTTGTAATTCTTTCCTTAACAAAAGTTTTCCTTTATCTGTTAGCATTATCCTGTTCAAACCAGCATCTCTCAGAATTGTTAAAATCTAAGATATAGTAGCCATTTAGTTGCAACTTTACCATAGAGTAACATTTTACAAAGTAAACATTAGTTACATATACAGAGTTTTCACTGAGTTTATATTATCTAGTAAAGCTCCCATTTGCTTTTTATATTTTTCTAAGTAAGCTGACTCTTACAAAATGTAGCCAAGTTTTGAAGACATACAAAGTTTTTAAAAACCAGAAGATCTTCTAGTAAAAACTACCCAAATAGTTAAAACAACTTTTGCATATCGTTTTTAGTATACTATTAGGAAAACTGCTAAGTTTTCATTCATTTCCTTCCCATTAAGAAATAATTTTTCTATTGCTACAATTCCCATTAGCCAAGGAAATGTCACTAATTCACAGGGTGTCTATGGTCAAATCTAGAAATAAGGGTGTAAATTAATGTAATCTTCATCTGCTTGTATATGGCCACTATCAACCACTGTTGCCTCCCAGGTCACTGCTGTTCTGATCAACCATCTCATCTCTTGGGACTCTGCCTAACCCTTCCCTCCCATCATAATTCCTCCACCCCTAACATCTGGTGTCTCAAAATGAATCCTCACACAGCTGGCAGCATCTGGACAAGGCAGAGACCTCCAGGATTAGTATTCATGGCATTTGTGTTCTGAGGAAGGTTCCTTCTTCTTCCTGCTCCAGGCTAGATTTGGCTGCCTAGAAAAATCTGGCAGTAACCTAAGTTATAGGATTTGGTAGTGGTGACTGTAGTAATTGTAAACCATCTTCTCTAAAGGCACCAAGTTGTATGTCTGCCATTTGGACTTTGACCTAGAAAAGAACTTTCTCACAAATGGTCCAGATTGCCAATGTTTAGGCTTTTGTCCGCTTTAACTTTAACCTAATAGATATAGTGGCTTCCATCCAGGAGGAGTGCAAGTGTCACTTTGGGTACCCCAGGTGGGTGAGTCTAAGACTTCCCACATCAGACAAGCCAGTGAAGTCTGTGTTACAGGGTAGAATGCTTGAAAACCTGATAAGTACAACTTTGTGTCATAAAGGCACACTGGCTTTCAGAAGGGGAAATTCTATCTCACTAATTCACTTTCTTTAGTTTCTTTCTGGAAATAAATGAATAAATCACAGTAGTTCTTTCAGAGCTTGAAAAATATTTAGAGTGTTCCATGGAAAAAATCAGTAGATGCCATTAGTCTATATTTTTAGGAAGGCTAAATAGAAGCTATTCCTCAAACTCAGCCATGGTATGATATGATGCGGCATTATTATAACAGAGAAAAGTAGCGGTGTGCTGAAGGCAGTTCACACAGGCTGGTGGGCCAAATTGTTACATTTCAAGGAATTTTGCAAGCTGTTTGATATCAGTTTTGCTAGCTGGTTGAAGGCCTGTAGAATAGGTTATTGTAGGAGTATTTACATCACAGTAAACAAAGCAGTCTGAGGCCCCCTCCTGCCTCCTCACCCCCAGCCCAAACCAGTTAAGCATTTACCAAGATATCACTGGATAAGAGATTGGTTTAGAAATAGAGAACAAAGGGTGGGACCAATGGGATAAATGCTGAAGAATTATAAATAGATAGCTTCCTCAGAGTTAGGTATTGGGTCTAATCCTGTTTAGCATTTTAATAAATTCCCTAGAGAGAGGTAGTATACAGAGAAATGTCCATGCCTTTCAGATGACATTAAATGTTTCCAGAGTTAAACTATAAACCCATGGGATTAACACCCAGAACTCTTAGTAAAACTGTGTGAGTTCTAATAAGGCAAGAGTAAGGCAATTTGGGGGAAAATTATCTTAAAATTCTCTTGTTAGGTGATAATATCTAACCTTTGCGTTACAACCTAGAAATGAAATTTAGAGATTTCTGTAGACGTTTTCTATGTTCATTAGTATAACTTGTTAGCTGTGATAAAAAGGCCACTTAAATGCCAAGTTCCATCAGAAGCTCTAGAAACCAAGAACAAGAACTGTCCCACTCTTAGAAAGAAAACTTAGTGCACACTTCCTGCAGTTTTGGTTGACATGCTTCAAGGATAATGTAATGGAACTGGAAGAGTTTCAGAGAAAATTGCATAACCTGGTTAGGGTATTATAGGAATCCCAGATGAGGCTGAAGATTATATTAACTAGCAAATCATGAAAGGTCTTGAATAAGGTAAATATAGCTGTATTAAGCAATTCCTGAAAAACTGGAACTATAGTGCACCTCCTTGATCTTTGAAATAAGAATTTATAGAAGTAATAGAAATATGCTATTGTTTCTCAAGGAAAAGAAGAAATGATAGCAACCTTAAAGTTTAACTTTTATCAGTATTTAAAAATTATTACAGTTACATATTTTGAATGTGCAAAAGGTACTGTATATTTCCTCTGATCAGTGACCTCCCTTTATCAGAAAGACTGTCAAAAGGAAGAGTGAAACATTCTCCCTCTTAACTTACCTTTAACCACTTTTGTTTGTTTGTTTTTTTCTTACGGCAACTCAAAGCAAAGAGCTGGAGGAGCCAGCCATTATAATTGCTTACTCTCATCGCTTAGCGCCCCAGGTGGGATGTGTTTCCAAAACACATTTTTGTATTTATAAGGAAATGTAGTTAGGATTAATTTTATTGTCCTAATTAGAACTCACATTTTGGTTAAATCCTCAATTTCATTAAAAAAAAAAAAATCAGTGTTTCTTAAGAGTGAATTAGGCAAAGGGAAGAAGACAATGGATCACACTTTTTTAGGGAAAAGATCTTCCTCACAGTGGTGGGTGGGCTATTTGGGTGTGAAAAAACATAGGGCAACTTAATTAACCATGACAAAACAGACAAGTAAGTGCCTTTCAAAAAAATCAAACAAGGCTCTGCACGATCTTAATAATAAAAATTTTAGAAAAAAATGATTTTCATGTTAGTTCAGAGTTGATTGTCTAGGATAAATTAAAAAATGAAAGCTGTGGTAAATGACCTAAATATATTGCACTTTCTGATATTTTTTACATTTTAATGAAATATATGCCTTCAGCAAAGTGCACACATCATTACAGACATCTCAATGAATTTTCATAAAATGAACACATCCAGTAACCACCATCCAATCTAATGCACCATATACAGATGTTCCATATACTGTATATATATATACACACATTATATATATATAGCATGAAGATTACTTATACTAATTAATCATTAACTGTAAATATGAAGAATATTTATTTGTATTCATATTTTTAAGAAGATTGAGATTTAACAGGATATTATAGAAGGGTTTAATTCACCTTTCAAGTTTGTTATAGTTTTTTTCCCCTTTTGTGTATTTTAATCACTTTATTTCACAGTAATTCTTTTGAAATAAAGGAGAGGTCAGCACTCCAGAGTTTTAGGTGGGAGACAGCAAAAAGTATATTTTGTTGATCTCACACGTAGACCTACCATTTAGATTTGTTGTCAAGCCTGATTGAGGCCATTAGTGCCGTTTTTAAAAAATTATATTTGTTAAAAGGAAGATAATTTTTAAAACGAGAAAAAAATGGGCACAAGACATGAGAGTGCCACAATACTGCAAATAGAATGTAAGGAAGGAAATAACTTTTAAGAAACAAATTTTGTTAAATTAAGTACCGTGACTAAATACTTTAATTCCTTTTCTTGTAGCCCGTAAGGATCATTTGACTTTGAACCTTTTAAGTCAAAGAGGAGTAGTCTGAAAGCCTGAACTCCCTACCACCCTGAGGGGGTGCGGGTGCGGCGGGGCCGGCTGGGGGCTTCCCCCACCCCCTGCTCCTGCGCCCTCCCCCCGCTTCCCCCTCCTCCCCTCCCTATCGCCCTCACCCCCCTTCTTCCCCCGTGACCCCTGACCCCAGCTAATCTGCATAGAGGAATGACAGGCATCCGCTGGGCAGGATCCGCCGCGCCGGCTGCGGCCGGCCGGGCTGGGAGACCCGCGCGGGGTAGAAGGTGAGGGGACCCGGCGGGCCGCTCGGCACAGGCCGGGACATGAACGCCTGGAAGTCTGGCTGGGAGCGGACCCATGATCGAAGGACCAAAGGAGCCGCTTGATCGCTGGACCTGGCCCTGCGACCCCAGTCATGGGCCAGACCTCGGTGTCCACGCTGTCCCCGCAGCCCGGCAGCGGTGAGTCCGGGGCGCACGCGATGCGCTCCCGCCGCGCGGGCGCAGGGCTGGCGGCGGGGCCCCGGGGCAGGCAGGGTTAGTCGTCTGGTCGGGTTCCGCTCGGACCCGCCAAGTCCCTCGGAGAAACCCCAGAGGTAGCGCTCGCCAAACTCTTTGTCGTGAAAGAGGAATGCCTTTTGGGATCCAGCCGATTTTACCTTAAAGGCACAGGCTCCATTTTTCTGTGCGCGATGCCTCGCTGTGGTTTTTTATCCAAATTATTTCGGAGCCAGAAACTTACGGGAAACGCCATTTGCGTATTACAGTGTTTTTAAAAACGCGAAACTTAGAGAGCAAGAGAAACATGCCAACAGGTTTTTCTGTATTTACGCTTGGCTTCCGAACAGACTAGGACTGAATGCTTTCAAGCTTGTCAACTGATTTATGGTTTGTTATTCGGAGTAGAAGCGCTGATCGCCTTATCCTGGCAGACGCTGAATACTTAATAACTAGCCCCGAAATGCGTAATTGTTTCAAATGAGACTTGTTTTGTTTATAGTAGATACAGCAGCTATAACATTTAGGGAAACATATCTCATGAACTTAGTTCTCCAGGACTAAAGTTAGTTTTATGGAGACGTGTGTAACGTGTCTGAGTTCTAATGCTCTGTTTTAAAAGTTTCTTTTTTCCATTTTCTTAAACAAAAAGAGGGAAGGAAGGTACGTCTGGCATTTCCCCGACAGTGTAGGGATAAAAAAAAAAAAAACTGTTTGGTGGTGTTACTTGTGATTGGATAAGGAAATAAATTTAAAAGGTACTATTTTGATATTTTTCCATCAACGATTAAAAATAAATAATACTCGAAGGGACCGTTTATGTTACTCATTGAGATATTTGATACACTTTTTAAATTGTGCAAACATCAACAGGATCTTGCTGAAAGGAAATGACAGGGTACAGAGGAAGGTTTTTTAATCTGCCTCAGGATGTCTAGCTAGATAGCATTCTGTCATTCCAACCCCCCACCCCACTTTATACCCAGTGGGTTTCTTTAGGTAGCACAGCTTCACTCCCTGAGATACCACAAGCTTTGCTGAGGTTTCTGTTAATACCACAGAAGACCCTTCTGCAAAGAAGAGACATCAGAATCAGAATATACCTTCTTTACCATTAATGACATGGCTACAGCTCTGAAATCAAAGACCTCATGTTGACAGCTTTTTGAGAGATATTTGCGGGGAGGGGTTGAGTAGGATTTTAAATTTAGTAAACTATTTTGTGCAAATAAGACTTGGTTTCCTTTGTCTTACCTTAAAGTGGTGTGAGACTTCTTTTCATTTCAAGGAAGGGTTATATTTTTACATTTGTGCACCGGCGAAGATAGAATTAAATCTGTACTCCAATACAAGAGTATACAGAAAGTATTGTCCTGAATTTAGTGATTTTATCACAAAATATTACTCGAGTGAATATTAGAAAAGCAAATTTTGCCTTAATAAAAATCAAGGAATATTATATAAATGATGTCTAAGAAGCAAATAAAATCCTAAAGTGAGACTCCCTACGTCTTAGTACAGCAAAAAAACCCGGATTGCTATAATTCCAAATAAAATGACTGATTATAATGAGAAACTGTAATCTACTTAAGTAAAAAGTGTTTTAAACAAAAATTTATGCTTGATCATGAAAGATAATTCAGAGAAATATCTCACGGAACGGTGTTATACTTAAATTGCAGGTCCTCAGTTTTGCGGATTAAAAGTTTGTATGAATTGAAATGACCAATCCATACATCATAAATACAGGGTTTTTTATTTTTCAGTTAAGGAATGACAGTGGTTATGACTTAAGTTGTGGTATTGTAAAAGAACAGTTTTCTCGTGGTATCCAGTGTCTCTAAATCCGTTAGAGCTACCCTGTTTCCCTGAAGGTTTGCCATCAGATTCCAAATGAAAACCAAAAAAAAAAAAATTTAAATTAAATAACGTTTGCTGAGTTTTATATTCATGTCTGTATTTTTCTGAGTCTGAGACTGTCAAACTCTCTACTATTCCAGGTATTTTGTTCACTCCTTGTTAACTGTTTAACTCTGGCTTTACAGATGGCGTGAAGATCCTTGTTCTGTTTGATCTTAGCCATTGACTAGTTGTTTAAGTCTGGAGCAGCTGCTTAGGATTACAGTATTAAAGATGATTCTCATCTTAAATGCTTAGTGGGCGAAAATCTGTTTAAGTCAAAGGAATCAATAGCACAGAGTTTAATTATTCATACTTATCGCTCAATTTGGCCTTTTGTAAAAATCTTCATTATAGGCTAGAAGTTAGCTTGCTTTCCCCGTTTTGACTTTAGGCTCTCTAGAGCCTTTCAGTTTAGGTTGCACCTAATTCTCTGGGTTCTAGGAAGACCATTAATAATTTTTTCTGAAAATATGCAGTTAGATCCATTATTAAAAAGAACAGCTGTATTGATGTATAATTCACATACTATAAAATTCACCCATGGAAAGTGTACAGTTCATTGTTTTTCAGTGTGTTCACAGTGTTGTGTGACCCTCAATCTCTGTTCCCACCCTATTCAACCAGTGGGCTCTACCTTAATGAAACACTAATCAACTTTTCTGTCTCTATAGATTTTCTTATTGAGAACATTTCATGTCAATGGAATCATAATGTGTCATTTTGTGACTGGCTTCTTTCAGTTAGCATAATGTTTTCAAGGGTCATCCATGTTGTAGCATGTATCAGTTGTTCATTTCTTTTTATTGCCAAATAATATTCTACTGTATGAATATGCCACATTTTATTTATCCATTTATCAGTTGATGGACATTTGGGTTATTTCTGCTTTGGGCTATTTATGAATAATGCTGCTCTGAACTTAATGTACAAGTTGTTGTGAAGATATGTTTTCATTTCTCAGGTATATATTTAGTAGTGGAATTGCTAGATTATATGGTAGGTAGTTCTATGTTTAACCTTTTATGGTGTTGCCAAACAGTTTCCAAAGAAGTTAGACCATTTTACATTCCCACCAGCAGTGTATGAAAGTTACAGTTTCTCCACATCCTTACCAACATTTGTTACTGTCTTTTTGATTATAGCCATCTTAGTAGGTGTGAAGTTATATCTCATGGTTTTGATTTCCTTTTCCCTAATTACTAATGACCTTGAGCATCTTTTCATGTGCTATTGGCCATTTGTATATCTTCTTTGGAAAAAATGTCTTCAGATCCTTTGCCTAATTTTAGTTGGATAATTTGACTTCTGTTGGAGTTTTAGTTCTTTGTATACTAGATCCAAATCCCTTGTCAGGTACATGATTTGCAAATATTTTCTGCCATTCTCTGGGTTGTCTTTTCATCTTGGTAGAGTGATTTGCAGCTCAGAATTTTAAAGTTTTGATGATGAGCAGTTTATCAATTTTTTTCTTTTGTTGTTTGTGTTTTTGGTATCACATCTGAGAACTACAGCCTAACCAAGGCAAGAAGACTTACACCTGTGTTTTCTTCCAAGCGTTTTATAATTTTGGCTGTTACATTTAGGTCAGTAATACATTTTGAGTTAATTTTTATGTATGGCGTCATGTAGGGTTTCATTCTTTTACATGTGAATATCCAATTGTTCCAGCACCATTTGTTGAAATGACCGTTCTTTCCCCATTGAATGGTGTTCCACCGTTGCCAAAAATTGATTGACTGTGTACATAAGGGTTTACTTCTGGATTCTCAATTCTGCTCCATTGTCTCTTCTTATGCCAGTTACCACAATGTCTAGATTACTGTAGCTTTGTAGTAAATTTTGAAACCTAGAAGTATGAGTTTTTCAATTTTGTTCCTTTAAAAGTTTCTACTGGTTATTCTGGTTCCCTTACATTTTCATATGAATTTTGCAATCAACCTGTCAATTTCTGCAAAAAAGCCAATTAGAGTTTTGATAGCAATGATATTGAACCTGTAGATCAATTTGGGTAGTACTGCTGTCTTAACAATATGAAGTCTTCTAATCCATGAACATAGATGCCTTTCCATTTCTTTGTATCTTCTTTCTTTTCACCATGTTTTGTAGTTTTCAGTGTAGTGCAGTGGTGCGATCATGGCTTATCCACTGCACCCTCAACCTTCTGGGCTCAAGCGATCCTCCAACCTCAGCCTCCTGAGCAGCTGGGACCACTGGTGCCCACCACCATGCCCAGCTACTTTGTATTGTTGGTAGAGATGGGGTTTTCTGTGTTGCCCAGGCTGGTCTCAAATTCGAGATCTCAAGAGATCCACCCACCTGGGCCTTCCAATATTGCAGGGATTATAGGCATGAGCCACCATGCCTGGCCTGAACTCATTTTTTAGTCCTAGTAGTTTTTCAGTGGATTCCTTATGATTTTCTATATACATGATCATACTATATACAAGATCTATTTACATGTGCAAAGAAACAACATTTTAATTCCTCCTTTTAGAGTTGAATGCCTTTTATTTTATTTTTTTCTTACTTAATAGTTCTGGCTAGAACCTTTAGTCCAATGTTAAGTAGAAGTGGCAGTTGTGAGCATTTTTGTCTTGTTCCTGATCTAACAAAAAAAGTTGTTTTTTTGTTTTTTGTTTTTTGTTTTTTTTTACCATTAACTGTGCTATTAGCTATGGGTTTCTTCATAGGTTCACTTTGTCAAAAAGTTCTCTGCTATTCCTACTTTGTCAGTGTTTTTATCATGAAAGATTGTTCAATTTTGTCAAAGGTTTTTCCTGCCTCTATTGAGGTGATCATATGGTTTTTGTCCTTTATCCTATTCATTTGTCATGTTACGTTAATTGATTTTTGGTTGTTAAACCAACCTTGCATTCCTAGGATAAATCCCACTTGGGTAATGTGTATAATCCTTTTTGTATGTTGCTGGGTTAGGTTTACAAAAGTATTTTACTGAGAATTGGATCCATTATTTCTAAGTACAGGCTAAAACGATATGCCCTCAAATAGGATGGTTTCGGTACCCTCTGGCATCATGCCCTAGGAGGATTGAGACTTCTAGTATTTCATTGTGAAGTGTAGAGCATGGTAGATTGGATACAATACATTTTTGATGAATATATGAATGAGTCAACAAATAGTCTCAATAAGCAGCCTGACTGCTTTAAACCAATGATTATATGAATGAGAGGTATGTATTTTTTATATTCTTTTTTTAGTCCAAGAATTACATTACTCTGGCTCTATTGTCTGAAGGGTGGTATCTGAATCTAGTAATTATTTCTTCTAGTTTTTTCCAACCCCACCCCATTTTCACGGTGCCACAGATCAGCACTTGGCTGCTTCTCCTCAATCCTTGGGTTGAAAGGGCAGACAATGCCACTGTCCCCATTTTTAAGAGACAAGAGAACAAGTAAATAAAGTGTGCAGGATCACACCTATGTTGTGATAGAACCTGTATTCATCTGTGTCTCTGGGTTTCCAAGTTTTGTTCAGGGCCCTGTATTTGTCTTGTCCAGAATATTTATCCATTTCCTTGTAAACCAGGCACAGGAAGAGGTCCTAAAGGCAAAAGCTGATGGAGTTTGTTTTCTTTATTCCATAATATATACATGGTAGGAAGTCAAACATTACAAGATGGTTTGGGATAAAAATGAATTTACTCCCTCCCAGAATCCTCCAGTCCCACTTTTCATCTATAACCCAGCATGAACAGTTTTTTTCATTCCACACAGTTTTCATTCATAGATATATCTTTATCAGCAGTCAAACAAGACATACTATACTTACTGCTCTATACTTTGAATTTTTCGTGTAATATAACTTGAAAATACTTCCAACTTGTTCTCTTTAATTCTATAAATGAACACTATTATAGTATGTGGATATATGAAAACTTCCTTTAAAAGAATCCTGTTGTATTTTAATATTGTTCCTGGGTTCTTTGCATATGTATATGCTCTTATGAACAATACTGAAATGAACATCCATATCTATGACCTCTCTCTGCACTCCAGGCTCAAATATGCAACTCCCTATTTGACAGGTCTGCTTGAAAACTTGCTGGGCATCCCAGAGGTAACATGGATCTAATGGAAGGTTTGATTTTGTCCTCCAAGCCAGTTCTTCCCTTGACTTTCTACATTTCACCAAATGATACCCCAACCACTCACTTATTCTAGCCCAAGATCTAGGAGTTATTCTTAGGTTTTCCTTTCCCCCTCCACATGGATCCATCAGCAGGTCTTGTTCTTTTTTCTTCCCAAATATATCTCAAGTCCATGCTCTTCTGTCTGTCCCTACTGCCACTATCCAAGCTCTGAGGCCATCCATTACATGGACAACTATAAACTACATGTCCTAATGACATATTAGCAGTAGAGTTGCTAGGTCAAAAGATTTGTGTGTTTTATTTTGATAGACTTTGCTACATTATTCTCAAAGAGGCTTTCTCAGTGTTATCTGCTTATTATATGAGAATTTCTGTTTCTGTACTCTGTCACCACCACTGAATATCAGGGTCACTCTTAGCCCATAGCCTCGTGAGAATTAGAAGTCACTTCCTCTGGGTGAGGCAGCTAGCTCCACAGCACAGACTTAACAAGTGGAACTTTAGCATGTATTTAATTCCCACTCATTCTCTTACCTATGTGTCCTTCTGCAGTCAACACTCTACACAACTGTACATGACCACAATGCTGTGCATAAATAATTTTTTAGACTCTTTGTAAATCTATATGTAAAAAATGGCATCTTATTTTGATTATGAGTGATGTAGGACATTTATATTTCTTTTTCTTTGAATTGCCTATTTATAGACTTTCCTTATTTTTATGGTTTCTTACAAATTTGTATATTCAGGAGATTAACCTAATGTCTATCATATATTTTAACATTAAAAATTTTTTTCTTGTACCTTAAGTTTGTTTATAGTACTTTTTTATAGAAACCTTTAAATTTTTAAGTCAAGTTGATTAGTCGTTTTCTTTCTTACAGACTAGGGCTATTTCAAAAATGCTTTCCTCTGCTATTTTTCTCATGTTTTGAATATTTGATCTCTGTAATTTATTCTAGCTTAAGATGAATAGATTTAATAGTATAAAATTTTTAAACTTTTACATGGCCAAAAAAAATTAACATCAGAAAGTTGAAAAGGAAAATCATAAAGTTGAAAGAAATATTTAATTATATATGGAAAATAATAGTTAATATCATTAATGTAGTAAGACCTCTTAAAAGTCAGTAACAAAAAGATAAGCAACCACATAGGAAAACAAGTAAACAACATGAACAGGCATTTTCCAAAATACCTAATGGTTACAATTGTGAACTCACTATGGGCCAGGAACTACTCTAAGTGCTTTACTTGAATTAACTTTTTAAAACTTATGACGTTCATCCGGGGTAACTAATATTAATATCCCCATTTTATAAATGAGGAAAACCAAAGTACGAGAGCTAAGAAACTTGCCTATGTTACCTGACCAAAGAAGAACATAAGTGATCACTTGGTAAATGAAATAAGGTTTAAGCAATTAAATGAAAAAAAAAAAAAAAAAGGGATGCAACTGATCACCTATGAGTTTAGCAAAGATTAAAATGAGTAATTCCCAAAAGACAATTGTTTTGTGGTAATTTAAATTGGTACAACTTATCAGAAAAGCAGTTTGGCAATATATATTAAGTCATAAAATGTGCACTTAGGCCGGGCGTGGTGGCTCACACCTGTAATCCCAGCACTTTGGGAAGCCAAGGCAGGTGGATCACCTGGGGTCAGGAGTTTGAGACTAGTCTGAACAAAATGGTGAAACCCCGTCTCTATTAAAAATATAGAAATTAGCCAGGTGTGGTGGCGGGCGCCCGTAATCTCAGCTACTTGAGAGGCTGAGACAGGAGAATTGCTTGAACTCGGGAGGCGAAGGTTGTAGTGAGCCAAGATTGCACCATTGTACTCCAGCCTGGACGACAGAGTGAGATTCTGTCTCAAAAAAAAAAAAAAAAGTGCACTTAGACTACACTTAGACCCAGTAGTTCTGCTCATAGAAGTATATTGTAAAAGAAATAATTAATTGCTCATAAAAACAATTTTTACAAAAGCCAAAAATTGGAATTAACTTAATAGTCAAGCATCAAGAGACTTGTTGAATTGATTGAGATAGACATGTGGTAGAATAAGCCATTTAAAAATGATGTAAAAATATTTTTAAAAGGCAATTTTTATGATAAATAACATCAACATGTGAAAAGGCAGGTTATGAAGTAATATGATTCCATTTTTAAAATATGTAAAGAAAAATTTATATGTACACACACATAGAGGAGAGGAACTTCATTCTTTTTTTTTTTTTTTTTTTTTTTTGAGACAGAGTCTCGCTCTTTTACCTAGGCTGGAGTGCAGTGGCATGATCTCGGCTCACTGCAACCTCCACCTTCTGGTTTCAAGTGATTCTCCTGCCTCAGCCTCCCAGGTAGCTGGAATTACAGGCGTGAGCCACCATGCCCAGCTAATTTTTGTATTTTAATAGAGATGAGATTTCATCATGTTGGCCAGGCTCGTCTCGAACTCCTGACCTCGTGATCCACCTGCCTCGGCCTCCCAAAGTGCTGGGATTACAGGTGTGAGCCACTGCGCCCACCCAGGAACTTCATTCTTGAAGAGTTAGTGTGACAGTCATGGCTTTCCCCTGCTTTGGACATGATCGAACCCAAGGTTTCCATATCCACTGTCCACCTGGACCTTGACCGTAATTAAAGTCATGAGCTCACCTGCAACTGTACTAGCTTTTCTCCAGCTGCGTGGATTCTGAGCTTTAAGCTCAGTGGCTGGTTTTCAGCTACTTTTTTTTCCTTTGTCAGTGATGAAAATGAAAACATTGGTCCCAATATAGCCACCTTCTTTTTAGGTTTAATTGTTTTTTTAGTCTGTTCGATAATAATGTGAATGTCTCTTACTTTGAGAGAAAGAATGTGAGCAAAATTTCAACATCACCTACTTCTCTTTGGTCCATAGCTCATCAGATTTGGTCAGTGACTAATATCCCAAATATTTTAATTTTATTTTTAGCAGTCTGAAATAGAAAATAATAAATTTATTTTATTTTTAGCAGTCTGAAAACATAATGACTAATGAGCAAGTCACACGTCACCTCTTGCCTTCTTAATGCAGTGGGGAAGGAAACAAGAATTGTAAGAATTGGTCTTACAATTAAGCCTATTTAATTTGAATAGAGGGAAAATTCCAACATCTTTTCTTTGGGGACTTTACTGTAGCAGGTTAACTGCTAGTCTCTATTCTTGGGAGAAAATATTAATATTTAGTGAAGACTCAACTGATGCAAAAGTGATATTAAGGATAGAAATAGTCTTAAGAAAATAAACACTTCTTGTTTCCTCCCCACAAAAGCAGGGGAACAAAAACCAAAACTACAGAAATGCGGAAAGGAATGGGCAAATCACATTACTTGCTAAAAGGTCGGTCTAACCATTATCATTTATATTTATAAACCATCCCTCCATTTATTTTCATTTCAAGGGGCTGGATGTTTTTATTCACATCAACCTTCTGGCAAGTAAAACACTGCAGCCCTTAACACTAAGGAAATTTGGCTGCCAAGGAAGGACTGAAGTGCTATTTTGCTTAAGAATATCCTGGAAAGCTGTGCTGGTATGTGCTTGGCAGGTATAGTCCTACAAATCAGCCTGTTTTATGAGGGGATATTAAGAAGGAGAAGAGTGGCACCTTCATGCAGCAAACAGTTCCTAAATTAAAGTTATTATGTGTAAGGTGTTATGCTAAGCAAGGTGGGAAGTTTCAAAGATAAATCCTACACAGACCCTGCCCACAAAGCGTCCAGTCTAGAAGATGCTTAGTGAAAATGTGCAGAAATGAGAGTGGAAGGGAAGGGATATGTAGAGAATTGTAGGACTAGATCAGGAGGCAAAACACATAATGGGGACAAGAATTCAGGCTCTGAAAAGGAAAGGGGTGGAAGGCAATACTGAAAGCCACAGGCAATGGGAACCACTGACGCTTTTTTTTTTTTAAATCAAACCAGAGAAATGATTATTGCTTTGCCTCCGGAGATGAGTTGGCCTGCCGCATGCAGTATAGATTTCATGGGGAGAGACTGAAAGTGGGACCAAGAAGTAGGCTGGAATAATCCAGCAAGGTGAAGTGGATGCCTGATCTGGGGTGAGGGGTGGGTAGAGAAATGGGAGTAGGGTCTCACCCAACTCTCAACTCCCAGAGTTACCCAGTTTGTGTCTGCAACTCTGACCTTTCTCTGCACTGCAGGCTCAAATGTGCAACTCCCTATTTGACAGGTCTGCTTGAAAACTTGTGGGCATCCCAGAGGTAACATAAGTCTATACAGAAGGTTTGATTTTGTCCTCCAAGCCAGTTCTTCCCTTGACTTTCTACATTTCACCAAATGATACCCCAACCACTCACTTATTCTAGCCCAAGATCTAGGAGTTATTCTTAAGTTTTCCTTTCCCCCTCCATATGGATCCATCAGCAGGTCTTGTCCTTTTCTCTTCCCAAATATATCTCAAGTCCATGCTCTTCCGTCTGTCCCTACTGCCACCGTCCAAGCTCTGGGGCCATCCATTACATGGACAACTGCAGTAGATTCCAGCTGCTCTCCTGCTTCTGTTCCCACCCTTCTGCAATTCATTTTCCACAGAACAGCTAAAGTAATTTCTTAAAGCATAAATCATGTCACTCACTCACTCAAAACCTTCCTGTCCTCCCACTGCACTTGGAATGAAATCCAGATTGCATAGTATGGCCCTCGAGGCTCTACATGAGCCTATATGATCCCTGCCCACCTCTCTGACCTCATCTTCCATCACTTTGCTCTGGTCCCCTCACTGCCTTTTTCAGTCCTCAAACAAGCCTGGATCAGTCCCACCCATGGACCTTGGCCGTTGCTGCACCCTGTTTGAGACACTCTTCCCTTCGCTCTTCGCCAAGCTGACTCCTTGTTTCGGCTGGATCCTTGTGCTTCATAGAGACCTTCCCTGCCTACCCCTCTCCAGAATAACCCACCCAGGTCCCACCCACAGCTCTCTGTGCCTTCACTGCACTTAGCACTCAGATGATCTTGTTTGTTTGTTTTATTCATTGTCTCTCTTTTCTAGAACATAAGCTCCATGATCTAAAAGACGTTATCTGTCTTGTTCACCAATGTCTCTTCTTATTCCTAGGTATATGCCTGACACCAAAACTATTTGTCAAATAAATGAATAGCTCTGTTTGGCCAGGTCATACATTAGTAGAGTAGTGGGAACTGAGTAGAAAGTTCAGGGGCATCTAAGAAATGTGGAGTTGTTTAAACTGATTCTTTAATTCTCCAGTCTCTAAATAGCATGCTCTTTGCTACCTATTGATTGATTTTTCAGCATGACACATTATCTACTGAGCTCACAGTATGGAAACCGAACACGTAGTTCTCTTTTTTACCCTACCCCAACCCCTGCCTCTCCCCATTTCAGAATCATACATTTCCTATTATTTCCCATTTTCCCATTTTCTCATCTTCTCAAGTCTTTTTTTTTTTTTTGAGATGGAGTGTCGCTCTGTTGCCCAGGCTGGAGTGCAGTGGCCTGATTTCAGCTCACTGCAACCTCCGGCTCCTGGGTTCAAGTGATTCTCCTGCCTCAGCCTCCCGATTAGCTGGGATTACAGGCACCTGCCACCACGCCCGGCTAATTTTTGTATTTTTAGTAGCGACAGGGTTTCGCCAGGCTGGTCTTGGCAATCTGGTCTTGAACTTCTGAACTCAGGTGATACACCCACCTCAGCTCCCAAAATGCTGGGATTACCCGTGTGAGCCACTGTGCCCAGCCCCAACATTCTTATATTGTGTTTTTGATTTTATCAGTCATCCATGTAATAGCAGAAATGCCAACGATAGCTAAGGCTTGTGGTAAACCACGATTTCTTTTTCTCTCCTGCATACCTTTTGTTTTTCCTACTGGTGTTTTTGTTAGCTTGCTAAGTGTCCTACATACCATCCCCACACTTTCTCTTGTTATGTATTTAACGAATCGCTTCTCAATATGTTCAAATACTCGAGTTATTCTTACAGGTTCATCTTTAAGAGCTTCATACATAGCCTTTGTCCTCTTCCCATGTGGACTGGATTTTCTCTGAGCCCACTGTCCAGCTGTTGTCTTGGGATCTCTCTTCATCACACCAGGGGGATTCCTTCCACTTTCCTCTTGCATTGAATCTTCAGATTGCTGGATCCCATGCCCCCTTTTTTTTTCTGGGTCTATTTCCTTATTTTGGCAGAGCACACAGGGTGCTTCTTGAGAAAAGCTCACGGGGTGTATGGTTTTTGAGTCTTTGTATTAGAACGTGGCTTTATTCTGGCTTCATGCTTGGTCGAGAGCTTGGCTGGGACATAAGGTAGCAAAGCAGACTTGCTGCAGTATGCACAAACACTGCCATCCCTCCCAATTAATCAGGATGAACGTTTTCCTTTTATCTGGAAGACTTAGTTTTTCTCTTTAGCAGATAGCTTTTAACTGATTTCAAAAGACTTTCTTGGGTGATGGTCACACAAGATCTCAACTTTGACCTGGCTTGTTGCAATGGTCTAAAAAATATTTTATGGACGTTTAAAAGTTTTGTGGTACATAGACTAATTTAAAAATGTGTTTACTGTGATAATAATGTGCTGGCATTTTTTAAGAAGACTCACATTTAAGATCTACATTGAATAATTGTGGTATTCCTGTATTTTTCTGTGTTTTTATTTTAGGGATGCGTCATCTTTATGGGATGCTCGTTCTGATAGGATCCTGGGGGTATTACAAACTACCATTGATATTTCACAAAAGTGCCCAATTGTGAAACTCACCTAGTGTGCAAAATACTGATTGCTGGGTCCCATATTATAGGTCAGCAAAATCAAAGTCTTTTGGAGAGGGGTCTCAGAGTCTGTGTTCTCAACAAACATTCCAGAGGATTCCTAAGGTGAGAAACATCTTCTGGAAAACAAATTATAGGTTAGTGGTACTGTACAGATGGTCCTCAACTTATGATGGGATTACATCTTGATAAGCCCATCATAAAGTAAACAAAAATAGTAAGTCAAACCATGGTAAGTCAGGGACCTTCTGTATTTAAATTAAAAAAAAAAAATTCTCATTTGAATCTTTATGTGTGTCTTTCTCTTTACTTGAGGCAAAAGTTACAAAATATCCAGTTCAGAGACTCAGATGTTCTGTACACAAATGCCGGGATGAATTGGGTCATTCATATTTACTGTTCATGAGCAAATATTCCTATTGTCAAGTAGAATGTTGAGATTCTGATGGAATATTATTGCCAGAAACCTGTTTGCTTTTATGTACATTTTGTTAATATTATAAGCAGCAAAATGATGCATTTCCCACAACAACTAGGTTTGAAGTAAATATATAGTTACATTCGAAGGCAAGGAAGTTATCAGCAGAATGCCAATTACTGTTTAGGAAAAGACCACAGAATTTCAACTCGTTGCCTTTTCAAGAAGACCTCTGTGAACTTCATCTGGGGTTGCTGCATACTAATTACTTAACCCAAAACCAAAGTCAAAGAACAGGGCACTAGATGAAAATAGCTGTTTAATAATGAGAAGGAAGAACTATAAGAAAGATTTTTGTAAAATACATTTCTGAAAAGGAGGCTGAGCCCTTTTCCCTTTTAGAACTGTAGGCGGCAAATTCTGAAAATTCCAAAAGGAAGCAATCATTTATTTAAGACTTCTGTTCATGCATTCTGTCTTGGATAATGTTTGGCTTTTTATTTTCGCCTCTGTTTGTACTTCAGGCATCCTTTCCTTTCAATTGTGTGCCTATTTGCAGCCCATTGCCCACTGTGAAGTAAATTCCATTCAGTCTTAATTGGGGTCTCTTAAAAGCTTTTTCTAAAGAATTTTTCAGCCTCCCTATGGAAGGCCACTGTTCGTTGCCTAAGGTGTTTCAGGGTGTGCTGAGCATTCCCTCTGACCTTCCTTCTTGTATAAAGATGTTTCTGACAACAGCTGGGTGGCTCACAGGACTGGGGAGGGCAGTCTAAAGGGATGATTCAGGATTGCACTGATCAATTTCATCTATTATAAAGGGATTTTGTGTTTTTCAAAATTTCTTCTGCATCTGTAAAGTTAGCTTGTGTTGACCTGCCAACCTGTTTATGAAAGAGCCGGGTGAGAATGGAAACTTGGAATAAACCAGAACAAGTTAACTGAGCTCATGCCGTGGGTTCCTGTTGGCCTGACTGCGCTGTTTCATTTTCCTAAAGGCCTCTAAACCAGAATTGTATACATCTAATGTTCTGTCGCTTGGAAAGTACTTGACTGCCAATTTTTTAAAGAAAACATGAAAAGAATAAAATCAAACATGAGATTTTTAGAAGAATTTAGAACTGTACACTTTTAAAAAACTGAATCCCCTTCAGTCATCCAACCACAGAATGTCAGAACACACGTATACCTCATTTTCCAAACAAGAATGTTTTAATTTAGGAAGCCATTATAAAGTAATCATAGCAAAATCCTTCAAAGAACTTTTCTTTTTCCTTCTTTCAAGTGGGCTGAGGTGGAGGTGAGGTTGAAAGCTGTGTGACATTTTCACTTTACCTTCGACATGTTAATAAATAACTTTGCAGATAATAGTAAATGTCTGTACAGTATTCGTCTGCTAAGGCTGTCGTAACACCATACCACAGACTGAGTGGCTGCAACAACAGAAATGTATTTCCTCACTGTTCTGGAGGCTAGAGGTCTAAGATCAAGGTGTCAGCAGGGTTAGCTTCTGCTCAGAGCCTCTGTCTTTAACTTGTAGATGTCTGCCTTCCCTCTGTGTCCTCATATGGTCCATCCTCTGTGCCCACACACATCTGTGCTCAAATATTTTCCTCTTATAAGAACCCCATTGGAGTAGGGCCCACCCATATGACCTCATTTTACCTTAATTTTACTTTTTTAAAGGACCTGTATTCAAATATGGTCCCATGTTGAGGTACTGGGAGTTAAGACTTTAACGTATGAATTTTGAGGGACACAATTCAGCCCATAGTAGTGTCCTTTTTTTGTTTTTGTTTTGTTTTTATTTTTTTGAGACGGAGTCTTACTCCATCACCCAGGCTGGAGTGCAGTGGTGTGATCTTGGCTCACTGCAACCTCCACTTCCCAGGTTCCAGCGGTTCTCCTGCCTCAGCCTCCCAAGTAGCTGGGACTACAGGCACGCACCACCACACCTGGCTAATTTTTGTATTTTTAGTAGAGACGGGGTTTCGCCCTGTTGGCCAGGCTGGTCTCGAAATCCTGACCTCAGGTGATCCACCTGCCTTGGCCTCCCAAAGTGCTGGGATTACAGGCATGAGCCACCGTGCCCAGCCCCTTTTTTCTGTATTTTTTAAATAGGCCATTTAAGGACTTTAAGCAATGTCCCTAAAACCAATGTACAAACCAGGACTTATTAGCAATGTCCCAAAGCACACTGCATCCATTGTCTTTTTTCTGATTTTTGAGTTTCATTTCTTAACCAATTAAGGCCTCTTCCCCACTCACCTCAACAGTGCCATATTCATATTACTTGAGTAAGAGGAGGCATTGAAGGTGATTTTCAGCAATGGAAATTAACCAGTGTGACTAGGCAGTACACTTAGGAAGTAAAGCATAGGCTGTAGAGCATATGGGGTAAATTTAGAAAATGGAATATGTGTTCATGACCAGCCTGGGCAATGTGGCGAAACCCGTCTATACAAAGAACAGAAAAAATTATGTGGGTGTGGTGGTGTGCACCTCTAGTCCCAGATACCCAAGAGTCCAAGATGGGAGGATCACCCGAACCCAGGAGATCAAGCCTGTGGTGATCCTTGATCACACCACTGCACTCCAGCCTGGGTGACAGACAGAGTGAGACCCTATCTTAAAGAAAAAGAAGGAAGGAGGGAAAGAAGGAAGGGAGGGAAGAAGGAAGGAAAGAAGGAAGGAAGGAAGGAAGGAAGGCCTGCGACAGGGAGTGGGGAGGGAAGGAAGGAGGGAGGGAGGGAGGAAAGGAAGGAGGAAGAAGTAGAAGGAGGAAGGAAAAAAGGAAGGAAGGGAGGGAAAGGAAAGGAAGGAAGAAAAAAGGAAATAAATAAAGAAAGAAATGGAATATGTGACATTATGTTTCTGCCATTGTGTAAGAAATCAATACCAGTATCTTGTGATTGGAGCACCAAATTGATCGAGTAATGTTCAGGAAAGAAACCCCCAAACTACTTATCAAGATCCTAATCCCAGTGTGGTCAGTAACTAATGTGGCCACCTGACTGGTTTTATAATCTTCTTTGAGGGCCCTGAATGTGAAGCCCTGTATTTGGAGAAATGTTTTGTTCTCAAATGTCACTACATATATAGTCTTCCTTTTCTGTGTTTGGTTTTGCTGGCTCTGTATGCTTTCATTGTCTTAGATGTGTTTGAAATCCGCAGGGTGACATGTCTCTTTTCAAAGAGCTGCTAAAATAAGAAAGAAAATGAATAAGCGTGTTAAAGAAAGATGGTGTTTAAACACCTGTCAAAGTAAAGTCAGAACAAGAATGTTCTTGCCAGAAAACGCAGAGCCCCATTGAGACAGGTTGGTAATTCGAAGATGATTCATTACGACTAACTGCATTTGTATTCTAGCCCATATGCATTGTAAACCACCTAGCAGGCTTCCAATGATGTCTTCCTATCAATTCGTAAATCTCACAGGAAACTTTTAACTGGTGCAGTCAGTTTTGGTGGACTGCTTATCTTGTCAACGTGAAGATAATGCTTCAACAGCACACCCACCTCCTCTAGGTTCAAAATTCCTTATTTTATTGAAAAAGGTCCCTCAAGCTGGTTAAGCACACAAATAAGAATTGGGTGCATCAGAATCTAGTGACCCTAGGTCCTTTTGTAAAATGATTAAAACTCTCCTTAAACCTCAGAAATTATTTAATTTTATAGGCATCTCTTGGACCAGGAATTGCCTTGAGATGGCGAGATACAAGCATTCTACAAAGGCTGCAAACAAGACTCACTTCTCTTAGGCCCTGATCCGAATCCAGATTATGATGGATTGGGCATGGGGATCAGGGCATGCAGAAGCTCTTAGCCAAACCTCTACACCCTTTAGTTGTGACTCTGTCATTGTAGACTTTTAAGGCATCTTGCAGATTAGAATATGCTGAGCACTCAATCTGAGGAAGGTTAAAAGTCATAGAATATTGGTGTTCTTCCAAGTTGAGAACAGAACACTTGGATCCAAGACCCTATTTCAGATTCAACATTCAATACCCTAAGGCATAAAAATGGCGTCTTACTATAGACAGTGGAAATAACTGATAAGGATTTAATTAATTGCTTGTGGTTTTGCAGTGCCAGTCCAGGTTTATTTTCATTGCTGGGCACTGCAGTCCTAGAGGCAAAGGGAATGAGCATAAGGTTCCTGCTAGATCTTTAAAAGGGAAGGGCAGAATAAACAGAGGGCCCTTTGATAATGATTTCTTAGCCAGTCCAGTGGATAACATGAGTCTCATAATCAAGAATCCTCTGGGACTTTGTCATCTACATTGAATTTATAGGTGGTCTTTACTTAAAATATCTGAAGTTAATGGAATCATAAAACAGATCTTTCTTTTCTCTTTAGATTGTGACATTAGGCACATGTGGAAACAACAGTAAAATGCAACTTCCTGTGTTTAGCAGCCGTAGCAACACATCTTATACGGTGCAGGATTTTTAAAAACCAAAAGGAACAACAATTTGTATCTGACTAAATAGCGCCTAATCAGTTTCACCTTGATTTACTAAGCGTTGTATTAATCAAGTAAGCAACTGGCCTTTTCTATAAAATAGTTTTATGTTTGTTGGTTTGATTTTTAAAATTTTTTATTTTTTGCAGGTGCAAGCATAAAAATAAAAAATTCGCAATTTCCCAGCTGGTAGGAAATAGAGCCACGTCCAACTCTTAGCTCCTCTCTCATTCTTGTATATGATGTCAACCTTCTTGCTTAGTTTCTTTCCTTAATCCAGGGCATTTCTGCTATAGAGTAGTGGGGATTTCCCTCGAGTCTTAGTTGGTTTTAGCAGCTCCCAGCAATTATCTTGAGACCAACGGAGAATGCAGGTAACTGTTTTGGGTGGGTATACAGGAGTTTATTTATTTCAGGGGGCATTTTTGTTTTCCTGGAGACCTCTAGAAGACCAGGAAAATATTTTTCCAAGAAATTTTGCTGCCCCAATTGCTCCAAATCATAAATAACCCACTCTCCATTTTTATTCCCCACAAAACCTCTTATCAGCCTTTTTCCACTTGCTTACATGTATTATCTCTATTAACAGTAGCCACAACCCAAATCATGAATTGTATTACCCCATTCTACAGATGAGGAAGGGACTCTGAAAGGTTGAATTACAGACCTAAGGTTACCAGCTAGGATGGGGAGGAACAGATTATTACATTCAGATCTTTCTGGCACTGGAAGCCCATGTTTTTCCTTTGCAGTACTCACAGGTCTGTGTTTATATTTAAATGGCTATTTCCTATTTTTTAAGCATACGCAAAGTCATATCAGGGTGACACATAGCTAAAGAGTTAAACAAAACAAACCATTTTCTTCTCTGGAAGCTTTAGTGTGGAAATACCTAAGTGTCAGCCCTCTCTCCACTTGTGTTTGCTCCCCTTAGGGTACTGTTCTAACAGGAGATATTTGCTTCACAGTGGAAAGGTGAGATAGGAGAGGTGGTGTGTTCTGTTTAAATTGGAATAAAAACTTGTTGCTGGCTGCCAGTCTTAAAGAATGATTCCTCGTCATTGAACATGTTACATTGTAGAGTCAGATGTTTGCCACCACAACACTGGGCTATTATGCAAGGTAGTTCTACCTTGTAGTTCCGATATATTTAGTTAATTGAAAGCCTAAAATATTGCCACATAACTGAACATCTGTCATAATGCTATATTATCAAAGAATTTAATTTCAGATTAAAATGGTTTTATAGTTTTCTATATTGTTCCACTGTTTTCTAAGAGATTCACATTCTCGTGTGTGATGCCTAAAGAGAATGGAAAAAACAAAAGCAGTTTGGATTTAGTTCCAATTTAGTTAGGTAACTTATTTTCTTGTTTCTTTGCCATGGAACAAAATTGCTTTTCTGGCTTCCCCAATTAGGAGAAAGAAGGTTAAGACTGAAGAAAAATCTGAGATGAGAAAGAAGGAAATGTTAACAAAGAGAGTGCTCTTGAAGAAATTAATTTTCACCACTCATCACCGGGTGAAAATAGAAACTTCTTAAAAGACAATTTCACATATAAATTATTCCAGCTGTTTTTCAATTATTTGTCTTTGATGAATTGTCTTTCAATTACCTTGTAAAGAGCAATTAAGTGTTTGCTTACCTGAAAACTGTGTCAGCAATGTCTGTACCATTCTTATGAGTGTTAATCATCCTTCCTGCTGGCTCTGATATTTTCCCAATTTCAAACATTAGTGTTTGTTATATTATCTTTCAAAATATTTGGAATTCTACAGGAAGGCACTGTTGGAAACAATTTCCTCTGTGAAAAATCTAAAGACCTGCTAAAATAAATCATAGCCTAGGCCTTGTAAATTATTGCCCCACATTTACCCATGACTTATTCTTTTTGTAAATATTTTTAGGGACCTTTTTGTGGCCTAAGTACAGTATAGGGGCACCACCAGGAATAAAATCAACTTGCTCCCTGTCCTCATGGGACTCCTAATCTAGTGGTGAGAAGTATTATTTTTTCTTGCTTCTCAGAGAGGTAGTCTTTTTTTTAACCTACTCACTTAATAACAACAACAATTAAAAATCATTTTTATGGTTTCTGAAAACATTGGTGAATTGCAACTGGCTATTCTGAGGTTCTGTTACGGGCTTTTTCCCATCATTCTAGAACATGTTCAATGTTTCTTCAGACCAGTATTGAAAATCTAAATAAAAATTATATTAGAAAAGGATTTTGGAATAAGCTAGTTGGTTTGATGGTGCTCTAATTGGATTCAGAGGCTTTCTGTGTGTGTTTTATCCAAATCCTGCTGGAGCAACTCATTCTCTGGAATGCTTGCTTAACACACCTGTCATTTTAAAGAAAGAAACCAAAATAGAACATCTCGCAAGTGGGGCATCCTCAATAACTATGTTAGAAAAAGTATAAAATCAATGCTAAAGGCATCATTATTATAAAATTATTTTTTTAAAAAGCAACTAGTGGAATTGTTTCTCTCAAGAGAATTAGGTGTACAAACCAAGGAATGTTAATCTTTTGCTTTTCAGTGGCTTTTAAATGGTTTCCTGTTTAATTTGCATAGGATATTTCTACCTTTTAGGCAATGCTATGAAACTAGACTAAACCTCTGTAGCCCTCAAACAATTTTACCCTGAATTTTAACTCATAATTTGGAGGCCATCTTGTGCTATGTCTGCCGTGGGAACTAATGCCACAGTACCACCGTGTGAGCCTCTGGGGTCCCCCACATTTCCTACTCACTACACACTGCAGGTCTACGTTTGGGTGGATGGTTGTTTGACTAATGTCAGCCTCTCTCATGGCCTGCAAGCCTCCTAAGGGCAGAGATCTGATCTGTTTTTGCTTACCATTGTAGCCCTTCCTCTATAATAGCTGCTCAGTTAATTGTGCATGAATGTTTCCGTTCCACAGTGAACACACTTTTCTACAGCCTCATTATTTTTGCAGATATCTCCTTCCTCCTCTCCCTTGGATTGTCCGAACCCTGGGTCTCCTTGGCAACACTGTTGCCCTGGTAATTCTCTTCAATGGTGGCTCTGTTGTCCTTTACCTCTCCTATCACAGGGGGCGCTGACATTGCATCAACTCCCCAGTGCTATTCCCTGCTCATTTTGCGTCCAGTCTTGTGCATGCCCTCATCTGAGGTAGGTGCCGTCTGCTGAGTTTTCCTTCACATTTCTTTGGTGCTGTCATCTCCTGACTTCCTGGTCATTTCCTCATATTCACTGGATGAAGTTCAGACTCTCCCTCTCCACCCCAAATCTCGCTATGACCTGAAGGAATTCAGTCCCCATGCAGTCCCCGTGTGGCTGGTCTGACATCCTGGCTGGTGCAGCTCTGCAGCCCTTCTTCTTTCTTGCATCTTCAACACCCCGACACCCAGGGCTCCTTCTCCTCAGCCCATGAACCTGCTTGAGTGTCCTTCACACTTTATGAACTTAAAACAAACAGCAAACAAAACCTTTTTCTTTACTTGTTCATTCTCAATGCCAAAGGAGTTCAACGTTCTTTATTGTGCAAAGCCCACTTGCTCCTAAATGTAATCATTCTCTAGGAGTTTACCCCTGGTCCTCAACAGCTGCTTTTGTTTAGAAGACTCCACCAAATAACTTCAACTCCAGCTTCTTGCTAGAGTGCCAGTAATGCATTTCTGACTGTCCGTTGGACATCTTCCCTTGAATGTTCTGCCAGCACCTGAAGTTCATGGTGCCTGAATACAAGCTAAAGGTCTCTCCTCCAAATCTTCTCTCTTCTTGACATCCAGCCATACCCTTGTAGAGGTTCAGGCCATGGAGTTCTCAGGCAGTTCCTCAGACTCCTCTCTTCTTTCTCCTCAGTGTCCCTCAGATCATCCATCATTTCCAGTCCCTTTTCGCTCCTTCTCTCCAAGTTCAGATGCCTGGGTTGCTGCAGTCATCTCTTAACTGAGCTATAAGGACGTAAATCTGGGAGCCTTGGGGACTCCGTATGACTAATTGACATAAATTCTTCTCCATGGGATGGATCTCCCAGCATCCTGTTTTCCATAGTACATGCCTGCAGGTTTCATGTCTGCCTTGGGGAGATTGTCCGGGATACTACATGTGGCCACGGTCTCTCCACAGATACCGGCCTTGGGGACCCTGTATGACTGCCAGGAGGCTCTTGGACATAGAGAGAACGTTAGTCACATTATATATATTCTCTGGGCTTTTATTTATCCACCAGCCTTTCGACTTAAATATATTGGTCTAGATTTAATGTGTTATTTTAATAATATTTGTGTTACATTCATCCTCAATGGGAATTTTTTCATAATTTTGTCTGAAACAAAATTTAGCCCCTTACTTAAAAACTGTGATATTTCAGCCAGGCGCGGTGGCTCATGCCTGTAAACCAAACACTTTGGGAGGCTGAGGTGGGCGGATCACTTGAGCTTAGGAGTTTGAGACTGGCCTGGCCAACATGGTGAAACCGCGTCTCTACTAAAAATACAGAAATTAGCAAGGCATGGTGGCATGCACCTGTAATCCCAGCTACTCGGGAGGCTGAGGCAAGAGAATCACTTGGACCCAGGAGCCGGAGGTTGCAGTGAGCTGAGATCTCACCACTGCACTCCATCTGGGTGACAGAACGAGACTCCATTGATTGGGGGCAGTGGGGAGGGGGGGCGAGAGGAGAACTGTGATATTTCAGTATATTTTATTTCACAAATTATATATAAGGTCTACCAGCTTCTCCCCTAAAGTTCTGTGCTGACGCACATTCCCAGCATGAACAGGGTGATCATTATCCTATCATGGATGAGTTGAAATTCTTTCACTTGGCAGATTGTCCATTGGGGATATATCAGCTTTTTCTTCCTTTTCACAAACACAGCACACACTCTACACACCATGACCTGCTCCACTTCAGACTCCGGGAGTTGTTGTATATGACTAACATCTACGGGGAACAAGATAGGTTGTTGGTTGATTCCTGTCACGTTTTTCCTCTCTGTAGCGACATCTTGCTATTCCTAAGCAGTCATCCTATCTGTTCATAGAGACAACCCTTCCCTTGTAGCGATAACAGTGGCATTCAAAACGTAAAATGCTTTTATTTACATTAAAATTGATTTTTCCATTAGCAAAGTGGCCCTTTGCCTACTCAATCAGAATTTCTGTAAACCCCAAATAAGAGCGACTTTATTTAATCTGTTAAATATCCTGTAGCAAGTCTAGGGGATGTTGTTCATGTCAGTGAATCAGGATGTCATGCAGCTGCACAAACATATTCGTTCTGCAGGCCTGTTGGCCACAAGTTTAAACTCTGGAATTCTCTGTCAGTGCTTGCAGGCAGATGGAAGTCTTTAGTAGCTTTTCCCTCTGGGAGTTTAAAAATAATGTCTGCCTCTGTTAAAAAAACAAGTTTAAAAATTGATAGTATCAAACTTCTAAAATTAATATTATGATAAATAAGGATTCTGTACAATCAAATTACTTTAGTCAGTATAAAGTATAGAGTACACTGCCTGCCGCCAGCGTGAAATTAACCGTGATGACACTGGGCATTGTTTTAGACAGCAAAACAGTACCTACCCTAACTCCTTGGATTAGCCCAATAAGTGGCTGGGAGTTGAATTGAGTTACTACTCATTAGGGTTTATCTCTTGCCTTATCTTAAAATAAAAATCCACTCCCACCCACTACCCTCCTCCCCATTTTTGTACAGGGAATACTTGGGAGGTAAACTCCCTGAGTTTAAATCCTGCTTACCAGCTGTGGGATCTTGCTAGTTGCTTGGTCTCTCAGCCTCAACTTCCTCATCTATAAAATGGGAATACTAATAGCAACTACTTCGCAGGGTTGTAGTAATGATGAAAGAGGCAGTATTGATAAAGCACTTAGAACAGGTCCTTTTTTTAGCATAATAAAATATCAAGTAATAGAATAGGTCTTAATGTGACCTACAAGACTGATACACTCAGCACAAAGCAATATGAAGTCATAGAATTTTTAAAGTTGGAAAGGAGCCTAGAGATCATTTAACCTAGTCTCCTAATTTCAGCAATGAAAAATTGGGATCCTAGCACAAGGTCACAGGGCTGATTAAGTAGCAGAGTTGGAACTAGGCTCCAACTCTCTTCTTGGCTTACAGTTTACCATCCCAGTTGGGTGGTCAAAACCCAGAACAATAACACAGATTTATTGCTTGTCCTGATTGTGCAATGTCTTCTTTGCTTTTTTTTTTTTTTTTTTTTTTGAGAAGGGATTGCAGTGGCATGATCTTGGCTCACTGCAACCTCCGCCTTCCTGGTTCAAGCGATCCTCCTGCCTCAGCCTCCAGAGTAGCTGGGACTACAGGTGCGCACCACGACAGCTAGCTAATTTTTTGTATTTTTAGTAGAGATGAGGTTTCACCATGTTGGCCGGGATGGTCTCGATCTCTTGACCTTGTGATCTGCCCGCCTCGTCCTCCCAAAGTGCTGGGATTACAGGCGTGAGCCACGGCACCCAGCCTGCTTTTTTGTTTTTTACAAATAGTCTTACTGCTATTTTAGAGCTACTAGGAGTGTTGCTGGTTCACCATGAGTTTAGCTATCATATGCCAATGGAGACAGCCTGGTATAGTGGGAAATAAGCCTGGATCAGGAATCAGGTGACCTAGACTCTTATCTCTTTCACTAGTTAACAATTTGGGAAGCCAGATAGCCTTCCTGGCTCCCAGTTTCCTTATATATAGGGCTTTAATATATAGCATAATGTGAAAGTACTAAACATGATAGTTGTCCCATGGTGGATAACACTGTAACCCAGTGCTTTTATAAATTACATTGCTCAGAACTACTGAGTGCTCTAATATGCATTGTAAGAATATATATACAACTTTTTTTTTTTTTTTTTTTTTTTTTTACAGAAAATAAACTACTGCTCTACCTTTAATCTTGCTTCGGTGAAATTCTAATTTATCATGGCTTCAGGGCAACATCAAAAGATGGTAGAGAAGTAGATTAGCTTTCCCAGAAACCAAGTAAGGGAAAAAAGTTTATAGATGAATCTCACAGACATTCAGTGAAAGAAATACAAAAGATTATATTGTGTAATTCCACTAAGTTAAAGTTCAAGAAGTGATAAAACAGGCCAGGGCACAGTGGCTAACACCTGTAATCCCAGCACTTTGGGAGGCCCAGGCAGGTGGATCACTTGAGTCCAGGAGTTTGAGACCAGCCTGGACAACATGGTAAAACCCTGTCTCTACAAAAAATTACTAAAAAAAAAAAAAAAAAAAAAGAACAGGTAACACAAATCAATGCTGCTGGAAGTCAAAATAGTGGTTATCTGGGGGAATAGAGGTGAGAGGGTGGTATTGATTTGGAAGAAGCATAAGGAGGATTTCTGGGGCTTTGGAATGATTGACACTTTGGTCTGAATGTGATTGTGAGTGCAATATCATTTACATTCTGTCTGTATGCCTCGAAAAAATCTTTTTGGAAAATCTCCATAGTATTAATTTTAATGACTGTGGGAACAACTGATCTTATCCCAACTGCCTTTAGATAACTTTGTAGTTTCTTTCAAGTGATGGGGGAATGGAAATTGGCAAATTGGGAGGCATGTATGAATAGCAGGGTTACGAGCAATCTTCCTCCAGAGCGACTAAAATCCTTTCAATACATTCTAATATAGTAATGTTTTCACATTCTGTTCTTTTTCTTTAAATTTAATTTCTTGCTTACATTCTGTTCTTTTACTCTTAGGGATTTAAAAAGATGATGGCAAAATAATTTTTCAAATACTTTTGCCATGATTATTACCTTAATGCCGATTATTTTTAAAGGAACCATCAGCTGATAAAAAGCAATTTTCTTCTGAGCCAAGATCTTTTCTAACTCTAAAATTCTATTATTTTCAGATTTTTAAGTGAGGGAATACATTTATATATAGAAAGTTCAAAAATAATCTAAAATTTTAGATTATTTAGATATTTAGATCGTTTCTTTAAAAATTTTTACATTTAACCATTTCACATGTTCAAGGACATGACTATAAATTTGTTTTAATTTTTTCCCATAAATATGTATCATATGTCTCTGATGAACACAGTACTGATAATGAGAAAATTTTTCTTGGCATTACTTTAAAAGGTCAGCCAGCCTTGATTTATTCACTTCATGGTAAGTCCATCATGGGTGTGTGTGTGTGTGTGTCTGTGTGTGTGTGTGTGTGTGTGTGTGTGGTGGAGGGATGTTTGGAATCTCTTCTTTGTGTATTGTTTACACAGTAACTGTGGATGTATACCTCCTGATGCGTGCTGGAGCTGGGCCCATTGTCTACCATTTTGCAAGGTGTTGAATACTACTTACCTTATCTGGATCCATCATGTGCTAAAAAGTGTTGAAACAGCCATTTAAATGTTCTCTTACTTATAGAATACTGGGAATGGAAGTATTAGTAAAGGGAGAATTTTGGAGAGAAAGATGGCCAAGTCTGAAGTATATTACTTTCCAAAACTCTTTCAGCTGAAATCTTTACTGTTGGTAAAAGACAGTAGGCACCGAGGCCCCTTCGAGCGGACTTCCTCACTCCTAAGAAAAAAATCTTTATCCTCATTTACCTCCATGATAGCGAATGCCACATTTTAAAATATAAACTTGATTTTAGAATAGTTTTAGATTCGCAGAAAAGCTGAAAAAATGGTACAGAGAGATCTTATATCAGCATGATACATTTGTTACAACCAAGGAACAAACACTGATACTATTCCTGTTAACTAAACTCTACAGTTCATTAGGATTTCAGTAGTTTTTCCCTAATGTCGTCTTTTTTTTGTTCCAGGATGCATTCAGGATGCCATGTTACATGTAGCAGTGGTGTCTCCTTAGGCTTCTCTGGTCTGACAGTTTCTCAGACCTTCCTTGTTTTGAATGACCTTGGCAGTTTTGTTTTTGTTTTTGTCTTTGAGATGGGATCTCGCTCAGTTGCCCAGGCTGGAGTGCAGTGGCGCGATCTCGGCTCACTGCAACCTCTGCCTCCTGGGTTCAAGGATCCTCCTGCCTCAGCCTCCCGAGTAGCGGGACTACACACACGCTCCACCATGCCCGGATAATGTTTTGCATTTTTAGTAGAGACAGGGTTTCACTGTGTTAGCCAGATGGTCTCCATCTCCTGACCTTGTGATCTGCCTGCCTCGGCCTCCCAAATTGCTGGGATTACAGGCGTGAGCCACCGCGCCCGGCCTTGTTTTATTTTTGAGACAAGTCTCGCTCTGTAGCCCAGGCTGGAGTAAAGTGGCGCGATCTTGGCTCACTGCAGCCTCCACTTGCTGAGTTCAAGTGATTCTCCTGCCTCAGCCTCCCAAGTAGCTGAGATTACAAGCGCCTGCTACAAAGTCTGGCTAATTTTTGCATTTTTTTTTTTTTTTTTTTGAGACGGAGTCTTGCTCTGTAGCCCAGGCTGGAGTGCAGTGGCGCAATCTTGGTTCACTGCAAGCTCTGCCTCCCGGGTTCACGCCATTCTCCTGCCTCAGCCTCCCGAGTAGCTGGGACTACAGGCGCCCGCCACTGCGCCCAGCCAATTTTTTGTATTTTTAGTAGAGATGGGGTTTCACCATGTTAGCCAAGATGGTCTCGATCTCCTGACCTCGCGTGATCTGCCCACCTCAGCCTTCCAAAGTGCTGGGATTACAGGCATGAGCCACCGTGCCTGGCCAGACCTTGAAAATTTTGAGATGTACTGGTCAGGTATTTTAGAAATGTTTCTCAATTTAGTTTTGCCTGATGTTTCCCTTGTAGTTACTACAGGGTTGTGGGTTTTGAAGTACCATTCTCCTTATATCATATCAAGAGTACATACTGTCAGCACAGCTTATCACTGGTGATGTGAACCTCGATCCCTGGCTAAGGTCCTGTTTGTCAGCATCTTCACCGTAAAGCCACCCCTTTCTCCTCTCTTTCCATACTGCACTCTTTGGAAGGAAGTCACTATGGATAGCCCACATTTAAGCAGTTAGGAGTTAAGCTCCACTTTCTTGAGAGAGGGTTATGTATATAAATTATTTGGAGTTCTGTAAGGACTTACCTCTTCTCCCACATTCATTTATTCATTCAATATTTATCTATATGAGTATGGATTTGTGGATGTTTATTTTATACTTTGGGTTATAATCTAATACTATAATTTTACTTTGTTGCTGAGATTATTCCAGCTTTGGCCTTTGGAAACTCTTGAGTGGGCTCCTCTGTCCCTTTAACCTACCTCCTCCCATCAGTTTGCTTTTTGAGCACTTTCTGGGACTACAAGATGTTGCAGGGCTCATCTGGTGTTTTCCATGCCCCAGCTCTTGAAGCAGCCTTTTCTGTAAGGAGGTGGTGCTTGCCTATTGGAGAATGCTATTAGAAACCAAGATCTGTGCGTTGGGCGTGCTCATTGCTACTGGGGTGTTACTGCTTCTAGGCCTTCTGAGAGGACAGAGCTAGCAAATACATGTGTGTAAGCAAACCCATGCATATATACATGTCTATAATTCATTTACTTATCTATCTGTCTACCTGGGCAAACACGGGTTCATGCAGATGTCTCCAACTCTCATCAGGGCTGCATGGATCATTCTAGCTTTACTCTCTCGCTTATCTGTAACTTCTCTCTCCAGTAGTGAGAAACCTGGCTTCCACCATCTGCCACTCCCGTACTTCCTTGTTTGATCCCAATATACATGTTCAGCAGTTTCAGAATTTTTAACCTGCACCCCGTGTGATGCCACACATTTTGATTCTTCTGTTCATTTTCTCTTCTCCATTTGCCATTTATCTTACCCTTAAAAGGAAGATATTTGACCCAATCTGCTGTAAACTCTGATTAGCAAGAGAGTAAGGAACTCCTTTAGACAACGGAAGGCAAGGATAGCCACTTGGCTGCCTTAGAAACCATGATCCAAGCTCATCTGTGATGGCTTATACCATCACTTCACCCTGACCTCATCACTGGCTTATACCATCAGTTCACCCTAACCAGTAGTGGGTAGCTTCTGTGCCCAGATGTTGTACATCCGCCCTTGTTTAATGATAGCATGTATCTTAAGTTATTGTTTCAATTGAGAGAGAGAAAGAGACCTCATGTAAATGTAGGTAATAAAGTTAAATCTTCCCTAAGCACTGTTCTAATTTTTCTTTGCCATATGTTCTGTGGCTTTTAAAGGGGAAAGTGACAGAATTATAATGGAAATACAAAAACTGTAATAGAAATAAAAATATACACAGATAATCTTAATATTGTAAAAACATAATAAAGCACAAAAAAATAACAAAGCCTGGAAACCATATTTTAAGGAAATAGAGTTTGATATCCTTAGTGTTTTAACTTTCTTAAAGCATACACAGCAGAGTGTTATCAAAGCATTGTTTACCACACATGATTTCTCCTAGTTATTTTTGCTATGATTGGGCTTCAAAAATGCATTCTCATCGACCTTCAGATATTTAAGGATATTTGGAGAAAAGTTGAGACCATGTTTTTTGCCACCTACTTTTTTCCCGCAGGGCGGCTCTCAGTTTGTACAAAATTAGTACCAGGAGTTCTTTTATGGAGATTCTTTTCTAAATGGTCCTTCAGTTACAACATTTGTGAGCTGGAATACTATGCCACATTAGTCTCAGTTTCTCAGTGCCTGAAATAATTATGTGTGGTGAAAAATTAATATCTAAAATGTCATATCTATTAAATAGTATAAACATACAACAAACTCTATTAGGTAGAATCAATTTTTCTAAGAATCTCTATAATTTATTTATCAAATTTCAAAGGGAAGACTATTCAAACCTACAATTTATTTCATATGTATATTAGTCTGTTCTCGCACTGCTGTAAAGAAATACCAGAGACTGGGTAATTTATGTAGAAAAGAGGTTTAATTGGCTCATAGTTCTGCAGGCCAGCTTCTGCTTAGCTTCTGGGAAGATCTCAGGAAACTTATAATCATGGCACGTGAGTGAAGGGGAAGCAAGCTTGTCTTATATGGCTGGATCAGGAGGAAGAGAGAGAGGGAGGTGCTACACACTTTTAAACAACTGGAATTCATATGATTTCACTCACTATACAGTATCAAGAGGGGACGGTGCTAAGCAATTCATGAAAACTCTGCCACCATGATCCATACCTCCCACCAGGCTCCACCTCCAACACTGAGGATTATAATTTGACATGAGATTTGGGTGAGGATACATTTCTAAACCTTATCAATATGATAATTATCTAGCCTCATTTATTTTTGGCTTATATGGTCACATTTGCACTGGGACTGCCTAACTGATACATTTCTGTTTAAATAAAAAATAAAACCTGTGTATATTTTCTGATTTCTTAGCAATTGGTGTTGTGGGGAAATTCTGTTAGGGGTGGGCTTGTTTCAGTGGGAAGATAGACTGAGCTGTGTCATTTAAAGTCTCTACATTTGATTAGCTAATGACTGTATTTCAAAATATGCTGTGTTTTAAAATGTAGAACTCAAGTGTGAAAAGGTAAGTTCTGATGAATGACAAGTTACTCTTAGTAACATAAAAATGGATCAAAATTAATGCTGAAAACAATCAGGAAATTTTACCTTTCATCTGGGATTTACCTGGCAGTTTGTTCTTATCTGCATGTAAATGCAAAATTCACCAGACTTACTGTGAAATAATTTATGGAAAGTTTCAAATGGATTTTAATGGAAAACTGATCCACAAGAAAAATTATAGAAATATCAATAGCAATGCCCAGTGTCCTGGGTATCTAAAGAGGAGAGTTAATATTCTGCCCATACTACTCAAAAGCAGATGACAGTGGTCCTCACATTCATGATTTAAGAGAAGTACAATGGCACATCGGCCAACTGTGCCAACATATGGTTTCTAATTGCAAATATGGTCTATGATAGGGGAAAAATAGGCTGTTCTTAATTGCTTCAGAGGGAAAGTAGAATTTTTATGCAGCATCAGGGAACTGGATATGTGGATTGGGAGAGAAAGATCCCATGTATTGTAAGAAAATGAAAACTGGACATGTAGCCACAGAGATGAATTTGAGATGGAAACTTTTGTTTCTATGTTCATAATAATTAGCCCTTTTATATTTTACAACATTTAAGTTGTTCAAAGTTAAGCCCTTCCATGAGAGTTCAGCACAAAGTCTTCATGAAGAAGTAAAACCATACTCTCAGTTCCCCCTGGGTTTGCCCTCTGGTTCAAAGAGGGAAGTTGGACAGGAGTTAAATTGAAGTAATAAATATTTTGCTCCTTTACTCTGAATTAGCTTCAAAATCAGTCTGTCCCCTGTATCTCTATCTGTTGTGCTATGGCTGAAAGTAGGGTTAGGAACCACTTTCAGAAGAATCAGTTAGCGTAGGACTTGAATCTCCAATTTTCCCTAGCAATGCACAGTGTCTGCCCATCTCTGCCCAGATAGTACCTGAAATTAGAGTAGACTTCACTAGTGGAAGGAATAGGATTTATTCCAATTTGTGTGGAAGGAGAACTCATAAGGATTTAGGAAGTGGCATCTATTGATTGTCTGTCTTCATTCAGTTTGAGATTTTCCTGGTTCTTAGTGTGTCAAGTGATTTTCGATGGAAACTTGGACATTTTTGTATTATGTTATGTGACTCTAGATCTTGTTTGAAACCTTTGGTTTTAACTGGCTTTGTCTGACACCTCTATAGCAGGGGAAGCAGTGGGTGCCGCCTTGTCACCCCGACATGGAGGTAAAAATCCCATTTCTCCACCTGTCCTCTGTTGACATGCTGTGTATGTGTGTGGGGTGTCCTTGTTACTGTTGGGCACAGGTAGAATTTCCAGATCCCCATGTGGTCTCCCTTGATACCACAGTTGGGGTGGTCTTGTTCCCAGTGTGCAATGATTTGGCCACCTCTGTATTAGGGGGAAGGGGAGAGATACCCAGTTATTGCTGGGTAGGGCTGGATGTCACGGCTTCCTACATGGTCTCCACTGACACTGTGGAAGATGCTTCATTATCAGCCACCAGGCATAAAGGTGCTAGTTTCCTGCTTGGTCTTCTCTGACACCACTCTAGTAGGGGTATTAGGGGTCCTTTTCAGAGCCTCATGAGGGTGGAAATCTAGTAACTCCATTCAGCCTTTGCTGGCATGCATGGTCACAGGTTCTTCTATGGTGCTCGGCTGTAGTAGAGCAGTTATTGTCTAAAAGTTTCTTATGTTGCTACTCTGCCCCTTTCCTGGTTATGTGGCTAGAGAGTGCAGACGTTTGTGGTCTGTGCCCATTGGTGTTTCTGGGTTGCTGGCTTCCATGCTTGTTGGCCTTTCGAGGTTTCTTACTTCTTCAGCTACGAGTCTGGGATATTTGAGGCAAAAAGAAAACCCAGGAATCTCACCACCGTGTTGTTTCTTGGGTTCTGAGGTCCCAGGCTTGTCTACCTTCCCTTGGCCTTACAGAATTTTCTTACATTTTTATGTAACACCCGTGGTTGTTTTTTTTAGTTGTATTTAGCCAGAGGAATAAGAAAAAGTTAAGTTTGGGCTGCGTGTGGTGGCTCACGCCTGTAATCCCAGCAGTTTGGGAGGCTGAGGCGGGTGGATCACTTGAGGTCAGGAGTTCAAGACCAGCCTGGGCAACATGGTGAAACCCCGTCTCTACTAAAAATACAAAAATTAGCCAGGCCTGGTGGCATGTGCCTGTAGTCAGTCCCAGCTGCTTGGGAGGCTGAGGCAGGAGAATTGCTTGAACCAAGGAGGCGGTGGTTGCAGTGAGCTGAGATCGCGCCACTGCACTCCAGCCTGGGCGACAGAGCAAGACTCTATCTCAAAAAGAAAAAGTAAGTCTGTTTCATCTTCTTGGAAGCAGAAGTCCTTGCTCTTCAATTTTTGTTTTTATTTGTTTTACTATGACCAATATTATATTAAGAAAGTTGTTAAAAATACAGAGAAGATAAAAGAATTGGTATCACGCCTCATATGCGTATCTACCAGCTGGATTCAACACTTAACATTTTGCTATATTTTACTTTATTGCACTTTTATCCATCTGCCTTTTCCATCTATCTATCCAGTTATTATTTTTGACGGACATCAGTACACTTCACCTCTAAACACTTCAGCATACATGTCATTAATTAGACTTCACTGTCAGTTTACGGTTTTTTAAAGGTAAATTTTACAAAAGTGAAATGCAAAAAATTGTAAATACCATTTGATGAGTTTTGGGTAATCCAACCATCGTTGAGATAATTTCCATCACCGCTATACGTTCCCTCAAGTTTCTTCTCAGGTTATTTCTGCCTCCAAGAAAAAACTACTGTTTTGATTTTTTCTTTTTTGCCATAATTTCAAGTGCTATTTTATTGATGGAATAATATTATAGTTCATCCCTTCTGGCCTGCTTCCAGTTCTTTGCCATTAAAATTTGATAGTTGGTGTAACATAAGTCATTGCTATCTTCTGTCAGCCTAGAACACAGTGCAAGCAAGGCAACTTAAGATTTTGTGCATTTCTTCTGATTAATAAAATAGTGAAGACATACAAAGACATGTTTTTATCACACACAGTACCCAAATTTTCCACATATTTCTTGTTGTTAGTGTAGTTATCAGTTTCTTTGAAGCTCAAAACCTTTTTTGTAATAGAAGCAAAAGATAGTTTTAGCCTTGTAAAAATAGAATTTAGCTTCCTGGCACCAAATTTTATTTTGTGAATGAGAAACCATGATTTTAACTACACCATAACTGTAATATTCATTACTGAGAATGTCAGACTAGTCTCTGGAGGAACAGCCTATTTCACAAATACTTAGAATACTCTATTCCTGTACAAAATATTGATGGGGTTGTTGCAGATGGATTCAGCTGTGTTGCACAGACACTCATTTGTCTGGCCCCATCTATAATGTAAGTCTCTTGCTTCTAGTCTGTTTCCCCAGAATGATTTTCTAAGTGGGCTGTAATTTCTGATTGACTGATTGATATGAGGGAAGTCCTACCAGCTGTGAAATGGGACAAATAAACTTTATGTGAGATTCCAATTAGAGTGGACGTGCTTACCGTTAACAGCCCAGGGACCAATTGATGATGTGGTTTTATTACAACCTTTTTTACAACCTTTCTCTGTCTATATCTTTCTTTATACAGTTGACGGACTGGACAAAGCTTCTATAGCAAACTCAGATGGCCCCACAGCAGGTTCCCAAACACCTCCCTTCAAAAGAAAGGGGAAACTATCCACCATTGGTAAAATCTTTAAGCCTTGGAAATGGAGGAAAAAGAAGACCAGCGACAAATTTAGAGAAACCTCGGCAGGTATGAGTATCATAACTTGTTAGAAGATGGGATAAATTGTAAAACGTTTTAAAAGGTAGAAAATTATGTTTTACAGTGTGTTTTTTCCCAGAAAAAAATTAATCCGTATTTGAAATGAAATTCTTTATTTTAAGAATAAAATAAGGATGAAACAACTTAAGAGTTCTGATTTGCCTTCTTTCTATACTGACCTTGACTTTCTAATATATTCTTATTTAAAAATATATATTTGTAAATTTATATAAAAAATGGATTGGTGAGGCGAGGGAGTGAAATAGTAGAAAATGATAAGTGGAAATGCTATTCATCAACATTGTGATGACAGGTATCCATTTTTATATACACATGATGTTATATATTTAGTTAGACTATACTATTTATATTAATATATAAATATTTAACGATTTAACTAGTAGACTATACTGCTATACACATAACGTAATGTTAACGGTCTTGTTCGTTAATTAAAACTTTTTTAAAAATGTATTTTTTGATGTATTTATTCTTTAGGAAAGATTTTAGTGGCTATATGAAAGAAAAGTTTTGTTATATTTGATTTTAGATTTCTATCATATCCTTAGGACAAATAAATGGTCTCTGTCTTAAGAGAGTAGAGGCACAACCCTATTGGTGTGAAAATGTTTGATTGTTAATTTAGTTTGTAGATTTGTGAAACCTTAAAAGTTACATTGCTTAGTGCCTTTCATATCAACTCGTGGACAAAGCTGGCTTTAAATCTCAGGCCAGAATTCAGCCCAATTTAAACAAGTGTTAGTGTGAGTGTATTGTGTCTAAGATAGAAAAGTGTTTAGTAAGTTCAACGTTCCCCATGCTTACTGTCCAAGGCAATCCCTTCATCAAAATTCCTCACTGCACCACAGTCTAATATTGTTAGTGGATGTACAGGGTCACAGAGCATATCTTATTGGTCTGTACTAAGATAAGAACCAGAGTTTTGTTCTAGAGCTGTGAAATGAAATTAAAAATACTACACACAATGCAAGGATATGGAATAGGAGCATCAAAGCTCCCCAAAAAAGTGGTCTCGGATGCATTTGCAGCTATATAGTTTATTTGAGCATTTTATATTTAACAAGAAATAATGATAGGCTACCTGGAATTTGTTTCAAAATAATCCTGGAGGAGTGTGAGGTAGGTAAGATTATAGATAAAGGAAGACTGGCAATGGGTTGTTCAAGCTGGGCAATGGGTCCATGGTGGTTATTATTCTCATTTCTCTGCTTATAGATATTGGAAAATTTCTGTAATAAAAAGATAGAGAAAGAAGAGAAACTTGGCTTAAGGGAAAATAATGCTAGTTTGGTTATTGGGTCCTCTTCAGCACCTAAGTGGCTTTCTGGGTTAGGAGGCAGTGAGAGGTGAGGGACAGGGTGCTGTGCTGTGTGAGGACACCCGGCTGGGTGACTTTGAACAGGTCAGATCAGCCTCAGTTTTCTCGCCTGCAAAATCGGGTAGTTGAATGTGCTAAACTCGGAGGTGCTTCAGTTCCTGATTCTGTTGTTGGTCTCCAGAGACACCCTTACACCCTTGACTCCTTCCAGTCCCTGGCTGGGCATCTTGTTCTCCTCTGTTTTTTGGTTGTGGAAGGAACCTCACTGGCCTTCTTCAAGTGCCTCCCTCTCACATGTGCTTAAGCATTGGGAGAATCTGGCTCTTCACGTTACCAAGACTACCCAAGATGGGAGCAGGGCTCCAGACGTAACGTACGAAAACGAACATAAGATACAAAATGGTGTATCATACATTAGTTTTTTTCACATTGGAGAAAGATGTCATATCTAGAGGAAAACTGATATATTCAGTTGGTGCAAAAGTAGTTGCGATTTTTGCCATTACTTTTAGTGGCAAAAAACCGCAATTACTTTTGCACAAAACTAATATTTGGATATAACCAAGAGAAAGTTATTTTCTTCTTTAAAAAATTATCTCAAGCAGTGGAATCAAGCTGTTTGGATATGATCAGGGCCATTTGCTGTCTGATAATCAATGAAGTACACCTTAGGCCAGACCCACAACATCTTGAGGTATAAAAGAAAGTTCATTTCTTCCAAGAAAAGTAACTCTTCTACGTTTGTCCTTCTCTTAAACTCCTGGGTTGGTATTCACATGGATATGAACCTTATTGTGTTCTGCCGCACAGCGATAAATACCACTTTTCCTGGTATGGGTTTCTGTTATAGGAATTCTTAATTGGTAGTAGATAGGATGTAACACTAATTTATTAATGCATTGTAATAGCATGTTTATTATTGTAGTGGGAGTTAAGAAGGGTCCCATTCGTGGCCAGTTTTGGTGGTCCTTGAATCAGTTGTATTTTGGAGTGCTCATTCTACGTCTAAAGGACATCTTGCCCTATAAGGCAGGCTGGGCTTATGCCCCAGCTTCCAGTTCTCTGGCCTTGTTTTAAAGCAGAAAGTTTCCAATATCTTCAACTCTGATTTAGGCTGTTCAGTGTCTGGCTGTTAGATTCTAGGGCAGGAGAATAGATCTCTTTTCCGTCCACTTCTCTCAGATACCCCCCTTCATTTCTTTTCTTCTCCTGCATGAGAGGTCCCACGTAAGCTCTAGGTTCTTCTATCCCTTCCCTATTGTTAGAACTCAAAATGGCATTTACATCTTTTTTTCCCCTACATAATCATTTTTTCCCATTTTGCTTTGATTTGATTTGATTTGGTGGGAGGTGAGGATATAAACATCCTTCCTTTGGATTTTTATATATGCTTGTATCTCCCCAAAGCTAAGAGTACAAATGCCCTGCCTAAATAAACACAGTTGTTTCTCTAACTTATCACAGTGTATTACCATCAAAACCAAACTTACTGAAAATCTAACCTATCTCTGCTGCCTCTACTTTCTTTCTTCCCACATTCTCATTCCTTTTCCCACTGCAATCTATCTCTGTGTCCTGTATTCACCGAGGTTACTCCAAGCCTCCGAACCATTAAATTTAGTGTCGTTCTCTTATTTTCATTCATTTCAACCTCTACAACATTTTCCATTACTGAACAGTCAGTCCTGCCTTAATGTCCAAAATACCTCTTCCTTAATTTACAAAAGCTACCATTGTCTTGTTTGTCTTTGACTTCTCTTTCTCTCTTTTGCCTTTTCTCTTCTTCTTCTCATCACCCCTAACCCCCAGCAGGAAGGTTGCTATGTGCCTTAGCCCTTCTGTTGCTTTGAATATGCACTTCTTTCCTATACCCACATCCCTCAAACTGGCCCAGGCTCCAGCTGATGCCCATGCACATCTACCCAAGCACCTGATGGGTAGCACTATTTGAGGACAGCATGTTAACTCAAAATCCATTCATATGGTCTAAATGTATTTCTGTGGAAAACATGCTAGTTGCTAGGCACTGTTCTGGAAGCTGGTGTTCTGCAGCCAATAAGCAAGTGAGGTTCCTGCCCTCATGGAGCTTTCATTCTAGACAGGTAGGGTACTAATAAATGCTATGATGGACACAGGGAGTGAAGGAAGAGGGAGTGGAAAAGTACTATCTATAAATGCATTCCAACCAAAACAGATCCCCTGCCAACCCCAGCTATCCTTGTTACTGTAGACATGGCTTCCTTTGGCATCCAGACTTTGAACCACGGAGTTCTTTGACTCTTCTTTCTCTCACCATCTTCTACATTCTATCAGTTCCTAAAACGTTTGATTTATTTTCTCCTCACGCAGAGTCTTTAACATCAGCCTATCCTGTCAATTCCTGTTGTCTAGTCCTATCACCTAATGTCTCAATTAGTGCAACGTAGCTTTTTTGCTATGCTTATTTGTAGCTAGCTATAGAAATCTGTAGGCCACTAGAGAAGACAGGAAGAGGTAGGGTTCTAGCAGCAAGCTTACCTACGAGGGGAACCTGACCTAGCTGGTGAGGCTGACAGGGGAGGTTTGGGATGTCACAGGCTGTCAGGAAGCCGAGTGACCAAGATAATGACTTTACAAGTATCAAGCCTGGCAAATAGAGCAATGAGTACTTCACTACAAAATGGCACAAGTTCCAACAGGTAGGGTAAATCTCAGAGCATCCAGGTGAGCAGTATTAGAAAATTCAGGCAGTCCTCAGTAACCAGGGTATTCTTTTCTCAGGTAGGAGTATTTAGGTGGGGCAGATGGTGTCTGTTATGGGAATCAGAAAGACTTGAACAGGGCCTTGGTCACCCAGGCTGGTGTGCAGTGGTGCTATCACAGCTCACTGCAGCCTCAATCTCCTGGCTTCAAGAAATCCTCCCGCCTCAGCCTCCCAAGCAGCTGGGACCACAGGCACACGCCACGATGCCCAGTTAATTTTTGTACTTTTCTGCTGTACTTTTAGTAGAGATGGGGTTTCACCATGTTGCCCAGGTTGGTCTCAAACTCCCGGGCTCAAGCAATCTGCCCACCTCAGCTTACTGAAGTGCTGAGAGTACAGGCGTGAGCCACCTCACTCAGTCTATGGCCTTATCCTTTTTTAAAGAACAAGGGAATAGAGCTGATAAGTAGGACAGGAACTTACCAAAGGACTCAGGACAGAAACTTGCTATATAAAGTGGAACACAGGGAATGGATTTGGAAGAGGAGTCTCCCAAGATCCTAAGCCTGTGGTGCTGGAGCTACTGTTGCTAGAAATGACATAGCCCAAGAGCTGGGTGAGCAGGGAGAGGAGGGCTTGCTCTGGTCAGCAGCAGTGGCCCAACATGTGTGGATCTGGGGACATAGGTGGGCAGAGCACCCGTCTCCCCTCTTGCCCCTCCATATCCTCTTGGATAACCACCATCAGGAAACATTCCTCAGATGGGACTTTGCTCCTGTCACTTCTTGCTCAAAAAGTGTGACTGGGTCTGCATTGCTTCTTCAGTGAAACCCAGACTCCTCAGCTCTTCTCAGTTTAACCCAAACTGACCTTATCTTTTCTATTCGTCCATAGCTCTTGGACTTCAGTCATGCTGGGTCACTGGCTCAGCATGCCCCAAGCCTTCTTGGTCCCTTGGCTTTTCTTCTTGCTCTCTCCTGTTCCTATGAGCACCTCCTTCCTCCAGCTATACCTATTGAAATACTACCAATCATTCAAGGGTCAGTAACATGTCTCTTCCTCCTGCAGATATTCTTGACTTTGATTCAGCACCAGCTGATCCTCCTTTGCCTGTACTCCTGTTAGGACATGTTTATTTTAACTTGTTTTCTTGTTTAAGTGTCTGTCTTATGCTCCTAATTTACTACGTAAAGTATTTAAGGGCAGAGACTATCACATTCACTTTTGCTGCACTTCACATAGGTTCTTTATGTAATAACATACATGGGATGTAATAAAAAAAACATGCCTTGAATTGCTTCTTTATTAAATACCCACTGTAACCAAAAATGCAGTACTGGGTGCTTTAGGACTTTTTTTTTTTTTGGTGGGGGAAGGGGGTCTCATTCTGTTCCCCCAGGCTGGAGTGCAGTGGCACAATCACAACTCACTGCATCCTCAACCTCCCTAGGCTCAGATGATCCTCCCACCTGAGCCTCCCAAATAGCCGAGACTACAGGCACACACCACCACACTCGGCTAATTTTTGTGTTTTTTGTAGAGACAGGGTTTCACTGTGTTGCCGGGCTGTTCTCAAACTCCTGGGCTCAAACAATTCATCCTCCTTGGCTTCTCAAAGTGCTGGGATTACAGGCATGAACCATCATACCCTGCCTATGCTTTGGGACTTTATAAAAGAAATTGAAGATTTTAAAAATTATAACAAATTAAAATACTAACAAAACATGTACTTCACAATTACAGCCATGTACCACTGTTAAGAAGCCAATAAAATTGGAAAAAAATATTTTCCTATCTTTTGTCCTTATTTAAAAGTAAGTTATACTCCTGTATAAAGAAAATCAAGGCAACTTATCTTCAATAAAATGGAGACTTTTATTTGTGTTGGTGGTAATAGAAAAAGAATGCCTGTCTAGATTTTTAGGTAGCATTCTAGGAATCAGATCTTTGATTTTCTGAAGGTACTGTGTACTCCCTAATAGTAATAATAATGGCTAATTTTTATTGAATGCTGTTAGGTACCAGGTTCTGCTCCAAGAACTTGATTCATATTAACTCACTAAATCATCAGTACAACCTCATGAACTGCAATCTTTAAGGGCTACTATTATCCCAGTTCTACTGATGAGGAGACTGGGGCTAGAACATTCAGATGACTTGCCCAAGAAAACACACCTGGCAGTAGGCAAAGGCAATATTTGAACCTAAGCAATGAGGTCCCATAGCCAGTACTTTCGACCATTCACTAGTTGCATCTCTAAAAGGTGTCTTCCTACCCACATCAGAAAGGACTGATCACTGAAAGGTGGCTCTAATATATGGTTTTGCCTCACACATTAGTTTTTGCTGTAAGAAGGATTTTGTCTGAAGAATTACTTTATTTCTACTTGACTGGCCTGCTTTCCTCAGTGCACATGTAGAAAAATGGTTGGCAAGGATCAAAGTTATGTTTGGTCCTATTAAAGGATAATATTCTCTTGTAACCATAGAGACCTAATGTTGCTATTTAGGATTATTTTCCACATCTAGAAAGTAGGGCGAAGTTAAAGGATTTGCTTAAGGTGATATTTGTTAAGGATTGCTCTGGTTGCATTAATAAATGACAGCATTTTGATTTTGCTTGTCTTATTCCACTAAGAAGTTGGAAAGTTGGAAGTGTTTTTTTTTTTTTTTTTTTTTTTTGGAGACAGAGTCTCGCTCTGTCATCCAAGCTGGAGTGCAGTGGTATGATCTCGGCTCACTGCAACCTCTGCCTCCTGAGTTCAAGTGATTCTCCTGCCTCAGCCTCCTGAGTAGCAGGGACTACAGGCGTGTGCCATTACGCCCAGCTAATTTTTGTATTTTTAATAGAGACAGGGTTTCACCATGTTAGCCAGGCTGGTCTTGAACTCCTGACCTCAGGTGATCCACCTGCCTCGGCCTCCTAAAGTCCTGGGATTACAGGCGTGAGCAACCGTGCCTGGCCTAGAAGTGCTTTTATTTATCATTCACCCTCACATCATATTGGAGGAAGAGGAAGGAATCTTTCCTTTTTCCTAATTTACTGTATCAGGGAGAAGTTACGTAACCAGCCAAAGGCCACACAGCACATCTAGATCCACAGAGGGCTTCTTGCTTTGTGTTCGACACTTCTTTTTTTTTTTTTTTTTTTTTGAGACAGAGTCTCACTCTCGCCCAGGCTGGAGTGCAATGGCGTAATCTCACTCACTGCAACCTCCACCTCCCAGGTTCAAGCAATTCTCCTGCCTCAGCCTCCTGAGTAGCTGGGATTATAGGCATGCACCACCACACCCAGCTAATTTTTGTATTTTTAGTAGAGACAGGGTTTCACCATGTTAGCCAGGCTGGTCTTGAACTCCTGACCTCAGGTGATCCACCTGCCTCGGCCTCCTAAAGTCCTGGGATTACAGGCGTGAGCAACCGTGCCTGGCCTAGAAGTGCTTTTATTTATCATTCACCCTCACATCATATTGGAGGAAGAGGAAGGAATCTTTCCTTTTTCCCAATTTACTGTGTCAGGGAGAAGTTACGTAACCAGCCAAAGGCCACACAGCACATCTAGATCCACAGAGGGCTTCTTGCTTTGTGTTCGACACTTTTTTTTTTTTTTTTTTTGAGACAGAGTCTCACTCTCGCCCAGGCTGGAGTGCAATGGCGTAATCTCACTCACTGCAACCTCCACCTCCCAGGTTCAAGCAATTCTCCTGCCTCAGCCTTCTGAGTAGCTGGGATTATAGGCATGCACCACCACACCCAGCTAATTTTTATATTTTTAGTAGAGACGGGGTTTCAACGTGTTGGCCAGGCTGGTCTCAAACTCCTGACCTCAGGTGATTCACCCACCTAAGCCTCCCAAAGTCCTGGGATTATAAGTGTGCGCCACTGTGCCCAGCCAAGTGTTCGACACTTCTTTGTCCTCAGCAAGTGTTTACTGACCATCTTCATCTATTGTATGTGATACATACAATATGTCAGGAACTGTTACAGGCTCTAGGGATACTCTCATAGATTTTAGTGACATAAAAGAGACAATCTTCCTTCTTGCAAAAACTTGCATTCTAGTAGGAGAAGGAAGCAGAAAATAAACCCAAATAAGTTAGATACTGTACTAGAAAGTGAGAAGAGAAAATTAAAGCAAGGAATTGGAGTAGAGAATATGGGAGGGAGGTTACAGTTTCAAATCGGGAAATGTTCCTGGGAAGGTAACATTGAAGGAAAGGCAGGAAGGAGGGAAGGGAAAGCACTGAGAGAATCCTGGGAAGTCATCACAGAGTTAGCAATAGCATGCACTTTCAGTAATGGTGTGGACACATTGTGATTCTAGGCCTTTACAAATTTTGTCTGATAATGTAACCATTAAAATGCCTCACATTCACGAACCTCATGGTTGTTAATCTTTTTGTTGTTGAGACAGGATCTCACTGTGTTACCCAAGCTGGAGTGGAGTGCAATGGAGTGATCATGGCTCACTGAAGGCTTGACCGCCTGGGCTCAAGCAATCCTCCCACCTCAAGTCCCCTGAGTCATTGGGACCACAGGCATGGACCACCATGCCTGGCTAATTTTTGTGTTATTTGTGGAGACGAGATCTCGCTATGTTGCCCAGGCTGGTCTCAAACTCCTGATCTCAGGTGATTCTCCCACCCTGGCCTCCCAAAGTATTGGGATTACAGGCGTGAGCCACTGCACCTGCCTTGGTTGTCAATCTTGATATCTACTGCAGCTCCATGGCTCCTAACAAATTATGGAACTTCATTCTATACAATTTTACCAGAAGAGGAGCAGGGTTTAACTCTATAATATAAGCATTTTGTTATGGCTTTCTTTCTTCAACTCAAATTCGCAAGGCAGATTCTGACCCACCATCAAACCAAAAGTCAGAAAGCCAACCTCATGGAGTTCCAGTTTAGAATGGCGCATATGTTGGTGTTTTCTGGTGGACACAGTATCAAGTCCTATTGAGACTGCCTTTCTAAGTTGAAATAATAATGCATTATTGCCTCTGTCTTAAGCAATCCTTAACTTACAGACTGGTGGTGTCTCTGGTACTGCATTTTTAGATTATTTGGAATTATGGGTATGCTCCCAAACTAATTTACAAAATTGAGTTTAACCCATAATACGCCTGAAGCCTGGGACTATTAATATTTATTCAAATACAGCCAAACACTATTTATTGTTACTATAGTAAAACACTTTCATAATTTTCAATTGAAATTAAGAATTTTTGAGTTGTAAAGGATCTTAGCCATCTAGTTCTCTCTCTAGGGCAGGAATCAACCCTGTCTCCAGCAGCCCTGATAACATGCAGTCATTGAGCTTCTCCCTGAATTCCTTATTCCCAGCTCTAATTGTTGAGGAGGTTTCCTTTTGTGTTGGCCTGAAACAAATTATCTCCAGTCTTTCTAACTATCTTCTGATGTGTGTGTGTGTGTGTGTCTGTGTGTGTGTGTGTGTATCTCCTAATTACATTGTTACATGATCATCCTTCCATCTTTTCTTTAAGTTTGTTCATCCCTTTATCTATTGTCAGTTTCAGAGTTTCTCACCACAGGAGTGTACTAGATTGTCTAGGTCACTCAGTTTTTATGGAGTTCCTGGCCCAGTGCAGGTGTGTGCTAGGGACATGGTCATAAACAAGCCTGACCAGTTCCCTGTGCTCATGGAGTCCACAGGGTGCCTGTGCATCTGGCAGTACCTCATGTGTTCTTTCTTAGCTATTTTTAATCCTAAGCTAACATGGTGACTTTTCCAAAAGTTCTTATTATTTCTACTTCACCAACCACATTTTCAGTATTTAGAATTAAGTCTAGAATAGAATTTCATCTTACTTAAAGAGGAATTTACCAGTAAGAATTAAGCATCTTGTAAATGTCTAGGGAGCTGGAAGTTCCCATGAAAACTCTCTATCACTTTTCTGCTTATTTAATGTTCTCTTTGTGGAAAATATCACCCAGAGCCTCCTAACAGGGTGATCTGTTTTATTTTTTTATAACAATATATTTTCTGTTCTTTCTCTGTACCCTCATGTGGATATATGTACATATCATATCCACATTTCTTGGATGCTAGTTTCTCCGAAAGCACTAGAAGTCTCTGGCATTGGTTTTTTTTTCTATTCTGGCCACTGTCCTCCATGATATCTGGTTTTATACCATTTTGTGGGTGTTTTCTTCTCTCTTGAATTCAACTTTAAGATTCTCTTCAATAGGCCAATTTGGTGAGCATCTTCTTGGCATGTCATTTTTTTCTTAAATTTTTTTATTTTTAATGAATGCATAATTTTCGTACATATTTTGGGGTATATGTGATATTTTTATATAAGCATACAATGTGTAATGTTTAAATCAAGGTAATTGAGATATACATCACCTCAAACATTTATCGTTTCTTTTTGTTAGAAATAGTCCAGTTCCACTCTTTTAGTTATTTTGAGATATACAATATTGTTAGCTATAGTCACCCCATTGTGCTACTGAACACTAGATCTATTCTTTCTATCTAACTGTACATTTGTACCCCTTAACCATCCCTCCTCCCCACTACCCTTCCCAGCTTCTGGTAACTGTCGTTCTACTCTATCTCCATGAGTTCAGTTTTTTTGTTTTAGCTCCCACATATGAGTGAGAACATGCAACATTTGTCTTTCTGTACCTGGCTTATTTTACTTAACATAATGTCCTTCAGTTCCATCCGTGTTGCTACAAATGACAGAATTTTATTCTTTTTTATGGCTGAATAGTATTCCATTATGGTGGAATAATATTCCATTGTGTATATGTACTACATTTTCTTTACCCATTCATCTGTTGATGGACACTTAGGTTGATTCTATGTCTTGGCTGTTGTGAACAGTCTGGCATCTCATTCCTATTTTCATGTAATGAACCACATGTCTTGTCAGGCTATTGTAGGACTGTTATGGTCCAGAAAGTCAGATCTTGTCTTCGACACCATCAGTTGAAATGGCTTTTCCCATTTCTTTATCCACTCTTTTCATATGTCATGATCTCTAGCCAGAAGAGAAGAGAACCACATCTCACCTTCCACGCCTTCCTGTTTTCCACTCAGGACTTCTGACTAGCTAGACCATCCAGATGGCTTCTGAGGAAGACAATTATTCTTATTTTTAAAAATCAGTAGAGGAGGGTTTGAGGAGTTTTGATGTGCCCTCTTTCATGTCCTAAGAAACACATTGCAAGAAGACAGCGTTCCTTCTGATTAGCCAGGCAGGTCTATGCAAGGCTGTCATCTCTAGCACTGGCACCTCATCAAGAGCTCCTCAGTGACCACTTTTGACTTTTCCTGCTGGGTCTCATGAATCCTCCTTGTCATCCATTCATACAGCAAATATTCACTGAGCTTCTACCCTATGCCCAGATTCTGTTCTAGAGAAACAAGCTCATGAAGCTGCTATTCCAGGGAAGAAATACCAGGGAAGGGTGTTGTGGGGAAAATCAGAGTATACGTGGAGATCGAGAATAGCGGTCAGTGAGAGAAGCAAGACACTGGGTCGGAGTCTCTGGTACACCACCCTTCTCTATCTTACCTACTGCTCCATGCCAGATCTACACAGCACATCAATTCTCCCTCTCCTGTGTGTTATCTTTTTTCTCCTATTAACTCTTGACAGGACATCTTGGTTTTGTCAAGAGGTTGATCTCTTGGTTCCTATTTTTTCCTCAAAACATTTCTTTTTGTGTGGCTTTCTTAACTGTATAATTCTTCCGTTTTTTTCTTTTTTCTTTTTTTCTTTTTTTTTTGAGACAGAGTCTTGCTGTGTCTCCCAGACTGGAGTGCAGTGACATGATCTCAGCTCACTGCAGCCTCTGCCTCCCAGGTTCAAGCGATTGTCCTGCCTCAGCCTCCCGAGTACCTGGGATTACACGTGTGTGAGACCCCACTTGGCTAATTTTTGTTTGTTTGTTGTTGTTTTGAGATGGAGTCTCACTCTGTCACCCAGGCTGGACTGTAGTGGCACGATCTCGGCTCACCGCAAGCTCCGCCTCCTTCATGCCATTCTCTTGCCTCAGCCTCCCGAGTAGGTGGGACCACAGGTTCCCGCCACCACGCCTGGCTAATTTTTTTGTATTTTTAGTAGAGACGGGGTTTCACTGTGTTAGCCAGGATGGTCTCGATCTCCCGAACTCGTGATCCACCCGCCTCAGCCTCCCAAAGTGCTGGGATTACAGGCATGAGCCACCGCGCCCAGCCTAATTCTTTCATTTTTTTCTAGAAAACATTCACCTTTTCCAGACTAGAGCAAAGGATGATGCGACCCAACTTCTTTCACCTTCCCTTTTAGTGGGAAAGCTGGTTTATATTTATAGATTGCCTCTTGGTGGCTCCTCTCCAAGGAAGAAAAATAGAGGTCCCAGCCCCGAGTTTCTACACAGTCCCAGACCATGGGGTGTCAGGGTTACCTTTGGTTGTTTTTGGCAGCCCCTCTTGGAAACATTTCCTGTAAATAGCCCCTCAACAAACTGGGCCTTTAAAAATGGGGCTTTTTTGTTGAGCCCTGGTTTGTGCCAGCTATGTCAATCCCTTGACCTTTCAGAAAACACAAGTAGCTTTTTGACTTTTCCAAAATGTTTTCCTGCCTTGCCTCTCTCTTTGGTTGTGGCCATGGGCCAATGAGCCTATAGTTCACTGGAAAATGTATGTATTCATTCTGACAGCTCCAGTGTGGACTCCTGAGATTCTTCTTAGAAATAGCTGTGGTGTGGCATATGCTGGAGGCAGATGTACAAAGGTACCATGAACAAGTTCACTTTCTATGGCGAATATGTGATCATGACCTTCTCCAAAGAGGTTATCTCTTGGTCATTCACCATGTGGGTGTTTCCTCTTTGTTTTATATGTGTCTGTGTATATGTGTGTATAGTGCTAAGAATTTTAATATACGTATAGTTTTGCATAATCGCTACCACAGTCAGGATATATCAGAGTTCTGTCACTCCCCAAATCTCCTTTGTGCTGTCTTTTTTTTTTTTTTTTTTTTTTTTTTTGAGGCGAAGTCTCTCTCTGTCACCCAGGCTGGAGTGCAGTGGCGTGATCTCGGCAAGCTCCGCCTCCTGGGTTCATGACATTCTCCTGCCTCAGCCTCCCGAGTAGCTGGGACTACAGGCGCCCGCCACCATACCCGGCTAATTTTTTGTATTTTTAGTAGAGACGGGGTTTCACCATGTTAGCCAGGATGGTCTCGATCTCCTGACCTCGTGATCCGCCCACTTCAGCCTCCCAAAGTGCTGGGATTACAGGCGTGAGCCACCGCGCCCGGCCTGTGCTGTCTTTTTATAGTCACGCCTTCCCAACCCCTAACTTCTGGCAACTACTGGTCTGTTCTTCTTCACCATAGTTTTGTTGTTTCAAGAATGTCATAGGCTGGGCAGGTGGATCACGAGGTCAAGAGATCAAGACCATCCTGGCCAATATGGTGAAACCCCGTCTCTACGAAAAATACAAAAAATTAGCTGGGCATCGCCTGTAATCCCAGCTACTGGGAGGCTGAGGCAGGACAATCACTTGAACCCGGGAGGCAGAGCTTGCAGTGAGCCGAGACTGAGCCACTGCACACCAGCCTGGCAATAGAGACTCTGTCTCAAAAAAAAAAAAAAAAGAATGTCATATAAATGGAATCATTCAGTGTGAAATCTTTGGAGACTGGTTTCTTCCACTTTGCAGAGTGACTCACGAGAGCTTCCTCCAGGTTGTTGCATGTATTCATCATTCCATTTTTTGTTGAATAGTATTTCATGGAATAGATGTACCACAGTTTATCCATACATGAAAGACACATGGGTTGTTTCTAGTTTGGGGTAATTATAAATAAAGTTGCTATAAACATTCTTGTGTACATTCTTGTGTGAGCAAAAGTTTTCATTTCTTTAGGGAAAATGTGTAGGAATGGGATCTTGGGGTCATATGTTAAATGTGTGTTTAACTTTATAAGCAAATGCCAAACAGTTTTCCAGAGTTTTGCATTCCTGCAAGTAGCAGAGAAAAGTTTCAGTTGCTCCACATCCTTGTCAACACTTGGTATTGTCATTATTTTTTGTTGTTAAGGTAAAAACATTTGTCATAAAATTCACTATCTTAACCATTTTTAAACGTGCAGCTCAGTAGTGTTCAATATATTTACATTGTTCTATGAATAGATCTCCGGAACTTTTTCATCCTGCAGAACTGAAACTCTACATCTATTAGCCAACTTCCTTTTTGCCCCCCCAGTAACCCACCATTCTACTTTCTATCACTATGAATTTGACTACTTTAGATCCCTCATATAAGTGGACTCAGATAGTATTTTTTTGTGACTAGTTTATTTCACCTAGCATAATGTCCTCAAGTTTCCTCCATGCTGTAGCATGTGACAAGATTTCCTTTTTTCAAAGACTGTGTAGTATACTACATTGTTTAAATCCATTCATTGGTCAGTGGACATTTGGGCTGCATCCATCTCTTGGCTATTGTGGATACTGCTGCTCTGAACATAGGTGTGCTGTAATTAGTTTTATGTTAACCATTCTAGTAGGTATGTAGTGGTATTTTGTCATGGTTTTAATTTCCCTAATGGGCTAATGATGTTGAACTTTTTTATTGATACATAATATTTGTGTATATTTATAGGATACATGTGATATTTTGTTCCATTCATATACTGGGTCATGATCAGGTCAGGGTATTTAGGATATCCATCACCTCAAACATGTATCATTTCTACCATTGGGGACATTTCAAATCCTCTTTTCTAGCTGTTTTGTAATATACAATACATTGTTGCAATTGCAGTCACCCTACTGTGCTATTAAACATTAGAACTTATTTATTTGATGTAACTGTATGTTTGTACCCATTAATCTGCCTCTCTTTATCCCTTCCCCCACTGACACCCACACACCCTTCCCAGCCTCTCGTAACTGTCATTCTACTCTCTACCTCTATCAGATCAACTGTTTTAAACTCCCACCTATGAGTAAGAACATGTATTTGTCTTCCTGTGCCTGGATTATTTTACTTAACATAATTTCCTCCAGTTGTATCTATGTTGCTGCAAATGACAGGATTTTATTCTTTTTTTTTTATGGCCAAACAGCATTCCATTGTGTGTACATAATCATATTTTCTTTATCCATTCATCTTTGATGGACACTTAGGTTGATTCCATATCTTGGCTATTGTTAACAGTGCTACAATAAACATGGGCATGCAGGTATCCTTTTGATATACTGAGTTCCATTTTTGTGGGGGTGAGTACCTGGTAGCGGGATTGCTGGATCATATGGTGGCTCTATTTTTAGTTTTTTTGAGAAACCTCCATACTGTTTTCTGTAATGGCTGTACTAATGTACATTCTTACCAACACCGTGTAAGAGTTCCCATTTCTTTGAATCCTCACCAACATCTGTCATTTTTTGTCTTTTTGATAATAGCCATGCTAACTGAAGTAAGATATATCATTGTGGTTTTGATTTGCATTTCCCTGATGATTAGTGGTTTTTTCATATACCTGTTTGCCATTTGTATGTGTTTTTGAGAAATATCTATTCATATCTTTTGCCCACATTTTAATGGGATTATTTGGTGTTTTGTTGTTGAGTTATTTGAGTTCCCTGTACATACCTCAACATATTAAAGCCCTTATATGACAAACCAACAGCTAACATAATGCTGAATGGGGAAAAGTTAAAAGCCTTTCCTCTAAGAACTGGAACAAGACAAGGATGCCCACTTTCACCTCTCCTATTGAACTGGAAGTCCTAGCCAGAGCAATTAGGCAAGAGAAAGAAATAAAAGGCATCCAGAATGGAAAAGAGAAAGACAAACTGCAGATGACATGATTTTATATCTAGAAACTCTTAGATCTGATAAACAAATTCAGTAAAGTTACAAGATACAAAATCAACATAAAAATCAGTGGTGACTCTTTTCTTTCTTTCATTCTTTCTTTCGTTCATTCGTTCTTTTGTTCTTCTTTCTTTCCTTTTTTTTTTTCTTTCTTTTTTTTTTTTTTTTTTTGAGACAGGGTCTTACTCTGTCACTTAGGCTGGAGTGCTGCATAGATGCTTACTGCAGCATCTACCTACAGGGCTTAGGTGATCCTCCCACCTCAGCCTCCCGAGTAGCTGGGACTACAGGCGCACACCACCACACCTGGCTAGTTTTTTATATTTTTTTGTGGAGACAGGGTTTCACCATGTTGCCCAGGCTGGTTTCAAACTCCTGGGCTCAAGTGATCCACCAGCCTCATGAGATTTTTCACAGACGTAGAAAAATTTGTATGGAACTAAAAAAGAGCCCAAACAGCCAAAGCAATCCTGAGCAAAAAGAAGAAAGCTGGAAGCATCATAGTACCTGACTTCAAAATATATTACAAGTCTATAGTAACCAAAACAGCATGGTATTTGTATAAAAACAGACACATAGACCAATGGAATAGAATAGAGAACCCAGAAATAAAACTACACATTTACAGCCAACTGATTTTTGATAAAGGTGCCAAGAATATAGATTAGGGAAAGAACATCCTCTTCAATAAATGGTGCTGGAAAAAGTGAATATCTAAACACAAAAGAATGAAAATAGACACCTATGTCTCACAGTATATAAAAATCAACGCAAAATGGATTAAAGACTTAAACAGAAGACCTAAAACTATGAAACTACTAGAAGAAAACATAGGAGAAACACTCTAGAACATCAGTCTAGGCAAAGATTTTATGTCTAAGACCTCAAAAGTATAGGCAACAAAACAAAAAAGCACAAATTTGACTATATTAAACTATTAATAAAAAGTTTCTGCTCAGCAAAGGAAGCAGTCAACAGAGTGAAGAGACAATCTGTGGAATGGGAGAAAATATTTGCAAAATATTCATCCAACAATGAACTTCTTTTCATGTACGCATCTGCCATCCATATATCCTCTTTGATGAAGTTTCTATTCAGGTCTTTTGCCTGTTTTTTAATTGGGTTATTTGTTTTCTTACTATTGAATTTTGAGATTTCTTTATATATTCTAGATACAAGCTCTTTGTTGTATATGTGATTTGCAAATATTTTCTCCCACTCTGTAGATTGTCTTTTCATTCTTATAACAGTACCTTTTGCAGAGGAAAAATTTTTAATTTTAATGAAATCCACCGTATCAGCTTCTTTTAAAATAGATCATGCTTTTGGTCTCCTGTCATGCCTAATCTCAGGTCACAAAGATTTTTATCCTATGTTTTCTTCTAAATGTTTTTATAGTTTTATGTTTTACATTTAGATCTATGATCAGTTTTAGGATCATTTTTATGCAAGGGGTGAGGTTTGGGTCAAGGCTGGTTTTTTGCATGTAAATGTCTAGTTATTTCAATATCATTTGTTGAAAAGATCATCCTTTTTCTATTAAGTTGCCTTTGTACTGTTTTAAAAATCAATAAGCATATATTGTTCTTCCACATATTCTCTTTGGTAAAAGTCTTTTGTCCAATTTTTACTGAGTAGTTTGTTTTCTTAATGTTCAGTTTGAGAGTATTATATCTTCTAGGTTCAATGCCTTTGTCAGATATGTTACTTGGTGATATTTTCTGCCAGGCTCTAGTAGCTTGTCTTTCCATTCTTTAACAGTGTCTTTTAAGAGCAAAGGCTCTTAATTTTGATGAAATACCATTTTTTTTCTCTTTTCAGATCATGCTTTTGGTGTCATGTGTAAGAAATTTCAACAGCATTTGTTGAAACGACTATTACCTTTGCACCTTTGTTCAAAAATTGATTGGCAACATATATGTGGTCTATTTCTGGACTCACTATTTTATTCTCTTAATCTGTGTCTATTCTTTCACCAATATCACACTATCTTGATTATTATAGCTTTATAAGTCTGAAAATTAGGTAGTGTGATTTTCCAACCTTATTCTTCATTTAAAATTGTTTTAACTAATCTAGTTTGTTTGGCTTTCATTTAAATTTTAGAACCAACTTGTTTTTATTGTTGAAAAATTACTGCTGGGGTACTTTTTTTTGGCTAGGATTTTTATTTAAACTGCATTAAATCTATGCTGCAGTTTGGGTAGAACTGATACCTATACCATATTGAACTTTCTAATTTATGAACTGGTATGCCTCTCCATTTGATTAGCTTTTCCATTTTTTTATTAGCTTTTGAAGTTTTTAGAAAACAGTTAATAAGTTTATACTTCAGTATTTGTTTTCTTTATTTTTTAGCTACTGTAAATTATATATATTTTTAAATGTCAATTTCCAGTTGTTCCTTGTATCATGCTACCTTATTAAACTCACTTATCAGTTCTAGTAGTTCTAGTGAAAATACCTTAGGATTTTCTACATGGACAATTATGTCATCTGTGAATGGGAATCATTTTATTTCTTCCATTCTAACCTGCATGTTTTTTATTTTTTCTTCCCTTTTTTCACCAGCTAGGACTTGTACTACAATAGTAAACAGCAGTGTTGAAGGAGATATCCATGCTTTGTTCCTATTCTTAGGGGGAAAGCATTCATTAAGTATGATGTTGGTGTAAGATTTTTTGTGTGTGTTTGTTTGTTTGAGACGGAGTCTTGCTCTGTGGCCCAGGCTGGAGTGCAGTGGCGCGATCTCGGCTCACTGTAACCTCCGCCTCTTGGGTTCAAGCGATTCTCCTGCTTCAGCCTCCTGAGTAGCTGGGACTACAGGCACGTGCCACTGCACCTGGCTAATTTTTGTATTTTTAGTAGAGACGGGGTTTCACTATGTTGGCCCCAGGCTGGTCTGGAATTCCTGACAACATGATCCGCCTGCCTCAGCCTTCAAAAGTGCTGAGATTACAGGCGTGAGCCACCACGTCCAGCCCAGTTGAAGGTTTTTATACATGCCCTTTATTAGGTTGAGGAAGTTCCTTTTTGTTCCTGACTTTCTAAGAGTATTTATTATGAATAGATATTGGATTTCTCAAACGCATTTTTCTGGATCAATTGATATGGTCATTTCAGTTTTTTTCTTTAGACCACTATTATGGTTGATTACATTGGCAGATTTTTGAATTTTGAACCAGTTTTTGCATCCTTAGGATAAGTCCCACTGTGTTGTTTTGTTTTGTTTTGTTTTTTGAGACGGAGTTTCGCTCTTGTTGCCCAGGCTGGAGTGCAATGGCACGGTCTTGGCTCACAGCAACCTCCGCCTCCCAGGTTCAAGTGATTCTCCTGCCTCAGCCTCCGGAGTAGCTGGGATTATAGGCATGAGCCACCACGCCCGGCTAATTCTGTATTTTTAGTAGAGATTGGGTTTCTCCATGTTGGTCAGGCTGGTCTCGAACTCTGGACCTCAGGTGATCTGCCCGCCTCGGCCTCCCAAAGTGCTGGGATTACAGGCATGAGCTACGGCGCCCAGCCAGCCCCACTGTGTTGTGGTGTAGTATTCTTTTTATATGTTGCTGGATTTTATTGAATAATATTTTGTTGAGGATTCATGGTATTGATCTGTAGTGTTCTTGCACTATCTTTGTCTAGGTTTGATATCAGGGCAACACCAACTTTATACAATCAGTTGGCAACTGTTCCCTCCTCTTCTGTTCCTGGAAGAGACTGTGTAGATTTGTTGTTATTTTCTTCTTGAAATGTTTGGTAGAATAAACAGTAAAGCATTATGGACCTGAAGATTTCTCTTTTGAAAGATTTAAATAGCATATTCAATTTCTTTTATAGTTATAGGACCATTCAGGTGATCTCTTTTAACTTGGGTAAGTTTAAGCAGGCCCTCTGGTGCTTTGAAATGGAAAAGAAAGTGAAACTTTTCCTCTAGATTTCTTTATGGTTAACCAACTGCCTTATCTCCTTCCATAAAGTCTATGTGCAAATGCTACTTTCTCAGTGAGATCTATCTGGATTGTTCTATTTCAAATCTCTCCTCTCCCCCAGAATTCTTTAAATTAAATGGCCTTGTTGACATATAATTGATATACCAAACAGTTCACCCATTTAACGTGTGCAACTCAATAGGTTTTAGTAATATTCATGAGCTGTGAAACCATCACCACAATCAATTTTAAACATTTCCATCACTCTAGAAAGAAATCCCATACTCATTAGCAGTCATTCCCCATTTCACCAGTCTCCCAGCTCTACTTTCTATCTCTGCGGGTTTGCCTATTCTTGATATCTCATACAGATGGAATCATACAATACATATGTGGTCTTTTATGACTGATATCTTTCACTTAGCAAGCTTTCATTGGTCATCTATGTTGTAGCGTGTATCAGTACATCATTTCATTATCAAATACCAAACATTCCATTGTATGAATATACCACATTTTATTTATTCATCAGTTGCTGGACGTTGGGTTTCTTTCTATTGGCGGCTATTATGAATAATGTTGCTGTGTGCATTTGTATATAAGTTTTTGTGTACATATATGTTTTCACTTCTCTTGGTTTCATTTCTCTTGGTTATATACCTAGAAATGGAATTGCTTAGTCATGTGGTAATTCAATGTTTAACATTTTGAGGAACTGCCAAACTGTTTTTCAATGCAGCCACACCATTTTATATTCCTACTAGCAGTGTATGAGCATTCTAATTTCTCTACACTCCAGCCAACATTTATTACTACCTGTCTTTTTTTATTATTGCTATCCTGGTGGGTATAAAGTAGCTCCACCCAGCACTTTTGATTACTCCTTGTCTTTTCTTTTCTGATTTATTTATTTATTTGAGACAGGGTCTTGCTCATTCACCCATGCTGGAGTGCAGTGGTGTGATCATTTCTACTGCAGCCTCTAACTCCTGGGCTCAAAGCAATCCTCCTGCCTCAGCCTCCCAAGTTGCTAGGACCAAAGGCATGCACCACAACACCCAACTTAATTTTAAAAAAAAATTTTTTTTCATAGAGATGGAGGCTTGCTCAGCTGCCCAGGCTGGGTGTCCAACTGGCTTCAAGTGATTGTCCTACCTTGACCTCCCAAAGTGCTGGGATTATAGATGTGAGCCACCATGCCTAGCCTGATTCCTCCTCTTTTTCTACCTTACTTTTTTCATTTTCCATAGCACATTTTACCGTCTAACATCTATAAATTATTTCTATTGTTTGTTATCTGACCCCACTTCCTAGTAGATTATAAATTCCATGAGAACAGGGATTTTTGTTTTCTTCTTTGGTGAGATCTCAAAGAAACTTGTATAGTGCCTGGCTTATGTTAAACATTCAGTAAATGTATATTGAATGAACGAATGAATGAATGAATGGCTCTTGATGGACCTTATCCCATCCTATATATGGAGCATTTGCAAGTGAATCTTTTCGATTTGGAAAGTGCTGGATTTGGGGTGAGGGGTAGGGAATGACTGCTTGTTTTCAATCCTTCTTTAGTGTTCATACCACTGAGAGTTGCTTAAAACAGCCTCAAGAAACCCTGAAAAGCCATAACAGACTAAATGAATATTTTACCAATTTAGTGGGTAGGGTGGGGAGCTATTCTCTCATGAATGGATAATGACCTTAAGTAACTGTGACTGCTCTGTATGGCAGCATTGCAAAGGTCAATGTGGGAACATCTTTCTCAGAAAGGAAGTGTGGTGGGGGTTGTATTTTAATTCAACCATTTGTGTTCTTGTGTATTTCACAACAAAACCTAATGAGACCAAATGAGTGCTAGAAATTCTGTGGGCAAGAGATATTATATAATAATTTTATTACGTATGCTTTTAAAAAATATCGTCTATTATTTTCCTAAAGGTATATAATTGTGTTAAAACAGATTTCCTCTATGTGCTCTAAATATAAAGGAGACTAATTATTTCTCCCCTTTTCTTCTCCCAGTAGAATGGATTTTTTTTCTTGGTTCAATCTTTTTATACATAGGTGGATGGAAAGACTCATTATGGCCCATCTTTTTATTTATGGAGCATTTATTATTCATTATAGGTCTATTCTAGTGGTAAAACCCATTTATGGGAAAGAGTAATAGAATATGAGTGCTAACTTTTTGTGCATTTGTCATAATTGAAGTTAGTGGTTTTATAAATATGGGATGCTTCCACCATGGGTTTAGAATAGCCCAGCTGCACAATAAATGGCCTAACCATCAGGTCCTACCTCTTACAGATCGATAAAACCATGAAATCTTTTTTTCTAAATGGAGTTGAGGAGTCTCCCTTGCTTCCTGTACATTCTGGAAAAAGTGGGATATTGTGTTTAATCCAAGCCGAGCTCTGGATTTAAATGGGTTGCACCATAGACCTGACTAGTATCTCAAGTCTCCCGTCTTTTCCAGGGGGAGTTAGGTTTTTCTAGTGAATTCAGATAAGCAAGGCATTTTCACTGAGCATTCTGTGAAAGCATTCTCAAATGAGACATGGATGCTACTGATTTTGCTGATTTCTGATTACAAATGACACATTTTAAAAATCACACACATAGAATGAATTGCAGAATTGTTAACTTGCTTTCCCTTTTTTTTCCATCACATTTGATTGCTAAGGGGGATGTGGAGAAAAGGAGCACTGTTCCCACCCACATCTTAATTAAATAAGGCCTCCATTGGGTTGAGACAAAGTGGGTTTGTATTGCTTTAAGAGAAGATCCGATTGTTTATATCCCTTGCTTGGGTGGATAATTTCCTAATTTCATTTTCCTTTGGAGTGGTGCCACTTTAAACACTTTTAAAGGTACTACAGAAGCCCTTCTGGCCTGGGTCAGAGAATTCATGTCAGGAAAGTCCATTATTTTATTTCCTTTGCATATTATTTCCCTTTGTGGTTTTGTTTTGTCTTTTTCATCCTGTGATATGAATCTGGTCCTTATCACTGAGGGCTAAGTCCTGGAAAGTGACTGTTTTTTGGCTTACATATTTTCCTGATTTATTTCTCACTTAGAATATAAGATGCAATCTTAATTTTTACTTCTTTTGTGTTAGGTGTTTGCTCACCTAGGCTTATAACACTTTTTGTCCGAAGGTTTCTCCAACTGATTCCCAAGCCTAGACTGTAAGTTTTGAAATTGGTACTCATGAAGTTTCCTTTATTCCAAAGTATAAGTGTTTACTTAGTACCCATAAGACAGGGCGTAAGAGGCTATATACAAAAATACAAGATAATAAAAAAACATGATTGGAAAGAAGACTAGATATTAGAAAATTATTAGAAAACTGATTATGCATTATCGTGATGAAAATTCTTTCTTGTCTGTTTTTCATTTCAGCATTTATAGAAATCTATAGTCCTAAAATATTTTACAATTTGATTTTATTTTAAAATCCATAATGTAAATTTACCATCTTAGCCATTTTAGGTTTACGGTTCAGTAGTGTTAAGTATATTCACATCGTTGTGCAACAGACCTCCCGAACTTTTTCATCTTGCAAAATGAAAACTCTGTGCCCATTCAACAACTTCCCATCCCCCCACCCCACCACTTACCCTCTGTAATGTTTTTTTAAAAAAACTTCAGATGAATCAAATGCAAAACATTATTGACACCAATGAAAGTTTAATCACCTGTGTTAAGTAAGACAGTGACATATTGCTGGCATTCCGTCATCTTTTCTTTTTGCTGAGTTTTTCATTTCAATTCAATGCTAAAAAGTTCAAATTAGTTACTACCCCATGAGGCTTGAAAATGTTCCCTTTGGATAATTTGGGTAATTTCTATATGTGTAGCATTGTGAAGTAAAGTAGTTTTTCCTAAAAAAATTAAAGTTTAAAAAATGTATTTCTGTTACTCATTTGAAGTTTCATTTAGGATTAAACTTAATATAGGAAAAAGATATGTGGGTATTAATAATAATGATAACTAACTCATTGAGTATTTACTATGTGTCAGGCACTCTTTTAATTAATTATTAATAAATTTTTATAGACACGTTCTCTCTCTGTCACCCAGGTGGGAGTGCAATGGCACAATCATAACTCACCTTAACCTCTAACTCCTGGGTACAAGCGATCCTCCTGCCTCATCCAGATAATTTTTTAATTTTTTGTCGAAATGGAGTCTCACTATGTTGCTCAGCCTGTGATACTATTTTAAATGCCTGCAATCTTCTCAGTTACCCTATGATGCAGGTTACTATTATAATCTCACTTTTACTCCTGAGTAAACTAGCGAGGCACAGAAAAGTTAGGTAATCACCCTAAGTTCCAGGCCTTATGCAAAGCATAGCCAGTATTTAATCCTCAGAACCCTGCCTTGAGTTTGCATTCTTAATCCCTATACTATGCTGCCTTCTAGGTCAATAAGCATGTCAAATGAAAATATTGGTGGATTATTATCAAGGAATATGCAAATGTATACAGGAGAAATGGAAAGTAGAGGAGAAAAAAACTCCTATTTCTTTGGTCTGTAATTTATGCCAAACCCTTTACAATTTTTTTTTTTTTTTTTTTTTTTTTTTTTTTTTTTTTTGAGACGGAGCCTTGCTCTGTCACCCAGGCTGGAGTGCAGTGGCAAGATCTCGGCTCACTGCAAGCCCCGCCTCCCAGGTTCAAGCCATTCTCCTGCCTGAGCCTCGGAGTAGCTGGGACTACAGGCACCCGCCACCATGCCCGGCTAATTTTTTTGTATTTTTAATAGAGACGGGGTTTTACTGTGTTAGCCAGGATGGTCTCGATCTCCTGACCTCGTGATCCGCCCGCCTCGGCCTCCCAAAGTGCTGGGATTACTGGCGTGAGCCAACACGTCCGGCCTACAAGATATTTTAATCATCCTAACGTCTATTCATGCTAGGTTTTAGTGCCTGTGTTTTCACATGTGGAAATAAAGGCTCAGAGAAGTTGGGGAGTTTGCCTGTGTTCACCTACCAATAACTTGCAGGGTCTGGATTTGAACACAAAGGTATATTCTTAAGAGGACTGGAATACATCCTATATAAAAGTATTCTATTATATAGAGTCTATTATATATAATGTAATATAACATCGTGAACTTCTATATAAATATTATATAGGAATGATATTTATTTTATACCTTTCTGTAAATATTATACAGGAAACAATATAGGACAAGAATACTTCTACACATAACATATTCTAGACCTCTTAAGAATTATATATATTATATATATGTCTATGTAGTATATAGCAGTCTATTCTTTTTAAATTAAATTAAATTTTATTTATTATTATTTTTTAGAGTGATGGTGTCTCACTGTATTGCCCAGGGTGGTCTCGAACTCTGGGCTCAAGTGATCCTCCTGTCTCGGCCTCTCAAAGCTTTGGGATTACAGGCATGAGCTGCCACACCCAGCCCAGTCTATTCTAACCTATTGTATGAAATATTCTATTATATATAGTATGTATTAAGATAAATATATTCTTCCTTCTACATTTCATAGCCTTTCAGTCTTCAAGAAGGATGAGACCCTGATATTACCCAAATAATCACAATATTTGAAACACAGAGTGGCAAGGAGGGATTATTGAAAAGAGCATAATGTCTAAGTACAAACTTAGCTTTGCTATCAAACCTTAAGTGTTACAGTTTCAGCTACAGTGAAAAGTTACCTTTCCCCAAACTGCATTTTTGTGTTTATCTTAGAAAATAAAAACTTCAGTTGAAACTACCCATTTTCCTATCACTGCAGGGTTGGGCAGGAATCAGGTGTAGTTTATCTTTCCTGCTTTAGTTTAGGCCTGGACCAGTTTTGCCAAAGGAATACTGTTCTTTACAAATACTGTGCTCTCTGTTGTGTAGGCAAGATGGTAGGTAGTGGACAGAATGTGAAGAATGCTCCAGAAAATAAACTTTTTAATCATCTTAAGAAACCTGGTCTGATTGGATATGTAAAATGAAAGTAATAAACATGGATTTGGGGAAATTCCTACTCAAATCTTCTTACAACTTAGACTGGTTATCCCCACCTACCTGAGTTGGTGTTGTTTTAATATGTATTGTTCATGGCTCAACTCAATAAAAAATAGGCTTTTAAAGATTATACATTTTTGGCCAGGCGCTGTGGCCCACGCCTGTAATCCTAGCACTTTGGGAGTCCTAGGCAGGCGGATCACAAGGTCAGGAGTTCGAAACCAGTGGGGGGCGCCTGTAATCCCAGCTACTCAGGAGGCTGAGGCAGGAGAATCGCTTGACCCGGGAGGCAGAGGTTGCAGTGAGCCGAGATTGTGACACTGCACTCCAGCCTGGGCGACAGAGGGAGACTCCATCTCAAAACAAAACAAAACAAAAGATTATACATTTTTTTTCATGACCCCCCTGAAAAGATCAACCTAAAATATAAAGAATTTCAGCCACCTTTACCCCAGGGCAATAGAATTAGATCTTTAAATGAGTTGGGACCAGCACAGTGACTCATGCCTGTAATCCTAGCACTTTGGGAGGCCAAGGTAAATGGATCACTTGAGCTCACGACCAGCCTGGGCAACATGACAAAACCCCATCTCTTAAAAAAAATACAAAACAAAAATTAGCTGGGCATGGTGGTGCATGCCTGTAGTCCCAGCTACTTAGGAGGCTAAGGTGAGAGGATGGCTTGAGCCCGGGAGGCGGAGGCTGCAGTGAGCCAAGATCGTGCAACTGTACTCCAGCCTGGGTGATAGAGCAGGACCTTGTCTCAAAAAAAAAAGAAAGAAAGAAAGAAAGAAAATTAAATGAATGGAAATGTCTTCATTTAGGATGCTTTAGTGTCACTAAGATTTCTTTTCTATCTAATCTTGCTTGCTGTTGACTGATGAAATGAGATATTATCCCATCTTGATCAAAGGTGTTGAGTCCCTGAAATGTGTAGATTGAAAGCAGATCATGGAGAAGGGTGTTAGAAGTTCAGGCTCTCTGGAGCTTCTCTTCCAATGGCTATTGTTTATGATCTCTTAGTTTGAAAAGCTTCATTACCATTTACAGCTGAGATTCACTTTATTTATTTATTATTTATTTATTTATTTTTGAGACGGAGTCTCTCTCTGTCCCGAGGCTGGAGTGCAGTGGCACGGTTTTGGCTCACTGCAAGCTCCGCCTCCCGGGTTCACTCCGTTCTCCTGCCTCAGCCTCCCAAGTAGCTGGGACTATAGGCGTGCACCACCACGCCCATCTAATTTTTGTATTTTTAGTAAAGACAGGGTTTCACCATGTTAGCCAGGATGGTCTCGATCTGCTGACCTCATGATCCACCAGCCTCGGCATCCCAAAGTGCTGGGATTACAGGTGTGAGCCACCGCACCCGGCTGCGAGATTCACTTTAAAATCAGTTCTCTAGCCTGTTCTTTTTGGGACGAGATTAGAGTGTAATTTCTCTAGGGATGATTATCATTATTCGTATTTCAAACATTGGTCCCCTCTGTGGTGTCACTGTGTCTTAGGTTTACCATCTTTTACTGTAAAGAAACAGGAAATGGAAACACGCAAGCTTTTCTTTGAACTAGATGAATTCAAAAACACCTGTCTTAGGCATTCGTGTTTCTTATGAGTTTGCGAGAGTCCGAGTGAAGGGGAAGGACAGGCTGTGTTACACGTAGCACTCAAATCTTCGCTTCTAATTACTCTCCTGAGATTGCTTGTACTTCCTGGCCCTTCTGGGATTGAGGACTTGCTCATTGTTTGAATCTTGGACCTTTATTCCTTCGGAATTAGAACCATAGGTCCCCATGGGCTGATCTCCCATGTCCATTCCCTTCTGCTGTTTGCGCAGGTCTAAGACAATCACCTCTTCCCTCCTCCCACCTCGGTCTTATCTGTGACCTCCTACTACCTGAAATTTGTAAACTATTATATACTTTTGTTACAGGAACTGGGTCCTGCTCAAGACCCCAAGAGAGGGTTCTTGGATCTCGGACAAGAAAGAATTCAGGGGGAGTCCATAAAGTGAAGTGAAAGCAAGTTTATTAAGAAAGTAAAGGAATAAGAGAATGGTTACTCCATAGACGGAGCAGCCCTGAGGGCTGCTGGTTGCCGTTTTTATGGTTATGTCATGATTACATGCTAAACAAGGGGTGGATTGTTCATGCCTCCCCTTTTTAGACCGTATAGGGTAACTTCCTAACATTGCCATGCCATTTGTAAACTGTCATAGCGCTGGTGGGAGTGTAGCAGTGAGGATGAACAGAGATCACTCTTGTGGCCATCTTGGTTTTGGTGGGTTTTAGCTGGCTTCTTTATTGCAACCTGTTTTGTCATCAAGATCTTTAAGACCTGTATCTTGTGTTGACCTCCTAGCTCATCCTGTGATTTGGAATGCCCTAACCATCTGGAATGCAGCCCAGCAGGTCTTAGCCTCCTTGTACCCAGCCTCTATTCAAGATGGAGTTGCTCTGGCTCACACGCCTCTGACACTTTTACAAAAACAAAACAACTATTACAAAACATCCTTTTAATTAAAAAAAAAAAAAAAGGAAAAAATAAAATGAATATTTGTTCAAGTATGTCTGGAAGGATACACGAGACACTAATAAAAGTGGAGAATTGCTTGTGGAGTAAGGCTGAGGTTCAAGTCTAATAGTTGGGAGGCGGGGTGAGAGTGAGAATTTACACTGTATCCTTTTATAATTTGAACTCTGTGAGAATGTACTACCATTTTAAAAATACCCATTTAAAATTAACTTTAAAAAGTGTTCTGCTGTCTGCTTTCTTAAGAAAAATCAGAAAGCAGCGTACCTCTGGTGGGAAAGTTGGAATCTTTACAATTATGAACTCAGATTGGAGAATACAAAGCAGGAGTCTTTTGGTTACACACACCTGGGTTCAACCAGGTTCCTACTGTGTGACTGGAAAATGTATTTAGTCTCTGTAAGTCTCAATACCCTTATCTGAGGAGGAAAATAAAAATAATTGCTTAGCTGAGCGCAGTGGCTCACGCCTGTCATCCCAGCACTTTGGAGGCTGAGGCAGGCGGATCACTTGAGGTCAGGAGTTCGAGACCAGCCTGGCCAACATGGCGAAAACCCATCTCTACTAAAAATGCAAAAATTAGCCGGGCATGGTGGCGCATGCCTGTAATCCCAGCTACTCAGGAGGCTGAGGCAGGAGAATGAGTCAGGAGTTCAAGACCAGCCTGGCCAACATGGGGAAACCCCATCTCTACTAAAAATACAAAAATTAGCCAGTCATGGTGGCGCACGCCTTTAATCCCAGCTACTCAGAAGGCTGAGGCAGGAGTTCAATACCAGCCTGGCCAACATGGCCAAACCCCATCTCTACTAAAAATATAAAAATTAGCCAGGCATGGTGGCGCATGCCTGTAATCCCAGCTACTCAGTAGGCTGAGGCAGGAGAATCGCTTGAACCCGGGAGGCAGAGGTTACAGTGAGCCAAGATGGCCCCACTGTACTCCAGCTTGAGTGACAAAGTGAGATTCCATCTGAAAACAAAAATAACAATAATAATAAGAAGAAGAATTGCTTAGCTTATCTTTTAGGGATAGTGGGTAGAAAATAAATAGGAAAATGTTCTCCAAGCACATAAGAAATAGATGATTACTATCAGATTTCTGGGTGAAATTGCGACAGTAATTTCCCAAGAGGAGGAAGGAACACAGATCTTCCTCTTTCTTAAGTCCTGGCCAAGTTTCAAACTCTTGAGTGGGTAAAGAGGGGCTATATTAGTTCTCCTTTCATATTTCTGCCCTCAAAAACCTAGAGAATCTGTGGTGACTACTGGAAGAAAATTCAATTTAAAAACATTTATTTGAGGCTGGGCGCAGTGGCTCATGCCTGTAATCCAAGTACTTTGGGAGGCTCAGGCAGGCGGATCACCTGAGGTCAGGAGTTCGAGACCAGCCTGGCCAACGTGGTGAAACCCCATCTCTACCAAAAATACAAAAAAAATTAGCTGGGCATGGTGGCGGGCACCTGTAATCCCAGCTACTTGGGAGGCTGAGGCAGGAGAATTGCCTGAACGCGGGAGGTGGAGGTTGCAGTGAGCTGGGATCGCGCCACTGCACTGCAGCCTGGGTGACAAGAGTGAAACTCCATCTCAAAAAAAAAAAACAACAACATTTATTTGATACTTTTTTGATTAGTCAGGGCTCTTCACTGCTGATGAATCATGACAAACTTAATGAAAGAGAGAACTCATTGGCTCATGTAACTGAAAAATCCAGGGGCAGAAAACCTTCAGGCGTGGTTGGATCCAGGTGCTTACAAGCTATCTCATTAAGAACCTGTCTCGCTCCCTCTTTTGAGTCTGTATTTCCTCCCTGTTGGCTTTTGTTGTTGTTGTGGTTGTTAACTTCAGTTCTCCTCTTGCGGAGGCAAGGTGGCCACTAGCCACTCTTGCTCATATTTGTCTGGTTTTAACAGCTCCAGAAGAAAGAGAAAGCCTTGCTTTCCTATTGTTCCAGCAAATTTTTTGGGCCTGGATCTTATTTCTGCAACTTGAGCATGTGTCCCTCTCTGAACCAGTCACCAGTGCCAGGGAGAAACTGGGCTCTGATTGGATAAGCCCAGGAGCCCAAGAGCCTTGTGCCCAGGGATGAGGTTAGCCTTCTACAAATAACATGGACTAAGAGAGGGGGAATGTGGCTTCCCAAAGGAAAAATGTCAGGAAGGCCATTTCTAAAAGAAGTAGAAGAGGATGCTAGACATGCCTTTCCTCCTTCCCCCCAAAAAGACACTTAGGTCCCCAATATCTACTCTGTGCGATATATTATTTTGGGCATTATGGGAATGACATGATAAACACGACATCCCTCAGAAGGCTTAGACTAGAATCATGTGATTATGCAATCGCATACACATGAATTTAGTAATGAACAACTTAGTAAGTGCTATAACAGAAATAATAGTTAATAGCTAATATGTATTGAATGCTTTCTAGATCCTAGGTACTGGTCTCAGTATTTTACTTGGTTTAACCTATTTAGTCTCCAAAAGAACCAGGAAAGTAGTTGCTATCTCTCCATTTTGCAGATGAGGACGCTGAGGCACAGAGAAGTTGGTTGAAAGTGCTTTTGGAACACAAAGTTCTAGCCCATCAGGATAGTGAGATCTCCATGCAGAGCTACTGTGTGAAGAGAACTTAACATTTTAGGGTAGATTTCACCCGAGAGGGATAGGGAAACAGTCTAAATTCTAGGAAGAAGGAACAATACATGAAGGAATGGAGCTGAAGAACCGCAGATGTTTAGGAAATGGCAAGAAGTAAAGTTTGACTTTAACACCAGGCTTGCAAAAAAGAGATGGAAGGAAAGTGATGGGAAAAATGGTTCGCTGGGACGGGTTGTAAAGCTTGGCTGCCGTTCCAAGTCCAGCTGGTTCCACAGACTGTAGAATTCTTTAGTAGGGGAGTGGCTGGAGCAGATAAACAAAAAAATCGCCAGACCCCTGAGTGTTTTTAGGTGGGGATGTTGGCTTTGTATCTCTGCTGTACATTCTTGGGATGTTTTGGAAGGTTTTTGCAAATGTCCTGTTGGGTGGCATTGAAGCGGTTGTTTCTTTAAATGACTTAGCTCTGCCTTAGTGAAGATCTTGTTAAAAGCAGACCATTTTCTGACATTCTGTTTTCTGCAACTGCTATTGAAGAGGGGCAAAGCCGAGCCAGGCTCTTGTAGAACACTTTCAACACAAGACAAGTGGTTTTGTGTGTTTCTGTCACAGTTTTACAGTGAGGCCATTCAGTACTCAGAACTGAGAAGATAGCATGGCACGCTTATTTAATAGTCTTCTATTTGCTCTTCTATTTTGTCCAGTCATTAAATGGTGTTAGAATTGAGAATTAGGACTCTCTTTCCTCGCCAAAGAAAAACACAAGTGACTTGTTGACTACAAGATTTACTCTCACAGATATTTCCAGAGTAATATGAAATCCCAGCCAAGTATCCGCAGAAAAAAGCCAGCGGCATATGCTCCAGCCTCTTTTCCTGAGTGCAGCTCCACAGCTACCTCTCCATGCCCAGAAGGACATCATAAATCATTTCTAATTTATGAGGAGCCCAGTCGTGTACTACACCCTGCTAGGTGCTGGTGTTTGTCGTCTACAGACTGTGAGCTCCCTTCTTCAGTGCATACAGAGACTTTTTCAGATCATCCATAGGACAGAAGGTTGAGAATTTTTTTCCCTAGGACTGGCCCAGCCAAGAATTAAGGAGGGAGAAGACAGAAGATTCTTGTCGCTCAGGGTTTTGCCACAAGCCTCACTTGCTTTTTCCCAAATTGAGGACTGGGAAGGGGCAGAAACAATACCATTCTCATGATTAGCTATTTTCTTTTATTCAACAAATACACATATTTTTTCAAAGCCAACAGCCTGCAAGTCAACGTTGGGGACACAGCAGTAAGCAAAACAGAATTTTGGTTCTCAATGAGATTATACTTACACATGTTAGGAGGTGACGATGGGTTTTGCAGGGAAAGAAGAGATAAAGTTGGGAAGGGGAATAGCCATTCTACATCAGGAGTTCAGGGAAGGGACTTCCACTAAGGTGACCTTTGAGCAGAGACTTGTGGGACAGGATGGAGTGAGTCTAGCAGTTGTCTGGGGATATGGCCTCCTGGGAAGGACAGAGGCCACCATGCAGGGCCCCAAGAAATTGAAGCCAAGAGCCAGAAAGAAGTGGTTAGGAGCCAGGCACGTGGGAGGCGGGACAGCCTAAGGGGCTGCGGTGAGTTCAGGGATTGTTGGAAGTAAGATGGGCAGCCATGGGAAGTTTTTGGAAGATTACCAGAGTATAAGCCTGAAGTCAGGAAAATACAGGGCAGTGTTTCCTTCACTTCCCAGAGAGAATTAGAGTGTGCGCTGCTGTTATCAGAATTGAACTGTCAAAACATCAATTAGCCCAATGCAGAGTGAAACAGAAATCATGGCTTTGTTTGATCTTGGTATAAAAAAAGCTCTTATGCTTTTCCAGTTGGGATAAAAGTGAGAGGCCATGAGTCATTTATTTACTCAACTGGCGATAATACTTTTCATGGAGACACCTTAGCTACTGTATTCAGCTACGACATTCAGCGACCTGTGCCCCACTAGCGTCTTCCCTGGCAGTATCTTGGTTGTGCTGTAGCTGTGGTGCATAGATTTCTGTGCATAGATTGGTGTAAGCTTCAAAGTCAAAGAGCAGCTGGTGGGATACTTGGGATCAGATTCGAGCAGGCTGCAATAACAGCAGGCTCTCAGTGATGACCTGGAGCCGACTGCTGCCGTTTTCTGCTCACAAACAACTGACTTTAGTCCGGAGCTACAGAGAGCTTGGGTTAGATTGATGCGCAGAAGTTACAGGGAGTGCGATTTGACTCCTTCTCTGGAATACCTTCCTCAAAATGAGGGTGATCGATACTGAAGTGGGTTGCGCCTTAAAGTGAGCATCTTCCCTCTGAATGATTTTAAGCAGGTGAGCACATCTCAGGAATATTCTGAGACAGCCCCTGCTTTGTGCGGTGTGTTGGACTAGAATGACCTCTCAGATTCATTGCAATGCAAACCCCCTCTGAGCCCATGAAAAAGTGTCCAGTGAATGTGCTCTGCAAACATGCAGGCACTATATAAACAAGAGGCAAATATTTTAAAAGGTGAAGAATGAGATACTTGTACTGCTGTGAGAGCGGTGGTTGGAATGTTGTGCCCCAGCAACATACTTTCCGTGCTCGGTCGCCTGCAGTTTGTTCTCATTGGCCCTGTACAGAGGTATCCGCATTGTGTGTTAAATACGCTCTCAGCGAAAGACCAAACAAATAGCCAACGGCATTTTCCTATCAGAGCCTGTTTATAGGAGGTAGAGCAAAAGAACAAAGCTGTTGGTTTTGATTCTTGGCAGGAAGCCAAGGCTGCTGCTTCAAAGCTCCAGAGTTTACAAGGAAGAAAGAGGGGGAATTTTTAGTTTACAAGGAAGAAAGGGGGAATTTTTAGCTGAGACTAAGTTAGAATTTAAGCAAAACTCAAAACTAAAACTAAAGAATCCTCCGGGATCCATAATGGAAAGGCAGAATAAGAAACCTGGTATGTTTCAGGCTATCGGATGATTTTTTAGTGCAAGAACGAACGTTTTAAAAGGTGCCCGAGCAGAGATTACAGACAGCCTCGATTAATGACACAGGATCACTCAGCATTTGAGCTGGATGAATTGTCCTTAGTGATCCTTGAATTGTGTCCCTTATTTTACAGATAATGGATTAGAGGCCCAGGAACTCAAAATGACTGCCCAGGGTCACTCAACAAGTTGTAGGAATTCAAGGACTAGAATCCAGGACTCCTGGCAGCCATTTTGTGTTTTGGGCAATTTTAAAGAAGCAGCAAACCAGTAAAAGTTTTGTTTCTTATGAGCAAAGGGCCGGTTAGGAAGACAGCCACCGTGATTGAATGCTGAATTGGCAGTGCATTTGGTTTGCGAGAATGTGGCCCGATCCCTAGGCCAGCGGCACTTGCTCTTGCAGTTGCCACCTTCATCCTTAAGTTTAGGGCAGAACAGCCGTGAATCTCTGGGCCTGTTCCCAGGAATGGAGGCCAAGACAACTGTTGGAGGAGGTCTACAGAGTCCCGCCACCCCTCAGAGCCCAGTCAAGCATGAATGGGCTTTTACAATCCGTAGGAGGCTGCAGTGGTCAAGGTCCTTCTAAAGCACCTGCAAAATCCCAGCAGTGTCCCACCTGTCACTGTGGGTGTTCTTTGGCTTCCTGCCGTTGATAAGAGTTCTCTCCTTTTTGACAAGAGGCCGAACAAATTGAAACTGTATTTAAATAACAACACTCTTTTTACATAATAGAACACCCAGTTTAAAAAAAAAAAAAAGACTCTTTGCCCGGTTAACTTTTTTCATTGAAATTACTAACCTTTAAGTGAGCTGTTGTTACTTGCTTCTGGAAGATACAGGAAGAATGGGGTCAGTGAGGAATCTAAAGGAAGGGAGGGAAGCCTTCTGTGTATGTCTCCTTTTTAACCCAAAGCTGTTCGTTGTCATTCTTTTGACCATTTATTCATTCATTCACTCATTTTCCTGTTTGTTTCTATTCTGATTCTATCCAAAAAAAGTTTGACAAAATGTGCAGTAAAGAGCTTATATATTGTACATAAAATATAAGTCAAGTCAGGTTTTAGAGAAGGAGGAAACAGAGATTCCATCCACGAATTGTCATATGAAATCTGTGTCAAATATCCAGTTTTACTCTGATCTTTCTAGCAACCAGGATTTAAAAAGGAATACACAATTTCTATTATCAGAAAGGAAAAAAAAATCCAGGTTCTTCAAGAGACTAAGCGTTGCTATTCTGTGGCACATGCAATTAGCAAACACTTAAGGAAGACTTTCATGCACTTACTACAAAGCTGGCTGCCCAGGGCGCATCCTCCCACCCTGTCTCCTATCAGTGTCCTTGCTTGAGGCCCTGGAGCCCCTGAGCAAACATGTTCTTAGTGTTATCACAAATGTCTTCTTAGTGTTATCACCTGCTCCCTTTGGATGTGTCAGAACCTGGTTTGGGGTAATGGCTTTAGTTTAGTTGAAACGATGTTGTCTAGAGCAGTTCCAGGATTTGCAGATAATGAGCCCAGGAGTAGGAATCGGGGAACGTCAGAAATCTCGTGCTACTGCAGCTGCATGTTGTCTACCAGTGTAGCTTTCCTGCTCTTCAAAGTGCCCTAGACTCCTTATCTGGCCCTTCGCTGCTGTATCAAAGTGCATTTTTGAACAGAAGGTCTGGAGGAAATAGAGTTCTGCAGAACACGCTTTGGGAAATGTTGACTCAGGATTAATAGATGACATGACCACATGTTAATTTTACGCACCTTCTTGGCCCCTGAAAGTGAGGAATGGACTTTGCAGTTGCATGGACATATAGAGCACAGGATTTAATACTATACACACTCAAGGGGAACACAATTGAGATCCTGCTCCGGAGCTCCCAAGCCCCATTCCAAAGTTCTACCAGGCATTTACATTTGTTCCAGAAGAAGGAAGAATCAATGTTAAGATCCCCATGGCTTTACATGTCTGTGAAAACTGATTATTATTATTTTTTTTTTTCTGAGATGGAGTTTCGCTCTTGTCGCCCAGGCTGGAGTGCAATGGCACGATCTTGGCTCACTGCAACTTCAGCCTCCTGGGTTCAGGCGATTTTCCTGCCTCAGCCTCCCAAATAGCTGGGGTTACAGGTGCCCACCACCATGACCAGCTAATTTTTGTATTTTTCGGAGATGGGGTTTTGCCATGTTGGCCAGGCTGGTCTCAAACTCCTGACCTCAGGTGATCCACCCACCTCGGCCCCCGCCAAAGTGCTAGGATTACAGGCATGAGCCACCGTTCCTGGCTGAAAGCTGATTATTCTTAACTGCCTTCTCCATCCTCCTAAGACCTGGGGATTGTCAGCTAATATATAAGAACTCTCTAGAATTAGTGAGAACGCAGGGGAAAGAGTTATAGAAATATGATGTGTTGGGCTTTTGTAATAGATGGAGTGAGAGAGAAAACACTAGAAAATAGTTCATTTTCCTGGAATGCAAATGGGTTACCCAGAATATTTACTGATGTTTATGTGTTTTTTTCTTTAATGTAAGCATACATATCTTCTTCATACACTGCATATCCATAGAATTATATGTTTTAGAATGCAACATTTCTAGCTTCAGCGTGAGAAGCAGGCTTTATGCTCTCTAGTTGCTATGTAATAATATGCCTGGACGCCAGGCCAAAGGTGGCCATTTGAAAGACCAGGGATGGCGGTTGGACTTCAGATCATGGGCTGCAGCCATTTGCTCTTGTCATAGCTGTGTTGATTCCACTCAGATCATGTGTTTTTTTTAAGCAACTAAGAAAACGAGTTTGAGCCCTCATGTGAGGAGAATAAATGTGCTCAATTCTACTTGGAATGTTTTTCATAATTATCTTAAGGAATGACTTGATTCTTACTTGTGCTTGTTCTTTTTAAAAGTATTAGAAAGGAAGATATCCACACGACAAAGTAGAGAGGAGCTGATAAGAAGGGGAGTGCTTAAGGAATTGCCTGATCAAGGTGAGGAAATTAATCATACATTTTAAATATTTTGGTCCTTCATTCTTTGGTTTTTCTTTTGTTTTCTTTTGAAATTTAAAGGGATCATGGTCTTTGTAAGGTAAAGCGGTGATTACTGCATTCCAAGCGCCGTGCTTCCATTGGTAATGCCTTTGTGAGCTGCAGAGAATCTGAAATATTATAGAATTCTAGTGACTTTCCTGGTGAATCCATCACCATATGTCATTCTAAACCTAAAACTCTGCAAAGGTACATCCGAGGGCAATACAGATGAGATACAAATGCTTACGGCTCCTTCTCTTCTCTATTCTTGAGCTTCAGTCTTTCTATTCACATGAAACTCATGTGTTTGAGTAAATGCAAAGTTTTAGCTTGGTTCATGCTATTTTGTTTCTTAAGACTACCAATAAAAGAGAAGAGAGAAGGCACACATACCTCTTGTCCTTTGCACTCTATAATAACACTGAAATGTACAATCAATAAAGCATGAATAGGCAAACTAAACTAACCTGCTTTCTGCTTTCTCTCATGTAATTTTGCAGTACTGTTCTCTTTTCATTTCTCTGAATCTTTCCCTAGCAATGATTATTTCTAATTTTTTCCCCTATCTCTGATCTTCTCTTTTTTTCTCTATCCTCCCGAGGAGGAACTTTGTTCAGAAAAGACAAGGATCAGATAGAAACTGGTACTGACCCTCAAAAGAAGACGCTAACATTGGTTATTTCTCCAAATAAATAATACCTAATGATTTTCATCGCTTCCACTATTAAATTTAAAATTAAAGGACATTTTGTTGCAATTTTGTTGATTAAGCTCATGCCTCCCTTCCCCTCACATTTACTGTAATAATAAAGTATTATTATTGTACTTTTATGGGAACAAATAAAATGCTATTAATTTAGAATTGAAATTGAAATTGAAATAATAATACAGCTGTTTTCCTGATATATGTTCCTTGCAAAGGACTTAACATTTTTTGGCATTCACTATTTGTAAATCAAAATGACATGCTTTTTTCCAGCATCTGAATAATTCCAGAGTGGAGCTGAGAAATGCTTTCCTGTTTTTCTCCTGATTCAAAGAAAGTAGGGAACTCTGCAGTGAATAGTAGCATTTTCTTAAGCCCTCGCAATTTTAGGTATTTTACTTCAATTTCTGACCTGTCAAACTTTTCTTACTCTACTTTATGAATGAATTTTATGTTTTCCCTGTTTTTCTATTATTTTGAAGCTATTTATTTCCTGTTTGAGACTTTTAAGAGTTAAAAATGCACATTTCTAACTTTTTAAACTTAAAGGTAGGCTTGCAATATCAAAATTAATCCCCTGTCCAATGTCTCTGAAGGCAATAGAGAAATAATATACCCATTGAAAGCTTAACACTGGGCCATCAGCTTTATGGGATGGGCCAATGCATTTATTAGACATCGTTTATTTAGAAATATTTTAAAGAAAGTACAAAATGGAAAATTTTATGATTGAAACTGTTAATGGGTTTAAATGTGAAGATTAAAAGCCCATCTTTTTTTCCTAATTAAAATTTGTAGGTAGAAAAAGAATTTGCTCTGTCTGAAAACCAAGTAGCAATAGTCAATTTAAAGAAATGATTTTTATTCTGCCGAATCTGTGAAACTATTTGCCTCATAGATTATAATTTCTTGGGCCAACATATACTTCTCAGAAATCTGACTCTCTGATCTTTTTATTTAACTTTTCCAGTGGAAACTAAAAGTTTTAAAACATAAAAGAACAAAACAATTTTTTAACCTAAGCATAATATAATAATAGGCTTAATGTTTGAGAAGTCATAAAATACTAGATTTTACTTTCCAGCTTTTCCATGGTCCCTATCTAGAACCGTAGAAATTATCTAATGGTTGAAGGTTCCTGAGGATGTCAGTAGTAAATGGAGTCCTTCCCCTTTTCAGCTGAGGGCTGGAGAAAATAGTTTTCTGTGATTTTCCCAAAAGCAATTATCTGGAGAATTTCAGTCTGAGAGACTAGAAGCTGCTGTTCTTGGTAACAACCTCCTTTCTGCTGCCAGTGAAGATTCATTGTTTGCCTTGATCTTCTTGACCTTGCGTCTGCTCTTGACAGTGCCTGTCCATCAAGCCCTTTATTCAGTGAGCCAGATAGACTTTAAAAATCCCTCTAGCTACCCTGAGTCTGACCCCATCCCACCATATCCCATACTCTCCCGGCTATTGTTATTTTTCCTTTTAGGTTCTCTTATTTACATCCAGACATACCTTCAACCTAAAAGTTCAGTGATTCGTCTTCTCTCCTGGGAAGTCTATGATCTAGTCCAAGTTTGCTGCTTACCTCTGCTTTTTTCCCTCCATCTTTTCCCTTAGCTTTTGACATGAGGTTGTGGAGGTGGTTTTGCCTGTGTGCCATCCTTTCCTTTTCTCCCACTGTGGACTTTTGTCACTTGCCTTTTGGTCATACATGATTTTCTCTTTCTATCTGTCCCTCCTTTAACTATGATATATCCCCAATACACCTGTTTACTAGAAGGAGGTGACCCCCTTCAAACACCCTCGTGTTCCTTATTTAACCACTTGTTCCTGTTTGTGCTTTATCTCTGTTTTCTTTAAGCTGACAACTACGTTTTGAGTTTTCTCTTTCCTTTGCTCTCGTGAGATGTGTTGACTTGGGCCGCTTATTGTCACCTGCCATCCAGCTCAGCATCTTCTTGCCTTCCTTTGCTCTGCTTGTATTTTACTTACACACACACACACACACACACACACACACACACTATATCAAGGATTTAACTTATTTTAATTCTAAAACAACTTCCTTAACACTCAATACTAGAAAGCCTTTTCAATATACACACCAGCTAATTAATAACTTTACTTCCCCTCTGTTTTGTTCTTGAATTCCATATTTATCACAAATGTGTCTCTTTTTTCTACAATTATTTTCATACTAACTAGCTTTATTTCATGCCTCAAAGTAAGTATTTTCCACATTGTTGACTATTTCTCTCTATCATAGGATAAGACACTTTCTTCTTGTGTCACAGCTATTAAAATTTCCAGGTTTTTCTAAATTTAATAAATCAGTTATTTAACTAAAGAATTTTAATATAATAATGCTTAAAATAGAATTAAATTGTCATTGACATGACTTCAATATACTTTTATTATCAACTAACTAAAGTCAAAGAAAACAAAGATAAATTTATATTTGAGTTACCTAAAAACTGAAGATTTTTATACATAAGCAAGTGGTTTTCTATTTTGTTTGGAATTTTCCATTCTTCATTTTTATTTTATCTGGATATATTGTGTTCTCCTCCTTTTTATAGCTAATTTCTTGGGATTTAATAATAGGATTTAAGAATCATTTGGGTTCTCTTTGTTTTGATGTATAGTCTTTTAAAAATTCTTACTTTAATTTTATTAAAATAGTTGAGATTTACTTGTAATGGCATTGCCTTCAATTATTGTTTATTTTAGTTTTACACGGGACTTAGTTATAGGTTATTGGGAGTTATATGACTAAGCAACGATTGCTTTTTCATTCTAAAAATGACATAATTTCATGATATGTAGTTGATTTATTAAAATGTCATGTCTGTTTGTTCAGAAGGCAAATGGATTTTATTGTTAAGCCAAAGCAATTCAATCCTATTTAATGACAATTTGGGAAATGGTTTCTGTTTTATAATGATTGCCAAGATAAGAGTAGTAAAAAATTGAAAGAGCTGTAATCAAGCAGATTTTTAAGTTTGCTCAAACCTTCCATTTGTTAATTTTTCTTTTACAATGCTAGCAAAGCCTCTTAAAATTTTCCAGATATAAAGTAGGGTTAATCTTTTCAAGAATCACTGAATTAAATGTTTCTGCAAAGTCTCTTTCACTTTAGAAACCCCCAGGAATTATGGAAATACAGGAGTTAAAATTAGTAATTTATGATTTAGATCTCTCAACATTGTATCCATTATGGTTTTTTAAAATTCCTTTGTGATTACTTTTTTATGTGTGTTTTTTTTTTCTCGAATGTTTTCAAATTATTTTTAGGACAACTTAGGGACTTTTTGGCTAGTTATATATAATAATTACCTGAGTATACTTTAATCTTTCCATAAACAAATAAAAATAAAAATAGCCTTGCTATCATGTTTTCCCTGAACATAGAGTAGCAGTTATATTACTGTGTGAAGTTAGCACATCATATACTTAATATATTCTGGAACCAGTAGTACTTGGAAATTTTCATATTCTCCCACTTATTGTTTGTATGTGTAATTACATTTCATGTTATTTGTGTATTTGCATTCACCTTGTGTTTTTGGTGCTTGTAAAATGTTTATTCCATTTTCCAGATTATTCCTCTCGCCATTCTGTTTCTGAATGACAAAGAAACACATAACTATTGACTTCAGACAAACCTAAGCACATGAACGAGGGACTCTGCTGCCCTGGGATATTGGATAATTAGGATGATCATTCCTGTTGTCTTGAAATGGCGCATAGATATTCCCTCCATAGCAGCTTTTCCCCAAGACAGAGGATTTTCTAGCTCTTTTGTTTTGAATAAACCGGTGAAACAGTGCAGGGTGTATTTGGTTCCCAGGGACTGAAACATGAATCTAAATTTTACAATCCTAGTAACTGGAAAACTTGTTTTTAAGAAAGCCAGCAAGTTAGACATCTAGGTGTTTCTTTCCCATTTTAGATGGAGATGTAACAGTTAACTTTGAAAATTCAAACGGGCACATGATACCCATCGGAGAGGAATCTACCCGAGAGGAAAATGTAGTAAAGTCTGAAGAAGGTAATGGCTCTGTATCTGAAAAAACACCACCTCTGGAGGAACAGGCAGAAGATAAGAAAGGTAAAATAAAGACAAACCCATATTATTTACTTTAGTATATAGCTCAATGTCTAGAACCAGCACTTAGGCTCCAACTAGTGACTCTAAAACCAGCAGTCTGCAGAGGAGAGGTTTACAAATAGAAAAAAGAAAGAAATGATAACTAGTAAAGTGAAATCGGATGATTTTCTCAGGTAGATGCATCCATTTTATAAGCACAGTATTTGTTTTTTCAATTATTAAAAATGTTAATTAAAAGTAATAATCAGAAGGGGTGGCCTCTTTAATCATTAGAGATGTCTGGGAAGATTATCCTTTCTTAGGAGCTTTGTCTCAGGATCATAATGAAAGTGAGAAATCTGAACATCTTTCTCTGCTGGTTACAATTGGACCCGTGAGCAGTTCAGCATGGAGGAATATCAAAACCCACATGGCTTGTTCAGCCCAGCACTGTCTCCAGCAGTGGGAACTTGGCAGGTGGCATCCACATATCCAGCATCATAGGTTCCAGACGTTTCTGAGAGAGACCCAGGAATAGCTCCCAGAGATGCCACGGACTGTGGTTGCTCTGCTGGCTGATTCCCACAGCCTCTGTGCAATTGGAAACTTCAAAATGTGCCAGAGGCGATTATGCTATTCCCAGAAGACTTCTTTAGAGACCTTGGTTCCTAGAGTGAATATGCTACAGTAGATTGAGATACCTGCAAAATACATGTCTATCAGGGACTCCCAGAACATTCACAAATTCCTAGTTATGGATTGATGACATCTCGATACCACTGCTGTGATGCGTAGGAACCTCCAAACATGAAATGAAACTTCTAAAAGGAAAGGTTTTGTGGGGAGATTCTAGATGCCTCCATGCAGCATAGAAAGGAATCTTTAGGAAATATACTATTTCCTATTTTATAATGTCTGTCTCTAAGTTGAATGGTAAAATTTTGTCAAACCTAGTGTGTGTTCTGTGGGCATTTTGAACTCTTAGAAACTGATGAAAGTGAATTCTCTTCCTCTGTTCTTGACCCAGATCCTTGAGAGCGAAAGGGAAAAAAGATTATTTGATGGCCCTATTAAACACACCATTGTAACTTAAAATCATCCTCTGTGGAAGTTCATAACCGTTCATTATTTGCATATATATTAGCCTTTAAAAGTTTTAGAAGCCTGTGTAAATAATCTGTTGGAAATGTATTATTTTGCTTTATTTCAAGGGCTTTATCTAGCCTTGTTCCATTGAAGGACTCTGGTTAAGCTTATGTACACAAATTATGAAATTAACTAATACTTTCAATGATAATATTCCTGGAACATAAAAAGAAAGTAGACTTAAATAAATTTTAGTGGGATTCAGTTGAAAGTATTAACGCAAGTAGTGATGTTTTTTGTTTAAGTCTTTCTGTCCTGTCTCGCCAGACTGTTGAATTTCAAATCCATCTGTGGTTTGTCCCTGGCAGCCTTCTCACATCCAAGAATCGCATCCTGCATTACGTAACAGTGCCATCTCTGGTGCCTGGTCCGTGCAGGGTATTCGTCACTGGACTGGCCAGACATCAAAGGAAGTGTTTCCCTTATCAACATAATAAAAAGTTCCTGACAGTTTTATATGAATTAACCAACAGACCTTGATGTTCTTGAAAGAAGATAGCAGACCTTATGGGTCCATGAATAGTTGAGAGATGTTTTTCTTTGCTTAGAATTAGTACATTCAATTCTTCCTTATCTGATAAGGTCCAAGAGAGCCTGTTGCTTGGCTAGTAGGTACATGAGGAAGGAGCTGGGAGTGCTGGATGCTGACATACCACTAAAGAGGCAGTGCGGCTGTCTCCTGTGTGGAAAGTGCACACACCAAAGCCACAAGGAGAAGCGCTAGGTATAGAAGCCACTTCGTGAGACTGAAAAGAATGTCACGCATAACTAATATTACAGTGTATTATGTTAATTAGAAAATGCCTTATGACAAAGGTAACAATTTATTTCTCTAGAAAAACATTTTTCATTCTGAAGACCAACTCAAGCTTCACTTTTGCCTCTGCTCCTCTTCTGGTCTCACTGCTTGTGTGAGCTCACTGCCGTGCAAACCCCACCATCCCATGATCTTAATTCACCCTTTATTTTGGGATACAGTGCTCCCTTTCCTCCTGCATGAAGCCAACTTATTCAAGAGCATTCTGTCATCTATTTGGTTATATTTGCCAAACCATATCATCTGCCTTTAGAGCCCTAGATGTGTATTATATCTCTTCATAAGACAATATCTCAATACTTTAATATTTGAAACATCACCGTCAAAGAAAGCAAAACAAATGGCACGTGGTGTCCTTCACACTTGCTCTGTGAGTAGATTCCACCCAGGCCCCCTGGGCATTTCTGGGGCTCCTGAAGGCACCTGATTCTGCAGTTGGTACAGTGGTCTTGGGCCTCCTCTGCCTAATACTAGAGACTTCTTCCTTAAGGTCTTTGGGGCTCTTGGTCTCCCATTATTCTTTCTCAGTAAGTGCCTTTATATATATAAGAGCAGAAAAGGCCGGGCGCCGTGGCTCACGCCTGTAATCCCAGCACTTTGGGAGGCCGAGGCGGGCGGATCACGAGGTCAGGAGATCGAGACCATCCTGGCTAACACGGTGAAACCCCGTCTCTACTAAAAATACAAAAAAAAAATTAGCCGGGCGTGGTGGCGGGCGCCTGTAGTCCCAGCTACTCGGGAGGCTGAGGCAGGAGAATGGCGTGAACCCGGGAGGCGGAGCTTGCAGTGAGCCGAGATCGCACCACTGCACTCCAGCCTGGGCGACAGAGCGAGACTCCGTCTCAAAAAAAAAAAAAAAAAGAGCAGAAAAACTCACTTGCTCCCTGTTAAACAAAGCTTAGTATTAAATATAAGAAATCTTATGGCTCACGCCTGTAATCTCAGCACTTTGAGAGGCCAAGGCGGGCAGATCAGCTGAGGTCAGGAGTTCGATACCAGCCTGGCCAACAGGGCAAAGCCCCATCTCTACTAAAAATACAAAAATAGCTGGGTGTGGTGGTGGGCACCTGTAATCCCAGCTACTGGGAAGCTGAGGCAGGGAGAATTGCTTGAACCTGGGAGGTGGAGGTTGTAGTGAGCTGAGTTCAGGCACCATTGCACTCCAGCCTGGGTGACAGCCAGTCTCAAAAAAAGAAAATAATAATAATTTTAAATAATAAGATTTTATAAGAATTCTAAGAAATCTTGCTTGACATTATTTTTATTAAGTTATTATTTTAAAATCTTCAATGAAATAACAAGTGATGAACACTTATTTGTTCCACAAATAATGAAAGTCTACCATAGGTGAGACTCTACTAGGGGCCAGGAAAAGAGTAGTAAATGAAAAATGGCCTTTGCCTTAAGAGCATGACCTGTGAGGAGACCAGAATGCAAACGGGCAATTGTAGTGCAAGATGCGAAGTACCGTAGAAGGCCTGAGCACAGCAACCCAAGGGAGCTCACAGTGAGGGCCAACATTGGTTCTCAGAGGAAGATATTTATGAACTAAGACATGAAGGAAACAAGAAGGAGGTCATCAAGTGAAGCAGAGGAATTGGGTAAGAATTGCATTCTAGGCAGGGTGAGGACCACATGCAGCCCCAGGCTTGTTCTAAGTATCGTTGACCTCAAACCTTCCAGGGCTCAAAGGAGCCAAGCCTGGAAGTATGGGAAACAGCTTGTTTTCCAGACCGCATTGCTGGAAAGGCTAGCGTCCTTATCAAGCCAGAATGACGAGGCAGCCCTTTCTCAACCTTCTCTTGAAGTGATAATACTCCTATATGCCATCAGTTTATATCATGTCTTCAGATCACATGGTAAGTGTAAAATATACAACTTGACATAATTCATTACCTCCCAGCTCCAACTAAAGCTCTGTTTTCTACTGATGTGTGTGTCAATAACTATTAGACAGTCAGTCCCATTCGTTGAATAGACATAGTGTTTACAGCATTGTGTTCGATGGAATTTTAAATTTCAGACAAAAGGAGTTTATAATTCAGTCAAAAAATTATACTATTTGCATACTCATATGTCCCTGCGTGTGTGTGCATGCACACGTGCGCGCACACACACACACACACACACACACATAACTTAAGAATTACCAGAATGACAAATGTTCACACATAGTTGGTAGCGTTCGAAGAGTCAAGAGGAGCGGACGTATTCTCTAAGGAGCCAGGAGAAAGTCTGTTTGCAGTGTGTTCATTTTCTCCCTAGTAGGTCTTGTCATTGCCAACCAATCTGGTGAACTATCTCCTCCTTCCCAAACCCAGAAGCTGGATTCTTTCCGGTATACCTTTAGAATTTTAAGCCTTAGGCAGAAAGGAAAAACATCCCTCAGTGACATGCTATTAAGGGAGAGGATAAAACATGTGTAGAGTTTGTGGTATATAAGAGAATTAAGGTGACATGTGTTACAGATCAGTTTGACTTTCACTATGGATGACACTATTGGGCTTAGTCTCCATACTTCATGGTATTATACTGGGGGCTAAAGTTACAAAGATGTATTTAAAGAATAGACTTCAACCATATGTCAGAAGACTGGGAAATTAATGTATATTTATATATTTTAAGTTAAAATTAAATTTTATAGGTGTGTATCAACTTGTATCATTCTCAAACCTAACTGACTTTTGTGATTTACTTGCCTGGTTAAGACTGGCTGAGTTAAGAGGGCCATTACTATTAGTATACATGATACTCAGCTTAGTTGAGGAGACAAGATATATAAACAGAAAGGCAAAAATACAAAATAGCTTCTGATAAATGTTGAGTAAGTGGCTCACACAATAAGCCCAAGTAAGTTCAGAGATAGAAGGGTCAACTTGGGCCACAGTGACAGAAGAGGATTTTGTGGCTGAGGCAGGATCAAAGGTGAACTTTAAAAGTAAAGCTTTATTGATTACCTATTGTAACTGAAGTCATCTATGCTAATTATATATGTGGATTGATGGGGAATGTGGTTAAAAGAGAATTCTATACTTCACACTCATTAGGATAAGAAACAAAATAATATAAATAATAATAAAATGCAGTATATTCCAATATTAAAACCCTTTCTAGAGCATTCAATTATGGGAGCCTTGGTTAAGGCTCGATCTTGTCTTAACACTGTCTCAAGGTTTTTATTGTGCCCCATTTTTAAAGAAATGCTGCTTAGCTTTTTGGACTAGAATGGTATTTTAGTTTAATTCTCATCAGCCACTATTAGAAAGAATACAGATGTGAATATATGAATGAACTTTCAGCATCTCATCTGTCTTTCAGTAACAAGAGACTAATACTCTTTCTCCTCCGGTTACACAAAACCTTGTGAGAAGCTGCTATTCTTAGGTATGAGTTTTGGATGAATTTTAGCCTTTGTCTTTCCAAAATAATTATTTGGTTTACATTACAAAATAGACCTAAGTATTTCTTCGATTCGGCACCATCTAGATGTACCTATAGTTGTGACAGTATTTGAAAAGGCCAGGCATGGTGGCTCATGCCTGTAATCCCGGCACTTTGGGAGGCCAAGGCAGGCAAATTGCTTGAGCCCAGGAGTTCAAGACCAGCCTGGGCAATGTGGCAAAACCCCATCTCTACAAAACATTCAAAAATTAGCTGGGCGTGGTGGCAAACACCTGTGGTCTCAGCTACACAGGAGGCTGAGGTTAGAGGCTGCAGTGAGCCGTGATCATACCACTGCACTCTAGCCTGAGTGAGAGAGCGAGACCCTATCTGAAAAAAAAAAAAAATTTTTTTTTTAAGATTTTCTTTCATGCACACACATACAAAAAAAAAAAAAGAAAAGAAAAGGAAGGAAGGAAAGGGCAGAGGAAGTTATTTTAGAACAGGAAGCTGCCAATGTACTGGGAAAGCTTTAGAAAATTTTGCTAGTAGAAGATGATTCATTCTAAAGCGCATTGTTGCCTCATGTAAAAGATTCTCCAGAGTCTCTCTTAGCTTACAAAATAATTGGGTTTTGATCACAGCGAGGCTGAACACAGATCCCTTTCAGATGGATCAGGCTTGAGTTCTCAAGGGTAACCATGAGTCCAGCAGTTGCTGTAGCTGTCATTCCTCACCCCACAGCAGTGACTGTAACGTGTTCATCTGCCACTCTCCAGGAGCCTTCAACTTTGTTAAATCATTGTTTGTTCAATTTAAATGTAGCACTTCATGCCCACATCATCATCCAGCAACCCCAGATCCAAGGCTGGAACTGAGGCCCCTGACTGCAAACATTTACACACATCCTCAACCTAATTTCGTCAAAGTAGTTTGTATAACCCGGTTTTATTAAAGGGTGATTCGTGTACCCTGAGAACACTTCTCAGTTTGTCTTTCAGCCTTTGTTTTCACCCTAAACTGTGCTCTGTCTGGTGCAGAACTCCATGCTGATTCTCAAGTACCAAGCAGACACGCTTTGTGTCACTATCGTCATGTCTTGCTCCTTGTGTTTATATGGTGTGTGTCTGTATCAGTCTGCTTCTGTTCACTTTCTCGTTTATAGAGAACACTGAAAACCACTCTGAAACACCGGCAGCTCCTGCTCTACCTCCTTCTGCTCCTCCTAAGCCTAGACCCAAACCTAAACCCAAAAAATCACCTGTGCCTCCGAAAGGGGCCACTGCTGGGGCCAGCCACAAAGGTGATGAAGTGCCTCCCATTAAAAAAAATACCAAGGCTCCTGGTAAGCAGGCCCCCGTCCCTCCACCCAAGCCAGCAAGCCGAAACACGACCCGAGAGGCTGGTGAGTATGCCCCCAGTGCCCTGTGGGGTCACTTCTAGGGTGCTTGGCTCTGGGATGGGGCTAATTGTTTCTTCTAGGTGTGATGGGCTTTTGGTGTCTTAGGACATTACACCAGCAGGTTCAGCTTTGACACAAAGAATGCCCAGGAGATTCCTTTGTTGCTCTCTACCAAAGGAAATTCAACCCATTGAATAGTTCACCTCATTAGTTTTTGAGTGAATATACTGGTTTCATCTTGAGTATCCACTATCAGCACCAGTTGAAGGATACTGGGAGTAGTATGCCTGATGAATGACAATGATCTGATATAACATTATTTAGACATTGACTGACCTTCTACCTATATGAGCCTATGGGTGGCTTTTTGGCTTGGATTTTCTTTCAAAATATCTAAGGTTTGCATATAAAAATGTGACAATTATAACTTTGATATATTTACTGGATGTTAATGTGTTAAATCCTCAGCATCCATAGTCATCTCCCTTCTGATAAATGACAAAGGGTTCATGTCACTTGTTTCAGCTCCACCCCACCACTTTCTACTGCAGTGAAAACTATTTCAGTGGAGTGGAAAGTTACACTCTCAGTGTTCCACACCTCCCCTGTAGACTTGTGTGTTCTAAGGCAAAACATCCTGGTGTCATGTGGTTATAAGTTACTATTATAAATCACCAGTGGATGTTTGAGTGACCTGCAATAACTCATGCAATATGTATCCAGCTTTGCTTTACAATCAGATATGCTTGATGCAAAGTGGAAACTCCCATTTTTTTAGTGAAGAGGAAGAAAGATGCCTACCATGTCATTTATCTTTTAAAAGGACATTAATCAGGCCAGGCCCAGTGGCTCACACCCGTAATCCCAGCACTTTGGGAGGCTGATGCGGATCGATCACTTGAGGTCAGGAGTTCGAGACCAACCTGGTCAACATGGTGAAACCCTGTCTCTGCTAAAAATACAAGAATTAGCCAGGCGTCGTGGCGTGCACCTCTAATCCCAGCTACTCAGGAGGCTGAGGCAGGAAAATCGCTTGAACCCAGGAGGCAGAAGTTGCGGTGAGCTGAGATCGCGCCACTGCACTCCAGCCTGGGCGACAGAATGAGACTCCATCTCAAAAAAAAAAAATCTATTTTCCTTAAAATCAACAGCAACTTTCTAGCAGTTGACTGTCAGGATTTGCCTTGGTGTTGATCTTTTTCCTCTCATAATGTATGACCATAATGCTCAAATTCAGAGAGCGGTTTAGTTGACAGTATAACAGATCTCTGAATGCCAATAGACATCCCTCTCCCTGTGCTCCTCATGTCCCGCCTTTGACCTTTAGTGTCTGGGTCTCTTCTAATAAGCTCTAAACTGAAATTTCCCAGAATGATGTGCCAACAGTGCCCAGTGGCCATCTCCTCAGGGAGCAGCTGTCCTCACCCATCAGTGTCCATTCTTGTTGGGATCTGTGTGTGTTTTCTAGACTTCCTAGAAAACCCTAGAAGCACTGCTTAAAGTGAGGGAGGCACTGATCTTCTTCTTAAAGAACAGCCCCAAATGATCACTCTGTCATTGGGAATTAAGCTCCTGTCTTGCACTAACTTCTCCACTTTCCCATTCTCCACGTGGTAGTGGCTCACTCTGAACTCAGCTTGGACTCTCTTTACTTCCCTCAGAAGAAAGCCGATGATTAACACCAGGTCAGGGGACAGCTTTCATAAACGATTTTGAGGTTTTTCCAGATATTTTGCTTGAAGATTTATTTAGGCACTCATGATGCTCCTAAGAGAATAGTACAGTCATTTTATTCATTGTATTGTAAAAGGCCTGACTTTTCCAGAGGCTATCACAGAGAAAACAGGGGTTGCACTTAAGTACACCAACAAGCCCATCATGTAAGAATCGTTTTATCAAATATTGATAATATCCCTTTATGATCCTACTGATAGTCCATTTGTAACCGTTTAGAACTTTCTGCATAGTAACTTTGTTTTATTTGAATAATATGGACCTTCTAGAAAAGTTTGTTCAAATGCTACTCTTGATGTTCAGCCCAGTGATTTAAGTTGTTAAAACAACCATAAGTTAAGATTCTTTCTCTATTACTAAGTTAGTGTAGACCTGTAGCTACCTAGGTATCGGTTTTAGAACATTCAGCTTCTTTGCCAGAGAAATCGGGTTAAATCTCCTTGATTTTTGTTTCTCATTGTTACACATTATTAACAACAAAAGTACTTAACTGAGGAGAGGCGACATTTTTTTTTATCATGCCCTTAATTGAAGGTAACTTAAGCAACATGTTTGATTTCAACAAAGACCTGTTATTTAAGAAGATTCTTTAAGAAAAACTATAATGTGGCTTGAATTTGCACTCTGGGCAGTGAAAAAAAATGTATCTTTTTCCTCAAGCCAAACTAAAATTAACTTTTCTGTTAATGATGAAAGAATTTTATTGGCCAGGCATTGTGACTCACACCTGTAATCCCAGCACTTTGGGAGGCCGAGGCAGGTGGATCACCTGAGGTCAAGAGTTCGAGACCAGCCTGTACAACATGGTGAAACCCCATCTCTACTAAAAATACAAAAATTACCCAGGCGTGGTGGTGGGCACCTGTAATCCCAACTATTTGGGAGACTGAGGCAGGAGAATCACTTGAACCCGGGAGGCAGAGGTTGCAGTGAGCCAAGATTGTGCCACTGCACTCCAGTCTGGGTGACAGAGGGAGACTCTGTCTCAAAAAAAACAAAAAAAAAGAATTTTCTTTAACAAATTATTAGAATTGTTATGTGGAAAGGATTCTGTTTAACTTAGCTAAGAAAATAATTGAACATGGTTAGGCACCGAATCCTTAGCGTCTTTGTTGTGAAAAGTAAATGTAGACTGGACTTAGATTGAAGGAGTGTGCTTAATGAGTTTGACTTCTAGGCTAGGGAAGGTTGTTTTCTATAAAGTAACAGGTCTAGATTTGGGGAAGAAGAATTCTAGTTATGTATATCTTAAACGATAAAGACCCCAAAACCATAGGGATTCCTTTTAAGCCTGGAACCTGTCACTAAATAAGACTGGCTTCTTTAGTATCAGTCTAATCAGAATAAATGAAGTCTTACATCTCATTGTCTATTCTTTCATTTATTCTTCATCTCTTCACCCTCCCAATTGACTTCAATAAAGTCATAACTGGAGGTAAGTTATAATAACATCTGTATACAGTGTGGATTGGCTTCACAATGCTAACAAGATGTTTTCTAATCGTTCTGTGAAAGATAGTTGAACCCTTCATGAAGAGAAGGAGCATAACAACATTATAACAGAAGAAGCCATTAGGATAAATTTATAGGTCATGAAAGAAAAGAGTATTCTCATAGGAGTTTATTTTATCATCATATATTTACTAAGATGACATAAAGAAAAAAGTAGTTAATCTTTTTGTTTTGAAACTGTTTTGATTGAGGGTGCCCTATCCGGAAGTAGGCAAATATACCATAGCTATCCTTCGATGAAGACCTTCTTGGAACTTAAGCATTAAGGAAGATCACATTTGCGAAGGTGGAGTCAGAAGACCTGAGAATGATATCCTTTCCATTCACATTATTTAGAACCAGACACGGTGGCTCACACCTGTAATTCTTTGGAGCCACCAAAGCCTCTCACTTTGGGAGGCTGAGATGGGTGAATCCCTTGAGCCCAGGAGTTCAAGACCAGCCTGGGCAACATGACAAAACCCTGTCTCAACAAAAATACATTAAAGTTAGCCAGGCATGGTGGTACACACCTGTAGTCCCAGCTACTCAGGAGGCTAAGGCAGGAGGATCACTTGAGCCCAGGAGGCAGAAGTTATAGTGAGCCGATATTGCACCACTGCATTCCAGCCTGGGCGACAGAACAAGACCTTGTCTCAAAAAAAAAAAAAAAAAGGAGCAACCCATGTAAATAGGTTTTGTAAACAACAAGTTTTTTTCTGGCCTTTTGATGCTTTGAAGGGAGTGTACCTTTCCTGTGTGGCCATGGGTTTTCCCTTTACCCCATCTCTACTGCAGATGGAAGTAGAGTCCAGCATGGCGAGCTTTCTTCTCTGGAGCTACTGGAAAGCTGGTGTGGATTTTCTCTTTTAGCAGTAAGATGAGTGATTTTGTTTTTGACCCAGAAAGAAGCTGGATATATACCCCAGTCTCTTCTGAATACAGGCCACCACTCTATTCCTAGAAAGACAGCATAGAACATGTATAATTTATGATGAGCCTAATTGTGTGCTACACCCAGCTAGCTGCTGATGTCTGTCCTTTACGCACCATAACATTCCTTCTTGAGAGCATACCGGGCTTTTTTCAAGTGAACCATAGACAAGGGGCAGAAGATTCTCCCTTTGGCTGGCTCAGCTAAAGACTAAAGTGAGAGAAGACAGAGGACTCTTGTTCCTCTGAGTTTTGCCGTAAATATCACTTGCTCCTTGCTGGATTGGAGGAAGGGAGGGGCAGAAGACAAGACTATTATCATGATTAGCCTATTTTCTCTTATACATTTATTCAACAAACTTTAAAGGGAACATTTTAAATGTTGTTGACAGTTACACCTTGGTTACTTTATTTTAAAAAGCATTGTATTCTTTGATTTTTTAATGCAAGGTCTCTCTATTGTAGCTGGCTCCTCTCATTCAAAAAAAACAACTGGCTCTAAAGCATCAGCTTCGCCATCCACTTCATCCACCTCATCTCGTCCCAAAGCTTCAAAGGAGACAGTTTCTAGCAAAGCAGGGACAGTGGGGACCACCAAGGGCAAGAGAAAAACTGACAAGCAGCCAATAACTTCTCACCTGTCCTCAGACACAACAACTTCTGGCACATCCGACCTGAAAGGAGAGCCTGCAGAGACCAGAGTGGAGAGTTTCAAACTCGAACAGACTGTCCCTGGAGCTGAGGAGCAGAACACAGGCAAATTCAAGTCCATGGTCCCTCCACCCCCTGTGGCTCCAGCACCTTCTCCTCTGGCCCCCCCTCTCCCTCTTGAGGATCAGTGCATTACTGCCTCAGACACTCCAGTTGTCCTCGTCAGCGTTGGAGCTGACCTGCCCGTCTCTGCCTTAGACCCAAGTCAGCTTCTTTGGGCTGAAGAGCCGACGAACAGAACCACTCTCTACTCAGGCACTGGCTTAAGTGTTAACAGAGAAAATGCAAAATGGTGAGTTGGGGAACAAACCCCCTATTTTATCTGAGAACTAAAGATCACTAATATATTCTGTTGGAAATGAAGCACCGGGTTTGCTTTCTTATATAATTTAATCTACTGAGTGTTAGGTAGGCATACATGTGATCCAACCATTGCTTTGTCAGAGCCCTGCCCTGGGAATGCCTAGGGCTGCTGGAGAAAATTACATTGGTAGAGCTGACAAATACCACTTGAGATCAATGTTTTCAAGTACACTTAGAACCTGCTTCAGCACTGCTCAGCAGTCCACAGTTCCCTTCTCTTTCCTTTCAGTGCTTATTTTAAATCTTTACTTTACCATTGTGCTTACCTACTCATGTCAGCAAGTTACTGAGCCTTCCCCTTCACCAAGAACATAAAGAAGATCAGAAGAGAACTCTCAAATTTGAACTCTTTTTTCTCCATCAGTAGAGTTGTCCCCTTTCTTGTTCCTTTAAATTCCCACCCAGCTTAAATGTTATGTCCTCTGTGAAGCCATTCAGTACTTCTAGACAGAATTGGTTATTGTGTCTACTATACTTAACCCTGTGGGACAGAATTAGCCAACATGTCTTACATAAGACACCTCTGTGTGCCCAGCAACCACTCCAGAGTCTGATATGCCATAGGCACACAAAGGATGCTCATTGAATTGTTGAAAGAAAATAAAAAAGGGATTTAAGATGGTTATAGATAAAGTCAGCCTACTTTAACATTGCGGAAGCAGCATTGAAGATAAGATGACCCTATTGCTAGATTTTGTAGAGTATAATGGAAGATAAAAGATAGTGCTCAAGTAGTCTTAGTTTCATTTAAGAAGGTACCTGAACAAAATGGGCCAAGGAACTCAATGTTACCTCACCCTCATCCAGTTGGTGGGTTAGTTGCTTTACCACCACCCAGTTGCCCAAGCTGGAAACCTGGGGTTCATCCAAGGGTCCTCATTCTCTTTCATTCTTTGCATTTCATCACTCACAAAGTCCTATAAATATTCTACTTACAGGTAAATAAAACATATTAGCCCTGTCTCACGAGTATGAAGGGATGGATGGCTGTCAGAGTATAGTAGACGCAATGATAAATTCTGTCTGGCAAAGGCTTAGAGCTCTTGCATCCTGGCTTTTTGCTCCTGAGTCTAAGAACAAAACCTGTATTCATTGTTCAAATCATGTAAAAGGTTCTCTTTCAAAACAATCTGTCATGTTAGACTTAAAAAAAATTATTACATTAATTAGGTTGGTTTTGGTCAAGAAACTAAAATATCAACTTTAATTCTTTAATTGCTAATGATAATAACCTTTATTTATTGAATACTCATTTAGTGTCAGGAACTAAGCACTGTACATGTATTATCATTTTATTTACACAAGTCTTCCCAAAAGTATCCCTGTTTTATAGATAAGAAAACTGGCACTGAGAGAGCTAAAATAGTTTGCACCAGACTGCCCAGTTGGTGGTGGTGAAGCCAGAATGCATACCCAATTCCATGCTCTGAATGAATAATTTCATGTTTTCCAAAGCAGTGGCTTCTACTTCTACTGCCATTTCTCTTCTGTTAGTTTCTTTGGGTTTTTTTAAGTCATTTTGAGCACCAATATTTGAAGGACAGCCAAGAAAAAATAAATGTCAAATTACAAATTAATTTATTTTCTTTGTTTGACATTTTAATAAAAGATATGGGAAAAGAAGATTTATTGAAATGAACGGTTATGGTGTCTTTCTTAGGACATTTTGTGCTGCTGTAATAGAGTACCTGAGACTGGGTAATTTATAATGATTAGAATATTGGCTTACAGTCCTAGGGGCTGAGAAGTCCAAGATCAAGGCAGCAGCATTTGGCAAGGATCTTCTTTCCATGTCATCACATGGTGGAAGGTGGAAGGGCAGAGAGCACAACAGAGTGAACCTACCCCTGTGAGCCCTTTTGAAAATGGCATTAATCTATTCACGAGGGCAGAGCCTTCATGACTTAAACACCTCCCACTAGGCCCTACCTCTCAACACTTTCACACTGAGGATGAAGGTTTTTGTTTTGTTTTGTTTTGTTTTTTGAGACAGAATCTTGCACTGTCACCCAGGCTGGAGTACAGTGGCATGATCTCGGCTCACCTCAACCTCTGCCTCCCAGGTTCAAGCAATTCTCCTGCCTCAGCCTCCCCAGTAACTGGAACTACGGGTGCCTGCCACCACGCCTGGCTAATTTTTGTATTTTTAGTAGAGATGGGGTTTCACCATATAGGCCAAGCTGGTCTTGAACTCTTGACCTTGTGATCCGCCTGCCTCAGCCTTCCAAAGTGCTGGGACTACAGGCGTGAGCCACCATACCCAGCTAGGATTAAATTTTAACCCATGAATTCTGAGGGACACATTCAAACCCTAGGAGCATTCTTAATACTTCCAGCACACAGCAAATGTCTTCATTTAACTATAGTGAGTATTTTCCAACATTGCCATCACTTCCAACCATTAGAACTGAACATTCATTCTTACAGCATATATTTTTTGATTGCCTTTTCTGTGCTGGGCAATGTACTAAGCACCAAGGATACAAAAGTGAGCAAGGCAATATAGTTAAGACTAGCTTTTACCAAAATATTGTCTGATGTGCCCAGGAAGTATAATGTTTAAGGTAACATCTGAATTTTGGGAACTAGATTGGGTATACGGGATTATTGTTCAATATACTAAAGAATAAGGTGCAACATGTAAAGTGTTTCCTGATATAGTCTTAAACACTCAGAGAGCTCATATCCAAAGGTGGCCTGACTCTATCCCGTTCATTTCCACAAATATTTAAGGAGTTCATTTTATTGTGCTAAACAACACACAACATACTAAGGGCTTAATATCAGTCTTCATCTCAAGTATATGAAGAACTGTCAGACCAAAGAGGTAAGCATCTGTTCTTCATTCCTACTGGGACTATAATCAGAGGGAGTGAGCTTAGTACATCATTAGCCATTGAGGCTATTTATAATAGATATTCCTGTCCATCAAGGTAGTTATAATGCTTTCCTAGAAGAGGCCATAGGGATTTTCTTCTCTGTATATTCTTCAAAATTTAAATTTCAGTTCATCCTACAGGGATGGTTTGTGTTTGCTCTTGAATTAATGAACCTGGAGTAAGTAGTCTCTCAAATTTCCTTCCAAATTCCTTCTGCCTTTTTCAAGTGGATATTTGGATTAGAATATCTGGCTCTTAGTCACTTTCTTTACTTAGAACTTTCCTTCTGAGTTATGTTTCATCAACTAATGTGTGAAAATCTTGTCATTTTATGAAGAGACTTCTGTTTGGAATACAAATATCAAAACTTTCAAGAAGACAAGTGGCTATGTATAAAAATACCTACCTCTCTTCCCATATGGCAGGGTACTAATTATTTGGTAGGCTTCCATTCATGGGCAGCTTCATCAGTAACACATATGTGTGATACAATATAAGGTGAAAACTAATAAGCCCATTTGGAGGCCATATCCAAAAGGCTACTTTGTACAGTTCATTTTCACAAACATGTATAGAATGCACTATATTGTCCAGTGTGCCCAGGAACCCGAGGGGGAAAAATGAGGGGTAAGTCATGAGTTGATTAATACAAATTTGGAATATATTTAACATCAGATATAATTTATAACATAACTCATTAAGTGTAAAATATAATAGTATAATAAATGTAAAATTTAATAGGTAGACCGAGTCTTCAGTCTGGATTCTAGACAAGACTTGCTACCTTGGTTAGGCAACTCACTCATGGTCTTCTTTGATTCCATGAACTATAAGTTATCTGCCCTCCTTATACAATAGAATACTTGTAAATTGTAGATGTATGCTGGACTCTTTGAAAACCATGAAACAAAATACAAATAGTAAGATTAGAATAATAATCAATATGATAATTAATTAGTGAACAATGACACCAACAAATAAAGGACTCATCTCTCAAATTTGTTCTGTTATTCAGAACATATTATTAATTGGCATGTATTTTAAACATTCTGTGATCACCCATAATGGCAGCCAATTCAAACAAGAATGGCTTCCAGTGGCAATCAACTAAAAACCCAGACTGTGGAAAATTTTTCCTATAAAAATAGATCTTCTCTTATTTAAGATGAGATTTCACACTGTGGAAAACAGTATGGTGGTTCTTCAAAAAATTAAACATAGAATTACCATGTGATCCAGCAATTCTACTTCCATGTATATAGCCAAAATAATTGAAAGCAGGCACTTGAATTTGTACACCAGTGCTCAAAGCAGTATTATTCACAATAGCCAAAAGGTGAAAACATACAGATGTGTATTGATTGGTGAATGGATAAACAAAATGTGTTATATACATAGAGTGGAATATCATTCAGCCTTAAAAAGGAAGCAGATTCTCACACATGCTACGACATGAATGAAGGAACCTTGAAGACATTATGCTAAGTGAAGTATGTTACATACAAAAAGACAAACATTGTATAATTTCTCTTAGAGAAGGTGCTTAGAATAGTCAAATTATAGAGACAAAAAGTAGAATGGTAGTTGCCAATGGCTGGGAGATAATGGTTATGGGGAGTTGTTTAATGGGTAGAGTTTCAATTTGGGAAGACGAAAAAGTTCTGAAGATGGTTGGTGGTGGTAGTTACACGGTAATGTGAATGTGTCTAATGCCAGTGAACTGTACACTTAAAACTGGTTAAAATGGCAAATTTTATGTTATGTATATTTTACACAATAAAAATGAGATTTCCTATTTCCCTGTTTGAGAACAAGAATATAGTCTGTTGGGTTTTTCTGATAAGTGAGAAACAAAATTTTGACAGTGATCACTCAGGTTTATAACTATGAAGTAGGGTTTTAAATACCTCATATTCTGATAAAGTTTATCTGTGTTTATTGCTGGAAGAACTTTTTACCAGAAAGCAATTTGGGGGATCTTTGTGTCTTAAAATGAAGATTACATTATTTTTGATGTGATGTTTTTATGTAAATTACTATGTATTTTTTAGTCTAGTCTTTGAAAATTGGCAATCTTTGTACATTAATAGTAACTCTTTAAATCATAGACTTTTACTAGGCTAAATAATAGAAAATTATTGCTTCCTTGCATATCACCTTTTTTCTTTCTTTCTTTCTTTTTTTTTTTTTTTTGAGATGGAGTCTCGCTCTGTCACCCAGGCTAGAGTCATATTACCTTTTTTCTAAAAAGTGTATTTAACTTGCACATTGTCTGTTATGTTACAAGAGGCAGTTTTAAAAATGAAAACACACATAGGATAAATGAGTTTTTACTATTTACATATTGGGATAAAAGCAGGATTAATTCATATATGTACTTTACATATATATATATGTATATATATATATGTATATATATATATATGTATATATATATATATGTGTGTATATATATATATATATATATATATATATATATATATATATGCTTTTTTTTATTTTTTTGAGACAGGGTCTCACTCTGTTACCCAGGCTGGAGTACAGTGGTGCTAGCATGGCTCACTGCAGTCTCGATTTCCCAGGCTCAAGCAATCCTTCCCAGGCTCAAGCTGGGACTACAGGCAAGCGCCACCATGCCCAGCTAATTTTTTATTATTTTATTTTATTTTATTTTATTTATGTATTTATTTAATTTATTTATTTTTGAGACGGAGTTTTGCTCTTGTTGCCCAGGCTGGAGTGCAATGGCGCGATCTTGGCTCACTGCAACCTCCACCTCCCGGGTTCAAGCGATTCTCCTGCCTCAGCCTCCCGAGTAGTTGGGACTACAGGTGCCGGCCACCACTGCTGGCTAATATTTTGTATTTTTAGTGGAGACAAGGTCCCCTATGTTGCCCAGGCTGGTCTTGAACTCCTAGGCTCAAGTGATTCTCCCACTTCAGCCTTCCAAAGTGCTGGAGTTACAGGTGTGAGCCACCGAACCCAGCCATATATTAATGAAAGAAGATGTACTTTTCTACGTCATTACCTTCTGGGTGCTGTGATGCAAAACAATGAGTCTCACTTTTCCAGGAACTTGTGGGATTGAGAAGGCAGAGAAGCAATGGGTGGTCAAGATGTAGTATGCTAAGCACTCTAGCGGGATCGTCTTCAGGTCCCCATGGGACAGACGTGGGGGCAAGGAATTAAACTGAAGGTCCATGAAAGCTTCCTGAAGGAGCTGAGGCTGTAGCTGACACTTGAAGGAAAAAATAATTTGCAAAATGTAGTTTTACCCTATTTGTTTGCTAAATGTATCAGATACCAAGCGTTTGCATTTTACAGATGAAAAATGTAAAACCTTGAGAATTAAGGTTTCATTTCAGTGACTTTAGCCTGGCCTATGTCAAGTGTCTGCTTTCCTCAGCCTGAAGGAAGCCCATGAAACTAGAGCTCTTTTTCTTAGTGTCAGTGCCGCCAAGGGTTGCTCTGAGCTTCACATCACTCCCATGCTTTTCTGCCTTTAACAGTTTCACAACCAAAGAGGAGCTGGGGAAGACAGTGCCTCAGCTACTGACTCCTGGGCTGATGGGCGAATCTTCAGAATCCTTTAGTGCCTCAGAAGATGAAGGCCACAGGGAATACCAAGCCAATGACTCTGACTCGGACGGGCCTATCTTGTACACCGATGATGAGGACGAAGACGAAGATGAGGATGGCAGTGGAGAAAGTAAGACTGTTTTCAAGAGGCAGGGAGGAGCGTGGGTGATAAGCAGAAGCAGCTGCAGTTTATAAAGAATAAAAGCCTCATTAGGAACCAGACATCTGATGTTTTCTTTCCCCTCATCCTCCTTTCTCAAATTAGAAATGTGTATATCCTAAAGTTTAGCTTTTGATGGGAGGCCTTTCCAGAAGATGATGTCACATGGCTGGATCTGGCCTTTGTCGATGAGCTAGATGAGCTAGATGTGCTAGATGTGCATATTAGTATTTGTGCTGAGAATCAAAGCTTTCTAATAACAGAGACCTTTCTCACTATGACCAAAGAGAGCCCTTCCACTCTGGGCCTGTTGTTGAAGAAAGAAAGTCAGTGCAGATTCATAGGCTTACTCATTGGAGGTGTTTGAAATTTTCACTCGCTTTTGTACTGGGGTTTATAGAAAGGGGAAGGAGGAATGAGTCAAGAATGCCAAATACCTCATTAGCATTAAGAGGCTGGGCACGGTGGCTCATGTCTAATTTTGGGAGGCTAACGTGGGTGAATCCCTTGAGGTCAGGAGTTCGAGACTAGCCTAGCCAACATGGCGAAGCCCTATCTTTACTAAAAATACAAAATCCAGATGGGCATGCTAGCGCACGCCTGTAATTCCAGCTGCTCGGGAGGCTGAGGCAGGAGAATCGCTTGAACCCAGGAGGCAGAAGTTGCACTGAGCTGAGATCGCGCCACTGCACTCCAGCCTGGGAGACAGAGCGAGACTCCATCTCAAAAAATAATAATAAAAAGAATGCTAAATACCTTGCTAGCATTAAAAAAAATCATACTTCCACAATAAGTAAGATAGTAGGCCTTCTAGGAAATAATAATATCATTTATGTATTAAAAATAATGGCAAAAACCACAATTACTTTTGCATCAACCTAATATAACTTAGAGATATGGAAAGTGCTTTTATTTTTTTTTAACTTTGTGCTGGATAACATGGGAGGGATTCACTGTGGACTGAATTTGTAGATTATGGCAAGTTATTACTATATTAGTGATTAAATGGCACTTTTTCAAATCCCTTTTAATTTGCATGGAGCAAAAAAAAAAAAAAACCATTATCATCCATGTGGTGTTACTTATCATTTGTTGAAATTTTCAGGATTCTGGGGTAATTAAGGGTTAAACATTGGTAGACTCTGCCAGGATGGCGTCTGAGTAGAGGAAAGGAGGAGACAAGGATTAACTGTACAGAATAAAAGCAAAAGAACTAAGTTTTTTAAACTTGAAAAAGAAACAGAATTGTGCAATCATTCATTTCTATGATCCACCCTCTCAGCAAAATAAACTGCAGCTATCACTTTCCAAACGATGAAGTGATACTTCTAAGTTTTTTCATGGTGTCCCAATATTTTTCAGAACATTAAAAAGAAATAGCGCTTCAGTCCTCTCAAAATGAACTGCATCCAACTCAAAGTCTTTTTTTCCTTAGGTTAATTAAGATTCTCCTCCTGCATGAGGAGAAAGAATTTGGTCTGGGCTCTATTTAAAGTCCATGCCATGTGTAACCTGAGTGCCACTGGCTAAAAGCCTCTCTCTCTGCATTTCTGCTCTTTTTCAATCCTCAGGTGCTTTGGCAAGTAAAATACGCCGGAGGGATACTCTTGCTATCAAACTTGGCAACAGACCATCTAAGAAAGAACTAGAGGACAAAAACATCTTGCAGCGTACATCTGAAGAAGAGAGGCAGGAAATCCGACAACAAATTGGAACCAAGTTAGTCAGGTAATTGCTAACATTTTAGGACAGTACTGACTAATTTGTATTTTTCTCCCTCCCAAAGCTTCCTACCTAACTGGGGTCATTGTGAATTCCTTATGTACAGATACATCTGGCCTACTGGGTCTTTTAAAGTTGGTCTTGCATGATGAAACACTCGAAGAACCTGTCCTTTGGCCCAGCTAGCCAGTGGCTTTGAGGTCACCAAAGCCTATTCCAGGAGTCAAAAACTTTTTTTTAAAGACCAGTTGGCAAACATTTCAGGCTTTGCTGGCCAGACAGTCTCTGTTGCAGCTACTCAACTGCGCTGCTGTAGCATAAAAGCAGCCATAAATAATAGATAAACAAATGAGTGTGGCCATGTTCCAATAAAACTTTATTTATTCATAAAGCTGGATTTGGCCTGCAGATCACAGTTTGCTCAACAATCCTGGCCTAATTTATGGACTCACTAGCATTCCTGGGAATGCCATGAGGTTCTGCCCTGTGGACTGTGAGACTGCAGAAATATTATTTGCCTTCAATGGTCTGCCTCCATCCAAGTCAGGTAGCCTTAACCCTCATATCTGAACATCCCTCTTCCAACTTCAAGTAAATGGATCATCTGACATCTCTTCCTGCCTCCAACCATTGTATAGGATTTTTGCTTTTGCCACTGGTGACTTTACAAGTCCCTTTAACTGGCAGTTTTAATAGAAGTGAGCATTCATGCCAGAGGTCTTATTTTTGATGATCAGTTTAAGCACATGTAAGAATTAGTTGTTCTGCTGACTTGTCTTACTCTGCATACACAACAGGGTGCATAACTGGGAGAAAGGAACTGTCTAGAATCCCAGAGCAGGATTTGGAGGTGGGGGGAAAATTGCTGTCCTTGCTTGGAAGTGGTATAACTGGAGGCAGGATTGGCATGGAGGCTGCTGACCATTTCTCCAGAGGAAGAGTAACCCCTAAGGCACCTCCTTACAGCTGAGTTGTGCAGAAAGGTGTCAGAGACAGCAGCTGTGGCATCTATCTGAAGGAAAAGCACAGCCTACCAGGGAACCTCGGGGGAGGCTTAGAGGGTCTCTCTGTTCTGTAAACCCTCTTGCGACTCTGGAAGAAATTTGGGAATGTTTACCAGTGGTCTCTCTCGCTCTCGTCTTCTTAATTCAGCCCTAACCTGTGACCATTTCTGGCTTCGGGAAAAAGCCAGCAGAAGCAAGAGGGACTAACGTGATTAATGGTATCGAGCTGGAAAAACCTACAGTTCTAAACTTGCCATCTTACCAAGGAAAAACAAGGGGCCTCTCTGAGGCCCAGAGAGATTAAGGAAATGTCTCAAGGACAGACATGCAGTTACTGAGTAGCAGAACCAGAATTAGAATTTCGCTCCTGGGCTCTCTGCCCAATTTTCTTTTGTATACTGTCTCCTGTTTTGTACTTTCTACTCTATGTAAGAGAGTATATGCTTCTAGGTTTTCTGATTGTTTTATTACTCTTGTTTATGTTTTACTATGAAGAAGAATGTAAATCATTGAATAATATTTGCATAAAATAATAATAGTGTTATCATAGTAAGGAGTAAAAAAGTGTGAAGTATCCTATACCCACCTCAATAAATGTCAAAGTAGCAGTAAAGAAAATTTTGTAAGTTTTTGTTAAAATCCTAAACAAACGAGGAGTTGTAATCCCAGCACTTTGGGAGGCCAAGGCAGGCAGATCACCTGAGGTCAGGAGTTCAAGACCGGCCTGGCCAACATGGCGAAATACCGTTTCTACTAAAAATACAAATATTAGCCAGCTATGATGACTGGCACCTGTAATCCCAGCTACTCAGGAGGCTGAGGCAGTAATTTTGGAGGCAGAGGTTGCAGTGAGCCGAGATTGTACCACTGCACACCAGCCTGGGCAACAGAGTGAGACTCCATCTCAAAAAAAATGTAAAAATAAATTTAAAAAATATATACTAAATATCTTACTATAGGGAGAAACCCTAAAGTCATTTCCTTTAAAAACAGAAGCAAAGAAAAATTCCTTAACCTTACTGTGCTAAAAGTCTGGTCACAATTATTTGTGGTGAAGAAAAGGTATAAATTGTAGGAAAGATATACTGTTATTATACATGGTTGTATACCTAGAAAGCTCTAAAAACTGACCCAAAATTGCTATATATAATGATTTCAGCAGGTTTGCTTGATGTAAGATTAACCTATAAAAATCAACATTATGTTTATATAACATTGTTACATAGAAGAAAATACAATGAAAAAGGGAGATTGCGTTCACGGCATAGCAACAACCGCATTTTAAATACTTAACTATTCACAGGCAGAAGTCCGTAGTCAGGTACCTAGCTAACATCCAGGCCGATCTGTTGCTAGAAGGAAAGGAGACTGTGTAATGGGGGTCAGTGAGCAGCCTCAGCCATGATCTGTAGGCCCACACATACCTGGTTTGAACCACTGCAGTTTTTGGTCTCTGCTACAGCTTAGCTTATAGTCTAATTAATATATAGCTCATTAGGGTCTAAAATAGGATGCTGTGCCTGGCCAGGTAATCTTAATATTACTGTCACATGACACTCCCCAGGTAGGTGAGCGATCCAGTATGGTGGGAGCATGGCTCCTTGAAGTCTGCCTGGCAGCCCCATTCCTTCTGTCTTGCTGCTCTCCCATCCCCTAGATGGTCTCAGCTGCATGATCAAAGCTGGCTCACACCATCATGCTGAAGTTCTAGCCTGTGGAAAAAGGAAAGAGAAAGAAGGGAGCATGCACCCAGGCATTTTAAGGATGAGAAGGGGAAGTAACAAACATCATTCTGCTCACATCCCATTGCAGAAACTCAGTCACAGCACGATACCTGGCTTCTAGGGAGGCAGAAGTCTGTAGTCAGGTACCTAGCTAACATCCAGGCCGCTCTGTTGCTAAAAGGAAAGGAGACTGTGTAATGGGGGTCGGTGAGCAGCCTCAGCCATGATCTGTAGTCTCCAAACTAATGGGAAGGAGACTTTTATTTTGCAGCTTTAAAAATGGATTTTTATTTCTCAAAACATGAAAAATAGAGCTTTGTTGTTTTATTCTGAGTCTCCTACTAGGGTACCTTGTTTTTAACCTGTAATATATCCTTTTTGTCATCATAGGAGGCTGAGCCAGAGGCCCACAACTGAAGAATTAGAGCAAAGAAACATCCTAAAACGTGAGTATTCTATACTATAGAATGATTCCTTGTGTAATCGCTAACAAGCTGCCTCTACAGATGATCGATTTATCAGTAAGAAACCATCATATATTCATTTACTCAAGATGGACTGAAATAGTCCATTTATGTCACATTTATATGTAATTGTTTATATATTTTTTTAATTTCTTGAATTTGATATTTGATTTTATGGCTTTGAGCCTTATACCCGCCCCTAGAGCAGAGTCATGGTCATGACAATTGTGTTTAAGAAAGATGAAATATATTCCATGTATTCTTTCACCCAAATATTAAATAGAAAAAGAATGCTCTAGTCTTCTCGCAAATAAATGTCAAAGAAAAGGCCAAAAGAATCCACAAGGAAACAAATCAAACATTCCTATATTATTATTAACAATACAGTTTGTTGCTAGTTTAACAAATGGCTCAATTCAAAACAAAATTTTCAATCCATTGCATTTTCCTATGTTATGATAACTCGGCTTCCTTCTTGAGTTGTTTATAATTTCTCAGCACTAAAACGTTCTCCATTCATTTTCCTACTTTATTTTCCCATTCTGTTTTTCCCTCTGTTCTCTTTGACTTTAGTTTTTACTCATCCCTGCAGTAGTATTTATTGGAGTTAGTATGTTAAAGCTATAAAGCTAATAGAAATACAGTTTGTCATGCTATTGTGTGTCAGTGTGGACAGGCACTGCAGTGAGTTAAGAAACGGATATTTTTAAATTGAGCCTAGCTGTAGTTTTATATATTGTTAACCCAGTTTCAAAAGATCTTTTTATTGTATGAAATATCAAAGAACAGGGATGGGTAAAACTCCGGCTAGTACTGCAATGGTAGTGACCCATGGTGTGGGGGAAATCCTTGTCAGCCAGGCTTTTCGAGTTATCTTGGCCTGCTAGAAGACCCCTCTTCTCCAATCTAAGATACTTTCTTTCCTTTAGGGAAGAAAGATTTTAGTAGCATATTGTATTACAGTTGTTAGTACGAAATCAATTCAACAATGAAAATGAACTACCATCCAGTGAGAGGAACTACCATCCACCCAGTCTATGGGATCACTTTCTTTGGAATGCTTTTTTCTGGCTTTTTTTTTTTTGACATAACTAGAATACAGCTCCAGGAAGGACTTAAGTGGCTACTAATGTATAGAAGAGCCAATTTGGAGGAGGAAAAATTCACGGCTAGAAAAGAAGGAAAATTTTGTGTTTTTGCTTTGCTGAGGAAGAGTAGAAGCAGCATCTCATTTTGACACAAAACAAACCAAAAAGGTTCATTGCTTTTCATGATAGGTTCCTGGGAAATGCTTGTTGAATTAAGTTTTAAGCATGCTCAAATGCAGACCCTACGCTCCTAAAAAACACAGAGATTATGTCTTACTGGATGCCTGATCCAATACCTAGAAGAAAAAGGGAAGAGCACATTTTGGGTAATTCTTTCTTGATCCTGTGAGATAAATAGTGCCAAACCACAATGGAGTTTGGTTATCTGAGGAACTGTTTCATAGATCTAGAAACTTACCGCGTGTTGATCTTAAGTGCTGCATTGGCCTTTATATCCCATTTTCCTGGAGGTTTGGGAAAGAGTGAGACACTTCAGATTTGACTCCAGCCCTTTTTTTCCTTCCTTCTAAGTTCACCTAAGCATATTTATTTCTGGAAACAGAGGCATATTTCCAGCCTAGAGAGGCTGATAACTGGCTTATGATTTCCTGACCCACTATTGTACAGCCAAGGGAGGCAGAAGAAAACTGGGAGAGGTCATCTTTCCCTGAGCAGTCACAGGAAACTGAATGGCCTAACTTACAAACACTCTACTCAGCCCGTTTGTGTCTTGGTTCTTCCACATAGATTGCTCTTGTTCGTTTGTTTGTATGTTTCATCTCCAGCTTTTGTTCAAGAACAGTAGAAAAGTATGTGATACAGTGTGGTTTTTAAGGACGTTTACTTTAACTAGGTCATCTTTTTTTTTTTTTTTTTCTGAGACGGAGCCTTGCTCTGTTGCCCAGGCTGGAGGGCAGTGGCACTATCTCGGCTCACTGCAACCCCGCCTCCTGGGTTCAAGTGATTTTCCTGCCTCAGTCGTCCCGAGTAGCTGGGACTACAGGTGCGCATCACCATGCCTGGCTAATTTTTGTATTTTTAGTAGAGGTGGAGTTTTGCTATGTTGGCCAGGCTGGTCTCGAACTCCTGACTTCGTGATTCGCCCACCTTGGCCTCCCAAAGTGCTGGGATTACGGGTGTAAGCCACCGTGCCCGGCCCTAACTAGGGCATCTTTTCTGGCAAACTAGAAAACTAATTCACAGAATAAAACATTCAACAATTTTTAGAGCCCATCACTAGTTCAATAAACATGAGTCAGATGCCAATAAATGTCATTAGTTTTCATTGGTGACCACAGGACAAATTATATTTCTTAGTGTCAATTCACCATGCCAGTCCTTACTTGATGTCTTTCCTAATTATTTTGGTGATACTAGAGCTTTTTAAAAAGACATATTACATATACGTATTTATATTATATTATATTATATTATATTATATTATATTATATTATATTATATTTAGTTATTCATTTTAGAACCAGTTCCTAAAAACTGATAAAATAGAAAGCAACTTTTGGTACTTAAAAGTTCAACTTTTGCTAATCAAGAAAGGTGATGTATTTAGCTGAGAATGTAATTCTAGCCATGTCTTCTATAGAGAAAAATGAATTAGGCCATTGAGTTCTGCATATATTTTTCCCCAACATTTTATTATGAAAATTTTTAAACATGAAGAAAAGTTGGAGGAATTTTACAGTAAATCCGCATATATCTACCATCTATAGTCTGTCATTAACATCTTGCTTTATGACATATCTATGCATCTGTTGATCCAGCTTTTTTTAATGCACTTTAAGTTTATGTGTGTCTTTTTCATTTGCTAAAAACACCCATATGAGGCCAGGTAAGGTGGCTTATGCCTGTAATCCCAAAGCCTTGTGAGGCCAAGGCAGGAGAATTGCTTGATGCCAGGAGTTTGAGACCAGCCTGGGCAATATAGTGAGATCTCATCTCCACCAAAAATTGAAAAAACAAAACATCTACATGGAAACATGTAAAAAGCAGAAAGAAAAACAAATCCACAAAAAAATTTGGCTTTTTGAACCCATTTTATCTGAATTAACAACTCAAGAAGATAATACTCCAATTGCTGGTATTTTTATACTTTTCTTTCTTCTTTTAGCTCATCCACAAAATTCTCTGGGTAACATTGCTCGCTAGGCGGGTTTCCTGTGGTGCTTGCTGCTGTTTAACCACATGTATTATTTGTTTATTTATCGGAAATGCTTCTTGCGGGTCGTCCGAAATGTTCGCCCCTCTCTGCTCTGATGAGAGTCACTGAGAGCAAGATTTGTCAATGAACCACGTCACTTCCTTCATGCATATCCCACCAGCCTGTTTAAATTGACCAGAAAGATTTGCATCCTACTTTATAATTAGTCCTCTAGTGAATCAAAAAATGAAGGAAGCATACAAAAAACTTGGTGTATTTTCAAATACTGAGTTTAAGGTTTAAACTTGACTCTATGAGAGATTTTACAATGACTGTTTAATAAGATTCAGAGAAGCTGTCATGGTAGCTCATGCTGGTAATCCCAGCTACTTGGGATGCTGAGGCGGGAGGATCACTTGAGTCCTGGAGATCAAGACAAGCTTGGACTACATAGGGACAGCCCATCTCTACAAGATGAAAGTAAAGATTCAGAGGAACAGTCATGTTGGCTTCCCTCTACCTCTCACCCTCGTCCTCTAACTTCACTAAAAGTACAATTTTGAACATGGAAAACTTAAAGAAATCAGTTTCTGATGTCAAAAATGAATTCAATTCCCTAACTGCATTTGGCCCTTCTCTTTTTAGACATCACTGTTACCTGGTAGCACTAGCTGAACAATATGCTTAATAAGGCAAAACTTTCAAATATTCCCTTCAAGGAAATATCATTTTTGCGTATTTAATGACGACTGGAGCATTTGTTAGCTTTGGGATGTATTATATCCAATTTTTTAATCTTTGAAAAGTACCTTAAAAATATAGCATAAATACTGTATAGGAAGAATTGACAAAAATGTTCTCAGAATTATATTTTTCTTTTTATTAATAATGTCATCAATATCACTAACAATATCATCACTTTTTATCAACAATATCAACAATGTTATTTTCACTATCGTGTCACCTTGTAAAGCTCTGGTTTAAATCACAAGAACCACAGTGTGGCATTTGTTTATTATGTATTTTGACAATCCACAAGCTTTATCCAACTCATATGAGGTAATTCTTTGAACCTAAGTATGCATTTTTAAGGATATGAAAGGATATATATTTTGTGAAGCAATTAAAACCCTAGAGTACTTTCATAGGAAGAAATTTAAATTATAACCAAATTTGTTTGACTGGCACAAAATGAAAGGATATTAACTCATTGTTTCTTGTCTTGTGGATGATTACAGTTTATGTCCACTCTTTGTCTAATCACCTTCTTTCTTATGCATTAAAGTTATTATTTCAGAAGAACATAGAAACTTTTCCCTGTTCAGAGAAGGAAAACTGATAGAGAATTTAGCCTGTTCAACTAACAAATACAGCTGTTGCAAATATTGAATACTGATATGTTATTCACAGTAAAAATAATCTTAGTTGTAAGAAGTCTATTTGAATTATAAAATAAATATATTTCATACCTGTCATGGATTAAAAAAATTTTTTTTAATTGAACCCGGGAAGCGGAGGTTGCGGTGAGCCAAGATCGCGCCACTGCACTCTAGCCTGGGTGACAGAGCGAGAATCCGTTTCAAAAAATAAAATAAAAATAAAAATAAATAAACAAATAGAAGAAGTTTTCCTTTTTCAACCTTTTGGTCAAGGCTTTATATGGTGTTATTTTCCTGCAAAAGAGTTCATAATAGCACTTTCTAAAACATAATCTTTCATAAGCATCGGTATCCAAGAAGCAAAATGTATGCTCACTGATCAAACAGATGATCAGCTAAACGAAGCAACAGAGAGATGTTCCTCAAGTAAGCAACAACCAGCAAAACCTGAAGGGGTGTTTATTTCTTTAAAAATTTTGGACATTTTTCTTTAAATCCCATCTGTTGGGCAGCATAAAATCGTACTACTTGGTGAATCACTAGAGAACGAGAAGACTTTGGAAAGGCAAAGTCACAAGAAAATAAATAATTTCCACCCAGAGTACATCATAACCTCATTTAGAACATTCTGGTTTGAAAGCAAAGTCCAAGGAAATGCTTACATTCTGCTTCTATGGAAACGAAGGAAGACAAATCAAATATTTTGGTTGGATTTGAGTGGAAATCAGCAGCTCAGACATGCATCGGATGGTTCTAATTTGCTCTTTTAATATGTCTCAGATTTTCACACGAAGGCCAGATCCAGAAGTAAATTTTTATCTGAATTCTGGTAAATTGTGCTTATAAGCCCATGAAATGATCAGCAATAGAGGGCTTTCATTAGAATATGGGCACTCCTGTGGTTTTTTTAAGAATACAACAAGACATCAGGAAGCAAAAACGTTTAAAATTAGTAAAGCAAACCAGTCCTACAAAAAAAGCATGTGTGTGTGTGTGTGTGTGTGTGTGTGTGTATGTGTGTGTGTGTGTAAGATGATCAACCTTCCTACAAAATATTTTGACAACTTTTTAACAATGTTGGTTGTGTGTTTGATCATTATTTGTTAGAGTCACATGATCGTGGCCTGATACACTTTTCTGAATATGAAATCATCTATAGTAACTGTCATCACGACTTTCCTCCTTTAATAAACAGAAAAGAATGAAGAAGAGGAACAAGAAGCAAAAATGGAACTTAAACGCAGACTCAGCAGAAAGGTAATGAAATCATAACTATTAATGAGCATATGTGTTTTGAGATATACTTTTAAAAAAAAATACTAATCCTCTCTGTATGTGTAAATCAGATGTTTAGAAATAATTATTCCTATTAGTCTATAATCATAGACATCAAAATCACAAGCCTGGGCAACATGGTGAAACCCTAGCTCTACAAAAAATAAAAAAATTAGCCGGCATGGTGGCACATGCCTGTAGTTCCAGCTACTCAGGAGGCTGAGGTGGGAAGATTGCTTCAGCCTGGGAGGCAGAGGTTGCTGTGACCTGATATCGTGCCACTGCACTCCAGGCTGGGAGACAGAATGAGACCCTGTCTCAAAAAAATGAAATAAAATAAAATAAAACAAATCAATATAATGCACATGCTATGAGTGATGTTTCTGATTGTGTGTTGTGCTAATTTTGAATAATTAACAAGGGTTTTAAGTTGCATTTACTCCATGAAAGTATGTACTCTGTGTGAAAATTTTTAAAGACACAAAAAAAGAAAAAAATAAAATCATGTCTTTCATTCAGAGACAGCCATTATTAACATTTCAATGCATGTATTTCCATTTTAAAAAATTGTTTTGAGTCAGGTGCAATGGCACGCACCTGTAGTCCCAGCTACTTGGAAGCTGAGGCAGGAGGATTGCTTGAGCCCAGGAGGTCAAGACCAGCCTGGACAACATAGTGAGACCTTGTTTCAAAAAAAAAGAATTAATTGAAAATTAATCTCGCTTGATTAGAACAATGAAAAAAAAAAAGAAAAAAAGAAGTGAAAAAAGTTTTTAATTATGATAAAAATTATTTCTTAAAATGCTCACACTTTCCATTTAGTGTTGGAAATATTAAACAAGTAAGTAATTTGTTACTCCTGAAGATTTCCCACTATTCCACATCACAGCTGGGTAAGTAATTTATTAAGTGAACTTGATCATCCAGCCTGCCTGCTACAGTGCTACCCAGATTGACAAATGTCTTACCTCCCAAACTCAGACAATTGTTGCCACTTATTTATGAATATATAAATCTGATGTTAGGGCCATCACTTTTTTCTGTGTTAAAGTAATAGCCTTTGGAAAAATCAAGCACCATCAGAGTTTATATTTCATTATAAATCCTTCTAATCATTCTTCAGGCATACCTTATGCACCTAAAAATGGATAAAGTGACTAAAATGTGACATCTACATGAAGTGTGACCTGACCCACATTTTTGTGGGCTGGCCAGGGAGTCTTCAACAAAAGCATTCCAAGGCAGATGGAGGCAATGCTTCATTCCCACAGAAAAGCTATGGGACTATGTTGAAAGTGTTTGGTTCTGTTTTTCAAGGAAAAACATCCTTAATTTATCCATTGTATTAGTCCATTTTCACACTGCTGATAAAGACACACCTGAGACTGGGAAGAAAAAGAGATTTAATTGGACTTATAGTTCCACATGGCTGGGGAGGCCTCAGAATCATGGCAGGAGGCAAAAGGCTCTTCTAACATGGTGGCGGCAAAAGAAAATGAGGAGGGGAAGCAAAACTGGAAACCCCTGATAAACACATCAGATCTTGTGAGACTTTTTGACTATCACAAGAATAGAATGGGAAAGACCGAGCCCCATGATTCAATTACCTCTTCCTGGGTCCCTCCCACAACACATGGGAATTCTGGGAGATACAATTCAAGTTGAGATTTGGGTGGGGACACAGCCAAACCATATCATTCTGCCCCTGGCCCCTCCAAATCTCATGTCCTCACATTTCAAAACCAATCATGCCTTCCCAACAGTCCACCAAAGTCTTAACTCATTTCGGCAGTATCCCAAAATCCACAGTCCAAAGTCTCATCTGAGACAAGGCAAATCCCTTCCACCCATGAGCCTGTAAAATCAAAAGCAAGCTAGTTACTTCCTAGATAAAATGCGGGTACAGGCATTGGGTAAATACAGCTAGCTGTTCCAAATGGGAGATATTGGCCAAAACAAAGGGGTTGCAGGGCCCATGGCAAGTCTGAAATCCAGTGGGGCAGCCAAATTTTAAAGGTCCAAAATTATCTCCTTTGAATCCAGGTCTCACATCCAGGTCACACTGATGCAAGAGGTGGGTTCCCATGGTCTTGGGCAGCTCCACCTCTGTGGCTTTGCAGGGTACAGCCTCCCTCTTGGCTGCTTTCACAGACTAGTGTTGAGTGTCTGCAGCTTTTCTAGACACATGGTGCATGCTGTTGGTGGATCTACCATTCTGGGTTCTGGAGGACAGTGACCCTCTTTGCACAGCTCCACTAGGCAGTGCCCCAGTAGGGACTCTGTGTGGGGGTTCCAACCCCACATTTCCCTTCTGCACTGCCCTAGCAGAGGTTCTCCATGAGCCCCACCCCACCCCCAACCCTGCCCATGGCAAACTTTGGCCTGGGCATCTAGACAGAGGTTCCCAAACCTCAGTTTCTGACTTCTTTTCACCCACAAGCTCAACACCATATGGAAGCTGCCAAGGCTTGGGGCTTCCACGATCTGAAGCCACAGCCCAAGTTCTACATTTGCCCCTTTCAGCCACAGCTGGAGTGGCTGGGGCACAGGGCACCAAGTCCCTAGGCTGCACACAGCACAGGGACCCTGGGCCCTGCCCACAAAACCACTTTTTCCTCCTGGGCCTTCAGGCCTGTGATGGGAGGAGCTGTCATGAAGGTCTCTGACATGGCCTGGAGACATTTTCCCCATGGTCTTGAGGATTAACATTAGCTTCCTTGCTACTTAGGCAAATTTCTGCAGCCAGCTTGAATTTCTCCTCAAAAAATGGGTTCTTTTCTGCTGCATCCTCAGGCTGCAAATTTTCTGAACTTTTATGCTCTGTTTCCCTTTTAAAATGGAATGCTTTTAACAGCACCCAAGTCACCTTTTGAATGCTTTGCTGCTTAGAAATTTCTTCTGCCAGATACCCTAAATCATCTCTCTCAAGTTCAAAGTTCCACGAATCTCTAGGGCAGGGGCAAAATGCCGCCATTCTTTTTGCTAAAACATAATAAGAGTCACCTTTGCTCCAGTTCCCAACAAGTTCCTTATCTCCATCTGAGACCACCTCAGCCTGGACCTTATTGTCCATATTGCTATCAGCATTTTTGTCAAAGCCATTTAACAAGTCTCTAGGAAGTTCCAAACTTTCCCACCTTTTCCTATCTTCTTCTGAGCCTTCCAAACTGTTCCAACATCTGCCTGTTACCCAGTTCCAAAGTTGATTCCACATTTTTGGGTATCTTTTCAGGAACACCCCACTCCTGGTACCAACTTACTGTATTAGTCTGTTTCCATGCTGCTGATAAAGGCATACCCTAGACTGGGAAGAAAAAGAGGTTTAATTGGACTTACAGTTCCACATGGCTGGGGAGGCCTCAGAATCCTGACAGGAGGCAAAAGGCATTTCTTACATTGTGGCAGCAAGATAAAATGAGGAGAAAGCAAAAGCAGAAACCCTTGATAAACCCATCAGATCTCATGAGACTCATTCACTATCACGAGAATAGCATGGGAAAGACCAGCCCCCATGATTCAATTACCTCCCCCTGGGTCCCTCCCACAACATGTGGGAATTCTGGAGATACAATTCAAGTTGAGATTTGGGTGAGGACACCGCCAAACCATATCATTTTTTTTTCTCAAAGCTCATAAATGTCAAATAATGATCAAACTGAAAGACTTTATTGACTCAATTTCTAGGGATGACTCTAGTTTTCAATGGCCCTTAAGTTACCATCTGTAGACAATCAATCACCCCCTCCTTATTGCCCTGGGCACAGTCTTGTGATACAAATCATCTTTCTCAATCCAGCTGGGCCCCTCCATGAGGCAGCAGTGCCAGCCCTTACCCTCTGCACCCACTTGCCTCCACCATACATAGCTCCATGCCGTAGGTGCAGGTCAGCCCGTAGCACTGGTAGCTACCCCATGACTGGGACAGTCCTGAGGACAAGACTGGATGGAGAATTTCTAACCTATATTGCCATTGGTCACTTTCCTTCTAGCCAGTTCTTAGGAGCAAGGGCTTCTCTACCTCCTTATTTCCACCTGCCCCAAAGTGGCAGCAAGAAGCTAGCAATATAGATTGGACAGCAACTAGACTATAGCAGATCACTTAGATTATTCTTTCTCTTGTCCATTGCCTACCGGGGCTCTATGAAGATAGAGGGAGCCATAGTTGGCACATCCCTGCTCCAGTGGGCTCAGGGTATGGGCCTAGGCCTTCTAAAAGTCCTTGAGTGCTTTGAATATTACAGTATTGGCTTAGTTCAGAAGGAAACTGAGGCCCAGGAAAGGGCTGTTAATGACTACAGAATGTAGACCCAGTGCAAAATAAGGAATATCTCTGGACAGGTGTTGTGGCTTATGCCTGTAACCCCAGCACTTTGGGAGGCTGAGATGGGAGAATCGCTTGAGCCCAAGAGTTCAAGACCAGCCTGAGCAACATAGAGAGACCCCCCACCCACTCTGTTTAAATAAAAAAAAAATAAGCAATATCTCCGGAGAGGACCACTTAGATGATGGGTAGTCTGGCTGTATACAGAGTATATATAAGAGAGGAAATATATGAAAATGGGCCCTATGGCTACAATAGAGGTCTAAGTCTACCTCTCTGGAGATAACTGTGATACCACCCAACTAAGAAAGACCAAAATGGGAGTGAACCTCCGTAGCAGAGAGTAGATAATGCCTGTTTACCAAGGGGCCAGCTTTCTTTCACCTGTCAGAGTCTTATTCTTCGGTTTGAGAAAGGACCCAGAAAGAAAAGCAATATAATTACAAATCTGAATTTGACAAAGACCACAAGGAGGAACCGAAGTTGTTAGAAGTATCTTAAAGGTTGGAGTTGATTTTAAGCAGTGATGGCCTCAAGGAAGTACAGTTCTCCATCAACTCTCCCCTCCCCATTCGTGTACATCGGTTTTTCTGGCCAAGGGCATGTGTCTGATTGGGGTCTTGTCCTTATTATGAATATCTTAAGGACAGCTGTGCTGTAGGCACACCCTTTATTGGACCCTTTCTATGTCATAACTTTGTACATTTCTGAGTGTATGGGCTTAATATTATAGGAACAGGTTTTTATTCCCATTTCTAAAAATTCCATGGCTTTTGCCTTGATAATTCAATCACCAAACCAGCCATTCTGTATCTGGGTTACTATTGTGTCTGCGCATTGCATGTTCCTTGCGTCAGGGATGATAGACCTTTATCACAGTGCCAGGCAAGTTGGGGAAAATAGCATAATGCAGGTGGTTGCCAAAGACTGTGACCTATCTAAAACGATGATTTTTTTATAGTCTCAAAAATTAGGGCACATGGCTTTCTAGTTCTCATTAGAAATTCCCAAGATGCTGTTGCCTTTTTTTTTTTTTTTGATCTGAAAGTGACCTTATTTAACCATAACTTTGAAGTGTTCTCTATAGAAAACTTGCCACCATGAGGCTGTAAGTGGTTTACTGAACTCTGCCTTTTTCCTTGTCCTCCTGCAGCTCAGCCTGAGACCCACAGTGGCAGAGCTACAAGCTCGAAGGATCCTGCGATTTAACGAGTATGTAGAAGTCACGGATTCTCCTGACTATGACCGCCGAGCAGACAAGCCCTGGGCCAGGTTAACACCTGCAGACAAGGCAAGAATCCCAGTGGATTTTGTGTTGATTGTATTGCTTTTCTGGAAGCTCCAATATCCACATCCCCCCTACTTAAGTCATCCCAGGGGACGAGATCTTACCAAATATTACAACAGTTTTCTGCCTCTGATTATTTAAGCCACTTAAGTGATACATTTAGTGATATCAATGTAGTTCTTTCAACTAAGTCTCAGAGAAAAGTAGTTATTTACCATATAACCTACCTGCTTTCATACCTGGATGAGGAGGGCTTTCTCACATCCAGGATTTATCCTTACTCTTAGAAAATATAACTTATACAACTTATCATTTTAAAGGGATATGTTAATAGAAAGGTTTAATCTTCGTCGAGACTGGCACACTTTTAATAGAAATGACAAGACAGCAAATAGTTTAGGCTATGTGGGCCATACAATCTTTGTTGCAACTGCCCAGTTCTGCCATTGTAGCATGAAAACAGCCACAGACAATGTGTAATTGAATGGATATGTATATGCTCCAATAAAACTTTATCTACAAAAACAGATGGTGGGCCAAATTTGACCTGCAGGTCAGGCTTACCAACCCCTAATCTAAATCATTGCACACAATTCCTGAAAAATGAAATATACAGTGGGTTCTATCAATGTAGAAAGACTTTTACCTTATTAGTACCATTGTTCCATAGGCAAAGATTCGTGCCAACCGTTTGTTTTTAAATTGTTCTAATTTTTATCTCTTAGCAAAATCTGGTATTGAATAAACTCGTGCTATACCCAGTTTTTTTTAATCATAAGTACTTTTGCTTAAACATGCCACATCTTAATGCTAAAACTAGGCATTTAATCATGCTCTGTGCTGACTCTTTTTAATAGGAAGCTTCATTATTTAAAATACCTGCTATGCATCAAGCATATACTGGAGATACAGATTCAGAAATCCTTAGCTCATAAGTAGAAATGAAAAGTAAGAAGGAATAAGATCACAAAGGAAGAATGTTCAGAACAAGAATAGAAGAGAAGGAGGCTGAGAAAAGCACTCCAGGGATGTTTTAGGAAGAAGCAGCAGAAGAATATTGAGAAGAAATGTCCGTGAAGTGGGGAAAGAGGAGAAGCTGGTAGCACAGCAGCTTGGAAGGACTGTGTCAGGGAGGACGGACGGCCACATGTGTGCAGTGACATGGTGAGAGGGAGCATTTTGGTGGCCTGATGGGTGGAAGCCTGTGGTGGAGACAACGAGGATCAAACACAATCCTGAGAATTTGGGCTCTGAAGTATGATGAGGCAGTTGTTCAACGTATGGCTGGTGATTGTGAAGGTCAATAAGCTTGGGTGCGTAAATTTGGAAAATGAGATACAGTATCAAGGGAGTGATTTTTTTTTAATTTATGGGAAATACTTGAACAATTTTTTATGTGGTGAAGGGGTCAAAAGAAAGGGAGAGGTTGAACATACAGGCGGAAAAGTCAGTAACTGATAGCGTGGGAAAAATCACTGGAGTAGCAGGTCAGTACTTATGTGAAAGAGGCAAGGAGCAGACCCTTGAGGACGGAGGGAGAGCACAGGCTGAGGAAGCTAGGAAGTCGTATCTCATTGTGCTTTTACTTTGCCTTTCGTTCATTATGAATGAGATTGAACATATTTTCATATGCCTATTGGGCATTTGGATACCACTCCACCGAAGTGCCTTTTGCCCATTTTCTTTTGGGTTGTCAATTTTTTCTGATTCATAGGAGTTCTTCATATATTCCAGTTATGTATGTTGCAAATATTGATTTAACAAGATTCTTTTTTTTTTTTTTTGAGACGGAGTCTCACTCTGTCACCCAGGCTGGAGTGCTGTGGCTCGATCTCAGCTCACTGCAAGCTCCACCTCCTGTGTTCACGCCATTCTCCTGCTTCAGCCTCCCGAGTGGCTGGGACTACAGGCGCCCGCCACCACGCCCAGCTATTTTTTACAAAATATTTTTAGTAGAGATGGGGTTTCACCGTGTTAGCCAGGATGGTCTCCATCTCCTGACATTGTGATCTGCCCGCCTCGGCCTCCCAAAGTGCTGGGATTACAGGCGTGAGCCATGGCGCCCGGCCAACAAGATTCTTAAACTTAATACAGTCGAATTTATCAACCTTTTTCTTTATGGCTTATGATTTTGTTTCTGGTTTTAAAAATTCTTTGCATACCAAAATGATAGATATATTCTCATATACTGTCTTCTAAATTGTTTATAATTTTGCTTTTCACATTTAACTTTTTTGTTTACCTGGAGTTGTTTTTTGGGGGAAGGTATAAGATATGCTTTCAGTTTGCTTGGTCATCTGTATTATATGTTTGTTTTCTATGTCATTATTTGTTCTTTTCTCTTCTTCCTCCTAATTTTTTGGGCTTTATTGGCTATTCTGTTCTAACCTAAGATAGACTCTCCAGATCATTAATTTTCATCCTTCCTTACTTTCTGATACAAGCACTGAAGGTTAGAAATGACTCTGTGTGTCAGTGATTTGCAACCTTGGCTACAAATTGGAATCACCTATAGATCTTTAAGAATGTGGATGTCTGGGTCCCATCTCCAGAGATGCTGATCTCATTGGTCTGGGATGTGGCCTTCATATTGGGATTTTTAGTAATTATAAATATCTCACATGTCCTTGAAAACAATATGTGTTCTATGGTTTGAGGGTGTGCAAATTTTCCTGTAAGATCAATCTTGCTAGTTCTATTCAGATTTCTGTACCCTTAGTTATTTTTTTGTCAGTTTGATCCATCAGGTAACAAACAAGACATGTTAAATCTCCCACTATGTGGATTTTTTTTTTTACTTCTCCTTATAATTCTGTTAATTTTGCTTCATTTATTGTGAGGTGTATCATTAGATATATATGTTTAGAATGCATACATTTTCTTGATGAAACTTTGTTATATTTAAAAATATAATTTTTAAACTGGATTGTCAAAATGAGTTATTTTATACTACCTTAGTACTATGAATTGAAGCAGCAAACCTCTGTGATGTTTAGCTGATGGCTTCAAATTTTCAGGGTACATTTCATCACTCCCTGCCTATCCCCTTACTTACTAAGCACCAGCTTGCAATTTTTTGTTTGTCCTTGGAGGGTCAGATATTCTAGCTTACCCTTACACTGAGGGTATGCCATTTGGTCCCCAATTTATGGAGAGAGAATTATTTATTAGACCTGAGTGGGTTTTGTGTGTCTTCTGTATTTCACCAAATCATAAAGATGCCTGCTCAAATTCACTAGATTTAACACAAGTGCCCTCAAGGTCAAAGCCAGTTTCATTTCTCACTTACCTTATTTTTCTGGCCATGATCTTCTTTTACTCATTCTCATCAAAGTATTTTTTACTCTTTTCCCAGCTGTTTAGTACATTTAAAGCAGTTTTTAGATGCCATGTTTAGCATTTTAATTGTTTTTCAATAGAAGAGTTAGTCAAGGCATCTGGTATGCCATTTTGCTAGAAATAGTACTGCATTATGAACTTGGTGCAAGGTTTCTTCCATCCTCCTTTCCTTTCAGTTGTGGGCTTCTGGTCATTCACCTCTCATTTAGTGGCTCCTAGTTGACCCTGCTCTAGTCACTGTTTCTGTGCAGTGACCTTCCCCAAAACTTAGTGATTGAAAACAGCAGCTATTTTATATCTTACAGATTTTGTAGGTTGGGGATTTAGTCAGGGCTCAGCTAGGTGATTCTTCTGCTCTTCATGAGGTTGACTAAGGTCACTCAATGTTATTCAGCTGACAAATAGGCTACTTTGGAGGCTCCAAGATAACCTCTCTAACATGTCTGGTGTCTTGGTAAGGAAGGCTCAGAGACTGGGCTCAATTCTGGCTCCTAGTCCGCCAAACTACCTATACATGGCCTCTTCAGCATGGTGGCCCGAGTCATCAGTCTTCTTACTTGGTGGCTCAGCAAATGTCCCAAGAGAACCAGGTAAAAGCTATATGGCCTTTCCTGATCTGGCTTTGGAAGGCATCCAGCCTCACTTCCACTACGTTCTATTAGTAACAGGCAAATCATAAGACCAGCTCAAGCTTCAAGGAAAGGGGAATTAATTAGCTCCACTTCTTGACAGGGGAGTGGCAAGATCACAATTGTGGCCAAATTTGGAAAATACAATTTTCCACACCCACCATTCCCAGCTATCTTATTATTCAAATGCAAAACTTCAGAAAGGCAGGTAGGGCCAGATAAATGAGTAAAGATCACTGCAGTTGCCAAGTATGCAAGCAGGGAGAGTCTAAATGACTAACCACCCTCATGTGGAAACTAAATTGTCCAAACCCTAGAAACAGTTCCTTTTGACTCTTGTTCTTTTGTTGGAAGGTAAAGCTCATTCATCTCTAGCTGTAACAGAGAGGATTTTTTTTTTTAATTTTATGTTGAAACAAAAATGGGATTTTGTTCTGGACTTCTAGGTTGCAGGGGAAAGGTACATGACCAGGTTTTCTGCCACAGGCTTTGTTTCTGTTCATGAGTGCTTTGAAGGCATATGACTTTGACATCTCCCTTGCAGATCTGAGCCCCAGAGCACAGCCACTGCCCCTCTCTCCTCACACATGGGCCTCATTTTCTCCCTCTGACAGTATCTCTCACATTTCTCCTGAGGCTTTTTAAAGTCTAAAAAGCAGCATTTTTAGAAGTGGATTTTTATTGTGTATGTGTGTGTTTCTCTGGAAGAAAATTAAGAGGTAGAATTTCTTTTAAATAGAAAAAATATTGGCCAGGCATGGTGGCTCATGCCTGTAATCCTAGCACTTTGGGAGGCCAAGGTTTCTTGAGCTCAAGATTTCTTGAGCTCAGGAGTTTGAGACCAGCCTGAGCAATGTGGTGAAACTCTGCCTCTACTAAAAAATACAAAAAATTAGCCGGGTGTGGTGGCGCGTACCTGTAGTCCCAGCTACTCGGGAAGCTGAGGTGGGAGAATTGCTTGAGCCCAGGAGCAGGAGGCTGCAGTGAGCCATGCCACGGCACTCCAGCCTGGGCAACAGAGCTAGACCTTATCTCAAAATAAATAAATAAATAAATAATATGGTACACTTTTTAAAGATAAAAAATAGAAAAATGCAACAATTTAAGATGTTTATGTGTAGTATATTGTATATACACAAGTGATGAATATTCATTGGGCCATATCTGAATATTCAAAAATGCAAAAATAAAAAAAGAACCACTTTAATGCACGGTACTTTTAATAATTTCTAAAAATACCATTTACTACCTAACACTGAAAAAAATTGTTCCCTCTAGTTGTTAAAAGATAAGTGTGATGAAATAGTACAATATTATTGCCCAAAGATCCTAAGACTATCAATGGTCTTAGTGTATATTTTATTTTAGAATGAAAATAACACATGCTAATCACCATTATTAACAAGCATTTCTGGTTTTTGTTGCTTTTTACCTTAAAACATTTTATAATATATTATTTATTATATATATTTAGATCAGATTTAAAATATTGTATTAAGTTAATTCATGTAAAAATTATAATTTAGCTATTAGGTTTAAAAATGAGTTTTATTTTTAACTTTTGAGCTCTATATCCCATTTTTAAAAACTATTCAAAGTAAATATTTCCACCTCTGCTTTAAAAAATAAACAATGAGGCCAGGTGCAGTGGCTCATGCCTGTAATCCAAGTGCTTTGAGAGGGTGAGTTGGGTGGATCACTTGAGGTCAGGAGTTCAAGACCAGCCTGGCCAACATGGTGAAACCCCATCTCTACTAAAAATACAAAAATTAGCTGTGCATGGTGGCTCCTGCCTGTAGTCCCAGCTGCTTGGGAGACTGAAGCAGGAGAATCACTTGAACCCAGGAGACAGAAGTTGCAGTGAGCTAAGATTATGCCGCCGCACTCCAGCCTGGGTGACAAAGCGAGACTCCATCTCAAAAACTGAACCAAACCAAACAAACAAACAAACAAAAAATGAGCTTCCTTTCAGCCTAAAGGAGACATCTTTTTTCTTTCTCTTATCTTAGTGCCATTTTCTTAGCCCCATTAAGCTACCACCTTGCATTTTAAAGAGTAGTAGCCAATCAGTCAGTAATTAATCAATGCCTCTCCTTTCTGTGAAGGAGGAAGGCCCTTGCTGGTTGTGGTGGGGAATCTCCGGAATCTGGTAGTCTGGTTAAATGGCTCATGTTGGAAAAGAGAAGTGGTGGGAGAAATGCCTTATTAATTGTGAACTTGATTGAGCTTTATTCACCTTTAAAATAAAATTTTCAGGTCGGGGCACAATGACTCACACTTGTAATGTTAGCACTTTGGGAGGCCAAGGTGGGAGGGTCACTTGAGGCCAGGAGTTAAAGACCAGCCTGAGCAACATAGCAAGACCCTCTCTCTACAAAAACTAAAAAAATTAGCCAGGTGTGGTGGCACACCCATGTATTCCTACCTACTTGGAAGGCTGAGGCAGGAGGATCCCTTGAGTCTGGGAGTTCAAGACTGCAATGAGCTGTGATTGTGCCACTGCACTGCAGCCTGGGCAACAGAATGAGACCCTGTCTCTAAAACAAAAATAAACAAAATAAAATTTTCAGTTTTAGAATATATGTACTTAGAGCACTAGAAACAGATATATGTACAGTAAAATAGAGATGGCCTGGTTTCCTGCACTGAGGTAGATAGACGAGCTGGCCCTTCAGTGGCAGAGAGGTGAGGTCAGAGAAGGCCATTGAATTGGCCTGAAGACCTAGGCTTGCCTGCCAGTAACCATCTCCTTAGAGTAGAACTTGGAAGCTCCATGGAGGAGAGAGGGGCAGGCTTTAGAACTGGGCACTTCTAGGATGGATTGATCCTTGACTTGGCCACTTAGTAGTTGTTTGACCTTGGCCAAGTCATTTAACCTAGGTTTACTTACTAGTAAAATAAAGTCAATTATATCTATCTTGAGAATTAGGTAGAATATCTCTAGAATTCCTGCTTGTCAATAAATGGTAGCTATTACCAATATTATACTCATAGTCAGGGATGAGAAGCCAAGCTTTGTTCCCCATTGGTGATATTTTCACCGTTGATTCCTGAGTTTACGATCTAGTCTAAAATTATCCAGTGAAAGAGAGTGTAGAATTTTTTCAGATGAGATGTGCTTTTGTCCAACAGGTCACTCAGTAATCACTTATTAAAACCCTTACAATATATTAGGTATCGTCCTAGATACTGGGGATATAAAATTGAATAAGACAAACTGTCTTTCCAGGAACACAGTGTCTAAACAGGTCCTAAGAAAGCCTGAGATTTTTGTTGTCCCTAAGCTATTCTTTGCCCTGTTCATTGATGCCTTAGCAGCAGAAGGGAGTACACTTGCCTCCCTGTGGCATTGAACTTGATTGATGAGTAGTCCAGAAATCCTCTCCACATCCCATCATAATTTTATCCAAGAAATAAAGGATATCAAAATGGCAATTCTAGTTAATTCTGGCCCCACAGCTCATGCTATTTGAGAAGGCAGCAAGGTCTGCATTTTCTTTTTCTTTTCTTTCTTTCTTTCTTTCTTTCTTTCTTTCTTTCTTTGTTTTTATTATACTTTAAGTTCTGGGTTACATGTGCAGAACGTGTAGGTTTGTTACATAGGTATACACGTGCCATGGTGGTTTGCTGCACCCATCAACCCATCACCTACATTAGGTATTTCTCCTAATATTATCCCTCCCCTAGTCCCCCACCCCCTACAGGCCCCAGTGTGTGATGTTCCCCTCCCTGTGTCCATGTGTTCTTATTGTTCAACTCCCACTTATGAGTGAGAACATGCGGTGTTTGGTTTTCTGATCTTGTGATAGTTTGCTGAGAATGATGGTTTCCAGCTTCATCCGTGTCCCTGCAAAGGACATCAACTCATCCTTTTTTATGGCTGCATAGTGTTCCATGGTGTATATGTGCCACATTTTCTTAATCCAGTCTATCACTGATGGACATATGGGTTGGTTCCATGTCTTTGCTATTGTGAATAGTGCCTCAGTAAACATACATGTGCATGTGTCTTTATTGTAGAATAATTTCTAATCCTTTGGGTATACATCCAGTAATGGAATTGCTGGGTCAAGTGGTATTTCTAGTTCTAGATCCTTGAGGAATCGCCACACTGTCTTCCAAATGGTTGAACTAATTTACACTCCCACTAACAGCGTAAAAGCATTCCTATTTCTCCACATCCTCTCCAGCATCTGTTGTTTCCTGACTTTTGAATGATCGCCATTCTAACTGGCATGAGATGGTATCTCATTCTGGTTTTGATTTGCATTTCTCTCATGACCAGTGATGATGAGCATCTTTTCATATGTCTGTTGGCTGCATAAATGTCTTCATTTGAGAAGTTTCTGTTCATATCCTTAGCCCATTTTTTGATGGGGTTGTTTGCTTTTTTCTTGTAAATTTGTTTAAGTTCTTTGTAGATTCTGGATATTAGCCCTTTGTCAGATGAATAGATTGCAAAAATTTTCTCCCATTCTGTAGGTTGCCTGTTCACTCTGGTGATAATTTCTTTTGCTGTGCAGAAACTCTTCAGTTTAATTAGATCCCCGTTTGTCAATTTTGGCTTTTGTTGCCGTTTGCTTTTGGCGTTTTAGACATGAAGTCTTTGCCCATGCCTATGTCCTGAATGGTATTGCCCAGGTTTTCTTCTAGGATTTTTATGGTCCTAGGTCTTACATTTAAGTCTTTGATCCATCTTGAGTTGATTTTTGTATAAGGTGTAAGGAAGGGGTCCAGTTCCAGTTTTCTGCATATGGCCAGCCAGTTTTCCCAACACCGTTTATTAAATAGGGAATCTTCCCCATCGCTTGTATGTGTCAGGTTTGTCAAAGATCAGGTGGTGGATGTGTGGTGTTATTTCTCCGTTCTGTTCCATCAGTCTGTGTATCTGTTTTGGCACCAGTACCATGCTGTTTTGGTTACTGTAGCCTTGTAAAGTTTGTAGTCAGGTAGCAAGATGCCTCCAGCTTTGTCCTTCTTGCCCAGGATTGTCTTGGATATGCGAGCTCTTTTTTGGTTCCATATGAGGTTTAAAGTAGTTTTTTCCAATTCTGTGAAGAAAGTCAGTGGTAGCTGGATGGGGATAGCATTGAATCTGTAAATTACTTTGGGCAGTAAGGCCATTTTCACGATATTGATTCTTCCTATCCATGAGCATGGAATGTTTTTCCATTTGTTTCTGTCCTCTCTTATTTCCTTGAGCAGTGGTTTGTAGTTCTCCTTGAAGAGGTCCTTCATATCCCTTGTAAGTTGTGTCCCTACGTATTTTATTCTCTTTGTAGCAATTGTGAATGGGAGTTCACTCATGATTTGGCTCTCTGTTTGTCTGTTATTGATGTATAGGAATGCTTGTGATTTTTGCACATTGATTTTGTATCCTGAGACTTTGCTGAAGTTGCTTATCAGCTTCAGGAGATTTTGGGCTGAGACGATGGGGTTTTCCAAATATACAGTCATGTCGTCTGCAAACAAAGATAATTGGACTTCCTCTCTTCCTATTTGAATACCTTTTATTGCTTTCTCTTGCCTGATTGCCCTGGCCAGAACTTCCAACATTATGTTGAATAGGAGTGGTGAGAGAGGTCATCCTTGTCTTGTGCCGGTTTTCAAAGGGAATGCTTCCAGTGTTTGTCCATTCAGTATGATATTGTCTGTGGGTTTGTCATAAACAGCTCTTATTATTTTGAGATACGTTCCATCGATACCTAGTTTAGCATGAAAGGCTGTTGAATTTTGTCCAAGGCCTTTTCTGCATCTATTGAGATAATCATGTGGTTTTTGTCATTGGTTCTGTTTATGTGATGGATTATGTTTATTGATTTGTGTATGTTGAACCAGCCTTGCATTGCAGGGATGAAGCTGACTTGATCATGGTGGATCAGCTTTTTGATGTTCTGCTGGATTGGGTTTGCCAGTATTTTACTGAGGATTTTTGCACTGATGTTCATCGGGGATATTGGCCTAAAATTCTCTCTTTTTGTTGTGTCTCTGCCAGGCTTTGGTATCAGGATGATGCTGGCCTCATAAAATGAGTTAGGGAGGATTCCCTCTTTTTCTATTGATTGGGATAGTTTCAGAAGGAATGGTACCAGCTCCTCTTTGTACTTCTGGTAGAATTTGGCTGTGAATCCGTCTGGTCCTGGACTCTTTTTGGTTGGTAGACTATTAATTATTGCCTCAATTTCAGAGCTTATTTTGGTCTATTCAGAGATTCAACTTCTTCCTGGTTTAGTCTTGGGAGGGGGTATGTGTCCAGGAATTTATCCATTTCTTCTAGATTTTCTGGTTTATTTGTGTAGAGGTTTTTATAGTATCCTCTGATGGTAGTTTGTGTTTCTGTGGGATCAGTGGTGATATCCCCTTTATCATTTTTTATTGCGTCTATTTGATTCTTCTCTCTTTTCTTCTTTATTAGTCTTGCTGGCAGTCTATCTATTTTGTTAATCTTTTCAAAAAGCCAGTTCCTGGATTCATTGATTTTTTGAAGGGTTTTTTGTGTCTCTATCTTCTTCAGTTCTGCTCTGATCTTAGTTATTTCTTGCCTTCTGCTAGCTTTTGAATGTGTTTGTTCTTGCTTCTCCAGTTCTTTTAATTGTGATGTTAGGGTGTCGATTTTAGATCTCTCTTGCTTTCTCTTGTGGGCATTTAATGCTATAAATTTCCCTCTACACACTGCTTTAGCTGTGTCCCAGAGATTCTGGTACATTGTGTCTTTGTTCTCATTGGTTTCAAAGAACATCTTTATTTCTGCCTTCATTTCGTTATTTATCAAGTAGTCATTCAGGAGCAGGTTGTTCAGTTTCCACGTAGCTGTGCGGTTTTGAGTGAGATTCTTAATCCTGAGTTCTAATTTTATTGCACTGTGGTCTGAGAGACAGTTTGATTTCTGTTCGTTTACATTTGCTGAGGAGTGTTTTACTTCCAATTATGTTGTCAATTTTAGAATAAGTGCAATGTGGTGCTAAGGAGAATGTATATTCTGTTGATTTGGGGTGGAGAATACTGTAGATGTCTATTAGGTCCACTTGGTCCAGAGCTGAGTTCAAGTCCTGGATATCCTTGTTAATTTTCTGTCTTATTGATCTGTCCAGTATTGACAGTGGGGTGTTAAAGTCTCCCATTATTATTGTGTGGGAGTCTAAGTTTCTTTGTAAGTCTCTAAGAACTTGCTTTATGAATCTGGTGCTCGTGTACTGGATGCATATATATTTAGGATAGTTAACTCTTTTTGTTGAATTGATCCCTTCACCATTACGTAATGGCCTTCTTTGTCTCTTTTGATCTTTGTTGGTTTAAAGTCTGTTTTATCAGAGACCAGGATTGCAACCTGTGCTATTTTTTTACTTTCTATTTGCTTGGTAGGTCTTCCTCCATCCCTTTATTTTTTTTATTTTTTATTTTTTTGAGACCGAGTCTGGCTCTGTTGCCCAGGCTGGAGTGCAGTGGTGCAATCTCCGCTCACAGCAAGCTCCGCCTCCCAGGGTCACCCTATTCTCCTGCCTCAGCCTCCTGAGTAGCTGGGACTACAGGTGCCCGCCACCATGCCCAGTTAATTTTTTGTATTTTTAGTAGAGACGGGGTTTCACTGTGTTAGCCAGGATGGTCTCGATCTCCTGACTTCGTGATCTGCCTGCATCGGCCTCCCAAAGTGCTGGGATTACAGGTGTGAGCCACCGCACCCAGCCCATCCCTTTATTTTGAGCCTATGTGTGTCTTTGCATGTGAGATGGGTCTCCTGAATACAGCACACTGATGGGTCTAGACTCTTTATCCAATTTGCCAATCTGTGTCTTTTAATTGGGGCATTTAGCCCATTTACATTTAAGGTTAATATTGTTATGTTTGAATTTGATCCTGTCATTATGATGTTAGCTGGTTATTTTGCCCGTTAGTTGATGCAGTTTCTTCCTAGCATCAGTGGTCTTTACAATTTGGCATGTTTTTGCAGTGGCTGGGACTGGTTGTTCCTTTCCACGTTTAGTGCTTCCTTCAGGAGCTCTTGTAAGGCAGGCCTGGTGATGACAAAATCTCTCAGCATTTGCTTGTGTGGAAAGGATTTTATTTCTCCTTCACTTATGAAGCTTAGTTCAGCTGGATATGAAATTTTGGGTTGAAAATTCTTTTCTTTAAGAATGTTGAATATTGACCCCCACTCTCTTCTGGCTGGTAGGGTATCTGCAGAGAGATCCACTGTTAGTCTGATGGCTTCCCTTTGTGGTTAACCCAACCTTTCTCTCTGGCTGCCCTTAACATTTTTTCCTCCATTTCAACCTTCGTGAATCTGACAGTTATGTGTCTTGGGGTTGCTCTTCTCGGGCAATCTCTTTGTGGTGTATTCTCTGTATTTCCTGAATTTGAATGTTGGCCTCTCTTGCTAGGTTGGGGAAGTTCTCCTGGATAATATCCTGAAGAGTGTTTTTCAACTTGGTTCTATTCTCCCCATCACTTTCAGGTACACCAATCAAACGTAGATTTGGTCTTTTCACATAGTCTCATATTTATTGGAGGCTTTGTTCATTTCTTTTCACTCCTTATTCTCTAATCTTGTCTTCTCACTTTATTTCATTAATTTGATCTTCAATCACTGATATACTTTCTTCCGCTTGATCGAAGTGGCTATTGAGGCTTGTGTATGCTTCACGGAGTTCTCGTACTGTAGTTTTCAGCTCCATCAGGTTATTTAAGCTCTTCTCTACACTGGTTATTCTAGTTAGCCATTCATCTAACCTTTTTTCAACGTTTTTAGCTTCCTTGAAATGGATTAGATCATGCTCCTTTAGCTCGGAGAAGTTTGTTATTACTGACCTTCTGAAGCCTACTCTGTCAACTCATCAAACTCATTCTCCGTCCAGTTTTGTTCCCTTGCTGGCGAGGAGTTGTGATCCTTTGGAGGAGAAGAGGCATTCTGGTTTTTGGAATTTTCAGCCTTTCTGCCTTGGTTTCTCCCCATCTTTGTGGTTTTATTTACCTTTGGTCTTTGATGTTGGTGACCTACAGATGGGGTTTGGGTGTGGATGTCCTTTTTGTTGATGTTGATACTATTCCTTTCTGTTTGCTCATTTTCCTTCTAACAGATAGGCCCCTCAGCTGCAGGTCTGTTGGAGTTTACTGGAGGTCCACTCCAGGGTCTGCATTTTCAACAAATCACCTGTTGCTTCTTCCCGGCATAACGCCTGAGCTGACTGGGACTGATGAAGCAGACCTGTTACCACTCACCACTGGCCAATTTTAAACTTAGTTTCAGACATTTTTGTTTCCTTTTTCCTCTCTATAATTCTCATGATGCCAAAATGACTACATATTTGGTCTCAGTTGCTATCTCATAGAGCTTTGTTGTTGTTGTTGTTTCTACTCTAGAAATACCTAGTTTTGGCTCAATGGCTTCCCATTGGTTGTACAACCCAGCACCATTGGAGCTCTGATCCCCCATAACCTCAGCCCAGCTCTTTCTATCTCATGTCTTTCAACAAAATCAGTCCCAGACTGGGTGTGGTGGCTCATGGCTGTAATCCCAACAATTTGGGTAGGCCAAGGCGGGAGGATTGCTTAAGCCCAGGAGTTCAAGACCAGCCTGGGCAACACAGCAAAACCTCATCTCCACAAATTTTTTTTTTTTTTTAATTAGCCAGATGTGGTGGCCACACACCTATGGTCCCAGCTACTTGGGAGGCTGAGGTGGGAGGGTGTCTTCAGCCTTGGAATTTGAGGCTACAATGAGCTGTGATCACACCACCTGCACTCCAGCCTGGGTGACAGAACAAGACCCTGTCTCAAAAAAAAAAAAAAAAATCAGTCCTAATTACATATATGTGAAGAATTATTAGGCCTAAAACCTGGTCTCCTTTGCAAAGAAGAGAGTTAAGTTTATTATACATGTATTTGTCTAAAGTGTCTGATTTACTTTTTTTCCTGTTTTAAACTCTCTCAGGAAATCTTTCTCTTTATTCCAAGAGGAAGTAGCTCTTGTAATAAAACTATGATCAATCTTCAGTGAATTTTAAAAATAAGCATTCTATTTCTTTAATTGCCTGTAGTCACATCTTTCTGGTATATTTTTTTCAAACAACTAGTCCTTACAATTTCACATCACTTCCATTGCCATATCATTCACATAACTGACTCATCATTTCTAATTGTAAGCCAGCACACACAACATGCAGATCTGAAGCAATTTTCCTGATGACAGGGGCCCAGAAGCTCATATTAATGGAAAGACTGTAGGATGTGAGGTTAAAAGGCTTGTGTATGAGCCCCATGTTTGTCATTTAACCCTCATCCTGTTTAGAGAAAGAAAGTGCACCTCGCTGCCAGTGCTGATTTAATTTTACATAAACACGCTCTTTGAGGCTGAAGCAAATCTGACAGATTTTCAATGTGAAAATAAAATAGAGGCCGATTGCAGTGGCTCACGCCTGTAGTTCCAGCACTTTGGGAGGCCGAAGTGGGGAGATTGCTTGAGCCTAGGAGTTTGAGACCAGCCTGGCCAACATTGCGAAATCCATCTCCACAAAAGATACAAAAAATTAGCCAGGCATGATGGCGCACACCTGTAGGCCCAGCCACTCAGGAGGCTGAGGTGGGAGAATTGTTTGAACCCAGGAGGCAGAGGTTGCAGTGAGCTGAGATCACGCCACTGCACTCCAACCTGAATGACACAGTGAGACCCTGTCTCAAATAAATAAAAATAAATAAATGAATATAAAAACTGTTCTTGGAGTTGTTTCTAAATAGAACATCAAAATCATCTATTTTGGAAAAATCAGATTCATCGAACGATTTTTTGGCCAACAACTGTTTGAGAATGATGTTAACATCACACATAGAAAGGCTGTGTTTTCTAGGATTTGACATTTTCAGCAATAGAGAAATACTGTATTTTGTAAATAGGAATACCACTACTAAAACCATAATGCTATAAATAGAATGATGTCTTTTGTTTCCAAAGTCGATATACTAGAGCGTTGCGAAAATAAAAGCAAGATATTTCATGACAAACTTATCCTGAGGTAAACAACTGCAGCCGTTAGTGTTGCCAGGCAAATATTCTCAGGGCAAACAGGAAAAGGGTTAATGCGCATCTCTCTCTAGCAAGTCATGTGACCTCTCTAGGCCTCCATTGCATCAGCTGTAAGGTAAAAGCCTTGGAATAGTTTTCAGGTTATCAACTGCTTTTTAACAAACCACCCCAGAATTTAGTGGCTTTTAAAACAGCTATTTATTTTGCTCTCAATTCTGAGTTATGAATTTGGGAAGGGCTCGGCCCAGCAGTTTGTTTGGGATCCCTGTGGCATCAGGTGAGATGCTGGGTTAGATAATTCACTTCCAAGACAGCTTCTTCACTAACCGTCGGTGCCTTTTGCTCCTTGGCCTCTCTCTCTCTATCTACCCAGCATCTTAACCTCCAGGGCCTTTCCCTGTATCTTGGGTTTCTCACAGCATGGTTTTCTGAGAGTAGTCACTTTTTTTTACATGGCAGCTGGCTTTAAAGTAGCAAGAAGCAAAAGGTGCCAGGCCAGTTAAGGGCCACATCAGACTGGCACGTATCACCTCTACTGTGTGCATTTGTTGAAAGTGGTTACAGGACTCACCCAGAGTCAAGGCTGGAGAGACAGACTTCACCTCTTGATGGGGGAATAGCAAAGTCACATTGCAGATGAGCCAGTAGGATATGCCTGTAAATAGTAAACTGTCTCTCTTATGCATATGTATATGGTCATCAGTGAATTATAAATTGTATCAATATGATGGATCTATAGCACACAATTTACAATTGTAATGTTTTGTAAATTCCATATCTCAGTTGATGCTCACAGAATGCTTTCATTGATTTTTGCCATACTCTTAGATCAGTAGTAGCCAACCTACTATTGCAAATAAGGACTTTATCTTATTCATGGTTAAGTCAACTTCGGTGGCATTATCTTCTTCCATTCCAGTGGACTCTTCATAAATAAAAGTGAAAGAATTGTGAATCCCAATCACAAACTAGAATAATTTGTTTTTCAAGAGGCTCATAATAATGACATTTTATTGACTCTACAGTGTACAAAGCACTTTCAAATATGCTCTTGATTAATTCTCATGATATTGTGAAGAATTTCCTCCTGGTTTTCCAGATAAGAAAATTGGGGTTTGGAGTGAAGTGACTCACTAAGGGTCACACTGCTAATGAGGGCATAGCCAAGACTAGAATCCCTGCCTTCTGACTCCCAGTGGACCGCTTTTCACTTCCTCTGCTGAAACCTTACATTTGGAGAAGAAATTTAAAATGAACATCAAGACAGGATTCTCTGCCACTATTCAAATTAAAATACCTCCTTTCGGCCGGGCACGGTGGCTCATGCCTGTAATCCCAGCATTTTGGGAGGCCGAGGCGGGCGGATCACAAAGTCAGGAGTTTGAGACCAGCCTGGCCAACATGGTGAAACCTCGTCTCTACTAAAAATACAAAAAATTAGCCAGGCACGGTGGTGCATGCATGTAATCCCAGCTGCTCGGGAGGCTGAGGCAGGAGAATCACTTGAACCTGGGAGGCGGAGGTTGCAGTGAGCCAAGATCGTACCACTGCACTCCAGCCTGGGTGACAAGAGTGAAACTCCGTCTCAAAAAAAAAAAAAAAAAAAAACCTCCTTTCAAGGAAGAACGTTTTATAGATGTTAATTGGCGAGTGGTATAGAGCAGCCTCACTCTTTCTCCTTCTGGTTCTAGGCATCACTTTTTGCAGTAAGCAAAAGTATCCTCACTGTTGATCGGACTAGTGAGACAAACTGGACAGCCATGTCACAGAGGACTCAGGCTCACACATATTTCTCTGCTTGCTTCTTCATTTCCAAAAGTCAGTAGCAAGCATTATTGTCACAGTTCCTAGTCACAGGTTCTCCATAGAAACTACAGGGGCTGAGGAATATATCTGGGGAGAAGAGACAATCTGTGACATGGACTTAAATATAGCATTGAAAGGAGTGTTGAGGGAAAGGCTCGTGTATTGCAGAATGATGGTTAGTTATGAGAGAGAGCTAGAGACAGGCCTCAGGGCTTTTTTTCTGTCTGTTCCCTTTCCTAAAATGTATTATTTTCCAACCACAAAGAAGACTTTTTATCTCCCAGTGAAGTCACTCCCTGTGACTTATCATTCTTAGTTTTGGCTGAAGAGTCCATTTTGCCTAGAGGTTACAGGGGTGTTTTTATTAGCACCTTTTTAAAAACATGAGTAAAACATTCTTTATAGAGAAGTTAGGAAATAAAAATAAGCAAAAATTTGAAACCACGAACCATCTGTAATCCTGCCACTATTTGTTAACAGATAACTAATGTTAACATTTCAGTCTGAATGGCGTAAGCATCCCCTCAAATACCAAAAATTACGTGACACGGATTATGTGTTCTTTAAATAGCAATGCATTCTATTTGATATTTTCTTTGGGTAGCTTTAAGGATTATGCTGAAATTATAAGTTCTATTTCTATAAACTTCCAATATTAAAGAATATATAAGCAACTGCTTTCTCTGTAGCTCTCTGGCAGCTAGTCAAAGCCATGTTGTTGTAGGCAATATTCTATGTAGAACTTTCCATAGGAAAATGGTATTGCTTCTCAGAAAATGTCATGACCTGCACTTTCCTTGTGGTCATCGTGGGTGGGGGATGTTCCGTGTGACTCATAGACCAGACTCAAGGATGAGTTTAGCAAAGGCCCGCTCCCACTCCCTCTTGCCAATGGCACTTGAAGGAAGTCTATCATGGTTTTAGTTTGGCTATAGTATGATATTATATTTATTACACCTTAAAAGAATGTCTAAGCTCAGTATGGTGGCTCATGCCTGTAATTTCAGCACTTTGAGAAACTGAGGTGAGAGGATCACTTGAGCCTAGAAGTTCGAGATCAGCCTGGGCAACATCTTGAGACTGTGTCTCTACCAAAAAAAATTTAAAAATTAGCTGAGCATGGTGGCGCACACCTGTAATCCGAGCTACTGGGAATGCTGAGTTGGGAGGATCACTTGAGCCCAGGAGTTTGAGGCTGCAATGAGCCATGATCTCGCCACTCCACTCCAGCTTGGATGACAGAGCGAGACTCTATCTCTTAAAAAAAAAAAAAAGGTCTGCTTCATTGATGCTGTATATACTGGGGCAATATATGACCTAAATAACAGTTCTGTTTATCTATTTTTTTTCCTGTTTAGGCAGCAATAAGGAAAGAACTAAATGAATTTAAAAGCACAGAAATGGAAGTTCATGAAGAGAGTCGACAGTTTACAAGGTAGGTGACAAAATGCAGCTTAGAAATTGAAAATGCTTAAGATGTGATCCCATGTTGAGTTGGTTAAAAAAAGAAATTGCTTACAATGGTAAATTTTATGATAGGTATATTTCATCACAATTAAAAAATGTTTTTAAACAGTTTAGCTTAAAACCATCTTATGAACATTTCCGCTTCTCTCACATTCATCCTTGTTGGCTTTTAAGAACCTAATAGTCAATGTGACAGTTTTAAAGATATGACTAGATAAGATTGTAAATTTCTAGAATTTCATAATAAACTCAGCTATCTCCTTCAAGAACACTAAAACTAATCATGCTGAATAAGAATTTCTAAAATTAAATCTTTTCTTTCAAGGAAGTCTGAATCATTCCATGGGGCTACATTTTGGTTCCTTTCTTCGTTTTTTTCTGGGTCTGAAGACATCATTTATTCTGCTCTTGAACAGACTTAGTTGAAGTTGTATGCCCAGAATAGATGCTGGCGAGAGTCAGTGTGGGCACATACATAACACTTTGGTTTCACAATAGACATAACACAGGATTGAAGCTGACTTTTCAGAAGATGTAACTTTAGGATGGGAATCCTGATTTTACTGGTGACGAAGGAGATCGCTATCATCTTACCATTTTTCCCTCAGTCCCTTTCGGTTTCTTTCACAGGTTACCTAACCCGGTAACAAATATTGATCCCCTAAGCTACAGCCATACATCCTGGTGCCACTGTTCCTGCAGTCCCGGTGATGATGGTACTGTGTGCTGGGAGCATGTCACAATATAAAGGAAGTTGCTGTATAACCTCCAACTTTAACAGCAAACTTCCCTGAAATTGATGGGGGAGGAGTGAGGTTTGTTATCATAGACTTGCTCCACAGCTTTTCTTCCTATCTTACTGTCTTGTGTGCCAGAGAAACTCCCCTTTCTTTCAGGGTTACAGTTGGCCTTCCATATCTATGGGTTCCCCATCTGTGGAGTCAACTGACCACAATCCAAAATTTTTTTTTTTTTTTTTTTTGAGACAGAGTCTTGCTCTGTCACCCAGGCTGGGGTGCAGTGATGCAATCTCAGCTTACTGCAACCTCCACCTCCCGGGTTCAAGCGATTCTCCTGTGTCAGCCTCCAAGTAGCTGGGATTACAGGCATGTGCCACCATACCTGGCTAATTTTTGTATTAATAGCAGAGACAGGGTTTCACCATGTTGGTCCAGCTGGTCTCAAACTCCTAACCTAGAGTGATCCGCCCACCTCAGCCTCTCAGAATGCTGGGATTACAGGCATAAGCCACCACACCCAGCCCAAAATATTTTTTAAAACAAATATAAAATAACACCACAACAATAAAAATAACACAGAGCATAAAACGATACTGTATAATAGCTATTTATACAGCATTTACATTGTATTAGGTAGTATAAGTAATCTAAAGATTATTTAAAGTATACAAGAGGATGGGTGTAGGTTGTATGTAAATTCTACACCATTTTCTATCAGGGACTTGAGGAATCCATGGATTTTGGTATCTGAAGGGGTCCTGGAATGAATCCCCTGCAGACACCAAGAGCTGAATGTACTTCTTCTTTATTTTTTTATTTCCTCCTATATCATTTGTTTTTATATACATGTAGAGCGTTCCAACATCCTGAATGGATTTTTATCTATTTGAGGGCTTTATTCTATCATAATCTACTCTGAGACCAACAACATGTCCCTATCAAGCCAGACATTTTTGTCCCCCTCTTTTCTCCCTTCCACTTCTAGGGTCGGGAAAAATGTATGCTAAAATGTGACACCTGTAGTTGCTCTTCTGAAGTAAAGTTGATTATTAAAAGGTGGAATATTTTGAGTGACATCATGCTGGCTGGGGCCTCCGGGCAACTGGGAAGATAGAGTGCTTGGTGCAGTTGGGTCCTGATCCCTGAGCTGCAGTGACTGCACTCAACCCATACATTATCATTCGGGATAGTTTTGCTTCTGCATAGTTTTCCTAGAAGTTGGAGTATCTGATAGCCTTATCTTCATTTGATAGCATGATATAAAGAACAAATTACAGTCAAAAGGAATCAAATTTTAAAAGTACATTTTTATGGAAGTTCTCATTTTATGAAAAATAAATATTTATACTAAAAGAGGTTCTTTCTGTTCTGTTGTACTCTATATGAAGAAGCACAATAAAATTGGAGTACAGGGAGAAGTAAGGGTCATTTTGTTTTTGTGGGGGTATTTTTTGTTTTTTTGTTTGTTTGTTTGTTTGTTTTTTTAGTAGAGATGAGGTCTTGCTATGTTGCCCAGGCTGGTCTTGAAGTCCTGAGCTCAAGCGATCCTCCCAGCTCAGTCTACCAAAGTGTTGTGATTAAAGGCATGAGCCACTGCACCTGGCTTCTTTTTTATATATGTATTTGTATGTACAAAAATAATATATTCTAATTAAGCATTCAAGCAATACAAAATTCTATTAAGTATAAATGAAAAACCTTCACTCCTTTCCCAACCTCATTTCTGTTCTCACAGGTATCCACTAGTAAAAGCTTGATGTAGATCCTTTTAGATGTTTTTCCATGCATTTATAAATGTGTGTATGTGTGTATATATATATATATATTAAATATGTGTATGTACATGTATGCATTTATATGTACCCTCTCTCACACATAAACACAGCATCTAAGAAATCTTTCTATAATAATATATATCTCATTCAGCTGGATGCAGTGGCTCAGGCCTGTAATCCCGGCACTTGGGGAGGCCGAGGTGGGCAGATCTTTTGAGCTCAGGAGTTCGAGACCAGCCTGGACAACATAGCAAACCCTGTCTCTACTAAAAATACAAAAATTAGCTGAGCGTAGTGGCTCACAGCTGTAGTCCCAGCTACTTGGTAGGCTGAGGTGGGAGGATCACTTGATCCCAGGAGGCAGAGGTGGCAGTGAGCCCAGATCACACCACTGCACTCCAGCCTAGGCAACAGAAAGAAATCCTGTCTCGAAAAAAAAATTATGTATATATTTGTGTATATATATATTTCATTTGAATGACTGACATTTCATAGATAATATGCCAAAAAGTTATTGAACAATTACACTATTGATGGATGTTTATGGAGTTTTCAGTTTTTCATTATTAAAACAATGTTGCCTTGACTTTCTTTATGCATATATCTTTGTGCACACATGCCAGTATTTCTGTGGTAGTCCCATAAGTGGATTTGCTAGGTTTCTGGGCATATACATTTTGCATTTTGGAATAAACTATTCCATTATCCTCCAAAAAGAGCACTTAGTTTACAGATCTACAGTTTAAGAGCATGCCTAGTCTACTCACTACTCATGTGGTCGAGAGGTTTATATTCTAAAGGATGAACAATAATACCCCATTTCATTGATTTCTATTAGATTGGGCATCTTAACATACCTTTATTGATCACTTATTTTTTATTATTTGATTTGACTATCCAAAACTTCTGACCAGCTGAGGCAGGAGGATTGCTTAGCCCAGGAGTTCTCTACCAGCCTGGTCAACATAGTGAGACCCCATCTCTAGAAAAAAATTTTAAAAATTAGCTTAGCATGGTGGCACTTGCATGTAGTCTCAGCTACTTGGGTGGCTGAGGTGAGAGAATCGCCTGAGCCCAGGAAATGGAGGCTGCAGTGAGGCATGGCTACACCACTGCACTCCAGCCTGGGTGACAAAGTGAGACCCTGTCTCAAAAAAAAAAAAAATTATGTGATCAATTTTTTGGGTAGTTGTTTGTCTTTTATATGGATTGGTAACATCTTCTTAGATATCATGGATATCAGCCCTTTATTGCCTATGTTGCAATATTTTTTCCAATTTATTGTTAACTTTTAAACTTTTTAATGGTATTTTGTTTAAATTTTTGTATATTCAAATCTATCTGTATTGTTATGTTTTACTTCATTGTTTTGTGTCTTATGGACGGAGGCCAAGAGTATAAAACTATTATTTTTACCTGTTATCTATGCTTTGGAGAGGTGCATTTATTTGTGTGTATGATTCAGAAAGTAAACTAACTTTACTTTTTTCTAAATCAGTAGTTGATTCTCTCAATGCCACTTTTTTCCCTGTGGATGTGAAATTCTCTTTTAATATACACATCGGTCAATTTCTGGATTGCTTATTATGTTCTAATGAGCTGTTTGTCTATCCATGTCTATATCCTACTGTTTAATTTGGATAGATTTGTAGTGTACTTTTATATTTGATGGGGCATTTTTTCACCCTCAAAATTCTATTGGCTATTTTTTTTATTTACTCATCTAGAGAAATTTAGTATATGCTTCTTGTATTTCATAAAAGTCTATTGATATTTTTATTGCTTATGTAAATATAAACAGATGCAAATATATAAGCTTTCAGGGAGAGTAACAGCTAATATCAAGGGTAAATTTTAAAAGTTCTCCAAAACATAAATTGATTAACACTCTTTAATACCTTTCCAGATAAGGAAAAATTAAATATTCATATCACCAAAATAAATATGCCTTGCTTAAGTATTCTTAAACCTTGGCAGTAAAGCAAATGTTACTGCTATTTTTCCATTAACTTATGACATCATTCGAGATATATTCCAGTAGGGATATAGTTTGTCTCCAAGACATAAAAATAATGCTTATGATTTTCAAGCTGTTTTCAGTAATTCTTTTAAGGGGAAAAAGTTCTGGTAATCACTACTCTTTCTAATAAAAATAATACAAAAACATGATCCAGTTTTACATTTAGCAAATTGTTCATAAAAAAGGTGGTGGTACTCTTAGTACCAGCCTCTCTTGGGGAAAATAAACACCTTATGAATCATTACCTTGCCCTTTCAATGCAACCTAGATACACAGCAGCTCTCCTTTCCTCTTATTAGCATGAGACATTGTCTCCTTATACCAAGTAAGGCTTCCCTTCAAAACCTCAATCTGTGAACTCCTTGCAGATTTGGGGTGGTTAATAAATGGGCTGACTCCTCTTCTCGGGCACCTCTTTATCTAGAGGCCATTTCCAACCCAGTGATGTACTGGTGTACAATGGAAGGACCCACTTCTGTATATAGCTTCCTTTGCTTCTCTATCTCCGGAGAGAGACACAAGCTGGTGGCCAAGGGCAGGCATGGGAGGGAGACTTCTCACAACTCACCCTTTTGAACCTTTTGAATTTTTGAAACATTATGAATGTATTACCTAGTCAAAAACAAACATTTAAAAGAAAAAATAAAGAATCCATTCTCTAAGTCCTTGTTTCTGTAAATGAAGATTACGTCGTGGTGGCTTTTCTTGACTAATGTGTTGGCACTAATATTAATTGTGACACTTCCACGTCTTGTGCACTGAGGGGGTACCTCTGATACTTCTGTCATGGAATACATTCCATGACATATTTGGTCTGTAGTGATGAAGAACTGTGGTGCTCTACTCTTTCATCTAATTCTCCCAGTTTCTCCCAGTATTTTCCAGATGGTGCCCTGGAATTGGAATGGATGCTAGGGCAAGAAAGGTAGGGACAAATGGTCCCCACAAGAAGTCATCCCGTGGCCCTATAGGTACCAAGCCCTAACCTCAGTTGCTTAGACCTTGCTGCTTGTCTGGCCACATTCTGCATTTTCTACCCCTCAACAGTGCCCACTCAGCCCACTGTTCAAAACCAAAAAGTCCATTTGAGGGTGATAGATCATTAGATAGTATCATTGCATTCTCGAAGGAGACCAACATGGCAAACAAAAGCCACTTCCTTTTCCATAGTAAATGGAATTTCTACAATATAAAATAACTCTCTAAATTCTAAAGATAAATTGCATGAAAGGTCAAATTTTACTTAAGTTCTAAACTGTAAAGTAGTTACAGCTGAGCAGTAAGATTTTGAGTAATTTTAATTTTCCTTTGGATATTTATTCTCTGTTTTCCCAACAGAGAAAGTGTTAACATGTATCAGATTTGTTATCAAGAGAGAATATCGCTTTTTAAAAATAAACTTCTCATTTTGTAAATGATGACATTTTTGGAGTATACAAAGTAGTTTCATATTTGTATCAGCTTGTAAATTATTTACTTCTTATATTAAGGAGTCTTACTGAAGACTCATAGAATCATTGAATTGAGGCTCTTAGAGTTAAAATGAGCCGCAAGAGATCATTGGCATAATGTCAAGTGGGAAAGTCAGGATATTGACTAACTGTAGCAGCAGTATATTTTATTTAAAATTCAGATGCAGCCGGGTGCGGTGGCTCACGCCTGTAATCCCAGCACTTTGGGAGGCTGAGGTCGGTGGATCACGAGGTCAGGAGATTGAGATCATCCTGGCTAACACGGTGAAACCCCATCTCTACTAAAAATACAAAAAATTAGCTGGCGTGGTGGTGGGCGCCTGTAGTGCCAGCTACTCCAGAGGCTGAGGCGGGAGAATGCCGTGAACCCGGGAGGCGGAGCTTGCAGTGAGCCGAGATCGCGCCACTGCACTCCAGCCTGGGCAACAGAGCGAGACTCCGCCTCAAAAAAAAAAAAAAAAAAAAAAAATTCAGATGCCTGGAAATAAAGATTAGGAAATAACTTCAAAAATTCTTAGTGCTTTATTATAGAGTGGGGTTATAGTAATCTTTTTTTCTTTTATCTACTTTTCAAATTTTCTTAATGGTAAGAAGTTTTTCTTCATGTTGAGAAGTTTCTTAATGTTGAGAAGTTTTCTCATGTTGAGACTGAGATATTCACATACAGTGACCCTTGAACAACCTGGGTGTTAGGGGCACTGATCCCCACTCACAGTCAAAAATACACGTATAACTTTTGATTCTCCCAAAACGTAACTACTAAAACCTACTGGTGACTGGAATCCTTACTGATAACATAGTCAATCAACACATATTTTGTATGTTACATGTGTTATGTACTATGTTCTTACCAGTAAAGTAGGCTACAGGAAAGAAAATGTTACTTTAAAAATCATAAGGAGGCCAGGCACAGTGGCTCATGCCTGTAATCCCAGTACTTTGGGGGGCCGTGGCCAGAGGATCACATGAGGTCAGGAGTTCGAGACGAGCTTGGCCAACATGGAGAATCCCTGTCTCTACTAACAATACAAAAATTAGCTGGGTGTGGTGGTACACATCTGTAATCCCAGCTACTTGGTAGGCTGAGGCACAAGAATTGCTTGAACCTGGAAGGTGGAGGTTGAAGTAAGCTGAGATCGCCTGGGCAACAGAGTGAGAATCTGTCTCGAAAATAGTAATAATAATAAATCATAAGGAAGAGAAAACATATTTACTATTCATTAGGTGGAATTGGATAATCATAAAGGTCTTCATCCTCATCGTCTTCATGTTGAATAGGCTGAGGAGAAGGAGGGGGTTGGTCTTGCTGTTTCAGGGGTGGCAGAGGTGAAAGAACGTCCAATTATAAGTGGACTCATGCAGTTCAAACCCATGTTATTCAGAGGTCAACTGTATATACGTATGGACACATAGACATACACACTTTTTTTTTTTTTTTTTTTTTTTTTAAGACGGAGTCTCGCTCTGTCGCCCAGGCTGGAGTGCAGTGGCGCCATCTCTGCTCACTGCAAGCTCCGCCTCCTCGGTTCACGCCATTCTCCTGCCTCAGCCTCCCAAATAGCTGGGACTACAGGCGCCCACCACTACGCCTGGCTAATTTTTTGTATTTTTAGTAGAGACGGGGTTTCACCGTGTTAGCCAGGATGGTCCCAATCTGCTGACCTCGTGATCCGCCCGCCTCGGCCTCCCAAAGTGCTGGGATTACAGGCGTGAGCCACCGCCGCCGGCCCATATAAGTATTTTTTAAAGCAATGATCTCATTCTATACTTTCTTGAGGTGTTACTATCCTATGTGGGTTTACGGTTAAAGTAAACCACTCTTTTCAGCTTCTAGATATGCTTATCAAAATATGACATCACAGGAACTATACTTGAAACTGCAATGAAAATTAATAAGGGGTCCTCCACCGAGGAATGGAAAGGCTGCTTTTGTAGTGGCACTGCCTTTCATGGATACTCCATTTACTTGCTACCTGGACAGAAATTAAAAGAGTTGCAAAATGCTGCTTTAACTACTACCAGAGTTGAAAGCAAGGCTCAGTATTGGGAATGATAAGAGCCCAGCCAGTGTGTGGTCTAGCCTCTCAGGTAGAACAAGGAGCTGTAATTTAAGAGAGCCTCTTCCTTTGTTTAACATAAGTATATGTACAGGAGGATCCCCTGAGCCCCAGAGTTCCAGGCAGCAGTGAGCTATGATCCGGCCACTGCACTCCAGCCGTATGACAAAGCCAAACCCTGTCTCTTTAAAATAAATAAATAAATAAATAAAATTTAAAAATAATAAGTATAGGTGGCGTGACAATGAAACTCTTTTAAAGAAAAGGGGAATGAATTATTTAGGAGTTTTATATCTATCAAGTAGGGAAGTACAAGAAAGTAATATTTTACCTTTGTGAGTAATTATATATTTTATGTTATGTGAATAAATTTACAGGAAGGGCTGGGCGCAGTGGCTCATGCCTGTAATCCCAGCACTTTGGGAGGCCGAGGTAGGTGGATCACCTGAGGTCAGGGGTTCAAGACCAGCCTTGCCAACATGGTGAACCCTGTCTCTACTAAAAATACAAAAATTAGCCGGGCATGGTGGTGCATGCCTGTATTCCCAGCTACTCTGGAGGCTAAGGCAGGAGAATCACTTGAACCCGGGAGGTGGAGGCTGCAGTGAATCAAGATTGCACCACTGCACACTAGCCTAGGCAAAAGAGCAAGACTCTGTCTCAAGAAAAAAAAAAAAAAAAGAATTTATAGGAAGATGAATAATTTTTTAAAATTAAATTATAAAGGAACCGCCTTTATTGAAATCATTATCTTTATCTGAATTCCATAACTTAAAAATAGCTTTTCCCCCATTCCCTCCCTCTCAACAGTATGAAAATAAGAAAAAATGTATTGCAGTTTTAAAAGAAAGAAGAAAATATGTATGACTTTAGATTGGAGTCTCAGGAAAGTTCTGAAAAGAGGGTGGACAAAAGGCTTCAGTATCCTTAGGGCACAGTAAATCTATTTATTCCTCCACCAACTTGAAGCCTAAAGCCAAAACTGTCATGCTGTCACATAGACAAACTTCTCAAGACGTAAAGCTGAACTTCTCCTACCTTAAAATGAATGCAAACTACCGAGAAATAGCAAAATACCGAGAAATAACAAACTGAAGAGTATTTTGCATTTTCAGTACCTCTAACCACAGCGTTTTAGAGCTGAATTTGAAGATAAGCTGAGTAATTTAAACAGGATAAAAGTGTCATTTTCAGATTGGATAGAGCAGGAAAATATATGGCTTTTGTTTTCCTTCTGGTTGTTACTTTTTACCGAATCTGGGCAATCTATCTAAAGAGGGGTCATAGTTCTGACCTCTGGCTTTGTGAGCATATTATTGCACGCACGGTATCAATTGGTCACCTTCTTTTCCTAGCCAGCCCTTGAAGCTGTGTTGGTGGCCTGTGACCTTCCAATGCAATCTAGACTGTGGAACTCACTGTGTACTGCGATCCATGGGCAAATGGTGTGTGCAGGAAAAAAAAAAAAATCTTACACTGTCCTCAGTTATTTTTGAAAATTAAATACAGAATACTTTCCAGGATAATATTGGGCTTTCAAAGATTATCTCTTCTGGCTGGGTGCGGTGGCTCATGCCTGTAATCCCAGCACTTTGGGAGGCTGAGGCGGGAGGATCGCTTGAGGCCAGGAGTTCAAGACCAGCCTGGTCAACATGGCACAATGCTGTCTCTACAAAAAATACAAAAATTAGCCAAGTGTGGTGGCGAGTGCCTGTATTCCCAGCTACTTGGGAGGCTGAGGCAGGAGAATCTCTTGAATCCAGGAGGCAGGGTTTGCAGTGAGCCGAGATCATGCCACTGCACTCCAGACTGTGTGACAGAGTGAGACGGTGTCCCCCCCACCCCCCAAAAAAGAAGATTATCTCTTCTGGTCCATTGACTACTCCCTTTGTTATCCAACCCAAAATTTCATTTACCTTCTTCATCCCACAGACATTACCAATGGAGAGAGAAAACATCAGGTTTCCTTATCCTTGCCCCTTGAATTCAAGATTAGATGAACATCTGAAGATTAGGACACTGTGGAATGTTTGGTACGCAAAGCCCAGCAGATTTGGCGAGGGCTAAATAATTGCTAAGTTAGATGAGCTTTTAACTAATTTTTAGAAAAGCTGAACCTTAGAAAGATAGGCCTTTGGTAGCTCATGGTGTGAGGGTCCTGGAGGTACAATGCACTGTGTTGTCAGGGCTCCCTGGGTTGCTGCTCCCTTTCTGGAGTATGGACAATGCTGGTGTGCCCTGCTCAGAGGGAGATGCTGCTGCTAGTTTGGGGTATCACTGGATGGGCTCTTCAAGTCATTGTGAAAAGTTTAAGAATAGACTGTAGCAATCAAAGTGTGACCTGAGAGGGTGGAACAGGATTTTTCTCTGGTCAAAATTGATCAGAACTTGAATGGATAATGAAATTGTGGTATACATACACAATGGAATACTACTCAGCCACAAGAAAGAATGAAATTCTGTCATTTACACCAGCATGGATGAACCTGGAGGATATTATGTTATGTGAAATAAGGCAGGCACAGAAAGATAAACACCACACATTCTCACTTACACATAGAAGCTAAAAAGTTGATCTCATTGAAGTAGAGAGTAGACTAGTGGTTATTAGAAGATAAAGAGGGTAGGGGAAAGGAGATAGGGTGCAGTTGGTTAACAGATACAGCTAGATGGGTGGAATAAGTTCTAGTGTTCTATAGCACTGTAGGGGGACTATAGTTAATAATTTATTGCATATGTTCAAAAAGCTAGAAGAGAGAATTTTGAATGTTCCTGACACAAAGAAATGATAAATGTGTAGGATGATTGATTTGCTAGTTTGATCATTACACATTTTATGCCATCAAAATATCACTCTGTACCCCATAAATATGAACAATTATGTGTCAATTAAAAATATAATAAAATAATCAATAAAAAATTTAAATAAAATTTGATTAAAATGGACAGAGGTAGAAATTCAGATGATCACCTTTTCTATTCCATGCTACCCAGAGAACACCAGAAAATCACCCCTTCAAATAGAAGTACAGATGAAGACATGTTTTGATCTCATACTGAAATGTAGGTTAGGAAGACAGTCTGGAGCATAGCGCGTCCACTTACCAGCTGTCTCTCTCTGCCTTGGGCAAATGAGTTAGCATCCCCATGCCTCAGTTTCCACATCTGTACAAAGATGATATAGGAGTACTTTCATCGTAAGATTGTTTTGGGGATTAAATGAGGAAATAGATGCATAGCACTTGGACTTGTAAGCTCTGGTAAGTATTATATTAGGATTGTTATTATTATCTGTGTATTAGTCCATTCTCATGCTGTTATAAGGACATACCCGAGACTGGGTAATTTATAAAGGAAAGAGATTTAATTGACTCACAGTTCCATGTGGCTGGGGAGGTCTCAGGAAACCTGCAATCCTGGCAGAAGGCACCTCTTCACAGGGCAGCAGGAGAGAGAATGAGTGCCGAGTGCAGGGAGAAGCCCAATCAGATCTCGTGAGTACTCACTGTCACGAGAACAGCATGGGGGAAACCACTCGCCTGATTCAATTACCTCCCACCAGGTCCCTCCCACAACATGTGGGGATTATGAGATTACAATTCAAGGTGAGGTTTCGGAGGGAACACAGCCAAACCATATCAATTTGCCTTTCACATTGTATATAAAATATTTGATTTAAGAGGTTTTCAGTTACTCTTTGAAATATTTTTATAGAACTTCCATATTTTGCTTCAGGTTGTGGTTGACTCTTCCTAGAAAACATTTTGGAATGTCCTGTCAGGTGGGTTATTGTATATTAGTATACATTTACTTGTAATTAAGTTTAGGGGCTTCTGATTGGACTCCTCAGTCATATAGAATTATTTATAGAGCTAACAAATAACTTCCTAGATACCCCTGTGTATATGTGTTCAGTGACTTATGCATTCAACAAATAGTTATTGAGCACATCCCTAGTGAGCCAGATTGTGTTCTGGACCCTGAGAGTTTAGGACCTGTCTCATAAGGTCCTCAGGTGGTTATGTTCCAGTAGAGAAGCAAACTATTACCAAGTCAACAATAAATACACATGAGCATTTCAGATAGTGCTAAGGACTGTGAAGAAAAGGTAATAGGACAGGGGTGGGTATAGATCCGATGGCCAAGAAAGGGGTCTGTATCTGTCTGAGTTCTCCAGAGAAACAAAACCAATAAGATATATGTATATAGATATATGAGAGGGGATTTATTAGGGCAATTGGCTCACATGATAATGGATGCTGAGAAGTCCCAGAACAGGCTGTCGGCAACCTGGAGACCCTGAGATGCTGGTAGCCTGGCTCAGTCCAAGGCTGGAGGCCTGAGAGCTCGAGGCAGTGGGGAGTACTGGTGTAAGTTCTGGAGTACAAAGGGTGGGGAGCCTGGAGTTGTTGTTCAAGGACAAGAGAGGAAGAGCATGTATCCCAGCTCCAGTAGATAGATTGACATAGTCTCCTTTTCTCTGTTTTTGTCCTCTCTGGCTCTCTGGCAGATTGGCTGTGGCCACCGACACTGAGGGAAGATCTTCCCTACCTAGTCCACTCAGACTCACAAGCCAGTCCCTGAAAACACCCTCACAGACTGTATTAGGCCATTCTTGACTGCTATAAAGAAATACCTGAGACTAGGTAATTTATAAGAAAACAGGTTTAATTGGCTCACAGTTCTGCAGGCTGTACAGGAAGCATAGCAGCATCTGCTTCTGGGGAGGCCTCAGAAAGCCTCCAATCACGGCAGAAAGCGAAGGGGGAGCAGGCACATCACATGGCAAGAATGGGAGAAAGAGTGGAGGAGAAGTGCCCCACACTTTTAAACCAGACCTCGTGAGAAGTCACTCACCATCACAAAGACAGTACCAAGCCATAGGGATCCACCCCCAGGACCCAAACACCTCCCAGCCCCACCTCCAGCATTGGGGATTATATTCCAACATGAGATTTGGCAGGGACAAATATCCAAACTGTATCATTTTGACCCTGGCTGCTCCCAAATCTCATGTCCTTCTCACATTTCAAAATGCTTTCCCAAAAGTCCCCCAAAGTCTTAATTCATTCCAGCATTAACTCAAAAGTTCAAAATCTCATCTGAAAAAAGGCAAATCCTTTCCACCTATGATCCTGTAAAATAAAAAACAAGTAAGTTATTTCCAAGATATGGTGGAGATCTATACTGGGTAAACATTCCCGTTCCCAAAGGGAGAAATCAGACAAAAGAAGGTGGCTACAGGCCCCATGCAAGTTCAAAACCCAACAAGGCAGTTGTTAAATCATAAAGCTCCAAAATAATCTCCTCTGACTCCATGTCCCATGTCCTGGGTACTCTGGTGTAAGTGGGCAGCTCTACCCCTGTGGATTTGCAAGGTGCAGCCCCCAGGCTGATCTCACAGGCTGGCGTTGAATGTCTGTGGCTTTTCCAGGCACAGGGTGCAAGCTGCCAGTGGATCTACCATTCTGGGGTCTGGAGGACAGTGACTTCCTTTTCACAGTTCCACTAGGCAATGCCCCAGCAGAGACCCTTTGTGGAATCCCCAACTCCTCATTTCC